>NC_000001.11:90803835-92053835 GCF_000001405.40 Homo sapiens | reverse complement strand
TCAACTAGCCTAAGATCAATAAAATTCATGACTTTCCCATAAAAACTAGCCCTGTTCTAGCGTTTCCTCTCTCAGTAAATGGCATGCTTATCCATACTGCTGCACATGCCAGAAATCCAGGAGCCATATTTGATATCTCTCTTCTCATTCCCCCTCCAACCCATTGCCAACCCCTGTCAATTTTACCTCTTAAGTGTCTCTGAAATCTGCCCACTCTCTCCATCTCCACTGTTTTCAGACTAGTTGTTAAAGTTACCATCATCTCTAGCCTGGACTGCTGCAGTTTTCCCACATTTACTCTGAAAATTCTCTAATACATTCTCTGCACTATGACCACACTGAACTTATTCAAATACACATGTAGGTTGTTTTTCTTTTCTGCTTGAGATTCTCATTCACTGGCTTCGCATTCATGGCTTTTACATCCTTCATATGGTCTACTTACCCACCTCTTGGACCCAGCCTCATAATGCTCTTCTTACCCTTACTTTCTGTGCTCCAGCCAAGAAGCCCTAATTCTGTTGCTTGAAGCTACAACCCTCCTCCATCTTCCCACAGGGCTTTGGTACCTGCTGTTTCCTTTTTCTGGAATGCCTGTCCCCCTGTCCCCAATCTTGTTTAGTCAATACCTAACTCATCCTTCACTTCTTTGGTCTAACATTATTTCCTCAGTTCTCATCTCTTTCTTTCAAAGCCTTTCTGTTAGTTTATAACTATTCACTCATTACTGTGGTTATTTGCTTAATGTCTGTTTTCCCTATTAGGCTACAAGTTTTGTGAGATCAGAGACCTTATCTAGTTTTGCTTATTACTATGTTCTGAGTAACTAACACAGCCCAGAACATAGTGGTTAATAAATATTTCTTGAATAAATAAATCATCATTTAAAAAGAACTAAAAATATACATCTATTCCAAATAATCTAAAAGGAGAGAATAAGTTGATAGAGTTATGGATAAAACAAGTGACAGCTACATGAAGGATTTGTTATATTACTCTGTCTACTTTTCCATATGTTTGAAATTGTCCATAAAAAGATTATGCAACTTACTAAAAAAATTAAAATACCTTATTTGAGTCTTTGGATAAGTGGTGAACTTAACCTTAAAAATAAAATATTGTCCCTGTAGGATCAGACTGAAATATTTTTATTTAACTAAAAAGAAATTATACTTACCTGAAGATATTTCGGTAATGGTTAATTGGGCCACTTAATGCTCCAGGCTGAGAAAAGACATAAATATAAGCTTCAAGATCCTCTGTTGTTAATTGGCATCCTTTTCTTCCAATGCCAGTGCTGTGACTGGTAAACAGATGTTTCAAAACCTAATTTAAGTGAGAAAACAATAATTAAAACTTTTTTGTTATCTAATAATAAGCTAAGTCTTTGGCTTTGGAAAGGGGATGGTGGTCATTGTGTGGTGACAACTCCTAATTTCTGCTCTAGCCAAGTTTGAGATCTCATTGTTTATACATATATATTCTATGCATTTCTGCTTTCCTGGCTTTATTTTTTCTATATTCTTCCCTTCTAATCCCCCCTGCACACTGCATTTTTATAAAAAGCATCCTGTCTTCTTGGTGCCTATTCATATTCTACAAGGCCCAGCTCAAGAGTTCCTTGGATAAATGACTAATTCCCCTTCTGGGCAGGAAATAAAAGATAAGCCCAGGGCATTGAGGAGGCAAGCTATCACTGACTAAAGGGATTATGTCAAAAAGCCACAAAAGCCAACCTGAAAGGATGCCTCATTTGATGCCTATTGTGGGATAATTTGGGCATCCAAAAGAATAATGTCTCTAACTGACTGATATATATCAAATATATATTCATTACTCTAAAAGTTGTTTGTAAAAAGAAAAAGAATGAGCATATATCCTGCCATTCTTGTGTGAACTATATTTCAGAATAAATAGTAGATGTGGAAAAATTCTTTACAGCAGAATTTCAATTAAAAGCAGAAAGAATTATAAAATTAGAAAATAACCATTTTTCATACCCTAATGAAATAATGGGCCTAGGCTATGATCACTAATGTATACTAAAATTAATTTGGTGGAAGGATGTTAGGAAATTTTGGATAGGCTGACAACTCATGAGCCCACTGATCACTGTTAGCATTAGTAAAACTGGACCAAGTAGGTATCATGCATTTCCCTGATGGGATGCGTTAGGAAATACACAGCACCACCTATTAAGTATCCTTTTCAAATTAAAATTTAATCAAGCCTCTAGATCACCAATACCTATGAAGTAGGAAAAACAAGGGTTAGAGGAACAAGTTAAATACCACCATGATGAAGCAATCAGCCAAATCCAAAATATGGATCTTTCCTCAGGGCAAATTTCTTCAATAAATAAGTGATATTAAAAAAAAATTAGAAAAAAAAGAAAGAAGGCACTAGTATACATTTTAAAAGCCATAACAACTAAATACAAGGTATAGACTTTGGTTCCTGATTCAAACAAATGAAGTATATCAAGACAGTTATGACAGTTAATGAAATTTGAATGGGTATTAAATGATATTAAGGAGTTGTCATTTATTCTGTTAGGTTTGATAGTGGCATTGGGTTTTTTTTTTTTTAAGTTCTTATCCCATCACAGTTATACACATAATTATTTACAGGTAAAATTATATTATACCTTTTAAAAATCCTCACCAATATCTAACACCATGATGGACATGTAAGAAGCATTTATGTCGGGAGTGGTGGCTTATGCCTGTAATCCCAGCACTTTGGGAAGCCGAGGTGGGAGGATTGCTTGAGGCCAGGAGTTTCAGACCAGCCTGGGCAACATGGTAAAACCCAGTCTCTACAAAAAATACAAAAACTAGCGGGGCATGGTGGCACATGCCTGTAGTCCCAGCTACTTGGGAGGCTGAGGTGAGAGGATTGCTTGAGCCTGGGAGGTTGAGGCTGCAGTGAGCTGCACTCCAGCCTGGGTGACAAAGCAAATTCCTGTCTCAAAAACAAAGCAAAACAAAAAAATAAAAAGAAGAATTTAATAAATTTCCAAGATACTTGCATATGACTACTGGTGTCAGTGTATGTGTGACACTAATATCTGAATGTTTACTTTGTTTAGGGCTTTTTTTTTTTAACCCCGAAGTCTTCTACTTCTGCTGCTATTAAACCTGATATTTGTATTCCCTCATCTCCCTATGAGACGTTCTCTAAGAAGGGGTATGCCCATAGGGGCACAGTCTTACAAAAATTTGAAGAACAGCCAGGTATTTAAATACATAAACAGAGACTATGAAAATAAGCAAGACTATAGTTAAGTTCTTAAAACCATTTAAGTTATAATAATTTCCTTTCATTTTTCATTATTCTTCTTAAACGTGGACTTTAAAATATTTTTCATTAATAATAATAATAATACATTATTTGTTTGATTTGTTTGGCTTACCTTGAAATCATTTATTGAGAACATAAATTCTGGGAACCATGGTATTTGGAAGAAGTAATAATAACTGGATTTCAACAGCTGAGCAGGGTGTCGTAAAATATATTCTGAAATTAAAATGCCATGTTAGACCTTATCCAAGGGGTATAAATTACTTACTGTTAGAAGAACTTCTTTTTAGGACAATTTTACTTTAAGATGATCCCATAAAAGAATCCATAAGTAAGGCTTCTTTGGAACAATTTCTATGCTCTTATATCTTGAGTAATTCCGGTATTTCCAAAATTTATACCACTTTATTATTTTTTTTATTTTTTATTTTTTTGAGACAGAGTCTTGCTCTGTTGCCCAGGCTGGAGTGCAATGGCGCGATCTCAGCTCACTATAACCTCTGCCTCCTGGGTTCAAGCGATTCTCCTGCCTCAGCTTCCTGAGTAGCTAGGATTACAGGTGCCCACCACCGAGCCCGGCTAATTTTTTGTATTTTTAGTAGAGGCAGAGTTTCGCCATGTTGGCCAGGCTGGTTTCGAACTCCTGACTCAGGTGATCTGCCCACCTCGGCCTCCCAAAGTGCTGGGATTACAGGCATGAGCCACCACGCCTGGTCTTATACCACTTTAAATAAAAAGGTTTCACTTTATGAAATCTTGACTCAAAAGGGAACAGGAAGCCCAAACAACGCTGCTTTTCCTCCAAGGTCATTATCAGTGACCTACCACTTTTCCTAGGAATACATGGTGATGTAATTTTCGGTTGTTTAAAAGATTTTCCTTACAAGTTGATTCAAATTGAATGCCTTGTTCATCTGGCCTCAAAAGGAACTGAAGTTTTTCCTATAAATTCATTGATGTATCTAGAAAACTCATTCATTCAATGAATATTTGACTATCTACTGTGTGCCAAGGGATTTAGCAGTGAACAAGACAGAAAAGGTTCCCACAAACAATGAACTTACACAATAAATAAGTCCAAATGCTTACAAGATCACTTTAGAGAGCAATAATACCATAAAGAAAATAAAAGAAGGCAATCTGATTGACAGTGATGGTAGGGTGGAGTGGAGGGACTGCTACATAGTAGAAGTAGTCAAGAAGGCCTCTCTGGGATGTGATGTTTGCTGAATCCTGAATGGTTACAGGGAGTCAGCTGTGCAAAGATCTACGGAGAACATCCAGGAACAGCAAGTAGATCCTGGGCTTGGTACATTCCAGATGCAGAAAGGCCTTTGTTGCTGGTGTATAATGAATGAGAGGAAGATGGTATATGATGAGTCAGAAAGAAAAGCAGAAGCCTGATCATGTAGGACCAGAATAATAAGATTTTATTTTAAGTGCTTTGGGAAGACACTAAAGTTTTAAACTGGTGAGTTTATATATAAATATATATACATATATATTCATATATAATAAAAAAGTGTGTAAAGCCAGGCATGGTGGCTCATGCCTGTAATCCCAGTGCTGTGAGAGGCTGAGGGAGGAAAACTGCTTGAAGCCAAGGGTTTGAGACCAGCCTGGGCAACATAGCAAGATACTGTCTCTACAAAAAAAACAGTGGTGTAAGCCTGTAGTCCCAGCTACTTGGGAGGCTGAGGTGGGAGGATCACTTGAGCCCAGCCTTGAGGTCAAGGCTTCAGTGCACTATGATTATGCCACTGCACTCCAGTATGGGGGACAAAATGAGATCCTAAATGAGATCCTGTCTCTAAAAAAATGGGAAAAAAAGTCTATGCTTGAGTACTATGCAATCTTATTTTCCTTACTCTAAAAGTCATTTTTTCTTATTTCCCATTTCATAACTATATTCAACATGGAGTTTTTAGAAGTATAATTTTCAGATAAGTATACCATTGTTATACTATAGTTTTTGCAAAGTCATAATTTAACAAGATTTATTCACCCCTGCATTAAGAGATAACAATACAATTAGGGGAAAAATATAGGCAAGTTATTTGAAAGCCTCATATTGACCTGACAGGGCAGAAACAATTATTGATAAAATAATTCCAGAAATATTCCAAGTATTTTCTTGCTGAAATCACCAGCTACAGTTTGTCCATATAGCACCACCACCAAAATAAGATTTACTCTTGGGTCCTGATCAATTGAACGAGCATGTAGCATGACTTCTGCTGTTGAATTCAAACTAGAAAAATACAGTGACTCTCAGGACATTTGAATCCTAAGCATCCATCCCACTATACCTCACTATACCAAGTGATAGGTCAGTTGGATATGTATCTAAAATTCAACTCAACACTTACATTGACTTATATATTTACATAGTCATGGTCCCTTTCTTCCTTACCTGTTTAATTTTTAGGAAGAAATAGAAATATGTGGTTCTGAATTTTTTATTTCCTAGAGTCCTGCTGTGGGTAGTAGTAGTACTTGAACCTCAGAAAACTTAACAAGAGTAAAGAATACAAAATTATTAATTTTTGCCAAAACCAAATAAAAATGTGCCCGGCCATGGTTCACAGGTCTTTAATCACTATTAAGTTTTTAAGAGTTGCCTTTAAAGTGGAGGTTCTCAAAGTATCGTCCATGTGAATCCCTGGGGATTCCCAAGACTTTTTAAGGTATCCAGGTGGTCAAAACTATTTCATAGCAATATTAAGATATTTATTTGCTTTTTTCTCACCATATTGATATTTGCACAAGTACTACAAAAGCAATGATGGTTAAAGCCACTGCTGATTTAGCACAAATCAAGGCAGTGGCACTGAACAATACTAGTAGTCATCCTATTCTTCACCACCACACACTGGTGGCAAACTAACTAATTAATTACATTTAATTAAGTGCTGGATTCACTTAACAGTGTCCTTGATGAAACAGCAAAAAACATTAATTAAACTTGACCTTTGAGTACATCTTTTTAATATTCTATGTAATTAAATAGAAAGTACACATAAAGCAGTTCTGCTGTCTCAAGACAACACAAATACAATGATTGTCCCAAGGAAAAGCACTTCTACAATTTTTTTGAGTTGATGGGTTGAATTAGCTGCTTTTTTTTTTTTTTGAGACAGGGTCTCACTTTGCCACCCTCAGCTGGCACAATCTCAGCTCACTGCAGCCTCAACCTCCTGAGCTTAAGTGATCTTCCTGCTTCAGCCCCCCAGGTAGCTGGGACTACAGGTGCACACCACCACACCCAGCTAATTTTTTGCTGCATTTTTAAATGTAACATTATTTTACTTGAAAGAATGACTAACAACCAATCATCAGTCAGACATGGGTATTTGTCGGATAATCTCTTGAAAGTTAACAAAGTGAGCCTATCATGTCAAGGAAAACAATCATCAGTAGTTGTGCCATTGATAAAAATCAGACTTTCAAATGAACCTTAGAACTTTGGAAAACTTATATCTGCTACTGTGAGCTTCACAGCTTTGCAATACTTTAAAGGCTTTTCTGATGAGATTAGGGTGATGTCAAAGAATGTGATTTTTTGATCCTGTATGATGAAATGTGTCAACTTATGGAAGATCTGCATAAATCAGTGAACAAACATCTTACAATGCATGATGATACAAAACCAGGCATGGATAAAAGATACAATAAAAGTGCTAGGGAGACCTGTGGGTTTTAATAGAGTATAGTATTAAAAAATCATTTATTTGCCATCACATTCCACATTGTTACCTTTAAGAAACCATTGGCAGGGCGCGGTGGCTCACGCCTGTAATCCCAGCACTTTAGGAGGCTGAGGCGGGCGGATCACAAGGTCAGGCATTTGAGACCAGCCTGACCAGCACGGCGAAACCCTGTCTCTACTAAAAATACAAAAATTAGCCAAGCATGGTGGCGGGTGTCTGTAGTCCCAGCTACTCGGGAGGCTGAGGCAGGAGAATCGCTTGAACCCAGGAGGTGGAGGTTGCAGTGAGCCGAGATGGCGCCACTGCACTCCAGCCTGGGCGACAGAGCGAGACTCCATCTCAAAAAAACAAAAACAGAAACAAAACAAAACCATTAATTTTTAAGTTTGGTATAGTATTAAGAAAGAAAATCCACAGTTATCTGAAAAGGCTATTAAAATACTCCTCCCTTTTCCAATTACAGATCTGTGTGAGGCCAAATTTCCTCACATACTTCAATGCAAACAACATATTGCAACAGATTGAAGAGATTTGCAAAAATGTAAAACGATGACACTCTTTTCACTAAAATTTTGTTTTGGAAGATGTAGTTAGCTTTCATTTAAAATATGTTATTTATGTTAACATGTAATGGTTTATTTCTTTTGATGAATTAACATATAAATATTTTTAAATTTCTATTTTAATTTCCAATACAGTGAATATTTATAAACCATATAAGTAAAAGCTCAATGGGGTCTTTAATAATTTTAAGAGCATATAGAAGCCCAAGACCAAAAAATGTGAGAACTGCTTTAAAGAATACTGCTATTCCTGACAGCCAAAGCAGTCAAGCAAAAGGAGAATTTATTTCTAGGCTGTCAGGATTCATTACTGTCAAAGCAATGTCATTGTATGTTTCCCTTTATCCCTCCCCAAGTTAACAGTAAAATCTTTTTTTGAAGGAATAAAATTATGTAAGCAAGTATAAAGCTAAATTTTCTTAGATTCCCCAGGAAGATTGAAAACCAAGGTATCTGACACTGTCATGTGCTATCATGGTTTAGTCATTTAATTTTAAAATATGATAGTAACCAAATTTTGCTGTTTCTAATCCAAAAGGTCAGTGGCAAGAGTGAATTGTCACATTAGCAGAACTGTTTTGATAAAAACTTGAACTCACCTGTAAATACATTTGGATGAGGGAAGTTAATAACAATAAGCTTCATCACCATTTCAGGATAACAGATGGCAATTAGCCAAGCAATCATGCCCCCCCAGTCATGGCCAATAAGAACACATTTGCTATACCCTGTAAACAAGAAATAAATGTTGACATCATTAAAAAGAAACAGGTGGGTGCACTGTTACCTCACATAAAATAGTTATACTTCTGAAGTACCTCTTTTCATTATCTTATCCTAATTATGCACTTTGTGCAGATATTGAATTCAGTGGTTCCAAAACTTGTCTGTACATCACCTATATAGCTCCACTCTAAACCTATAGATTGAGAATCTCTCCCAGGAATCCATATTAAAAAAAAAAAAATCTGAAATAGGCCGGTGTGGTGACTCACACCTATAATCTCAACACTTGTGAGGCCAAAGCAGGAGGATTGCTTGAGGCCAGGAGTTCGAGACCAGCCTGGGCAACATAGCAAGACCTCCCCCCAACACACACACCCAGCCGTCTCTACAAAAAAATAAAGAAATTATCCAGGTGTGGTGGTGTCCACCTGTAGTACAAGCAACTGTAGAGCCTGGAGTGGGAGGATCCCTTGAGCCCAGGACTTCAAGGCTGCAGTGAGCCATGATCATGCCACTGCATTCCAGCCTGGGTGACAGAGCGAGACCGAGACTCTGTTTCTAAAAAAGAAAAAAAGTGTGGGGGGGTACAAAAGAAACAAAAGAAACATCTGAAATAGCTTATGTTGCTCAGCTCTGGTCCCATGGACCTGAGTTTGGAAACCATGGTAAAGACTGCACATAATGAAGTCAAAAGTAAGATTATTTGGTTTTTTTTTGAATGCTCAGAAATTTCTAGTTATAGTAAAATTATAAATGTCTCATCTATGTCCAACCTCATAAATCTTTATTTCCAGGAAGCATCTATCTCTTCCCTAACTTCACAAATCCTATGTACAATTCAACACAGAAAATCTGTCACTAATTTGGAACTGTGAAGTCAAACTGAAGTAATGGAAAGTCTTAATTATAGCACCAATTTTGCACCAGTTTCATTTCATGTAATCACTCGGTTAATTTAAAGTACGTTAAAATGTTGATTAATAGAGATTCCTACAGGATTTCCATTGTATGGATGCATAAAATTCATTTGTAATTTATTCCTGGAGTACTTAAAATTGCTTAATTCTTTCAAGGAAGTAATTCTCACCATCACTCCTCACTACTATACTAATACACACACGTAGACATAAACACACATGCATAAATCTTGTTTATATTAATTATTTGCCTAAAAATTTCATGATGACAAATTTAGGCCAGGTCTGACTGAATTATCACAAAATTTGAAATATAATTGTTCAAAATCAGTGTCTGAGTCTCTTTTACTGTAATCAGACTAAATGACAATATTGTATGTGACACCCCCAGACCCCATTCATTTTTTTTCCCCTAAAAATATTGGCCTGATCCATGCTCTCATTAGATTACTGTAGAAAGTGCCTTTGATTTCATGGTATTTCTCACTATATTGCTTCCATTAACATACTGATGGTAGCAGCTTGGTTTCAGTCAAAAGGGATATAGTATTAATAGATTGGATTATTGTTAAAAAATATTTACTTTCCCCTTCTCCCTGCTGTCACAGTAGTCTACTTGCTGCCCCTTTGATTTTAGACTTGGCCATGTGATTTGCTTTGGTCTCGTGGTGGCTATGTAGCTTGACTTTGGGCTCCACCATATGACTTGCTTTGACTAATGGGCTGCCGGTAGAAACTTAAGCTTGTGCACCTGGGCTCACCCTCTACCATCGCCAGGAAAAAAGCTTCCCTCAGGCAGCCACTCCCTTTTAGCTTGGGCTCCAGCCCAACTCACAGAGAGAAGCCAGTCCCAGCTGGACCTGCAGCCTGAGGCAAAGACCAGAGGAGTCCAGCCTACGGTTAACCTGCAGATCCATGAGCACAGGAAAAAATGGTTATGACCCTATGCCACCGAATCTGGGGTGGTTTGTTCCACAATATTATGTGGTTCTAACTGATTGATACAACAGAAATAATGCAAGTGCATCTGTATAACATTTTAAAATGAATATTTAGGTGTGTGTTCTAAAGAAATAAACTTTCTAAGTATAAACTTTTCAATAATTATTTCTCAAAATAATAAACAGCATACATTAGGTCTATTTTTTTTTTTTTTTTTTTTAAACAGAGTCTCATTCTTGTTGCCCAGGTTGGAGTGCAACGGCACGATCTTAGCTCACTGCAACCTCCATCTCCTGGGTTCACGCCTGGCTAATTTTTGTATTTTTAGTAGAGACAGGGTTTCAACATGTTGGTCAGGCTGGTCTTAAACTCTGACCTCAGGTGATCTGCCCGCCTCAGCCTCTCAAAGTGCTGGGATTATAGGCGCAAGCCACAGCACCCGGGCCATTAGGTCTATGTTTAAAAACAAATCTGAAAAGTCATTCTTGGCTGGTAGACAGAATAGTTGCTCTAGATGCATCATTTTAAATTTCCTGTACAGATATTTTGGGCTGACTAACTGAAACCATAGTGACAGGATCCAGATAATTTGGGTAGATGGAATATGCATCCTCCCAAGAAAAGAAGTCATTGATTCACAATTTGTTGAATGTTTGTCCCTTAAAAAGAGTTGTTTTGTTTCAAACTAACCTACCTAAAGAATCTAAAATATCCTTTATATCTGTAATTAGACAATCCAATTTATAATTCTGTCGATGAATGGGAGCATCTGTTTCTCCATAACCTCTCAAATCCAGTGCTACAACTCGATATTCACTTTTAAATTCTCTCAGTTGGTAACGCCAAGAATACCTGCAGGAAAAAAGGAAGCATTTAAAATATCATATTAGCTAGTACAAACAGTAACATTACAGATTTTCTTTTTCCTTTCTTTTTTTTTTTTTTTTTTTGAGACAGAGTTTTGCTCTGTCACCCAGGCTGGAGTGCAGTGGTGCAATCACAGCTCACTGCAGCCTCAACCTCCCTGGCTCAAGTGATCCTCCTGCCTCAGTTTCCTAAAAAGCCGAGACTACAGGTGCACACCATCACACCCAGCTAATTAAAAAAATTTTTTGTAGACACGGGGTCTCCCTATGTTGCCAGGGCTGGTCTCAAACTTCTGGGCTCAAGTGATCCTCATGCCTTAGCCTCCCAAAGTGCTGAGATTACAGGTGTGAGCCACTGCACCTGGCCACATTTCAGATTTTCTCAGTGGAAAACTGTAAGAAATTCCTTATTTTTAGAACAGATATATAGCTGCAAGTAAGCAGGAAAGAGACCTACTTGAGAAGGAAACACTGACATTCTATGAGAATTATTTTGTCTTTTTACCAGTTCCACTGGAGGGTAACAAAGTGCCACTATTTACAGAAACTACATAGTATCAGATACTAAAATCATTGTACTTATATATGTCTTAATAAGTCCATTTTTAAAAAATTGAAACAGGGTCTCACTATGTTGCCCAGGCTGGTCTCGAACTCCTGGCTCAAGTGATCCTCCTGCTTCAGCCTCCCAAAGTGCTAGGATTACAGGTGTGAGCTAACATGTCTGGCCAATAAGTCAATTTTTTGTTTGTTTGTTTTGAGACAGAGTTTCGCTCTTATTGCCCAGGCTGGAGTGCAATGGCATGATCTTGGCTCACTGCAACCTCTGCCTCCCGGGTTCAAGCAATTCTCCTGCTTCAGCCTCCCAAGTAGCTAGGATTACAGGCATGTGCCACCACACCTGGCTAATTTTTGTATTTTTTTCTTTTTAGTAGAGACAGGGTTTCTCCATGTTGGTCAGGCTGGTCTTGAATTCCTGACCTCAGGTGATTGGCCCACTTCAGCCTCCCAAAGTGCTGGGATTACAGGTGTAAGCCACTGCACCTGGCCAAATAAGTCAATTTTTAAAGCTTTTCTTAAATGGTGTGTATAGCCACCAGGGAATCTGTACTATGAACAGTTAGTTATTTTACAGCCCGAATTTCTAGATAATAAATGGATTATCAAGTATAAAAAAGTGAGTGGGAAGATGAGTTTGACAGTTTTACCAAAACATCTGAATGCTTATCTGGCCCAGGAATTTCAGTGGAGTAACATAAGTAAAATGCTTCTGTATTGCAGAACCATTTGATTCTCTGATTGAAAAAATTTACTAGATGAAATTTTATATTTCTCTCACAAGTAGATGTTACTCACCTTACTCCACTGTCAAATAGGGTCAAAGTTTTAGTAATAACCACAGCTTATTTATGGGTGAAAAAGTCTGAAGGTTTTTTAAAAAAGATTATCACTGAAATAATCTAATAATAAAACAACCATTTAAGATAAACCTCTGCTTGCTAAAGCAAAATTCTGTGGAGAAGATCCTGAACCATGAGAATAAGCAAGAGTGATACTAAAAACATTTAACAACCAAAATGGCACCAGCACTGACCAATTAGAAGGGCCACAGTGCTGCAGCCAAGTTCTGGAGGCCACTGCTGAGCCAGGCATTCCCCCTCTGCTTGATCATGGAACTGCAGAATTAATCGAAATAGAGAGATCCATAAGATTTTCTTCTTCAAATAAGCAAAACCATTTTAGATAACCAACAGAAAAAAAAGACATGGATTTTTAAAAGTGACTCACTATGTTATGGGACTCAAAATATGCATTAAAAAAAAGCATCTGCATGCACATTTGTTCATGGAAATACAGTGTAAAATTATCTGACACAAGCCAAGTGGGAGATCATTGTCTGAAAATACTTTTGGAGTGCAGTAGGCAAGCTAACGCAACTGAATGTTAAGATTATAAACCAGTGTAAAGATTGTAATATAAGATTATAAGCCTGAGAGGGGGGCTGCGATGTGAAGTGACACACAACAGTAAGATCAATGTAACAAACAGGCCAGGTGCGGTGGCTCACATCAGTAATCTCAGCACTTTGGGAGGCCAAGGTGGGCAGATCACTTAAGCTCAGGAGTCTGAGACCAGCCTAGGCAACATGGTGAAACCCTGTCTCTACAAAAAATTAAAAAATTAGGCCGGGTGCGGTGGCTCACGCCTGTAATGCCAGCACTTTGGGAGGCCGAGGCAGGTGGATCACCTGAGGTCATGAGTTCAAGACCAGCCTGACCAATATGGAGAAACCCCGTTTCTACTAAAAATACAAAATTAGCCAGGCATGGCAGTGCATGCCTGTAATCCCAGCTACTTGGGAGGCTGAGGCAAGCGGCGGAGGTTGAGGTGAGCTGAGATCGTCCCACTGCACTCCAGTCTGGGCAACAAGAGCAAAACTCCATCTCAAAAAAAAAAAAAAAAAAATTTGCTAAGTATGGTGTCGTGTGCCTGTGGTCCCATATACTCAGGAGCCTGAGGTGGGACGATGGCTTAAGCCCAGGCGGCAGAGTTTACAGTGAGCTGTGATCGCGCCACTGCACTCCAGCCTGAGTGACAGAGCCAGAACCTGCCAAAAAAAAAAAAAAAAAAATCATTGTAACAAATCAACCACCTTATATCATCAGGAAGAGTGTCAGACACATATTTGGAATTATGAATGAATATAGAATTTTTTGATCTATCACTAGGATATTTATGATTTATGAAAATCTGCCAAAGCATTGCCAACTAAGATGGATTTGAAAATGTTAATAAACAACAAAAACAATAAAAGAATAACAACAAAAAAGAAAATGCTAATAAACATGTCTTCTGGCTGGGCGCAGTGGCTCACGCCTGTAATCCTAGCACTTTGGAAGGCCAAAGTGGGCGGATGGCTTGAGGTTAGGAATTTGAGACCAGCCTGGCCAACATGGTGAAACCACGTCTCTACTAAAAATACAAAAATTAGCCAGGCGTGGTGGCGGACACCTGTAATCCCAGCTTCTAGGGAGGCTGAGGCAGGAGAATCGCTTGAACCCGGGAGATGGAGGTTGCAGTGAGCCGAGATCGAGTCACCGCACTCCAGCCTGGGCAGCAAGAGGGAAACTCTGTCTCAAATAAATAAATAAATAAATTAATTAAATAAACGTGTCTTTTTTGGCTAGACTGTAGTAATGTTGTTAATCTTGTCTGTGGATTGTAACAAATAAAGTAGCTTGTTTCCTTAAAGATACTCATCTGTCAACACATGTGATTGTATTTTTTCTGATTTGCCTTACTTAAAATTTTGAATTGATTTTTTATGTCTTCATAACTGAAGCCTAATTCTTCCCTCTTTATAATCCATCCTACCCAATCAATAAAGTTCTGTTCATTTAACCTCTTAAATATTTATTTAAACACTCTTGTCTACCATTCTATCATTACCTTAATTCAGGCCTCCATTTAGGCAGCAGCCTATTGCTTGGTCTAAGTGTGTCGCTTTCATTCCCCTCTGCTCTATCTTCTACAAAACCAGTGATGTAGCAAAGACACAAACTCATGTCATTTCGTTGCTGAAAATCCTTTCTTGACTCCCTATTACCCATAACATGAAGTTCTAGCTTATTATTCTAGCAGAAAAAAATCTGAAAGATTTGACTATTGCCCAATCTTCCAGCCAGATTACTTTGCACTCTGTCATTTGCTTTATAACAAAAAGAACTAACATCTATACCATTCTTACTACATACCAGGCCCAATTCTAAGTGCTTCTTGTATGGTAATATTGATCTTCAAAACAGTACTATGAAGTAGATATTATTATTATCTTCACTTAACAGATGAAGAAATGGAGGGAAAGCAAGGTTAATTGAAGTACCAAAGGTCACAGAGTCAGCAAACAGCAGAGCCAGGATTCCAGCCCAGGGAGTCTGGCCCCAGAGTCCATGTTATACTGCCTCTGCAGCACTAGGTTGAAATAGGTGAACAAATAGAGATATTGGTTTTTGCTTTTATGACTTTCTTCATATGGTTTCCTTTGTCTGAAATACCATCACTCCCCACCATTCCCCTATTACCCCATAATCCCTGACTCTCACCCCTCAATTAACTCATTATCACATTAGGCGTCTCCTTTTCTAGGAGACTTCCCAGCTCTCTCCATTACAGCTGGGGTGCGTGGGCCCCTTCCACGCTTTTGCACTTGTATGTGCACTCTTCAGGGCTGGGGCACACCTCACTTTTGATACCTGGCTCTTCCACGAGATCGTTTCCTGGGTCGTCTATGAGAATATCTAGCCCCTGTAGGTGCTTAATAAAGATTTGTCAAATAAATGAAACAACAAATGAATAAAAACACTGAATAATGATAGTGCTAGAAGTACCAGTTGTGCAGTAGGACTTTTGTCCCAGTTCAAACCTTGAGACAATGACAGCTAACGGTCCCAAATTCCTATTGGGGAATTTGTATTCAATTTCTGTTGAACTGCACGTTGTTTCAATACCTTAAGGGTCCGTGTCTTCATTTAGGATTTAATTAGAGATTTCAAGGTAGAAATTTGACTTTATATAATCCTGCAACATTTTACATTTAGAATTGGATTAGAGATTATGCAAACATGATGCTTCCATGTCATATTAGAAATAATTTAAATTGCCTTAAAAATAAATCCAGCTACTGCTTTTAACAATGAGTGAAGCCAAACAATATCCTAAACAATTCTAAGAAATAGGGCAACTGCATATTTTTAATAAATTACTAAGGAATAATTTTTAACTGTCATCTTCCTGAAGTTCATAAATAAAACACATTTGATGTACACATTAGCCCTAAACTGAAAAAGAAGTCACCCCAGTATTAGACTGATGGACATATCATTTACATGAATAAAGCGAAAACAATCTCCTTGATACAGGAATGAAACACATTACAAAAGCAGTAACCCTAAAAAGATTATAAATAAGCAAAACTATTTTCATCCACATTGCCTTTTTTCTGGTAGCTTTAGGTAATAGCAGAGGACACTCAGGAAAAATAACCAATCTCTTTCGCCGTGATTGCTCTTCACCTAGGAGGGCTCCTGGTTTTACCAGGTTACACTTTCAGATGTAGACTATCCTCCTCCTCTTTACCACAGAGAAATGCCACAGTTGTCAGCTTCTGTGCTCAGCTGTATGATGAAGGCCCCTCACTCGCCTTAGCACTTGAGTGATGACGCATGCATTCCATATAGCTGGAGACGAAGACGACTCAAAGAAATTGCCTGCCTCAGCTCAAAATATTTTTAAAGGAGATGCAAATTGAAGTGGAGAGAGAGAGTGGGAGAAAGATCATCCTTTGACAAACAGCCTTACTTGGGGTTAATTTAGTCAAAGGTCCTGTAGATGTGTATCTTGTTTAATATTTCCTTTAGATTTTAAGAAGACCCGGGATTTTATTGTTGCTGTGTAACAGCTAATTGTATACATGAAATATCACCATTTCTCGTCAGCTATTCTCAGGCAATGATGATAAATGCGATAATATGTTACATTTGCATGGTGCTTTTCTGTTTACAAAGCACTTTCACACACATTATCAATTCATTTTTTTTTGTTTTCACTGTATCAAATATTTGTTACCTACTTAATCTACAATCAAGCATACACTTTCATGTGTATTTAAGCAAAACTTAATTGCTAGAGGAATAACATTTACATTTGTAATGTAAATTGAAATTGGTTTGAAATGCCATGCATGAAGTTTTTTTGGCCTTTAAAATGAAAAAAATAAAAAAGAGTTTTGTCTTAAAACTTAAACCCTAGAGTTTTGTCCTAAATTCTAAGACCTTTTTTTTTTCCTGTTGTTTGTTTCCACTAGCACCTCAATGAGATTGACTAGACCTCATAATGGGTAACAGTGGCAATTTGATTGATTGAAAGGAAAGACAGAGTGAGCATCAACAGGGGTCTTGGTTTAGAGTATGACTCCAGAGATATCTGATTACCAACAATCTCCATGTAGTATTTTCAGATGCTCCCTAAACAACCAGGTAGCTTTCAGATTAATGATCAGCAAAGTTCAATGAATTCAATATGATCTATCTGAGTAGCTGAGCTATCTGCGTTTGTAGTTGTTGCTGTTTTAAATTCTACCAATGTTCTTTCTGGAGTAACAAATGACAGATTTAGTGAACAGAAGAGACTCATGCCTGTCTATGATCTTCACATATTTCTTAATCTATGGCTTTTCAGAGTGAAAATATTTCTAGGAGCTTCCCAAAAACTAAACTATTCCTCACAATGACCAAATCCCTTTTGGATACATCCAAGACTTGACTTTGCGGGGGCAAATGGGAATGATATCCAGGGACCAGTGCTGGACCCCCTCCTAGGCTGTTTCATCCCCTGATGATTCTAGGACAAGAATCACCAGCCATTTCTATTTTGCAAAAGGGCTCTCATGAGGAGTAAATAATGAGACATGACTGTGAAAAACACGCACAAAATCTCTTAGAATACGACAGAGAGCATCTACTGCCCTGTATGAAAGTGGTTGTAGGTTCATTTTTATCTTTGTGTATATTGTTCTGCACGTAAAGAGGTGAAATTCCAGGGGAATAAGGATGGCCAAGTACTGGGGTTGGTGTGAGGTAGAGAAAGAAAATAGCTTTCAAATGTTTTCTTTCTAAAAAGTTAAGTATCATCTCTCCGATGCATGAATTTTATTTAGGATGATGATTTAAAATGTTAAATTAAGGTATTTTTATATTGTTGGCTGATTTGTTAACACCCTCTTGAATGTTTGTATAAGGTGTGACATTTGAAAGGTAAAAATCCATGCATGTTATTGGATCAGATTACTATAATTCCTATAGAATGAGAACAAACTGCAGAGGTCAGCCCTGACTTTCAAAAACAAGGGACACCTGACTTTCTGGCACTGCCAACTTCAGAAGGGTAGCTATGGGGCTTAAATGAGATGGTATATATAAGTCACTTACAAAAGTACCTGGCTTGGGAGGGGAACAACACACACTGGAGCCTGTTGGGGGTGGGGAGAGGGAGAGCATCAGGATAAATAGCTAATGAATGCTGGACTTAATACCTACATGACGGGTTGATAGTTGCAGAAAACCACCATGGCACACGTTTACCATGTAACAAACCTGCATGTCCTGCACATGTATTCCAGAACTTAAAATAAAAATAAAAAAGAGAGTGCCTGGCTCATAGTAAATGCTTAGAAAATGTTAACTATCATCACCAGAGTTAGGAAATTATTATTTGACACATGGATCTCCACAATGAATGAATGGGAATGAAGGAAGAAAATGAGTATTTACTGAATATTCACTGGGGCCACGTGAAAGATTTTCGACATTTTGACTCTCTTCATCCTCACCCAACTTTGCAACATCATTGTAGATGACTGTTTAGGGTTCTTCAGCAAACTAGTGGTTGAGCCAGAATGTACTGCCCATGCTATGTTAGGCAGATTTGATCAGTGTTTCAGAGTAACATTTTATTGTGAACTAATTATGCCACGCACTCCATAAGGTGAGACCATATGCATATGCTCGAATTGCACTGGGCAGCTAATCTACCACCTCATTAAGCTGTCTCCAAATGAAAGAACAGATCAAAGCATAACATGAAAATGACTTATGTTTATTTATGCACATAAATCCAGAAGGGGAAAAAAATCTTCATGCAGGGAAAATCTTCTAAGGAAGACTTCTCACTCTGGAAAAATTATTAGGTATAGGTGTCTTTGCCATCCTCCACTCTTTTCTTCAATGCCTAATACCTCCTAGTACACTAACATCCTCAATACATTTATTCATAAAGTCCCTTTCACTCACAAAGTATTAACTAAAGTGGGTCGGGTGCAGTGGCTCACACCTGTAATCCCAACATTTTGAGAGGCTGAAGGGGGCAGATCACTTGAGGTCAGGAGTTTGAGACCAGCCTGGCCTGTTTAACATGGTAAAACTTTGTCTCTACTAAAACTTCAAAAATTAGCTGGGTGTGGTGCGCACTTGTAATCCCAGCTACTTGGGAGGCTGAGGCTGGAGAATCACTTGAACCCAGGAGATGGAGGTTGCAATGAGCTGAGATTGCACCACTGCACTCTAGCCTGGGCAACAGAGCAAGACTGTTTAAAAAAAAAAAAAAAAAGAAGCGTCTTAAGGTAGTAATCCTTTCAGCACTAGATGCATTTTAAATCAGGATTTTGAGTGACATAAAATCTTTAAGACTCTAAAGGAGGTAAGAAATCTGTAATGCTGGAATTCTAGGAATTATAAGATAGTAAGGGAGAATTTGGGGACAGGATATTGTCCTAGACCTTTCAAAATATACCAGATATTCCACCTTTGAGTCAACTAAGGGAACTGGGCTTTTAAAAACATCAATTTCTTGACCTATTTAGTTTATGAACTATTTCTTATAGCCCTGTGCTATAAAAACTGGTTTTCTTTTACTGCCATGATATGTACCACCCTTTTTTTTTTTTTTTTTTTTTGAGACGGAATCTCGCTCTGTTGCCCAGGCTGGAGTGCAGTGGCACGAGCTCGGCTCACTGCAAGCTCCGCCTCCTGGGTTCACACCATTCTCCTGCCTCAGCCTCCCGAGTAGCTGGGAGTACAGGCGCCTGCCACCAAGCACAGCTAATTTTTTTTTTTTTTGTATTTTTAGTAGAGACAGGGTTTCACCGTGTTAGCCAGGATGGTTTCAATCTCCCGACCTCGTGATCCACCCGCCTCGGCCTCCTGATATGTACCACCTCTTTTAAAGATGTTCATTAAAAAAAAAAAAAAAAAAAAAGTTTAAACATGTGTTGCTTTCATCTGTACTTATTTGGCCCAGTGGGGTCAATAGAGAACAGAACACTTCCCCTTAGGTAACTGCTATGGTCTGAATATGTTCTCCCAAAATTCATATGATGAAGTTTATTTGCCTCCAGAAGACACATCAACAAGGCACCATGTTGGACACACACAGACATGGATGTCACCAGACTCTGAACCTACTGGTGCCTTGATCTTGGATTTCCCAGTCTCCAGAACGGTGAGAAATAAATTTCTATTCTTTATAAATTACCCAGTCTCAGGTATTTTGTTAGCAACAAAAATGAACGAAGATAGTAACTAATAATTACATATTTGGGGCTCCAGATTTTCTTCCTAATGAGAAATATTTAGGTACTTAAATTATCCTGCATTCATATAAGCCTATTGCTCTGTGCATAGGAAATAGTTCATTTTCAGTTTCCATAAGTGCTCTACTCTGCCTTCTCCTCACCCCAGCCTCACCAAAATCTTCCTAATAACAATCACTCCACGTCTTTGGTTTGTTTAAAATCTCCTTTCCCTACCCAGTGTTGTATTTTGTCTATAGTAGATACTCTATACAAACTGTTTTGTTACTATTTCAGAAATTTGAAACATTAAAAGATACTTCTTTTAATCCTCAAAAAAATATATAAATTTAAATTGGTAGCAGGTAGGTCTTTTTAGGAGGAAAAAGACCTGTGATTCAGGAACATTTAGGAATATTAACTCTGGGCACATGATCAAAAAGTAGGGTCTGTTAAAAGTCATTACAAGAGGCTTGGCGTGGTGGCTTACATCTGTAATCCCAGCACTTTAGGAGGCCAAGGTGGGAGGATTGCTTGATCTCAGGCTTTCAAGACCAGCCTAGGCAATATAGCAAGATCCCACCTCCAAAAAAAAAAAAAAAAGCTAGGTGTGGTGGTAGATGCCTGTAGTCCCAGCTACTTGGTAGGCTGAGGTGGGAAGACTGCTTAAACCCAGAAGTTCAAAGCTGCAGTGAGCTGTGATCATGCCACTGTGCCCCAGCCTGGGTGACAGAGTAAGACCTTGTCTCAAAAATTGCCATTGTAACAGTATTAAGAGGTGGGACCTTTAAGAGGTGGTTAGGTCATGCAGGCTCTGCCCTCATGGATGGAAATAATGCCACTATGAAAGGGCAATTTCGGCCCCCTTTTGCTTCTTTGCCCTTCCTCCTCTGCCATGTGATGTTGCAGCAAGGAGGCCCTTGTCAGATGTTGGCACCTTGATCCTGAACTTCCCAGCCTCCAGAACTCTGAGAAAATCATTTATGTTCATTTTAAGTTACCCAGACTGTGATATTCTGTTACAGCAGCACAAAATGAACTGAGAAAATAAGCCAAGTTTTAATGTAACAATAAATGTTAGTTGGTAAGCTTACCAGAATTCTGGAAATCCATGAAGCAGCAGCATAAGTGGTTTGCCTCTTTCTCCAGCAGCAACATAGTGAAATCTTAACCCTGAATCCTGAAAGTAGAGGGCATGGAATTTTAGTGATGTTTGTGTTGATTGACAAAGCAATATATTTAGCATTTCCATTTCATTAAAAAAATAGTAACTTGCCTTATTTTAAAACATTTGTGTATTTACAATATCTTCATGACACTCAGTTGCCTTATTTTTAACATCAAGAAATATATTTACTTTTATTAATTTTCAAAAAGAAAAGCAAACCCCATGACCTATTAATAGGGTAAATTGACAGATTCACTTTGTCAACACTCCCTTGACAGTACCTTCTCTTCTTGTTCTAGTACAGTCAATTTATATATTATGAGCTTCTGAAGCAATGTCACAATTTGTAACTTTCATCTTACCATTTGTAACTTTCATCTTACTGATGTGTCACATTTCATCTCCCTCAAATGCTGCAGGACATGTAAATAATTCTAATCTGAATTTATATTTCTGCCATGTTTACATCCTAGTCATCTACTTTTCTCAGCTTGCCCGTCAAGAGCTGTGCCATCAGTTATATAATTCACACCTCCTTCTCTTATTTTTAGGTCTCTCCTTCCCACATTATTATTTTGAGTGTTGCATGTTCTGTTCCCCTTGCTGCCTGCTCATGTCATGTCAGTGTGCGTTTCTAATAAGAGAATGCCCTGAGTGCTCAAGACTTCACTCTGCATGTAGGAGACAAGAAAACCCAAGGAAAATTAAAAAAACATGGGAATGAGTCAGGAATTCAAGCAAATACTAAGCAGGCTGAATTGAGGAAAGTAGAGGGAACAGCAGGAATAAAAATCTCTGAAAGCAAGCAAGCTAGGAAACAAAAAGAACCAAAAGCTAAACACAGACATTGGGTTTTTATAGCAGGCAACTCAAGCAACTGAGTTTTCAGATGTGAAAGAATCATTTTGCAGATTCAGAAGATGAGGCCCAAAGATGGTAACATGAGTCATAAAATGGTTGAGAGCAGGGCTGTGACCAGAATCTCCATCTTGTCCTAACTCCCAGGACAATGCTCTTTCCACTCGGTTCTCTGTCTCTGGGGAAGCTCTTTAGGCGGCCAGAGCGAGGGGAAAAGTGTTTTATGGAATTCCAGATGGTTCTTATACTACTTTTACCCCTCAGGTTGAACAGAGATAACAAATCTGACTTTACCCTCAGCTGCACGATGGCTTCCTAGAGGTTCAATAACTTTTTTTATTGGTGGTGAGTCTTGGAGGATTAAATGTTATGGGCACTGCAATGGATTTAATTAACAGATACTTTATTGCACTGACTATGCATCAGGCATTGTTCTAAGTTTTTCGTGTTTGTTTTTATAAATATTAACCTATTTAATTCTCATGTCGACCCCAGGCAAGAAAGAAGTTCTCTTGCCCTTCTGAACTTCAGCTGCGGGGCAATTTAGCTCCTAACAGGAAATAAGGACTTGGTGACATAAACATCCCCTCTTATGAGGCTGGGTTTGAAAGGCCTGTGAGTCAGACTGCAGGGTGTATCACGGGAACTATTTCCCTTCACCACCTGGAGCCTCAGGAAACAGAATATTTGTGGGCTGTGAGGAAGCTTGAACAATTAGCGTCTGCAGGCATGGCTGGATTTACCTTTTATTCCATTCCTTTCTTTGGTCCCTGACTTCATAAGTATGCATTCCTCCCCACAACACACACAATTTACTTATTGTTTCATGCAACCTAAGTCGTCTGTGATCATAATAAACTCATGACTCCCAAAGACTGACTGTTTACTCTTATTATCTCTAAAATTGGGCAAGAACAGCCTCCTGAGACATTAGGATGCCACGAGGAACAATTCTC
Organism: Homo sapiens; assembly: GCF_000001405.40. Taxonomy (NCBI): domain Eukaryota; kingdom Metazoa; phylum Chordata; class Mammalia; order Primates; family Hominidae; genus Homo; species Homo sapiens. The sequence continues at coordinate 92,030,702 of NC_000001.11, read as the reverse complement.
TACAGCTGATCTGAGCTCTAAAGGGCAAAAGGGTGACAGGAGACAGCTTCCCCTTGCAGTAGGAAAAAGAGCAGGTTTATTCTGGGTTGTTGTGGCGCCGGGGGGCAGTAATATAAGAGGCCCCTGATTAGAGAAGTTCCACATTCAGAAACCAATCAAGGTGCCTGCAAAGACCGAGTGCTGTTTATCTGTATCTCTCTCTCTCTCTCTCTCTCTCACACACACACACACACACACACACACACGACACACAGGGACCCAACCCCTCCTCCCCTCCTGCCAGGACACTAGGGGACGCTGAGCCAGCGTCTCGGAAGGAGAAGCCCGGAGCCCCCCACCCTCGCGGCGGTCACGCTCCCTCCCGCTCCCGCCAGGCCCGCGCGGCCCTTCACCTTGATCCGCACGTAGCAGTGGGTGCCCAAGGAGGGGTCGCTCAGGCACGCGGGAGGGTGCTCCCGGGCGGGCCGCCGGAAGGTCTGCGCCGGCCCCTTGCCGAGGCTCCACAAAAGTTTGAGCAGGTGGATGGAGGCGCAGAGCCCGCAGTAGCAGTAGACCAGGGACCAGAAGAGCAGGGACCGGAGCGTGAGCATCAGGCGGGGCAGGCAATCCCGCAGCCTCGCCATTGGGAGGCGGCGGCGGGGCCCACTGCCCTTCCTCGGGAGCGGGTGAGCGAGCGCCGCAGCGCGCCAGGCCAGCCCGCCGTCGCCTCTCGACGCGCGCCTCCCCCGGCCCGGGGCGGCCGGCGTTCCGTGTCACCGCGGCGGCTCCGCACACGCGCCGCGCCCAGCCCGGAGCGCGCAGGGGAGAGCCGGGCCTGCGGGGTGCGGCGGGCCAGGCCGGGGTGCAGAGCTTGGCTGTCTTCCGCGGAGAGCGAGATCCCGTTTCAAAATCGCAAAACTGTGGGGGAGGATGAAGGCGAGACTTTCCCAAACCATCCTGGGCACCAAAGAAGGTAGCGCCACTCAGTCTTCTTTGTTGTTCTCAATGTATCAAGCAAAACTATTTCTAAGCCCACATATTCGTGTGTCATAGTTCAGGGACACAGGTCAGCGACAAACTTCCATGCTATTACACCCAAAGAGATTCTTTAGAGTGCAAAATCACTCTGCACTCTGAAAGATACCAGCCTTCCTCTTCTCAAAATCTTTCGTGGAATCATAATTTCTGTAGAAATCCGCCTATGCCTTGCCTGGTTCAGCCACAGCAAACTTACAGAGAGCTGCAACCCCAGGGATACAACGAATGCTTCAACAACGTGACGCGGCAGAAGCCTGGCCAGAAGGCCACACACCTGAGAGTTCGTCGAAGGGCTGGAAGCCGTGAGAGTGACAGTCCTCGGTAGGTATCTCAGCCTCAGCACCGACATGGCCACTCTTGTCCTGACCTCTTCTATCGTCCAGTTCACTGTTAGAATTTCATTAAGCCTTTTCCCAATCACCGGGTCAGGTATTAAGTGTTCATTTTTTATGAGAAACTGTCAAACTGGTTTCCAAAGTGGCTGTACAATTTTGAATTTACTTCAGCATGTGTGAGTTATACAATTGACCTTTGAACAATGCGGGGGGTTAGGGTTGCTGAACCCTTTCACATCTGAAAATCCATGTATAACTTTTGAGTTCCCCCAAACTTAAGTACTAATAGCCTACTACTGACCAAAACAATTAACATATGTTTATGTATTACATACTGTATCTTTATAATTAAGAAAAATGTTAAAATCATAAGGAAGAGAAAATACATTTACTATTCATTAAGTGGAAGTGGATTATCTTAAGAGTGTTCATCCTTGTCATCATCAGGTTAGGTAAGCTGAGGAGGAGAAAGAAGAAGGGAGGTTGATCTTCCTGTCTTGGGGTGAGGGGGAGGGAAGAGGTGGAAGAAAATCCATGTGTAAGTGGACCTACACAGTTCAAACACATGTTGTTTGAGGGTTAACTGTATTTTGCTCTTTTTTTCTAGGGTCTTGAGTTAGGAACTTATTGAGACCTTTGCAATTTCTAATGCAATCATTTAGCACCTATACATTTCTCTCAGTACTCTTTTTATTTTATTTTTTGAGACGGAGTCTCACTCTGTCGCCTAGACTGGAGTGCAATGGCGCGATCTCCATCTCAGCTCACTGCAAGCTCCGCCTCCCGGGTTCACGCCATTTTCCTGCCTCAGCCTCCTGAGTAGCTGGGACTACAGGCGCCCGCCACCATGCCCGGCTAAGTTTTTTGTATTTTTGGTAGAGACGGGGTTTCACCGTGTTAGCCAGGTTAGCTCGTGAACCGCCCGCCTCAGCCTCCCTAAGTGCTGGGATTACAAGTGTGAGCCACCGCGCCTGGCATCTCTCAGTACTCTTTAATCGTATTACATATGTGTTGATATGTTGTATTTTGCCATTTGTTATGTATTTTTTAAAATGTCCTGTTTTAGGTTGGGTGCTGTGGCTTACGCCTATAATCCCAGCACTTTGGGAGGCTGAGGCAGGAGGATCGCTTGAGCTCAGCAATTCAAGACCAGCGTGGGCAACATGGCAAAACCCTGTCTCTACAAAAAATAGAGAAATTAGCCAGGTGTGGTGGTGCACGCCTGTAGTCCCAGCTACTTGGGAGGCTGAAGTGGCAGGATCGCCTTAGCCCTGGAAGGTTGAGGCTGCAGTGAGCCAAAATCATGCCACTGCACTCTAGCCTGGGTTAAAGAGTGAGATTATGTTTCAAAAAATGAAAAACAAAACAAAACAAAACAAAAAACAGGGCCGGGGGTGGTGGCTCACATCTGTAATCCCAGCACTTTGGGAGGCTGAGCTGGTCAGATCACCTGAGGTCAGGAGTTTTGGACCAGCCTGGCCAACATGTTGAAACCCCATCTCTACTAAAAATACAAAAAAATTAGCCAGGCATAGTAGTGCACGCCTGTAGTCCAAACTACTTGGGAAGCTGAGGCATGAGAATTGCTTGAACCCGGGAGGCAGAGATTGCAGGGAGCTGAGATTGCACCACTGCACTTCAGCCTGGGTGACAAAGGGAGACTCCGTCTCAAAAAATAAATAAATAAAAAAAAACAAAGATTCCTGTCTTCCTCCTTGCCCCATTGTGTTTTTAATGTGTTTAGCAATTTTTCTATTATTACTTTCAGTCCTCCAAACTCTTAACTCATAACACATTAAATTTTTAAGAGATAGAGATCTTGCTATGTTGATCAGGCTGGTCTTGAACTCCTGGCCTCAAGCAATCCTCTCACTTTAGCCTCCCAAAGTGCTGAGACTACAAGCATGAGGTACTGTGCTTGGCAGTCCATTATTGACTTGTATCTGATTCTATTATGGCCCAAGAACATACTCCACATGACCTCTATTCTTTTAAATTTGTTTTATGATCTGGGATATGGTCTATCTTGGTGAATGTTCCATGGTTGTTTAAAAAAAAAAAACGTGTGGATAAGAGTGTTCTACATTTGCCCGCTAGATCATGTTGGCTGCTTGTGTCCTACCTTTTTTTTTTTTTCTTTTTCAAGAGACAGGGACTCGCTGTTACCCAGGATGGAGTGCAGTGGCTATTCACAGGTGCAGTCATTAAGCACACTGCAGCCTCGGACTCCTGGGCTTAAATGACCATCCTTCCTCAGCCTCCCAAGTAGCTGGGATTACAGATGCATTCCACCACACCCAGCTTGTATCAACTTTTAAATGACAGACTTCCTGTTAAATTCATTCACATCAAATAAGTTCCTCAATTTACAGACCACAATACCAAAATCTGATGAAGATTAAAAAGCGATATAGACAACTTTTTGAATGAAAATAGTTTCAGCCCTCTCCCTCTCCCCCTCCCCCTCCCGCTTTCCACCGTCCCCCCTCTGATGCCCAGCGGAGGCTGGACGGTACTGCCGCCAACTCGGCTCATGGCAACCTCCCTGCCTGATTCTTCTGCCTCAGCCTGCCGAGTGCCTGGGATTGCAGGCACGCGCCGCCACGCCTGACTGGTTTTTGTATTTTTTGGTGGAGACAGGGTTTCGCCGTGTTGGCTGGGCTGGTCTCCGCCTCATGACCGCGAGTGATCTGCCCGCCTGGGCCTCCTGAAGTGCCGGGATTGCAGACGGAGTCTCGCTCACTCAGTGCTCAATGTTGCCCAGGCTGGAGTGCAGTGGCGTGATTTCGGCTCACTACAACCTCCACCTCCCAGCCGCCTGCCTTGGCCTCCCAAAGTGCCAAGATTGCAGCCTCTGCCCGGCCCCCACCCCATCTGGGAAGTGAGGAGCGTCTCTGCCTGGCCGCCCATCGTCTGGGATGTGAGGGGCCCCTCTGCTGGGCCGCCCAGTCTGGGAAGTGAGGAGCGCCTCTTCCCGGCCGCCATCCCATCTAGGAAGTGAGGAGCATCTCTGCCCGGCCGCCCATCGTCTGGGATGTGGGGAGCGCCTCTGCCCCGCCGCCCTGTCTGGGATGTGAGGAGCGCCTCTGCCCGGCAGTGACCCCGTCTGGGAACTGAGGAGCGTCTCTGCCTGGCCGCCACCCCGTCTGGGAGGTGAGGAGCATCTCTGCCCGGCCGCCCTGTCTGAGAAGTGAGGAGCCCCTCCGCCCGGCAGCCGCCCAGTCTGGGAAGTGAGGAGCCCCTCCGCCCGGCAGCTGCTCCCTCTGGGAAGTGAGGAGCGTCTCCGTCCGGCAGCCGCCCTGTCCGGAAGGTGGGGGGCAGCCCCCGCCCGGCCAGCCGCCCCGTCCGGGAGGGAGGTGGGGGGCAGGCCCTGCCGGGCCAGCTGCCCCGTCAGGGAGGGAGGTGGGGGACGCCTCTGCCCGGCTGCCCCGTCTGGGAAGTAAGGAGCCCTTCTGCCCGGCCGCCACCCCGTCTGGGAGGTGTACCCAACAGCTCATTGAGAACGGGCCATGATGAAGATGGCGGTTTTGTTGAATAGAAAAGGGGGAAATGTGGGGAAAAGAAAGAGATCAGATTGTTACTGTGTCTGTGTAGAAAGAAGTAGACATAGGAGACTCCATTTTGTTCTGCACTAAGAAAAATTCTTCTGCCTTGGGATGCTGTTAATCTATAACCTTACCCCCACCCCCGTGCTCTCTGAAACATGTGCTGTGTCCACTCAGGGTTAAATGGATTAAGGGCGGTGCAAGATGTGCTTTGTTAAACAGATGCTTGAAGGCGGCATGCTCCTTAAGAGTTATCACCACTCCCTAATCTCAAGTACCCAGGGACACAAACACAGCGGAAGGCGGCAGGGTCCTCTGCCTAGGAAAACCAGAGACCCTTGTTCACATGTTTATCTGCTGACCTTCCCTCCACTATTGTCCTATGACCCTGCCAAATCCCCCTCTCTGAGAAACACCCAAGAATGATCAATAAATACTAAAATAAATAAATAAATAACCCATTAGACTGAGAAGTGAAGTGTCAGTACAAGGACAGTCTACTAAAATTGCTGAAAAATAGCAATTATAGTATTTAGTGGTGGCACAGATATTTATATTTGGTTTTGTAGATATTTGTGTCAGCTATATCAAATTAATTAAATTAAACCAACAACTATTTAAAAAAAAAAGAAAATAGTTTCCATAATTATATTAGAAATTGAATCTACCAGTATATAATATGAATAATACAACTATGGAGGTTTAATTTCAGGAAAGAATGGTCCAACATCAAGAAATCTATAAACATAACTATATCGACATTTGTAGAAGAAAAACCACATATCAACAAATGCCAATAAAGGCATGTGGCAAAATTCAGCAGCTATTCCTTAAAAGCTAAATTAATCCAGGTAGCAAGACACTGCTTAAACATTACCATAACCAGAAAACAGTAAACTATAGTGAAATCCTCTATTTTAAGAGTTGGGAATGAGAAAGAATGATTGCTATTAGCTCTATTATTTAACATTATTTTTGGAAATTCAAGCTAAGGAAATAACCCAAAAAGAACCAAATAAATTTTAAAAATTACATAAAAATTGGAAAAGAGGCGAAAATATAGCTGTTTGCAGATTATATTTCTTTAAACCTTAAAAAATTAATAGAATACAATTTGGTAAGGTGTCTAGATACAAGGTAAGTATACAAAGTCAATAGTTTTTCCATATCCTAGCATTAACCAATTAGAAATTGAAACTGCATTCACCAGATTGCAGGAGAGCTCAACATTGTATCATTCCCCCATATTATTGCATATAATTAATTTTTGATAATATTCCACTGTAAGATCATGATAGTTTATTCCTTCTTCTATTAAAAGCATTTGGGTTGGTCCTGTCTTTCCTTCCCTCCTCCCTCTCTTCTCCCTCTTTCCCTATTATGATCCTTGCATATGTTTTGTATATTCTTGTACATGTCTCCTTAGTCTGTTTTGTAATAGCTTCTCTAGGTTATATACTTTGAGCGAATTGCACAGTTATGACTACAGAACTATTTGTATTAGTCTATTCGCTCATTGCTATAAAGAAAACCTGAGACTGTGTAACTTATAAAGAGATTTAATTGGCTCATGGTCCTGCAGGTTGTATAGAAAGCATAGTAGCTCCTGCTTTTGGGGAGTCCCCAGAGAGCTTCTAATCATGGCAGAAGGCAAAGGGCGGGGGGCAAGGTGGCAGAAGCAGGAGCAAGAGAGAGAAGGGGGAGGTGCCACACATTTTTAAACAACAAAGATCTCGTGAGAACTCTCACTATACAGTACTAAGAGGGGATGATGCTAAACCATTCATCAAGACTCCAACACCATGATCCAATCACCTTCTACCAGACCCCACCTCCAGCACTGGGAATTACATTTCAACATGAGATTTAGGTGGGGACACGTATCCAAACCATAGCACTATTCAATTTTATAAAATAATGTTAAATTGTTTTCAAAAATTTTTTTTCTTTTAACCTTTCTGTCTTCTAGGCTAGAGTGCAATGGCATGATCATGGCTCAACTGCCACCTTGAACTCCTGGCCTCAAGTGATCCTCCTGCCTTGGCCTCCCAAAGTATTGGGATTACAGGCATGAGCCACTGCACTCAGCCAATGTTGTTATGTTTATACTCCTGACCACCAGTGTGTGAGTTCTTACTGATCCTCTCCCAACATTTGATAATGCTAGATTATTTTAGCTAATGTGATGGATGGATAAAAAGTGGTATCTCCTATGGTCTCAATTTTCATTTCTCAGTATTAAATAATCTGAGCATCTTTTCATCTTTTTAACCTATGTTTCTTCTGAAGTGAAATGCCTGTGAGTGGCAGAAATTACCAATATCCACATGTTGCTCCAAATGTCTCATGCTTAGTCAGGTGTGGCCAAGTGATTGGGTTCTGGCCAGAAGGATATGAGTGCAAGAGGTTTAAGTTTCTCCCAAGTCTGGGCATTAAAAACACTGTAGACTGGCATGGTAGCTCATGTCTATAATCCCAGCACTTTGGAAGGCTGAGGCGGGCAGATAGATCACTTGAGCCCAGGAATTCGAGATCAGCCTGGGCAGCATGACAAAACCCTGTCTCTACTAAAAAATACAAAAAATTAGCTGTGCATGGTGGTGTGTGCCTGTAGTCCCAGCTACTTGGGAGGCTGAGGTGGGAGGATCACCTGAGCCCAGGAAGTTGAGGCTGCAGTGAGCTGTGATTGCACCACTGCACTCCAGCCTAGGTGATGGGAGTGAGACCCTGTCTCAAAAAAAAAAAAAAAAAAAAAAACATAAAAAACAAACAAATTCTGTGTAATCTTCTGACCTTATATTCCTGTGCTGTATCAATTTTAGACATATTTTCCAGGTGGTATAACTACATGATGGAGTAGAGCCACTCAAACTGCTTCAATGTCTATGAAAATGGAATATCATTTCTACATTTCTTATAGAGTAGAACATTTTGTGGTAAACTTTTTTTTCATCCTCCTTTTGATAGTTTTGCCAAGTTAAGAATCCCAAGCTGCCTCCCCCACCCCAGTTTTCCTTCTTATTTAATCAAATATTGGCAGATAAACATAATTACAGCACAATTCAGATAATTCTTCATGTTGTATACATAGATCTTTAAATATAATCTAAAAGGAATCTGCAGTCCACAATGACACACATACAGCTTTTCCTTACTTTGCTTAAAAAACATTATTTGAGGCAGGGTCTCACTCTCACCCAGGCTGGAGTGCAGTGGTGTGATCTTATCCTTGCCTCCCAGGTTCAAGTGATTCTCATGCCTCAGCCTCACGAGTAGCTGGGACTACAGGCATGCACCACCATGCCTGGCTAATTTTTGGTTTGTTTTTGTTTTGGTAGAGGTGGGGTTTCACCATGTTGGCCAGGCTAGTCTTGGACTCCTGACCTCAAGTGATCTGCCCACCTTGGCCTCCCAAAGTGCTAGGATGAGCCACCACGCCTGGCAAAAAAGTTTTTAAACCATACAAATTTAGAATCCTATCAGCACACACTTTGCTGTGACATAGTTCAGACACAAATAGGGTACAAAAAAATATGCTAACATATATATAAACTTTGTTAATGAAAAAAAACAGAAACAAGTATGATTGAGATACATTTAGTCACTGATAACTAGTTGTGCCCTAAGGGAACAACTAAGAGAAACTGTGCTGCAGAGAAAACCTATATATAGATATACAACAAGAAAATAAACTATAAGATTAATACATGCATGTTTAATACTGGAAAAAAATCACAGCCCTCCAAAGTTTCTCCATATTTCAAGTCGACAGTTATTTTTCTCTCAAAACTTTGAGGATTTAATTCTACTGTTTCTGGTATTCATTGTTACTGATAACTCGTTTATATTTGGTAAAATAAAAATAAGCTGCTTTTCCCTTGCTGCTTGCAAAATTTTGCTTATGGTGTGTAGGCCACTGAAAAATGTTTTAGGTATGAATTTCTTCTTAATTATCTTGTTTGGAATGTTACACTTACAGGATAAAATGACTTTTTTAAATTTTAAGAAAATCACAATTATTGTCTCCTCAAATAATGACCCTCCTTATTCTTGTAGTTGATTCCAAGGACTCTAATTTAGATATATGTTAGGTCTTTCCATTCTATCCTGTAGATCAGGGGTTGGCAAACTTATTTTTTCAATAAGAGGTCAGATACTAAATATTTTGCCTTTGAGGGTTTTTTTTTTATTTTGCTTCTCCTTGTCTCTCTGTGATGTATCCTGGTATCTTTATTTGGATATAGCTTCTAACCCATTAATTTTCTCTTCCCCTATGTCTAATTGTTTTAACCTATCCATTGAGATTTTTAAAAACTGAGTCTATGTCAACATTTTCTTACCTAGAAGTTTCATTTTTTTTAACCTGCCTATTCTCCTCCTCCCAAAAGTCTTTTTTTTTTTTTTTTTAATGGAGTCTTGCTCTGTCACCCAGGCTGCAGTGCAGTGGTGCGATCTTGGCTCACCATAACCTCCATCTCCTGGGTTCAAGTGATTCTCCTGCCTCAGCCTCCTGAGTAGCTGGGATTACAGGCGGGTGCCACCACGTCCGGCTAATTTTTGTATTTTTAGTAGAGAAGAGGTTTCACCCTGCTGGCCAGGCTGGTCTCAAACTCCTGATCTCAAGTGATCTGCCTGCCTTGGCCTCCCAAAGTGCTGGGGTTACAGGAGTGAGACAACATACCCGGCCAAAAGTCTTAAAGATTTTACAAACAGCTGTTCTACTGAAGTCCTAGGGAGAATGGGTTGCAAGCTAGCGGGTCTATATTTATTGTTCATTATTTCTGCTTCTACTTATTGTAGCTTGCTTTTTAATGTAATTCACCTTTGATCATGAGCTAATTTCTTCATCTTGATCCTGCTTCTGCCAATAGCCAGTTGGGGACCTTTAGCTTCCTGAAGACCTTCATTCAACTTTCCCACCTCACCATTAGCCCATGGCACAATTAGCATGTTAATGTGGCTCCAAGCATCTAACCTAAAGCAAATCCCACCATCCCAGCTGCTGACTGCTCTGCTCCCAGCTAATTTGAGGGTGAAAAACCTGGGAACCCCCTCACCTCTTCTGAGACGGGTTGTGCCTCAGAAAAATATATCCATGCAGGATATATTTGTAAAACTGGAAATAAAGTTGATAGGTTTCTAAGTTTAATTCTAACTAATCTCAATCAAAATTCTAATTTTAGTTCACTCAATTTTTGCAACTTAGAGTAATTATAAATTTCTCATAGAGTGACAGTGAAGCAATTCAGAGGCTCAGTAGTAAACGGCCATAGTTAAGCAATTCAGAGGTAGCATAACTGACAATTCATTTGGGGAAAAAAGAAAGCTGGTTCTCTACCTCATACCATACGTAAAAATATCTTCAATACATCTGGACTTTTAGTGTAAAAATTAATTATACCTGGATTTTAAGTGCAAAAGATATAAGAATATTTTATTTAGCATCTTGATGTGAGAATACATTCCTAAGCAAGGCATAATATATCAGACACAATAGAGGAAAAGTTTGACTATACAAAATTTAAAATTTTAATGAAAAAAAAAAAAAGACAAGTTCTGAGGGACAAACAACAGATTAAAAACCAGAGTACAAATTGATAAGAAAAAGATATCCCAAAAGGATGAGCAGGCAAGTCACATGGCAAACAAACATAAGACAATCAACTCCACCTGTAGTCTGGGAAATGCAAATTAAAGAAACCCCTGTTCATTCAGATTAACAAAAAAATACAGGCATAATGGCTCACACCTGTAATCCCAACACTCTGGGAGGCCAAGGCAGGGGGATCACTTGAGGCCAGGAGTTTGAGACCAGCCTGGCCAACATAGTGAGACTCCATCTCTACAAAAAACAAACAAACAAACAATTAGCTGGGTGCAGTGGCACATACCTGTAGTCCCAGCTTCTCAGGAGCCTAAGGCAGGAGGATCACTTGACCCCAGGAGTTTGAGGTGGTAGTGAGCTATGATCGTGTGACTGCACTGAAGCCTGAGCAACAGAGCAAGACACTGTCTCAAAAAAGACAAAAACATAAAAACAAACCAAAAAAAGACAATAATATCCAATGCTGGTGAAGATAATGGGAAAGTGGTATTTTCAAACTTATAAGGGTGTGAATTGCTCTAACACTTACTGGATTCAAAATCTATTAATATTAAAACTACTCCCTTTGACTATACCTTCTGACCCAGTGATCCCATTTTAGGAGCTCCACCCTTTGGAAATAGAAGTATAATTATATACATTATTTTGATTGCTCATGGTGGGAAAAGGCTGTAATCAACTGAATGAACAGGGACTTATTTAAATTATAATACAGCTATACTAATGAATGCTGTACAGCCTTTAAAAATGAATTAGTGTATATCCTTGTGATGACTTAATGCTCAAGATGCATTAAATCAGTTGCCAAGTAACATATATAGATGATCATAATTTTGTAAAAACAAGTCCCTCAAACCTTCTATATGTTCATATTTGAATGGGCATAAATAAGACAGAATAATATATAAGATTTCACTTCTCCTTTGGGAGACTGAGGCGGGTAGATCATGAGGTCAAGAGATCGAAACCATCCTGGCCAACATGGTGAAACCCTGTCTCTACTAAAAATACAAAAATTAGCTGGGCGTAGTGGCATGCGCCTGTAATCCCAGCTACTTGGGAGGCTGAGGCAGGAGAATCACTTGAACCTGGGAGGTGGAAGTTGCAGTGAGCCGAGATTACACCAGTGTACTCCAGCCTGGCGACAGAGCAAGACTCTGTCTCAAAAAAAAGAAAAAAGATTTCACCTCTCAGTATCTGAAGTGGACAGAAACTTTAATACCTCTAAATTTTATCTTTAAATCATATCCAAAAGCTTTATAATTTAAAAATTATAAAATTCATAATTGGATATCGTATTCATGTATAAATGACTTATAACAATTTTTGGACTGGCAAACTGGTTTTGACTGTTGGCTTCTACTTAATTGTGTACAAATTAATAAATTAATGAATGATATATAGAGATAGTATTTCTACATAAAGTATTAATATCCAGGATATACAAAGAATTATAAAGAAACAAGAATTCCCATATAGAGTAACTATACTAAAAACCACTGAATTTCACACTTTAAAGGGTTTTATTTTAGTAATTTTTTAAAAATTACTATAAAGAGGTCGGTCGTGGTGGCTCACACCTGTAATCCCAGCACTTTGGGAGGCCGAGGCGGGTGGATCACGATGTCAGGAGATTGAGATGATCCTGGCTAACATGGTGAAACCCCGTCTCTACTAAAAACACAAAAAGAAATTAGCCAGGCGTTGTGGCTGGCGCCTGTAGTCCCAGCTACTCGGGAGGCTGAGGCAGGAGAATGGTGTGAACCCAGGAGGCGGAGCTTGCAGTGAGCCGAGATCATGCCACTGCACTCCAGCCTGGGTGACAGAGTGAGACTCCACCTCAAAAAAAAAAAAAAAAAAATTAAATTACTATAAAGAAAAAAAGAATGGGCCAAGGATGTGAGGAGCCAACTTAGAGAAGAAAACCCAGGTTTTCTTCTAATTGAATTGTACTTACAGAAAAACCAGTGTATAAGCTAATAATTATTTATAGGAGGAAACACTGATGGTAGAAACCAAAATTGGTAGAATGCCCTTAGGAAGGTAAAAAATAAGAGATTCCCCTTAAATGAGAGCACAGACAATTCATCTTTTGTAACAGGAGATAGCAGAGCATCTGAATAGTGATGCTTGTAGATGTGGTTTTGGAAGTCTGTGGAAGGTCTCCTCAGATTGCTTCTGTTCTCAGTCCAAGAGAAGCAAGAAATAGGTAGCATAGACTGATGGTGGGGTAGTGTTGATTAGTGGTCTGAGTAGAATGGAGATATAAAATAGTTGACTCCCTAGGGAGAGTAAATGAACCATGGAAACAGTAAGACTTCTGGGCAGCATTAAAGTTAATTTGAATTTATGCTCACAAATTTAAAGTGAGACTGGTTATCATGGTCACATATCTTTCTCTAACCACACTCAGCTTCCTGAGTGCAAAGTAGGCGTTCATATTTAATAAGGATTTGAGCTTTGCCAAGCGAATACAACAAAGAAAGGAGCAATGGAGTTGACAGGGCATGCAAAGGAGTGATTATTAATAACATACTACAGGCTAGGTGCAGTGGCTCACGCCTGTAATCCCAGCACTTTGGGAGGCTAAGGAGGGCAAATCACTTGAGGTCAGAAGTTCGAGACAAACCTGGCCAACATGGTGAAACCCCGTTTCTACTAAAAACACAAAAAAATTAGCTGGGCGTGGTGGCATGTGCCTGTAATCCCAGCTACTACTCAGGAGGCTGAGGCAAGAGGATTGCTTGAGCCCAGGAGGCGGAGGTTGCAGTGAGCCAAGATCGTGCCATTGCACTCCAGCCTGTGCAAGTGTGAGATGCTGTCTCAAATAAATAAATAAAAAGATAAATAATGTACTAAAAACTTAGGATAAGCACAGAAGTGAGGGCATGAAAGGAGAGGAGCTGCGAAAACACTAGGATTAATGGATTGTAGGTCTTCATGAGGTCTAAGGATTGTTGGCATCAAGGACCTATAAGGAGTATGCTAGAAAAAAGATAGGAGAAAGTAGTGAGAGAATAGGATGCTTGAAACTGAGATTAAGGGTTTTTGTTATCAGTAATGACAAAGGAGTGAGTGGCTGAGGCTGATCTTGCTACTCCAGATCATTAGCAGAGAGGTCAAAGGACTGAGAAGTATCATTTGGAGAGTGACGGTGAGGTAGAGACTAAAATCTCTGAGAACAAGAGTGAACCAGGAATGGTAAATGACAATGGGTGGTATAGTCTGATGATCACGAAAAATTTTAAGACGGAAGTTTTTAGGGAGGAGGGAGGTGAGAAAGAGAATGGTCTACAAGCAGCACTACAAAGATAAGAAAAACCACAAGAGCAAGCACCAAATGAGAGGCTGCAGGAGACAGCCAGAGTTCTGTGAGAGCAGGGGAATCTCAAACTTCAGTGTGTACAAGAATGACCTAGATGGTTAGTTCAACTATAGATTGCTGGACCCCACACCCAGAGTTTCCGATTTAGTAAGACTTAAGTCTGAGAATCTGCATTTCTAAAAAGTTCCCAAGCATTGCTGTGTGGTCCAGGGACTACACATTCAGAACAACTCAGAACAAAAGAAAGAAAAAAGCAAAAGGATTCACTATGTAGAGAACATCATTGATGACTTATCACGGATTCTAGAAAACACAATAAAAAAAGGTTCTAGGAGTTGGAGCAGGTGTGAGATGGGGCCAGAAACGGAGTCTTCACAAAATCAGGCTTTTGTTGAAGACAGTTATATGCATGATGTTAAGAGAAGCCAATCTTTTACTAAAAATAATGTATAACATAGGAAGCATTGGTTATAAACTAATGGTATTGACTTTTATTTGCTAAACTGACTTTAACCCACTAAAAGTTTGTTGATTATCTGCAATGTGCCAGGCCCCTTATAGCCTAAGAAGAGGTTAAGTGCCAAGTCAGTTAAACAGAATAACCAAACATAGCTCTCTATAATCTTTTATATTATGTAAATAAAATTTTATATATATATATAATCATAGGACAATCTGTACTGTTTAGCACAAACTGATTTCTTAATTAAAAGAGGTATAGTTGGATAAGAATACACTATCACTTTATTTATTTATGTATTTATTTAGACAGGGTCTCACTCTCATTGCCCAGGCTGGAGTGCAGTGGCATGATCTTGGCTCACTGCAGTCTTGACCTCCCAGGCTCAAGAGACCCACCCCCCCCGCCCACCAACTGCCAGTAGCTGAGACTACAGGTGCGTGCCACCATGCCCCACTAATTTTTGTATTATTTTTGTAGAGACAGAGTCTCAACATGTTACCCAGGCTGGTCTTGAATTCCTGAGCTCAAGCAATCTGCCTGTCTCAGCCTCCCAAAGTGCTGGGGTTACAGGCGTGAGCCACCCTGTCACTTTAATTCTGGCTGTGTCATGAAGGTCACATCACCATTTAGTTACTACTTAATCATGTTTTTCACATGCCTGATAATTTAAAGATATGTCAAAAATTTATCATATTAATTATAAAAATAAGTGAAGTCAAGATAACTTTTTCTCTTTCTCTATAATAAACATACACTTTGAATTTTTACTTTAGATGGTATCAGAACACTGCCTGAATCATGTTACACTTCCAGAGTTCAAAATTTTAAAATACATTAAGCTGATACACATGATTTACACATAATTGCAACTTGAAAATAACAAAAGAGAAATATTTTACAGAATATTTAAATAAGTCTTATTGTTGTTTAAATATTTTAAACATTCATTACTATCACATATGCATATTAAGAAATCTCATAAGTTTATATAGAAACTTACATACATAATATTCACTATTAAATATTACAAATAAATATTTTAGTTATTTTGACTCAAATTCAACATCTTTCAAACCATCGGCAATATTTCTTGTTTTTTTTTTTTCTTTTTTTGAGACAGGGTCTCATTCTGTTGCTTAGGCTGGAGTGAAGTGGCACAAACACAGCTCACTGCAGCCTTGACCTCGTGGGCTCAAATGAGCCTCCTGCTTCAGCCCTCTATGTAGCTGGGACTACATGGAGTGCGCCACCATGCCTCATTTGTTTTTTTGTTTTTTTTTTTTTGTAGAGGCAGGGGTCTCACTCTATCACCCAGGCTGAAGTGCAGTGGTGTGATTTCAGCTCACTGCAACCTCTGCCTCCTGGGCTCAAGTGATCTTCCCACCTCAGCTTCCCAAGTAGCTGGGACCACGGGTGCGCACCACCACACCCAGCTGATTTTTTGTATTTTTTGTAGAGACAAGGTTTCACCCTGTTTCCCAGGCCCAAATTCCTGAGCTCAAGAAATCTGCCCACCTTGGTCTCCCAAAGTGCTGGGATTATAGTTATGAGCCACCACAACTGGCAGTTCCAGCCAATATTTCTTTAAAACTACATTTCAATATAAATTTTTAATATAGAACCAGCTGAGAATCTTATGAAATCTGACATTCAGTGAAACCAAGTATTATTTGTTAGAATCTAAATATTTTTGAAGGCAGACGAATATTTGTTTTAAAAGTTAAAAACTCAACAGGAACTATGTTTTTTATACACTTTCATATATTCTTCATTATTTTTCACTTATTGAATTAGAAAACATACTCTTCATTTTTAAACAAGCAGGAGCTATCTTTTGGATTTTCATTGCTTAGTACAGGGCCTATAATATATAGACAATTATTTATAGAATGAACGAATATCTGGGAATTTGTCCAATTTTTAGGGATCCAAAATTATTAAATTTCCTTTGAATTATGTCGTTTAAAAAATAAGCATATAGCTATTAAAAATGTAAGTGAAAACTGTTTAATCATTTTAGAGCAGTCAAAATACAATATAAGATTGGTATCTTGTTATCTGAAAGCAATCATTTTACCATATGCATTTTGATCTTTTACCATTCATTTTAAGTTGATGGTTAATTTAAAAACTGAGTTTTAATCAAAGTTGTTTTCAAACATTGTCATAATGTCACTTTGAAGGGTCATATCAATGGTACCCACCATCTGTAGAAAAAGCAGAAAATTTTAATATTACTTTAAAAATGTATGTCTTTACTACAACTATACAATAATGATTATGCAACATTTAGGAACAAATCATACAAAAGAAAACTATTCAATAATTTTTTAATTTTTATTTTCTCAGGTTGAACAATAAATTTGTACATAATTATTTCTGTTCAAATATTACCTGATTTGTTAATATATTGTTCATGTAATAAATAAAAAACAAAACCTACAAGAACACTAAGAATAAGTTTGACCCCTCCCTACAAGTAAAAGAGAAAGTTCAATGTTGACAGAGTGGGTATGAATAAGAACATGAACGCTGAGAGCACACTGTCTTACTTCTAAACCCAGCATAATGCCAGACACACAAAATTACTTTCTGAATGAACCAATATCTTTGTTATGTGAGATAACTATAATATGTAATGCTAAAACTATGGGCTTTCCTTGATTCTGCCACTTACTAACTGTGTAACCTAGTCTATTCTATGTATAGGCATTTATGAAGAATCAGATTACATGTAACATTCAGCAAAATGCCATATTAATCACGAAAAAGCTGTTTAAAAAATAAGCCAAAGTAGAGAAAAAGCTAATTAAGACAAAGGAAACAAATGTCAACTATATTCTGAAGCCTTTTCTAACTGCCCTTATAGATATTCTTTAGCATCTGAGATGACACCAAATATTAAAGTTCACAAAATTATTTTTAAAAAATAAATCAATAAACAGCAACAGACCAGAGTGGTAGGTAAAAGCACCAATTTGCAATCAGTTGGTTGGCTTCTTGAATGGGAATTAGCATTCTCATTAGCTATGTGGGAAAATATTTGGAATTGTGATTTACCTACTGAAAGTATTTGAAAGGTATGTCTGACTCTTACAAACCATATAAATTTCTTTAAATCTGCCTTAGAGACAAAAAAATACTTCTTAAATCTTAATCTAGACTACATTTTTTTTAATCTTTTTTTTTTTTTTTGAAACATTGTGTCGTTTTGTCACCCAGGCTGGAGTGCAGTGGCGTGATCTCAGCTCACTGCAACCTCCGCCTCCTGGGTTCAAGTGATTCTCTTTCCTCAGCCTCCCAAGGAGCTGGGATTACAGATGTGCACCGCCATGCCCAGGTAATTTTTGCATTTTTAGTAGAGACAATTTTGCCACATTGGCCAGGCTGGCGTCGAACTCCTGACCTCAAGTGATCCACCTGCCTCAGCCTCCCAAAGTGCTGGGATTACAAGGCGCAAGCTGCTGCAACTGGCATGAACTACATTCTTTTTTTTTTTTCTTGTGACAGAGTCTCAATCTGTCGCCCAGGCTGGAGTGCAGTGGCATGACCTCAGCTCACTGCAACCTCTGCCTCGCAGGCTCAGGTGATTCTCATATCTTAGCCTCCCAAGTAGCTGGGGCTACAGGTGCGTACCACCAAGCCCAACTAATCTTGTAGTTTTAGTAGAGATGGGGTTTCACTATGTTGGCCAGGCTGGTCTCGAACTCCTGACCTCAAGTGATCCACCTGCCTTGGCCTCCCAAAGTGTTGGGATTACAGGCATGAGCCATTGCACCCGGCCCCAGACTACATTCTTAACACCCAGTTTCTAGGATGCCAAATGTCTAGCACAGATTTTTCCTTTAAGTTCTATTCTAAGCCTCCAATATAGGCATTGGATACGTTGTCCTAGTTTAAATATCATGTGATACTGCTATAAGTATCCAGACATACTGCAAAATTTGTAGAATATGTAATGAAACCTGTTTTTATTTAAAGGTTGTGTGTATTGGCTTATTTTAGATTCTCTTACATCTTGACTAAAATCTGTGCATGTGGAACAATTATCGATAGAGAACTGGTATTCTCTGTACCAATTAACCTTAGATACCATGATTTTTTTTTTTTTTTTCTAGATGGAGTTTTGCTCTTGTTGCCCAGGCTGGAGTGCAGTGGCGTGATCTCGGCTCACTGTAACCTCTGCCTCCCGATTCAAATGATTCTTCTGCCTCAGCCTCCTAAGTAGCTGGGATTACAGGTGCGCCACCATGGCTGGCTAATTTTTGTATTTTTAGTAGAGATGGGGTTTCACCATGTTGGTCTCGAACTCCTAACTTCCAGTTATCTGCCTGCCTCGGCCTCTCAAAGTGTTAAGATTATAGGCGTGAGCCACTGTACCCAGCCAATACCATGATTTTTAATACTAATGCTCCCCATAGCTGACACCATAAGCTGGCTATTCCTTACTGTGTGGTCCTAAATACACTCTTCAACTGTTCAAATTTAAGATCAAAAGTTTGGTCAAGGTAACTGGCATGAGGTAAACGTTTGGGAACTCTGCTAAGTGTCAAGTTATTATTGCTTTATAGAGTATGGCTCTTTCGACTGGCAGCAAGAGGCTGGGCTGTCAAAAATGATAGCAAATAGATCCAAGGTCGGGTTGTTAGTTATCAAGCTGCTAGATGTAACATCATTAGTCAGCTTTCAGTGGGTTCCTAGTCTAGTCATGTTCCAGAAAAGTGCTTAGGATATTGGGAAATTTATCAGGTTACCTAGTTGTGTTGTTGGGCCGCAACTAGGGTGCAGTGAAATCACTTGGGGGTGACTTAAGTCAGGCCCGTGTGAGTGCCAACAGGAAACATTTTACATCACTACAGAAAGACTTTAGGTCGGCTGGGCGTGGTAGCTCACGCCTGTAATCCCACAGACTACATCTCAGGAAAAAAAAAAGAAAGACTTTAGGTCAACTACTAACGAAATTTAACAATGAGTTCCTAAAAACCTCCAAAAAGACAATACCAAAAAGTTTCTATTTAAAATTGAGTTCATTAAAATTAAAGTTTAAAATTCAGTTCCTTAGTTGCATTAGCTACATTTCCCGTGCTCAACAGCCCTATGTGGCTATTTGCTAGTATGTTTGAATGGATAAAGCATATTTCTATCATTGTAGAAAGTTCCACTAAGATCACACTGCTCTAAAGTAAACTTCACCATATGTTAAATGTACAGCACTATTAAATGCAATTTGTTTCTACCTTAGTATTATAAAATACGTGGCTGACAGAACTTTTGTTATTCCCTAGAAAATTAATTTGTACTTTAACCAATACTATAGCTAAAGCCAATGGCTGTTCTCTTCTCAAACTAATGTTCTTATATGTCCTATGAATTTACACGTTTTTCCTAGGATTACAAAAATATCCAGTTCTATGTGACTGAGATTGCTGGGAAAAAAAAAAAAAATCTAGCACCCAACAAGGTAACATTCACGACACCTGGTATTTATGATTATTAGTTATGCAAAGAAGCAGAAAAACACTATTCACAAAGAAGAGACTAACCAATCAATTGAAACTGACCCAGAACTGACATACATATTGGAATTAGCAGAGAAGCACATTAAAACAGTTATTTTAACTGTATTCCATTTTTTCAGCAGTTTAATAGAGATAAAAAAAACCACACACATTTTTAATAAACCCAAATCTCACATCTACAATGTCTGGGATGAAAATTAATACACTGGGGGTTAACAGAAGATCAGACACTGAAGAAAAGACTGGTGAATTTATC
Source organism: Homo sapiens (assembly GCF_000001405.40). Lineage (NCBI taxonomy): Eukaryota > Metazoa > Chordata > Mammalia > Primates > Hominidae > Homo > Homo sapiens. The sequence goes on along the minus strand of NC_000001.11, from coordinate 92,010,637 downwards.
CAAAATGAAATTCAAAGGGAAAAAATAATTTTAAAAAAATTAAAAGAACAGCCCAGGTGCAGGTGGCTCATGCCTGTAATCCTAACACTTTGGGAGGCAGAGGCAGGCAGATCCCTTAAGGACAGGAGTTTGAGACTAGCCCTGGCCAACATGGGGAAACCCTGTCTCTACTAAAAAAATAAAAACAAAAACAAAATTAGCTGGGCATGGTGGCACGTGCCTGCAGTCCTAGCTACTCAAGAGGCTGCACCATGAGAATCACTTGAACCTGGGAGGAGGCAGAGGTTGCAGTGAGCCGAGATCACGCCACTGCACTGCAGCCTGAGCAACAGAGTGAGATTCAGTCTCAAAAAAAAAAAAAAAAAAAAAATTAAAAGAGCATTAGTGAGCTATGAGGCAACTTTAAATGGTCTAATACATAAATAATTGGAGTCCTCACAAGGGAGTGAGGTGGGATATTATTTGAATAAATAATGGCCAAAATTTTTCCAAGCTTGATGAAAACACACAACTTGAATAAGCTCAACAAATCACAAGAAACATGAAGAAAACAATTGCTGAAACCCAGTGATCAATACAAATGTTAAAGGCAAGTAGAGGAAAAACATACTATATACAGAAGACCAAAGATAATAGTACTGGATTTCTCAGTGGAAACAATGGAATCAATGAGACAGTGAACAAGTACCTTTAAAGTGCTAAAAGAAAAAACATTAAAGCTCTAGAGTTCTAAATTCAGCAAAAGTGTCTTTCAAAATTGAAGGCAGGGCCAGGCACAGTGGCTCACACCTGTAATTCTAGCACTCTGGGAGGCAGAGGCAGGCAGACTGCTTGAGCTCAGGAGTTCGAGACTACCCTGGGCCACACAGTGAGACTTTGTCTCTACAAAAAAAATAAATAAATAAAATAAAAAATAAAAAAATTAGCTGGGTGTGGTGGTGCATGCCTGTGGTCCCAGCTACTGGGGGGTTGGGGTAGGAGGATCGCTTGAGCCTGGGAGGTCAAGCCTGCAGTGAGCCATGATCATGGCGCTGCACTCCAGCCTGGGCAACAGAGTGAGACTGTGTCAAGAGAAAAAAAAAAAAAAAAAAAGTGGCAAGTTGAAAAACCTGCAAACAAATGTTTATGGCAGCTTTATTCTTAATTGCCATACGTTGGAGGCAACCAAGATGTCCTTCAATAGGTAAGTAATAACTAAACTGTGGTATATTCATATAATGTGCTAAAAAGAAATGACCTATTGTGATAGCCAAGACATGAAATCAACCTAAATGTCCATCAATGGCTGAATAGAAGAAATGTTATATATATATAATGGAACACTATTCAATCTTTAAAAAGAAAACCCCATCATTTTCAACAACATAGGTGAATCCAGAGGACATTATATTAAGTGAAATAAGCCAGGCACAGAAAGACAAATACTGCATGATCTCACTTATCTGTGGGGTCTTAAAAAGTTGAACCCATAGAAGCAGAGAATGAAATGGTAGTTTATTAGGATATGGGGAGAGGTTGGGGGTAGAGATAGGAAATATTATTCAAGGAATACAAACTTTCAGTTAGACAGTAGGAATTCCAAGAGATTTAATATACAACATGGAGACTATAGTTAAAAACAATGTATTATATACTAAAAAATTACTAAAGAATAGATTTCAAGTGTTCTCACCACAAAAGGTGAGGTGATACATGTTAGTTTGATGTAGCCATTCCACAATGTACACATATTTCAAAACATAATTGTATACCATAAATATATATAATTGTCAATTAAGATAATTAATTTTTTAAAATTCAGCTATCAAGCCATAGAAAGATAGAGAGGAACCTTAAACGCACATTGCTAAGTGAAAGACAACAATCTGAAAAGGCTGCATAGGGCATGATCCCAACTATATGACATTCTGGACAAGATAAACCTGTGGAGACAGTAAAAAGATCAGTGGTTGCCAGGGTTGTGAGGAGGGATGAATAGGTGGGCCACAGGAGACTTTCAGGGCAGGAAAACTATTCCGTAAGGAACTATAATGGCTGATGTATATCATTACACATTTGTCAAAATCCATAAAAAGTACAACACGAAGAATGAATCCTAATGTAAACTATAGACTTTACTTGATTATACTAAGGCTGACAATGATGTATTGACATTGATGGTGGGGGAGGGCATATATATAGAGGGGTATGGCACGTAGGAACTCTGTATTTTCAGCTTGGTTTTGCTACAAATGTAAGACTGCTCTAAAAAATAAAAGTCTATGAATGGAAAAAAAAGGCCAAATAAAGGCATTTTCAGATGCACAAAAGTGGAAAGAACTATTGCCAGCGGACCCAGACTATAAGAAATGTTCAAAGGAAGTCCTTTATGCAAAAGGAAAATTACACTATTTGGATATCTGGATCTAAACAAAGAAATGGGCCAGGCACGGTGGCTCATGCCTATAATCCCAGCACTTTGGGAGGCCGAGGTGGGTGGATCACCTGAGGTTAGGAGTTCGAGACTAGCCTGGCCAACATGGCGAAACCTTGGCTCTACTAAAAATACAAAAATTTACCAGGCGTGGTGGTGGGTGCCTGGAATCCCAGCTACTTGGGAGGCTGAGGCAGGAGAATCACTTGAACCAGGGAGGTGGAGGTTGCAGTGAGCTGAGATTGCACCATTGCATTCCAGGCTGGGCGACAAGAGCGAAACTCCACCTCAAAAATAAACGAATGAATGAATGAATGAATGAATGAATAAATAAATAAATAAATAAAGGAATGAAAAGCACAGGAAATGGTAACTGCATATGTAAATATAAGATTCTTTATTTAAAACAATTTAAGAGATATTATCAGTATTTAAGCAATAGCATAAGGCTGACGGGGAGGAATGGAAGTAACTGTTGTAAAGCTCTTACACTAAACATGAGGTGGTATAACGTAAATTGAAAGCAGACTGCGATTAAGTTAAAGCTGTATATTGTAAACCGTAAGCAACCACTAAAATAGGAAAACAAAGAGTTACTGACTATGTCAATGAAGGAGATGAAGTGGACTAAAAAAATGCTCTGTAGACATAAAGAAGGAGATCATGTCTTGCAGGAACATGGATGGAACTGGAGGCTATTATCCTCAGCAAACAAATGCAGGAACAGAAAATCAAATACTGCATGTTCTCACCTATAAGTGGGAGCTGAATGATATGAACTTAGGAACACAAAGAAGGAAACAGCAGACACTGGGGTCTACTTGAGGGTGGAGGTTGGGAGGACGGAGAGGAGCAGAAAAGGTAACTATTGGATACTGGGCTTAATACCTGGGTGAAGAAATAATCTGTACAACGAACCCCCGTTACACCAGTTTACCTATGTAACAAACCTTCACATGTACCCCAGAACCTAAAACAAAAGTTAACAACAAAAAAGCTTAATACAAAAACGGGCAGAAAAAAAAAGAGAGAGAGAAGAAAGACAGGAACAGAAAACAATTATCAAGATGATGAACTCAAACTTAACAATGTCAATGATTATACTGAATGTAACTAGTCTAAACATGTGATTAAAAGGCAGAGATCTTTGGCTAATGCCTGTCATCCTAACACTTTGGGAGGCCAAGGTGGGTGGATTGCCTGAGCTCAGGAGTCCGAGACCAGCCTTGGCAACATGGTGAAACCCTGTCTCTACTAAAAATACAAAAAATTAGCTGGGTGTGGTGGCACGGGCCTGTAATCCCAGCTACTCGGGAGGCTGAGGCATGAGAATCGCTTGAACCCAGGAGGCAGAGGTCGCAGTGAGCCAAGATTGCACTACTGCACTCCAGCCTGGGCGACAAGAGCAAAATTCTGTCTCAAAAAAATAAAATAAAATAAAAATAAAAATAAAAAACAGGCTGGGCATGGTGGCTCACATCTGTAATCCCAGCACTTTGGGAGGCCGAGGCAGGCGATTGCCTAAGGTCAGGAGTTTGAGACCAGCCTGCCTAACATGGTGAAACCCCATTTCTATTAAAAATACAAAACATTAGCCAGGCATGGTGGCGTGCGCCTGTAATCCCAGCTACTGGGGACGCTGAGGCAGAAGAATCGCTTGAACCCAGGAGGTGGAGGTTGCAGTGAGCCGAGATCACACCACTGCACTCCAGCTTGGGCAACAAAAGCGAAACTTCATCTCGATAAAAACAAACAAACAAACAAACAAACAAACAAAAGCAAGCTCCCATTACATGTTGCCTACAAGAAACTCACTTTAAATAATTAAAAAAAAAACACAAGATAGGTTAAAAGTAAAACGATGGAAAGAATTTTACTGTGCCAACGCTAGTCATAAAAAGGTGAAGTGCCTATTTTAAATTTCAGTGTAATTTTCAGAGTAATTCTTACCAGAAGTAAAGATCATTTCATAATGAACAAGAAGATAAACCAACTTGGCCTGATTAACACCCTATCCAACAGCAATAAAATACACATTCTTCATGTGCACACAGAATATTTACCAAAGTAGACCATAAGCCAGGCCATAAAATAAGTCTCAATAAATTTCAAACAATTCAGTCAGATATGTGTACGACCACAATGGAATTAAATTAGAAATCACTAACAGAAATCACTAGAATCAGAAAATTCCCAAATATCTGGAAACTAAACACTTCTGAAATAATCCATGAATAAAAGAAGGAATCAACTGTAGCTTTTAAAATATTATTTTCTGCATATTAGGACTCCTAAGTGAAAGTCAGCTTCTTAATCTAGCAGTCAACCGAAGAAATGCTGACCAGGAACAGATGGCACATCTTCTGGCCACAATTCATAGGTGGTTTACAGATTTTTAAACAGTAACAATAGTAAGTGATAAATCACTTCACCTAGTGCTAGGCATTTTCCTATGTGCTTAATACATGCTCATTCATTTCACCTTCACAATAGGTATTATTATTCCCACTTTAGGGAGTTAGATAATTGCCGAGGTCTAAGAGTCTAGTAAATAGGCAGACCATCTTTTTTTGTTTGTTTGAGAGCACCATGTTGCTCTGTCACCCACACTGGAGTGTAGTGGTGTGATCATAGCTCCCTGCAGCCTCTAACTCCTGGCCTCAAAAGATCCTCCCGCCTCCAAAATCATCATTTTAACTCAGGTAGTCTAGTACTTCCAGGATCAATACTCTATTATTGCATTGCCTCCTTTGGCTATGAATTTTTTTATTTTAAGCTTTAATTTTAGAACCTGATCCTCACTAAAGAGGTAAGTCCACTGTCACTGAAAAATTACCCCAAATGCATCCTTGAACATACAAAAGACAGTGCTCTGTTAAATCTTTCCCTTGTTAAATTAGATTTAGTAAACTAAAATTCACTTACTGCTTCTCTCCTCCTCCTCTCTTGTTCTTTCTGCCTTGCTAAATCACGGTCTTTGAGAAGCCAGAGTTTGGATTTATCTTGAGCTTCTGATGACTGCTGATGTTCTTTCTGCTCTTCTCCAGAGCACTTGTTTTGTATTTTATTTGAAAAAGATTCTACAGTCAATCCATTCCCAAGATCCCTTAAAGAAAAAAAGTATAGCTCAAAGTAGGTTTCAAGTTCCTTAAAAGTATTACAAAAATGTTATTAAATGACAAATATAAAGCCATATATTAAGACAACCATGTTCATGTTATAACATTATTTTAAGCTTTATTTTTGATGCATCAAATTACACATAGGCTAATCCATATTAACAAATAAATGGTTTTGGAAAACTGTGGCCAAGATGAACCACTATCTTCTAACACATAGACCAGAAAAACTTTAAGACATTTCTGTAAAATAATGACTATATAATTTAGTAATTAGTATCTTTAGTAGCTTAATCCCTTGATTATTTGTCTTCAAAAGAGATATCATCACTTAGAAAAAGTATCAAATGTACTTTTTGCAATTACAATTTGCTCTGTGTTCTACTAAACAGTTGAATCATAGTCACTTAACAAATAAGAAATTTAATGTATTTAAAATACATTCTATATCTCCCAAACCCTCCTTTAATCCAGTAAATTACAGACCTCTGATTTTCTTGAGATGCTTTTAGTTCCTTTGTATTTTGTTCCAAATGCTTCCGTATGAGTTCCTGTGTCCGAGCTTTTACTTCCTTTTCTATGGCTGCTTTTCTAAATTGGTTGAAGAGCTCATCTGAGGATTTCATTACACCTGATGGTTTCACTGGTTTGCCTAAACTTTTCCATGAATCTGCATTCTTAATCTTTATATCCTAAAACAAATATTTGGTTCAGTCTATGTCTACAGATGTTAACCAAATTTTGGAAGGAAGAAAACATTTTTTGATGATACAGCAATAGATCTAATTAAGATTCTAAAGGGCTTCATGTACTTTTACTAAAGTAAAAGGTTACTAAAGTCAAAGGTTACTAAAGTTAGAAAAAAAATACAAAAACATAATAGATCATCTAAACTCAATTATTAATCTGAGACCACATTAAAGTAGCACACTTGCCAATTATTTTAAGACATATATATTAACTGCATAATTTGCAGAAAGCATAAAAATAAATAAATCCCTCAGTGTAATCAAGATACTTATTATCCTATAGGGAAAATAAAGAAAATGCTCAAAGGATTAATAAGAGGCAAAGTAAGATTGTACCCTAAAAATGCCATGGAGTTTGTTGAGAGTCCTCTGACATGGATATATTTTTCCTTTTGGTGGTTAAGAAGAAAAAACTTAAGTGATGTGACTGCTCTTCTTAAACAAGATACACCATGGTTGAGGTTAGTGCTGCCCACCAGAAATATATGTAATTTAATGTTTTCTAATAGCCACGTTTTAAAAATTTAAGTAAATTTAATATATTTATTTAACCAAATATACCCAAAGCATTATTTCAACAGGTAATCAATATAAAAGACATAAAGTATTTTTTCATACTAAGTCATCCCAATTTACATTTGTAGGACATTTCAACTTCAAATGCTAAATTCCTACTAGAAACAATTGATCTATAATTAGATTTCATAAAATTCACAGTTGAAAAACTAGTTATGTATAGTCAAACTGTTCCAAACACATCTAAGTCTTCCGAAACTGAATTGTGTCCATTTTAAATTTTAATTAAAAGACAAATTTTAAAACTTAGCTCCTTTAGCTACATGTCAAGGGCTCAATTAGCCACATGTGACCAGAGGCTACCATATTAGATAAGCACAAGTCTAGATGGCCCTTTCTACAGTTAAACCTGTCCATCTATAATACGGAAAGAGGGCTGTGCAATACTAAAACATCTTCTGCTGAATTTCTAAAAATAATTATCTCCTTAATAATTATGCTTGATTGCACTTTTGATGTATTTCCATGAAATATGAGGAGAAAACTTGTCTAGGGCCCCATATAAGGCAAAAGAAAATGTATGACTAGATATATTTATAGGCCTTTTATTTCTATCCTGAAGTAATAAAAGGAGTCAAAACATCCCTCCCTGTCCCCAACACAATGACCTTTACCAATCACCAATGATTAGCCAGTTGTGCTTTCCTGTAAGTTGTCAATAAAACCTGTTTTTGTCTCTACCTATGGAATGGGCTAATTACTAGTTCTATGACTCACTCAACTAAAGCATCTCACCTTCCACCTTCTCACCTTTAGATTTGTCCTCTAAAGTACTTGCAAGGAAAAGGTAAGAAGTAGAGGGTAATGGAACAGAGGGATGGAGGGGGATAGAGAAAAAATATATAAAAATATTCCTTTCATAGTTTCTGAAAACACCTTGAACAGTACCTTATGTATCTTAATGTATCCCAATCATCTAGAATATTTGTTGAAAGAATGATATCAGTATATAATTTGAAGATTAAGTAGACATTAAGACTCCATTAGGAAATCCCTTGGATTTCTTAGATATCCCTAGAATAGATTCTAAAAGATGGTTTTATGACATGCTTTAAAATTGAGATCACTGGCAAATATCAACATTATAGAACTTTCAATTAAACACAAACAAAAGGGCCAAGCATGGTGGCTCATGCCTGTAATCCCAACACTTTGAGAGGCCAGGTGGGTGGATCACCTAAGATCAGGAGTTTGAGACCAACCTGGCCAACGTGGCAAAACACTGTCTCCTCCAATAAAAATACAAAAAATTAGCTGGGCATGGTGGTACACACCTGTAATCCCAGCTACTTGGGAGGCTGAGGCATGAGAATCGCTTGAATCTGGGAGGCAGAGGTTGCAGTGAGCCGAGATCGTGCCACGGCACTCCAGCCTAGGCGACAGAGTGAGACTCCATCTCAAAAAAAAACAACAACAAAAAAACACAAACAAGAGGACCAATGATAGGTAGGTATGTGGGTAGGGGAAGGATGTTGCTCAGAAGTACTTTTTCAAAAAATTACGTAGGCAAAAATTAGGCTTAGAGATCCAACATTTCATTTAAGTCAGGGCTTTTAAATACCTCTTGTACCACTTCCAAACCCAATTTCAAATCCCTTCAAGATTTGTTAGAAAAAAAAAATTACTTTTACCTTCTGTACAGGAGCTTGACATTCAGATTCTAACATCGTTGTGTCACTATCACCAGATGGATGCATCACAGTTATGCCATTTGAGAGCTGTTCAGAATCACCTGGATGCACACATTTTTAGAATAGTATAATTAAAATATTTCATCCTACTTACCCAGAATTTGATTTTATTTTTCCTTCCAGGTCAGACACTATGAAAACAAAGAGACTAATTTTTTGATGCATCATTTAACTTTGGAATATTCTTAGTTAGGGACTTGTTATACTATAAAATATTTCTCATTTGAAAGTTACCACTTTGCTCTTTTTTTGTTATTTTTGCTTGTTCTGGTCAGCATGAAATATAGCTGACATCATACTCACCCACCAAAACCTTTTTATCTGACCCCATGCTATAGCAGCTCTCCAGTTTAGACTGACCTCAGCTCCAGAGGTGTGTTTTTTTTTTTTGCGGGGAGAGGGTCTTGCTTTGATGCTCTAGGCTGAAGTACAGTGGTGCAATCTTGGCTCACTGCAACCTCCACCTCCAAGGTTCAAGCAATTCCCCTGCTTTAGCCCCCTGAGTAGCTGGGATTACAGGCACCCACCACCATGCCTGGTTAATTTTTGTATTTTTAGTAGAGATGGGGTTTTACCATGTTGGCCAGGCTGGACTTGAACTCCTGACCTTCAGTGATCTGCCCGCCTCAGCCTCCCAAAGTGCTGGGATTACAGGCATGAGCCATTGTGGCTGGCCAGGCCTGTAAATTTCAACATGAGTTTTGGAGAGGACAAACATTCAAAACCATAGCATAACTTATCTAAAGCAATTTAGACTGCTGATAAAACCCAGTTATCACTAAACATTTACTGAGCACATACTATGTACTAAGCACTGGGAACGTAAGGATGACTAAAATGTAATAACTATCCTCAGGTATTACGCGCCCAGCCTAGAGGTGGGTTTTAATAAGGCCAAGCCAATCCTGGTAATTCTATCTCACCATCAGTAACTCATTTAGGAAGAGCAGACCTAAGCCAGTGCAGGGCTTCCAAGGGAAAGATGCTGCCTGGGTGGCCAATTGGAGACAAAAAAACACAGAGAGGGAAACTAAGATACCAGACACTCAAAATAGCTACCAAGGGAACAGGGATGTGAAACGCAGTAAGTCTGACTCTGAGGTGAGGAGAACAAACTATGCAATTTCATTAATTCTTAAGTTTTCATGCAAATATTTCATTTATTATTATTGTGAAGATTAACTACAGAGTGTGAGCCCTTATCAAGCCATGACTAAAAGATTGACCTATCTTTGGACTATTGCTTATGTATGCCAACAAAATTCCTTTATTAAATCAGTTTGGGCTGAGTTTTCTGTCATCTGCAACATGGAACATCCTGATGCGTGAAACTTAATTGATCACTTGATTCAATTCTCTCTAGTCATAGTCTACAGGTTCTAATTCGTGGCTGAAGAACAAGAGGGACAAATCAAAACTGAGCTGCTGTCTTTGTTAACTAACCCAAACTAACAAAATCCTGGCCACTTACATATTATAGGGACTTACATTTAAGCTTCTACCATCCATCAATCCCTTGACTGATTCTCTGGCTAAATCATACTGAGGTTGAGGTTAGAAGAAGAGAGCAAGGAACATCAAGGAATAGCAGTGAGCATAGGAGGGCAAGACAAAACACTGTCAAAGAATGCAGAACAAAAGCTCACATTTTTAATTTGTACGTCTGTACACAGCCTCAATGTAGCCATGTTTCCTCACTTCAACAAGGAAAGGGAAAAAATAGTGAGAAAAGCTGTAAGTATAGGACTGCCTTCCCTTCTCTGCTTCCTGTCAGTGATTATTTAGGAAGGAGAAAAAGTATGTATGGTAAGTGAAATTCTAAAGTGACCCTTAATTTGCTGACTCTAAGTTGGTAAGTGGTGATAGTGCCATTATTGACAATTAAAGAGGAAGGATTAAAATCTGGGGACCAGACTGGGTGCACTGGCTCAGGCCTGCAATCCCAGCACTTTGGGAGGCCAAGGCGGGAGGATTCCTTAAGCCCAGAAGTTTGAGACCAGCCATGGTGAGATCCCATCTCTACCAAACAAAACAAACAAATAACAACTTAGCTGGGCATGGTGGCACACATTTGTGGTCCCAGCTACTTGAGAGGCTGAGGTAGGAGGATGACTTGAGCCCAGGCGGTTGAGGCTGCAGTGAGCCATATTTGCGCCACTGTACTCCAGCCTGAGCAACACAGGCAGACTGTCTCAAAAAAATAAATACAATCTGAGGACTAAAAGGGGGAATTCAGTTTTTACATGGCTGTGTTTGGAATGCCTATGTGATGTTTAAGTAAAGACATTTAGTAGAGTTGTATAAACATGCCTGGGGCCTGGATACATTTGAATTGTAAAAATGAGACTAGAAGTCATGGATGCCAAAGATCACCCAAGTATAGAGCACTGCTTCCAACCTTTTCCATGTCATGATATATAGAAAATGATCAATGTATGGCCACCTGCATAAATGGAAAGGCTGCTCCCAGCTCATTGCTATAAGAGCTGAGGGGACATTCATTCAGTAAGACTGTGCTTTGAAACATGGTTGGGAAATTCTGGGGTAGATGAAAAAAACAGAGAGGCTTAAGGATGCAATTCAGAGAATTATCAACATCTAAAGGGAGGCAAATAAAGAGATATCTGTAAGGAACAGACAGATGGGATTGTTAAGAGAGGTGTCATAAAAGCCTAGGAAGTATGTCAAGGGTCCAACTCTCTGAAAAATATTTTTACATGAATGACCCTGTGATACCTCAAAAGACTACAAAACTCATCTTTCCTCAGAAGCCTATTCTTCATCTTGTGTCCCGGGTCTGTCAACCTGGACAGTATCCAGCCAGTATCCTGTGAGCCACCGAAGCTTATATCCCTGGGTTATTAACCCAGCATGTTTTCATATTTTGCAGACCTGCCCATTCTACTCTTGCAATTTCTTTTAACTTTCCCCTTCTCTTTCCTTCTATCACTTTATGTCATTTTTTCCCTACTACTGCAACAGCCCAGCTGGTCTCCTTCCCTTCTCTGGTCTCTATATTCTCCTTTCCTTCAACTCACCTAAATAATATTGGCAAATTAATCACTCAGAGGCACACCTTCACTCAAAAAAACCTTCATTGCCTCCCCACTGACTATGCTATTATAATTAAGTCCAAAGTATCTAAAGGGTTAAATGATCTAAACCTGGTCTACCTTTGTAATTTTCCACATTCCTGTTTAATCCAACCAAATCTTTAATCACATGGAATTATGAGTTGCCTAAATACCTTCACATTCATGTTGCTTCCTCCATCCAAATGCCTTTCCATACTAAATAAACATAGGTAAGCCTTATTTTTTTTCTGCACTATCCAGCTCAAATGATACTCATTCTGTAAAATATGTATCTGCCAAACACATCAGGTGATTCTGCCTTCTTCACCTCCTTAAACTTCACTTTAGGTTCTTTCAGGGCACATTATTTTTACTTTATATACCAGTTGTTTATTTCTCCTATGAGATAGCAAACTCCTGGATTTACTTTTTCATTTGCAATTATGAATTCATGTTTATATAACAGCCTAAATATTTTAAAAACTCAATATAATTTGGTGAAGTTTAAAAAAATTTTTTTATTATACTTTAAGTTCTGGGATACATGCGCAGAATGTGCAGGTTTGTTACACGTGCCATAGTGGTTTGCTGTACCCATCAACCTGTCATCTACATTAGGTATTTTTCCTAATGCTACCCCTCTGCTAGCCCCCCATCCCCCAACAGGCCCCAGTGTGTGATGTTCCCCTCCCTGTGTCCATGTGCTCTCAGTGTTCAACTCCCACTTATGAGTGAGAACATGCAGTGTTTGGTTTTCTGTTCTTGTATTAGTTTGCTGAGGATGATGGTTTCCAGCTTCATCCATGTCCCTGCAAAGGACATGAACTCATCCCTTTTCATGGCGGCAATTTAGTGAAGTTTTTATGAGAAGGGGAAAGGGTAAACTATAAGGATAAGGGTATGGCTAAAAGCTTCAACTTATAAGGAAAAAAAATTCAACATTGTCCATTTCATGTGGAGATCATATGTGGGCAGGTGTGATGAAAACCAGTAACACTTAAAAATTCATTTTTTAATCTTTTATGTACTCTAACATTTTGTCAAACTATTTTTCCAATAAGAAAACTTCAACATATTGCTTTTATCATTTAATTGTAAGGTTTAACAAAAAATTTATTTCTATTGAGATTTAACTCCAGAAAAAGAAAATGTCTCTATAAATTTTATGGCTCACATACATTTGCAATTTCCCTTGGGCATAGTGCCACCTACAGTTGGCAAATGTAAACCATGTTGTTTCTGAGAATCTTGCTAACTGCAAAAGAACAGCTACTCTGGCATCATCCAAACTTTCCTTTATATATTAGCTTACTAATAGGCATCATATAAACAGAATTTCAAGTAATATAATAAACTGATCCTTACTGAAGGTGTAGGTATTAAAAGCCTGACTTTTCATAGATAGGGTGTTTTCTTAAATTAGGAATAAGAGAACACCTTGACTACATTCTCACCTTTGTTTTTCATAATCTATTCCTTTTCAAGGGCAAGGCTACCCTAGCATTCTTATAAAACATACTCTAGTTAAAAGAGTAACTTTTTCCTACTTTAGCTCTTTATAATGAGCCTTCAAATGTTCAAATCCCTCCAATTAAAAAACTCAAAATAATCTTGCCCACTCCTCCAAAAAATCTATTTTCCTGTTAAAGCCACAAATATCTTTCCATCCTCTTTACCAACAAAGTTCTTCAAAGAATGCTTTACATTCACTACACTCAAATTCCATTACTTCTCAATTTACAACAATCTGGTTTCTGCCCCATCACAACAGGTACTAAAAAAGCTTCCGCAAAAGTAAAAATTCTCACATTCCCAATGTAATGCTCTCTCTCCATTCCTCATCCTACTTAAATGCTCTGCAGTATGTGATACTTTTGATTTCCTTCTAAAAAAAAAATCTATCTTCCTGGGCTTTTATTACACTATTTTTTCTTTTTCTCTACCATTGATTACCTCTTCTTTTAACTATTTTTTTCTACTTTTACTGAGGAGGTTTTGTTTCTTAGAATTTTGTCTTTAAGCTTTTCTCTTCCTGCTCTGCAGATTTTCCTGGGTGTTTTCATTTATTCTTATGGCTTCAAGTAGCTTCTACATACTGTTAATTCCTAATTTCTAATTCCTGTTACACCCTGTTAGTTCTAGAAACCTATTTCTAGCTTTATATTTCCACTTAGATATTCTGTAACATCTCAAACATGTGCCAAATGAGTTCTGTCCCCTGTTTTCAATCCAACTATTAGATAATCTCCCAGTAGCTCATTCATCCTAACGAAGTATATCAATTCTGCCACAAAAATACCTTATATATCCACATGCTTTCTACAGTTGCTGTGTTAGTTTTGGTCCTAATAATTTATTTCCTAGACTACAGCATTCAGTGTCCTTACTTAATCCTAACTACATCAGAGCATCATCTTAATCCATCCTCTACATGGTAAGCAGCAATTTTTTCCCTATTATAAAACCTGGGGCTGGGTGTGGTGGCTCACGCCTGTAATCCCAGAACTTTGGGAGGCCAAGGTGGGTGGATCACTTGAGTCCAGGAGTTCAAGACCAGCCTGGCCAACATGGTGAAATCGTCTCTACAAAAAGTACAAAAATTAGCCGCATATGGTGGTGCATGCCTGTAATCCCAACTACTTGGGTGGCTGAGGCATGAGAATTGCTTGAACCCGGGAGGCAGAGGTTGCGGTGAGCAGAGGTTGTGCTACTACACTCCAGCCTGGGCAACAGGGCGAGACTCTGTGTCAAAAAAATAAATAAATAAAATAAAATTGAATAAAATCTGATTATGCTTCCTATACAAAGCTCCTTGTTGTACACAAAGTATACAAATTTGTATATAATTTGTTGTATACAAATTAATGGCACTGGTATTCTAGGTAACTCATGACCTATAGCTATCATATCTTCTGTTATCCTCCAAGTATCTTGAAAATGTATTTCAAAAAAAGAGTAGACATAAATATTTCATACTTTGGATATTTGTTTATTCTTCTTCCTGGAATGCCCTCCAGTGTGGCCTTAGATATTTTCTCCATTGATCTCCATTCCCTTCCCCACAATGAAGAGATATAACTTTAATTAAAGACAAAATGGAATATTCAAACACAGAATAGGGAGGCTGAGGCAAGCGGATCATCTGAGGTCAAGAGTTCGAGACCAGCCTGACCAACATGGTGAAACCCTGTCTCTACTAAAAAGACAAAAAATTAGCTGGGCGTGGTGGTACATGCCTGTAATCACAGCTACTCAGGAGGCTGAGACAGGAGAATCACTTGAACCTGGGAGACGGAGGTTGCAGTGAGCCAAGATTGCACCACTGCACCCACCCTGGGCAACAAGAATGAAACTCTGTCTCAAAAAAAAAAAAAACTACAAAAAAATTAGCTGGGCATGGTGGCACATGCCTGTAATCCCAGCTACTCAGGAGGCTGAGGCAGGAGAATCGCTTAAACCCGGGAATCATTGCGGAGGTTGCAATGAGCCAAGATTGTGCCACTGCACTCCCACCTGCAAGACAGAGCGAGACTCCATCTCAAAAAAAAATTTAAACAACACACACACACACACACACACACACACACACACACACACACACACACACACACAGAATAGTAGGGAGATTTTAAACTGAAAGCTGTGAAGAAGGATCAAAACATCTCCCTCTTCCTCCTAATCTGTGTTGCAGCAAAACAGCTTGGAAATTTATTCTGCTAGGGAGATACCTCTGCCCTTGGGTGGCCAAGTGGAAACCAGGGAACATTCTAGAGGGAAGAAGAATAGACAAGGAATATTCATATCTGCCCTTAACCTAGGCCTAAATACATTAGTGTCTCAAGGTTTAGTCATGCTCTAGGCTAAACTCGTATCAGAAGTACCCTTCGTGCCACACATCCCCTTCAACCCACCAGAACCAAGTTGAGACAGGCAAAACTTTCCCTTCTGATAAGATATTAAGTCAAATGAATCTAAAAATATAAAAATTTAACCAGTTTTAGACAAATAGGAACTACCCTTAGGCAAGTATTTCTAGCCCAAGTTTCCTTAACTGTAAACTATTTTATATATCTGTAACTTCTTTTCTTTACTTATAGAATCTCTAAGTATCTTTCCCTTATTCTTTTTTTTTTTTTTTTTTTTTTTTTGAGACGGAGTCTTGCTCTGTCGCCCAGGCTGGAGTGCAGTGGCGGGATCTCGGCTCACTGCAAGCTCCGCCTCCTGGGTTCACGCCATTCTCCTGCCTCAGCCTCCCAAGTAGCTGGGACTACAGGCGCCCGCCACTGCGCCCGGCTAATTTTTTGTATTTTTAGTAGAGACGGGGTTTCACCGTTTTTTAGCCGGGATGGTCTCAATCTCCTGACCTCGTGATCCGCCCGCCTCGGCCTCCCAAAGTGCTGGGATTACAGGCGTGAGCCACCGCGCCCGGCCCTCCCTTATTCTTTCCTACTTTTCTAACCCAGATAGGTGTCATGGAAGTTAAAACAGTATTTCCCAGATCTGCTCAGATCTGGGAAAGTAAATTGGGTGTGAACTATATACATAATTTTCTTTCTTTTAAATATAATGAATGCCTACAGGTATAAAGCAGATAATTTCTAATGATGTGCTTCAGTGATTATTTGTAACCTGGAATTTACTAGTTATGATTGTTGGTATTTCCCAGATATTTAACATTTAAGATGACCATAACATTTTCATATATGTATAGGTTTAGAAGTCAATTTCTCAATAACAGTTGTTTACTTGTTAATTTCTTACCTGAGGGAGGCAGAATTTGTAAAGGTGAAATGTTTTTCACAGTCTGTAAATGTTCTAATTCTTGATAATTAAATGCTAATTGGTGGTGATTTGGTGGCATTACATGTGAAGGTGTGGTCTGATGAACAAGGGTAGTATTGGCAGAGGTTGTGTCTTGCACACAATATCCTATCTGTTAAAACAAAATCAAAGTTATCACTTAGTTTTAACCATACAAGAAGTATACCAAAGAGAACAGAAACACAAGAGTCAAGAATATAATTTAATGCTACCTTTTTAAAATACCTTATTATTTAAGTCACACAAATCTATAATGTATAGTTATCCCTATCTTGCAAATGAGCAAACTGGGGTTTAAAAGCATTAAATAACTTGGCCATTATATGGCTTACAAGAGGTAGAGTAAGTCAAAGCCTATGATCTTAGTTATGAGTATGCATGTATATTTTACATGAGTATACATGTATATTATTAAACAATGCTATTCATTTAAAGCTTTCCTGTAATTACTAAAAAACAAAACAAAACAAACCCCTGAGCTTTTATAGCAAATCTAGAGACCAATTCACTTACTTTAGCCATTTTTCCTTACTGTATTACAGACATAAGGGGATAAATTTAAAATTACATTATGGTCAACCCACAAGACTATCAATAAATTCTAATTCAATATTCAGGTAACTATTAAATAAAAGCTGTAGTGTAATAATAGCTAACATTTATTTAATGTTTACTATGTGTGAGGTACCAGGGTAAGTCCTTTATATGGTTTTTCTTTAATTCTCACAATAATGCTGAGTTAGGTATAATTTTTATCTCTACTTACATTTTCTAGAAATAATAGAAGCAGCTTACCTGAAATCTCACACCTATTCTGTGGCAAGCGAAGTTACAGTAGCAAAGCCCAGTAGCCTTATCTAACTAAGCTCTGAGTTGTAGATGGTACAGAGATAAATAAGACAGTCTTTCTCCTTTGTCTAACAAGGCATTGGGGTGAGTGAGTAGGTAGGCAAGTGTACAAGTAACACCTATGCAAATATGAATAAAACAAATGCTATAGGAATGTTTATTACAACAATATAGACCCAGGCCAAAGCTCAAAGCCTAATGCTCAGGTTTAAATCAGCCAAAGAAAAAAATCACTTTCTGAACTACACAAATATATACATTCATACATGAACCTATGGATTAATATATACTACCTTTTACCATAAATAGGCATTTTTTTCCTCAGTGAGTGAAAGTGAAAAAATTTTGACCAAAAATAGACCATTAAAAAGGTGGCATTCTACATGCTACGTATTGAGATAAAAATGCTTCCAAAGTTCCTTCATAACTTGACATAATTTTTTATTCCACTAATACACCTTTGGCAAGACAGACCATCTATAACTTCTTCCTATTCAAAAGGAATGGGAAGGCCAGGCATGGTGGCTCACGCCTGTAATCCCAGCACTTTGGGAGGCTGAGGTGAGTGGGTCACCTAAAGTCTGGAGTTCGAGACCAGCTTGGCCAACATGGTGAAACCCCGTTTCTACTAAAAATATAAAAATTAGCTGGGCATGGTGGTGTGTGCCTGTGGTCTCAGCTACTCCGGAGACTGAGGCATGAGAATCGCTTGAACCCGAAAGGCAGAGGTTGAAGTGAGGGAAGATCATGCCACTGCACTCCAGCCTGGGTGATAGAGCGAGACTCTGTCTCAACAACAACAACAAAATATATATATGTATAATTTCACTTACGTGTCCAAAGCCCTGTTATATACTCCAAGCCATCTAATAAATACCCTCAGCTTCCATATTTCTCTGAATATACTTGCTGTGGTTTTTTTTTTTTTTTTTTGCCTCTCTTCATGCTATTACTTATTTTAAAAAGTAAGCCCCTAATCTATATGTAAACCATTTCTTCCCCTGTTCTTTAAAACACATTTTAAGCATTACCTGTGTGACGCCTGTTCTTCCTTCAGGCGGTATGCATTCATTCTTCATTTTCTAAAAATAATTATATAGATTATAGCATTAATCATATTATCTCTTAACCATGTGATTATATTTCTTTTTCACAAATTAGAGCTCTTTTAAGACAGTATTATTTATTATTGTGTTTCCCTAACCTAGTTAGATGTTGTTACATAAATAATTGTATGTTTGGAAGGGGTACAAAGGGAAAAAAATGTATATGAGGATGACAACTTGAGCTAGTAAAAAATCACTTCTGTTCTTTTCTTTTTCTTTTCTTTTTTTTTTTTTTTTTTTTTTTTTTTGAGACAGAGTCTTGCTCTGTCGCCCAGGCTGGAGTGCAGTGGCACAATCTCGGCTCACTGGAAGCTCTGCCTCCCGGGTTCACGCCATCCTCCTGCCTCAGCCTCCCAAGTAGCTGGGATTACAGGCGCATGGCGCCATGCCCGGCTAATTTTTTGTATTTTTAGTAGAGACGGGGTTTCACCGTATTAGCCAGGATGGTCTCGATCTCCTGACTTCATGATCTGCCCGCCTCGGCCTCCCAAAGTGCTGGGATTACAGGCGTGAGCCACCTCGCCTGGCCACTTCTGTTCTTTTCAAAGCACATCAACTACTAGTCAAACATAGATGTGCCAAAATGGATAGCTGGCAATTATAAGCTTTATCTGTAGAAACCTTAACTACCATTCTCCTACCATCTTTTGAGAAATTTCACTTCACTGTACGCATAGTTTTGTACACTCATTCAGGATACCAAGGCCATCCCTCTGTATTCAGACTCTCAGGGATAAGCTGAAGCTTCTAGAATTTGTTCTACTTATCCATTTGGCTTACATAAATGTTATGTCTTATTGAAAAATGAAGCCAAATAGCTTCCCTATTCGGTTTTCTTCAGGAAGAAATCATTGAACATTTAGTTGATAAGCTAAAAACAGTGACAACTTTCTTCGTGTAAATAAAATTGAAAACAATTTTAAAGAAAGCTACTACTATACCCATGAGTTATACATACTTTTAAAATTCAGATACAAATAAAGAATTCACTTACCTTTACATTCTCTTTAGAAGGAGAATCATTTGGTTTTACTTCTGTAAACTTAGGGAACATTTCTGCAAATGTATACACATAAATATTTTAATATTTATTAGCTTAAAAAATACCAAGTTATAATTTTTCCATATTAGAAACACAGTGGGGGCTGGGCACAGTGGCTCATGCCTGTAATCCCAGCACTTTGGGAGGCCGAGGCAGGTGGATCACGAGGTCAGGAGATGGAGACCATCCTGGCTAACACGGTGAAACCCCATCTCTACTAAAAATACAAAAAATTAGCACGGTGTGGTGGCACACGCCTGTAGTCCCAGCTACTCAGGAGGCTGAGGCAGGAGAATTGCTTAAACCTGGGAAGCGGAGGTTGCAGTGAGCCAAGATCACGCCACTGCACTCCAGGCTGGGCAAGAGAGTGAGACTCTGTCTCAAAAAAAGAAAGAAATACAGGGGTGATTTCAAGAAAATCCCTTTATTACAAACATATCAAGAAATCCTTAGAGTCACAGGTTTTCACCCTCCTTGAATCAGCTAAAATTTCTAAAGGGATACCTGCTTTCAAGATTATTTTATTTTCCTATAGTAGAGTAAATGTCCACTCACAAATTTCAATTTACATTATGTTTAGGCCAAAAAGCGCAGTATGTTACATAACAGTAACAAGCTTGAATAATTGACAGTTTAAAAAGGAATATGTTGCAACAGAGATAAGGTTTCAAACAAGCAGCATCCATTATGCTAAAATCACCTTTTACCAAGTAGCCATAAATATAGCCCTAAGAGGCTTAATTTAAAAAATAAAGAATTTACTATAAGAGAAGGGGATGTCATTTATCTGAGAGGATACAGTCTTTTATTAAAAGTAAAGCTATTTTAGTTCTGTGGAAAAGTCTGCTGTGCTTGCTAAACTCTATAATAAAGATTCTATCTGATTAAATACTTCTAAGCTATTTGGCAGCCTCAGCTATACAGCAAGAAATGAGTTTTATAGTATCTCCTCTGCCTTTAGAAATACTGTACAGCTGACACTGGCAGTAGAAGCAGACATAAAAAGAGATCTCTCCAACACGGTTCTAGTGGGTTTCTCTTTCTTTATCCTACAATTGTTTCTGATGCTATCCTCCCCAGTCATAATCCTGGGTCAGTAAGGTAAAGCACCAAACTGGTAGTAACTGCCCTGATCAGTCTCTCCAAGCCAGCTTTCATGACCACCTGAGTGTTATTTGTTTCATGCTCCAGGACACCACGGATGGTCAACACCAAACATTATTCAAACTTAAAACATTCTAATTTTAATAATTACCTTCTGCCTTCTGAAAAGCCATCAGTTTCCACTGGATGTGTTACTGTTCTTTCCTCTCCTAAAATGTTTGATGCTGGACATTGTTAAAATTGCTAAATGCCACTCAATGACATCCTTTAATTTAAATAATTCAAGTATTTAAAATGACATGAACCTTCTTAATGTCACTCAGCTAAGTATTATTTAAGTGTTGTGGGCTAGGCATAGGAGGAAGAGAAGGAGACAGACTGAGAAGATTGAGAATATACATCCAGGTAGCTTTCGCATTTAAAGGACATATTAGGCAGGGCATGGTGGCTCATGCCTGTAATCCCAGCACTTTGGGAGGCCAAGGTGGTTAGATCACTTGAGGTCAGGAGTTCAAGACCAGCCTGGCCAACAAGTTGAAACCCCATCTCTAGTAAAAATACAAAAATTAGCCAGGTGTGGTGGTGTGCACTTGTAGTCCCAGCTATTTGGGAGGCTGAGGCGGGAGAATAGCTTGAACCCAAAAGGCAGAGGTTGCAGTGAGCCGAGATTGCACCACTGCACTCCAGTCTGGGTGACAGAGCCAGAAGCTGTCTAAAAATAATCATAATCATAAAGGAGAAATTATGGTTTCAGCTTTGAACAAAAAAACAACAAAAACCAAAAAGACTTCATTAATATGATCATATATGTATATCTATACATCTAAATTATTCAAATATGCACCTAAAACTACATTATCCTACAATATAAACTCTTTAGTACAAATATGACATACCAGATTGGTGTTCTACTAAAAAAAAAAAATTCAAGGGCATCACCTTAGTTTTCTAATACATAAAACTAGGCTCAAAATTATTATAAAACTTAGCACCTCAAGGCTGGCACAGTGGCTTACGCCTGTAATCCCAGCACTTTGGGAGGCCGAGGCAGGTGGATCACTTGAGGTCAGGAGTTTGAAGTCCCAAAACCTTAGCACCTCAAAATCTAAAGATATTAGCAAAAGGCATCAAGGAATTTTAATTAAAAAAATAAAAACACCTACTATATATGTCTCATAAAAGTCTCAGCATTTTGCTTCTCATTCTAATCTTACATAATTGACTTTTTAAGAGCATAATAAACTAAAACTACATATATATGCTTATTCATGAGTTCCTGGCCTTTGAAATTAAAAGACAAATGTACATATTTTCACTACCAAACTACAGCCATATTTCAATTAGTGAAGAAGCTCTATCAGTGCTAGCAAACATCAATTAAAATCGATAACAAGGCCGGGCGTGGTAGCTCACACCTGTAATCCCAGCACTTTGGGAAGCCAAGGCAGGCTGATCACCTGAGGTCAGGAGTTTGAGACCAGCCTGGCCAACCTGGTGAAACCCCCCGCCTACCAAAAATACAAAAATTAGCTGGGCGTGGTGGTGCAAACCTGTAATCCCAGCTACTCGGGAGGCTGAGGCACAAGAATCACTTGAACCTGGGAGGCAGAGGTTTCAGTGAACCAAGATGGTGCCACTGCACTCCAGCCTGGATGACAGAGCAAGATGCCGTCTCAAAAAAATAAATAAATAAATAAATAAAAATAAAATCGATAACAATAATGACAACTTACACATTGCCAACTAATTTCTCTAGGGAAGTATGACAGCATGTATACACCTACCTTAAGAGGATCAAAGTGGATAATATATGCACTATTAAACAAATGCATACTGTGGCATATATTCTAATTATAAATGTTCTAATTTCATATCTCCCCCAAAAACTCAATATAAAACTTTGTTAGCAAAGTTTTCATTTTAAACTGACAAAAAAAGTTAACCATAGGCCGGGCACGGTGGCTCACACCTGTGATTCCAGCACTTTGGGAGGCCAAGGTGGGTGGATCACCAGGTCAGGAGTTCCAGACCAGCCTGTCAACATTGTGAAACTTTATCTCTACTAAAAATACAAAAATTAGCCGGGCGTGGTGGCAGGTGCCCGTAATCCCAGCTACTTAGGAGGCTGAGGCAGAAGAATTGCTTGAAGCCGGGAGGCAGAGGTTGCAGTGAGTGGAGAGTGTGCCATTGCACTCCAGCCTGGGTGAAACTGCGAGACTCTGTCTCAACAAAACAAAACAAAAAAAACCCATAGAACTAAAAAAAGATCTGCAATCATAGAGATTTGATTAAAGAGTTTACTTAATACCTATCATCAATCAAAGCACTGAGATAGATGTTCCAGAGATACTAAATATTATCAGCAAGCCAATTTGAACTAAAAAACTTGAAAAGTTGAATAGGAACATAATATGATTTAAAAAAACAAAAAACAAAAAACAAAAACAAGGCCGGGCGCAGTGGCTCACGCCTGTAATCCCAGCACTTTGAGAGGCTGAGGCAGGCTGAGGTGGGCAGACCATGAGGTCAGGTGTTCGAGACCAGCCTGGCCAATATGGCGAAACCCCGTCTCTACTAAAAAATATCAAAAAAATTAGCCGGGGATGGTGGTGTGCACCTGTAGCTCCAGCTACACAGGAGGCTGAGGCAGGAGAATTGCTTGAACCCAGGAAGCGTAGGTTGCAGTGAGCCGAGATCGCACCACTGCACTCCAGCCTGGGCAACAGAGTGAGATTCCATCTCAAAAAAACAAAACAAAACAAAAAAACAGAATATGATGCCATATATAGCAGAAATAATTACCAAAGACTTTTAAATTAGAAAAAGAAACCACACTTTCATTACAGAGGACAGATTATAGAAAAGTGATTGATAGGCCAGGCGTGGTGCCTCATGCCTGTAATCCCAGCACTTTGGGAGGCCGAGGCAGGCAGATCGCTTGAAGCCAGGAGTTCAAGACCAGCCTGGCCAACATGGGGAAACCCACTCTCTACTAAAAATACAAAAATTAGCCAGGCTTGGTGGTGCATGTCTGTTGCCCAGCTAATTGGAAGGCCTGAACCTAGGAGGCAGAGTTTGCAGTTAGCTGAGATCGAGCCACTGCCCTCCAGCCTTGGCAACAGTGAGACTCTGTCTCCAAAAAAAAAAAAAAGAATTTATAAAAGTCTAAAATAATTTAATAAACTCTAGTCATGTACCTTTAGCTTTCTAGTTTGAATGGCAAAGATTATTTAGAGGCTTTCCTTGTATACTTCCTGCACTTACTAAATCATCCTCCTCTAAAAAGTTAAAATCTAGGCTTGAACAAAGTTTGTTGGTTTCCAAACCTTGCATGAAAAAAATCATATCCTTGTCATGTCTATAGAAGACCTAGGTGGTAGTACTAAAATTACAAATTTATTTATTCCTGTTTGATGTCACCCATAACTAAGAAAGTTTTTTAAAAAAAGAAACAAATGTTATTTAAAGAACTTATAAATTTCATTCTCTGAACATTACACTAAATCCAATAAAATGCAAAAAGTCCAAAGGATGAAGTGACAAATTCACTTTAAGTCTTAAACAACTAAAGAAAAACAGTGAACTGATGTCATGACCATTTAGTTTCTTTGTGTTTAACTCTGTAAAAATTGAAATTAAGTACACTGAAAAAATTCTATTTCACACTAATCAAGTATCTGAGCTTATATTTAGACAGTTCCTGGAGTTATTTCCTATAAGGTTTTAATTAAAAGTACTCCTATTGATAAGCTGTTCCTTTTGATTTTTTTTTCTCAGTATCATTAGTCACAGGATTAAAGCTATTAGTTATATTGCTCCCTATAAATCACTCAAGGTAACCCCAAGATTGTTGAGCATTAGAAAACTCTCAATAGCTTATGTGTGCATACTAGCACAGCCTAGTCAACATAAGATACATGCATTAGAATTGATTTCATTTTCAAGGCTTGGCTACATCTTTGATCTGACATTTATTGATTTTAGTTATGAAAAATCATTTTAAAAGATTTTATATTTATACCGAAGTTTAATAAATGTTCTTGACTTATCTGCATATGCTGACACCAGTCAAAAAGATAAATAAAACCAAATCACATTAAAATTTGCAATGACATGCTGATTCCAGTCCATAGAGCTCTCATTTTTCAAGGATTTGGGCCGGGCGCGGTGGCTCACGCCTGTAATCCCAGCACTTTGGGAGGCCGAGGCGGGCGGATCACGAGGTCAGGAGATCGAGACCATCCTGGCTAACACGGTGAAACCCCGTCTCTACTAAAAATAGAAAAAATTAGCCGGGCGTGGTGGCGGGCGCCTGTAGTCCCAGCTGCTCGGCAGGCTGAGGCAGGAGAATAACGTGAACCCGGGAGGCGGAGCTTGCAGTAAGCCCAGACGGCGCCACTGCACTCCAGCCTGGGCAAAAGAGCAGACTCCGTCTCAAAAAAAAAAAAAAAAAAAGCAAAACTAATTAAAGCTCTGTCTCTGACACAAACATTATAAAAGACTGACTTGCTTTGAAAAATTGCATATAGCCAAATTGCTATAAGAAAATCCAGGAAGACAGATACTAAATGAAAATTACATTAAGAAAAAATTACTAAAGACCAGGCATGATGGCTCACTCCTGTAATCCCAGCACTTTGGGAGGCCGAGGTGTGCAGATCACCTGAGATCAGGAGTTTGAGACCAGCCTAGCCATCATGATGAAACCCCATTTCTACTAAAAATACAAAAAATTGCCAGGCGCGGTGGCTCATGCCTGTAATCCCAGCTCTTTGGGAGGCCGAGGAGGGCGGATCACCAGGTCAGGAGATCGAGACCATCCTGGCTAACACGGTGAAACCCCGTCTCTACTAAAAATAAAAAATTAGCCGGTGTGGTGGCATGCTCCTGTAGTCCCAGCTACTCGATCGCTTGAACCCGGGAGTCGGAGGTTGCAGTGGGCCAAGATTGTGCCACTGCACCCCAGCCTGGGCGACAGAGTGAGACTCCGTCTCAAAACACAATAAATAAAATAATAATAATAATCAAAGCCTATTATCTTCAATAAATAATCAAAAGCCTATTAATCAGAATTCTGGAATCATGATATCCAACTGCAAGTTTCAGTTCTGGCCAAATCATAATTATTTTTAAAGCAATAAAAATCATATTTATGGGCCAAGCATGGTGGCTCAGACCTGTAATCCCAGCACTTTGGGAGGCCGAGCTGGGCGGATCACTTGAGCTCAGGAGTTCAAGGCCAACCTTGGAAACATGTTGAAACCCTATACATTTTTGTCAAAAAAAGTACAAAAATTAGCCCAGCGTGGTGGCACACACCTGTAGGCCCAGCTACTTGGCAGGCTGAGGCAGGAGGATGGCTTGAGCCCAGGAGGCAGAGGAGTGAGCCGTGATAGTGCCACTGCACTGTAGCCTGGGCGACAGAGCCAGACCCTGTCTCAAAAAAAATTTTTTTTAATTATTTTTTCATATTTATATTTTATTTTTCATATTCATATTTTCAGTCAATTTTTACTGATGTAGCAGATAAAGCTTTTGCTGATGTGCCTAATTTTCATAAATTAAATTTTCTTAGTAAATAGCCTCATTCTGCCCATGCTTGAAACTTTGACATAGAATTTGCCATCTGTTCCTTGAGAATGTTACTAGTATAATTAAGAATAGTAGGTGCTTTATTTTTATAGTAGATATTGCTAATGATATGATTTGACTTGCTTATTTTTCACAATTTTCAGGGCTTTTTTTTGTGTGTGTTGTTGTTCCCAGGGAAGTAAAAAATGTTCTTAGTTTACATGCTAGAAATTAAGAGCCTTTAAAATAACAGCTGCAACTGAAATTGATATTTAGAACATTAGAATATGTGGAGAAAGGCAAAAAAAAATTAGGACAAAAGGTCCAATTACTTCATTTAGTATTAAGCAAAGATATAATTTTTTCCCATTTGTCTTTGCATTTGCAATTTATAACATATATAAAGTGTTTTTCCAGTAAAGCACAGTTTGTTCATAAAACAATTAAAATTTCAAAAATAAACAACTAACATTATCAGAAGACAAATTGACCTTGTGTCACAAATTGTACACTATTTATAATGTAGGTTCAAATATAAAAACTTGCCACTTCAGGCTGGGCACAGTGGCTCACGCCACTTTGGGAGGCCAAGGAGGGAGAATTACTTGAGGTCAGGAGTTCAAGACCAGCCTGGACAACATGGTGAAACCCCATCTCTACTAAAAATACAAAAATGAGCTGGGTGTGGTGGCATCCACTTGTAATCCCAGCTACTTGGGAGACTGCGGTAGGAGGATCACTTGAACCCAGGAGGCGGAGGAGGCCACAATCACATCACTGCACTCCAGCCTGGGCGACAGAGTGAGAATCCGTCTCAAAAAAAAAAAACCAAAAAAACAAAAACTTGCTACTTTGATTTCAACATTATATATTTTAAAACTCCTTTTAATTGAAAAAGATGACATTAAACAAAAATGTCAGCCATAAAATAAAAATTCAACACAGCAATGTTTTAAGATTTGAATTCTAGGCCAGGCGTGGTGGCTAATGCCTGGCATCCCAGCACTTTGGGAGGCCGAGGTGGGTGGATCACAAGGTCAGGAGATCGAGACCATCCTGGCTAACACGGTGAAACCCCGTCTCTACTAAAAATACAAAAAATTAGCTGGGCGTGCCTGTAGTCCCAGCTACTTGGGAGGCTGAGGCAGGAGAACGGCGTGAACCCAGGAGGTGGAGCTTGCAGTGAGCTAAGATAGCGCCACTGCACTCCAGCCTGGGCAACAGAGGGAGACTCCGTCTCAAAAAAAAAAAAAAAAAAAGATTTGAATTCTGAGACTGAGTTATTCTGATAGAATGTTAGAAAAACAGAGAGTATATATTGCACTATTTTAAGAACACAAGTTAGTGATAAATATTCTTTCCTCCAAGCAATATATAATAATATTGTATCAGAAACTGATAATTCATATTAAAATTAAGGTACTTTATTGAAAACTCTGTATTATATTGTACTTTTCCTCTAACACTTGAAGCATTTATTATAATTAGATAATTCAAACTAACAGGAACAGTAAGACTTTTATCCTACAAATAAAAGACAAAGTGCTCTAACTTATTAGACCACAAATGCTTTATTAGATGAAGTTACAAATGCTAATTACAATTGAAAATACTAAATGCAACTTAAGTTATTCCAGTATTGTTCTATGCTTAGAAGTCAAATAAGGAAATACTATATAATCAGAGCCCTACATTTTTAAATTTTCTAGTATGACAAATCCCAAAGTAAAAATTCTGTTTATTCTCCAAAAATGTTTATCACTACATACTTTAGAAATGTAAAAACAAAATACAGCAATCAGCACCATATAAATGCAAACTAAACAGAACTAAGAGTTAAATAGAATGTATTGCAAGTCAGCAGACCATACTACCACACTGAAAAAAAGAGGGATGCTTTTAATAATGCTAAGAATTCCTGATGTCACAATATTCTGTG
This sequence comes from Homo sapiens, assembly GCF_000001405.40. Taxonomy (NCBI): domain Eukaryota; kingdom Metazoa; phylum Chordata; class Mammalia; order Primates; family Hominidae; genus Homo; species Homo sapiens. The sequence continues at coordinate 91,982,583 of NC_000001.11, read as the reverse complement.
TGAGATGTTTCTTTAAAAAGAGAATTGAATTTCACAAGAAACACCTCATTTAAAATAAAGCAAAATTTAGGGACAACAGTGTCCAAATTCTGAATTTGCCTTTTGGTCAATAAAGATGGAACACCACTGCCAAGTCAGTATTCTTGGGGTAGTGATTACTTATCAACTGTGTAATCATTAATAGAAAAGCACAAAGAAAACATAAATGACCTAAGCTTGATACAACTGCTAAACTATACAAGATAATATGGCACTTGAGCATAGCTGAGAATCTGAATTTAAAGTACATTTTTCTATAGATGGAAGAAAATACTCTACAGTGAAGAAACCAAAGAAGTAGAAAAAAAAATCTGATTCACAGCTTCTGGGATGACTGGTTTAACTCAAAAGGATTATTCAATTCAGAACATAGTATCACAACATGGCAACCTTGCAACATTAGAGTGATCTGATAGATCATGGAGAGTAAAGCGAAAGGTGCTCTCAAATAATCTTTTATTTTATAAAACAAGTAAAGGTCATTATTTTATTATCTGATATATTTTGATATTAAGATTTGAAATTATTTATTGAGACTATCCCTCCTTGAGTAAACTTTTTTTCAGCATTACACACCTACACGTCATATACATATAATACGAAGTTTCATCTTACACAGTATCTCTTTTAGGGAAAATACTAAGATTGTCAACATGCAATTAAATAATTAGCATGATATACAAACCATGGATTCTGGGTAAGTAACAAATATTTCTTCAAAATATAAATCAATATTACAGGAAAAAAAGTGCTCCCATCAACAGAGGTACATTTAAGGGGACAGCTAACCTGATTCAGAATCACTGCTGTCTGAAGAGCTTAAGTCACTGCTGCTACTTTCAGACTCTGATGAGCTGCTGCTGCTGCTGCTGCTCTCACTCAGTCGGGAAACATTTTCAACAGCTTTGGATGGTTGCGTTTTATCAGCTACAAAACAGAGAAACATATTAAAATGCCAGAAGAATTAAATAGTTGCAGGAACATTTAAAAACTGCCACCTAGGCTGGGCATGGTCGCGCATGCCTGTAATCTCAGCACTTTGAGAGGCCAAGGTGGAGGATCACATGAGGCCAGGAGTTCAAGACCAGCCTGGGCAATATCACAAGACCCTGTCTCTACATACATACATACATACATACAAACAAACAAAAACTGCCACCTACATTTTGTTTGACGTTTTCTAGAATTTAACTGATTATTAACATCCAGTAACCGCTTTTCCAATTCCTGTTTTTTCTGTGAGTGAAGTTCTTCTTTGGACATCATTATTTTCTTAGCTGTGTGATTTAGGAGGGAAGAAAGTGAGTATAACCAAAAACCAACATAAATACCAAACCGATTTCTATTAATATGCAGAAATACATACCAGGAGGTTTTAATGGTCTCTTTCTTAGACATGCCGAAACATATTTTTCTAATTCTCTTAGTGTTGATGCTTTCAGTGTTTCAAAGTCTATCTCTATCTCATCAGGATTGGAATTGCTCAGAGAAGGCTCTCTTGATTGTATTATGTGAACTACTCGCCCAAGTTTATCTCCAGGGAGTTTGTTTATATTCAGACTTAACTGCCTTTTCTCATCATAGTTCATAGGTTTAGCATTATCTTCATCTTCAGATTTTAGACCAATGAACTGTTGTTTCCTTTTCTTTGGCTGACTGTAACAAAAACTAAATTTAGTCCAACTTATCGTTATTGTCTTAATAAGCTATCATAATAAAAGATACTTACTTTCTCTTGGACTTTTCCTTTAGCCTCATTTGCTCACACATTTTTCTTGGATTTTCATTGCTGTTATTAACCTTTTCTTTTTTCTTTTCCTTTTTAGACTTCTCTTTCTTTTTATTTAGCTTACGGAAAGGTACTTGGGACAAAACCTGGAGCTGTTGATGTACAGCTTTAAGCTGATAAAAGAAAAAAAATCTGTAAACATTCATGTCTCTAAATAATTAAAGAAACTAGAAAAAAATCAAGCCACTCCAAAGTCAAGAATGTCTTTTGTGAAATTCATTTCTTATTACATTTCCTTCAAGTTTTTATTTAATTTCACAAATGCATTGAATTTTTAAAAGGCATATATTAAATTACAAAAACTATCATGTGCTGAACCCATAAACTTAAATATTCAACTACCAACAGATCAAGAATAAATAACATTTCCAGGTGGTCTTAAGTTTTTTGTTTTTTGAGCCAGGGTCTTGCTCTGTCACCCAGGTGGGAGTGCGGTGGTGTGATCCTGGCTCACTGCAGCCTCAACCTCCTAAGCTCAAGTGATCCTCCTGCCTCGTTTTTTTGATTTTTTTGTAGAGACATGGTCTCACTATGTTGCCCAAGCTGGTCTCAAACTCCTGAGCTCAAGCAATCCTCCCACCTTGGACTCCCAAAGTGTTGGGGTTACAGGCGTGAGCCACGGTGCCTGGTTGGTCTTAAGTTTTTAATCATTGATTTTTCAGACTTGAGCTCCAGAACAGTTTAACATTTTATCATAAAAAGCAGTTAATGTTGAATAAGACCTCATCCATAAAATATCTCTATTTCATAAATCATTTCAATGAGAATCAACCACTCATGATTAGGAATAGATAACATAATTTTTTAAAATAACAGATTTTTATGATAATAAATATTTGATTAGGAAAAACTATTAAACATTACAAATTTGCCAATAAGTAAATAAAGCCACAGTTATGAAGCGATTTAACTATAACAGCTTTAAATCTGCAGAAAAAATTTCCTGATAGATTAGCAGCTCATAGATTATCAAAATTTGTATCAATACAATCAACTACCTGCTCCTGAAGCTTTGCAAGACGCTTAACTCGCTCATCTTCAGAATCATCAGAAGAGTTCCCTTCAGAGGAGGCTTCATTAGTGTTCTCTCTACCAGTGGTTTCTGTGATATCTGTTTTGATGTAACATAAAGGCATACTCTCAACAGGTTCAATCGGGATCTTTGAAAAATGCGTTTCGAAAACATCCTGTAATGAAAAATTAGTTTGTTATGGTTTTCTGTATTTTTTATTTAATCCAGCAATCACAGCTTTTAACAAAAAGTACATTTCAGTGTCATATTTTGACCAGAATTCTTTTTTCCTTTAAGATATATCAGAAGAAACGTATTAAGACTCATGCTGGCCAGGCGCCATGGATCATGCCTGTAATCTTAGCACTTAGGGAGGCCGAGGCGGGTGGATCACCGGAGATGGGGGAGATCAAGACCAGCCTGACCAACATGGAGAAACCCCGTCTCTGCTAAAAATACAAAATTAGTCCCGTGTGGTGGCGCATGCCTGTAATCCCAGCTACTTCGGTGGCTGAGGCAGGAGAATCGCTTGAACCCGGGAGGCGGAGGTTGCAGTGAGCCAAGATTGCGCCACTACACTCCAGCCTGGGCAACAAGAACGAAACTCCATCTCAAAAAAAAAAAAAAGACTCATGCTTCTCTGCCTGCCAAACTTACCAACTTTTCTCCATTTTTTTCAGGCAAGATAGACCTCTCAAGTAATATAGGGTTTTTTTTGTTGTTGTTGTTGTTTTTTTTTTTTTTTTGAGACGTAGTCTCGCTCTGTCGCCCAGGCTGGAGTGCAGTGGCGCAATTTCGGCTCACTGCAAGCTCTGCCTCCCGGGTTCACGCCATTCTCCTGTCTCAGCGCCCCCAGCAGCTGGGACTACAGGCGCCACCATGCCTGGCTAATTTTTTTGTATTTTTTAGTAGAGACGGGGTTTCATCATGTTAGCCAGGATGGTCTCCATCTCCTAACCTAGTGATCCACCCGCCTCGGCCTCCCAAAGTGCTGGGATTACAGGCGTGAGCCACCGCGCCGGGCCAGCACAGGGGATCTTCTTTCAAGGGCCCTGTAGTTGGTAGATCATTCTATTACCTGCAGCCATTTAGACTGTCCCCTCAGTGGGACATGGGCTCTAGTCAACCCTATATATCATCTATCTACATCCCCTCTTCACTAATATTTCCCCAGTTTCCTTTGTATGCAGGGCAGCTTCATAAAAAGATTCGCTACTAAAGGATGCAAGAACTCAAAAAAACAAAACGAAACAAAACACACAACCCTCTCAGTTTTAAAAGTATAATTCATAAACTGTTTTGTTGGTGCAAAAGTAATTGTGGTTTTTGCCATTTAATACTTAGAGGTGTAGGAGTTATTATTCTTTATCTCTTACATTATGGTTCTAAAAAACGTTTCAACTATGTTCAGAGGAAAAACACCTTCAGAGCACAAGTAACAGCTCACCTGAAGCATTCTTGCCATTGTCACAACTTCGTGATCTGGAGGATTGTACTTGTAGCAATTCATGAACATTAATCTAACATCTGCCGCAAATTTGTATGCATCCTTATATTCTTGGTTATCCATTTTCTCCTAAATTAAAGAAAAACTACAGGATTCACAAATAGTTCAATTCAATAATTATTTGACCACGTACATTAAATGTTCATATTACAAAATAATTCAAATATACAGAAAACAGTTGTCCACCATCCAGATTTGACAAATGTTAAAATTTTGCTACATTTGTTTCATATTTTTTAGACTTTGAAAAAAAATCCAGTGAATTTTGACAAGTAGAGATGAGGAAGGAGGACATTCCATGTAAAGAGAACTGGAACAAAATCACAAAAGCAGAGAAGCAGAGTGTTTTCATATAATCTTTTTTTTTGAGACAGAGTTTCCCTCTGTCACCCAGCCTGGAGTGCAGTGGATGATCTCCGCTCACTGCAACCTCTCCTCCTCCCAGGTTCAAGTGATTCTCGTGACTCAGCCTCTGGAGTAGCTGGAACGATAGGCATGCACCACCATTCCCAGCTTTTTTTTTTTTTTTTTAGTAGAGACGAAGTTTCGCCATGGCCAGGCTGGTCTCAAACTCCTGGCCTCAAGTGATCCGCCCGCCTTGGCCTCCCAAAGTGCTAAGATTACAGGCATGAGCCACTGTGCCCGGCCTAGAACCATGGACATGTTCAAGTGGAAGAAAACAAAAAGATATATTTTAAAATTTTCCAGAGACTCACTCCAGATAGTGTGACTTGGATGATCTTAATTTCCTTCATCTTTTTCTAGATTTTAAGATTTCTTTGCAATGATGAATTACTTTTATAATCAAGAAAAAGAAGTTCTTCCTTTTAAGGCAACATTTACCTTAATAGTTCCAAGATCCATCGGATTTTTGACAACGTCATAGTAGTTATGGAGTCCCAAAGCATTAACGTCAACAGGATTATAAAAGGGCCATGCATATGAAAAATGTTTCTTTGCAAGCATTTCTTTAAGAATCTCACTACAGTGCCTTAATTGTTCAGTTACTTTAACAGTCTTCACAACATTATATTGTTGCTGAGAATCTGGCAAAACATTCTTTGGCATATTTTCTTTTATAGGTGGCAGTGCCACTGATTTTTCTGTGAATGTTGGAGAAAATTCACTACTTGCTTTAACTGCTGAAGTTGCAGGAGTTGTTGTATCTGCTTTCCTCTTCACACCTTTTGTAACCTACAACAGAACAATTCAACAACAAAAATATATTTGAGATGATATTCAGAGCATAGTTCCTTATCAGTTAAAAGAAAAAAAGGGAAAGATTATTGGCACCAAGTCTTCATATAGATAATTTACACATATTGTTGTCAATCCATGTATTAAATATTGCTAAAGGTTAATTTCCTTTTGTAGGCAAACTAAATAGTTCGAATATTATCTTCCCACATACCAAAGAATGTCTTGTGCAAACCTTAAGATGAATGAAAAGTAAAAAATCAAAGTCATATACCAAAAAAAGTTTCTGAACACCTGAAAATCAGCAAGAATATATGATTTTTAAAAGAAAACTATATAGGTGAACAACTTCTGATATTAATACTATCAAGATACCCAAACAGTACAAATTCTACCTAAGAAATATCTAAAATTTGGCTAGCCTCTTAGGTGTCTATTCATAAAATGCATAGAGAGGCGGAAACAGTATTATTTCAGATTGCTAGATGCTAAATGAATTAAAAAAGAAAAATTGCTAGACGCTGAAGACTAATTTTCCTATAAATGGAAAAAAAAAATCCAGTGTTAAAAAGCAATGATTTAAAAACTACAACAAACTTACTTGGGCCGCAGTTTGTGAACTGGAGTTGACTGAAGCTCCCTGTACCACGTTCAAGGGAGAAATAGATGTCTTAGGAAATACAGAAGGAATTTCTTGCTGCTTAAATACTTTTTCTGTTGCGCTGGGTGATGATTTTTCTTTAGCAGAAGAAACAGCTATATTCTGTTGAGTGCCTGGAAAAGTATGAGCCAGAATCAAATATATGAATGAATAAAGTACAAAATACCACTTTCTGTCTTATTTTCTATTTCATTTAGTTCAGCTTTTTAGCAATATAAGCATAGGATACTTATTTCATTTTGAAATCTACACACACAGGATTAGACAGGTTAGACCAATTTAGATATAATAATGGAGACTTCAACATTTGTTATTAATGGTAGGTTTATCAGTTTTATTCAAAAAGGTGCCTGGCTTAAACCAAGACTAATAATCGAGCTGTGTGGTTAGCTTCAGGTAGCTATGAACATGAGCAAAAATTTCAGATACTCTGGAGACCAACCATACAATACTATGTGAGGTCTTCAGAATGCTCTGCATAAATATCCAAGGACTTCATAATTGTTAACATAGTCCATCACAGAACAAAAGATGTGAATAGGATTCTCTTATCAATACCTTCTTCAGAAAATTCTGCCAAAGGAACAATTGTCACGTTCTTCTGCCCTGTTCTCACAGAATGTTATGATGTAAGACATTTGGATCATATCACTCTGAAATCTGTTATTTCAAAAGTTCAACCTTCCATCAAGGCAACTCTATTCTTCTAATTGTTCACAACAAAAACCTTGAAGTCATCTTTGACTCCACTGTCTCTCAAACTCCATATCCAACCCGCCAGCAAACCCTGTTAGCATTATCTTCCTATCTAGACTTCAAACACTTCTCACAAGTGGCATTCACTCTGGCCCAAGGCATCATCAGTGCACAACTCAATTATTGCAATAACATCCAGGCAGGTCTTTCTTCTGCTTCGGTCCTCTATAGTCTATCCTCAAAACAGCAACCAAAGTGATCTTTTAAAACTCAAATCAGTGATGGCTTGTAATCTCGCTAAGTAAAAACCAAAGTGCTCATAGCATGTGTACGATCTGCTTGTCCTCTTCTCCACACTTCTTCCCTCCTTCCAACCTCACTTTTTTTTTAAAATTTTTTTTATTATACTTTTAAGTTCTAGGGTACATGTGCACAAAGTGCAGGTTTGTTACATATGTATACATGTGCCATGTTGGTGTGCTACACCCATTAACTCATCATTTACATTAGGCATATCTCCTAATGCTATCCCTCCCCACTCCCCCTACCCCACGACAGGCCCCGGTGTGTGATGTTCCCCTTCCTGTGTCCAAGTGCTCTCATTGTTCAATTCCCACCTATGAGTGAGAACATACGGTGTTTGGATTTCTGTCTTGCGATAGTTTGCTAAGAATGATGGTTTCCAGCTTCATCCATGTCCCTACAAAGGACATGAACTCATCCTTTTTTATGGCTTCATAGTATTCCATGGTATATATGTGCCACATTTTCTTAATCCAGTCTATCATTGTTGGACATTTGGGTTGGTTCCAAGTCTTTGCTATTGTGAATAGTGCCACAATAAACATATGTGTGCATGTGTCTTTATAGCAGCATGATTTATATTTCCTTGGGTATATACCCAGTAATGGGATGGCTGGGTCAAATGGTATTTCTAGTTCTAGATCCCTGAGGAATCACCACACTGACTTCCACAATGGTTGAACTAGTTTACAGTCCCACCAACAGTGTAAAAGTGTTCCTATTTCTCCACATCCTCTCCAGCACCTGTTGTTTCCTGACTTTTTAATGATCGCCATTCTAACTGGTGTGAGATGATATCTCATTGTGGTTTTGATTTGGATTTCTCTGATGGCCAGTGATGATGAGCATTTTTTCATGTGTCTGCTGGCTGCATAAATGTCTTCTTTTGAGAAGTGTCTCTTCATATCCTTCACCCACTTTTTGATGGGGTTGTTTTTTTCTTGTAAATCAGTTTGAGTTCTTTGTAGATTCTGGATATTAGCCCTTTGTCAGATGAGTAGATTGCAAAAATTTTCTCCCATTTTGTAGGTTGCCTGTTCACTCTGATGGTAGTTTCTATTGCTGTGCAGAAGCTCTTTAGTTTAATTAGATTCCATTTGTCTATTTCGGCTTTTGTTGCCATTGCTTTTGGTGTTTTAGACATGAAGTCCTTGCCTATGCCTATGTTCTGAATGGTATTGCCTAGGTTTTCTTCTAGGGTTTTTATGGTTTTAGGTCTAACGTTTAAGTCTTTAATCCATCTTGAATTAATTTTTGTATAAGGTGTAAGGAAGGGATCCATTTCAGCTTTCTACATATGGCTAGCCAGTTTTCCCAGCACCATTTATTAAATAGGGAATCCTTTCCCCATTTCTTGTTTTTGTCAGGTTTGTCAAAGATCAGATAGTTGTAGATGTGTGGTATTATTTCTGAGGGCTCTGTTCTGTTCCATTGGTCTGTATCTCTGTTTTGGTACCAGTACCATGCTGTTTTGGTTACTGCAGCCTTGTAGTATAGTTTGAAAACTTTTCCCTTCGAAAACTTGCACAAGACAGGGATGCCCTCTCTCACCACTCCTATTCAACATAGTGTTGGAAGTTCTGGCCCAGGCAATCAGGCAGGAGAAAGAAATAAAGGGTATTCAATTAGGAAAAGAGGAAGTCAAATTGTCCCTGTTTGCAGAAGACATGATTATATATCTAGAAAACCCCATCATCTCAGCCCAAAATCTCCTTAGGCTGATTAGCAACTTCAGCAAAGTCTCAGGATACAAAATCAATGTGTGAAAATCACAAGCATTCTTACACACCAATAACAGACAAACAGCCAAATCATGAGTGAACTCCCATTCACAATTGTTTCAAAGAGAATAAAATACCTAGGAATCCAACTTACAAGGGATGTGAAGGACCTCTTCAAGGAGAACTACAAACCACTGCTCAACGAAATAAAAGAGGACACAAACAAATGGAAGAACATTCCATGCTCATGGATAGGAAGAATCAATATCGTGAAAATGGCCATACTGCCCAAGGTAATTTATAGATTCAATGCCATCCCCATCAAGCTACCAATGACTTTCTTCACAGAATTGGAAAAAACTACTTTAAAGTTCATATGGAACTAAAAAAGAGCCCGCATTGCCAAGTCAATCCTAAGCCAAAAGAACAAAGCTGGAGGCATCACACTACCTCACTTCAAACTTCACTTCTTATTACTTCCCTCTGCCCTTACCTCACTCTAGCCTATTGGCCTTGCTCAAATTTGGTAAGCAGAAGCAGACTATTTGTTTTGCCTAAAAGAAGATATCCTTATGCCTCATTCCAACATTTCCTTCAGGCATTTACTCATATGTCACCTTCTCAACCACCCCATATAAAATAACATTTTCGCTCTACCTATCCCCACTCACCAACTGTCTAGCTCTTATTCTGCTTTATTTTTTCCATGCCATTGTCACATTTGATATACAACATATAGCTATTTCCGGCTCTTCAATTCTTGCAAAACAAACTCAGGAACTAAGTAAATTTGAATGTATTTTAAGATAGGGCTGATATTCCTCAATGTCTGAGTTGTCACTACTCTCTAAAACTTAGGAATCAAATACATTCAGATAATCTCACACCCTTTGATATTCCAACTGTTGCTCTTTGAACTCAGGAGCTAATTAGATATGCATAGTGAGGAATAGTTAGAATTATTTAATTTTGTCTCTATCCCTCACAAGAATAAAAAGCTCTGTGAGGGTAAGGGGACTTTGTTTTGGTCACCCCTAAGTCCCTTGTGCCTAATGCAGTACTTGTTACATGAGAGAAACACAGTAAATATTTACTGCATGCCTATTGCGTGTTGGACACCATTTTAGGTGCTAGGGCACAAAAATGAACAAGACAGACATAGTATCTGCTCTTGTAGCTTACTGTCTAGTGTAAGAAACAGACAAAAAATAAGTAATCAAACTGAGTACAAGTGATGCTAAGTGTTAGGAAGGAAATATACAGGTTACTGACTAAATTAAGGCAGAGAACTATTATGGAGAGGGTAGCCAAGGAAGGCCTCCCTCTCTAAAGCTGACAACTAAGATGTCACTATAAAGGTAAGAAGTAGCCAGCCAGGTCAAGAGAACTATAGAATGGGAAGTAAGTCCACATGATTATTGTGTGCATGAAGAAATAAAAGCATTTTAAGAAAGACACAGTAGTTTCCTAAGGCAAATACTGACAGAAGTCAAATAAAATGAGAATAGAAAAACACTACTTAAATTTTGCAGCATGAAGACTACAAGTGACCCTGACTGACAAAAGGTTTTTGGTGGTGAATCAAAGCTAGAATTTGTGCTAAGGAGACTACATGAGTATACAGGAAGAAAGAAAGAAAGAAAAAAAAAAAAGGAACAATAGCTGGAAGGATATGGATAAAGGAGTATTTTAAAGATGAGATACTAGAGCAAGTTTATAGGGTAATGAGACTAACCCCATAGAGGAGGAGAGATTAATGATCCAAGAAAAAAGGGAGATAACAAAAAGGAATAAAATGGTTGAGATGGCAAGATCCGTTCACAAATGAAGGCATTGGCTCAAAGTGATGGAGGAGGAAAGGATCTGTTATAGGCCTTTGCTCTAGCTGATTCCTCTAGCTGGAATGTTCTTTCAAATCTTCACTTCTCAATGAGGCCTCCACTGAATCTGTCATGTTTGTCTCTCACTTACTACTAGAATATTAATTCCAAGATGGCAAAGTTTTTGTTTTATTCACTGATAATATCTCAAGAGCACAGAACAGTGTTGTGGTACATAATCAGCACTCAAGTATTTGCTCAATCAACATTATCAGTTTAATACCAAGTTTTCTTTGCCATAAATTATCAACATGTACGTAACCACATTATTTTAAACTAGCTACCATCATATGACAATTTTCCTACCACTGTGACTAACAAAGACATGACTCTGGTAGTGGAATGCTTCTGTCAGAAGTCTTTTAAACTTAGACATTCCCTCTGAAGCCAAATCCTACCTATTCTTTGAGGTCAAACATAACTTGTATCACCTCTAAAGCCTCTCCCAACTTTTCCAGCGTGATATGGTTTGGATGTTTTGTCCTCTTCAAATCTTATGTTGAAATGTGACCTCCAATGTTGGTGGTGGGGCCTGGTGTGGGAGGTGTTTGGGTCATGAGGGGTGGATCCCTCATGAATCTCTTGGTGCCGTCCTTGACGTAATGAAGGAGTGCTCACTCTATGAGTTCACAGAAGAGCTGGTTGCTTAAAAGAGCACCTCTCCCCTACCCCCACCTCACCATGTGATACAACAGCTCCCTCTTTGCCTTTGACCATGATTGAAAGCTTCCTGAGGCCCAGAAGCTAAGCAGATGCTGGTGCCATAATTATACAGCCTGCAAAACCATGAGCCAAATAAACCTCTTTTCTTTGTAAATTACCCAGCCTCACATATTTCTTTCCTTTTCTTTTTTTTTTTTTTTTTTTTGAGAAAGGGTCTTGCTCTGTCGCTCTGTTGCTCTGTTGCAGTGGTGTGATCATGGCTCACTGCACCTTCAACCCACTGGGTTCAAGCAATCCTCCCACCTCAGGCTCTTGAGGAGCTGGAACTACAAGTGCATGCCACTATACCTGGCAAAGTTTCAAATTTTTCTATAAAGGGTCCTCCTATCCTGCTCAGGCTGGTCTTGAATTCCTGGGCTCATGTAATCCTCCCATCTTGGCTTCCCAATGTGCTGGCATTACAGCCATGAGCCACAATGCCCAGCCAGGTATTTCTTTATAGCAATGCAAAATGTACTAGCACACATCACGTATCAATTTCTCACTCTTGGCCATGCATGGTGGCTCACGCCTGTAATCCTAGCACTTTGGGAGGCCAAGGCATGAGGATCGTTTGAAGCCAGGAGTTCAAGATGAGCCTGGGCAACAAAATGAGACCCCACCTCTGTAAGAAACAAAAAAATTAGCTGGGTGTGGTGGTACATGTCCTTAATATTGGCTACTTGGGAGGCTAAAGTGGGAGGACCGTTTAAGCCCAGGAGCTTGAGGCTGCAGTGAACTGATTGTGGAGTGCCACTGCACTCCAGCCAGGGTGACAGAATGAGACCCTGTCTCGAAATAAAACAAAATTTCTCATTCTTTTCAAACACAGCATATGTTACATGTAATTTCATCTGACACGTGTCATAATGCATTGTCTTTTTTTCCATAATGCACTGTCTTGTAATTTTTTTCAAGTTTTATTTCTAACAAAAAACTTAAATGTAGGCCAGGTGCAGCAGCTCATGCCTGTAATCACAGCACTTTGGGAGGCCAAGGCAGGTGGATCACCTAAGGTCAGGAGTTTGAGACCAGCCTGGCCAACATGGTGAAACCCCATCTCTACTAAAAAATACAAAAATTAGCTGGGCATGGTGGCATGCGCCTGTAATCCCAGCTACTCAGGAGGCTGAGGCAGGAGAATCACTTGAACCTGGAAGGCAGAGGTTGCAGTGAGCAGAGATCATGCCATTGCACTCCAGCCTGGGCAACGAGAGTGAAACTCTGTCTCAAAAAAAAAAAAAAAAAAAAAACACACACACACACAAAAACAAAAAAACTTAAACACTTGAAAGTTAAGTTGCAGCTACTTGTTTCAGATGCTCAGGTAACTGTTAACAGTATGTTTCCCTCAGATAAAAGATCAATAAAAAGATCAATAATTTTTACCTTCTAGCAACATTAAATGGAAAAAATAATAATTTTTATCTTGCTAAGGGTAATAAATTAAGTCAGCAACAATTAGCACGCTGGTTTTACAATTTAAATACCATACTAATCTATGTATTATCTACCTCACAAGGGCTTATTTAAATCTTCTTGTAGAAGCCTAGGTCTCACATTGTCAGACATTAGATCAACCTTTTCTAAAATAAGAATAAGGACTTAAATATAATCAGTGAATATGTGAATATCTCATAGATTTGGTTAAAGCACTATAAGTTATGACCCACCTTAAGGATCTATTAGCAATAAAAAAGTATATATTAGTACCAATAAAAACCTCAAAAAAAAAAAATCAACCTCTGCCATGAACCTATTACAAGCCTCCTATATCTCAGGCACTTAACTATATACTTTATAAACATTTACAATCACGAAAGATAAATATTTTTAGGGCCAGGCGCGGTGGCTCACGCCTGTAATCCCAGCACTTTGGGAGGCCGAGGCAGGCAGATCACGACGTCAGGAGATCGAGACCATCCTGGCTAACATGGTGAAACCCCGACTCTACTAAAAAAAAATACAAAAAATTAGCAGGGCGTGGTGGTGGGCGCCTGTAGTCCCAGCTACTCTGGAGGCTGAGGCAGGAGAATGGCTTGAATCTGGGAGGCAGAGCTTGCAGTGAGCCGAGATCGCACTACTGCACTCCAGCCTGGGCGACAGAGTGAAGACTCCGTCTCAAATAAATAAATAAATAAATAAATAAATAAATAAATAAATAATTTTCCTGATATTGTAAATGAGGAAACTAACATGGAATGACTAAGAACTTAAAGATTACACTGCTTAAGTGATCCAAAGATAAACCAACATTTACTACACTCTTGATTAACCTCTATAATACATCTATTTGAATACTTCAGATTTAAGATTTTTGAAACACCATATTTAAATGATATGATTATTAGTTGTAAAGATGATTTCCTCTAAAGATTTTTGTGAGTGAAGAAAAAGTTAGGAAAAAAAGACAATCTTCCAACGCAATACTAACATTTCATTCTCAGCTATGGAAATTTTTTTTTAATACAGAGAGCACTAGCAATTTGGGCATTCTTATCAGTACAGCACAGATGCAAGATCCACTGAAAACAGCAGTAACAGCTATGATTTTCTGAATCCCTACTATGTGAACGGCATTATGCTACAAGAAAGCTGGCTCTGAGGCCATAATCAATGCAGTCCTCACTATTCTTGAATGATACCCATCCTTGTGATCAAGGTTTGGCAGATTGTTTCAAATGGACATTTTTTATTAATAGAATAGGATGTAGGACTTCTGGATGTCTGTCTCCTTTGAGGGATTTACACACACACATGAGATAGATAGGGGAAAAAAAGAGAGAGAACCATAAAGTGTTTACCTCCTGCCTTACCTTTCTTGATTCTTTCCTTAACACCCACAACTTGCTCTTCTTGTGGCATCTGAGATAATTTCTGCATAAACAGCTTCTCTAGAGCTTGTGCCATAAGAACAATGTCATCTCCAGGCTACAAAATATATTAAATATACCATAAGGATATACAGTATGGTCACTGTACCAAATGTTTTAAATTCAGCCCACTTTATGGAAGGCAGTAACATAGTACTCCTAGACGGTATTCATCTCTTATAAATTTAGAAAATAGTGAAGCTGCTCACATTTTATTTTCTTATTCTCTATGGTTGAAAGCAGCTCACATTTAAAATTCTAGCATCCTACTCCTTCAGCTTCTAAAAAGGACCCAAATGGCTTTCTGAACACTAAAGAATTACAATCCAAGCAATCCTACTAAATCAAACAGGTATTAAAACTGAGAATTTCGCCAGGCATGGTGGCTCACGCCTGTAATCCCAGCACTTTTGGAGGCTGGCGGGGGTAGATCATCTGAGGTCGGGAGTTCGAGACCAGCCTGACCAACATGGAGAAACCCTGTCTCTACTAAAAATACAAAATTAGGCTGGGCGCGGTGGCTCACGCCTACAATCCCAGAACTTTGGGAGGCCGAAGCGGGCGGATCACCTGAGGTCGGGAGTTTGAGACCAGCCTGACAAACGTGGAGAAACCCCATCTCTACTAAAAATACAAAATTAGCCAGGCGTGGTGGTGCGTGCCTGTAATCCTAGCTACTCAGGAGGCTGAGGCAGGAGAATTGCTTGAACCCGGGAGGCAGAGGTTGAGGTGAGCTGAGATAGTGCCATCGCACTCCAGCCTGGGCAACAAGAGCAAAACTACGTTTAAAAAAAAAAAAAATTAGCCAGGTGCGGTTGCGCATGCCTGTAATCCCAGCTACTCAGGAGGCTGAGGCAGGAGAATTGCTTGAACCGGGAGGTGGAGGTTGTGGTGAGCTGAGATTGCACCATTGCACTCCAGCCTGGGCAACAAGAGCGAAAACTCCGTCTTAAAAAAAAAAAAGAGAATTTCTACTCACAAATAGGTTAAAACAAAACTTACTCATGGCAATACAAAGTGTCTCATGGTTTGACTGGAAGTAATTCTGTTTAATTAACTAATTAATAAAATAACACTGTAGCACTGACTCAATTTTTTAATATTTTTTTCTAAGCCAACTCTACCAACATATTCAACGACGAAGTCTCACTCTGTCTCCCAGGCTGGAGTACAGTGGCGCAATCTCGGCTCACTGCAACCTCTGTCACCTGGGTTCAAGCGATTCTCCTGCCTCAGCCTCCTGAGTACCTGGGATTACAGGTGCCTGCCACCGCGTCTGGCTACTTTCTGTAGTTTTAGTAGAGACAGGGTTTCACCATCTTGGCCAGGCTAATCTCGAACTCCTGACCTTGTGATCCACCCGCCTTGGCCTCCCAAAGTGCTGGGATTACAGGCATGAGCCACCGCACCCAGGCAACATATTCAATTTTTCAATCTTAACTATTCGCTTACAAGTCTTCCTCTTGCTTCAATTTATGACTGAGAAAAAAAGTAAGTAATTTACAAAGCAACAGTTCTCTTAAATAAAGAGAACATTTATTTCTAAGTTAGGTAGCTCAGGAAAATTACCAAACTTCATTTTAAAATATTACATCTGAAAGGACCCTTTGGAATTGTAGTTAAATTAAAATGAAGTTGCCAATGGTACTGATTTTTTAAAAATTCACATTGGAGCTGGATGCAGTGGTGTGTGCCTATAATCCCAGCTACTTAGGAGGGTGAGGTGGGAGTATCACTTGAGCCCAGGAGATCAAGTCCAGCCTAGGCAACACAGTGAGTCCGTCTCAGACAAAAAAATCATTCGCATTGGCTAATAGTTTTAAATCTTTTATACATATAAGCTGGCACTGGTGAGTTTTCTTGGGAGCCAAATCAAACTTTCTATTACAATTCAGTGTACTCACCAGTGATTTTGAATAAACGAAATCACAAATACTTAGAATTCTCATATTTAAATGAGATATAAGCTTTAAAATATTTAGATGCCCTAGAACAGCTAGAACAGGATACAGTACTGTAGGAAATGGGAATACTATATGGAAGAAAACCAAATACACAAATCCAATTTTATGGATGAGAGCCAATATGAAGATTAAGTTTAAAATCTCCACATACACTGCACTCCAGCCTGGGCAACAGAGCGAGACTCCATCTCAAAAAATAAAAATAAAAAAATAAAATAAAATTTCTACATATATCATATGGGCAAATTCATTAACACAAATCCAAGTACTACTACTGGGATAGAACAAAGAGCATATCTGATCTCTTTTTTAGACAGAGAAACAAGAGACAGGGAAAGGCAAAAGGGAGAATCAAAGGACTCATCCCAGGAAGGTGGATTTTTTTTTTTTTTTTGAGAAGGTGTCTTGCTCTGTCACCAGGCTGGAGTGCAATGGTGGCATCTAGGCTCACTGCAACCTCCACCTCCTGGGCTGAAGCGATTCTCCTGCCTCAGCCTCCCGAGTAGCTGGGACTACAGGCACATGCCACCATGCCCAGCTAATTTTTGTATTTCTAGTGAGGCGGGGTTTCACCATGTTGGTCAGGATGGTCTTGATCTCTCAACCTCATGATCCTCCCGCCTCAGCCTCCCAAAGTGCTGGGATTACAGGTGTGAGCCACCGTGCCCGGCCAGAACATATCTGATCTTTAAATCAACTTGTGAAGTTTAGAAGTAGGCAATTGGTTTGGCTTTTTAGGTTATGGCCAGGGGTCCATACTGTGAAAATTTAATGAAGATTAGTATATACTAAGGCTTTTCCTTTATCTCATAACTAAAATGACAGGAATGCAATAGAAAACATTCTGAAATACCTTATTCACAGAAACCAGCTCTCATTGGTATTTTGGTTTTTAAAAACATAACAAGCCACTACAGCTATTCAGGCACAAAAATATTATAGCAAATAGACTGAACAAGTATTGGTATGTGAAAATTATGAAATTCAGTGAAAAAGTATTGTCCTTAAAAATATGTAAAAGATCTTGGCCGGGCACAGTGGCTCACACCTATAATCCCAGAACTTTGGGAGGCTGAGGTGGGTGGAACACCTGAGGTCAGGAGTTCAAGACCAGCCAGGCCAACATGGTAAAACCCCATCTCTACTAAAAAAAGATACAAAAAATTAGCCAGGCAGGTTGGTGGGTGCCTGTATTCCCAGCTACTCGGGAGGCTGAGGCAGGAGAATCACTTGAACCTGGGGGCAGAGGTTGCAGTGAGCTGAGATCACACCACTGCACTCCAGCCTGGGTGACAGAGCCAGACTCCATCTCAAAAAAAAAAAAAAAAATTATATACACACACACACACACACACACACACGTCAAGTATCTCAAACGAAGAGAATTGAAATCTGAAATGATCACATGATTTTATACATTTCTCTCCTATATGTAATGGCAAAGAATTAGCAAGTATAACATAAGGCTTACATACCTTGTTATATAAATAACAATTTGAGAACATTGTATTGAAGTCTTCTATACATTCTGAAGCCTTCGCATAATATTTATTCTCCAAGCGCTTCTTAATTGTATTTAAATCCATTGGGTTTTTTATAATGGTATAATAATCCTATGGTTTTGAACAAATTCTAAATGTTAGTAAGAATGAATACACTACAACTATTGATACACAAAGAAATTTAATGCACTATACACCTGCAACTAGAGAGAGCAACTGATTATCTTTAAAAAGCCATATTCTGGCTGGGCACAGTGGCTCACGCCTGTAGTCCCGCACTTCGGGAGGCCAAGGCAGGAGGATCACTTGAGGCCAGGAGTTCAAGATCAGCCTGGCCAACATGGCAAAACCCATCTCTAATAAAAATACAGAAAATTGGCCGGGCATGGTGGCTCACGCCTGTAATCCCAGCACTTTGGGAGGCCAAGGTGGGTGGATCACCTGAGGTCACGAGTTCGAGACCAGCCTGACCAACACGGGGAAGCCCCATCTCCACTAAAAATACAAAAATAAGCCTGGTGTGATGATGCGTGCCTGTAATCCCAGCTACTCAGGAGTTTGAGGCAGGAGAATCACTCAAACCTGGGAGGCAGAGGTTGCAGTGAGCCAAGATTGTGCCACTGCACTCCAGCCTGGGGGACAGAGCGAGACTCTGTCTCAAAAAACACAACAACAACAACAAAAAAAAACAACAGAAAATTAGCCAGGTGTGCTGGCACATGCCTGTCTTCCCAGCTACTTGGGAGGGTGAGGCCCAAGAATCACTTGAGCCCAGGAGGCAGAGGTTGCAGCGGTCAGAGATCATGCCACTCCACTGTAGTCTGGGTGACAGAGTGAGACTGTCTCAAAAAAAAAAAGGCCATATTCTAGAAACTAGAACCTTTAGTAATGAGAAACAAAGCTGACTGCTGTGGCATTATTTTTAGATGCTAAAAAAAAAAAAAAAAAAGCCAATAAAGATGAACAAAGGTAAGAATTTCAGAATAAAATTATCCTTGAAAATAAAAAGGGCATGAGGAAAAAGAACCTTGTTTTTATGGAGTCTGACTCCATAGAATAAAATTCCAGCTTCGAGTTGACTAGCTATATTGTAAACTACTCAACCATTGCATTAATGAATGGCTAAAAATTCCTAACGTAAGACCTAAAGTCAAATTCTGTATGTGATGCAACTAAGCCTGCCAGGAAGTGTCAAGAGAAACTTCATAGAAAAGGTAAAATTCAGGATAACTCTGCATCCAAAAGGTGAAGTGACATATACTATAATAAGAAAACATGTATTACAATTTATCACAAATTATTAAAATAAGAATGCGAATGCTCAGAAAAATAAGCTTTTTTCTTGGAAAAAAATACTCATTGGGATAGACTTTAATGATGCTAAATAAATCAGTTGTTAAATTTTTTTTATTTTTTATTTTTGGAGATGGAGTTTTACTCTTGTTGCCCAGGCAATGGCACAATCTCGGCTTACCACAACCTCCGCCTCCCAGGTTCAAGAGATTCTCCTGCTCAGCCTCCTGGGTAGCTGGAAGTACAGGCATGTGCCACCACGCCCGGCTAATTTTGTATTTTTAGTAGAGACGGGGTCTCTCCATGTTGGTCAGGCTGGTCTCGAACTCCCGACCTCAGGTGATCTCCCCACCTCGGCCTCCCAAAGTGCTGGGATTATAGGCGGGAGCCAACGCGCCTGGCCAAATATGTTTTATAATATTAAAGACTAGTTATGTCTTACAGAAATTTACAGGAGTTTTCTTTTTTTGAAACTAACATAGTTGAAGACATACATACAGGCAACTGTAGTTTCACAGCATCCACAGGACGTTGAAAGGGCCATGAAAAACTATGCTTCCATAAATCCTTTAGGACAACTTTTTGTAGATACTGAAGTTGATTTGTCAATCGCCCATTTTTCTTAGTATTTATATATTCTGGTGGAGGAGGGTTAACAATAATAGCTGTTTGTCGACTTGGCAGAGACATTCTTAACTGCTTTGAATCCTGTCTACAAGTACATGTCCTGAAAAACAAAAACTGAGTACTTCAGAAGCACTTTAGGAATGGTTTCCACAGGAGCTGAAAAGTGTTATTCAAGAGTAACAGAAGCCGGGCACAGTGGCTCAGGCCTGTAATCTCAACACTTTGGGAGGCCAAGGCGGGTGGATCACTTGAGGTCAGGAGTTCGAGACCAGCCTGACCAATGTAGTGAAACCCTGTCTCTACTAAAAATACAAAAATTAGCCAGAGGTGGTAGTGCATGCCTGTAATCTAAGCTACTTAGGAGGGTGAGGAGGGAGAATCCCTTAAATCCGGGAGGCAGAGGTTACAGTGAGCCAAGATCGTGCCATTGCACTACAGCCTGGGCAACAAGAATGAAACTCCATCTCAAAAAAGAGTTAACACATACTGTGTTTTAAAGCACATCATGATTAAGACAGGATGAAAAAAAAAAAAAGCCAAATGGCAAAGGAATCAATTTTTAAACAAATACAAATTTTTTATATACAAATAGTAAAAGTTTCACTATATATGCCTTAGCCTTGGATTTTTTTTTTTTTTTTTTTTTTTTTTTTTTTTTTTTTTTTTTTTTTTTGAGACGGAGTCTTGCTCTGTCACCCAGGCTGGAGTGCAGTGGCTCCATCTCGGCTCACTGCAAGCTCCGCCTCCCGGGTTCACGCCATTCTCCTGCCTCCGCCTCCCGAGTAGCTGGGACTACAGGCGCCCTCCACTACGCCCGGCTAACTTTTTGTATTTTTAGTAGAGATGGGGTTTCACCGTGGTCTAGATCTCCTGACCTCGTGATCCGCCCGCCTCGGCCTCCCAAAGTGCTGGGATTACAAGCGTGAGCCACCGCGCCCGGCCAACCTTGGCTGTTTTAAATTATTTCAACATCTCAGTCTTCCTGTCTTTCACAAAAACACAAATTGAGGTCTTAGCAGGAAAAGTCTATAAATTCCTAGTCGGAAGAAATAACAGAGAATGTTAAAGATATGATCAGTGTGTAAGTATTCTACAATTGTTAATTCAATGAAGAGAGAAAAGCAAAGTAAAAAAATGTTCTGGCTAATTTGAAAAAAGTGATTAATTTATGGTGTCTCTCTCTCTCTCTGAGATGGAGTCTCATTCTGTTGCCCAGGCTGGAGTGCAATGGCGCGATCTCGGCCCACTGTAATGTTTGCCTCCCAGGTTCAAGCGATTCTCTAGCCTCAGCCTCCCAAGTAGCTGCGACTACAGATGCATGACACCATGCAGCTAATTTTTGTATTTTTTTGTAGAGACAGGGTTTCAACATGTTGGCCCGGCTGGTCTCAAAAACCTGACCTCAGGTGATCCACACACCTCAGCCTCCCAAGGTGCTGAGATTACAGCCTTGAGCCACTATGCCCAGCCAAAGTGATTTTATTTTATTTTTCTGTTTTTATTTTTTGAGATGGAGTCTCACTCTACCGCCCAGACTGGAGTGCAGTGGCACAATTTCCACTCACTGCAACTTCCGCCTGCTGGCTTCAAGTGATTCTCCTGCCTCAGCTTCCTGAGTAGCTGGGATTACAGGCACCTGCCACCACGCCCAGCTAATTTTTGTATTTTTAGTACAGGCAGGGTTTCACTACATTGGCCAAGCTGGTCTGGAACTCCTGACCTCAGGTGATCCACCCTCCTCGACCTCCCAAAGTGCTGGGATTACAGGCGTGAGCCACTGCACCCGACCCAAAGTGATTTATTTTAAAACCGAATTTATTAGATTAAAATGTTACTCTGTGGCACATATTGCTACATCTAGAATAAAATATTTTAAATTTCATAGGTGTTTCAGAAAGACGGTATTTAATATTCCTAGACAGCATCATTACTTTAAGGATAATAAAGGTACTACCAACGTGCACATAATACCTCAAGTACATAAGCAAAATGAAAATGAAATAAGTTGCCCATTTTTAGAGACCAGTGTTAACACTTAGCCAATATTATCTTTGTCTGCATTAAAGTAGTATTAGTTCTCACCTCCTGTTGCATATTAATCACTTATATTTTTGAACTGTGGCGTAAAACATACCAAAATTTACCATACTCTTTTTAAGTGTACAGTTCAGCAGTGTTAAGTATATTCATGTTTTTTGTGAAACCAATCTCTAGAACTTTTCCATCTTGCAAAACAGAAACTCTATGTGCATTAACCAACAAATCCTCATTCTTCTGTCCCTGCTGTACCTGGCAACCACCATTCTGCTTTCTGTTGCCATGAATTTGACTACCCTAAATGCTTCATTAAAGTGACAAATCATATTTATCTTTTTTGTGATTGGTTTATTTTTCCTAATACAAAGCCCTCAAGATTCATCCATGTTGTAGCGTGTGTTAGAATTTCCCTTCCTTTTAAGGCTAAATAATATTCCATCGTATGTCTATCATTTTCTTTATCCATTCATTCATTGATGCCACTTGGGTTGCTTCCACTTCTTGACTATATTGTGAATACTGCTGCTATGAACATGGGTTTACAAGTGTCTCAGGACCCTGCTTTCAATTCTTTTGGATATATATACACAAGTGGAATTGCTAGATCATATGGCAATTATATTTCTAATTTTTTGAGGAAGCCCATCCCATTTTCCATGGTCAATACATGATTTCACATTCCCACTAACAACGTACAAGAGTTCAATTTCTCCACACCCTTGCCAATAGTAATTTTTTGTTTTGTTTTAATACTAGCCATCCTAATAGGTATGAGGAGCTGTGGGTCTTTAAAAATACCAATGCTCAGGTCCCAATCTCTGGAGAGAGCGCCTGGGAATCAGTTTTGTTGGTTTTTTAAAAGTTCCCTGTTACTTCTGATGTGCGGCCAAGATTGAGTACTACTACATTAAAATGAATTGAAGGTGGTTATCAATCTTCTACTTTCACGATTTTCATGTTACACATATATGGAAATATAGCACTTAATAAAAGTCATAGGCTGGGTGCTGTGGCTCATGCCTGTAATCCCAGAACTTTGGTAGGCTGAGGAGGGCAGATGGCTTGAGGGCAGGAGTTCAATACCAGACTGGACAACAAGATGAAACCCCCCATCTCTGCAAAAAATACAAAAATCAGTCAGGCGTGGTGGTGCACATCTGTAGTCCCAGCTACTCGGGAGGCTGAAGTGGAAGGACCACTTGAACCCGGGAGGTAGAGGCTGCAATGAGCTCAGATTGTGCCACTGCACTCCAGCCTGGGTGACACAGCAAGACCCTGTCTCAAAAAAGAGCTCAGGAGTTCAAGACCAGCCTGGGCAACACAGTGAGACCTCACCTGTAAAATAAAAAAAAAAAAAAAAAGAAAGAAAAAGAGAAAAATCGTAAGAACAAAGATGGAGCTATTCTAGGATGTCACAACTAAACTGGCTCTTATCCTGGCTTTGTAATTATTTAAAGCTAACCTACTTTTTAGGTGCCCCTGTCACTGTAACCTCCCTCATCCACAAAGGTTAACCACTCCAATCACTACAGACCAAGCTGTGACCATTTTTGAACTTTACATATAGTATTATTTACTATGTATTACGTTTTTGTTTGTTTTTTGAGATGGCATCTCACTCCATCGCCCAGGCTGGAATGCAGTGGCGCGATCTTGGCTCAAAAATATATATATGTGTATTTATTACACAATATACTTTCTGCAGTCTCATGGTTTCATTTTCTACTTTTTTTTGAGTCAGGGTCTTACTGTCTCCCAGGCTGGAGTGCAACAGTATGATCTTGGCTCACTGCAGCCTCAAACTCCTGGGCTCAAACGACTCTCCCACCTCAGCCTCCTGATTATCTGGGACTATAGGTACATACCACAATATCCAGCTCATTTTTTTTGTATAGATGGGGTTTTGCCATGTCACCCAGGCTGGTCTCGAACTACTGAGCTCAAGCAATCTGCCCTCCTTGGCCTCCCAAAGTGCTGGAATTACAGGTAAGCCCACGGTTCCCCGCCTCATTTTCTACATTTAATTTTTTATCTAGAATTACTTTCCACTGGTATCTTTGGCTACAGACATTCCCCCAGCCTTGATTTTTTAAAAAAAATACCTTGCCACACAAAAAACTTACACAGGATGTTTATAGCAGCTTTATTCATAATTGCCAAAACTTGAAAATAACTAAGATGTCCTTAAGTAGGTGAAAGGGTAAATACACTCTACTACATTCATGCAATGAAATATTATTCAGCACTAAAAAGAAATGAGCTATCGGCTGGGCGTGGTGGCTCACACCTGTAATCCCAACACTTTGGGAGGTGAAGGTGGGTAGACCACCCAAGATCAGGAGTTCAAGACCAGCCTGGGCAATATGGTGAAAACCCATCTCTACTAAAAACACGAAAACTAGCCGGGCATGGCAGTGAACGCTTGTAATCCCAGCTACTCAGGAGGCCGAGGCATGAGAATCGCTTGAACCCTGGAGACAAAGGTTGCAGTGAACTGAGATCCCACCACTGGACTCCAGCCTAGGTGACAGAGTGAGACTCCTTTTAAAAAAAAAAAAAAAAAAAAGGGCATGAGTTATCAAGTCATGAAAAGACATCGTGAAAGCCTGAATGTCGTTCTCAAAAAAAGGCAAAACTTGGCCAGGCATGGCGGCTCGCGCCTGTAATCCCAGCGCTTTGGAAGGCCGAGGCAGGTGGATCATTTGAGGTCGGGAGCTCGAGACCAGCCTGGCCAACATGGTGAGACTTCCCTGTCTCTGATAAAAATACAAAAGTTAGCCAGGCAATGTGGCACATTGCCAGTAATCCCAGCTGCTTGGAGGCTGAGGCACAAGAATTGCTTTAATCTGGGAGGTGAAGGTTGTGAGCCAAGATGGCCCTACTAAACTCCAGCCTGGGTGACACAGCAAGACTCTCTCAAAAACAAAAACAAAAACAAAAAACAACAAAAAAACACAAAACTATAGAGATAGTAAAAAGATCAGCAGTTGCTAGGGGTTTGGGGAGGAGGGAATAGGCAGAGCACAGAGGATATTCAGGGAAGTGAGACTACCTTGTATGATAGTATAACGGTAGATCCATTTGTCAAAACTCATGGAATGTACACCAAAACAGAAACTATGGAAACTATTAATGTTGGGTGATGTGTCAATGTAGGTTCATTGATTGTAACAAACGTACCACTCTGGTGCTGTACTAGTGTTGAAACGGGGTAGATGGGAACACTATTTACTGCTCAGTTTTGCTGTGAACCTAAACTCCTCAAAAACATAAAATTTTTTTTTTTTTGAGATGGAGTCTCGCTCTGTCGCCCAGGCTGGAGTGCAGTGGTGCAATCTCGGCTCAGTCCAAGCTCCGCCTCCCAGATTCAAGCCATTCTCCTGCCTCAGCCTCCAGAGTAGCTGGGACTACAGGCGCCCGCCACCACACCCAGCTAGTTTTTTGTATTTTTAGTAGAGACAGGGTTTCACCGTGTTAGCCAGGATGGTCTCCATCTCCTGACCTCGTGATCCGCCTGCCTCGGCCTCCCAAAGTACTGGGATTACAGGCATGAGCCACTGCCCCCGGCCAAAAATAAAATCTATTAAAACACACATACAAATCCTCTCCATGTTCAGCGCTAACACAAAAGTTTTTGCTGTCCCACAAATCATAAATACTGTAAAACATTCCATAATTCCATATCCCTCACTGGCCTTCCTCAGTTACCTTCCTAGACTTCTCTGTAGTATTTAACATGGCTAAGTACATAGTACCTATAAATTACCTATAAAGCCTTTTTGCCAAAAATGTGAACAATTGAATGTAATCAAGATTTTATTTCTATTTTTAAAAATTTTTTGGAGACAGGGTCTTGCTCTGTCACCCAAGCAGGGGTGCAGTGGCTCAATCATGGCTCACTGCAATCTTGAACTCCTGGGCGCAAGCAATCCTCCTCCCTCAGTTTCCTGAGTAGGACTACAGGTACATATCACCATGCCTGGTTAATTATTTTTTCAGGAAAGGGGGGGAGCCAGAGTCTCACTATGTTTCCCAGACTGGTCTCAAATTCCTGGCTTCAAGTCATCCTCTCACCTCAGCCTCCCAAAAGCGCTGGGGATTACAGATGTGAGACACCATGCCAGCCTAATCAAGCTTTTAGATATAACTTTTGTTTTACAGAAAATTCAGGGACTTAGAGCTGTGCTGTATGATGGCCCCTAGTTAACCATAACAATTTAAATTACCCAAAACTTAATAGAATTAAAAACTTAGCCACATTTCAAGTGCTTAATAGCCACATGTGGCTAGGAGCTACTGTATGAGACAATGCAGATATAGAACACTGCCATCATGGCAGAAAAGTTCTAAGGGACAGTGCTAAAATGGCCTATTTTACAAAAGTCAAGGTCATTACAGAAAATAAGAAAAATGACTCTACATTAAGATCCATGACATACAACTCAGGAAAAGCAGGCAGGGGGTGGGGGGGGGCAGGAAGAACCATGATAACCAAACTCAATTGGTTATTCTATACCAAATCTTGGTTTTAAAACATCAGCCATATTTCCAGCCAGAAAGGTGGCAAAAGAAAAAAAGAAAAAGATCGGTCATAACATTTTGAGACAACTAGGGAAATCTAGGGGATTGTTCATCTTGATAGATGTAATAGCAAGGTATACAGGAAGAAATGTTAAGTGTTGCTCAAAAAAACTTGTGAAGTCATATCTGTAATATATCTTTAAAAGGCCTGTGGGAAGGCTATATAGAAAAGCAAATATGGCAAAATGTTGACAATTGCTGATATAGTTTTTTTGTACTATTTTACCTTTCTGTACACTTGAAAATTTTAATAACAGCCTTAAATACACTGTAATTGAGGGCCACAGATGGCCTGAACATGAATGCACCAAACATTAACAAATAATTCTGATATCATTGTCACTGGGCAAAACAATAGCTAATATTTGATAATCTGATTATCTTCTCAGTGGTGAACTCTCTGCATTTCTTGGCTGGAGGCCCTGGTTTCTAATGTGAAGTGAAGCTCACTGTCCAGCAATATATGACTAAAAATTTTCCCTTTTATAATGTATCCACTGTCATTACCCATCTTACTGTTTCAATTACTTTAATCTTCTGTTTCTTTTAAACGTTTAAAAATGGGCTTATGTGGCTTTTTATGATACTTTGCAAATTTCTATGCTAGACAGCTGTCAATTTTACTATTTCACTTTCCCTAAAGCCTTTAATTTTAGCTCTTAATTTTTAATAATAAACAGAAGCCACCACAAGAGTCCTACAAAAGAACCCAAAAGAGGTTTTTGTTGTTGTTTTGTTTTGTTTTTAAGATGGAGTCTCACTCTGTCTCCCAGGCTGGAGTGCCATGGAGCAATCTCAGCTCACTGCAACCTCTGCCTCCCGGGTTCAAGCGATTCTTCTGCCTCAGCCTCCCTAGTAGCTGGGATTACAGGGAGGCATTACACTACACCCAGCTAATTTTTGTATTTTTAGTAGAGATGGGATTTCATGTTGGCCAGGCTGTCTTGAACTTCTGACCTCAAGTGATCCACCTGCCTCAGCCTCCCAAAGCGCTGGGATTACAGGATTGAGCCACCGCACCCAGACAATTTTCATGTTAATGGTGGGTCCTAACCACTTGTCTAGTGTCAGAAGTAAACATGCTGGTTAATTTAAGGTTCTCTCTAAAAAGCACTTACACTCACATTCCAATATGCCACCTTAAGGAGGGGAAAAAAGTACAGAGTTACCATTATACTGGCAACTATAATCTGCAGTCTAACCCATCTAAGTGAAAGTCCACTGTTTTTTTGTTTTGTTCAGACAGGGTCTTGCTTTGTCACCCAGGCTGGAGTGCAGTGGCATGATCACTGCTCACTGAAGCCTCGATCTCGGGCTCAAGCCATCCTCCCACATCAGCCTCCCAAGTAGCTGGGACTACAGCTGCATGCCACCACACCTGGCTAATTTTTTTAATTTTTTTAGTAGAGATGAGGGTTCACCATGCTGCTCAAGCTGGTCTTATTAAACTCTTGGTTCTCAAGTGATCCTCCCACCTCAGCCTCCCAAAGTGCTGGGATTACAGGCGTGAGCCATCACACCCAGCCTCCACTATTGCTTCTAATGTTTATAGTGAGTTGTCATTTTGTTATTTCCGCTTTCAAAACATTTTTTACCTGTGGATATATCTCTAGAAAGATGGGTCATACACGGTGGCTCATGTCTGTAAACCCAACACTTTGAGAGGCCAAGGTGGGAAGAACACTTGAGCCCAGGAGTTTGAGACCATCTTGGGCAACAGAGTGAGATCTTGTGTCTACACAAAATACAAAAAATAACTGGGCATCATGGAGCACACCTGTAGTCCCAGCTACTCTGGAGGCAGAGGTGGGGGGATCACTTGAGCTCATGAAGTCGAGGCTGCAGTGAGCCATGATTGCACCAATGCACTCCAGCCTAGGTGACAGAGTGAGAACTTGCCTCAAAAAAAAAAAAAAAAAAAAAAAAAATGCCGAGCACCGTGGCTCGCACCTAAAATCTCAGCACTTTGGGAGGCCAAGGCAAATGGATTACCTGAAGTCAGGAGTTTAAGACCAGCCTGAGCAACATGGTGAAACCCTGTCTCTACTAAAAATACAAAAATTTGCCAGGTGTGGTGTCACATGCCTGTAGTCCCAGCTACTTGGGAGGCTGAGGCAGGAGAATTGCTTGAATCCCGGAGGGGGAGGTTGCAGTGAGCTGAGATCATGCCACTGTACTCTAGCCTGGGCAACAGAGGGAGACTCTGTCTCAAAAAACAAAACAAAACAAACAAAAAAAACAGGTAGGAGAAGAAAATGCTAAGTAAAAAAAAAAATGTATCATGAGCAGATGAAATCTAATGTCAAGAATTCAATGTTACATAGTAACCACTCATTACAACTGTTCAAAAACAATGTATCATAAATGATAATGAAAAGTTCAGTTCACTTTGTTGAAGACAATCACACAATAGTGTAGCATCCCCTTGTTACATCAGTCTATGGTTGAATGAATAAATTGCCTGAAAACCACGTCTCTTGCCCACTCAATAACTCTCAAAATAACCTTGGGAACTCTGAAAAGAATCTTTTTCTTGCTGTCACCCAGGCTGGAATGCAGTGGCATGAACTTGGCTCACTGGAACCTCTGCCTCCCAGGTTCAAGCGATTCTCCTGCCTCAGCCTCCCAAGAAGCTGGGATTACAGGCACCCGCCATCATACCTGGCTAATTTTTGTATTTTTAGTAGAGACGGGGTTTCACCATATTGGCCGGGCTGGTCTTGAACTCCTGGGCTCAAGCAATCCTCCTGCCTCAGCCTCCCAAAGAGCTGGGATTACAGGCGTGAGCCACAACACCCAGCTGACAAATTTTTGAATTCCCTCAGTGATTACTAACTGTAATCAGTTATTAAATTGTGTTGCCCTAAGTGCATACTTCAATCTCAGGAAACAGCACAGCATAGAACTAAAGAGCTTGGATTCTGGAGGTCAAAAGTAACCTGGCCCTTGATGAGCTTATACACTAATTCCAAATCCTACACCATCAAATGAGCAGTCTCCAGTCCAAGGGAGAAAATAGTTTCTGCAAACTTAGATCAGGCTTCAATTTGGGCCAGAGGTAATTCATAGAAATGATTTACAATGTTGGGGTGGAGGGAGGGGGGAGGGATAGCATTAGGAGAAATATCTAATGTAAATGATGAGTTAATGGGTGCAGCACACCAACACGGCACATGTATACATATGTAACAAACCTGCACGTTGTGCACATGTACCCTAGAACTTAAAGTATAATAATAAAGAAAAAAAGAAATGAATTACAATATTCCTTACAATGACTCAATCTTCTCATTTGCTTCTCCCTTCAGTCTAAGGATGAGGCACTTTTTCTATCTAGAACTCTTTTCCCAGGGACTCTAGATAACACTCCCCCATCACCCCTGGAAGGCCCTTGGTCCCTCTTTTTTTTTTTTTTTTTTTTTGGAGATGGGTCTCACTACGTTACCCAGGCTGGTCTTGAACTCCTGGGCTCAAGCACTCCTCCGCCTGCCTCAAGCTCCCCAAGTGCTACGATCACAGGCATGAACCGTTGTGCTGGTTTATCTTTTCTGTATCTTCAACAGATGGCCTGGTCCATCTTTTCTGTATCTTCGACATTTATCTACTAGCTTCCCTCCATATAAACTTTGTCAGTCTCCTTTAAAATTCTTCCCTTAATCCTATCATTTTCTTATGGCCTCAATCTTTTCTTCCATACCTCATCCCAGAGCATTTTCCACCTTTCTTCTCTTACTGAAGCGGACTCATAGCATTCAGCCGAAGAGCCCCTTTCTGGCCAGTGCACCTGCCAGACTGCAGAGGAAGCCAGAGAGCTTCAATTAAGCCCTTCAGCATGATCCTGTGGCCTCTCTCTCCACCCACTGTCTTTACAGCCTACATCACACTTGGCTTTTCCCCCAACATTCCTCTAAAACTCCCCTTACACTAAGATTAACACTTACCATGCTAAATTGTTAAATCTAATGAATTATTTTTGACTCTTAACTTGACCTCCCAGGAACATCTGCACTGAACTATTATGATTCTTAAAATGCTCTTCTGGTTTCCAGGATACCATTTTCCAAATTCTATTTGTTCATTTATTGAATATGTACTAACATAAAGCACCTACAAATGGTGCCAAAGCATTGAGTTAGAATTTGGGGATACAGTCTCTTTGCAGAGTTTTTTGTATTTTTTATAGAGATAGGGTCTCACTATATTGCCCAGGCTGGTCTCAAACTCCTGAACTCAGGCGATCCTCTGACCTTGGCCTCCCAAAGTGCTGAGATTACAGGCATGAGCCACTGCGCCTGGCTAATTTTTTTTGTATTTTTAGTAGAGATGGGGTTTCGCCATGTTGGCCAGGCTTGTCTTGAACTCCTGGCTGCCCAACTCAACTTGCCAAAGTGCTGGGATTACAGGCCTGAGCCACCTCACCTTCCCCACTTTGGAGTCTCACTCTGTCGCCCAGGCTGGAGTGCAGTGGTGTGATCTCAGCTCACTGCAACCTCCGCCCCTCCAGGTTTAAGCAATTCTCTGCTTCACCCTCTGGAGTAGCTGGGATTACAGGCGCGTGCCACCACGCCCGGCTAATTTTTTTGTATTTTTAGTAGAGACGGGGTTTCACCATGTTGGCCAGGCTGGTCTTCAACTCCTGACTCCCAAAGTGCTGGGATTACAGGCGTGAGCCACCGCGCCCAGCCTTTTTTTTCTTTTTTTTTAATTCCATCTATACACGCCCCCCCGCCACCCTGCCGCCCCGCCTTATGCCAATCTCAGCCACTTCAAAGTATCAAATACATGGGCACAAATGACTGCTGAATATAATTTAAATATTCGAGATACTTACTGTTTTCCTATTCTCCATCCAATAAACCACTGCTTTTATTCAATCACTAGTCACCACATAAATTATGCAATGGTGTTGCTTAAGATCATACAGTTCAACTCACTGTCCTTCATGCTATACAAACCCCTTTATAATCTGCCCCCTTACTAGACTCATCTCTTGCTACTTCACCAATTCCCAACACGGTCAGCGACAGTGAGGCAGGGTATCTGTAGTACTAGCTAGCCAGTAGGCTTAGGCAGAAGAATCGCTTGAGGTCAGTTCAGGCTGTAGTTGGCCATGACAGTGCCTGTCAATACTCCAACCTGGGCAACACAGCAGGACCATCTCTTTTTTTTTTTTTGAGACGGAGTCTCACTGTCATCCAGGCTAGAGTGCAGTGGCCCGATCTCAGCTCACTGCCACATCCACTTCCTCCTGGGTTCAAGCCATTCTCCTGCCTCAGCCTCCCAACTAGCTAGGACTACAGGCACCCACCACCATGCCCGGCTAATTTTTCTATTTTTAGTAGAGATGGGGTTTCGCCATGTCGGCCAGGCTGGTCTCAAACTCCTGACCTCAGGTGATCCACCCGCCTCGGCCTCCTAAGTGCTGGGATTACAGGCGTGAGCGACTCAGGCGATCCTCTGAGATCGCCCAGCCATAGCAGCTATCTGTATTAAAAAAAAAAAAAAAAAAAAAAAAGCAATTATCCACTGTCACATCCTACTCGGTGTACATACATCCATGCCTTTGAGAAACTTCTCTTTACCTGAACTTCCCTCCTCACTTTTTAGTCTAACTTCTATTTGTCCCTCAAGATCAAGACGAGTTATCACTTCTGCCCAAGAGCCTCTCTCATTCCCTCCCATCCACCCAGGCCTTTCCCTTGAGTCCCAAAGTCCCTGTACATACCTCTTTCTTTTTTGGGGGGAGCGGGGAGACGGAGTCTCACTCTGTCGCCCAGGCTGGAGTGCACTGGCGTGATCTCGGCGCACTGCAACTTCCGCCTCCTGGGTTCAAGCGATTCTCCTGCCTCAGCCTCCCGAGTAGCTGGGACTACAGGCGCCTGCCATCACACCCAGCTAATTTTTGTATTTTTGGTAGAGATGGGCATTTCATTATGTTGGCCAGGCTGGTCTTGAACTCCTGACCTCAGGTGATCCACTTGCCTCGGCCTCCGAAAGTGCTGAGATTACAGGGGCGAGCCACTGCACCCGGCCTCCTCTATCTTAATTCTTAATACAGGCCAGCGCGCCTTGAAGTAAAGCCCACCACAATCCTGCAGTACCCAAAAGAGGGTTCAGACGTTCCAGGGGCTTAATAAAGTTAATTGAATAAATAAATGAAGCAAGAACCCGAACTTCCCCGTCCCAAATGACCACTTGCAGAATAAACACAAAATGCCAGCTAAAGCTAAACGCTCCGTACTTTCTCCTGCATTTCCAAAATTACAGTACAGGCAGCAGCGATCCACACCAGTCCAAGACCTAAGAGGAACTACAAAGACCATGAGTATTTTTCAAAATGGGAGGAGGCAGTTGGACAACTGGACCTCCCACTCCCTCGCCCCAACCTCCTCCTTCCCAGCCCTCCCTTGAAGAAAAACCAGACATTTAGGGGAAAAGAGGGAGAGAGAGAAAAAGATCCCTTGGGGGCAACGAGCCTGAAGTTGGTAAGGCCAAAGGGAAGCGACTGGCAACTCACCTGGGCTGCAGGCACGAAGCGGGGTGGCCTTCTCAACTGCCCGGACTGTCGCACGATGTTGATGGGGTCGGGGAGGGGAGAGGGGGGAAAAAACGGTTGTTCCCACCCAAGGCCGCACCTCGGGGCCGGCCTAAGGCAGCACCCCCTGTGGAGGGTACATTACCTGTATGTTACCTGTATATTACAAAACCGACCTTATGTGATTGCCCCTTTCAGGCTGCACAAAATGAAGCGGTGCAGGGCAACAGTTCTCCGCAGTTCCTCGCCGCCAGTTTTTGTTGTAATGGCGGTCGCGCGACAGGCGCTTTTATAGAAGACCCCCCGCGGGCGGCCTGCCCATTGGTCTGAACCTGTCACGTGACCACACCCAGCCCCGGGCGGTGCAAAAAAGGTGTAGGAGTCTGAGCCGGGCAGCTCAGGCCTGTTAGGGCAGGCAGAGTGGGTTCGGGTGATTGCCGTGTAGAGAGCCGGGGGTTAGGAGTAGGAGCGCTACACTCAAGGCGTTTGCTGTTAACACGACGTTTTCACTAATCAGTTAGCCTAGTAGAGGTTCTTGAGTTTTGGCTTCTGATGTTTTCGTGGTTTTCACGCTTTTTTCCCCAGCCTTCTCCACAGTTCCTGTCTCTTGCACGTAGTGAGTGCTTGATCAATATTAGGTAGCAGCTGAGGCTAGAGACATACTCTCTTTGGGTTTAAAGTGGCAATTTAAGAGCTGTTTCGCAACAGCTGCGTACTGATGAGTGCGTGATTTAGGATTTTGAGTCT
The DNA here is from genome assembly GCF_000001405.40 of Homo sapiens. Classification (NCBI taxonomy): domain Eukaryota; kingdom Metazoa; phylum Chordata; class Mammalia; order Primates; family Hominidae; genus Homo; species Homo sapiens. Next base: position 91,948,917 of record NC_000001.11, on the reverse strand, counting down.
TCGCAACTACCTCTTGATGGTTTGCAGATACTTTAGAGGTGCTAACATGTATCAGAAGAATATATTTAGTACAGTAGTTTCCCTTAGGATCAAATAGCAAACAACGCTTCTGAATTCCTAATACTCATTCGCAGTGGATGGATGGGAAGGGGAGGGCAAAAACAGCTGACAAGCTGCTCGCAAATCCGGCCAAAAAACCATCGATCTCCAGTTTCCTGAAGCGGAAGTCTGGGGGCCATTAACAGCTTGACACGTCTTAATTCAATCACTTTGATGTGGCAGGAAAGAACCAAGTGTTCACAAGAAAGCAACGCACTTGATCTACTTACTAGACGTCACATAAATACCTGGATTGGCAAGCACTTTTTGTTTAGATTTAATTTTCGTGTTCTTGTTTTTGCTGTTTAAAGTAGTATTAATGGTGTGGCTGCAGGCGCCTGCAATGCCCGTTACTGGGGAGGTTAAAGCGGAAGGCTCACTTAATCCCAAGGTTTCAAGGCCAGCCAGAGCAACAACGTGAAACTCTAATAGATTAGAGATTAGATATAGAGATTATCTTATTGTTCAGGAAAAGAGTAGATGGGTACAGACTTAGGGTGTGACTCTCACATCATGAAAAATCTGAAAGAAGTCAAGGGAAATGAAAGAGAGGAATGACTCAGTACAAATTTTGCCCCAACTATCAACTTTTTGACCTTCCTCTTGAGAATTAGTGGCAGGGAGACATGTACACTCTAGGTAAAGAAGATTGAGTGATTTTTTTGAGATTGAGTCTTGCTCTGTGGCCCAGGCTGGAATGAAGCAATGCAATCATAACTCAAGGTAGTCTCGAACTCCTGAGCTCAAGCATCCTCCTACCTCAGCCTCTCCAGGTACTGTAGGTGCAGACCACCACATTGCCTTCTGAACCATCTTTTAAAAAGCTTAATCTCAGGCTGGGCTCGGTGGTTCATGCCTGTAATCCCAGCACTTTGGGAGGCTGGGGGTGGGGGTGGGAAGGGGTGGATCACTAGGTCAGGAGTTCGAGACCAGCCTGACCAACATGGTGAAACCCTGTCTCTACTAAAAATACAAAAATTAGCTGGGCGTGGTGGCACGGGTCTGTAATCCCAGCTACTCAGGAGTCTGAGGCAGGAGCATCGCTTGAACCTGGGAGGTGGAGGTTGCAGTGAGCCGAGATCGTGCCACTGCACTCCAGCCTGGGCAACAGGGCGAGACTGCATCTCAAACAAACAAACAAAAAGCTAAATCTCATCATGTTACCACCCTTAAAACCTTTCAATTACTTTCCATTATTTTTAGGATAAAAAGCAAACCCCTTAAGATGAGCTAAAAAGTCCTACATGCCTTCAGCTCCAACTACACCTTCAGTAGTGCCCCCATCTTCAGCCAGTGACCTTTCAGCTCTTTCCAGGACCCTATCCTTTGTCTCTGGGCTTCTACAATTGGCTCTTTCATCCTTCCTCCGATCCCACACTGATTCCTCAACTCTCAGGCTGAAGTCATTTCCTCAAGGGGGCCTCCACTGGATTAGGTCTTCCTGTTAAACACTCTTATTACAACCTAATTAAATAGCACTAATTACAACTGTATAGCCAGTGGTATATTTAATGTCTATTTCCTGCACTAGACAGTATGTACCATAAGTGCAAAGTATCAAAAACTTTTAAAGTATATTATCATTGAGTAAATTACCCTTCGATCCTGCCTTTTGTTTTTTTTTTTTTTTTGAGACAGGGTCTTGCTCTGTCACCCAGGCTGGAGGGCAATGACATGATCATGGCTCACTGCAAACTCCACCTCCTGGGTTCAAGCTATTCTCCTGCCTCAGCCTCCCAAGTAGCTGGGACCACAGGCATGTGCAACCACGCCCAGCTAATTTTTTTTGTATTTTTAGTAGAGATGGGGTTTTATCATGTTGGTTAGGCTGGTCTTGAACTCCTGACCTCAAATGATTCGCCTGCTTTGGCCTCCCAAAATGCTGGGATTACAGACGTGAGCCACTGCACCAGGCCCTGCCTGGGTTTTAATGACTCTGGCAAATTAGATTTGAATTAAGGGGGTGGGGAAAGTAAAAAGACCAGATTTGAAGTTTCTTTTGTTTTCTGTTATTTTTGTTTTCTTTTTTTTTTAACTTGAAATGGCTGCAAAAATGGAGAATATGGAGAATGGGTTTATTTGGGAGGTAGACCTCCCCACTAGGATTTGGTATTAGATTAGATGTAAAGATGGTCTGGGTTGCATTGAGCATTTGGAGAATGGCACCATTTACTGAAAGGGAATCAGTCTTAGAAGGTTGAAGATCATTATTTCAGTTTTGAATATTCTGTAAGATATCTAGGTGGAGATTTTGAATAAGAAGTTGATTAACCAGTTCAAAATACAGTCTAGGCTAAAGATGGGAAAGAAGGACAGGAAGGAGGTTAGGAGAGAGTGGAAATTTTTCTAAATAATTATTACAGAGAACAGAACAAGCTGATTGGAAATGTGCATTTAGTAAGACATACTTGAGACAGTGAAGACACAGAAATTGGTGACTGTTTGTGGAGAAATGAGGTAGTAGCATTGAGATTTGCCAGGGGTGTATGACAGAAAAATGGTAGGGGAAAGTAGCTTCAAAAATATGGAAAAGAAAGTGGGCTGGGCGCAGTGGCTCACGCCTGTAATCCCAGTATTTTGGGAGGCCGGGGTGGGCGGATCGCCTGAGATCAGGAGTTTGAGACCAGCCTGGCCAACATGGTGAACCCCGTCTCTACTAAAAATACAAAAATGAGCCAGGTGTGGTGGTGGGTGCCTGTAATCACAGCTACTCGGGAGGCTGAGGCAGGAGAATTGCTTGAATCTGGGAGGCGGAGGTTGCAGTGAGCCAGGATTACACCACTGCATTCCAGCCTGGGCGACAGACTGAGACTCCATCTCAAAAAAAAAAAAAAAGAAAGTGGCTGAAGACTAGGATATTATGAGGCTATTCTATGACATATGGAAATACTCGTAATTATGATTTTTTAAAAAATCATCAAAGAGTTTCAGGTAGCATGCATTTTTCATTTAAATCAGGCTATCACAAGAACATACTTTGGAGACATTTTAACATTTCCATCCTTCACAGTGATTGGGGGATCACCGGGTTGCCTAAGGAGGGAGGAACCAACCCAGGTCAGAAACGGATCAGGTTGGCCGGGCACCGTAGCTCATGTCTGTAATCCCAGCATTTTGGGAGGCAAGGAGGGGTGATCACTTGACATCAGGAGTTCAAGACCAGCAGAGCCAACATGGTGAAGCCCCGTCTCTACTAAAAATAAAAAAATTAGCTGGATGTGATGGTGCCCGCCTATAATCCCAGCTACTTGGGAGGCTGAGGCACGAGAATTGCTTGAATCCGGGAGGTGGAGTTTGCAGTGAGCCAAGAATGAGCCACTGCACTCCAGCTTGGGCGACAGAGTGAGACTCCATCACAAAACAAAACAAAACAACAACAAAAAGAAATGTAGCAGGTCAAAACTCCTGTGCTGATCAGTAATGGGATCTCAGCTGTGAATAGCCTGTGCACTCTAGCTGGGCAATATAGCAGGACCTTGTCATTAATATATATATATATATATATATATATATATATATATATATATATATATATATATTTTGTTGTTGTTGTTGTTTAAGTTTCCATCCTTCATCTAACATTAGATTCAACAAAAGGAAACCCATCTTCTGGTCTCCATAGCAACTATAGATTCACAAATGTCCTCAAAACTAAGAGTTAAAGAATTTAAATTTACAACTGGTTTATCACTAAAAATGAAAAAATATCACTCTTGCCTCAGAAGGAGGAAATTTTTTAAAAAGTAAAAATAGGCCGGGTGCAGTGATTCATGCCTGTAATCCCAGCACTTTGGGAGACCGAGGCGGGCAGATCATTTGAGTCCAGGAGTTCAAGACCAGTCTGACCAACATGGCGAAACCCCATCTCTACTAAAAATACAAAAATTAGCCGGGCGTGGTGGTGGGTGCCTGTAATCCCAGCTACTCAGGAGGCTGAGACAGGAGAATCGCTTGAACCCAGGAGGCAGAGGTTTTAGTGAGTCAAGATCATGCCACTGCACTCCAGCCTAGGTGACAGAGTGAGACTCCGTCTCAGAAAAAAAAAAAAAAAAAGGTGTAGAGACAGGGTCTCACCGTGTTGCCCAGACTGGTCTCTGGTCTCGAATTTCTGGCCTCAAGGAATCCTTCCACCTCAATCTGTTGAGTTTTTTTTTGAGACAGGGTCTCACTCTGTTACCCAGGCTGGAGTGCAGTGGTGCAATCAGGCTCACTGTAGCCTCAACCTCTTGGCCTCAAGCCATCAGATCCTCCCACTTCAGCCTCCTGAGTAGCTGGGACTACAAGTGCACACCACCACCCCTGGCTAATTTTTTTTATTTTTTTTGTAGAGATAAGGTCCTGTCATGTTACCCAGGCTGGTCTCAAACTACTGGCCTCAAGAGATCCTCCCACTGAGGCCTCTCAAAGTGGTGGGATTACAAGCCTGAGTCACCATGGCTCATGGCCCGGTCTCCTCCCTGGAGGTCCAAGGTTGGGGAGGATGGGGACTGAAAGTTCCAACCCTCTAATCAAGTATTTGGTTTTTCCAAAGACCAGCTCTTATCCTGAAGCTATCGAGAGGCCCCACCCTGAGTCACCTTGTTAGCATATACTGAGGTGTGATTGAAGGCGCTTGTAATGAATAACAAAAGCTACTATCACTCAGGAAATTCCAATGGTTTTAGATGATTTGGGCTAGGAACTGGGGACAAAGACTAAACATATATTTCATTATACCACATAATGCAGTGATCTTTCCTTACCTGCAGGGAATATGTCCCAAGAACCCCGGTGGATGCCTGAAACTGAGGATAGTACCAAACTATATATACATACATTCCCATGATAAAGTTTAATTTATAAACTAGGCATAGTAATAGAGTAACAATACATAATAATAAAATAGAACAATTATAACAATATACTGTAATACAACTTATGTGAATGGTTTCTCTCTCAAAATATCTTATTGTACTGTACCCACACTTCTTGTGATGATGTGAAATAACAAAATACCTACACAATGAGAAGAATTGACAGAGCTGTATGGTGCAAGATTTCATCCTGCTATGCAGAGTGGCAGGCAATTTAAAACTTACAAAAATTTTTTTCTGGAAATTCCCATTTAATATTTTCAGACTGCAGTTGGCCATGGGTAACTGAAACCTCAGTAAATGAAACCAAGGACATGGGGGCACTGCTGTACTCTATATGTACCTATTAACCATATATAATTGTATATGTTCATTTATTAACAATGATCTCAGTTTTTGCTTTATTTATTTATTTATTTATTTATTTATTTATTTTTGACACGCAGTCTTGCTCTGTCGCCTAGGCTGGAGTGCAGTGGTGCGATCTTGGCTCACTGCAACCGCTGCCTCACCGGTTCAAGCAATTCTCCTGCCTCAGCCTCCGGAGTAGCTAGGATTACAGGCTCCTGCCACCACACCCAGCTAATTTTTGTATTTTTAGTAGAGACAGGGTTTCACCATGTTGGCCAGGCTGGTCTCCTACTCCTGACCTCATGATCCACCCGCCTTACCTCCCAAAGTGTTGGGATTACAGGTGTGAGCCACTGGGCCTGGACTTTATTTTTATTTTTAAACTTCATTGACGATCTCTTAATCTTTAAACAGAAGCTTTGGGATTATACTTCATTTATTTATTTAGAACAATTCTCCAATAGTAAACAGTGGAGGTAGAACAAAATGCATAGGCTTTTTTTTTTTCAGACAGGGTCTTGCTCTGTCACCCAGCCTGGAGTGCAGTGGTGCAATCACAACTCACTACAGCCTCAACCTCCTGGGCTCAAGCGATCCTCCCAGGCGTGCACCACCACACCTGGCTAATTTTTTTTTTTTTTTTTTTGTAAAGATGGGATTTCACCATGTTGTCCAGGCTAGTCTCGAACTCCTGAGCTCAAGAGCTTCACCCGCCTTGACCTCCCGAAGTGCTGGGATTACAGAGGTGCCCGGCCATATTTTTATTGAAACATAATTAGGAGGCTGGGTGCAGTGGCTCACGCCCATAATCCTAACACTCTGGGGGGCCGAGGCAGCAGGAGTGCTTTTGAGATCAGGAGTTCAAGACCAGCCTGGGCAACATAGGGAGAGCTCATCTCTGTTTATTTAAAAAGAAGAAAGGAAAGTAAGAAACTTAAGCCATTGGTAATAAGTGAGCATATAAGAAGTTCTCGGCCGGGTGCAGCGGCTCACTCCTGTAATCCCAGCATTTTGGGAGGCCAAGGCGGGTGGATCACCTGGTTGCGAGTTCAAGACCAGCTTGGCCAACATGGCGAAACCCTGTCTCTACTAAAAATACAAAAATTAGTTGAGCGGGTGGTGGATGCCTGGAATCCCAGCTACTCTGAAGGCCGAGGCAGGAGAATCGCTTGAACCTGGGAGGCGGAGGTTGCAGTGAGCTGACATCATGCCACTGCACTCCAGCCTGGGCGACAGAGTGAGATTCCATTAAAAAAAAAAAAAAAAAGGCCGGGCGCAGTGGCTCACGCCTGTAATCCCAGCACTTTGGGAGGCCGAAACGGGCGGATCACAAGGTCAGGAGATCGAGACCATCCTGCCTAACACGGTGAAACCCCGTCTCTACTAAAAACACAAAAAATTAGCCGGGCGTGTTGGCAGGCACCTGTAGTCCCAGCTACTTGGGAGGCTGAGGCAGGAGAATGGCGTGAACCTGAGAGGCGGAGCTTGCAGTGAGCCGAGATGACGCCACTGCACTCCCGCCAGGGCGACAGTGCGAGACTCCGTCTCAAAAAAGAAAAAAAAAGTTCTCACAATGACTGTTGGATATGCCAAGAATTTTCAATCTGCTATGTGATTTTTTTTTTTTATTTTTTGAAACAGGGTCTCGCTTTGTCACCCAGGCTGGAGTGCAGTGGCGTGATCTGGGCACACTGCAACCACCCACTCACAAGTTCAGGCAATTCTGCCTCTGCCTCCCGAGTAGCTGGGACTACAGGCACGTGTAACCACGCACAGCAAGTTTTTGTATTTTTAGTAGAGACGCGGTTTCACCATGTTGGCCAGGCTGGTCTGAAACTCCCGACCTCAAGTGATTCATCCTCCTCCGCCTCCGCCTCCGCCTCCGCCTCCGCCTCCACCTCCGACTCCGACTCCCAAAGTGCTGGGATTACAGGCGTGAGCCACCGCCTCTTGGCTTGCTGTTTGCTTTTTGAGTGACACTTGGGTAAATTTAAATACTCCCATAGTATTTATAATGTTGTCGTTTCTGACATCATTATTAGCACCAAATGTGTGGGGATTTTCTACACCAAATTTTCCAATTCTCCCCAACTTGGTGTCCAACAATGCAATTCTAAGACTATTGGGAGTTAGCACAGACTCCACAGGTTAAGAGATTAGTCCCGGGTTGGGCGTGGTGGCTCACGGCTGTAATCCCAGCACTTCCGGAGGCCGAGGCAGGTGGATCAAGAGGTCAGGAGTTCAAGACCTGCCTGGCCAACATGGTGAAACCCCGTCTCTACTAAAAATACAAAAATTAGCTGGGCGTGGTGGTGGGCGCCTGTAATCGCAGCTACTCGGGAGGCTGAGGCAGGAGAATCGCTTGAACCCGGGCGGCAGAGGTTGCAGTGAGCCGAGATTGCGCCACTGCACTCCAGCCTGGGCGACAGAATGAGACTCTGTCTCAAAAAAAAAAAAAAAAAAAAAAAAAGAGAGAGATTAGTTCCACAAGACCCGCCCCTTCGGACACCAGCTGCAAATAGAGTGCTCAAGCTACCTACACTTCTGCCACGGAGACTACAAATTCAGGGGTTCCCATGAGCTCAGAAAAACGCTTTACTTACGTTTATGGGTTGATTACAGAGGATACAATTCAGGAGGAGCCAAATTGAAGACAGGTATATTAAGTTATGAGGGGTAGGGGGTGACTCAGAGCTCCTTGCCTTCTTCGATGTTTCACCCTCTCAGCATCTCTACCTGTGCACCAACCCGGAAGCTCCCCAAACCCCATGGTTTAGGGGTTCTTTTAAATCAAGGTTTCATTACATAGTAACGGTGATTAAGTCTTTGGTCACTGGTGATTGAGCCTAATCTCTCAGCCCTTCTCCCTTCCTGGGAGGTGAGGTGGGAGGGGACTGAAAGTTCTAACTCCAATCACCTGGTGGGTTTTTCTGGCCAACCAGCCGGTATCCTAGAGCTGGCTATCTAGGAACCCCTACCTTGAGTCACTCATTGGCATACAAAAGACATTCTTATCACTCAGAAGATTCCAAGGGTTTTAGGAGCCAGTATTAAGAACCTAGATCAAAAACCATTTGTTTTTTATTATACCATAATCTTACTTAGAAAATACAAACTGCTATGGTTTTGTGAATAAAAGATTCTCAGTCTAAATTTTTTCCTTCCTGTTAGGTATGAAAGTTAATGAATAGCTTATGTAACAAAAAAAACTTTAGAGATGTAACTGGCTATCTTCCCATTGATTCAGAAATTTGTTTTGAATACAAAATGAGTGTTTTATATGTACCATGATCAAAATAAGTGCTTTAATTTTTTTTTTTTTTGAGATGGAGTCTCACTCTGTAGCCCAGGCTGGAGTGCAGTGACATGATCTCGGCCCACTGCAACCTCCACCTCCAAAGGCAATTCTCCCGTCTCAGCCTCCAGAGTAGTAGCGATTACAGGCGCATGCCACCATGCCCAGCTAATTTTTGTAGTTTTAGTACAGACAGGGTTTTACCATATTGGTCAGGCTTGTCTCAAACCCCTGACCTCAGATGATCCACCCGCCTTGGCCTCCAAAGTGTTGGGATTACAGGAGTGAGCCACCGAGCCTAGCCAAAAGAAGTGATTAATTTTAACTGATCAGTCACCATAACTGATGCTTGATTAACAACTGTCCATAACTTGCTTAAAATGGAAAAATATATAAAACACCATTTCAGGAATGAAAGACAAGGCAAAACTATTTTCTAAGAAGGTAGACCTTAGAAAGGACATCATCAGTAGGTTAAACTACGCCTCAAAAAGAGTAAGCTTAGGTTTTGAATGTATTATAAACATACTGGGCTGGGCATAGTGGCTTACACCTGTAATCCCAGCACTTTAGGAGGCCGAGGTGGGCAGATTATCTGAGGTCAAAAGTTCAAGCAAGACCAGCCTGGCCAAAATGGTCAAACTCTGTCTCTACTAAAAATACAAAAATTAGCCAAGCATGGTGGTGTGTGCCTACAGTCCCAGCTACTCGGGAGGTGAGGCAGGAGAACTGCTTAAGCCCGGGAGGCGGAGGTTGCAGTGAGCCGAGATTCGCACCATATCACTCCAGCCTGGGTGACAGAGGGAGACTCTGTCTCAAAAAAAAAAAAAAAAAGATAAAGATAATGTTTTCCTCTTCTCTGGCTGATCTGTAAAGATATCTGACAAAGTTGATTTTTTTTTCTTTTGAAAAAGTCTCACTCTGTCACCCAGGCTGGAGTGCAATGGCACAATCTCAGATCACTGCAACCTCCACCAACTGCGTTCAAACGATTCTTGTGCCTCAGCCTCCCCAATAGCTGGGATTACAGGGTTGCGCCACCACACCCGGCTAATTTTTGCATTTTTAGTAGAGATGGAGTTTTACCATGTTGGCCAGGCTGGTCCTGAACTCCCAACCTCAGGTGATCCGCCCAGCTCGGCCTCCCAAAGTGCTGGGATTACAAGCGGCCACAAGTTGAAAATTTGTAATTAACAAGCTGGAAATGGTAATTTCAAAGGAAACTGGGAATTCTTCTGGCTTGTGGAGACATTCACTGTTTTTAAGATAGCTATTCTTCTTATTATTATTTTTAGAGATGGAGTCTCATTAAGTTGCCCAGGCTATCCTCAAACTCCTGGACTCAAAAGACCCTCCAACCTCAGCCTTCCAAGTAGCTGGTATTTTATTTTATTTTATTTTATTTTATTTTATTTTATTTTATTTTAGATGGAGTTTCGCTCCTATTGCCTAGGCTGGGGTGCAATGGCGACATCTTGGCTCACTGCAACCTCCGCCTCCCAGGTTCAAGCGATTCTCCTGCCTCAGCCTCCCGAGTAGCTGGGATTACAGGCATGTGCCACCACACCTGGCTAATTTTGTATTTGTAGTAGAGATGGGATTTCTCCACGTTGGTCAGGCTGGTCTCGAACTCTCGACCTCAGGTGATCCACCCACCTCGGCCTCCCGAAGTGTTGGGATTACAGGCGTGAGCCACTGTGCCCGGCCTGGTCTTTTAAACATAGTTATTCTTAAGAGATTCTGTATGAGTTTGCTAAACCTGTCGTAAGAAAGTACCACAAGCTGGATAGCTGAAAACCACGGGAATATATTCTCTCATAGTTCTGAAGGCTTGTACAACAGTTGCCTCTTATCCTCATAGGATATGTTCCAAGACCCCCAGAAACCACGGATAGTACTGAACCCCATATATATATATATATGGGGTTCAGTACTCCATATATATATACTAGGCCTGAGTTTCTTTTTCCTTCTTCACAGTTTCATGGATAGATTTGTTCCTACTGTATACCTTAACAGCTTTAACATACAATTTTTTTTCTTTTTTTATTAAGTCAAAATTTTTACCCTTTCGCTTAAAGGAAGCACTTTATGGCTTCTCTTTGGCATATCTGAATTGCCAGCATCACTACTCTTGCACTTTGGGGTCTTTATAAGGTAAAATAAGGATGGCTTTAACACAAGCACTGCCAAACCAAAACAGTTGATCTGATAACCAAGACCACTACTCAGTGACTAGAGGGCAGGGATGTCAAGGCATGGATACTCTGGATAAAGTAAGGCATGGATACCCTGGATAAAGGGATGATCCGCATCCGGAGTGGGACAGCACCAGATCTCCTCACATTACTCCGAATAGCATGCAATGTAGAACTTATGAATTGTTTACTTCTGAAACTTTCCATATAATATTTTTGGAACATGGTTGACTGAAACTGCAAAAAGTGAAACCGAAGATAAGGGGTGACTACAATAGACTGAAATCGGAGCGCCAGCAGGGACACGCGCTAAGGGAGATTCGCCTACATGCTTTTCTCTTAGCATCTGGTGTTGCCAGCTATCTTTGGCGTGTAGATCCATCACTCTAATCTCTGCCTTCATTGTCACAAGATGTTCTTCCTGTGTCTGTCTCTCTCTTTTTTTTTTTTTGGCAGGGTCTTGCTCTGTTGCCCAGGCTGGAATGCAGCAGTGTAGTTTCAGCTCACTGCAGCCTCAACGGGCTCAAGCTCTTCTCCCACCTCAGCCTCCTGGGTAGCTAGGACTACAGGCATGCACCAACATGCCTGACTAATTTTGTATTTTTAGTAGAGACAGGGTCTCACCATGTTGCTCAGGCTGGTCATGAACTCCTAGGCTCGAGCAATCTGCCCCCCTCAGCCTTACAAAGTACCGGGATTACAGCCACCTCAACTGGCCTCTGCCTCTTCTCAGAAGGACACAGTCATACTAGTTCAAGTGCCCCCCATTCTGGTACAAGCCCATTTTAATTGTATCTGCAGAGACTCTGTTTCTTTCTTTCTTTCTTTTTGAGACAGAGTCCTCCTCTGTCTCCCAGGCTGGAATGCAGTGGCGTGATCTTGGCTCACTGCAACCTCTGCCTCCTGGGTTCAACAATTCTCCTGCCTCAGCCTCTCGAGTAGCTGGGATTATAGGCATATGCCACCACTCTGGCTCATTTTTTGTATTTTTAATAGAGATGGGGTTTCACCAGGTTGGCCAGGCTGTTCTCAAACTCCTTACCTCAAGCAATCAGCCCACTTTGGCCTCCCAAAGTGCTGGGATTACAGGCATGAGCCACCGCGCCCAGCCTGAGACCCTATTTACAAGTAAGGTCTCATTCACAGATATAAGAGTTAAGACATGAACATACCTTTTTGGAGAATACAATTCATCCCATAACAGATGACAATAGTAGATTATAATTATATTTTTTTCATGGATCAACTCTTGGGCCTCCGTTACTCCTTGTGCATTTTTTTTTTTTTTTTGAGACAGGGTCTCAGTCTGTCACCCAGGCTGGAGTGCAACAGCATGATCATAGCTCACTGTAGCCTCGACCTCCTGGGCTTAAGAGATCCTCCCACCTCAGCCTCCCAGTGTGCTGGGATTACAGGCATCAGCCACCATGCCTGGCCTTAATTTTTTTTTTTTTTTTTTTTTTTTTTGAGATGGAGTTTCGCTCTTTCACCCAGGCTGGAGTGCAATGGCTCGATCTCAGCTCACTGCAACCTCTGCCTTCCAGTTTTCAAGAGATTGTCCTGCCTCAGCCTCCTGAGTAGCTGGGACTACAGGCGCCTGCCACCACGCCTGGCTAATTTTTGTATTTTTAGTAGAGACGGGATTTCACCATGTTGACCAGGCTGGTCTTGAACTCCTGACCTCGTGATCCGCCCGCCTCAGCCTCCAAAGTGCTGGGATTATAGTTGTGAGCCACCGCGCCCTGCCGCCTGTCCTTATTTTTTTAACCTCTCAGTAGAAAGAGAAGAAAAAACCAACAAATTCTAAAGTTTTTGCTTTTATTATCATTTTTTACAAAATAACAAATTTGTACTATGTAAAAAAATTTAAAAGACCACCAAATTCAAGAGGGGGCTTTTATTTAACACAAATTAAGGCCTATATTTTTATTGTTTTTGTGCTGATTATAGGCTAAAAGAATAAACTGGAAGTAAGATGATTAAATAAGTTTAAACATAGTATAATCACCTATACTAAATATATATACATTAAAATTAGCACAAATAGAAAACAATAAATATAATTAGATTGACATATTAAAGGATAAAAACCACATGGTCATGTCAATAGGTTAAAAACAGCATTTGATAAAATTTAACATCTGTTCACGATAACAACTCTTAGTAAATATAAGGAATATTTATAGACTGAATTGTGTTATAGACTGAATTATGTCCTTCTTCCCTGTCCCCAATTCATATACTGAACCCCTAGTCCCCAGTACTGCAGAATGTAGCTGTACAGTCCTCTCTCAGTATCCATGGGAGATTGGTTCCAGGACACAGTGGATATAAAAATCTACAGAAGCTCAAGTCCCTGATATAAAATGGCATAATGTTTGCATATAACCTATGCACATCCCCCTATATAGTTTAATCATCACTAGATTATTTATAATACCTAATACAATAAAAAGGCTACATAAATAGTTGTTATACTGTATTGTTTAGGAAATAATGACGAGGAAAAAATGTCTGTACATAATCAGTACAGATGCATTTTTTTTTCCCTAAATATTTTCCATCTGAGGTTGATTGAATCCATGGATTCAGAATCCACAAATATAGAGGGCCAACTGTATTCGGAGACACGGCCTTAAAAGAGGTGATTAAGTTAAAATGAGGCTATTAGAGTTTTGACTGTTTATTTTTGTTTTTTGTTTTTGAGAAAGAGTCTTTCTCTGTTGCCCAAGTTGGAGTGCAGAGACACCGTCTTGGCTCACTGCAGCTTTGACATCCTGGACTCCTGCAATCCTCCCTCCTCAGCCTCCCGAGTAGCTAAGACTACAGGCGTGTACCACCAGACCTGGCTAATTTTTGTTTATTTTTTACAGAAACAAGGTCTCACTATGTTGCCCAGGCTGATCTTGAACCCCTGGGGTCAAGCAATCCTCCCACCTCAGCCTCCCAAAGTGCTGGGATTACAGGCATGAGCCACTGTACCCATCCTCACTGGTGTTTTTATAAGAAGAGGAAATTTGGATACACAGTGACATCAGCAGTGCCAGTGCATAGAAAAAAATCATGTAAGAACCCACCAAGAAGGCAGCCATCTGCAAGACATGGAGAGAGGCCTCAGAAGAAACCAAACTTGCCAACACCTTAATCTTGGACTTCTTCACTCCAGAACTGTAACAAAATACATTTCTGTTACTTACAATAACTAGTCTGTGGTATTTTGTTATGATAGCCCTAGCAGACTTGTACAGAAGAGTACCTGTAAAAAGTCTATCCACTAAAGAAATCTAGAGACATCATGATGGCAGATGGGCAAACATTAGAAGCATTCTCCTTAAAACTGGGAATGAAGGTTGCACAACATAGTGAAACCCCATCTCTGAACAAAAAAAAAAATTAGCCAGGTGTGGTGGCACGCATCTGTAGTCCTAGCTCCTAAGGAGGCTAAGGTGGGAGGACTGATTCAGCTCAGGAGTTGAGGCTGCAGTGAGCTGTGATCATGCCACTACACTCCACCTTGGGTGACAGAGTTGAGACCCTGTTTCAAAAAAAAAAACAATTAAATTAAAAAAAAAAAGAAGCCTTGGCTGGGCACAGTGGCTCACGCCTGTAATCTCAGCACTTTGGAAGGCCAAGGTGGGCAGATCGCGAGGTTAAGAGATCAAGACCATTCTGGCCAACCAACATGGTGAAACCCCATCTCTACTAAAAATACAAAAATTAGCTGGGTGTGGTGGCGCATACCTGTAGTCCCAGCTACTTGGGGGGCTGAGGCAGGAGAATCGCTTGAACCCAGGAGGTGGAGGTTGCAGTGAGCCGAGATCACGCCACTGCACTCTAGCCCAGGTGACAGAACGAGACGCCATCTCAGAAAAAAAAAAAAAAAAAGAAGCCACCTTCTTTTTGAAATGTTGAAGGTTAGTAGTAGGCACTGTACTATAGACAACTATTGTCCAAGACAACTTTTTGCAAGGACAGACATGTTCTATATCTGCACTGTTCAGTATGGTAGACATTAGCCACGTGTAGCTAGCTGTTGAGCACTTGAAGATGGCTAGTGCTATCAGAAACTGAATTCTAAATTTTATTTAATCCCAACGAATTAAAATTTAAATAGCCACATGTGGCTACCATATTGGACAATACAGTTTTAAATTAAGGAGATAAAAAAAAGGAGATAGATGTCTTGAAAGTCTTTTCAAAGAGAAGCTTAAAACCTATATACAATACTTCCTTTACAAAATTTATTATAGATAAGAACTCTCAAAGCTAGTTCTCTGCAACTCCTACTCATTAACACTTTAAGCATTTGAACTTTATAGATAACACTCAGAGACAAAAAATAAATGTAACTTTATTCAGAGAGACCTCTTCTGTTCACTTTGGGAGTATTATAAGTAGATAAATGTACTTCACTAACAATAATCCCTTCAGTTTATCTACACACCATTAAGAGACCGAATATGTAAGGTACAGCATGGAAGAAGCTATTTGTAACACACATAATAACAAAGGTTTTGTTTTCAGAATATGTGGAGAACTACTGTAATCAATAAGATAATGGCAGACAGCCCAGTAGAAAAATGGGGTGCTTGACAAAGATGTCCATGTGGCCAATAAACATACAAAAAGGTACTCCATATCATGAATCATCAGAGAAATGCAAATTAAAGTTACAGCACGAGCCTGACATGGTGGCTCACACCTGTAGTTCCAGCACTTTGGGGTGCCGAGGTGGGAGGATCGCTTGAGGCCAGGAGTTCAAGACTAGCCTGGCCTAACAAAGTGCGACCCCCCATCTCTATTATTTAGAAAGAAAAAAAAATTTTTTAAAGGAAAAAAAATCATAGTGAGATTGCATTACACACCTACCAGAATGGCCGAAATGTAAGACGCTGATATCAAATATTTGTTTTTGTTTTTGAGACATGGTCTTCCTCTGTTGCCCAGGCTGGAGTGCAGTGATGCAATCACGGCTCGCTGCAGCCCCAACCTCTCCGGCCTGAGCGATCCTCCCACCTCAGCCTCCTGAGTAGCTGGACTACAGGTACATGCCACCATGCCTGGCTTCACTGTTTTAAATAGTATCAGAGAATGTTAAGTGCTTAGGAAAGACACATAAAATATGTCAAGGGAAAACTATAAAATGTTAAGAGACATTAAAGAATACCCAAATGGCCAGGCGCGGTGACTCACGCCTGTAATCCCAGCCCTTTGGGAGGCCAAGGCGGGCAGATCACGAGGTCAGGAGACCGAGACCATCCTGGCTAACACCGTGAAACCCCGTCTCTACTAAAAATACAAAAAAAAAAAAATTAGCCGGGAGTGGTGGCGGGCGCCTGTAGTCCCAGCTACTCGGGAGGCTGAGGCAGGAGAATGGCGTGAAACCGTGAGGCGGAGCTTGCAGTGAGCCGAGATTGCGCCGCTGCACTCCAGCCTGGGGGACAGAGCGAGACTCCATTTCAAAAAAAAAAAAAAAAAAAAAAAAGACCCAAATGTAGAGACACCATGTGGCCATGTGAAGGAAAATTCTGTATCTTAATGATGTAAGTTCCTTCCATACTGGTCTGTAGATTCAATGCAATTCAGACAACACTCAACAAGGTTTTTATAGAACTTGACAAGATTATTAAAAAATGGATAAGGAAGAGTAAAGGTCTAAGAATAGCCAAGAATCTTCTGAAAAAGAAAAGCAAGAAGGGAAATTGTCTTCTCTTATATTAGGATTCATTATGAAGCTATTTTATTATAGATAGGAACTCTTAAAGCTAGTTCTCTACAACTCCTACTCACTAACACTTTAAGCATTTTTATTTTGTAGATAACATTCAAAAACAAAAAAAAAATTAAGTTTATTTAGAGAGACCTCTTCTGTTCACTTGGGAGTGAATTTAGCTACTGTGATACAAATTAACCAACATAATAGAGAAACCCATTTATGTTTGGACTTTGGTATATATTGGAATGCCATGTCAGGTAAGTGGAAAAAGGGGAGATTGGTCATTTAATACAGCTGAGAAAAATGGTTATCCATTTGGAAAAAAGATAAATTGAATTTCTACTCACACCATAAAATTAAAAAAAAAATCAACTCCAGATGGATTAAAAACTTAAATGTCAAAAACAATAATTTAAGAAAACTTTTAATAGAAAACATAGGTGACTTGGTTGGGAAAAAGTGTCTTAAGACAGTAAAAATGTTATGTATAAAAAGAAGATGTAGATAAATTTGACTGCTAAAATCAAGGCCGGGCATGTTGGCTCCCACCTGTAATCCTAGTAGTTTGGGAGGCTGAGGTGGGAGGATTGCTTGAGGCCAAGAATTCAAGGCTAGCCTGGGCAACATAGTGAGAACCCCCATCTCTCCAAAAAAAATTTTTTTTTTGAGATGGAGTTTTGCTCTCATTGCCCAGGCTGGAGTACAATGGCAAAATCTTGGCTCACTGTAACCTCCACCTCCTGGGTTCAAGTGATTCTCCTGCCTCAGCCTCCTGAGTAGCTGAAATTACAGCCACCCACCACCACACCCAGCTAATTTTTTTTGTATTTTTAGTACTTTTTTTTGTATTTTTGTATTTTTGTATTTTTAGTATTTTTAGTAAAGATGGTGTTTCACCATGTTGGCTAGGCTGGTCTTGAGCTCCTGACCTCAGATGATCCCACCCACCTCGGCCTCCCAAAGTGCTGGGATTACAGACATGAGTGCCCAGCTAAAACATTTTTTTTTTAAAACCTGGATGTAGTGGCACACGCCTGTAGTCCCAGCTACTTGGGAGGCTGAGGCATGAGGACTGCTTGAACCCTGGAGTTCAAGGTTGTAGTGAGCTGTTACTGAGCCAGCCTGGGTGACAGACAGAATGAGAATCTGTTTCAAAAAACAAAACAAGGCCTGGCACCGTGGCTCACACCTATAGGCTGAGGCAGGTGGATCACCTGAGGTCAGGAGTTCGAGACTGGCCTGGCCAACATGGTGAAACCCCTGTCTCTACTAATAATACAAAAAAATTAGCTGGGCGTGGTGGCGCATGCCTGTAATCTCAGCTACTTGGGAGGCTGAGGCAGGAGAATCGCTTGAACCTGGGAGGCGGAGGTTGCAGTGAGCTAAGATTGTGCCACTGCACTCCAGCCTGGGCAACAAGAGTGAAACTCCGTCTCAAAAAACAAACAAACAAATAAAACAAAACAAAATAACAAAACAAAATTAAGAATTTCTGTTTGTCAATAGACATCTTTCTAAATGCAATGTATTATCATCCTGTGTTGGATCCTGGAACAGAAAAAAGACCATGTTTTCCCCCTGCCTCAGTGATAATAACAGGGTAGGCCAACTTCTCTCTTGGTCCATAGGAAAAGGGGGTATTCCTTTCTCTGTCTGTTCTCTGTAGTAATCTTTTTTTTTCCATAAAATCTTTCAGAAAAGATCTAGTAATTTTAGTAATACTTGAAGATTGACGGGAAACATACATTAACAATTTCTTTGTAGAACAAAAGTGATAGAAAACCTCAATTATCTGACATAAAAAAGGTGACACATCTTCATATCCCCAAATAGTTGCATCTTTTATTAGCCAGTACTATCCATGTAGGAGTCATATCTGACAAAAAAGTATAACTTTTAAAGACTAAAAACCAAGTCCAAAGCATATCAGTTTACACGCTCCTCCCCCACCACCACCAAATAAAAGACAAATGATTGTACCATCATTATTAGGAAAGATGGAATGATACCTTTCCATCACCCCACTCCCCTGTGCATGATTTCTCACTGGATGACTCTTCCTGTGCCCCTCCCCATCTCAGAATAGTCTGAATTCTGTCTGCTCTCTACGTGCCTCTTGCTCAGGTTTACAGGGTCAGGATTTCTTACCCTTGCCAAGCATTGGGCCCACTTAATTTGTCCTCAAGATACTGGTCAGTTACTCTCCTGTGGCCTAGCTACTTCTTTCCATCTTGCTGACCACCTAATTCCTAGATCTGCATCCTGCTTCTAGCCCATCATGATGATCTGTGTTCTCTTCATGGTCCCATGAGGCTCACTTCCAACCCTGCTTTGCAATTTTGAGAATTCCATAGGTCCACTGTCATTTTCCTGGTGGTGATGTGCAAAAGCAATGGACTAAAAACCCAAGGATCAGCCAGGTGCAGTGGCTCACGCCTGCAATCCCAACACTTTGGGAGGCTGAGGTGGGTGGATCACCTGAGGTCAGGAGTTGGAGACCAGCCTGGCCAACATGGTGAAACCCAGTCTCTACTAAAAATACAAAAAAGTATCTGGGCGTGGTGGCAGGCACCTGTAATTCCAGCTACTCGGGAGGCTGAGACCAGAGAATTGCTTGAACTGGGAGACAGAGGTTGCAGTGAGCCGAGACCACGCCGTTGCACTCCAGCCTGGGAAACAAGAGGGAAACTCCATCTCAGAAAACACAAAACAAAACAAAACAAAACAAAAACTCAGCGGTCTTTGTTCTAGGACCAGCTCTGTCACTAACCAGTGAAATCTTGATTGATCTGATTTTCCTCTTTTGTGAAACAGGAAACCTGGATTCAATCATCTCCAATTTTTCTTCCCCTTTAAAATTCTCTGAGTCTCTAATCCCAAGTATGGCCTCTTGACTCCTGGTCTTTCTTGGCTTTTGGCCCAGACCAAGATCACTGTTCCTGGACCCCAGCCCTGCCCTGTTTTCCCTGCCTCCATTCCTGCCTGACCCTGCATTCTTCTGCAGCCCGGCATTAGCATAGCTCCTCCTGCCAAATGCCACTGCCTTGTCTCCAGCTCTCCTTCAGAATTTGTACGTTTCCTTATGATATTATTTTATATGCATATGTTTTATCTCCTCAGTTGAATTATAGGTGACTTTAAAGCAGGAGCCCTGTCTTGTAACCTGCCTTTTCAGGTTACCTGCATATAGTGGACATTCAGGAAGTATTTATTTCTTCATTGAAGAGTGTCTTGAGAATTTATGTACTATTGTGAAAGCTTTCTTTTTTTCAGAGACAATCCTAAGTAAAAATAGCTTTGGTTTGCCTGATATAACTTGTTTCTCTCTCTCTCTCTCTCTCTTTTTTTTTTCATTTCTTTTCTTGGTTGTTTGTTTTGTTTTTGAGACAGTGTTGCCCAAGCTGGAGTGCAGTGGCGTGATCACAGCTCACTGCTGCCTCCATCTCCTGGGCTCAAGCGATCCTTCTGCCTCAGCCTCTCGAGTAGCTGGGACTACAGGTGTGTACCACCACACTCGGCTAATTTTTTTTATTTTTAATAGAGATGAGTCCTTACTATGTTGCACAGGCTGGTCTCATACTCCTGGGCTTAAGCAAACCTCCCGCCGTGGCCTCCCAAAGTGTTGGGATTATAGGCGTGAGCCACCATGTCCAGCCTGATGTAACTTGTTTCAGTGTAAAGATGCCATGCATTCTTTCTCTATAACCCTGAGTTCTCTTAAAAGAGCTGTTTTTATAAATATTTTGAACAATTTTATATTCTTATGGTAACCATTTCTCACCAGGCATTCTATTAAACTTGTCTCTCAGGTTATTTGGTATTATCTTTTGTTTGTGAGAGAGTTACCCAGGATTATAGGTCACTCCACTACTTAAAATCACACTGTGACTCCCATCTCACCTAGAAATCCCAATGCCAAGTCTGAAGTCCTAACCATGGCTACACCAAGCTGGCATCCCCACCACCTCTCTGACCTCGTCCCCTAAAACCCGCCTACTCACTCTGCTCCACTGGCTTCCTTGCTGCTTCCTTGCTGTTTTTCAATCACATCAAATATTTCCCAGCATCAGGAATTTGCCCCTTCTGTTTCCCCAGCCTGAAATACTCTCCCTGCACCCAGGCCTTCCCTGACAGCCCTGTCTGAAGTGGAGCACACATGGCCTTGCCAGTCACACTCGATTCCCCCTGCTCAACTCCATTTCTCTTCATTAAATTCATCATCAACTAACATATTTTGTATTTATCTGTTTATTGTTTATCTTCCCCACTATAATGTAAGCTCCATTGAAAGCAGGAACTTGTGCTGGCTTCTCTGCTGTATCCCCAGCAGAGTAGCTCCCAATAACTACTCTCATGTGCAATGAATATATGCTTGAAAAAAACCAGACCTGACTTGAAAAAATGTGGTGTTAGGCAGGTCATAAATTTTAGTTCAAGTAAATTTAAATTATCTAATTATGTTTCCGGTGCTGTGTTTTCCTACTGCATTAAAGATATAAAGTTAATAGATTCAGTAAATATTGAAATTAATTGGATAAATTGGGTGCCAGATGTGGTGGCTCATGCCTGTAATCTCAGCATTTTGAGAGGCCGTGGCGGGAGGATTGCTTGAGGCCAGGAACTTGAGACCAGCCTGACTAACATAGCAAGACCCTGTCTCTACAAAAAAAATTTTTTAATTAGCCAAGCGTGGTGGCATGGCACCTGTGGTCCCAGTTACCTGGGAGGCTGAGGTGGGAGGACCGCTTGAGCCCAGGAGATTGAGGCTTCAATAAGCTATGATCATACCACTGCACTCCAACCTGGGCAACAGAATGAGATTCTGCCTTGGTTCGACGTTTCCAAAAATATGAACAAGGTTCCTTTCACTTATTTTACCTTAATACCAGAAGCATAAATATTAAAAATGATTTCTTCTTTTAGCCACGAGGTGGCAGAATATGCACACATACTTTGTCAATGGCAGCGTTATTCTGTATCACCTTTTGGAAGCAGTAATACTACTGCTTTATATTTGAAGAGTACATTATAGCAGACAAAATACTTTCACAAACTGTGTATATATACACACATACGTATGTGTGTATACACACACACACATATGTGTGTGTGTGTGTGTGTGTGTGTGTGTGTGTGTGTGACGGAGTCTCGCTCTGTCGCCCAGGCTGGAGTGCAGTGGTGCAATCTTGGCTCACTGCAAGCTCTGCCTCCCGGGTTCATGCCGTTCTCCTGCCTCAGCCTCCCGAGTAGCTGGGACTATAGGCGCCCGCCACCACACCCGGCTAATTTTTTGTGTTTTTAGTAGAGACGGGGTTTCACCATGTTAGCCAAGATGGTCTCGATCTCCTGACCTCGTGATCCACCTGCCTCGGCCTCCCAAAGTGCTGGGGTTACAGGCGTGAGCCACCGTGCCTGGCCCACAAACAATATTTTATGATGCCCCTGTGAAGTAGGGAAGACAGTCAGGGCTCCTGATCATGTGACAGCATGTACCTGGAAGTTTCTGCCTCTTAAATGATGAGTGCTTTTGAGTGTATTTTCTGTGGAGAGCTGGTGTATGCAATTCACATGAGCATTAATGAGAATTGTGCGTGCACTGAGCCCTGGATGGATCTGGAATACTGAAGTGAAATAGCAGAAAAATTACCTACATGTAAAAACTAGCACTTAAATTCATTAAATATTGCTGTTAAGTTTTCTTTTTCTTTCTTTTGTTGAGACAGGGTCTGGCTCTGTCGCCCAGGCTGGAGTGCTGTGGTGCAATCACACTCACTGTAGCCTTGACCTCCTGGGCTCCAGCAATCCTCCTATCTTAGCCTCCCCAGTAGCTGGGGTCACAGGTGTGCGCCACCACACCCGGCTAATTTTTATAATTTTTGTAGAGGTAGTGTTTTGCCATGTTGCCTAGGCTGGTCTTGAACTCCTGATCTCAAGCAATCTACCCTCCTCAGCCTCCAAAAGTGCTAGGATTACAGGCATAAGCCACCATGCCCAACCGCTGGTTAGGTTTTCCAAGTTTACCGTAAGCAACTGATTGGTGTCCTTTTAGCACAGACTTCTATTGGCAGAAAAATGATTTAACAAAGTTCACTTGATTCATTGTACTTTGCTATAGTGCCATGTGGCATATAAGAAAGAATTTAGGCTTCAGAAGCTGGATTCTTGGGTGTGGTCCTAGTTTAGCTGCTTACGGGTTATGTGACCTTCAGCAAGTGATGCTGAATTTTTGTATTTTTAGTAGAGACGGTGTTTCACCATGTTGGCCAGGCTGGCCTCAAATTCCTGGCCTCTGAGCCTCACTTTCCTCCTGTGTAAATGAGTATAACACCTGCTTCATGGAGTTGGTATGAAGATGAAATGAGATAATGATTATGATAGTGGTTTAGAAAGTAAAATCCATACATGCAGGGTGATTGTTATGATCACTAAAGGCAGGGGAAAGGCATGAGTTTTTTTTAAGATGGAGGGCCTGGGCTTTGTCATTGCTAGCTGTTGACCTTGGGTTACTTTATTCATATTGTTGGACCTCAGTTTTCTTACTGGAAAAAAAAATTGAAGGAATCAGCAAATTTTTATTATTCTCCTTCCTTCCTTTTTTCTATTTCTCTCTTTCTCTTTTTCTCTCTCTTCCTCCCCCTCCCTCTCCTTCTCCCCTCCCTCTCCTTCTCCCCTCCCTCTCCTTCTCCCCTCCCTCTCCTTCTCCCCTCCCCTCCCCTCCCCTCCAAGGTCTTACCCTATCACCAGGCTATAGTGCATAGCTGCATATATATAGCTGCATATATATAGTGCATAGCTGCACATTCTATAGTGCATAGGATCAGCTCCTGGGCTCAGGTGATCTTCCTGCCTCAGCTTCCTGAGTAGCTAGGACTATAGGTATGCACCACCACACCTGGCCTAATTTTTAAAATTTTTTTGTTTTTGGTAGAGATGGAGCCTCTCTATGTTGCCCAGGCTGGTCTCAAACTCCTGGGCTCAAGTGATCCTCCTACCTTGGCCTCCCAAAGTGTTGGGATTACAGGCATGAACCACCTCACCCAGCCTAAGTGGTGGCTCATGCCTGTAATCCCAGCACTTTGGGAGGCTGAGGCAGGTGGATCATGAGGTCAGGAGTTCGAGACATGCCTGGGCAATATAGTGAAACCCTAGTTTCTACAAAAAATACAAGAATTAGCTGGGCATGGTGGTGTGTGCTTGTAGTCTTGGCCACTCAGGAGCCTGAGGTAGGAGGATGGCTTAAGCCCAGGAGGCAGAGGTTGCAGTGTGCCAAGGTCACGCCACTGCACTCTAGTCTGGGTAATAGAGGGAGGCTCTGTCTCAATGATAATAATAAATTTAAAAAAAATCTTCAAATTAGCTCATTCTGGGTTATCCAAGTGGGTCCTAAATCCAATGACAAGTGTCCTTATAAGAGACACTCAGAGGACAAACACAGACAAAAGTGGAGAAGACCATGTGAAAATGGAGGCAGAAATTGATGATACAGAGATTCCAGACAGCTGAACACACAGAGGTTCCTGGAGGGTGGCGCACCCAGGGAGGGCATGGAAACTCCACACCCTTCACCCATACTTTGCCCTACGTGTTTCTTCATCTGTATCCTTTGCAATATGCTTTATAATAAACCGGTAAACACAAGTAAGTGTTTCCCTGAGTTCTGTGAGCCACTCCAGCGAATTAATCAAACTCAAAGAGGGGGACATAGGAACCCCAACTTGAAGCCAGTTGGTTAGAAGTTCTGGAGGCCTGGACGTGAGACTGGTGTGTGTGGGTGGGTGGGGGGCCAGTCTTGGTCTCAACCTGTGGGATCTGACACTATTCCGGTAGACAGTGTTGGAACTGAATTAGAAGACACCCAGATGGTGTCCACTGCTTGGTGTCCAGGGGAAAATAAACCCATACATATGGTCACAGAAGTCTCCTTTTGTGTTGATGATTGTTGTGGTGTGAGAGTAGAGGAAAAACACAGTTAGAGTTTTCCCTACACAACTGATGTCAGTGAAGCAGGATTTGCTGGAATGGCTCTGACTCATGGAAACATGTGGTTTGGGAAGAGAAACAATAAAAGGGTGGGGATGAGAAATCTTTGATTTCTGGG
Source organism: Homo sapiens (assembly GCF_000001405.40). NCBI lineage: Eukaryota > Metazoa > Chordata > Mammalia > Primates > Hominidae > Homo > Homo sapiens. The sequence continues at coordinate 91,924,307 of NC_000001.11, read as the reverse complement.
TGGCCACGTGGTCACCCACGGTATGAAGCCACAGCTGTGTTGAGATCAGTTACTAAAGGTAAAAGTTACAAGTGGAGTTAAGATATTTAATTCATTGGTTATTGTTATCTGCAATGGCTAAAATGAAAGTAAAAGATGGTGCTGGGTCAGGACTTGAGGCTGACCAACCTCAGATGTGGGTCTGTCTGAGCTCAGGCCACTAGCCTCAAAGTCACCCACAAAGGAGAAAATTATACAGGGACAACAGAATGTGCCTCTGAGATCTGTGGTTACCAAGAAGGTAGTCAATGTGAAGGAAGGGCAAAACCAAGTAACTATTGAAACCAGAAGGAGAGTGTGAAGGAATCGTTCCATTTTGTAGACTGGTGTCATTGGCTTCCTGAGGATGCTTTACTAAAATGGATTATGAGAGTGACTAATTCAGGGGAAGAATGCAGAGTGGAAGGACATGTTTGGGGTGATGCAGGACCCACAGACACATAGGAAGTTATTCCTGGCCGGGCGCGGTGGCTCACGCCTGTAATCCCAGCACTTTGGGAGGCCGAGACGGGCGGATCACGAGGTCAGGAGATCGAGACCATCCTGGCTAACACGGTGAAACCCCGTCTCTACTAAAAATACAAAAATTAGCCGGGCATGGTGGCGCGCGCCTGTAGTCCCAGCTACACGGGAGGCTGAGGCAGGAGAATGGCGTGAACCCGGGAGGCGGAGCTTGCAGTGAGTCGAGATCGCGCCACTGCACTCCAGCCTGGGCGACAGAGCGAAACTCCGTCTCAAAAAAAAAAAAAAAAAAAAAAAAAAAAAGGAAGTTATTCCTGAGGCAACAGCCAGCCTGGTGGAGTGGATATAAGCCTCTGTAAGGTCTGTTTATCCTGAGAAGAAGGTCTGCCCGAATTCACCTATAAATGTCAAGTGGAACACCCCTGATGAGGCAGCTGATGTGCTTTGTATTCAAGCCATGTGGTACTAGCTTTGGGATGACCAGGATATTCACCTGATGAATGTGCCTGTTAACCAGGTCAGGGTAAATGCCGTGATTAAGGGGGCCCCTTCTACCTGGGGACCCCATGTGATATTACTCCTGCAGACTCCAACTACAGAGAAGCCTTAACAAATTTGCTTTGTGGGTCTTACAGATGTTAATAAAAGCATTAGGTTAGTTAACAAGAGAACAGGGAAAGGCAAAAGGGAGAGTCAAAGTACTTATTGTAGGATGGTGGACTTTTTTTTTTTTTTGAGATGGAGTCTCGCTCTGTCGCCAGGCTGGAGTGTAGCGGCATGATCTCAGCTCACTGCAACCTCCGCCTCCCGGGTTCAAGCGATTCTCCCGCCTCAGCCTTCAGAATAGCTGGGACTACAGGTGTGCCACCACCACACTCAGCCAATTTTTATATTTTTAGTAGAGACAGGGTTTCACCATGTTGGCCAGCATGGTCTCGAACTCCTGACCTCAAATGATCCACCCACCTCGGCCTCCCAAAGTGCTGGGATTATAGGCGTGAGCCAATGCACCCAGCCAAGAAATTTTTTAATGGTTATTAAGAAATATGGTGAATAAAGAAATAAGATGATGGGGTGAAACTATGAAGAAAAAAGAAGGCTGGACAACAAAGCAAGACCCCATCTCTACAAAAAAAATGAAAAAATTAGCTGAGCATGGTGGCACACACCTGTGATCCCAGGAACTTGGGAGGCTGAGGTAGGAGGATCACTTGAGCCGGGAGGTCAAGGCTGCAGTGAGCCATGATCATACCACCGCACTCCAACCTGGGCAACAGAGTGAGACCCTGTCTCGAAAGAAAGAAAGAAAGAGAGAGAGAAAGAGAGAGAGAGAGAGAGGAAGGAAGGAAGAAAGGAAGGAAGGAAGGGAGAATAAGAAAGGAGAGAGTCATGGGACTCATCCCAGCATGGTGGAAATATTTAGATGGCTATTAAGAAATGGAATTAATAAAATGAAAATTGATGAGGTTACAATAAAAATCTTAGTTCTATCGTAGGTTGAGTGAACCAAATCTTCTGGGTCTCCCACAATTAAAGGGCCCAAACCAGTTTGCTGTGTTTTTCTCAGTTTGGAGAGATTTAAAAAGCGGGAAGGCAGAGGTTACAATGAAAAATCTGATCCGAAATTGCTTAGGGCAATAGTCGGGCAGACTAATCAAGATAAAGATTGACAAAAGAGGCAGGGTCCTTTGGCTCAACCCTTGGCTGGGGACCCAAAGACTTTGGCACAAGAGAGGATAAAATGGTCTGGGGGTGAGGAAGAGTTCATGAAACTGGAACATAAAAATGGAGGAGCCAGTTATGAAAGTTGGTGTATTTGAATACACTTCACGTGAAGTGGTTGCATTTTTTTTTTTTGAGACAGAGTCTCACTTTGTCGCCTAGGCTGGAATGCCGTGACACGATATCAGCTCACTGCAACCTCTGTTTCCCGGGCTCAAGTGATTCTCGTGCCTCAGTCTCCTAAGTAGCTGCTACCACGTGCTGTCACGCCGGCTAATTCTTGTATTTTCTGTAGAGACAGGGTATCATCATGTTGGCTAGGCTGGTCTCAAACTCCTGAGCTTAAGTCATCTGCCCACCTTGGCCTCCCAAAGAGCTGGGATTATAGGCACGAGCCACCGCACACAGCAGCATCTCTTCTACCTGATTGTATCATGGGAATGAACATTTTATCTGATTGGGGAATGTTTTCCCTACCTGGTACTGTAAAACATAAGGCATGTGAATCTGTTTTTCAAACATTAATTGGACACGCTAAATGGGAACCAGTAATATTGCCCAAGCTCACACAGTGCACAGTAGAAGCTAGAGTGCTGGTAGGGACAAATTCTCCACTTTCTAACCCCCGGTGGAGTATTTCCTGGAGTTTATGGCAAAAGCCTCTAGGCTGGGCGTGGTGGCTCATGCCTGTAATCCCAGCACTTTGGGAGGCCAAGGTGGGTGGATCACGACGTCAGGAGTTCCAGACCAGCCTGGCCAACGTGGTGAAACCCCGTCTCTACTAAAAATACAAAAATTAGCTGGTTGTGGTGGCTAGGGGCTGTAATCCCAGCTATTCGGGAGGCTGAGGCAGGATCACTTGAACCCAGGAGGCAGAGGTTCCAGTGAGCCGAGATTGTGCCACCGCACTCTAGCCTGGGCAACAATAGCGAAACTCCATCTCAAAAAAAAAAAAAGCCTCTGAACACCTCCCAGCAACAACTACTGGAACCTTTGGACTAGAGAATTTCCTCTTGATGGGCCTTGCTATGAAACATTAGCTGAAGTTACCTGTATACCACCTGAAATACCCATGCTGTCTCGGGTGATGTCAGAGAAACACTTTTTTTTTTTTTTGAGACAGGGTCTTGCTGTTACCCAGGCTGGTCTCTAATTACTGGGCTCAAGCAATCCTCCTGTTTCAGCCTCCCAAAGTGCTGGGATTACTGGTGTGAGCCACTGTGCCTGGCCAGAGAAACATTCTGTTTGTTTGTTTTTTTTGTTTGTTTGAGACGGAGTCTTGCTGTGTCGCCCAGGCTGGAGTGCAGTGGCACGATCTCGGCTCACTGCAAGCTCTGCCTTCCGGGTTCACGCCATTCTCCTGCCTCAGCCTCCCCAGCAGCTGGGACTACAGGCACACGCCGCCACACCTGGCTAATTTTTGTATTTTTAGTAGAGACAGGGTTTCACCGTGTTAGCCAGGATGGTCTCAATCTCCTGACCTTGTGATCCGCCCGCCTCTGCCTCCCAAAGTGCTAGGATTACAGGTGTGAGCCACCGCACCAAGCCCAGAGAAACATTCTAATGGGGACACAGTGCCCAGAAGAGTTCGTAGTAAAATGGAAATGGTTTATGGAGGATCATCATGTTACCTGGGGAATGCAGGGAGTTGCTTTTCCACTATGGCTGACTCTGGAACTATGTGAGAAACTGCGGGATTCTACAGTGCACAATAAACAGCTCTCAACCGACTAACCAACAGCCGCTTGGTTTGTGGGTGGCAATTCCAAGGCACAAAATGCCAGGAAGAACTATTCTGTATCTCAGCAAGAGAGACAGGGACTGCTGATGGCTGTGGAACAGAGTCTGTGATGGGAAGGCCCCGATCATAGCTGGCAAGTGAGACTGATGCCGGAAGCCCTGGGGGGCTATACGTGGGTCTTCACAGGAATAGATGCTGACTCACATGGGCTTTGCTTATCCAATGGAAATGAAAACAGAGTGCAAAAGAAAGAAAAACAGAAGACGTTGCCTGGATTAGGACGGCCAACCATCATTTCTTCAGATTAAGGAACACACTGTACAGCGCAAAATGTCCAACAATGGGCAGAGAGATACCCTCTTTAGAGTAATAGTTTGATGCAGAAGTAGACTGGCAATTGAAACATTGTCTAAATCAGGGAGAGATAAGAGCATGCTGGGCTGGCTTACATACCTTCATAAGTGTGTGCTCACACTCAACACGAGTGGGACTAGAGTGGCCCTGCTAGGTTTTTTGTTTTTCTGGTTGATCTGAGGAAGGGAAAGGTGGTTGGGGAGGATGCTGGTTTTCCTTACCAAGGGAGGAGTATGCCAGTATAACAACTATAATTTTTTCTTTCTTCCTGAAATCATCTCGAAATTTTTCTTTTCTCCCTTACCTGATGCAGTGGTCCCAGGGCCAGGGCTGCAAGTACAAGTGCTGGATCAGCAGGGGTGATTTCTGTTTTTTTTTTTTTTTTTTTTTTTTTTGAGACAGAGTTTCACTCTTGTTGCCCAGGCTGGAGTGCAGTGGCTCAATCTCAGGTCTCTGCAACTTCCACCTCCCGGGTTCGAGTGATTCTCGTGCCTCAGCTTCCCAAGTAGCTGGGATTACAGGCATGTGCCACCATGCCCAGCTAATTTTTGTATTTTTGGTAGAGAAGGGGTTTCACCATGTTGCCCAGGCTGGTCTTGAATTCTTGACCTCAAGTGATCCACCAGCCTTGGTCTCCCAAAGTGCTGGGATTACAGGTGTGAGCCATCGCATCAGAATCAGAATTTTTTTTTTTTTTTTTGACATGGAGTTTCGCTCTTGTTGCCCAGGCTGGAGTGCAATGGCGCCATCTCGGCTCACTGCAACCTCCGCCTCCGAAGTTCAAGTGATTCTTCTGCCTCAGCCTCCTGAGTAGCTGGGATTACAGGCATGTGCCACCATGCCCAGCTAATTCTTTTGTATTTTTAGTAGAGAGGGGGTTTCTCCATGTTGTTCAGGCTGGTCTCGAACTCCCGACCTCAGGTGATCCGCCTGCCTCAGCCTCCCAAAGTGCTGGGATTACAGGCGTGAGCCACCACGCCTGGCCCTGAACCAGATTTGTAAGCAAAAAAATGTAATGATATTGTTAAACCTTATGTCGAAATTCCTAAGGGCATAACTGGGATGGGTGTACTTTCACCCTATCTAGCAAAATTGCAGCAAAGAGTGAATGCAGGCCGGGCGCCGTGGCTCACGCCTGTAATCCCAGCACTTTGGGAGGCAGAGGTGGATGGATCACAAAGTCAAGAGATTGAGGCCGGCTGGGCGCCGTGGTTCACGCTTGTAAGCCTAGCACTTTGGGACGCCGAGATGGGCGGATCACGAGGTCAGGAGATAGAGACCATCCTGGCTAACACGGTGAAACCCCGTCTCTACTAAAAATACAGAAAATTAGATGGGCGTGGTGGCGGGCGCCTGTAGTCCCAGCTACTCGGGAGGCTGAGGCAGGAGAATGGCGGGAACCCGGGAGGCAGAGCTTGCAGTGAGCCGCGATCGCACCACTGCACTCTAGCCTGGGCGACAGAGTGAGACTCTGTCTCAAAACAAACAAACAAAAAAAGATTGAGACCATTCTGGCCAACATGGTGAAACCCTGTCTCTACTAAAAATACAAAAATTAGCTGGGTGTGGTGGTACGTGCCTGTAGTCCCAGCTACTTGCGAGGCTGAGGCGGGAGAATCGCTTGAACCCGGAAGGCGGAGGTGGCAGTGAGCCGAGATCACGCCACTGCACTCCAGCCTGGCGACAGAGCGAGACTCCGTGTCAAAAAAAAAAAAAAAAAAAAAAAAAAAAAAAAGAGTGAATGCAGCTATACTGCCTAGTGGTAAAAATAGCTCACTAGTTCTACACCTGTGTTACCTTACCCTACCTGAATGAGAATGGATTGAGGAGGAGGTACTTGCTAGACTTGCATCGCTACCTGCAGTTTAGACCAGCACAGTGGCAATTCTAATGTTCCTTCCAAAGGTGACGAAGTTTGAATATTAATAGAGAGAGAGAGAAACAGTAACTTCCAGTAAAGAAATTAAGGCCAGGCATTGTGGTCACGCCTGTAATCCCAGTACTTTGGGAGGCCAAGGCAGGTGGATCACTTGAGGTCAGGAATTTGAGGCCAGCCTGGCCAATATGGTGAGACCCAGCTTTAGGGGAAGTTGTTTTAAAAATTAGCTGGGATGGCCAGATGCGGTGGCTCATGTCTGTAATCCCAGCACTTTGGGAGGCCGAGGCGGGCAGATCACAATGTCAGGAGATTGAGACCATCCTGGCTAACAGGTGAAACGCCGTCTCTACTAAAAATACAAAAAATTAGTCAGGTGTGGTGGCGGGCGCCTGTAGTCCCAGCTACTCGGGAGGCTGAGGCAGGAGAATGGCGTGAACCCGGGAGGTGGAGCTTGCAGTGAGCCGAGATCGAGCCACTGCACTCCAGCCTGGGCGACAGAGCGAGACTCCGTCTCAAAAACAAACAAACAAACAAAAACACAACAACTCAAAAACTCAAAAGAGTCTCAGAGTAAGAGATGACATTATGTCTTAGCTCCATCATCCCAGATGCCTGAAAGTGTGAGCTGTATACTTACCAAGGCCACTTCTGCTTTGGAACCTGACAAGATTGAGAGGAAACCTGCAAACCTGAGTGGCCTCATCTTGGGAGATATTCAAACTGTAAGCCAAAAATAAAATTCCAGGGCCCCCCGACTATCTGAACACACCCCTCCTCTCAGCCAAGGACATTCCAAAGTTAACCTGAAAAACTAGTTCCATGATGGAAAGGAGGGGCTGGACATGCCTCACTATACTTTCCTCCCTTTTGGAATTTGGGAAATACCAACCAGCGTTAACATCAACACAGACCTTAAGTCTGATAAGAAGCATTTACAATCTATTTTCTCTGAAGCTGGCTACCTAGAGGCTTCATCTGCATGATAAAACCTTGCTCTCCACAGCCCCTTATCATAACCCAGACATTCGTTTCTATTGTTAATAACTCTTTAAACCAGTTGCCAGTTAGAAAATTTTTAAATCTGCCTATGACCTGGAAGCCCCCCTGCTTTGAGTTGTTCCACCCTTCCAGACTGAACCAACGTAAATCTCACATGTATTGATTGATGTCTTATGTCTCCCTAAAATGTATAAAAGCAAGCTCTAACCCAACCCCCTTGGGCACATGTTGTCAGGACCTCCTGCGGCTGTGTCCTGTGTGTCCTTAACCTTGGCAAAATAAACTTTCTAAATTGATTGAGATCTGTCTCAGATACTTTTGGGTTCATGAAACAATATGATGGTCTGGATTATTCATGATTGTGTGTGTGTGTGTGTGTGTGTGTGTGTATATGTATAGTAAGTATATATATATATAGTAAGTATATGTATATAGTAAGTATATATATAGTAAGCATATATAGTAAGTATATATATAGTAAGTGTATATATATAGTAAGTATATATATATATAGTAAGCATATATATATATATATATAGAGAGAGAGAGAGAGAGAGAGTAAAAAATCCGTGGTTGAAAACCAGGGGGTGGCCTGTGGTGTTATGATATATATTATTTTTACCCAGGGTTCCTGGCTCATAACTCCCATAGGCCCTGTTAGAACCTTCTGTTAGAACGTTGGCTGTGTTAGGCCTCAGGGGCAGGCCTTCTGTCCCTTTTCCTGTCTCCCTTCCACTCTAATGTCCTCTTGACTTTCTGATTGTGGGTCTTAAGGCCTTCCCATGAGAGGGTCCCACCCTATACCCTGGGGAAAGAAATGCTGATGTCGTGAAGCTTCCAGAAAAATCCAAAAGGACTGGATTCAGTGAACTTCCAGACAGCTGGAAGGTTGCACCAGGAGGGCAAGGTGGCTCCACACCCCTTCCCCTATGCCTCACCCTACATGTCTTACGTGCCTCTTTATCTGTATCCTTTGTAATATCCTTCATAATAAACAGGTACATGTAAAAAAAAAAAAGAAAGAAAAGAAAAAAGAAAAGAAAAATCGAATGATACAGCCACAAAGAACACCTAGAGCCACCAGAAAGCTGCAAGAGGCAAGATTTCTCCCTGAGAGCCCCACAGGTAGAGCAGCCCTGCTGACACCGTGCTTTCAGACTTCTGGTTTCCAGAACTGGGAGAAAATACATTGCGATTGTTTACAGCAGCCATAGGAAACTAATACAGGGAGGGAGGAGTCCCGGATGCCCCCGACCCTCATCCCAGGTTTCTGAGTGTCTGATATTGTCATTTACTGAGTTAGAGAAGTCTGGGTTTCTGGGGGTTGGGAGATGGAGTTCTGATTTGGACACATTACATTTGAAATGCTTGTAAGATGTCCAGGCAGAGATGTTGATCAATAGCTGGATAGAGTAGTCTGGAACTCAGAGGAGGATCAAGTGGGAAGGTAGAAATTGGGAACTGTCAAGCATACAGATCACATTCTTTTTAAATTTTAATTAATTGATTTTTTTTTTTAGAGACAAGGTCTTGCTTTGTTGCCCAGGCTGGAGTGCAGTGGTGAGATCATAGCTCACTGTTGCCTGGAACTCCTGACCTCCCAGCTGGGACTACAGGTGTGTGTCGCAAACCAGCTACTTTTTCTTTTCTTTTTTATTTTTTAGTTTTTTTGAGATGGTGTTTGGCTCTGTCACCCAGGCTGGAGTGCAGTGGCGCAATCTCAGCTCACTGCAACATCCGCCTCCCGGGTTTAAGCAATTCTCTGCCTCAGCCTCCTGAGTAGCTGGGATTATAGGCATCCGCCACCATGCCCGGCTAATTTTTTGTATTTTTCATAGAGATGGGGTTTCACCATCCAGGCTGGTCTTGAACTCCTGACCTCGTGATTCACCCGCCTCGGCCTCCCAAAGTGCTGGCATTACAGGCGTGAGCCACTGTGCCTGGCCTCATTGGCTAACAAAAACATTTTTTTTTGTAGAGATGGGGTCTCACTATCTTGCCCAGGCTGGTCTCAAACTCCTGGGCTCAAGCAAACCTCTTGCCTCAGCCTCTCAAAGTGATGAGATTATAGTGTGAACCATTGTGCACGGGCAATTAAAAAAAATTTTTTTAGAGACTGGGATCTTGCTATATTGCCCAGGCTGGTCTTGAACTCCTGAGGTCAAGTGATCCTCCTGCCTCAGCCTCCTAAAATGCTGGGAGTATAGCTGTGAGCCACCATGCCTAGTCCAAAATATTTTTTTCCGTTTGTTGACTGATGGCTGGCCTTCCATAATTAGAGATTCATTCCTTTAGATATTCAAACATAAACACTCTTTGGGAGAAATCATTCATATGCTTTTTCTTTATATGTTTGTTAGAATTTGTTTATCAGACACTTTCCTTAGAGCAGGTTATGATGTAGTGGGTGATAGAGTGTGAAAGAGCGAAAGTTAGGCAGGCTGAGTAGAAAAAGGCAATCAAGAGAAACTGGAACCCTTAAAGCCTGACCATCTCTGCTTTACAGTTTTGCATGGGAGGGAAATGGCAGCCTAGAGAAAGATTCCTCACCACTATGCCATTGCCTGAAAACTTTTTTTTTTGAGACAAGGTCTGGCCCTGTCACCCAGGCTGGAGTGCATGGCGTGATCTCAGCTGACTACAACCTCTGCCTCCCAGGTTCAAATGATTCTCATGCCTCAGCCTCCTGAGTAGCTGAGATTACAGGCACATGCCACCACGCCCGGCAAATTTTTGTATTTTTAGTGGAGACAGGTTTTCGCCATGTTGCGCAGGCTGGTCTCAAATTCCTGGCCTTGAGCGATCCACCCATCTCAGCCTCCCAAAGTGCTGGGATTACAGGCGTGAGCCACCGCGCCCAAACTGAAAACTCATTTATCAAACTTTTTTCCCATAGATGGAATCTGAGCTGACACACCCTTCTCCAGAATGAAAAGAAATGTGAAAGAAACACGCTGACACACAGGGGACACCTTTACAATATTATGAGAGGAAATCTGCTGCATGGACTTCACAGCATTTTGTTAAGGGCTGTTCTGTAGTTTCTGCATTCTCCAATGGGATGGTTACTTTTACTAGCCTGTCTATGTTACCTCCTCTTGTCTCCATGGCTAATATCATCAGCCTAGCACTAGCCTATTGTGACTCTCCGGAACTACTACAGCAGCCCCCTACATCTGGCCAGATCCCCTGCAACCCTCCACCTACCCCCGACCTTCCTGCTAGCTCTGAGAGAGAGGGAGCATTTTTAAGACGCAAATATGCTTCCCATTCTTCAGTGCTCCTTGGACAAAAAAACCATAAAGCTTTGTTTGATCTAACTATTGTCCTATATTTCCAGCTTTATCTCTCCCCTCCCTCTCCCGTCCCAATGCCCATGGGGACTTGGCTCTCTGAGATCCAGCTGCACTGACATTCATTCAGTGTTTCCAGCTCCACAAACCCTTGCTCAGTCTGGAATGGGTTCCCCATCCCTTCATTAGGAAAGCAGTCCTGACCTCTTTCCCTCCCCAACTGTATCAAGTCCCCCTATTTTGAGATTTCTGGCACCGTGTACCTTTTCTGCCTGATTCTTATGAGAGTTGTAATTATATGTATATATATTTTTAGTGGGATTATTTTATCAATGTCTCTTCCCTATCAGATTTTAATCTCCATGAGAGCAGGTATCTTTTTCTTGGTGGCATCCCTCACATCCAGCCGCCCTGGGCCAGTTACAGGATCTCATTGTATGTTGGCTGAATAGATGAAATAAATGAACATATTTTGCCACTAATTGTTAAGTTACCAGATGAATTGTAAGAGTTCTCAGGATGGCTGACTTCTATGTGGCTCTTTAGGGCTTGAAAGTGATTCATAATAATATTGAGTCTGATTTTCCTCCTCCTGGGGAGATTCCAACTCTGAGTAAAAGGAGATAAGTTCTTGCAGGCCCCAGGAGAAATGGTATCTTTTTTGTGATAGCAACCAGCAGGAAGGGTTTCTCTTATGAATGAAGGGAAAACTCAATGAAGGACGATGTCCACCTTAACATAGAGAGCCACTCCCTCACCCCCACGTACACACTTTTACAATGTGCTCTGGTTATTTGAAAATGTGTTTGGCCTCCCTGAAAGAAGAAAGAAGAGGATAACTAAACTCAATCACTTTAAATAGAAAGGAAGACACAGGGGCGATGCTTGATAAAATTACCAAAAAACATTAATTTAAGAAAAAAGTCTACATACCTCACATGTAGTTCAAATTTTTTTTTTCAAATATTAAGTCTCCAAAACATGGCTCTAGTCTTCAGAGTGAGGAAAATATGGTGTACATCTGCACATTTGCTTTCTCATGGCTTGTGTTTAATTATCCACAAAGAAAAAAATTCACAAGATGTTTCATGTTCTTCTCTTTTAACTGCCAAAGCAGGAACTTCTGAGGCTTTGATAGAATTGGTTGCAATCCCTTTGAAAGTTTTTATTAATGTAGACAGAGTATGTTTTTAATCTTTTGTATTTTGAACACCCAAATTTATGTTCTGTGATTTGTTCATGCTTGATTCTATCATATTTTAAGTAAACAAGGAGTCAACAGTTTTTACCCAGCAAAATATATTGGGATTTTTTAAAAATATAGTGTAATGATGATTAATGAACAAAGTATTAAATCAGAGGATTCTTCATTGTGACAGAAAGGAAGTCTTGAGACCCAGTGAGAGATTGATATCTCCATTGATTTTAATGTAAACATCAGAGACATTCCACTGTGAACACATTTCTTTCCGGAGATTTTCTTTCTGGAAAGAAATGTGTTCTGGAAAGAGGGAGAAAAGCATAATTACAAAGAAAAGCATAATTTTCTAGGACAATGCATACAAATTTAGCCATAAGGTAATCATTTATATGATAAACATTAAATGAGATTTCATACCTTTTTTTTGTTGTTGTTGAGACGGAGTCTCACCGTGTCACCCAGGCTGGAGTGCAATGGTGCCATCTCAGATCACTGCAACCTCTACTTCCTGGGTTCATGAGGTTCTCCTGCCTCAGCCTCCCAAGTATCTGGGATTATAGGCGCCCAGCTAAAGAGATTTCACACTCTCTTAAATCCAGAAAAATAATGCATGTGGTACAATATTTCCTTCTAGGTATTCTTAAATTCAATCTGTGATGACAATTTAGAGATTAATTTTTTTTTTCTTTGAGACACAGTCTTGCTTTGTCACCAGGCTGGAGTGCAGTGGTACGATCTCAGCTCACTGCAACCTCCGCCTCCCGGGTTCAAGCCATTCTCCTGCCTCAGCCTCCCGAGTAGCTGGGACTACAGGTGCGCACCACCATGCCCAGCTAATTTTTGTATTTTTAGTAGAGATGGTTTCACCATGTTGGCCAGGATGGTCTCGATCTCTTGACCTCGTGATCTACCCACTTCGGGCTCCCAAAGTGTTGGGATTACAGGTGTGAGCCACCACGCCCAGCCTATTTTAATGTTTTAATGGTGTGTGATCTACTTTTCAAATAAGAAAAGATGTAGTTAAATGTTAATTAAGCATTTTACTTCTGTCTTCCAGAATAGAAGCTCCCTGAGGCTGAGAATTTTTTTTTTTTTTTGAGACAGTGTCTCAGTTACCCAGGCTGGAGTGCAGTGGCACGATCATGGCTCACTGCAGCCTCTGCCGCCTGTGCTCAAGTGATCCTTCCACCTCAGCCTCTCGAGTAGCTGTAGTTCCAGTTACTCAGGAGACTGAGGCAGGAGGATTGCTTGAAGCCAGGAGTTCGAGGCCACAGTGCCCTATGATCACACCTGTGAATAGCCACTGTACTCCAGCCTGGGCAACACAGCTAGGTGTGATGGTTTATTCCTGTAATCCCCACACATTGAGAGGCCAAGGAAGGAGGATCACTTGAAGCCAGGAGTTCAAGAAGAGCCTGGGAAATATAGGGAGACCCCACCTCTACAAAAAAATCAAAAATTAGCCAGTCGTAGTGGCACACACCTGTAGTCCCAGCTACTCAGAAAGCTAAAGTGGGAGAATTGCTTGAGCCAGAGAAGTTGAGGCTGCAGTGATCCATGATTGTGCCACTGCACTCCAGCCTGGGTGACAGAGTGAGACCCTGTCTCAAAAATAAATAAATAACGGCCGGGCGCGGTGGCGCATGCCTGTAATCCCAGCACTTTGGGAGGCTAAGGCAGGCGGATCACAAGGTCAGGAGTACAAGACCAGCCTGACCAACATGGTGAAACCCCATCTCTACTAAAAATACAAAAATTAGCCGGGCATGGAGGCATGCGCATGTAAGCTAATCAGGAGGCTGAGGCAGGAGAATCGCTTGAACCCAGGAGGCAGAGGTTGCAGTGAGCCAAGATGGCACCATCGCACTCCAGCCTGGGCGAGAGAGCAAGACTCTGTCTCAAAAAAAAATAATAAAAATAAAAAATAAATACATATCTTAATTACATTGACTGAATAAATTGCCCAGCCTGACTTTCATCTTTGGTTGTGTAGATGTCATCCCTAAAAGGTACCCTATAAATGAGATGCAACACTTATACTCTAATTAGTTAAATTGGGATGGTATGGGTAAGAGACATGATAGAACTTAGTAAATATTTTGAGAATATTAGAGAAAAAAACTGATTCACATAAATTGATTCTACTTAATTACCACTTACAGTAGGTCACACAAAGTCCATTCTCCTTGAAAAGGACTCTGGAAGTACACCAAAAGATGTTAAACCCACTAGTTGCAAAAGCTTCCATCACTGCAATATATCATTTCCAGGGATGGTTTATTTTATATATATATATATATATATATATATATATTTTTTTTTTTTTTTTTTTTGAGACGGACTCTCACTCTGTTGCCCAGGCTAGAGTGCAGTGGCGTGATCTTGGCTCACTGCAACCTCTGCCTCTCAGGTTCAAGATATTCTTGTGCCTCAGCCTCTCGAGTAGCTGGGATTACAGGTGTGCACCACCATGCCCAAATAATTTTTTATTTTTAGTAGAGATGGAGTTTTGTCATATGGTCAAGGCTGGTCTTGAACTCCTGGCCTCAAGTAATCCGCCCACCTTGGTCTCCCAAAGTACTAGGATTACAGGCGTGAGCCACCACACCTGGCCAATTTATTATATATTAATTAGATAACATTTGAATTTGATGCCTTCCAGATGAGATTTTTATGCAATATCTTGGTGATTTAGGAAGACGCCCTAGTGTTATTAGTAACAAGGTTTCAAATTTTGGGTGTGTCCACTCTAGGGAAGATATCTTCATATAGCTCATCTCATTCTTTTTAGTGTTTTCATTGCAAAGGGTGACTACTTTTTTCTCACTTCTTTACCATATTCTATGATTATGCCCTGTTTGGATTGTGTACTCCCATAGGGAATACACAAACATACATATACACACATGTGTATATATATATATATATATATATATATATTATGTTTACATCTTCTTTTCATCATGGATTTTTTTTTTTTTTTGAGATGGAGTTTCGAGTTTCGAGTTTTGAGATGCTGGGATTACAGGCATGAGCCACTGTGCCTGGCTTCATCACAGATTTCTATTGGAGTTTTAAAAAGTTGTATTGGGCTGGGCACGGTGGCTCATGCCTGTAATCCCAGCACTTTGGGAGTCTGAGGCGGGCAGATCACCTGAGTTTGGGAGTTTGAGACCAGCCTGACCAACATGGAGAAACCCAGTCTCTACCAAAAATTCAAAATTAGCCAGGCGTGGTGACGCATCCCTGTAATCTCTGCTACTTGGGAGGCTGACGCAGGAGAATCGCTTGAACCCGGGAGGCGGAGGTTACGGTGAGCCAAGATCGTGCCATTGCACTCTAGCCTGGGTAACAAGAGTGAAACTCCATCTCAAAATTAAAGAAAAAGAAAAAGAAAAAAGAAAGTTGTGTATTATGGGGCTTATATAAATGTTTCCTTTTTTTCCTCCCTGATCATATACTCATCCTCACTCCTAGATGTGGAACATAACCAAGCTGAAAGATGAGATCATGTTTGTGAAGCCCAGTGAAATCTCAACAAGAATCTTCTAATTTGAGAGGCATCAGTATTCTACTCACTCATATGCCAAAATGCTGAAGAATAAAATCAGGAGTTTAAAAAGTCATTTTCAGCATTGGGATTAAACAAAGAACACCGAATTTTTCATTTTTGTATTTTTAAAATATTTATAATAACTTATTTTTTCTTGTAAGCATGATGCTGTTTCACTTAGAAAAATTGACTCAGCCAACAATAGTGATTTGCAAATGCAAATAATGCCAATGTCTTCCTTTTTTTCTCAGTATTGTTGAAATTATTTCTATGTTAACTCTTTTGTTTTTATTTTGAAGTTGGCAAATTTTTATATTTATTTATTTATTTTTTGAGATAGGGTCTCGCTCTGTCACCCAGGCTGGAGTGCAGGGGCTCAATCTCAGCTCACTGCAACCTCTGCCTTCTGGGTTCAAGTGATTCTCCTGCCTCACCCTCCCAAGTAGCTGGGATTATAGGCATCTGCCACCATGCCCAGCTAGTTTTGGTATTTTTAGTAGAGACGAAGTTTCACCATATTGGCCACGTTGGTCTCGAACTCCTGACCTCAAGTGATATGCCTGCTTCTGCCTCCCAAAGTACTGGGATTATAGGCATGAGCCACCACGCTGGGCCAAAATTGGCAAAATTTTATGAAGAACTCTTAGACCACTATTTATTAATTTCCTGATTTGCTTTTTTAATATGAAGAAACATTTTTCCTTTGTTACTTTTTCATGTACTTGTATATGATTATTATTTATTAGTGGTCTGATTTGCTTTTTCAATATGGAAAGATAATTTTCCCTTTTTTTCATGTAATTATGCACACACTTTATTGCTTAGGATGCAGAACATATGAGGATAACTTTTTTTTTTTGGCAGATGTTTACCATATGTGGAGCTTAGTTAGCATAGAGAATACTCATGAGTCAAGAATGGCCCACCCCAATGCCCCTTTGAAACATTTGTATGTGGTTTCATGAAATAAATACTTTTTTTTTTGGAGAGGTAGTTTCACTCTTATTGCCCAGGCTGGAGTGCAATTGTGCGATCTTGGCTCACTGCAACCTCCACCTCCCAGGTTCAAGCGATTCTCCTGCCTCAGACTCCTGAGTAGCTGGGATTACAGGCAGGTGCCGCCACACCCAACTAATTTTGTATTTTTAGTAGAGATGGGGGTTTCTCCATGTTGGTTAGGCTGGTCTCAAACTCCTGACCTCAGGTGATCCACCCGTCTCGGCCTCCCAAAGTGCTGGGATTACAGGTGAGCCACCGCACCTGGCACAAATGTATATTTTAATAGAGTCAAGATGGCCATGCTGAAGTCTTTGTTTTTGGGTAATCCAACCCAAACTATCTGCTGTGGGCATCTATTTTTTTTTTTTTTTTTGAGACGGAGTCTCACTCTGTCACCCAGGCTGGAGTGCAATGGCGTGATCTAGGCTCACTGCAACCTCCACCTCCTGGGTTCAAGCGATTCTCCAGCCTCAGCCTCCTGAGTAGCTGGGACTACAGGCATGTGCCATCATACCCGGCTAATTTTGTATTTTTAGTAGAGACGGGGTTTCACCATGTTGGTCAGACTGGTCTCAAACTCCCGTCCTCAGGTGATCTGCCCACCTCAGCTTCCTAAAGTGCTGGGATTACAGGTGTGAACCACTGTGCCCAGCCGGGCATCTATTGTTTTTTCTGCACACTCTACCATACCTCTTAAAAAATTTTTTAAAAATTTTTATTGTTTGTGGGTACATAGTAGGTATATATATTTATGGCATACATGAGATATTTTGATACAGGCATGTAGTGTGTAATTATCACATCATGGTAAATGTGGTATCCATCGCCTCAAGCATTTATCCTTTGTGTTACAAACAATCCAATTATACTCTGTTTTTTAAAAAAATGTACAATGAAATTATTATTGACTTTAGTCATACTGTTGTGCTATTAGATACTAGATATTATTCGTTCTAACTGGAATAATATATTTTTTAAACAGTAAAGAATGAGATAAAAAAGTGAAAGAGAAAGAGAAAGGTACTGTATTCCTGGGTAAATATACATGCTCCCTTTGCTTTCCCTGTTTCATTGACAGCCATGCACACTTACGTTTATATTCCTCATTATTTGATAATCTTCCCCATTAGAGAAATAGGAAAGGCTCTAGAACACATGAACACACTTATACAGCCTTTATGATATCCAAATTTATCCATTTTACGCCAAAAAAAAAAAGTACTTTCAGTAGTGCCTCCCATGTATCTTTCAAAAGGTACATAGCTCTGGGTGCACAAAAAAATTAACACAATTCCCTATACAAAAGGGACTGCTCAGAGCTAATAACAGCTAAAGAAGAGAGGACGCCAATTGCAGGTACAGGCACATCTCTTCGAACCCTCCCCTAAAACAAATGAAGGACAGAAGAAAACAGAAAACTGGTTAATTCAATTATTACTCTGCGGAAACTTAGGGATAGTGCAAATAAAGCTCTGAAATTAGACTTTACTGAGCCCTGCCTCTTGGGCATCCCCCAAGAAGTGTCCGCGACCCCCCAGAAACCTCAGGGACACCCTCCTAGACACCCCGCCCCACCAGCCTCACAGGGATGAACCTCCCTACCATTCTTTGAACCCCCCTACCATTCCTTTTTGTCTGGAATCAGATCTTGATTTCCTTTTGGGGAATCGCCCCTCCCCTGGCCATGTGGTTCTCGCGAGATGAGCACAGTGCCCCACCTACTCTGAACTAAGAATCTTGTTTTTTTGAGACGGAGTCTCACCCTGTCGCCCGGGCTGGAGTGCAGTGGCGCGATCGCAACCTCCGCTTCCCGGGTTCAAGGGATTCTCCTGCCTCAGCCTCCTGAGTAGCTGGGACTACAGGCGCACGCCACTACACCCGGCCAATTTTTGTATTTATTTATTTTATTTTATTTTATTTTTTAGTAGAGACGGGGTTTCACCATGTTGGCCAGAACAGTCTCGATCTCCTAACCTCGTGATCCACCCGCCTCGGGCTCCCAAAGTGTTGAGATTACAGGCGTGAGCCACCGCGCCCGTCCAGAATTATCTTTAAAATTTATTTCTTTAAGATTTGTAGCTACTAAGAAAGAAAGGAGCTTTTTTTCCTTGGGCCTTCAAACTGAAAGAACCGCATGAGCCTGAAGCTGCGCATGGTCTTAACATCAGGCTGTGCAGGAAGAAGCTATCTGCAGATGGATGCCAGCACACACAAGGAAGCAGAGCTCTGGCAACATTGAGGTCAGTACCTTCTTTTTTGCTTAAGCTAATATTAATTGAATTTCCATCATTTGCAACCAAAAGTGCTTTGATACTGCTTTTCATCTAGGGGTAAGAATGATCAACTTGGTGCAAGCAAAAGTAACTGGTTGGCCAGGCGCGGTGGCTCGCGCCTGTAATCCCAGCACTTTGGGAGGCCGAGGCGGGTGGATCAGCGAAACCCCGTCTCTACTAAAAATACAAAAAATTAGCTTTGCGTGCTGGTGGGCGCCTGTAATCCCAGCCACTTGGGAGGCTGAGGCACGAGAATCGCTTGAACCTGGGAGGCCGACGTTGCAGTGAGCCGAGGTCGTGCCACTGCACTTCAGCCTGGGCAACAGAGTGAGACTCTTACCTCAAAAAAACAAAAACAAAAACAAAAAGTAACTGGTCAACGGTTGTGAGTAATAGAAAACTTATCACAATCTCTTTTGGATAACTGGTAAATTTTTATTGGTTTGGCATGCTAAATTTAGAAAGCTCAAATAACTAGCATTTTTCTGTACCCTAGAGAAAAGTGTTAAATAAGCCAACTGATCCTGAGGATTATTCAAAGATGTAATTCCAGGTTATGTCAGAGTGTCAGTGTGGATTCAACTTAATCACCTACATTTCCAACATTAATAGGATTATTCTGTAGAAACTGATGCCAAGAGAAATGATCCTGAGTTCTGTACTAATAATAGCTACAACATATTGACATATTTTGTGCCAAGAAGTGTGCTAAGCCTATCATTATTTATATTTAATTCGCCCAGAAATCCTAAAAGGTAGGTGTGATTGTTCCTTTTTTACAGGTAAAGAATCTGGCCAGGCATGGTGGCTCATGCCTGTAATCCCAGCATTTTGGGAGACCAAAGCGGGCGGATCACGAGGTTAGGAGTTCAAGACCAGCCTGGCCACCATGGTGAAACTCTATCTCTATTAAAAATACAAAAATTAGGCCGGGCGCGGTGGCTCATGCCTATAGTCCCAGCACTTTGGGAGGCCGAGGTGGGCGGATCACCTGAGGTCAGGAGTTCGAGACCAGCCTGGCCAACATGACAAAACCCTGTCTCTACTAAAAAGTACAAATATTAGCCAGGCATGGCAGTGGGGGCCTGTAATCCCAGCTACTCAGGAGGCTGAGGCAGGAGAATTGCTTGAACTCAGGAGGCAGAGGATGCAGTGAGCCGAGATTGCACCACTGCACTCTAGCCTGGGTGACAAGAGTGAGACTCCACCTCAAAAAAAAAAAAAAAAAATCAGCTGCATGTGGTGGCACGCGTCTGTAATCCCAGCTACCTGGGAGGCTGAGGCAGGAGAATTGCTTGAACCCGGGAGGCAGAGGTTGCAGTGAGCTGAGATCCCACCATTGCATTCCAGTCTGGGCGACAGAGCAAGAAAAAAAAAAAAAGAATTTTAGGTTTAGTAATGTGCTCAAGCATGGGCTTTGAAATTAGAAAGACAACTGACAAGTAGTAGAACCCAAATCTAAGCCCTCATGTTGATATTTCTAAAAAAAAAAAAAAAAAAAAAATCCAAGCCCTGATCTTTCTAATTTCAAACCCATGCTTTTAACCACTGTGCTCTCTATAAGTTTCCAAAGTAAGTTTTTGAGTTAGCAGGGTTTTACTATAGTTTTTTGAGACAGTGTTGCTCTGTTGCCCAGGTTGGAGTGCAGTGGCACGATCTCGGCTCACTGCAGCCTCTGCCTCCTGGGTTCAAGCGATTCTTGTGTCTCAGCCTCCCGAGTAGCTGGGATTACAGATTATAGGAACGCGCCACCAGGCCTGGCTAATTTTTTTTGTATTTTTAGTAGAGATAGGGTTTCACTGTGTTGCCCAGGCTGGTCTCGAACTCCTGAGCTCAGGCAGTCTGCCCGCCTAGGCCTCCCAAAGTGCTAGGATTATAGGCGTGAGCCACCATGCCTGGCCAGTTTTACTAAGTTTTAATGTTAGATGTGTTAGATTGATTCTTTAAATTTGCCAACCATATGTAGCTAGCAGTTCATAAGAATTCATTCAAATATCATTTTTTCAACATATTTTGAATACATATGTAGCTTATTCCTGCTATGAGCCAGGAATAAGAATGTCTAATTGACATGGAGATCTTATTTCAAAACTCTTTTTTTTAGACAGGCTGACTGCAGCCTCGAACTCCTAAGCTCAAACGATCCTCTCACCTCAGCCTCCCAAGTACCTGCAGAGACTACCATGCCCGGCTAATTTTTAAATTTTTTTTTAGAGAGATAGGGGTCTCAGTATGTTGCCTGGGCTGGTCTTGAACTTCTGGGCTCAAGCAATCCTCCCACTTTGACTTCCCAGTGCTGAGACTATAGGTGTGAGCCAATACACCTAGCCTGTCAAAATTCTTATAGATAATCAGAATTTGCCATCAACAATCATTATCTGAATGATAAATTCTTTCTCTTATGAGACAGAGGTCCAGACTGGCAATTTTTTTTTTTTTTTTTTTTTTTTTTTTGAGGCAGAATCTCACTCTGTCTCCCAGGCTGAAGTGCAGTGGTGTGATCTTGGCTCACTGCAACCTCTGCCTCCCAGGTTCAAGCAATTCTCATGCCTCAGCCTCCTGAGTAGCTGGGATTACAGGCACACACTACCACGCCTGGCTAATTTTTGTATTTTTAGTAGAGACAGGGTTTCGCCATGTTGGTCAGGCCGGTCTCAAACTCCCAACCTCAGGTGATCACCACCCCCACCATCTCGGCCTGCCAAAGTGCTGGGATTACAGGCTTGAGCCACCATGCCCGGCCTCAATTTTTTTTTTTTTTTTTTAAGTGAGGTGCTAGAAGACTGTTACCAGAACTTGGGAGTCACTCCTTTTTCAAAAAATACACAAAACCCAGTGGTTTTAGAAGATCTGGAGGGCATCCCTGCCCATCTCATGAGATCCTCAGCATTGCAGGCAGGGAAAAGGGGTTGGAGAGCCTGGCACTGCCCCTGTCCACAGCTGTCTCCTTTCCTAAACTAAGTCTCTGATGCGAACTCTACTCCTGACCTCCATCATCCGTGTGTGAAATGCCTTGTTTTCATGTTGACTCTTCAGTGCTGGGTGCTGAATTAGCATCCTGTGTTTGTTTTAGCTTCTTATACAGGGACCAAGTCTGGAATGTAATTAATTGAGCCCTTATTTGAAATAAATGTGTTCTGGGTGTTCAGAGACCTAAAAAGATGTGAGAAAAAAAAAAGAAAGAAAAGAAAAAAAAAATAAACTGCACTTGGCTGGGTGTGGTGGCTCATGCCTATAATCCCAGCACTTTGGGAGGCCGAGGTAGGAAGATCACTTGAGCCCAGGAGTTTGAGACCAGCCTGGGCAAAATGGCAAGACCCTGTCTCTACAAAAATTAAAAAAAATTAGCCAGGTGTGTTTGTGTTTGTATGCGTCTGTCATCTCAGCTACGGAGGCTAAGGTGGGAGGATTGCTTGAGTCCGAGAGTTTGAGGCTGCAGTGAGCTATGATCATGCCACTGTACTCCAGCCTGAGTGACAGAGTGAGACCCTGTCACACACACACACACACACACACACACAAAAGAAAAGGAAAGAAACTGCACGTCTTCAAACAGAACTATGTTCTCTAATGGAGGAGTGAAAAGAAGTAGGGATTTGGAAAGAGAGCACCTAACTTTGAATTTCAGCTAACCATTTATTAAACATATGTCTTTGGGCAGATGTTTGTACCTCAGTTTTCCAATAATATTTAACTTATAAGGATGTAGGGGCAATTAAATACTGTGCATGCTAGTATTATGTAAGTTTTAAAACAAAAATTATTATAAATTAATGGAGCCTACTGATTTTGATAGGAAAATCTATAAATTCCTTGAGTATCAGTGAACACATACCGTTTTTTTTTTTTTCTTTTGGTGGGGTGGGGGAGGGTCAGGGCCTTGCTTTGTTGCTCTGTTGCCCAGGCTGGAGTGGTGCAGTGGCGTGTTTATAGCTCACTGCAGCCTCAAACTCCTGGACTCAAGTGATCCTCCCACCTCAGCCTCTGGAGTAGCTGGGACTAGAGGTATATGCTACCATGTCTGGCTAACTTTTTTTTTTTTTTAAGCACCAGGTCTTGCTATGTTGTCCAGGCTGGTCTTTAACCCAGGTCTCAAGCTATCCTCCCACCTCTGTCTCCCAAAGTGCTGGGATTACAGGCATGAGCCTGGCCCACAACGTTTATTCTAATGTTTATTTCCATAAAATTTCAAGAACAGTTGAAAAAGTTAGTTTGATGTCTTTAAACATGTTATAATATATAATAGTATACAATAACATTTGTAATATGAGAATGTACAATGCTATTATTTAAACAAAAAGCTGAATAAAAACAGATGTAAATCCTTGTCAGCTTAATCACATAAATAATCAGCCTATTGCATAGAGATTGCCTTGTTTCACTATAATCTTTGGATGTAGTTTCCATTCATTGCATATTTTCAGATATTACTTCTGACTATCCTTTTCTTCCATGCTGGAGAAGCTACTTCTTTTTCTTTGGATATTATTTGTATGTGTTCCAACTAACCAAGTATTTGGACTGATGAAGAGTTGTTATATATTTTTCAGAGGATAAGACCCAATAAAAATACACCTAACAAAAAGTATATATGATTATTTTAAAAACAAACAAAACCCACAGAAAATAACAAGTGTTGGTGAGGATGAGGACATGGAGGCACTGGAACCCTTGTAAAGTGTTAGTGGGAATGTAAAATGGTGCAGCTGCTATGGAAAATGGCATACAGAGCTCTTAAAAAATTTAAAATAGAATTACCATATGAGAAGCCACATTCAGTGGTGTATGCCTATAGTCCCAGGTATTCCAGAGGCTGAGGCAGAAGGATCATCCGAGCCCAGAAGTTTGAGGCCAGCCTGAGCAACATGACAAGACCTTATCTCAAATAAAACAAAACCAAACCCAATAACTTTTTTTCATGTCTCTTGAATTTGCTTTTTCAAGATAGGCACCACTGGGGAAATATCCAGAGAGTGGGGCAATCACAGTTTTAGTCTTTGATACTTTGAGACACTGTAAAGTGATATGATGATTCAGCTTTGCTGTCATCCCAACTATTTTCCAGAGAGTATTAATGTTGGACCACCTTGTGGATTATGCAAGACTGTCAGTGTTGCCTTTGGCACTAACAGAAAAGAGTGAGTCAAGAATATATATTGCAAGGTAGAAATGGTCAAGATGTGGAGTTTCTTGTATGTGATACTTTTCTATTTTGTTTTATAAGAAAAAACTAGCTATTTCATTAGGAAATTACAGTTTGCATATTTAGAATTTTCATTAGTAGTGATTTTAAGTGTTACTGTTGTTAAAACGGTGAGTTTGTTAGTTTAGAAACGGTTCATCTAACAGCTAACAACTTAGATTTAAATAATTAAGTTTGGCTGGGCGTGGTGATTCACACCTGTAATCCCAGCACTTTGGGAGGCTGAGGCAGGCAGATCACCCGAGGTCTGGAGTTTGAGACAAGCCTGGCCAACATGGTGAAACCCTGTCTCTGCTAAAAATACAAAAATTAGCCAGGTGTGGTGGCACACGCCTGTAGTCCCAGGTACTCGGGAGGCTGAGGTGGGAGAATCTCTAAACCTGGGAGGTGGAGGTTGCAGTCAGCTGAGATTGCACCACTGCACTCCAACCTGGGCAACAGAGTGAGACTCCATCTCAAAATAAAATAAAATGATGTAAAATAAGTAAGTTTAATATGAATGGAGAGGGATATCTAGGAGTATATTTCAGAATCTTTTTTTTTTAACTACTCCAAATATCTATGCACAAAATTCAAGTCAACTGTGCAAGAAAAGTCAAAGAAGTTTCTTTTTGTTTTGTTTTGTTTTTAGAGACAGGTCTCACTATGCTGCCCAGGCTGGAGTGCAGTGGTTATTCACAGGTACCATCATAGCACACTATAGTCTTCAACTCCTGGCTAAAGTGGTTCTCCTGCCTCAGCCTCCTGAGTAGCTGTGACTACAAGTGCCCACTGTGCCCAGCCAAAGCAGTTTCTTGGTATTTCAGGAGTTCTTGTATAAATGTTAATTTTCAGCCAAAAACTCAAGTTTGCTACAACTATACTCAATTAATGTTCTTTGTTTTATTTGTAGTCAAAGCAAGGACACAACATCAGAGGGACGGCAGAGAATCCTTGTGTGTAGATCTTTGGTGGTGAGTACCTGGGAAAAGTCACCTAAGTCAAGATGTCAGCATAAAAAGCATTTTATTTTGAGCCTGAAAAGTGGAATGAGCCATCTATCTAAGTGCTTACATGGCATAATGTGATTAGTAGAAAGGTTTTTTTGTGACTCTCTTACTCTGTTGCCCAGGCTGGAGTGCAGTGGTGTGATAACAGATCACTGCAGCCTCAACCTCCTCGGCTCAAGTGATCCTCCCACCTCAGCCTCCTGAGTAGGTGGGACTACCAGTGCACGCCACCATACGTGGCTAATTTTTAAATTTTTTGTAGAGACAGGATCTCACTATGTTGCTGAATTCCTGGGCTCAAGTGATCCTTCCGCCTAAGCTTTCCAAAGTGCAGGGGTTATAGCATAAACCATGGCACCCAGCTGACATTTTGATAGATGTATACATTGTGGAATAATTAAATCAAGCTAATTAATATATTTGTCACCTCACATTCTTATTTTGGGGGTAAGAACATTTGAAATTTACTCTCAACAATTTTGAAATTATAATACATTATTAACCATAGTCACCAAGCTGTACAATAGATCTGTCTCCATTCTTCCCTTTACATTTATGATTTGCTCTGTCTAGAAACTGAATAAGTATCACAAGGAGGAAAATTGAGTGGTTAACAAACATACATGAAACCACGTTCAACTTTACTTTCCCACCTTTAAGGCAACTTATAAACAAAAATTGTAATAGTATAGTAATGCAAGGGATATATAGCAGCTAAGAGAAATGAACTAAATCTACATATACACAACACAGATGGGTTTTAAAATCATTGTAATTATTACAGGCATGAGCCACGATGCCCGGCTGTAATATTTTATTTCTTATAGGAAAGATAACAAATTTGTCAAAATGTTAACAATGATCAGCCAGACGTGTTCGCTCACACCTGTAATCCCAGCACTTTGGGAGGCCAAGGCGGGTGGATCACGAGGTCAGGAGATCGAGACCATCCTGCTAACACGGTGAAACCCCGTCTCTACTAAAAATAAAAAAAAAATTAGCTGGGCGTGGTGGCGGGCGCCTGTGGTCCCAGCTACTCAGGAGGCTGAGGCAGGAGAATGGCGTGAACCCGGGAGGCGGAGCTTGCAGTGAGCCGAGATCGCGCCACTGCACTCCAGCCTCGGTGACAGAGCGAGACTCCATCTCAAAAAAAACAGAAAAACCAAAAAAAACATACTGTTGAATGAAAAGCAAGTTACAGATTATGTACTGCTTATGTAACGTTTTTATTTATTTGTTTTGTTTTTCTCCTTGGTGGGCATTGGAAAATGGAACATTCTTAAATGGACACATTCATACTAATAGCATCTTCATGTTCTGTCTTTTTAAATGCACACACACAGACACACACATATGCGGAAGAAAGGGACACACTGGAAGGATACACTCTAAATTCCTGAAAGTGGTTACCTCTGAAGAGACTGGGAGAGTAATTGATTTGGACTGGGGTTGAGGGGAGTGCAAGGGGGCTTCAATTGTATCTGTAATTTTTTTTCTTTTTTTCCTGTACTTTCTAGGGGTGACTAATGTAATGTTTTATTTCTTTTTTTTTTTTTAAATTGAAAACATTTTTTAATGGAGACTGAGGTCTTGCTATATTGCCCAGGCTGGTCTTGAATTCCTGGGCTCAAGCAATCTTCCTGCCTCGGGCTCCCAAAGTCCTGGGATTACAGCCATGAGCCATGATGCCCGGCTGTAATATTTTATTTCTTATAGGAAAGACAAAAAATTTGTCAAAATGTTAACAATGATCAGTTTTGGATGTTGACTCATGAGTGTTTGTTATATTCTTTGCATTTTTCTGTCTTTTGAAGATTTCTTATAAATAAGATTTGTTCTCTCCTGTGAAGATTAATTTTCTACTTTGTGCCTGGATTTGGTATGTTGTGCACATTTCGGCCCACACAATAGTAATAAATGAGTCTTGGAACAAAACGTAAGCAATCCTCTGCAAGCCTGCATGATACATTCTCACTAAGCCAGCCTAAAAATAACAGAAGAGTAAAAGTATTATTAGACAGAGGGACCCTCATTTGACCTTTCGGCCATTTGGATTGTCCATTCAGTTAATCTTGTCACAATCATGTAATTATGAGGTTGGTTTGAGCTTAATGAACCAATATATACAATGAAAATATGCTGTCACCAGAACTGTGCCACACAAAGGCCTTGGGACATAATACTTTTCTTGTGTTTGTACATGAGATTTCCCAAAGATAACAAAACCTTTTACCAAATATGCTTTTCAGACCTATTACCCTTTCTAACGAATATTCCTCTTCCCCACGTCAAGTCGGCATCTCCCAAAATATGTCGATGCTGTCCCTTTGCCACATAAATACCCAAATGCTGCCTGATACCCCCGCAGGCTACATTTGACAGTACAATACCTGCAAAGGCAGTGGAGCTGCAGAGTGCTATTGAAAAGACCATTATAATCTCCTCTGAAAGAGTCTCAAACTGAAATGCCAGTTAGTAAAACATATAGGAAAGAGAAAAACAACCAGGCAAGTATATAAGTGTACTCAGCAGCACTCAAAATTCCAGCTGAGTTGAACCTGGAGGTATTTTTAAAAAGTTGAATGTCTGGAGAACTAGTTTAGGAAACTTACTTTGTCTTTTTTAATTTAAAAAAAAGTTAAAAAAGATATATACACTTCACTCCCTAAAAAAAAAAAAAGAAAAGAAAAAGTGAGTAGGAAGTAGGGGATGTGTACATTAATGAGGGCTTCCTTCCTTTCTCTCACTTGGGGAGTTAGTCAAAGACCCTTTAAGACTTGTTTACTTTTCCTTCTCTAGAAGGAAATAGCCAGCGTTTTCCAGCAATGATAATAGCAGTATGGACATCATTTTTAAAAACTCTAGCAGTATACTATTATAAGACCAAAATAAGAGCAATATAGTAAAGCATTATACATTATTTCTACTCCTGTATCTGACTCTTTCTCTTTCAGCTAGCTTTAGTCAGCAGGCTTATTTGCTCCAGCCTAGGGGGTTTGATTTATTTACTCTATGTGAACAGGTCTGACTATGGAAACCCCTTCCTCATGTCAGAACCTTTGGCTTCCAGGTGGAGATTCATTCATGCCGTTTACACCACATACTTGCTCCCTGCCTGGACAAATTGGTCCCGGTTCCCTCAGGTCAGATGTATTCTGATGACTCCCAAGTCCTGAGCTGCATAACACTCAGAACCTTTGCATCAGTCTCTCATTGAGCCCTAGAGGTGCATCTCTCTTCATGGTTGTTGCAAACATTACTAATTGCCTCAACCTCTTAACTGTGGGTACCCATCTCTAGAATGAAACCATCCCTTAATTTGATGTTTATTGAATACCTGTCAGATGCTGCCATTCTGCTAGGAGCTAGGAATATAGTGCTGATTAAGATAGCCATGGCCCCTGCCTTCATGGTGCTTATAGTGTACTGTGGAGCTTACACAGGGAGCCTGCTTTAAGGAAGGATCAGGTTTCTTCACTAATGAGACCTGTACATAGATGGTACTGGATGAGTGTGTGTGTATATGTTTGTTAGTGGGTGGGAAGCAAGACAGGAAGCAAGGAAACCAGAACTATCAACATTGTTTAGGTTAGAGATGATGGTATTTTGACCAGGGTTGTAGCAGCAATGGAAATAGTGAGAAGTGATCATTTGAGGGTAAACAGGACTGACTGGCAGACTGGTTGTGGGGTTAAAGAGACAGAGATAAATCAATGATGACCCATAATGTGTTTGACCTGAGCTACTGGGTGAACAGCAGGGCTATTTACAGAGATGAGGATAGACAGAATGTGTGTGCAAGAATCAAGAGTTGAGTTTTTTTCATTGTTACATTTGATTTTCCAGTTGAAAAATCAAGTGGCGATATTGAGAAGTCACAAATACATGACTTTGAAGTTCAAGGTTAGAGATAAAATTTTGAGATCATCAATGTGTAATCCATTTAAAGAAATGGGTCTTGTATTAGTCCATTCTGGACTGGCCGTGTGTGGTGGCTCACACTTTAATCCCAGCACTTTGGGAGGCCAAGATGGGAGGATTCACTCAAGGCCAGGAGTTTGAGACTAGCCTGGTCAATGTAGTGAGACCCCATCTCTCTAAAAAAATAAAGAAATACCTGATACTGGGTAATTTATAAGAAAAGAGGTTTAATTGGCTCATGGTTCTATAGGCTGTATAGGAAGCATAAAGCTGGCATCTACTTCTCGGGGAGGCCTCAGGAAGCTGCCAATCTTGGCAGAAGGTGAAGGAGGAGCAGGTGTTTCACATGGTGGAAGCAGGAGCAAGAGAGTGAGGGGAGAGATGCTGCACACTTTTAGATGATTAGATCTCGCAAGAACTCACTATCTTGAGGACAATACCAAGGGTATGATACTAAACCATTCATGAGAAATTCGCCTTCATGATCCAATCACCTCCCACTAGGCTCCACTTCCAACATTGGGGATTACAATTGAACATGAGATTTGGATGAGGACGCAGATTCAAGCTAGATGAGTCTGGATGATAACACCTTCAGAGAGAGTGTCTCAGCTGGGCGCGGTGGCTCATGCCTGTAATCCCAGCACTTTGGGAGGCTGAGGTGGGCAGATCACAAGGTCAGGAGATCGAGACCATCCTGGCTAACATGGTGAAACCCCTTCTCTACTAAAAAAACAAAAAATTAGCCAGGTGTGGTGGTACATACCTGTAGTCCCAGCTACTCGGGAGGCTGAGGCAGGAGAATCTCTTGAACCCAGGAGGCGGAAGTTGCAGTGAGCCGAGTTTGTGCCACTGCACTCCAGCCTGGGCGACAGAACGAGACTCCGTCTCAAAGGACAGAGAGTGTCTCAACAGAGAAGAGGACCAAGGACATTGCCTTGGGACAAGCCAACATTTAGATCCTGGGAGCAGAAAGAAAAGCCAGCGGAGGTGACTTAGAAGGAACAGCCAGTGTGATGGGAGGGAAACCATTAGTACATCTTATCCCTGCAGCCAAATGCAGTGTCTCAAAGAGGATGAAGTAATCTCTTGCGTAAACTAAGAGCAGTTAGGTAAGATGAAAACTGAGTATCAGTCACTGGTCTTGCCACAAGGTGACCTTGACAAGTGATCTGATTGGATCTGATTGAGGAGGAGCTGTGGATGAAGAAGTGTGGGCAACAAAGGAAGACATCTCTTTTGAGGAGTTAGTGCAAAGGGAGTAGAGAAATAGGGGTAAGGTGGATAGATGGGGTCAAGTAAGATTTTTAAAGACAAGAAATATTCTAGTATGTTTGTAAGTTGATGAGAATGATCCAGGAAAGAAAGAAATCTGAGGCTGCAATTGCAAGAGGGAATTACTACAGGATGAAAGTCATTGAGTCATTGAAGGAATGACTCCAGGGCACAGATGGAGGAAGCAAGGCCAGTTCATCCAGGGTAACGAGAGAAAGCAGAGCAGAGAAGACGCATAGATAAAATCGGCAGATGTGGTGGGAAGACAAAGATACTTTCTTCTGAGGGCTCTGATATTCTCAGTAAAATAAGAAACAAGGTCATCTGCTGAGTTCAAAGAGGGAGAAGAAGGTATTGAAGACTTGAGAAGAAATAAAATCAACCTCCTGTAGAGTGATCCACCCACTTTGGCCTCCCAAAGTGCTGGGATTACAGGTGTGAGCCACCGCGCCTGGCCAAAGGAAGTTTTTTTTTTTTTTTAAGGAAGTTTTAATTAAAAATTTTATATTATTTTTCTCAAATGTTAACAATGTATTATAAACCAAAAATAAAATTTTAAATCCTCCAACTGACTGAACGCTTTTTGAAGAGAAACATTCTTAGAAACCTTTGGGAAAACATTTCCTACTTTGAAAAACATGGACTATAAGCAAATAATGTCTTTTATTATGAGAAAGTCTTTTGGTTCTTAATTATCCTTGTCAGGAAAAAAAAAACAGGATAAAAGATTGCTTTTTAAGATTGTCACTAAAATAAAAAATACAACATAAAAACAAATTTCTATTTAACTCATTCCTGAATCTTAAAGAATGTGTTACAAGTTGGGCTGGGCACAGTGGCTCACACCTGTAATCCCAGCACTTTGAGGCCGAGATGGGCAGATCACTTGAGGTCAGGAGTTCAAGACCAGCCTGGCCAACATGGTGAAACCCTGCTCTACAGAAAATACAACAATTAACCGGGCATGGTGGTACGTGCCTGTAATCCCAGCCACTTGAGAGCTGAGGCACAAGAATTGCTTGAACCCGGGAGGTGAAGGTTGTAGTGGGCCGAGATCACGCCACTGTACTGTAGCCTGGCGACAGAGCAAAACTCTGTCTCAAAAAAAAAAATAGTTACAAGTTAAGAAACTCTTCTTTCTCCTTAGACAACATGTTAAAAGAAACTCAAGAAATGTTACAGCAGGTAATTTTATGACAAATATGTGGATATGCCCATTTTCAAAATATGTTAGAAAATACATTTTATAAACCCAAACTTACAACACGGCCTTCCACAAAATAAGTGCTCAATAAAGGGTAATAATAACAGACCCAATAATAACAGCAATAATTTTTAAATTTAGATATTTTTAGAAGTAGACTTTCAGCATTTCTTCTACTTGTTGAAATGAAGTCAATGAGGTTGTTTTCTTTAGTGTGTTAACTGAGTATCAAGAGGCACTAGGAAGGAAATGTTTGATCAGTTGGCTTTAGGAATAAAGCATTTCCCTGAAGCTACCTTGGTTAATATTTGCAAGTATTGTGAACTTTTTGGATGAAATACCACACAGATGCAACTCAAAACGAATAGTAATACACATATATAGTTCTTTCAGCTCTAAACTGGTATTACTTTCAAGTAAACTCTGAAATCTCGGGAATAACCATCTCATGGCTCTTGGTAAAAATGATACATGTTCATTACGAAACAATCAAGCACAGATAAGATGATGATCCGAGGATGAGATGGTGCCCTCACTAATTTCTGTTCAATGTTCAAGGTATAACCCTGAACAGAGAGGGTTCAGGGAGACCCTCATTTGACTAAAGGACTCACAATGCAACTTCAGTTCAGTTTTAAAAAATAAGAAAGTTATGTTTCTGGCACACTTTCATTTTGGGCTGAGATTCAAAACATTTACAGGCATTAATATATGTTCCGGGTGCCCCTTGTCTTTTTTTGTCCCCCTGAGCACAAAATAACATTACATAATTCATGATTCTTTTTTTCTCTTCTCTAGACCAAAACCCAGTAAACAGAAAACAGATAAACAAAAGAGGTGGGGCTAGTTCTCTGCAGAGTGTTGTGGAGGTGGGGCTGAGGATGGAGTTTTCCTTCTGGAATCCCAGCCCTGCTGTTGGGAGAGCAAGGTCCTGCCACATACCCTAAGGAGCTAAGACCACAGGGATCTCAGGGGGTTTTACTGTCACTTTGAAATGGTGTGAGGTTTCCTGCTTCATCAGAATCCCTGCTGAGGGGGAAATTGAAGGTGTACTGTGGAAACCTCCATTGGGGGCTTCTGCACAGTCACAGGAAATGGTGAGTTTGCAGGAACTTGCGGTTACTGTGAGAAAATTTGCTTTGGATTTTTATGTCCAAAATCTCTGTGGAATTCCCCAGATCTGAAGCCAGTGCCTGCTTTGGACTCTGCTCTGCATACAGGTTCATCTGATTGTATTTTTTCTCATTAATTGAAATTTGCCAGCTGCAATTTTATCAGCGAAAACCAAATTCTAATCTCGTAGATAGATATAGAAAATGTGGCTTTAAATTATGGCCTTAGGTTATGATGAAATAAAACACCAACGAGTATGAACTGGGTCTTTATGAGCGAATCTGAAAAATAAAGTAGTAAATCTGTCTGTGATAATAGGTTAACAGAGCAGAAAATAAGGGCAGATACTGTAGTTTGTAGATCAGCATCCTGTCACAACAATTTTGGAACATTTGGTTCATGTTCTGTCACACATTCTTAAGAGTAGTTGTGCAATTGCCTCCAAGCTGTTGGCTGTATTAGACAAACTTTAAATTAGTGAAAGGAATCTATTTTTATGTGGTGGTGGTGGGGTAATAGTTCTTCTAAACAAACTTTCATTTTTATCTTTTGAAAGTTTTTAAAGAATCGAGTTTTTTTTTTTTTTCTTTGAGACAGATCTCAGTTCTGTTGCCCAGGCTGGAGTACAGTGGCACGATCACGGCTCACTGCAGCCTCAACCTACCGGGCTCAAGTGATCCTCCCACCTCAGCCTCCCAAGTAGCTGGGACTACAGGCACATACCCTCACGCCTAGCTAATTTTTGTATTTTTTGTAGAGACTGGGTTTCACCACATTGCCTAGGCTGGTCTCGAAATCCTGGGCTCAAGTGATTCACCTCGGCCTCCCAAGTACTGGGATTACAGGCCTGAGCCACTGTACTTAGCCTTTGAAGTAAACTTAAAAAAAAAAAAAAGAGAGACCAGGCTCAGTGACTCACACCTGTAATCCCAGCACTTTGGGAGGCCGAGGCAGCTGGATCACAGAGCTCGAGACCAGCCTGGCCAACATGGTGAAACCCCATCTCTACTAAAAATACAAAAATTAGCCAGGCGTGGTGGTAGGCACCTGTATTCCCAGCTACTTAGGAGGTGGAGGCAGGAAAATCGCTTGAACTCAGGAGGCAGAGGTTGCAGTGAACCAAGACTGCACCACTGCACTCTAGCCTGGGTGACAGTGCAAGACTCCGTTTCAAAAAAAAAAAAGGAAATATGAGACTCTCTTTTTATGAGTAGAAGGTGTCTTTCACCTGTAGCACAAAGTGGAGGTTCAGAGCATGAACGGATTCTGTAGCCAGGCCACCTGACTCTGCCACTTGCTGGTTGTGTGACCTTGGGCAAGTTACATAACCTCTCTGTGCATCATTTCCTAATCTGTAAAATGAGGATAATAGCTGGGCACAGTAGCTCATGCCTGTAATCCCAGCACCTTGGGAGGCTGAGGCAGGTGGATCACGAGGTCAGGAGTTTGAGACCAGCCTGGCCAATATGGTGAAACCTTGTCTCTACTAAAAATACAAAAATTAGCAGGGCGTGGTGGCGTGTGCCTTTAGTCCCAGCTACTCGGGAAGCTGAGGCAGAAGAATCACTTGAACCCAGGAGGTGGAGGTTGCAGTGAGCCAAGATGGCGCCACTGCACTCCGGCCTGGGCAACAAGACGGAAACTGTGTCTCAAAAAAAAAAAAAAAAAAAAAAAAAAAGATTATAGAGAAACAACCAAATGATTTTTCTAATGATAAAGTCTTTTAGACTTTATCTGATTAAAGAAAGTCTGATTAGCAGACTGTGAACTGCTAATCAACAGAATCTGGAGACATGCCACTAAATCTGAGTCACTGTCAACATGTGAGTCCACACCTACAGGAGGGGTGGTTCCTTGTATGAAAAACAGCCTCAGTAAATCACTGAAACTCTGCTGGCA
Organism: Homo sapiens; assembly: GCF_000001405.40. Classification (NCBI taxonomy): domain Eukaryota; kingdom Metazoa; phylum Chordata; class Mammalia; order Primates; family Hominidae; genus Homo; species Homo sapiens. The sequence continues at coordinate 91,890,188 of NC_000001.11, read as the reverse complement.
AACATTTTTAATGCAAGTAATGCACCTCAATTTCACCCCCCTGCTTACAATCCTGTTTGAAACAATTCCAAACAAATGACCAAGAAACCACTTTGGACCAAAAGAAAGCTGGTATCTTACAGTAACAAATACTGTAGCTTGAATGCAGTTCTCCATGAGAAATTAGTGAAAGGGAGCATCCATTCCCTTAGAAATCAGTTAATATTGCCATTAATAAGAGGTTGGGCAACTGGGCACGGCAGCTCACGCCTGTAATCCCAACACTGTGGGAGGCCAAGGTGGGTGGATCACTTGAGGTCAGGAGTTATGGCAAAACCCTGTCTCTACTGAAAATACAAATATCAACCAGGCATGGTGGTGGGTGCTGGTAATCCCAGCTACTTGAGAGGCTGAGGCATGAGAATCACTTGAACCTGGGAGGTGGGGGTGGGGGTTGCAGTGAGCTGAGATCGCGCTGCTGCACTCTAGTCTGGGCAACAAGAGGGAAACTCCGTCTCAAAAAAGAAAGAAAGAAAGAAAAGAGGTAGGGGAACCCTTTTTTATAGAGCTTTGCTCAGGAACCAAAAATTCAAGTTTATTTTAAACCTTTCGTCTATGCTTGAGGTATCTGGATTTCTGCTTTTAATATCATATTGTAAAGATTTAAAGAGAAAACATCTCTGTAGACATTGTTAATTTTGTAAATACTGATGTAATTTCTTGTGTTTTTCCATATCATCTACTGAAACTAAATAGCTCAGAATTAAAAAAAAGAGCCCTTTTATTTTGCCAGTCTATAAAGCTTCTGATGACAGGTAGAAGAACCTGGTGGTTAAGGACTTAGGTTTTGAGGTCGGTGGATGTGAGATTGAATCGTGGACAGGTTTTGAGGTCGGTGGATGTGAGATTGAATCGTGGACAAGATCTCAGTTTGTATAAAGGCATGTATATCGGCCTCATTTATACATATTCTTAGAGGGCTGTGAGAAGTAAATGTGTTTATATGTATAGAATTTAGTACCCATGGCCAGGCGCAGTGGCTCATGCCTGTAATCTCAGCAGTTTGGGAGGCCAAGGCGGGTGGATCACTTGAGGTCAGGAGTTCGAGAGCAGCCTGGCCAACATGGTATGAAACCCCGTCTCTACTAAAAATACAAAAATTAGCCAGGCATGGTGGTGCGTGCTTGTCAATCCCAGCTACTCAGGAGGCTGAGGCAGGAGAATTGCTTGAGCCCAGGAGGCAGAGGTTGCAGTGAGCTGAGATTGCGCCACTGCACTCCAGCCTCGGCAGCAGAGCGAGACTCTGTCTCAAAACAAAAACAAACAAACAAAAAAGAATTCAGTACCCACGCTGGCTCAGATGTTGATGGTTACTGTTGTGAATCTGGCTCTACGGGGACCAGTCACTTCATCACTCTTTAAAGACAAGACACTCCTAAATTATCTACCAGGCCATTTTATTTAGAAGGCCTTAACATGATTGATACATTTAATTTAATTTTATTTTTTTGAGACAGAGTGTTGCTCTTGTCCAGGCTAGAGTGCAATGGCACCATCTCAGCTCACTGCAACCTCTGCCTCCTGGGTTCAAACGATTCTCTTGCCTCAGCCTCCCAAGTAGCTGGGATTACAGGTGCCCGCCACCATGCCTGGCTAATTTTTGTATTTTAGTTGAGATGGGGTTTCACCATGTTGGTCAGGCTGGTCTAGAACTCCTGACCTCAAGTGATCCACCCACCTCGGCTTCCCAAATTGCTGAGATTATAGGCATGAGCCACCTCACCTGGCCGATGCATTTAAATGTGGGATTAAATATTCACACCTAGTTCAAGTGTTCACATCTGTACTTGAAACTAAAACTTGTTAACAAGGCATAAATACTGTATTAGTCTGTTTTCATGCTGCTGATAAAGACATACCCGAGACTGGGCAATTTACAAAGGAAAGGTTTATTGGACTTACAGTTCCACATGGCTGGGGAGACCTCACAATCATGGCAGAAGGTAAGGAGGAGCAAGTCACATATCACGTGGATGGCAGCAGGCAGAGAGAGCTGGTACACGGAGACTCCTGTTTTTAAAGCCATCAGATCTCGTGAGACTTATTCACTATCATGAGAACAGCACAGGAAAAACTCATCCCCAAGATTCAATTACCTCCCATTGGGTTCCTCCTAGGACACATGGGGATTGTGGGACTTACAATTCGAGATGAGATTTGGGTGGGGACACAGCCAAACCATATCAAATACTGTTTAATTTGAGTCTAGGAGAAATCTTAAGGCCTTAAACTTAGACTTTATAAAAGCAGAGGCTAGCTCCATCTGGACTGTTTATTCCTTCAGAATATTATGCCTACTTGTATTCCCAATGCCTGACTCAGGGCTCTCCCATAGTCAGTGCTCAATGAATATTGGTAAGGAAAAAAATGGTTCAGTGAGGAGATTTTTGCAGTAATTCAGGTGACTGATGACATTTGACCTTTGTGAATGAATCTCCAATTCTGCAATTGGGTGGATTCTCTGCCTATAGGTACAAGAGGAAGAGGACGAGAAATATTTCCTGTTCTCTCAATAACTTTCCAAATAACATGTCATAAGAAGCCTCCTCATTCTACTCTCCAACATATTAAAAGCCTAGGATTGAGCCAGGTGCAGCGGCTAACGCCTCTAATCCCAGCACTTTGGGAGGCCAAGGCAGGCGAATCTCTTGAGCTCAGGAGTTTGAGACCAGCCTGGGCAACTAAGTGAGACCCCCGCCCTGCCAACCCCCTCTACAAAAAATACAAAAAGTTAGCTGGGCGTGGTGGCATTTGTCAGTAATCCCAGCTACTCAGGAGGCTGAGGTGGGAGAATCGCTTGAGCCTGAGAAGCGGAGGTTGTAGCGAGCTGAGATTGAGATTGTGCCACTGCACTCCAGCCTGGGCGACAGGGCGAGACTCCATCTCAAAAAAAAAAAAAAAAAAAAAAAAAAAGGCATAGGTCCATAGCCCTTTAGAACTGGAAGAAGCCTTCTAGGCCAAGCCCTTCATTTGAACTGAGCCTTGACGGGTATTAGCCGTTAGCCATTTGTGGAAGGTCGCACAGTAGTCAGGACTGGAAGTCTGGTCTTTGAAACCTGTCAGTCCACGGTCATTTCACCTGCCTGTTTGTAAAACAATGTCCTGTTACTTAAGTATACTTTTTAATAAGAAAAACTGGGTGTAAGCAAGAGTATCAGAGTGGTGTTCTGGTGCCAGCAGTTCAACTTCTGCAGCGTGTACTTCACAGGCACAGGTACTTAGGACGTCGCACAGGCACAGGTACTTAGGACGTTGCCCCGCCGAGACTGTCGTTCATATCGCGCCCACCTCCGGGTAACGCCGGTAATGCTGACCTAGCTCCATTATTTGTATTAATTTATTTAGCTAGCAGGGGGAACGGCTGGGTAATGCAGTCTCAGCTGCTGGAGGGGAAGAGGCAAGACTCCGCCGGCGCCCACCATCAGAGCGTGACAACAAGCGGGACCGGAGGTTGGGAAAAAGCACAGGGACAGAATGAATGTGTGCATGGGGGAGCTCTGCTGGGGAGAGGGCAAGAGGCTGTGATCAGATTATCTGAGGTTTCAGAACTTTTATATAAAGACCAAGGAACCAAATGAAAATCCAACTCTTCCAGGGAGCCCTGGAAAGTTCAAAGGACCTCGTTTGAGGGAGCGAGTCCCCGCAGCTCGTGCCCACGTCTCCCTCGCGCTTCCCCCAGGACAGGGGCCGCCCCAACCCGGGCACGCTGAGCCCGGCCGCGCCCCTAGCCCCTTCTCTCTCGGCCTCCTCGTCCCGAAGGGAAGCACAGGCTCGAGCAGCATTCGGGGCTCATCCATCAGCCGCGGAGGCAAAGGGGGAGGAGAGAGGAGGCGGGAGGCGGGAGGCGGGAGGAGGAGTTTCTGGGCGGCCGAGAGCCCCCGGTGGGGCCGGCGGAGGAGCGCCCTTCCCCCCGCGCGCTGATTGCTGTGGCGTCCTGCCCGTCCCCGCCCGCGTGTGTGCGAGGGAGGGCGAGTGCGCCGGGTCGGCCTGATGGGGGTAATCGAGGGTTTCGGGGACGCCGAGCGGCACTTTCCTCTTCCCAGCGAGTGAAGGAGGGCAGTCGGCGGCTCTCGCGCCCCGGCCACTTTCCCTGCGCGATTCCCGGAGCTCCCTGCAGGAGGTGAGAGTCCCCAGCGGGTCCGGATGGCGTAGTTTTGCCGCGGCGCAGCAGCTGCCGGAGCTCGCCGCCGCCGAGCGCTGGGCGGGGAAACTTGCCGCCGCTTTCCTCCAACTTGCTGCGGGTGGATCTCCGCTGGACACACCGCCTCCGAGGTACGTGCCGGCCCAGCCCCGCGGCGCTGCAGCCCGCCCGGGCTGTGGGCTCTGCAGGCTGCGCGGGTGCCCGTCGGCGCGGCGCGGGCTGCCAGTGCCTACTTACCGGCCAGGGTCGCTCCAGCCGCCAGGACCTCCGGCCTTGGGAGGGAGGCGCTGGTGGGGCGGTGTTTACCCTCCGGGGAGCAGGCACCGGTGGCCAGCGGTGCGTGGGCAGCGGCCGCACGGGGCAGGCAGTGCCCCCGGCGATGCGCAGTGCTGGGGAGGAATTCTCCACGCCCGCCCTCACTCTTCCTCTCCGCGGGTCCTTCTGACCCCTGCGGGGCGCGGCGGCCACTTCCCTCCGGGCGCGTGACAGCTTCGGTGGGAATGGTTTGTTGTGGGTTCGCAGTCAATTGCCGTGGCCCAGGCTGTGGCTCCCGGACTCGTGCACGGACGCGGTTTGCGTTCCCCGCTGGCCGCGCCCTCAGGGTGCCTTGCGGGCTGAGCCGCAAGCTGCAGCTCGGCCCCCCCCCGCCCCGGTTTATTTTGAAGGCTCTCTTCTTGTATTCATTTGGTTAGGACAAACTTGGAAATCTTGGACTGTCGCTAGAAGAATCTGCTTGCAGACTTGATCTTATTAGGGCATTTGCCCCGCTTTGCAGAATCGCATAGTGTCAGGAGCCGACGTGTCAAGCATGAATTACCTTGGCAAAGTAGAACTTAGTGGATTTGGTGTCCTCACGAAAAGCTGGAAGAAGAAAACCGTTCCATTTCCCTAGCTGTGAAGTGAGGATAGTAGTACTTGCCCCGTAAAGTTGCTGTGAGCATCTAATGATTTAATGTGTGTGAGGTGCTACAACAGTGCTTGGCACCGAGTAAGCACCGCACGGAGGTTAGCGCTGCTTGCCGCTAGCCCTGCGGTGGCAGGATAGGAGCGGCGAGGGCAGAGGATAGTAGGAGTGACAGGCTGTGCTGGGGAACCAGGCGTATTCTGAGTTTTATGTCCTTCCGAAGAAGTGAGCGGTTTGGGAGAAGTCTCCACAGGTAGTAAAAACACACGTCAAGACCGTTTCTTCTTCCTGAATGCAGAGTGCAAACAGTTACTTCAGTGTGAACTCAGTTGTTTCTTTTGGATAATAATAACAGCTAACGTTTTCTAAGCCCATACTGTGTGCACTTAATCCTCACAGCATCTCTATGGGAAAAGCACTATTAATAACCCTATTTTACAGATAAGACACTAGAGGTTAAGTTACTTGTCCAAGATCATACATAACTTTCTGTTAGTTCTGACTCCAAAGCTACCTTCCTTCCTCAGCGGAGAGCGGCAAGTGCAGGCCGATTTGTGTGTACATAGATTTGTGTGCATAGTCCATGCATCTTCTCCCATCTTTCAGCTTTCTATTTGAGCTGAACGCATATCTCTTGAAACACACATAAGGTATCTGTGATGAATTTAGGCGATTTTACATACTTATGAGGGTGCCCAATTAAAGTTCCTCTGAAACTGGCCCCAAATAATTATAAATAGAACTCTGACTTGTATTAATTAACATGGAAATTTTTTTTTTTTTTTGGTGACAGAGTCTCGCTCTGTCCCCAGGCTGCAGTGCAGTGGTGCGATCTCGGCTCACTGCAACCTCCACCTCCCGGGTTCAAGAGTTTCTCCTGACTCAGCCTCCAGAGTAGCTGGGACTACAGGCGCGCGCTACCACGCCCAGCTAACTTTTGTATTTTTAGTAGAGACGGCGTTTCACCATGTTGGCCAGGATGGTCTCGATTTCTTGACCTCGTGATCCACCTGCCTCGGCCTCCCAAAGTGCTGGGATTACAGGTGTGAGCCACCACGCCTGGCCAACATGGATCTTTATTCTTAATTTCTTTTATTAATTCTCCAGACATTGTTGATCACCATTACTTGGCTTCCTTAGGAAACAGCTTGGGGTTGGCACAGGAGGCAGGGAAATAATTCTTACCCCCTTAAGGGCTATTAACATGAAATTGATTTCATGCCATTGTGTCAGTTAAAGGATGTTGCTCTATTTCTTGCTGTTCTTTGCTTTTGGCTTTATTTCTGCATTGTTTAGTGTTTCAAGGCTTGAGCGTTTTTTTTTTTTGGCCCTTCAGTTTGACATTTGTCAACTTTAATTTTTCCTGTTTTGATGGAATCTGACCGTTACACGGCAGCTTTGCCTAACAACTGTTGATTCAGCTCATGTTTTTAAATATAAAAATCACCAACATAGTTTTGAATCCCAGCACTTCAAAGGCAACCCGTGGGGAGTTCATTGTTATTTTGAATATTAGTCAATAGGGGGAGCATAACACACTGTTGATATCTATAAGGCGCATAAACCCGTTTTTAGAGTATTAAACATATAGTTTGAAAGGGGAGGGCAAAATATCTAGCAAAATAACTAAGTTGCTTTTGGAGTTTATAATGGAGGACTAGATTTAATTTGAACTGATTAAGAATGACCTTGAGGACAGGGCCTGTATGTTGAATATATGTCAAGAACTCCATGGTGGCTGGACAGATAGATAAACACACATATAGTTTTTTTTCAATTTGTTTCCTTAAGTGGTGTGTAGGCCAGGCACAGTGGCTCACACCTGTAATTCCAACACTTTGGGAGGCTGAGGTAGGAGGATCACTTGGCCAAGGAGTTCGAGACCAGCCTGGGTAACATAGTGAGACCCCCATCTCTTTAAAAAGTGAAGTTTGTATGTAAACTAATTTTGTGTGGTTTGAATAATATTTCAACTTACCTGGGAGAAATGGAAATCCAGAGGAATTTGTTGTGAATCCTTTTGTAATGATCCTCATTTGTGTTTTGTAGAAAACTGAATATAATGAATTTGTTCTCAGGGAGGTTGGTGTGTTCACAATCCTGTCATCATCTTTCATTAACATCTTCTAAGTGCAAGACAATAGGGGATCAGTAATCCTAAATAACAGCAGTTCTATTACTGTGAATTCCTCAGAGGCTTACGTTAATATTCAAGTATAGTAGTAGTTCAGATGTATCATATTTGATACTAGTATAAGTGTGATGTGTCTATGAATACTCATACTTGTAAACATAAACAATAAGAATATGCTTGAAAAAATCACACTTGACATTTATCTATTTATTTATTTATTTTTTGAGATGGAGTCTCTCGCTCTGTCGCCCGGGCGGGAGTGCAGTGGTGCAATCTCAGCTCACTGCAAGCTCCACCTCCCAGGTTCACGCCATTCTCCTGCCTCAGCCTCCCCAGCAGCTGTAACTACAGGCACTCGCCACCATGCCCGGCTAATTTTTTTGTATTTTTAGTAGAGACGGGGTTTCACCGTGTTAGCCAGGAAGGTCTCGATCTCCTGACCTTGTGATCCGCCTACCTCAGCCTCCCAAAGTGCTGGGATTACAGGCGTGAGCCACGGTGCCTGGCCAAACTTGACTTTTAAAAAAAGTTTTTGGCTGGGTGTGGTGGCTCACGCCTGTAATCCCAGCATGTTGGGAGGCCGAGGCAGGTGGATCACTTGAGGTCAGGAGTTCGAGACCAGCCTGGCCAACATGGCGAAACCTGATCTCTACAGAAAATACAACAATTTGCTGAGCGTGGTGGTGCACACCTGTAATCACAGCTACTCCAGAGGCTGAGGTGGGAGGATCCCTTGAGCCCAGGAGGTGGAGGTTTCAGTGAGCTGAGATCGTGCCACTGCACGCCAGCCTGGCAGACAGCGAGGTTCTGTCTCAAAAAAAAAAAAAAAAAAGGTTTTCAATTTTTGTCTGTAGTTTTGTAGGCCAGTTTCCTTTCTTGTTTCTTGCGTATTATGTAGTATTTTTTTATTATTTATTTATTTATTTATTTTTGAGACAAAGTTTCGCTCTGTCGTCCAGGCTGGAGTGCAGTGGAGTGATCTTGGCTCACTGCAACCTCCGCCTCCCAGGTTCAAGAGATTCTCCTGCCTCAGCCTCCCGAGTAGCGGGGACCACAGGTGCATGCCACCACGCCCGACTAATTTTTTATATTTTTCGTAGAGACGGGGCTTCACTGTGTTAGCCCCGATGGTCTTGATCTCCTGACCTCATGATCCACCCGCCTCGGCCTCCCAAAGTGCTGGGATTATAGGCGTGAGCGACTGTGCCCGGCCCCATATTATGTAGTATTGATTTACCTTTATTTCATTTACTACGTTAGGGTCCCATGGATCCTATTTTAAAATAACTTTCAAAATTAGTTGAGTCCCTTCTTTTTAAATCTTAGCATTGCGCTTATACTACAGAGTGGCATTTATTTAGGATCTCATTTAGTCTTCTATGCTTTGCTCTAGTTTACTCGAGTAATTCAACAAACACTTATAACCTCCTACTCCCTACTAGGCTATGGTTTCTGGTCTTGGAGCTTGGCAAATTAATTGTCCTTATTCAGTGCTCTGATGACTGGGGGCCAAAATGCCTTCAGGTTGCTTAGGGCTTTCTTACAGAAAGCCTTTCGTTGGCTTGAAGGAAAGTGTTGTTCCATTGTTTTTAAGACTCAAAAGAATTAATTTTTCTCTCTTGCATGCAAACTTGGTTGTGACTTGTAAAAGTCAGGTGAGTGCTTGTTTTTCTGAGGGCAGAATCTGAGCCTAAGAGCCCAGGGAACTCAACTGTCCTTTGAGTTTTAAGAAGGTGATCACTGCTGACTTCTTTAGTATATAAGTGAAGACCAATTTCCTGGCTTCAAAAATCTGTGAAAGGTCCTGACTTTACATTTTAAGCTTAACAGACAGAACAGTTAGAGTTTAGACTGTGACTGTGTAAGTAATAACTTTGCTGTAATATTTTGCCTGGATGATTCTGCTCTGTGGTCATTTTGAATTACCTCCCTTCTTGATAGTTCATTTTGAAACATCTTTTTGTGGTGCTTTCATTGCTGTTGGATAAAAATTGTAATTGTCAGATTTATTTTTTATTTTTATTTATATACTTATTCATATAAAATATGTAAATATATGTAAAATCTCACATATATATAATCTATAACTATATATTGTATAATATATAATATGTATATATTTTGAGACAGAGTCTTACTATGTTGCCTCGGCTGGTCTCGAACTCCTGGGCTCAAGTGATCCTCCTGCCTCATCTTCTCAAATTGTTGGGATTACAGGCATGAGCCACTGCTCCTGGCTGTCAGATTTATTAGCTACTAAAGGACAGTCTTCTTTTTCAGTCTTAACAGTTACTTAAAAGTGATTTTATTGCCATTTCCATCAGTCTACTGGAGCATTTTTCTTATATTTTTATTTTTATTTTTATTTTTTTTGGGACGGAGTCTCGCTCTGTCACCCAGGGTGGAGTGCAGTGGCGCGATCTCGGCTCACTGCAAGCTCCGCCTCCCTGGTTCACGCCATTCTCTTGCCTCAGTCTCCCGAGTAGCTGAGACTACAGGCGCCCGCCACCACGCCCAGCTAATTTTTGTATTTTTAGTAGAGACAGGGTTTCACCGTGTTAGCTAGGATGGTCTCAATCTCCTGACCTCGTGATCCGCCGTCTTGGCCTCCCAACGTGCTGGGATTACAGGTGTGAGCCATCGCGCCCGGCCATATTTTTAAACTTATTTAAAACAATTGTAAATTTAAAAAATGTTAACTTTTTTGAAATTTGCATAACTTGAGTTAGATAAATGTTTTTAGGGGCCTTTAATGTAAAAGCAGTCTTGTATTGCCACTAGGAATATAAGCAATTTGGAATTTAAGAGTGAATCTAGGTTATATGAAAAGCTAACCTTAAACACATAATAGTGAGCCTTCAGCAGATTGAGTGAGGGCATTTCTGTAGGAAGAAAATTAAGTGTACCAAGAGCCATAGCAGTAACTTCTCTGGTTCTGCATCTTCAGAGTAACACTTGGAATGATAGCATTGTTTCTTTGCAGCATGTCATAAAACACAAGCTGTTGCTAATTTGTTCAGTGTCTAGTCAAGCTGAAATAAATCAACACAGCTTGGAAGGGCCTTACAAGAAGGATCTGGGTTCATTTCCTGGGCTCTGTCCAGGAAATATAGAAATATAATAAATAAATCTAGGAATATAAAATTTCTAGATTTCTTATTTTATATCTTTTGAAATAGCACATTTGTTTGTTAACTGACATTGAGCTTTATTTTCTCTGCTTGCAAAGTCCTTGCTTAAGAATCAGCACAAATTTCCAAGCATTCTTCCTCCCCACTTGAATAATGATTTTGATGTCTTGCTCTCTCAACCAAAATGTGTTTTTGAAACAACATTGATATAAATTCTGCATGAGGCTACTGTCATTTGGAACTTATTCTTCATTTTTTATTCTTCAGTTTTTCAGGCCAAAGATGAAGACTTAATAGGCTGACAACTGCTTATGAGGGATAGAGACCATATTTAAAATGGAAGGTCTAGAACAAGAGCCCCAGAACCATGCCTTCAGGCCATCCTAATGTGCCCTGCTGAAGATAATTTTTTGGTGTCGGGGGGCAGGGCAGGGAGCCTAATGTCTGGTTTTTGTGGTGGTGGTTCTTTTATGTTGAAATCTTCTTCCATCCTGGGAAGAGGATTCAGTTATATGTAGAGCCTAGCAAAGTTGATTTTTAGAATTAGATTTTAATGGTTATTTTTTTTTTTGAGACAGAGTCTTGCTCTGTTGCTTAGGCTGGAGTGCAGTGGTGTGATCTTGGCTCACTGCAACCTCTGCCTCCTGGGTTCAAGCGATTATTGTGCCTCAGCCTCCCAAGTAACTGGGATTACAGGCGGGGGCCACCACATCTGGCTAATTTTTGTATTTTTAGTAGAGACAGGGTTTTGCCATGTTGTCCAGGCTGGTCTCGAACTTCTGGCCTCAAGTGATCTTTCCCCCTCAGCCTCCCAAAGTGCAGGGATTACAGGCGTGAGCCACCATGCCCGCAAGCCCACTTTAATGTTAAACTGTTGCCAAGATAATTTAGAATTAAGTCTGAAATGTTAGCTCTATCTTTACTTAAAAAATGGTTATAAAGAAGCGTATACTTTCTGGACATTGGACTCCTAGTGAAGGGGGCCTTTGGAGTTGGGTGTTGTTTGCAGGAGGACGAAACACCTGCTTTTCTGTCCTTCCAGGCACATAATTCATTTCTCTGGTATATGCCGAAGGTCAGGTTTTTTGTGTAAAATTGCTGATGGATCATTTGTAAAAACACATTTAAGTTGATTAGTCCTTGAAAAATGATCTTTAGAAAATGATCTTTACAGATACTAGTCCTTGAGCTTTCCTGTGGATCAGATTGCCTTGGGCGAAGGTCTGCAGTTTCACAAGCATGACTCACTACCTTTTATAGGTGAGAACATCAAATGGGCCAGGTGGAGGGTCTAGTAGAACTCTGGATTTCTTTTTAAATTTGTATCATACTATTTTGCTAATGGAAACTTGATGAATACTTAATTCCATCTGGCAAGTGAAAAGGGTCCCTTTTGGGAGTATTCGTTTTGTTAGCATTTTTAGTGATTTATTGTTTTGACAGTGTGATATTGGTCCTTGGATGCAAAAATACTCTGGAGACTATTTGGAAATTTCATTTTATAATTAACTAACTGTGTGATAATTGCTGGAGCAGAATGTGTGTTTTTTTTTTTTTTCTTTTCATTCTGGAAGGTTATTTGAGGTGAAAAACTTAGATTCTAATCACAAAGGCTTGTGTTCATGTGGTACCCTGAGTACTTTTGTAAGATACTCACTGTGTTGCTGTGAGTTATCTCTTTTATGGTTTTTTCTTTAAAACAAAACTCTTCTGAGTCTCCATAAAGAATAAGTATCTCATTTTGTTATATTAGATTTTGTGCAGTTGGCTGGCAAATTAAATTTAACTTTGAGGGAAAGCACCATTGACTCATTACATACATTTTGCATCATTGCAGCGTAAGGTCTTCCCTATGTGTGTGGGAGAAGTTTCTGATCTAAATGGGCATGTTTCCTATTGCTGGTCTATCTTTTAGCCAAAGCATTTCTGAATAGACATTCCTATTCATTTTCTTATTTTCGAGACTTTAGAGAGATTGCTACTTGTTATGTATTCGTGATAAATCATCTGAATCCTGAAAAAAATACTTATGCCAACAGCCCATTTTGTAAAGACACTTGTCTTTGAGCTTTTAAGCTGTCATACTCATTATTCGTTACAATAGCTGTACAGCCATTGGATGTATCATGTTTTTGACACAGGAGCTAGGGGAAGGATGACCTACTTGTTGCATTTCACATTTTTCCATATTTATATCTTTTTTCAATTTGTGGCATCTTTATTTCATTGTTAGAGTGGTTGTTCTCTAAGACGTTCCAGGTTTTAATTTCATTCACTGTGTGGGCTAAATAAGGAGCTTTCCTGTAGAACCAATTCTACTAAATTCCTGAAAATGTCAGTTAAAAATTAGCCAGGCATGGTGGTGTGTGCCTGTAGTCCCAGCTTCTCAGGAGGCTGAGGCAGGAGGATGGCTTGAGCCAGGAGGTCGAGGCTGCAGTGAGTCATGATCATACCACTGCACTCCAGCCTGGGTGACAGAGTGAGACCTTGTCCCTACCCCCACCACACACACAAAAAAAGAAAATATGAAGAAAAAAGAAAATGCTTCCAAAAAGTATCCCATCTAGATACCATGCTGGTTAGGGCTTTTGGTCATGTTTGAATGGGACATAGCTGAACACAGAGCAGGATTTCAATGGGTAGGCTAGGAAAAGGAGAGGAGTGTCTAATTTGTTGGGAGAAAATCCACTTTTGCATAATAATAGGGGATTTACGTGTTTTCTTTGGAGTTAATATGTATTTCAAGTAGGTAGATAGGTAAGAGGTTTGCAAAAAAATTTTGCTAAGGTTGAGGTTCTGTAGTTGGCAACTCTTATAACCCTGAAGATCCTGTTCTCTAAAGCCAGGAAAAAGCAGTCTGTTTCCAATTATGTATCACAAAAAATAGTGAAATTAAGCCAAGAAAAATGATCATTTGGGAGTTGGGTTGCTTTTTTTTTTGCAGAGGGTAAAGGAGAAAGGACTGTAGACACACATTTTAAAGAATCTGCTAGTTTTTCTGTTGGCTTTCAGATTTTTCTCAAATGCTCTGTATTGGAAATTAAGAATAATTTTAGGATTAAAGGCCTTTTCCTCCTTCGGCTTCTTTTTGTTTCTCAGAGAGCAAATAGAAGAGCATTTAGGCAGTTTTTGCTGACATGAAAGGGTTTGGGTCCAGTGTTCCGGGACCCAGCTTGTGTTTTTGGTAAAGCCTTTTCCTGCCTGAATGGTCCCAGGTTATGGGCTCACAGCATCATACCTGGTAGTGGTGCTATGGTTTTTGTTATATGAATTTTTTTACCATGCTTTGAACTGAAATGTAGTCCCTGCTGCCTAGCATTATTCTGCTGGAGGAGAAAACTAGGGATGTTAGTGTGGGAAAGGTATGGAGGTGCGAAGCCTAGCATTTGGATGATGTGTGGGTGAATATATTGTCCTCAGCACTTGTCAGAAGCAACTAGCCTTTCGGGATGCCTACTGCTAGTTTCAGGATTAGTGGTCCTGTGAGACCTAGGTGTTAACTAAGAAATCTCCTTTCCACTGCCAGAAGATCAGCCCCGGCAGGTCTTAGTTCCTGTTTCTCACACCTTACACCTCCACAGAGTGTTGAATAAGACTTTCCTGATGCTGCATAATCTTTGATAACTCTTAGTCTTGTCACTGAGGCTAATGTGTTTTAGCTCTTGGTGCTTTTCTTCTCACCTCCCATTTACTCTTCTGCCTGCTGCTGGCTCCCACGCCCACCACACCCCCACCACACCCCCATGAGGTGCTAGAAGAGGTGTGAAGTACGGAGTGCAAAGTTGCATTTGCTGCTTTACTATCCTTTTTCCCCCATTTTTTTTCTTGGTTTCCCTGAAACGAGTTCTCCTGGTTTTCCTCTTATGTTCCGGATGTCTCTTCAGTCTTCCATTTTGTTTCTTTTTCTTTCTTTTTTTTTTTTTTTTTTTGAGACGGAGTCTCACTCTGTTGCCCAGGCTGGAGTGCATTGGCACGACGTTGGCTCACTGCAGTCTCCGCCTCCTGGGTTCAAGCAATTCTCCTCCCTCAGCTGCACACTCCCACCCCCCCCCCCCGCCCGAGTAGCTGGGATTACAGGTGTGCGCCACCATGCCCAGCTAATTTTTCTATTTTTAGTAGAGACAAGGTTTTGCCATGTTGGCCAGGCTGGTCTTGAACTCCTGACCTCAGGTGATCTGCCTGCCTCAGCCTCCCAAAATGCTGGGAATATAGACGTGAGCCACAGTGCCCAGCCCAGTCTTCCTTTTCAATGCTTGATCCCTATGGGTTGACATTTTCCAAGGTTGCATTTTCCTTTCCTCCTCTCCTCTCCCCTCTTCTTTTCTTTTTCTTGTCTTTTCAGTCTACATTGAGTTGCTCATATTTCTGTGCTTCAATATCAGCAGCTCCCTGTTTTTTCACACCCATATTTCCAACAGCCTATCGGACAGTGCCATCTGGTTGTTCTGTAGATTTTTCTGTTACAGTCCAAAAGCCACCATATTACTTCTCTGTGGTCCACAGCCTCCACAGTGTCACCTTCTGTATTTCCCATGTCCCTCCTTCTCTATGGGGGTTCCTGCTTACTCTTCCAGGCTCTCACTGCTGCCAGCTCCTCCAGTGGGGCTTCATGTGGCTCCTCCTGGCAGGTGCTTCTCTTGCTGCCTCGTGAGAATGTTGTTTTTCCTTCGGCAGATTCCCCAGAGCAGGATTGAGTCTTACCATCTTGGTATTCTAGGTGTGTAGCATGGGCCTGGTTTATAGATATATTGTCAAATGGAATTCTTCATTTCAGCCCACTTCAGTTATGGCTTTGGGGAAAGATCAGGCTTACAGTTGATATAAATTATAGCTATAGAAAAGACACAGAAAATCAACTCAGAATCATAGAGTTTAGGGTTACAGTGGGGCTTAGAATAATCTTCCTTAAGTTTCTCTAAAGATGAGAACAACCAGAGAGCAGTGTTTCTCTTCTTGCCCCTCTGCAGCCTAGTTCCCACCCAATAGCCAGAATGATTGTGATAAAACCTAAGTCAGATTCCTTCATTCCCTTGCTTAAAACACTCTAGGCTGGGCGCAGTGGCTCACGCCTGTAATCCCAGCACTTTGGGAGGCTGAGGCAGGCGGATCACAAAGTCAGGAGTTTGAGACCAGCCTGGCCAGCATGGTGAAACCCCGTCTCTACTAAAAAAAAAATTAGCCTGGCATGGTGGTGGGCGCCTGTAATCCCAGCTACTCGGGAGGCTAAGGCAGGAGAATCGCTTGAACCCAGGAGACGGAGGTTGCAGTGAGCTGAGATTGCACCACTGCACTCCAGTCTGGTGACAGAGTGACCAAAAAACCAAAAAACCACTCTACTGTTTATTCTTGTCTTTCTCAGAATAAAAGCCAGAATTCTTACAGTGATCTGCAAAGCCCTGCCCAACCAGCCCACCACTCTTATGCTGGTGACCCAGTTGACTTCCCTCTTGTGCTCTCTAGGCTGCTCAATCTGCTCCAGCTGCCGCACCTGACTGTTGGTCCCTGAGCACGCCAGATACGCTCTGTCTCAGGGCCTTTGCATGTGCTGTTTCCTTTGCTTGGAATGTTTTTCCCCAAATAGCTACAGAATTCGCTTCTGTTAGGTCCTTACTCAAAACAGACAAACCAAACCAAAACCCCACACACATACTTTGTCTCTCCCTTTTCTGCTTTGTTTTCTTAGCATTGGTCTCTATATAATATATAATTATGTATCTTGTTTATAGTCTGTCTCCTTTAGCTAGAATGAAAGCTCCATCAGGGCAGGGATTTTTATGTTTTGTTCTCTGTTGAATACCCACACCTGGAACAGTCCTGGCATGAAGCAGGCACTTGATAAACATTATTAAATGAATAAGAAGCATTTTATGGATTTCTTTTTTTTTTTTTTGTGGCAGGGTCTCACTCTGTCACCCAGGCTAGAGTGCAGTGGCACAATCTTGGCTCACTGCAACCTCTGCCTCCCGGGTTCAAGCCATTCTCCTGCCTCATCCTCCCAAGTAGCTGGGATTACAGGCACATGCCATCAGGCCCAGCCAATTTTTTTTGTATTTTTGGTAGAGACGGAGTTTCACCATGTTGGCCAGCCTGGTCTTGAATTTCTGATCTCAAGTGATCCACCCGCCTTGGCCTCCCAAAGTGCTGGGATTACAGGCGTTAGCCACAGCGCTCAGCCCATTTTATGGATTTCTTATAGCCCCAGTTATAGGTGCACTCAGGGCATTAAAAAGGGAAAATTGGGCCAGGCGTGTTGGCTCAGGCCTATAATCCCAACACTTTTGGAGGCCGAGGACAGGAGTCTCGAGGACTCCTGTCACTTGAGGACAGGAGTTTGAGAGCAGCCTGGCCAACATGGTAAAGCCCCATCTTTACTAAAAAAAAATACAAAAATTAGCTGGGCGTGGTGGCAGGCACCTGTAATCCCAGCTACTTGGGAGGCAGAGGCAGGAGAATTGCTTAAACCTGGGAGGGAGAGGTTGCAGTGATCTGAGATAGTGCCACTGCACTACAGCCTGGGAAACAGTGAGACTCCATCTCAAAAAAAAAAAAAAAAAAAAGAAGGGAAAATTGGCCAGGTGTGATGGCTTACCCCTATAATCCCAGTGCTTTAGGAGGCTGAGGCAGGAGGATTATATGAGGCAAAGAATTCAAGATTAGCCTGGATAACATAGTGAGACCCCATCTCCATAAAAAAATCTTAAAAAGTCAGCTGGGTGTGGTGGGGCACACCTGTAGTCCCTGCTTAAAGGGACTGTAGTTGAGGTGGGAGAATAGCTTGAGCCAAGGAGTTCGAGGCTGCAGTGAGCTATGATCATGCCACTGCACACCAGCCTGAGTGACAGAGTGAAACCCTATCCCCCCCTCCCACCACCCCGTCAAAAAAAGGGAAAACCATCAATCTCGGGGAAGGAGAATCTGATTTTTAAAAAGCCTCATTTAAGACTCGTTGGACTAGAACACTGACCTCGTTTTCATGTCTGACTCAAAGCAGCACCTGTGGGTCCCCCCATCCTTACAAGTGGTTTGGGAAGACTCCCATTTTACCTCTAACAGGCATGGGCTTGCTGCGGTTTCTCTCTGCCTGTGGTTTGCCCTTTAACCCAGCAGGCTACAAAGATGAAAAGCAAACACAACGTTAAAGAAAAGAGCTAGGGAAGAGGGCAGGGGGAAACAGGGCAGAATTTCCTTGCAGCCCTGACATCTTGCCTTGTTTCTGTGCCCATCCCCTTGTCTGGTTACACAGTCCCTTCCAGAGCTGCCTTGCTTGGGGGCTGTGCTCAGTCTTGAGACTTTTAGGCCAGATGACTCTTGAGTTTTGCTTTGATGTTGTAATTTCTTTGAAGAGAAATCTTAATTTTAGGCAAAAAGGACATTGGAGAACGGATTCTTTAAAATTAAATTACCATCTTTCGAAGTGAAGTTTTAACCCTTCTCAAGATAAGGGGTTGTCCCTGAAATTTCTGCTTGCTTCTGCTGATGATGCTAGTGGGAAGTCAGGATTGGCAGGACCCCATCTTGTGAAACCAATACCGTAAATCCTCAGGGCAATAAATTCAGCTCTGAAGAAGTGTCAGACTCTTATGGGTAGGGATTATGTGGAATGAAGTACATAATTTGTATTAGTGTAATAGTAAAGTTAGAGGAATTTGCCTCCTGCTCTTATTGAGATAACATCGGCATGGTTCCTACAGGGATAGGAAGCCCAGCCAAGAAAGGCAAAGGCTTAGGAGGAAGCTATTGGCCATGTACAAAGCCTGCAGTGTCATTCACCCTGGGATTCAAAGGTATCACATTGAAAATAAATTGTCTAGAATGGAGCTGAGTTATCAGTGAGTAGTTAAAAATAATCAAAGCTACCATTTCCTGAATTCTAACAACATACTAGGAAGTAAGTGCTTTATTTATTAATTTAGTTAGTCATCATAACAATCCCATGAAGGAGGTAGAATCATTATCTCTACTTTATAGATCAGGCATGGAGCTTTAAGTAAGTTGCCCAAAATTATATTGCTTAGAAAAGGCAGGTGGGGGATTTGAACTCAGGTAGGCTATGGGGGCCCCGCACTTTCCACTATGCTGTACTGTAGTCTGCTTCTAGGACAAACCAAGCATGCTCTTACCTCAGGACCTTTGCACTCACTATTCCCACTGCCTGGGAGGTTTTTCCTTTAGATATTGTCATAGCTTTATCTCTTACCTCTGTGCTTAAATGTTACCTTGTCTGGGAGGCCCTCTCTGACCACCCTGTCTAAAATAGCATCCCTCCTGTCATCACTCTCTCTCCTTAACCTGCTTTATTTTCCTTTCCTAGGTCTTCTCATGCCTTGACATATTATTTATTTGTTGTCTTGTCTGTCCCCACCTTTAGAAGGTAACCTATGTGAAAACAGGAGTGTGTTTAATTTGCTGCTATGTGCCCACCTCCCTGAACAGTGCCCAGGACAGGGTAGGCGCTAATAAATGTTTGTTGAGTGAATGAATGAAGTAAACTAAAACTGCTGATCAAGGCCTGCCACCCTGGTTTCAGAACAAAATAATTTGTCCCTTGTGCCAGATCTCATCAGACTACCCACCACCAGAAAGTGAGTGTCCATGCAGGGCCTGGTTGATGTCTACAGTGGCTTAGTAATAGGCACAGTCCCTATCTTTTTTTTGAAAGTCAGCTGTTTCTGGAGGATCTCTTGTTTGTAGTAGTTAAGAGCATGGGCGTGGAATTAGACAGACCTAGGTTTAAGTCCTGGTGCCAGGATTTATAAGCTGGTGACTTGGGGTTGCTTAGCATCTTTTTTTTTTTTTTGGTGACAGAGCAGAGTCCCACTCTGTTGCCCAGGCTGGAGTGCAGTGGTGCCATTGTAGCTCACTTGCAGCCTTGAACTTCTGGGCTCAAGTGATCCCCCTGCCTCAGCCTTCCAAGTAGCTAGGACTATTGGCATGCGCCACCATGCCTGGCTAATATTTGTGTTTGTATTTATTTATTTATTTATTTTCAGAAACTCCTGATATTCAAATTATTTTTATTTTTTCTATGTTTCCCAGGCTGGTCATGAACTCCTGGCTTCAAGGGAGCCTTTGGCCTCTGCCTCCCAAAGTGCTGGGATTATAGGTGTGAACCACTGTACCCAGCCTTACTTAGCATCTTGAAGCCTCACCTTTCTCACTACAAAATGGAGTAAAGGGCATCTGTCTCCTTGTATTGTTGAGAAGATTAAATGGGAAATTGTGATATACATGATAGGTGTTCAGTAGATGATAACAGACATTTTGTGGGTTCAGAAGAAAGCAGAGATGTCAGCTTCTGACAGGAAGGGGAATAAGGTATAGACACTTGATCAACCACAGAATAATTACAAAGCAGCATGTGGACAAGTCTTGGCTTTGTAACTAAGTAGCTGTGTAAAGCTGGGCCAGTCGTTGAGCCTTTCTAATTTTTGGTTTGCTAATCTGTAAAATTAAAGGGTCGGAGTAGATACTACCTGTTCTAGCATTCCAAATTGGCTCTGACTAGAAGATAACATGGAACAAATTATACACAAAATGATAAGTGACAGAATGTTCACAGTAGGATGGGATTAATCAGAAGTCTCTTTTGGAATGAGGTGAGGACTATTGGTAGAGTTCTTGGACTTTGAGGAATAGCATAAAGATGGCAGATTGTGATAAAATGGTTAGATCTGACAAAATTCAGGTTTTTTGTGTGCTTACATTGTTGGGAAGATACTGCATTTAAATAATTTTTGTTTACGTAAGTTATATATTAAAATAGCTAATGTAGTATTAATATTCTGTTTATTCTTATGTTGCCAAGTTGAATATTTTTCTTGGATAACACTTTTCTGTTTTGTGAAGTTATTCCTGCTAGCCTTTACATAATTATGCATTTCAGATTTCCACAAGTGTGTTTGAAGTCTCATTTTCTAGAAGGGATTCAGGATTATTAGTCCATGTAATGACAATTATAGTATGATATAGAATAAAAGATTTTCTTGTTTAATTTCTTCATATTAGAAATGAGGGAAGTAGGATGCAGAAGGTCTGAGCTGGTAAAACATGCTGATGGTCGCACTCCTGCCTCCTTTTCCTTTGAGGATGCCTGAGGTTCTTATACATAACTCTTGTTATTGAGAAATGTTCTAATTTATCATCCTGCTGTACTATTTTTTCTTTTTTCTTTTGTTTGAGACGGAGTCTCGCTCTGTTGCCTAGGCTGGAATGCAGTGGCGTGATCTCAGCTCACTGTAACCTCTGCCTGCCGAGTTCAAGCGGTTCTCCTGCCTCAGCCTCCCGAGTAGCTGAGATTACAGGCATGTGCCACTACACCTGGCTAATTCTGTATTTCTTGTAGAGATGTGATTTCACCATGTTGGCCAGGTTGGTCTGGAACTCCTGACCTCAAGTGATCTGCCCACCTTGGCCTACCAAAGTGCTGTGATTACAGGTGTGAGCTACCACTCCCGGCCTGTACTATTTTTATTGTAGTGTGCACAGTAGTATTTATACCTGTAGTCCACTGTGGTACCCTCATTAGATGCCCGCTGTCAGCCAAGTGTAGGTAGACTGTGATCCGCCTTGCTGGAATTAAGACAGTGGGAAAGCCATACTTGGAAGGAAATAATTACATAATAATTACAACCTGAAGGGTTGTACTGCGTTCTAGGTGTCCAAGTTTAACTTGGTCCAAGGGAATCAGAGGAGGCTTCCTTCAAGAAGTAAGGCTTTTGCTGAGACCTGAAGATGTTAGAAAGTGACCATCCTAGGGACCATGGAGGGATGTTGAGTTCCGATATAGTGAACATCACTTTTGGAAGGTGAGGACTTGGCCCTTTTGTGGGACTGAATTGACACTAGTGTGGCTGGAGTGTGCAGAAGATGAGCTTGGACTAACTAGACGATGGTTGGTGGCCATGTGAAGTTTTGCTGTTTATCTGGACGGCAGTGGGCAACCATTGAAGAGTTTTAATTCTTAGTGTTTCACATGCCTGGGCTCTAAACCACCACACCTGGTGCACTTTTAAATTTTTTGTAGAGACAGCGTTTCACTATGTTGTCCAGGCTATCAAAAGCTTTTTTCAATGGCCAGGTGCTTGCTAGGGCCTGAGGGAGGATGACTGTTGTCCTGAGAATATTCTGATATGCTGAATTTTGCTCGAATAATTACAGCTTTATGATTTAAACCTTTTTGATGACAGCTGATTCCTCATTCTAGGTAGCTTGGTTGGTTTGGTGGCAGTGCCAGACCAAGTTCCACAGCCCCCAGCTGAACCCCTGCAGCTAATTGGGAATCATCAAATAGAATCGAGAAGGGCCCTGCAGCCAGATCCCTGTAACTTATACCAGAAATGTTGAGGCAATGGCTTCACCACCATTTGGACAGTTTTGCTACATTATGAGTATCTTTAGAACCCATACCTTGTATGGAATTTGGAATCATTTTTTTGTGATGGAGGGAATTTTTGAAATTCTAGATGATAAAGTCTAATCTCAAAAATAATACAAAATTTGCTATAAACAACTATTTCTGTTGCCTTGCTACTAGTAGTTTGCTTATTTTCTTTTTGGAAGTCTAGGTATATTTTAACCATAAAAATACCAATGACTATTATTTATTTAAAATAGACAGTGTGGGGCCGAGCACAGTGGTTCACACCTGTAATCCCAGCACATTGTGAGGCTGAGGTGGGTTGATCACCTGAGGTCAGGAGCTCGAGACCAGCTGGGCCAACATGGCGAAACCCTGTCTCTACTAAAAATACAAAAATTAGCCAGGCGTGGTGGCACATGCCTGTAATCCTGGCTATTTGGGAGGCTGAGACAAGAGAATTGCTTGAACCCAAAGGCAGAGGTTGCAGTGAGCTGACATCGTGCCACTGCACTCCAGCCTGGGTGGCAGAGTGAGACTCCATCTCAAAAAAGAAAGAATAAAATAAAATAGACTGTGTGGGCCAGGTATTGTTTTAGGTACCATGCCTATATTCTGTCTTATATTATAATCAAAATATTGCTACCATTTTACAGATGAGGGCGTGGTAGGGGCTAAATGACTTTTCCAATGTAACACAGCTGGGTAAGCCAGGTTTTGAACCCCCAAATACAGTTCTTTATTAATTCTAGCTTAAAAGCAGACACCCTTATAAATGAAAAGGTACAGAAACCTTTGGATGCAAAAATCTTAAATGTGAAAAGGTGGTTCTTAGAGTATTGCAAGGGTGGGTGAAAAAGCCATCCTAGTTTGTGAGTTTGAATAAAACATGGTCTTTTCCAACTTTGTGAAATGTGTCAACACCCACCCTCCCTTTTTCCTGTATTTTCCTTGGGAGTGAGGTGTGTTGTGCTTGGGATAGATGGAAGGGCTCTTAAGGACGGACTGAAGTTCGGCCCCAAGGAAACCAAGGCTGCTGGGGCCAGATTTGTTGATCATGCTCCCAGCCAGGAATGAGGGTGGGCCTGCTCTGGAGGGACAGCCCACCTTGCCTCTGAAGGCAGCCGGCACAGAACAGGCAGAGTGGAGTCAGGCTTCTCTGCTCTCCTCGTACCATCTGTGCGTACTGCTTCCCCCGTGCCTACCAGTACAGGTGGTTCCAGAGTAATCTTCCTCCTTTCTTTTCCTGCCACTGGCAGCCACAGAATGTTGGGACTAATTAATCTGATACCTCAGGATAATAAATCTCTTTGGTAGAAACAGCTTGCTAATGATAAATGATAGTTTTAATACTATACATGCACAATCTCATTTGATTCTTGCAACAACTCTGTGATGTAGCTAAGTTTTGTCTGTTACACTCTTTACAAAGGAGGAAACTGAGGCTCCATTCTGATCTAAACCTCCATCCTTTCTTGTCTGACATGCTGTGAGAATCTCAACTGATTGTCCAGGCAGTCTGGCCTCCCTTCAGTCTGTTCTCTGTACAGCGTGAGGGAAATCTTTAGTAATCCCATCTGATCACGCTATTCCCTGTTTAAACCCCTCCTTGAACTTATTCCTCTTCTCTTTCCCTTTCAGCTCTGCAGCTCTCCTCCCTCCTGTAATGCTTCCTCTGCCTGCAGTGTCATTCATCACCTGACTTTTAAAATCTTCGCTTATCCTCAGGTTGCGTATACTTTTCCTTTAGAGCTCTGATTATATCGTGTAGTTACATGTTTGTGATTATTGTCTGTTTATCTCACCAGCTTTTAAGCCCACAAGGGCAAAAAACATGTCTCCTTGGCCACTGCTTAGCAGAGTAAGCAATAAAGATTTGTTGAAAGGAGAAACTCAGGAAATTAAATGTCTTGTGAGAAGTAGTAAATGATATTTTTACTCGGATATAAGCTCCCTGAGGGCAGGATTTTTGGCGTCTTTTTTTCATTGCTATATCCCTGGCATCTTGAACAGTGCCTGGCATATAGCAGTAATATTTATTGAATATCAGTTGTGCTTGGATGTGATTCCGAAGATTTCTTATCCAAATCTAGGACTTTTTCTCTCATTGTGCCAAATCTATCTGAAGATGGGGATTAGTTTAGTTCTGATTCTGAATCAACTCATGGATGTAGCCAGGCCATGTTAGCCATCTAAGGGGAAGCTACTAATTTTTTCTTACTGGTTTTTAGCCTATTGCCAGACATCCATTTTGCCACAGTTTTTCTCTTAGATAGAGCAAGATTTCTCTCCTCACCTTAGGGAATATTGTACCCAACCAGATCCTTTTGAATATTGGTTTAGAACGTGATGGTTTTGAGGATTCATTTGGATGGGATTTTTTCAGCTAATCTTGGTCTTTACCTGTGCACTCTGTTGGGTCATGAGGGCATGTGGGGCAGTATGCTCAGTTTAATGGACTCAGAAATAAACCCAGGGGATCTCTGAAATTAGCAGAATTAGCAGCACATTTGTTTGCTTTTTTTTTAAACCCATTAAGTTCTAAGAATTTTCTTTTTTTTTTTTTTTTTGGGAGACGTAGTCTCGCTCTGTCACCCAGGCTGGAGTGCAGTGGCGCGATCTCAGCTCACTGCAAGCTCCGCCTCCTGGGTTCACGCCATTCTTCTGTCTCAGCCTCCCGAGTAGCTGGGACTACAGGTGCCTGCCACCGCGCCCGGCTAATTTTTTGTATTTTAAGTAGAAACGGGGTTTCACCATGTTAGCCAAGATGGTCTCGATCTCCTGACCTCGTGATCCACCCGCCTCGGCCTCCCAAAGTGCTGGGATTACAGGCGTGAGCCACCGCGCCCGGCCAAGTTCTCAGAATTTTCTTATGTTCATTGATGAATACTAAGTGTTCTTCAGTTCATCAAAGTTCACCTACCTTTTAAATGGAACATGTTGCTTTGAAATGTGGGGAAAATGACTATTATTCCAAATTGCTCTTTCATGATCTCAGAGTACCCTATTTATATTTCTACTTTTTTTTTAAATAAATACTTTAAGTTCTAGGGTACATGTGCACAATGTGCAGGTTTGTTACATAGGTATACATTAGGTATACATGTGCCATGTTGGTTTGCTGAAACCATTAACTCATCATTTACATTAGGTATTTCTACTTTTTTTTTTTTTTTAAGTGAAAGCAAGTTTATTAAGAAAGTAAAGGAATAAAGGAATGGCTACTCCATAGACAGAACCTATATTTCTTTCTTTCTTTTTTTCTTTTTTTTTTTTTTTTTGAGATGGAGTCTCACTCTGTTGTCCAGGCTGGAGTGCAGTGGCATAATCTCGGCTCATTGCAATTTCCCTCTCCTGGGTTCAAGTGATTCTCCTGCCTCAGCCTCCCGAGTAGCTGGGATTACAGGCACGTACCACCACGCCTGGCTAACTTTTGTATTTTTGGTTGAGCTGGAGTTTCGCCAGGTTGGCCAGGCTGGTCTTGAACTCCTGACCTCAGGTGTTCTGCCCAGCTCGGCCTCCCAAAGTGCTGGGATTACAGGCATGAGCCACTGTGCCCAGCCAGAACCCATATTTCTAAAGAAAGCATTTAGTTCATAAAGTCCAGAGATTCTTTGAGGTCAAAAAGTCAGGATTGGGAGTCCCTGATGTTTGCAGTCAGTGTGGTAGAACCTCACAGAAGAAAGAGGAGTTTGTATTTCGTTAGTTTTATCAAAGCTACAACTTTTCGGAAGCCTTCAGTCCATCCAGCATTCCAGGGAACTGATTCCTAAGTCGGGTGTTAAGGCACTGAGGTGTACAAGTTGTGGCCAAAACTGGAGTTCAGCTGAATGAGAATGACACACTTCCCTTTTGCTTCTCCTCTGCCTTGGGAATCTTTCACCACACTGGGGAGATTAGACAAAAACCTTCTGCAGTTTATTTTCTTTTTGAACAGTTACATTATGGAGAGACTTTTAAGCTAAAAGAAGAAAAGCTCCCTTTTTGTTACAAACAGCAGTGTGTAGTTTCAACTTGTCCAGGACTTCCTCAGAGATGTTTTAAGATCCGGTGTAAACTTGCTGTGGTTTGCCTTTGGGCATCAAACTGTTTAGCTTGGCTCTATTATATCTGTAATTGCTGCATTTTAATAATTGCCCAATATTCTTGTCAGCAATTTGCAGCCTATATTTTTAATGGAACCATTTGCCTTTCTTTTCCACAGGTTTGTTCAGACCTGGCTTAAGCCCCTGGATTAACGCAGCACAGACCCTCAGACCCACTGCAGCTGTGGGCAGGGTGACGCAAGCTCATTAAATATTCCCACAAGCCTCGTGCCGCTTACAGTTTATGTGCTTCATAAAATCCTCTGGGAAGTCATCTTCTTCTGAGATCTCCTTACAGGGATTTGCTTTATAAAAGTTGTCTTTAACATTTGCTGAAATAGCATATTGTTTCAGAGAGGTTTTTCCTTATCAAAATTATTATATAGGCAGGAGGCACTATAGTTCTTGTGAACCAATTCACTAATTTAGGGAATCTAATATTTCGAAGGGAAAAAAATAGAGACAGATCCTCTTTGTGGTGGTTGAATTTTTAAGTTAACGGAGAAGATTTCCATATGATCAGAGTTGATGTGGAATTATGGTGACAGAAATGTTCGACTTAGAGGGATAATAAGTCAGTTTAATGGCTCCCAAATTATCTCTATAATTTAGTCAGCTTTTGAGACAAGACCGTTGTGTCATTGATGACTTATGCCTCAACTTGACTGGTAATTTTGTTCTTTTAGTGAGTCCACTCTTTAGCTTATCTCCTTTTGACTGTTGTAATGTTTATTTTTCAGTAAACAAAAGATTGAACTGGATTTACAGTAGCTAAGAATTACATAAATAGCTATATCTTAATTTCTCCACTTTATTGGTATAAATAGCTCAAAGAGAATGGACAAGTAGTGATACAGTACAGTAATTGTAGCTAACATTTATTTGGTTGGTTGTTACGTGCTAGGGACTGTTCTAAGCATTGTGTATGTATATTAACTAACTGAATCCTCACAACAGCCTACCATACATTTCCTACCACAGGATATGTTCATTCAAGAAGAGTAAGCTGCCTAACATTACCATTTGGTAAGGGGCAGAGTGGATTCACACCCAGGCAGATTTTTAATCTTTATCATAATCCGTATGCTATTCATACTAGGATTTTAATCACTATCGTATATCAAGATTGAACCATAGTGGCCTCCTGCCTATATAATAATTTAGTTTCAAGACATATCTAAGAAATTCTTTTTGAAATTGGAACTTTACTGTTATTATTTCTGGATAGGTAATACTTGCACATGGTATTAATACAAAACCCAGAAGGGAATTCAGTGAAAAGCTTCTGCTCCCTCCCACCCCTGTCCTGCAGTCACCCTATTTCCCCCGTTCTCATAGGTAAAGTTACAATTGCAAAGAGCCATTTTAAATATCTCTCTTTGTCACTTGATGCAATAAATTAAGACCATTTAATTAAAAACTCATTTAAAATAATTTTTTTTGTACTGTTATCTACAAGCGCCCACATTGGCTTTGTCTCTGAAGGTAGCTATGGGCAACTCCTGTTGCGTGATATTTCCTGAGTGAGGATGACAAGGCCACAACCCCCAGGTGTGTGAGATGGCTCCCGGAAATGCCACCATTCTGCCTTTTCCAGGGCTTAGATCAGGGAGGGTCTTTGCACTTTTACCCATAACTTTTATTCTTGATGAGAAGGAACCATGCCTGGAGCATAGTAAATGCTCAGTACATGTTTGTTAATTGAACTTCTGTGAGTTGTGCCAGGCTCAGGGATAGAGGGCTGGAGAAATATACTTTGGAGTGTCTAAATCAGTGACCATTAGGGCCGTGTGAGGAATATTCAAGTTAGGCAAACCACCACAAAACTCTCATTGAAGACTCTGGATAGGAAAAGCTTAGAAAGAACCTTCTAGATCCTTGAGTCCAGTAACCAGATAGTCTCAGATGGGCTGAGAGACAGGGAAGACTTTTTTCCTGTTAAAATGTTGGCAAACAGTTGAAATAAGAACCTTGCCTTTTTATGTTTCTTTATTTTTTTCAGATTGATTCCTAGCACAACTTAATTTGATCCTTGTGATAACCCTGTTATTATAACATTAGATTGAGTCTCTAATCAGTGCTGGTTTTGTTTTCTTGCTGGCACTAGGGTTGCATGTATCAAGTGTCATTGATTACTTTGGTACCACAACTTAACTGGTGGTGTTATATTTCAGGTGCACCTTGATTTTCTTCTGTAGTTCTGAAAATTCTCTATAAAACCAAAGATTTAAAATGTCAAAAACAGGGCCGGGCGTGGTGGCTCACGCCTGTAATCCCAGCACTTTGGGAGGCTGAGGTGGGCAGATCACGAGGTCAGGAGTTCAAGACCAGCCTGGCCAACATGGTGAAACCCCATCTCTACTAAAAATACAAAAATTAGCCAGGCGTAGTGGCGCATGTCTGTAATCCCAGCTACTTGGGAGGCTGAGGCAGGAGAATCGCTTGAACCCAGGAGGCGGAGGTTGCAGTGAGCCAAGACTGCGCCACTGTGCTCCAGCTTGGCGACAGAGAGAGACTCTATCTCAAAAAAAAAAAAAAAAAGCCAATAACAAATATGTCATTTGCAAAAGTATTTGCTATAAAAATCTTTATTAGATAGTCACTGCCCTCAGTCTAGTTTGCTTGAGTGCTATTTTGCATCTTTTAAGATAAATTTCTTACATTACGCTTTTCAGAAATTCTCTGTTTAATTTTAGTGTCTGTTTGTTTATGAAGTTTCTTCATTAAGTTTTCTTATTGAAATTTGTTTTACAGGCAGTTTGAAAATTGCAAGGAGGGACTTTAAGACTACTTCTGATTTGCAAAGATTGTCTGTGCTCTGAGCAGGCTGAAGTGACTGGACGAGACGCACTGTTGGAGAAATAAAAATGACTTCCCATTATGTGATTGCCATCTTTGCCCTGATGAGCTCCTGTTTAGCCACTGCAGGTAAGTTGCATAATATAAATTGCATATTTGTTATATATTTTTGGATATATTTTGTCCCAGTCTCTTTAGTTGAGATGAAGTTTCACTCTGTTACCCAGGCTGGAGTGCAGAGGCATAATCATGGCTTACTGTAGGCTCTACCTCCTGGGCTTAAGCGATCCTCCCACCTCAGCCTCCTAACTAGTTGGGACTACAGGCGTGTGCCACCATGCCCAGCTAATGTTTTATTTTTTGTAGAGATAGGGTTTCCTATGTTGCTCAGGCTGGTTTCAAACTCCTGACCTCAAGTGATCCTCTCTTCTTGGCCTCCTAGCATGCTGGTATTACAGGTATGTGCCACTGTGCCTGACCTGTATTTACATTTTTGTCCCTGAATAAGGATTTCAAGAAAGCATTTTTGTCCTTTATTAGCAAATAAATAGATCTTCTAGATTGAGGTGACACTCTTGACATAGGCTGCTTGGGAGGTATTTAGTTTTGCCTATTTCACATATTTCAATATGTAACCTTTTTTTTTTTTTTTTTTTTTTTTTTTTGTGGAGACAGAGTCTTGCTCTGTCACCCAGGCTGGAGTGCAATGGCCTGATCTCGGCTCACTGCAACCTCCTCCTCTTGGGTTCAAGCAATTCTCGTGCCTCAGCCTCCCAAGTAGCTGGGACTGCAGATGCCTGCCACTACACGTGGATAATATTTGTATTTTTAATAGAGACAGGGTTTCACCATTTTGGCCATGCTGGTCTTGAACTCCTGACCTCAGGTGATCCGCCTACCTTGGTCTCCCAAAGTGCTGGGATTACTAACTTTTTAAAAAGTAGAGAAATACACTGAGCTTCCTGGAGGCCAAATGAGATTGGAGATGAAAAGATGCAAATGACTTGGAACATTGTTGCTTAACTAAGAGTATCGGATCTCCCACACCACCATCTTAGTGTGTTTACTGTGAGGGGTTACTTAGTAAATTTGGAAGCTTAATTTGCTCTATTTTATTATAATTTCCATTGTGTCTATTCTGTAATGAGCTACATAAAACTAATTTGTTGGACCAGTTCTGGAAACTGGCAGGTCTCAGCAAGAAAAGCATTGACTCGAAAAGTGATTAGCTGCTTGGTTTTGGCTGTTGAATTGCACATACAGATGAGAGTGATAGTAATGATCATCTATTGAGTGGGCACTATATCCAGGCACTGGGCTAAACAATTAAAGAATATAAAAATGAATAAGGATATTCTTATTTAATGAGCTCACTTAATCACAACTTGGAGGTAGAATTAATTTGGCATTTTATAAATGATGAAATGAGATATGGAGAGATTAGGTAACTTGCGTAGTGTCATGTAGCTGGAAAGTGGAAGAGCCAGATTTTACATTCAGATTTTACATCTATGCTCTTCACCTCTGTGTTATACTGAAGAAACCAGATCTCCCTTAAGACTCCAATAGACTCAGATCTGGGGTTGTGTGCAGACGTAGACTAAGCGAGAGTCAGCTGGCAGAAACTGGTTTATGGATTGGAAAGTAGAATGTTCCTCTCATTGCAAGTATCTTTTTTTTTTTTTTTTTTTGAGATGGAGTCTCCCTCTGTTGCCCAGGCTGGAGTGCACTGGTGTGATCTCGGCTCACTGCAACCTCTGTCTCCTGGGTTCAAGCGATTCTCCTGCCTCAGCCTTCCGAGTAGCTGGGACTACAGGCGTGTGCCACCATGCCTGGCTAATTTTTTGTATTTTTAGTAGAGACAAGGTTTCACCATGTTAGCCAGGCTGGTCTCGATCTCCTGGCCTCAGCCTCCCAAAGTGCTGGGATTACAGGCGTGAGCCACTTCCCCTGGCTATAAATATCTTGAAAGAAAGTTGCTAGGCCTTTTTTGTTGTTGTTGTTTTTTGAATGCCAGTTTATGAATTTCAACTGCCCATTCTCTATTTTTGTCTATCAGCAGTTTCATTTTGTCTCATTATTGAAGTGCTATTTGCCTTTTAGCCTGTGTATTAAAATGGAATTGACTTAAAATCTCATCGAAAAGTAGTAGAAATGCACCCCCCCACCCCCACCTCCCAAAAAAAAAGAGAGAGAGAAAGAGGGAGAGAAGCGGCTTGATGGAAAACATGCTGTTTTGATGACAAGATGTCTAGTCTCACCTTGTGGGTTTGAGGCTGGGCTTTCTGCCTTCATTGATGCCTGGGTCAGACTGAAAAACACAACTGAAGAAGGCACTTTATGGGAAAGGAGTGAGTTCAATGGCCCTGTCCAGCCTTGATGAATTTGATAGTGAATCAGTTTTGCTTCAGATCTTCCTTTCCTATTTGAAGCCTTTGGGAAAATATACACACAAGTATATATATATTTGAGTTGAATACACACTCAAGGCTTTGCTGAGGTGGAAGGGACAGTAGAGTTACAGATTTTTTTTTTTTTTTTGATACAGAGTCTCGCTCTGTGTGTCACCCAGGCTGGAGTGCAGTGGTGCCATCTCGGCTCACTGCAACCTCTGCCTCCTGGTTCAAGCGATTCTCCTGCCTCAGCCTCCTGAGTAGCTGGGATTACAGGCATGCACCACCATATCCAGCTAATTTTTGTATTTTTGGTAGAGATGGGGTTTTGTCATGTTGGCCAGGCTGGTCTCGAACTCCTGACCTCAAGTGATCCACCCCCTTCAGCCTCTGAAAACGCTGGGATTACAGGTGTGAGCCACCACCGCTGGATGAATTACAGATTTTATAATAGCATGAGGCAACTGATAAATAGCACAGAGGTATGGATGCCTTTTTGGTGTAGAAGTTTGTTGGTTGTTTCCCTTTTGCACAACATAATAGATCAAATGAATGAAGAAGAGGGAAATTTTGTTTTTTTTTTTTTTTTTTTTTTTGAGACAGAGTCTCACTCGCCCCGGCTACAGTGCAGTGGCACAATCTTGGCTCATTGTAACCTCCATCTCCTGGGTTCAAGCAATTCTCCTGCCTCAACCTCCCGAGTAGATGGGAGTACAGGCACACGCTGCCACGCCCAGCTAATTTTTTGTATTTTAGTAGAGATGGGGTTTCATCGTGTTGCCCAGGCTGGTCGTGAACTCCTGAGCTCAGGCAATCCGCCTGCCTCGGCCTCCCAAAGTGCTGGGATTACAGGTGTGAGCCACTGTGCCTGGCTGCAAAAAAAATTTTTTATATGCTAATATCTGATATTTTTCTCTGTAGGCCCAGCATACTTTACAAAATGGTTTTTTGGGCATTCTGGATGAGCTGAATTTAGCTCATCTGGGTAGTTATAACAATGATGAATATTTCAAATAATTACTGTGTGTCAGGCCCCAAATTTCTTTACATGTATTATCTCATTTCATCCTCATAAATACTCTAAGAAATATAGATACTTTAATAATCCATAGTTTATAAGTGAGGAAATGGAAGCACAGAGAGGTCAAATAACTTTCTTAAGGTCACACAGCTAATAAATGGCAGGTGGAACTATAAACCTACTTAGTCCAGGTCTGGAGATTGAGCCTTTAGGCCTCTCTACTATATTGATTTGAAGGAAATCATTTGTTTGGAAAGAATGGTAATAGGTTTTGAGCCATTTATGTCCTCCTGAAACATTAAATCATTTATTCACTGATCCCTGCTGAGTACAAAGCACAGTAGTAGTCACTTAGGGATATACATGCAAAGAAATGTAAGATTCGTTCCCACCCTATTTTTTTTATTTTTGGAGAGATGGGATCTTGCTGTGTTGTCCAGGTTGACCTTGAACTCTTGACCTCAAGTGATCCTCCCACCTCAGCCTCTCAAAGCACTGGGATTAAAGGCGTGAGCCACTGTGCCCAGCCATATTCATCCCTTCTTTTGAGTTGCTTGTACTTTATTTAGGCTTATAAAATATAACCATATAACCAAATAATGAATGTGTAGTGAAAGCCAAGTAAAACCCAAAGACCTCAGAGGGG
Organism: Homo sapiens; assembly: GCF_000001405.40. Classification (NCBI taxonomy): domain Eukaryota; kingdom Metazoa; phylum Chordata; class Mammalia; order Primates; family Hominidae; genus Homo; species Homo sapiens. The sequence goes on along the minus strand of NC_000001.11, from coordinate 91,857,539 downwards.
TCACGAGGGGAAGCCCTGTGGGTCAGAGTAGCCAGGGACAGCTATGTGGAAGCTCTAGATCTTGAACTCTGTCTTGAAGACTGGGCAGAATCTAGGAAGAAGGAGGCACTGAGTTCACCAGGTGGGAAAACCTGGCCTAGCACGGAATGTGGCATTTAGGTGCTTAATTTTTTTTTTTTTTTAAATAAATGGATGACCTGGAGAGCTGGTGTGGAAATGTAGCAGGAGGTCTATTTGGAAAGAAGGATGGAGTAGATTATGAAAGTTCTTAAATATCATAATGAGGCTTGTGGATTTTATTCTGTGGTTTGGATGCTCTCTTCTTCCATCCCTTGGAGCCAAAGGCATGCACTGTTTAATCTTGGAATTCAAACGGTGGCCTCAAACAGTGAGGCTGAGTATGTGGCCTCATTAGCTTCAGACCCAGCAGTGCTTGGCTCACAGGCTGTCATTTATCAAGGGCTTGATCTCTGCCAGCTAATTTATTTAAGACAACTCTATGAGATGGGTATTATTATTATCATCACCTCCATTTTACAAACAAGGAAATTGAGACTCAGTTTGGTTAATAATTTGTACAAAGTCCTGGAACTAATAAGTGGCAGAGTTGAGACTTGAACCTGGCAGTTTGGCTCTAGAATCCAGCCCATCAACCACTAGATCCTTCTCTAGGGAGGAGACCCTGTGTGTGGGATGAATAAACCTCTTCTTGATTGATTAAATACCAGGTGAGTAGCTACCAGTGTGACATCCTGGAACCAGATTAAGCCCCTTTGGCCTCAGAAGAGACAGACACAGGTCATCAGAGCAGAAGGACCCTCAAGTAGTGGGCCTTCTTTATTCATATTCTGACTTAACCAAAGTGGCCTTAAAGCTGTAAATCGGTGGGAAGGTGTGGAGGTCTGGCAGCAGAGGGGTGAAGGTTGTCAAAGGCCTCCTTTTGGTTATGTGGCCAGAGGAGGGGCAGAGCACAAGGGAGCACGTAAATTGAGCCCAAGTTAGAATAATAGGAGCCTGCTTGTTCCAGCTCCATAGGTTTGTCTGGGCCTTCAGTGAAAACCTTTCTTTCCTTCTCTGCTTGTGATAGAGAGTGAATGAAGGCAGTCGGGGCCGGGTGGGTCGGGGGATATCCATGTCCCAGTGTTAGTGTTGTTCTGACAAAACTCATGCTTTCGGCTGGGCGTGGTGGCTCACGCCTGTAATCCCAGCACTTTGGGAGGCCGAGGCGGGCAGATTACGAGGTCAGGAGATTGAGACCATCCTGGCTAACACGGTGAAACCCCGTCTCTACTAAAAGTACAAAAACAAAATTAGCCACGCGCGGTGGCGGACGCCTGTAGTCCCAGCTACTGGGGAGGCTGAGGCAGAAGAATGGTGTGAACCCGGGAGGCGGAGCTTGCAGTGAGCTGAGATCGCGCCACTGCACTCCAGCCTGGGCGACAGAGCCAAACTCCGTCTCAAAAAACAAAAAACTCATGCTTTCCCTCCCCTCCCTCGTTCCTTCGTTATCATATAGCACTGTTGAGGATGGAGGGTGGACTGTGCTCTTGGTGAACACGAGCTGTGTAAGGACCATAATGCCTCTTGATTAGAAATTAGCTTAGGTGATTTACTTGGGTTAAAAAAAAAAGAGAGAGAATAAATACAAGAGATTTATTGGGGTTAAAAACAAAAAAGAAAAAAAAAGAAATTATCTAAGGTTATTTATTGGCCTCTTAGATCCTGTAAGCTACCTAATGTAAGAAAAGTGGGAAGTTTAAAAAATAAGTGCTTGATACTATGGGCTTAAGTCTAAGTTTTGCTTTAAAAACTCGTCTATACTTGTGTTATAACATTACTATTATTGAAAATATCTGCTTTCCAGGCTGAAGTGATTCATTTATTATTCTAGTTCTGCTTTCCTCCTTTGTAATTTGTGATAATTGTGCTTTTCTTTTTAATACAAAAAATGGATAAAAATAAAAACTTGAAAAGGCAAAAACAAAAACAAAAACAAAACAACCTCCCAACTGTTCTACACATCTTTAAAAGATATTAGCTGCTGCCTCTGAGGCTTGCCAACATTAGGCAGGGCTATGTTTCCAGGAGTTTTAGTAATAAGAAAAAGAGGCATGCATGGAGAATTCAGGGAAATCAGTTTTATTGGAAGGGCTGGAGTTATCACTGGCCCCTTGTGCCAGGTGAGAGGGGTGCCGCTGAGGTGAGCTCTGGAGCAGGGCTGCTGGCATTGATGCCAGTGGGCTCTTGGTGGAATGGCTAACTTCTTCATTCCACTGTCTCAATTCAGTACCCAGATGTATCCTTTTGGAAACTCGCCTGCAAACTGTGCACAGATTTCTATTGAGAAACACATTTCTTTTCCTCTCTACTGGATGTACCTGGAATTCCAGGTAGAGTCCACAGGAAAATCGAGATGCTTTTAGTCTGAGCTATTTTCCTGCTCAGAAAGCTCTGAACTCTTTGTGTCTGTGGGAGAGCAAGCTGAGATACCAGCTGGTTAATACTTGGTCTGGAATGGTACAAGCTGGCAGCCTTGAGTAGAGGCTAATAATACCATATTGTATTTGTAATCTTAAAAATGTTTTTATAACAGGTATTTCATTTGATCCTCACAGCAGCCTCTGGGGGTAGGCAGGCACTATTTTCTTCATTTCTAGAATGAGAATAATAGGGCTTAGAGAAAGTAAGTGATTTAGAAAGATAATTCAAGTCTTGGTTGGACCAGAACTTAGACATGCTTTTGCAGACAAACTGCACCAACAAATCCTGTGACCTTTTTGGTATAGTGCACCCTTAGCACCTCTTGACAAATAAAAATTGTATATATTTATGGTGTACATCATGATGTTTTTATACATGTCTACATTGTGGTGAGTAAATCAAGCTTTTTAACATATGCATAACCTCACACACTTATCATTTTTTGTGGTGAGAACACTTAAAATATACTCTCTTAACAATTTTCATGTGTAAAATATATTATTTTTTTTCACATTTTTATAGGGGGCTGTAGGAAGGGGGCCTCCTCACTGTCGAGTGAGGTGGTCACAGTTTCTTTGGCAGCTCCAAGCTGGGCACTGGGGGTCCTGGAGGTGGCTCTGTATGTCAGCATGTTCCTACCACCTTGGAAGGGCACTAGATAGTTTCAGGGCGTCACCTGGTTGGTCATGATGTTGTACTTGGTAGGGGCTGAGTATTGGCCCCCATGGTGAAGGACATGACTGGCACCAGCTCCATGGCCCAGGCATTTTTGAGGAAGGCATGAGTCCTAGAGGGGTAGGTGAGTGGGGGTCACCTCTACAGGGGTCATGGCCATCTTAGGCTCAGTGGTGGCAGTGGCTACTATAATACCTTGTTATTAACTATAGTCACCATGGTGTACAGTCAATCTCTTGAACTTATTCCTCCTGTCTAATTGAAATTTTGTATATTTGACCAACATCTCCTCAGTCCTTCCACCCCCACTCCCCAGCCTCTGGTAACCACCATTTTACTGTTTCTATGAGTTTGACTTTTTTTCTGGGAGGGGGTGGGATGGAGTCTCACTGTGTCACCCAGGCTGGAGTGCAGTAGCATGATCTCAGCTCACTGCAACCTCCGCCTCCCGGGTTCGAGTGATTCTCCTGCCTTGGCCTCCTGACTGGGACTACAGGCATGCGCCGCCACACCTGGCCAATTTTTGTTATTTTTAGTAGAGATGGGGTTTCACCATATTGGCCACGCTGGTCTCGAACTCCTGACCTTGTGATCTGCCCGCCTTGGCCTCCAAAAGTTCTGGGATTACAGGCCTGAGCCACCGCTCCCGGCCATGAGTTTGGCTTTTTAAGATTCCGCATATAAGTTTGATCATATATGATATTTGTCGCTCTGTGCCTGGCTTATTTCTCTGAGCATAATGTCCTCCATGTTCATCTGTGTTGTTGCAAATGACAGGATTTCCTTCTTTTTTAAGGCTGTATAGTATTCCACTGTGTATATATACCACATTTTCATTATTCAATTTATTCATTTATCCTGTACTTGAAAGAGAAATCTTGGATGTGAGTTAACGGCCTGTGAACCTCAGAGGTGGTTCTGCCATAGTTATCTCCTGTCTGCCAAACGAGTGATCAAAGGCTGTAATACTCATAAGGGCAGGAAGGCTGGAGGGTGCTGGCAGGGGACTACCACCAGGGAATGTAAGGATAGAAGATGGATAGGCTCAAAGGTTCAAAGCAAACTGAAAAAAAGCCCCCTCCCCTTTTTTTCTTCTTCTTCTTTTTTTTTTTTTTTTTTTTTTTGCCAACCCTCAGGTCTTAGAACACAGCTAGTTGATTTGGTCTGTGATTATTATTGTTTTTAGCTGATTATTTTATCTTATTTTTATTTTATTTGTTTTTTTGAGACAGGGTCTCACTCTGTTGCCTGGGCTGGAGTGCAGTGGCGCGATCATGGCTCACTGCAGCCTCGACCTCCCAGGTTCAAGCCATTTTCCCCCCACAGACCCCCAAGTAGCTGGGACTACGGGTGCACGCCGCTATGCCTGGCTAATTTTTGTGTTTTTTTTCTGTAGAGATGGGGTTCCGCCATGTTGCCCAGGCTGGTTTGGAACTCTTGAGCTCAAGTGGTCCACCCATATCGGCCTCCCAAAGTGCTAGGATTATAGGTGTGAGCCATCATGCCTGGCCTTTAGCTGGTTATTTTAACCAGTTTTGTGTTTAATTCTGCTTTTTGATACACAAGGAAAGGATATTGTCAAATGTGATACCAGTTATCACCAGAGTGCCAAACTTTATTTTAAAGAGCAAATAACTGCTATTAAAAGACCTAGAGTGGCATGGTGGTGGCTGCCTGTAATCCCAGCTACTCGAGAGGCTGAGGCAGGAGAACCACTTGAACCTGGGAGGCGGAGGTTGCGGTGAGCCGAGATGGCGCCACTGCACTCCAGCCTGGGCAACAAGAGCGAAACTAGGTCTCAAAAATAAAAGAAAGACCCAGAGTGGATAGGGTAGCCTGCATTTTAGAGTGTATTCCCTTTGAGGATATTGTGCACAGCCAAGTGTGATGAAGCACCTCCCCACCTACCTTCTCCATTAGATTTTTCTACAGAAACAGCATGTGCGTGCATGCGTGTGCAAACACAACACACACATGCATGCGCACACACACACATACACACACACGGGAGTTGAGGCAGTAGTTGAGAGAAAGGTGAGTTCATTTCTCAAAGATTCCCTTGCCCTGTATGGACCTGTGTGTGTGTGGAGGTGGGGTGGATAGCCTAATGCAAGGCCTTTTACTTTTTTTTTTTCCCTGAGACAGGGTCTCACTCTGTTGCCCAGGCTGGAGTGCAGTGGCACGGTAGCTCACTGCAGCCTTGGCCTCCTGGGCTCAAACGATCCTCCCACCTCAGCCTCTTGAGTAGCTGGAACTACAGGCACATGCCACCACACCTGGCTAAGTTTTGTATTTTTTGTAGAGACAAGGTTTCGCCATGTTTTCCAAGCTGGTCTCAAACTCTTGAGCTAAGCAATCCACCTGCCTTGGCCTCCCAAAGTGCTAGGATTACAGGCGTGAGCCACTGTACCTGGCCCTTTTTATCATTTTCAAGGAGAGTTTACTAATAGCTAGTTGGGCAACTGAATGTGCATATAGTGGAGGGGAGGATGTTTACCAAGAATGAGTAAGATTATTGCTAGATGTGATGTTAGCCAAGTCAAGAGAATCGAGGTTTCTCTTTGCTTTGCATCCTTATCGTAGGCTGTATAATTGCCACCCAGCTTTCTGGATTTCTGATTGATTTGGGTTATTTTAGGACAGCAGTGATGGTGTGTTTTACAGTGATCAACACTTCCATCAAGACACAGCTTTATCTGTATGTGCCTACACAGCTCTTTAATTGCTAAAAGCTTACCCTTGCACACGGTTGTGTATATAGGAAATTAGACTTTCTCAGCTTGTTTGCTTTGGTAATTAATCCAACTCTGGAGGTATCTTTATCACCCCATAGAGCTTCGAGCTCTGAGCACGCTGATTTTGGAAGTGATGTAGGAGCAGGGAGTGTTCTGGGAAGTGTTCCGGGAAGCGTGCCAGCAAGAGGCCTTCCTTTAGGACTGACCCTGCTCAGCACCGAGGCGCATGATTGGCCCATCCCGCACCACATCCATGGCAGCCACTGACTTTCATTTTCTTTAAAACGATCTCTGCCAGAATGGCCTAAAAAACATTTATCCTGAACTTCAATCTAGTCATATTTTTGTTTTCTGAGAGGGCACTGTCAATCAGGTGGAATTCTAGAGGGCTGAAAAATGCCATAGCTCTTGGAACGTTCCTTCCAAGGAGTAGGCAGCAGGTGCTCTGGGGACTGAAGCCCAGCTATTCCCCTGCCCTCCCTTGCCAGCTCTTAAACATCTTTAAAAAAATCTACAGTGTAATGTGGAAAATTTTACTACCTTCAAAGGGAAATGTTGATTTAAAAAATTATTTTAAAGTTACTCTGTTTGTTGGCAATGAGGGGAACCATATATGGCAAAAGGAAAAGGTCTTGATAAAATTGCTCTGTGTTCTTTGTTTTGCTTCCTTTTGTCCTCATATGCCTGAGTAACTGCGTCCTAGTCCAGAAGATTGACCAGGGCCATCTGAGTAACACCTCCCTTCCTTCCTACTCTCCTACTCCACCCATGAGGATACACAGGTAGCATAGGCCTCAAAGGAGGGCAGAGGTTCAGCCTCTGGAGTCAGCCCCTGCTCTGCATTTTTTTTTTTTTTTTTTTTTTTTTTGAGACAGGGTCTTGCTCTGTCACCCAGGCTGGAGTGCAGTAGTGCAGTCTTGGCTCACTGCAGCCTCAACCTCCCAGGCTCAAGAGATCTTCCTGCCTCAGCCTCCTATGTAGGTGGGACTACAGGCACGTGGCACCACACCTGGCTAATTTTGTGATCTTTTATAGAGATGACATCTCACTGTGTTGCCTAGGCTGGTCTCAAACTTCTGGCCTCAAGTGATCTGCCCACCTTAGCCTCCCAAAGTGCCAGGATTACAGGCGTGAGCCACCACGCCTGGCCTCCCTGCTGTGTTGTTTTCATCATTGACCCCGCTGGACTGCTACAGCATTTTCCTGTGATGAACTTTTCCAGTGGGATGCACCTGTGCATGACAATTATGTTGTTAAATTGCTGAAAGTTAAAGTTATAATACTACATGGTGAAGCAAAATGCTCTATAGCTCCTGCCCGCCCTTATCTTTTCCTTTTGAGTTAATTAGAGGACAGAACCACTTATTTTGCCTTTTCTTTATACTTTTAAATAACTACTATGTTTTAGATGAAGACTTGTAGTCTGGTCAACGTTAAGTACCTCCTAAGATTCAGGTACTTTGCTAGCTTCTGAGGCACAGAAAGGGGAGAGACTTTGGGGTTAGTGCAAATAATGAGTTTTTTCATTTTTTTCTTTTTCTTTCTTTTTTTTTTTTTTTTTTTTTTTTGAGATGGAGTCTTGCTCTGTTGCCCAGGCTGGAGTGCAGTGACGCGATCTCAGCTCACTGCAAGCTCTGCCTCCCAGGTTCATGCATTCTCCTGCCTCAGCCTCCCGAGTAGCTGGGACTACAGGCACCCGCCACCATGCCCGGCTAATTTTTTGTATTTTTAGCAGAGACGGGGTTTCACCGTGTTAGCCAGGATGGTCTCAATCTCCTGACCTCGTGATCGGCCCGCCTCGGCCTCCCAAAGTGCTGGGATTACAGGCGTGAGCCACCTCGCTGGCCTTTTCATTTTTTTCTAATACAGTTAACTTTCCTAAAGTGTTGATTGATTGATTTAACAAGGATTTACTGAGTACCTATTGTATTTCAGACACTATTCCAAGTGTTGGAGAGATAGTAGTAAACAAAACAGATAAAAATCCTTGTCCTTATGAAGCATGTCTCTAGTGGAGAGAGACCAGAAACAAACAAAATGCATATATCAGCAGGTTCGTCGAATAAAAAGCAAAGAGGTTGGGGATTGTTAGCGGGGATTGCAATTTGAAGTAAGGTGATTAGGAAGGGCTTCACTAGGAACATTGAGCAAAGGTTTGGAGGAGGTGAGCTAAGTGGATATCTGGGGAAAGAGCATTCCAGGCAGCAGGAAAAGCAAGTGCAGAGGCCCTGTGGTGGAAGTTTGCTTGCAGTGCTCAGGCAATAGCAGGTGGGCCAGGTGCCTGCTGGAATGGGAAGTCAGAGAGTTAACTGAGGGGTGGGAGACGGTGCGGGTGTGTATAGCCCAAGGCATTGCAGGCCATCATAAGGTTCTCACTCTGAATGACACTGAGCCATTGGAGAGTTTGAGCAGAAGAATGATATGATCTGAAGGATGTCTTAACAGGACCACTCTGGCTGCTGGGCTGAGAATAGGCTGTTGGGCAAAGGTGGATTTGGAGATACTGGCAAGAGAAAATGATGACCAGGACTCCTTATTAGAAGGAAGGACCCTTGGGAGTCATATGCTTAGGAAATTCAGAATGATGCTTTTGTAATTTTTCCCCAACCTATTCCTTTTGAGGAGGAAAGTGGATAAAGATGTATTTCTCACATCAGTGGAATACTGTGCCATAGCCTAATATTAAAGATAATTACATCTATAGAACTGAAAAAGCTGAGTCTTAAAACACAAAACAACCTCCCCAAACCATCTAAAGAAAATCTCTTTGTGTTGTGAATGAATGTCCTTGAAAAATCATCGTCTTAATAGCCTAAACCCTCTTTTCCTTGCTTACTTACCCTCCTGATTTCCAAGTCTTGTTCTTTTCATTTCTCAGGGGGCCTGGTTTTCAGGATCATGAGTTTTGAGGGTCTTACCACCTTTTGCAGAAGTGCTTCTTACAGTGTTGTAAATTACAGTTTCGAAGAAATACAGTTGCATCCAGTTTTACATAGTAAATGTTTCTGAGTTGTAGGTCAACCTATTTTTATAAGTTAAACTACATATTAAATGTGAGCAAGGAGCATGATACAACAGATTTTTTTCTATAAAGAAAATAATCACTTTTAAATATATTTTATAATAAGGATATTCATAGTGGTTTTGCCAGAGGTGAGTGGTTTTGCCAGAGGTGGAATATACCATCTTGTTTATGGAATAGGAAGTTTTGCTTTTGGAGTTTGAGGTTATAAACAAATATTAGGCCAGTGCTTTCTTATATGCATGAGAATCACCCAGGGATCTTGTTAAAATGCAGATTCTGTTTTAGTAGGCCTTGATGGGTCAAAGACTGTAGATTTTTAACAGGCTCATAAGATGCTGATACCGTTAGTCTGAGGACCACATTTGACAGCATAGGTCATCTGTTTTCTCAATGCACAAATTGTAACACAGAAACTGCAAACACCTAGACAATTTCTTAGTGCCATAAAAGGGAGCTTGATTTTAGCATGCCTTTACAACAGCTACCTTGAACACCTTTGGTAAACTTGTTTGGGTCAGAGGGATCCATGTGCTGGAGAGGAAGTTGGTTTGAGGCAGTGAGTTCCACAGATGCCTTTAGCTCTCTGACTGTAAGTGTGGTGCACCTGCAGAAACCAGGTGCATCTTTATTAGCTGGGGCTACACCTTGACATAATCCTAACAGTTGTTAAAGAAGGAATTCTTCCCGCCCCCACCATTTCTTCCTTTTATGTGCCTCTTTTGCCTTGTCTCATTTCTTGCCTTGTGACTTAGTAGACCAAGGTAGGAGATTCGTGTTGGGTCACTGAGGGCGGGGTCATTGGTCCCGGAACCTGTGGCCAAGGGACTCTTCGGTAATGAGAGGTGATATGGGCTGAGTGGATAAAAGGGGGACTTTAGGTGGGTTAGCGAGGGTGGCTCTGGAGTTAGGGACTAAAAGTTAAAAGTTGGGTATACCTCATTTCTGCTAGCAGGGCTCTAATTTTCTAGCTCAGGTTTCCCCATTGACTTCCTACTTTATTCTTTTTTTTTTTTTTTTTTTGAGATGGAGTTTTGCTCTTGTTGCCCAGGCTGGAGTGCAATGGCGTGATCTCGGCTCACTGCAACCTCCGCCTACTGGGTTCAAGCGATTCTCCTGCCTCAGCCTCCCGAGTAGCTGGGATTACAGGCATGCACTACCACGCCTGGCTAATTTTGTATTTTTAGTAGGAATGGGGTTTCTCCATGTTGCTCAGGCTGGTCTCGAACTCCCAACCTCAGGTGATCTGCCTGCCTCATCCTCCCAAAGTGCTGGGATTACAGGCATGAGCCACCGCGCCCGGCCCTACTTTATTCTTATAATCACACTCCAGTCTAGAGCTTTTAAAAAATTAACATTTTTTAGAAGGGAAAAATTTCTGTAAGTTGTAATTGATGTTTATTAAGCACCCTGACACCACATTTATTATAAGTGGGGATAAGACTGAGAATATTTAAGCTCTGTGCCTGAAAAGTTGTGTTTTAAACTAACTTTTATTTGTTTACACTGCCATTGAGTAGTTTATAAGGTTTTCTGATTTGCTTTCTCTGGCCTCATCACTGTTTTTGGAGAGGCAGCGTACAACCTATGTACAGCTCTGGAGCTCGCCGCAAGACTCAGGTGGTGGTCATTCTGCTTTTGAAATTGAACCAGAAAAGTCCTGAGGAATGTAACAATATTTTTTCTTTTTGCCCCCCTGCTAGCTTTTTTCTAGCCCTCCCAAAAATGTGTTTATGTTGCTGTCCATGCATGTGGAGCAGTCTGGAATTCTGTGTGACATTAGATAGTGAAAAAAATAGATTTCCCACGTGACTGAGGTTATAGGAGTGAGAAATCTTGGATTATGCAAGGACTCTTTGATTGGAAGAAGGACATTTTGAGATGAGATTTATTTTAAGATATAGTAAAAAAAAACCTAGTATACAACTTTTTGTTTTTTTCTAAACTAACCCTTTTCGGGGGTGACAGGATGGGGTGTGGACTAGAAGCAATACCAAACTTTTAAGTATCAAATCTTCACTCAGAAGAAAAAAAATGTCTTCAGGGTGAAAGAATAGCTCAAATGCGAAAAGCCTGATAGTTATATAATTTGAGAGTAGGGTCTGGCATATTATAGAGGACTCCGAGAGCCTGATCCAAGCAGCCTGCCATTTTCATCACCCCAGGATTATCTGTAAGGACAACTTTACTGTCTGTCACCTGCCAGGTCTCAGCCTGGCCCTTGTGAGTGCCAGGAAGTTTGTGTCCTCTGTTTTGCCAAGCTTAATTAGCTCTAGAAATACCCTATCAAAGGCTGTCTGGCAGTGTTCCATTAATGGTATGGGGTGAATTCAAAAGCACTAATTAATTGTTAGATTATTTGCAAAGCCCATGCTGAAAAACCTAATGCCTGCAGGAGAAAGTTGGCAGAGAGACGGTACAGAGATTAGCTTGGACCTTACCCGGCTCAATTGCGTTTTGGAATTGGGCCAAGAGGGGAGTTGCTTTTCTTTTTGGAGAAGTGCTTGTGGCTATATTGTTTTCTAAACTGCCAGTGTACTGCTCTAGGCTCTCCGTGAGGGAGCTCATATGGACACTTGCAGACCTAGAGAGCCCAGAGACCATCTTCAAGAGGTTTTGTTTATTTTTGTTTTGTGAGAGAAACACAATTGTTTAACTTTCATTAACTAAATAAATTCTTCGCAAGGGCCTCTTCTTAAATAGAGGAAAAGGAACTCTAGTTTGTAGTGTAACAATTCAGGTTTTAAGTGTTAAATGTTCAAAGGAGCCAGGATCAGGGCTTTAAATAGTTTTTTCTTCTTAAAATAAAACAAGTCAGGTTCCTCATGTCCTCTGTTTAGGTGGCCCAGGTCAGCAAAAAGTGAATTTTCCAACTGCTACTGCAGTTGGAAGATGCTGTTTAAAAAAATCTTCATTTGAAATCAAGTGCATGCCAATTTAAGGTCAGGGTATACTACATGCAGGAAAGGAAGAAACAGGTAAACAGGTTTGCATTATTTTGCTACATTTGACATATAGAATGATAACACCTATAATTAACTCAGCTTGACAAATTGTAGACAAATAATAGAAGTCCCTGTCCCTTATAGATGAGAGAGATTTGAGGCTTTTGGAGCCAAGTGCCAGTTTCTGTTGACTCTGAAGGCAACGGAGACAGCTGAAGATCAAAGTATAGAAGGATATTTCAGACTTATCTAAAAGCCAATTGAGTGTTATATAAGGGAGCTGTGTGTAGCTCTGTTTGAAAACATCCATCCAGTAATCTTCCAGTTCCTGAGCCTGGCCCTGCCTCCTGTTGACAGGCCTCAGCGTCTTTTTCTTGTCCTTTTGGGCTTGAGCAACATGTGAGTAAGTACTTATGTACAAATCCCAGACCAAATCTTACTTTATTAACATGATTCAGAAGAAAAGAATTCTAATGAAAAATTTCAGAGGACTGTGCCGAAACATTTCGTGATGTTGTCAGATCTCCCTGAACTCAGGAAAGGCCCCCAAAAATCTATTATTTCTGTTTATTACTCAACTTGGAAAAAGCTTACAAGAATGCCTCAGGAGAGTATGCACTGGTTGAGGAATTTATTCCTGGGTGTACAGCATCCCCTACGTTTACTCTGTGTGAGGCGGGCTATCCTGAAACCCTGGGCAACCTGCCTGCTCCTCAGCCAGCAGGTCTAGAGTAGCAGCTTAGTATTTTTAACCCTTTCTGTCATATGACTCCCAGCCAACTTTTTGAGTTGATAGAAACACAGATCTGAGAGCTATGAGGAATTATGAAAGCCTTTGTACTGACAAAAGACTATGATTTTTCTTTGCTGCTTTATTATGGTTAAAAGGTCTCATTATGCTTTTATTTTGGAGAGGTAATTCTGTATAACAAGACCTACTTGTATATCCCAGTTAGGTTGTGAGATATCATGAATAACATTACAACTGATAGTTAAATTGAAGACTTTAAATGATTTTCCTCAAAAAGATAAAACTAAATTCAAGGTTATTCTAAAATAAGTATGGTTATTTGCATTTAAAAATATTTCAAAGGGAGAAAGAGAAGTTAGGATTACAAGTGATAGAATGAAAAGTGCTCATAATTTGTTGCCTGTAGTATCTGTTTTGCTATTCATGAACATGGTACACCCATTCATTTGTTTAGGTTTTCCTTAATTTCTTTCAGCACTGCTTTTGTAGTTTTCACTAGTTTCTTTTGAAGACTCTAGTGTGTCCAAATGTGAACAAGATTCATCATGTCTGTCTTATTAGAATTATGTTTAAGAACCTCTGTTTTAGAGCTGTAATGCTATCCTCTTCAATCTACTCTTCATTAATAATGATGAAAACTGATACTCCCTCTGACTTTCCTGGAGAGTGAGCTCAGGGGTGTGTAACTAAGGCTATTGCTAAAGTGAGTTATCGGCCTGGCTGCCTTTGCTCTAAGTTGTAGGAACTCAAAGCTCAGTGTGTACTGTGAGATATGTTCTTTAAGGCTGAAGGCTAGTGTTGCTGAGCAAGAGATGTAGTAAAATGAATATCCTTGTTCCTTTGGACTAAATGTCAGAGTTAGAGGCAGTCTTGGAACCCAAAGATTGGATGTTGTGCCTTTCCATCAGGCCGTTGGGCTTTCCCAGCAGAGTTTCGCTGGAACAGAGTCACTCCAGTGAACTTTCATTTTGGACTTGTAACAAAAGGATTTTGTAGAGATTTTACCCTCTGAATGTGGGTAATACCTGAGGGCTTTATCAAGATGAAGAGTAACTTTGTTGGGTTGCTGCACCTTTATTTAGGGAAAGTAATTCTCCACCACAGTGTCAAGAGTGGTCTTGACAGAGACATATGAAAGGTCAGAGAGTCAGGATCGTGCACTAGTTGTGACCTTGGGTTTTGGATTCAGGCACACAGGTTCAGGTCCAGATCATAGGCTGTGTGACCACAGGCTCAGTGTCCTCATTTGTAAAATTGAAGTATCAGTAGTTCCTGTCTCAGTTGTGTTCTTGTGAGGATTATAAATGAGATAATGCATATAAACCAGAGGATCACGTTTATTATGAATGAAACTACTGGAAATAGTATTCTTTGAAAATGTTACCATAGTACTTACCTAGTTTGGACTGCTATAACAAAGTCACATATAAGTCACACATAGATTGTATGTCTTATAAACAACAGAAATGTATTTTTCTCACAGTGCTGGAGGCTGTAAGTCTGTGATCAAGATGCCAGCATGGTTAGGTTCTGGAAAGGGCCTTTTCCAAATTGCAGACTGATGACTTTTCATTGTATCCTCACATGGATACAGTCCTCAAAAAGACAAACTAGAGAGTTCTCTGGAGTCTCTTTTAAGACACTCATACCATTCATGAGAGCGCTGTCCTCATGACCTAATTGCTCCACCTGTTAGCGTGCCCCATCTCCCAATACCATCACACTGGGGTTAGGATTTTAACATACAAATTTTAGGGGGGTACACATTCAGTCCGTAACACATGGTGGACATATTTAATCAGTCTTTTAAGTTGCAGTTCTATTATTCAGGCATATTTTTGGTACAAAAATTAGATCTGATCCTGAAATATAATGTTGCTGTTAAACAGACTTTATTGATGCCCAGTTTCTTTATTTTCCGTAAGTTTTACTTAGAGCAGTACAGTGGAAATACCACAGTGGTACAATGGGAGTGATGGAGTTGGGAGAGGGTGTGGATAAGAAGTGCTCTCCCTGCCCCCCAACTTTTTGTTTTGTTTTGTTTTGGAGATTTGAGTCCCAGTTTTGTGGTTTGCAGAGCTTTTGTTGCCTTATCTATACAATACTGCTAATTATACCTATTCCTTTGATTTGATGAGGATAAAATACTTGTAAAGCAGCCAGAAGTTTATGGCACATAGTAGTTAGGTCTTCAAAAAGTTAATCTTTATTTAGACAATATATATGTGTAGGAAAAGAGGGGGAGAGAGAGCTAGAACAACCTTATTATGGGCAGAATGCATTTGCTGTTTAGCTTTGTGCTCCCAATGGAGAAAAAGCAGGTTGGGGAATGTCCTTGGGAGATGGCTGAGGAGCTGTTGGCTGAGCCAGGTGGATTTGAACTGAGCACCTGGATGGAAAAGACCTTGTTTTCTTTTGAGGCAGTGACTTGGTCTTTAACTGGAAGTTACAGGGTAAAGATGAATGCTCAAGAACGGTGGCGGTGCTGAGGATCAGGACCAGTGGGGGACAGGAGAACCCAAGTGAAGTGGATTGAGGCTGTGTATTGGTAGTTTTCCTCATCTATATGGTACCTCTAGGCTCAGTCCCAGTCTAACCACCCTACTTAAAATTGTAATCCCTCTCTAACCACAGAAACTCCTATTCCTTCTTATCTTGCTCTGTTTTTCCTCGTAGCACTTCTCACCTCAAAAGCTGCTTGTAATTTACTTATGTTTATTATTTATCTTCCCCCACTAAAATGTAAGCTCCGTGAGAGTCAAGTTAGTTTTGCTTTTGCTCTGGTGCAGCTTTTTCTTTTTTCTTTTCTTTCTTTCTTTCTTTTTTTTTTTGGCAGAGTCTTGCTCTGTCACCCAGGCTGGAGTGCAGGGGCACATTTCTTGGCTGACTGCAACCTTCGGCTCCCAGTCTCAAGTGATCCTCTTACCTTAGCCTCTCAAGTAGCTGGGGCCACAGGTGCACACCACCATGCTTGGCTAATTTTTTGTATTTTTTGGTAGAGACGGGGTTTTGCTCTGTTGCCCAGGCTGGTCTCGAACTCCTGAACTCAAGCAATCCACCTGCCTCCCAAAGTGTTGTGATTACAGGTGTGAGCCACTCCACCTGGCCTAAAACTACTTTTTTTTTTTTTTTTTTTTGAGATGGAGTCTTGCTCTGTTGCCCAGGCTGGAGTGCAGTGGCGTGATCTCAGCTCACAGCAACCTTCGCCTCCCAGGTTCAAGTGATTCTCCTGCCTCAACCTCCTGAGTAGCTGGGATTACAGGCCCACACCACCACTCCTGGCTAATTTTTTGTATTTTTAGCAGAGATGGGGTTTCACCATGTTGGTCAGGCTGGTCTTGAACTCCTGACCTCGTGATCTGCCCGCCTTGGCCTCCCAAAGTGCTGGGATTACAGGTGTAAGCCACTGCGCCTGGCCAACTATTTTTATAATAATTCCAAGATTGGGTTAACACTGCTCTAATTGTATAAGAGCAATATTGGATAAAACTGCTGGTGACTCAGCAGGAATGAAGGCAGTACTTCACTGGCACACACTTGCAGTAAAACATCTGCCACTTTCCTTTAAGAGTGTTGTTACCCTCAGATACATGTTTTTTCCTTATTCTATATGGTAAAATGGGAGGTACGTATGTTGCATTTCTGCATTCCAAAGTACAATGATTTTCTTGAGGAAAAGCACTGTGCAGTTGTTTGAGTTGTGAGCTGATCTGGTCTGTTTTTCATGGAACACCATTTGATGTGAAAGAGTGACTGACAGACAACTGATGGTTATCCAGACTTCAGTATTTGGCAGACATTTTTGAAAATGAACAAAGTGAGCCGGGCGCGGGGGCTCACACCTGTAATCCCAGCACTTTGGGAGGCCAAGGTGGGCCGATCACCTGAGGTCCGGAGTTCAAGACCAGCCTGGCCAACATGGTGAAACCCAGTCTCTACTAAAAATACAAAAATTAGCTGGGTGTGGTGGCATGCACCTGTAGTCTCAGCTACTCAGGAGGCTGAGGCAGGAGAATTGCTTGAACCCTGGAGGTGGAGGTTGCAGTGAACTGAGATGGTGCCATTGCACTCCAGCCTGGGCAACAAGAGTGAAACTCCATTTCAAAAAAAAAAAAGAAAATGAACAAAGTGAACCTGTTAGTTCAAGGAAAACAACAGTATTTGTTGCCAATAATAAAATTTCGTTTTTCACACAAGTTAAAATTTTGGAAAACTTACATCCATTACCATGATTATGACAGTTTCTCAATGGTTAAATACTTTTCTGATGAAATCAGTTGAGATATTAACAAATGTGATTTTTAAAATATTATATAATGAAATATGTCTTATTTGGCAGTAAACCATTATTTTTCAGATGACCAATGCATGATATTACAAAATCATGCATGATATTACAAAATCATGCATGATATTACAAAATCATGCATGATATTACAAAATCATGCATGATATTACAAAATCATGCATGATATTACAAAATCATGCATGATATTACAAAATCATGCATGATATTACAAAATCATGCATGATATTACAAAATCATGCATTGGTAAAATATTCCACATCTTGAGAGTACAAGATAGAACAATTGATTTTTTTTTTTTTTTTGACAGAGTCTTGCTCTGTTGCCCAGGCTGGAATGCAGTGGCATGGTCTCGGCTCACTGCAAACTCTGCCTCCCAGGCTCAAGTGATTCTCCTGCCTCAGGCTCCCAGGAAGCTGGGACTTCAGGTGCACGCCACCATACCCAGTTAATTTTTGTATTTTTTTTTTTTTTTAAAGTAGAGATGGGATTTCATCATGTTGGCCAGGCTGGTCTGGAACTCTTGACCTCAGGTGATCCACCTGCCTGAGCCTCCCAAAGTGCTGGGATTACAGGCGTGAGCCACCGTGCCTGGCCAGAGCAAGTGATTTTTAAAAACTTTTTATTTTGAGATAATTTTTGACTGACAGAAGGGTTGCATAAGTAGTACAGCGTTTCTTTAGGCTTATCACTCAGCTTTACCTTATGAGGACATCTTACATAACCAAAGTACAATGATCAAAACTAAGAAATTAATCTTGTTACAATATTATTAACTAAAGTATAATATTTATTAGGATTTCACCAGTTTTTCTACTAATGTTCTTTTTCTGGTCCAGAATCCAACCCAGGATCTCACATTGCATTTAGTCGCCTTGTCTCCTTAGCCTCCTCCAGGCTGACAGTTCCCTGGTCTTTCAATGACCTTGACGCTTTGGGAACTACTGGAGAATGTCCCTCAATTAATTTTTTTCCTGACATTCTCTCAGGATTACATTGAGGTTATGTGTCATTTGGAAGAATACCATAGAGGTGATGTCCTCTTTTCAGGGCATCAAATCGAGGATATGTTATGTTGATAGGAATTATTACTAGTGACGTTAATCTTGGTCACTTGGCTAGAGTGATGTCTGCCAGAATTCTCTGGTGTAAAGGTACTATTTTTCACTTTGAAATTACGCAGTATTTTGGGGAAAGCAAAGGATTTTAATGTTACGGAGTATGAAAAATTTATTATGTAATTCAGATGCTACCTTGCAACTAAACTTAAGAAATGATTATTTGTTGAGTTTAGGTGTAATAGTAAAGAAGAAATAACCACAAGTATATAAAAAGACTTAAGATTTGGCTGGGTGTGGTGGCTCACACTTGTAAATTCCAGTACTTTCACGGGGTGAGGTGGGAAGATTGTTTGAGCCCAGGAGTTTGAGACCAGGCTGGTCAACACAGCGAGACCGTGTCTCTACGAAAAACTAAAACATTAGCCAGGAATGGTGGTGTGTGCCTGTGGTCCCAGCTGCTCAGGAGGCTGAGGTGAGAGGATCTCTTGAGCCCGGAAGGTCAGGACTGCAGTGAGCCATGTTCATGCCACTGCACTCTAGCCTGGGTGACAGAGTGAGACCCTGTCTCAAAAACAAACAAACAAACATAAAAAAACTTAAGATTTGAAACTTCCAACTGCATATACTGTATCTGTGTGAGGCCAGATTTCTTCATATCCTTCAACCAGAACAATGTATTGCAAAAAATTGAATGCAAAAGTAGATGGGAAAACCCAGTGGTCTTGTATTAAGCCAGACATTTAAAGAGATTTGCTGTGCATGTGTCTTTGAAATTTAACAAGAAAAGAGATTTGCGGCCGGGCGCGGTGGCTCACGCCTGTAATCCCAGCACTTTGGGAGGCAGAGGCGGGTGGATCATGAGGTCAGGAGATCAAGACCATCCTGGCTAACGCGGTGAAACCCTGTCTCTACTAAAAAATACAAAAAAAAAAAAAAAATTAGTCGGGTGTGATGACGGGTGCCTGTAGTCCCAGCTACTTGGGAGGCTGAGGCAGGAGAATGGTGTGAACCCGGGAGGCAGAGCTTGCAGTGCGCCGAGTTTGCCCCACTGCACTCCAGCCTGGGCGACAGGGCGAGACTCCGTCTCAAAAAAAAAAAAAAAAAAGAGATTTCCAAAAATGTAAAACAGTGCTGCTCATCTCACCTTACATTTTGTTTTAGAAAGTAGTTGTTTTTCATGAAAGATACTGTTTATGTTACAGTTTATTATAGTTGGTTTTTAGTGAATTAATAAATATTTAAAAATTTCCTCAGTTTTAATTTCTATTGCAGAAAATGTTAATAGACTTATATTAACAAAATCTCTTTGGAGTCCTCAGTAATTTTAAAGCAATAAAGGGATCCTAACAACAAAAAGTTTCAGAATTGCTTTTTTTCTGAATAATACAGAAGAGATATCTTAGTAGGGGAATCTTTTCTTCTGGACCAAATAAAGATTTAATGAAGGACTCCACCAAGGACTCTTGGTCCTTGCAGGGAAGTCACTCAATTATCAGTGTACTCAGCTGGCAGATGAGGGGGATTGCCTTGTACTATCTCCAAGTTTCTTTAAACCCCAAACTACATGATTTCAAATCACTATCATTGTCAGCATGGGCATTATGCAGCAATCTCCCGAGTATGCTATTTGCTAGGTTAAAGATGAAGGTTATATGTAAGGATATAATGCAGTAGTATTTGTGAAGCAGGGACTCCAGGGACTTTTCTTTTTGGGCCTGTAAAATTATTTCTTTCACTGCTCCTTTAAAAGAATAGAAGTTTTCATGATTATTAGATTTTACTGTAATGAGCAAGGGAAAGATTTTTAATTATTGCTGAAAATTTTTGTCAATTTATGTATATCACAAATTTAAAAATGCATGATTTCTGAGAATTTTTCTGCTCTAATGTATATGTGTAAACTTATGTGAATATTTGTAAGTATTTACATAAATCATTTAAATTTGTTAATGGGTTCTAAATATACCACTGATGTCTCTGTTGAAGTAGACTCGGGTTGCATATCCATTATATCCTTACTTACCAGCCGGGCATGGTGGCTCACACATGTAATCCCAGCACTTTGAGAGGCTGAAGTGGATCATGAGGTCAGGAGTTTGAGACCAGCCTGGCCAACATGGTGAAACCCCGTCTCTACTGAAAATACAAAAATTAGCCAGGCGTGATGGTGCATGCCTGTAATCCCAGCTACTTGGGAGGCTGAGGCAGGAGAATTGCTTAAACCCACGAGGTGGAGGCTGCAGTGAGCCGAGATCATGCCACTGCACTCCAGCCTGGGCGACAGACAGAGCAAGACTCTATCTTGGAAAATTAAATAAATAAATAAATAAATAAATAAATAATATCCTTACTTATAGTCTTCATGAAGTTAATTTGTTATTTTGGTTCTTTGGTTTTAAAAAAAATTATTAGGTCTGTATTTACAAATACAGACTTAAAAATGTACCAGCTAGAATCTATTAAGAATCCCCAACTTTGGAACTAACATTTTTCTTTTTTAGTTTAAATGAAAGGCAATTTGATGGCTTAGTTTTTTAAAATGGGGAAACAAAAGGGAGGGGAAGCCAGTAGTATCTTGTCGTGTTAAGTATCAGTTTAAATCAAATGTTAAACAGGATCCTGCATTCTTGTAAAGTGAATTTAGTAATGGAAACTGCCACAGTGGAGGGCCAGCTCTGTCATAATCACCAACTTGAGCATCTCTGATATTTAGCAGAAATATAAATATCTAATGCAGCGTGTATGTGTTATACTGTCATGGCAAAATGTTGTAACTGATTTTGAGCCAGATTCTTCCAGTGTTTTGAAGCTACTGCTTGGAAATAAGATTTGGAAGCTGAACTAACTTCTACAATTTGGTAAACTATAGTAAAGTTAACTCAGCATATATTATAAATACAATAGAAATATATAATTATATATAAAAAAGTTTCATCAAATTTCAAAGGTTTAAGTACTATTTTAGGATATTCATAGAACCCAATCTAAGAGGAAAATGCTCCTCACTGCCAGCAGGAGAACTTAATGGAGCGCAGCGTTTTAGAGCATAGACGTTAAGAGCCAGCTGCCTGGGTGCATATCCCACGGCTGCCACTGAGTAGCTGTGTAACCTCGGTTTGCTACATTTTACAGTGTACTCCTCTGTAAAATGGAGATAATATCCATCTCCCTGGGTTGTTTTGAAGATCTAACGAGATACTGTGTTTCAAGTGCTCTGTTGTTCCATTATTGTTTAGTTAGCAATTGTTAAGTTTTAGGTTATTTCTTCATGACATCTGAATTTTTTTTAAAATTTATTTATTTGTTTATTTTCCTTGAGATGGAGTTTTGCTCTTGTTGCCCAGGCTGGAGTGCAATGGTGCAATCTCGGCTCACCGCAACCTCTGCCTCCCAGGTTCAAACGATTCTCCAGCCTCAGCCTCCTGAGTAGCTGGGATTACAGGCATGCACCACCACGCCTGGCTAATTTTGTATTTTTAGTAGAGATAGGGTTTCTCCAAGTTAGTCAGGCTGGTCTCGAACTCCCGACCTCAGGTGATCCGCCCACCTTGGCCTCCCAGAGTGCTGGGATTACGGGCATGAACCACGGCCGACATCTGAATTTTTATCTCATTAACAACATATATCCTCAAGTAATGTTTTAGGGTAAGTTACATCTGGGAAGATTTGGTATTCATAGGGCATGGTAGAGTTCTAGTGGTATGTTGGCTTTTTTTTTTTTTTTTTTTTTTTTTTTGAGGTGGAGTCTCGCTCTGTCACCCAGACTGGAGTACAGTGGCACAATCTCGGCTCACTGCAAGCTCCGCCTTCCGGGTTCACGTCATTGTCCTGCCTCAGCCTCCCCAGTAGCTGGGACTACAGGCATCCGCCACCACGCCCGGCTAATTTTTTGTATTTTTAGTAGAGACGGGGTTTCACCGTGTTAGCCAGGATGGTCTCGATCTCCTGACCTCATGATCTGCCCACCTCAGCCTCCCAAAGTGCTGGGATTAGAGGTGTGAGCACCACGCCTGGCCTGTGTTGGCATTTTAAGAATCCTTGGAGATTATCTGGTCAAACTCAGCCTGATATGTAAACTACCTTTCTAATATCCTGTTGACTAAGCCCCCAACCTTTACTTGAATTTAAAACATCCCTGACTCTTGGGAAATTCTTCCTTGTGTTGTGCTACAGTTCATCTGGCTGTAACCTCCTCTCCCAGCCCTTACTTCTTCCTTGTAGAGCTACATAGAATTTTTGTCTAACAAATAACCCATCTGAATGGTGACAGTGAAGCAAATGAATTCTGGACAATTTAAGTGTTGTATAAAAGTGGCCGGATGGTGTGTGTCAAAGTTGAGGGAGCTCAGAGGACTTTGCTCCCTGTTGGTAAAAGAAGCAAGGCTCAGATTTGTGGTTAGAGCTATCCTGATCTAGTTGGGAACACTTTTGCCTCATTGAGCCTATGATGGGGCTGTGAGCCAGACAGGGGATAGGCAGTGGCTGGGTCTCTGGGCCCCCCACTTGCATAAAGCACCCCCATCCATTGCTATACTTGTCCTTTCCTGGAGGAGGAGCTTCTTTGTGCCTTAAAAATTATCTCACCGCCAGGCACAGTGACTCACACCTGTAATCCCAGCACTTTGGGAGGCTGAGGCAGGTGGATCACCGGAGGTCAGGAGTTTGAGACCAGCCTGGCCAACATGGCAAAACCCTGACTCTACTAAAAATGCAAAAAATTAGCTGGGTGTGGTGGCAGGCGCCTGTAATCTCAACTACTAGGGAGGCTGAGGCAGGAGAATGGCTTGAACCCAGGAGGCGGAGGCTGCAGTGAGCCAAGATTGCGCCATTGCACTGCAGCCTGGGCAACAGAGCAAGACTCTGTCTTAAAAACCAAACCAAACCAAAACAAACTCCATCTCACGTATTTGTTCATTGTCTATTTCTCCTCCTGCATAGAATGGAAGCTCCATGAAAGCAGAGGAGAAACTGCTTATCTTGTTCGCTGCTGTTTCTCGAGTAGCCACAAGAACTTGGCACTTTAGGTAGTAGGTGTTCGGTATTCAAATGATGGAATTAAAGATCAACTCTGAACTCTCAAAGGCAGATAGATTTTCACTTTAGTGCAGGAAAATAAACACTCATATGTCATGCCCATTCTTCAGGCCTGAACCAAAGGGGAACCTGTCAGAGGATAGGAAATGAGATCTCAGCAGCGTCTGTTACTATTTGCAATTTTCAAATACATAAAGAGAAAAGTATCTTTTGTCTTTTTGATATGTGAAGATTTTCTAGAAAGGAGAGGTTTCAACTCTTATTGAAGGCGGGAGACACCATGCTATCAGAATTGGATTTTAAAATCAGCCCAGCTGGATAGTAGCTTCAAACTGCAGCCAGCATGATGTGTTACATGAGTTTAGCTTTGAGTGTTAAAAGAACAAGTTTGCCAGAAACATGAATTGTTAAAAAACCATGAAAACATTACAATGTAGGAAAAAAATGTAGTGAAAATTCCAGTATATAATGTCCAAATAGTTCCTTTTTCTGGAGGCTTTAAACATTTTCTTAGGTAATTTGCAAAGAATATTGGACAATGTAGAAAATATGTGTAGAGTTAAAATGATATTGAGAATTCTGAGCAGATGATTAAGGAAATCTGGACCTCCTTTTTTCTTTGTTTCTTTCTTTCTTTAATATGTTAGTACTTGAGTTTTCCATAGAATTAGGACATATATTTAGGTCAGATCTCACTGGGATATTCCTTGGGATATCTTGATTCAGGGTTTTCTTCCTTTTTTTTTTTTTGAGATGAAGTCTCACTCTGTCACCCAGGCTGGACTGCAGTAGCACCATCTTGGCTCACTGAAACCTCCGCCTCCTGGGCTCAAGCAATTCTCCTGCCTCAAGGCCTCCCAAGTAGCTGGAATTACAGGTGTGTGCCACCGCACCCAGCCAATTTTTTTTTTAATTTTTATTTTTAGTAGATGTGGGGTTTCACCATATTGGCCAGGCTGGTCTTGAACCCCTGATCTCAAATGATCCACCTGTCTCAGCCTCCCAAAGTGCTGGGATTATAGGCGTAAGCCACCGTGCCTGGCCTTTTTTTTTTTTTTTTTTTTTTTTTGAGACAGAGCTTTGCTCTGTCGCCCAGGGTGGAGTGCAGTGGTGTGATCTTGGCTCTCTGCAACCTCCGCCTCCTGGGTTCAAGTGATTCTTCTGCCTCAGTCTCCCTAGTAGCTGGTATTACAGGCGTGGGTTACCAGGCCTGTTTTTTTTTTTTTTTTTTTTTGAGTCGGAGTCTCCTACTGTCGCCTGGGCTGGAGTGCAATGGAGTGATCTCGGCTCACTGCAACCTCCGCCTCCTGGGTTCAAGCGATTCTTCTGCCTCAGCCTTCCAAGTAGCTGGGATTACAGGCTCCCGCCACCAAGACTGGTTAATTTTTTGTATTTTTAGTAGAGACGGGGTTTCGCTATGTTGGCCAGGTCAGTCTCAAACTCCTGACCCTGTGATCCACCTGCCTTGGCCTCCCAAAGTGCTGGGATTATAGGCCACTGCACCTGGCTTTTTTTTTTTTTTGAGACAGATTCTTGCTCTGTGGCCCAGGGTGGAGTGTAGTGGTGTGATCTGGGCTCACTGCAACCTCCACCTCCCGGGTTCAAGTGATTCTCCTGCATCAGTCTCCTGAGTAGCTGGAATTACAGGCATGTACCATTTTTATATTTTTATATAATTTTTGTATTTTTAATAGAGACAGGGTTTCGCCATGTTGGCCAGGCTGGTCTTGAACTCCTGGCCTCATGTGATCCGCCTGCCTCGGCCTCCCAAAGTGCTGGGATTACAGGTGTGAGCCACCATGCGTGACCCCGATTCAGAGTTTTCTCTGAGAAGAAACTCCCTTCGATTTTGGAACCCAGGAGGCTGGACTGCCTTCTAGTCTAGGTTCTACCTTCCCCCTGCTGTCTGGTTTGGCTTAATCACTTGATTCAATAATTTTATGACTTTGAGTGAGTTACTTAATATCACTCTACCTTAGTTCTTTCATCTGTAAAGTGCGGCCAATAATAGTGTATCTCAAGGTTGTTGTGAGGAATAAACATGTTAATACATGTCAAATGCTTAGAAGAGACCCTTGCACAATAGTAAACACTCCATAGATAATAATGTTATTATTAGCCAAATGTGGTTATTTTGAGGGTCATATAATGGGGAAAAAATGCAAATTTAAAATTCCTGTACAAATTCAAAGGAATATCGATTGTCTCTGTATATCAAAGATGACCTTAGTATTTGCAAAGCTCTCTCTCATTTAGGGCCACTAGCTGTTTTTCCATTTACACTTCCCTATACAGGATATAGAGTTAATTTCTAGGAAATTAGCCATTAATTATTGGTTAATGATGGACTAGGAATGCTCTCAGGAGAGCTGACTAGTTAGAACATGACATAACTTTGAATTATCTAAGCTTTACCTTTACGTGGAATTTTAACTTTGTTGAATTTTTAAGTAAAGGGATATAAAAGCCAGTCTGCTCTATTATTAGATTCACTGTGTTCATAAGGCAACATGGAAAAAAATAGATAATACAGAAAGAAAAATGACAATTTTAAGGAGAAAAGTTTTTGTTTTTAAATAATTTTCTATGTTAATTAAATTCCATGGATGTTTTGTTATTACTTTGTCTCTACAGAGAATGCAGCAGATTTTGAACATGCTTTTTTCCCTCTGCTTAAAATGTGTTGGCTATTATATTTCACAGGACTTACGTCGTTTTCAAAAATAGAGGTAATTAATTGTTACGTGTTTTGATGTTCAGCAGGCAAAGGAAACACATTACTTTGTGTAAACAGAGGTTAATATGGAGTCTTTGAAGTCTAAATTATTGAACTATTTGCCTAAGGACAAACTTCTTAACTGTTTAGGTTTCTTCTGGCCTGTAATAAACTACAGTGGTGGAAATAACACAAAAAATCCTGTGTATAAAACATTTGGGTCCTGGTTGCGTGTTTGACCCAAATCTGCAGGTTTACCTTTGAGTTACACTGCGAATTAGGGACCTTTCATTTCCATTTTCCTTTCCTTGTAGTGGTTTAGTTGGTTCATGGTTGATAAAGACAGAAGCATATGTTTCTGGGAATGGTAAACCTTAATTTTGCTTAAGTTTTAAATGATCACTTATTTCTGGAACTGGCACTGGGGTCGAAGAATGTTTATTATTCCATGTTAACATGGGAATGAGTCTAAAGACTAAGTGACGTTTATGCTCACTTCTATTTTACAGCTTCCTTGGGCTCTAGCCAAGGTGACTTGGTTTTGCAAGAGCGAAGAGGACCTGCCTTATAGTGCAGTTTTTTTTTTTAAATTGTTTTTGTCTGAAATGATCTACCTTGAGGACAGAAGCTGTACTTTGCAGAGTAAAAGACAAACTATTACTGGTTTTAACAAATGAACAACCCAGGCAGGTGGGCATGGTGCAGGTTGTGCCCCAGCTTGTGAGGTCTAGCAGATCTTGTGGCCTTTGGACAGGCTTGCCTTGGGGAGGTGGAAACACAATGGTGATGATTTCTAACTTGAAGAGACCTTTGGGACTCCAGTCCAGAAGTTTTTACCTGTGTGTACTGGGTGGGAGGCGTGTTGTGCTTCCTGCTATGGGGGTGGTGAGAGCCGTTTCCCACCTAAGTGGGACAGGGAGAAAGCGTCTGATCGGCACACAGGGTGCAGAAGCAGCACTGGCCCAACTCCACACTCACTTTTCCAGGATCATTCCTTTTGCACCAAGCTCTGACCCTGTGCCCTCTCACTGCTCTGGGGACTGTTGAAGCCACAAGGAGGAAGTTGCTACTCCTTATGCCCTTCATTCTTCCTGTGCCCCAGACCGAGATCTGTCAGGGGTGGGGTATTGGACCCCACCTGAAATCACTTGTGTATCTGGCAGCTTTCTTGGGAGTTTCTCCTCAGGGGGCAGACTCCCATATAAAGTACTGGCTGGTATGACTGCAGCTCCCGTTGACCCACTCACTGTTCACAGAAGCCTAGGAACAGACTGTAGAACCCAGAGAAAGCTCTGGGTGACCTCTGTTATTTAGCAGCTGCTTGCAGCACCAGTCACTGTGGCAACTGGGCTTTGTTTATGAAAATGAATGAGGACCTCAAGCCTGGGGCATCCATACCGTGGACAGAGCTCCCCCTGGAAATCGACTGCCTGCCAGATTGCCAGGGCTAAACCAAAACAAAGACATACCAAACACAAGTAGCCAGGAAGTATTCTGCCCTTGGGGACGAGCACCAAGTCCCGATTGCCTGTATCCCTCTTCACCAAGCATAACCCTGCCAGGCTGAGCTGATCTTGGTTATGCCAGAGAAAGACAGAGGCAAAGAACATGGTACTAGTATTGGCAGTTTTTGGAACACAGCCTTGTATTGCTCAGGTCTGGCCTCTAGTTCTGGTTTTAGATGGAAAGAGTGTTGAGTACCAAAGATCTAGCTTTTTGAAAATTTTATTTCAGGCCCTGCCTTTATGTAAACTGTAACGATCATTTGGGTCTGTACTCAAGAGGCAGGAGAATCACTTGAGCCCGGGAGTTCTGGGCTGTTGTAGTGCACTATGCCAATCAGGTGTCTGCACTAAGTTCAGCGTCAGTGTGGTGACTTCCCTGGGGACTCCCAGGGGACTGCCAGATTGCCTAAGGAGAGATGAACTGGCCAGGTCAGAAATGGAGCAGGTCGAAACTCCCATCCTGATCAGTAGTGGGATTGTGCCTATGAATAGACACTGTATTCCAGCCTGGGCAATATAGCAAGATCCTGTCTCTAAACAAAACAAAACAAAACAAAAAAAAACCCCTTGTCTGGAACAACTGAGTTTGGAGTTTGTTGTCCCCTTAGAGTCCTTGCTTTCATAGTGATTGTTTTCTTGTGTCCAAAGCATCCTTGGTAGTTTTAACTCTCCATGGGAATTGGTGAGCCATGGACATCATCTTGGAGCACACTTTGAATCTCAGAGCTTCCTTTGAGGGGACTGCTATGTTCTGGGTGCTTCTGGTATTCACAGGTTCTATGATTCTATGGCTGGACCCTTCTAGCATATGTGCCCTTTGGTGTCACTTTGTCAGAACCACAGCCAGTGCATGGGTCTTCTGATGCCATCCTGTGGCTCTCTTCCCCACACCATGCCTTGTTTTTTTTTTTTTGTTTGTTTGTTTTTTTGAAGACCTTCGAGTCTCGCTCTGTTGCTCAGGCTAGAGTGCAGTGGGGCAATCTCAGCTCACTGCAACCTCTGCCTCCTGGGTTCAAGTGATTCTTGTGCCTCAGCCTTATGAGTAGCTGGGATTACAGGTGCGTGCCACCACACCTGGCTAATATTTGTATTTTTAGAAGAGACGGGGTTTCACCATGCTCTCCAGGCTGGTCTTGAACTCCTGACCTCAAGTGATCTGCCCACCTCACCCTCCCACAGTGCTGGGATTACAGGTGTGAGCCATCGTGCCCAGCCACACTGTGCCTTGTTACTGCATGTCTGCTTGGGTCATGGCCCAGGTGTCATGGTGGAGGGGGCGGGGTTGGGAGGTAGAGAGTGCTGGCATTGGTGATTTGCCAGCAGGACACATGCCCAGGAAGATGGTCAGAAAAAGAGGGACTCCTTCACGTACGTATAAGTCAGCTTTAGCCTTAAAGCTTCAAACACCCACTCACTGCATTGAGGAGTCCTTGAGGTCCCTCACCTGCTCTTCCTGGTCTGACTAGATGCCAGGGAATTGGGAGAGAGGGACCTGCAGTGGGAGGGTCCTGGAACTGCAGTGACAGTAATACAGGCTTAAACTAGAATTCCTTCCTGGAAGAATTTCGGTCTTCCTCTACCCCAGCAGCCTTTCACTCCTTAACTTTAGTAGTGTGCCTTGGGGCTTGAGCAGCTGCTGCTTCTGTGGAGGTGACCATCCAGAGGGACCCTTTCACAGCTAAGTTCACTTGCACCTCCGTTTCTGCTTAAGGCAACTACAGTTTCGGGGGTGGCTGCCCCTGTTTGCTCATGATAATTCCTTATGAACTCTCCTGTTGATAAACTGAACTGGATCAGCTTTAGTTTCCCTTTAACTAAGGATTTAAGTCAAAGCGTAACCACAAGTGTCCTGTTCGTTTTCATTCATTTCAGTGCTGAACATTTATACACTGGGCTATGGATTTGATGTTTCCTTCCTGTCTTGGCTGAGATACCTGTGTGAAATATGAGTTTGCCATTTGGCAAACTCTTTTTCCTTTGACTAGTTAATGAAGCCAAAATATTGACGGGGGTGTGGAGTTAGGGGAAGAGGAGGTGTGCATGGTTACATTTGAAAGTTCTTCATGGTGCAGGAGAATCCAGTGCTTCACCCTGAGTAATTGTAATTAGGGTAGTAAGTAAACCCTTTCAGGTTTATTCTATAGCGATCATGACGAGTTATCTTGGGGAAGGGATAAAGAAGACTGTGAGAGGTTGTACAGTTCTGATCCTGTCAGGCTTTGAGAAGCAGACCTCAGCGTGATCTGAAGAGCCGGTACCCTGGAGTAGATGATTAACCAAGATAATGTTCCGGACAGTCTGCAGCTGAACTGAACTGGTGTCTCTGCATCCATTCATAGTTACCCAGTGTGGTTAATAACAAGTCCGTTGGGAGTTATGCCTGTGCTGGCCATAACTACCTTGTATTCTGGATGGGGGTCAGAGAAACTGAATGGATCGATTCATTCACTGAGTAGTGAGTGACTGCAGCCTTACTGAAGCCAGCTCCTTTCCAGCTCTTTGATGACATGCACTATTATTGTTGTTAACAGGTTGGCTAAAAAAGTAAACCTGGGAGAGTTGAGGCTTTGTTCCTCTGTCCAGCACTCAGATATTTCCTGTAGTCATTCAGTAAACATTTACCAAGTGCTTACTGTGTGCCAGGGACTGTGTTATCATAACCAGTAACTTTTTCTTCGTTAATGAATTATCTCATGCGGCGTGCATACAAAGAAGCCTTAAGAAGTGGAGGATAATGGGGGCCTGTCTCTCCCTGCTCATCCTTTGGGGCTGTCACATCACGGAAAGGAAGTAACAGTCAACTTAAATCAGTTTACTTTGGTAATAGCAGTTTTTGAAAAGGTTTGGAGCAGGAAATTGAAACTCTTGAGAAACAGGAGGTTTGGGGATTACTGCTGGATTTTTCTTATTCCTGCTATCCCAAGGACTTGATCCCAGTTACCACTGATAATGGACCCCTTTTATGTTTAACTGTCTTGTCAGTAAGTCAGTGACACATGCTGAGAATAGAAACCAGTACCATTCCATGTCGTAACCGCCAGCCTGTACACGCCCCGCTGGTTCTGTTGTTGTGATCGTTGCTACAGCGCTTAACATCAAATGCCAGCCTCATGCCTGGCACTTTACATCACACCTACGGCGTCCCCACCCCGGGAGCTTACCTTCCCTAGAAGTCCAGGACATTTTCTATGTTGGCACCACAGGAATAGGTAGAGGGCAAGGGACAGAAAGTTTTCCTCAGTAAAATGTGGTCTTTGCTTGAATCAATAAAGGCAACTATGTTCATCTGTTTTAATAGGAAAGGCCTGTAGGTAATTTTTTTTCTCCGTTAAAATCTGCTTTTAAAAATGTTTGGGGTTGAGTATAACAACAGATTGATAACTCTCTGTTCATCGCTTTTCCGTTCTTGCAAAATATGTGACTTGCAGTGGTTGACTAAGTGCTAGGCTCTGACGGGAGGAAATGAGACCCGTGGAACTCCTGGCCCCCTGCTCTGTAGGTGCCTCCAGACCAGGGAGGGGAGACAGGCATCAGGTGGCATGGCCAGGCCTTTTTTTTTTTTTTAATAGTGGATGGGAGAAAATGGGAATATGACTAATTTTATTTAATACTTAGGTTGTTTTGTCTGTTTGCTTTACTGGCATAGGGTCATCTTCAGCTGAAGAAGGATGTGCTGGTGCTTAGGAATGGCTGTCAGGAGCCATCGGTTTGCTCCTTCAAACAGGAAGGGCAATGCTGGCTTCAGCTAAGAGCGAGAGAGGTTCTTTCCCCAGACACCCAGTATGTCTCTCTTTGCAATCATTGGCTGAATTGACTCAGCTTTTCCTCCCATCCTTGAATCAGTCCCTGGTAGAGTAATGGAGTTACAGTGATTGGCTTAGGACAGTCAGCTGGAGAATCAGTCACACCACTCACCACAGCGGCCTCCTACTAAATATAAATGTGAGCGGGACTTAAAATAGAAGAAATGCACATCTAACAGGACCATAACTTAGGGATAAGGTACTGGACAAGGTAATGAAGAGGCGATCATGGCCCTTGTTTGTGTTTCCTCCGTTCCCTCGGCAGCCTTCTAGGGGACCCTCTAATGTGCTACCTCACTGTGTACCTGTCTCTCTATCCTGACTCCACCTGTCACTCTCTCTCGACTCTGGGAGTATAGCTGCTTAAGGCCAAGGCACTCTGTCTTACTATTTGTGGCCACTGTAGCTGGCACATAGCAGGGACTTAATATGGGTTTCAGCAAATTGAACGAAAAAGGATACTTCGTATTCCTTTGTGTTTAACTTTTATCAAACATTGCTTGAATCAAGTGGATTTTTTTTTTTTTGAGATGGGGTCTCACTCTCACCCAGGCTAGAGTGCAATGGCACTATCTGGGCTCACTGCAACCTCTGCCTCCTGGGTTCAAGGGATTGTTCTGCCTCAGCCTCCCGAAGAGCTGGGACTGCAGGCACCCACCACCACGCCTGGCTAATTTTTGTATTTCTAGTAGAGATGGGGTTTCACCATGTTGGCCAGGCTGGTTTCAAACTCCTGACCTCAGGTGATCCACCCGCCTTGGCCTCCCAAAGTGCTAGGATTACAGGCGTGAGCCACTGAACCTAACCACAAGTGGACTATTGATAGTATATTCATTGCACATTTTATAACAAGTTTATTGAGATATAATACACATACCATACAATTCACCTCTTTAAAGTGTACAATCATTTTTAATATGTTATCAGAGTTGTGCAGCTGCCACCACAGTCAATTTTAGAACATTTTAATCATCCTCCAAAAAACCTCTTTATCCATTGGCAATCTCTCCCTATTCTTCCCTTTCCCCAGGCCCTAGTAACTACTAATCTATTTTCTGTTTCTATGGATTTGCCTATTCTGGACATTCTGTAGAAATGGAGTCATGCCATATGTGGCCTTTTGTGACCAATTTCTTTCACTTAGCATGTTTTCAAGGTTCATCCATGTTGCAGCATGTATTTGGTATTTCATTCCTTTTTATGGCCAAGTAATATTTTGTTTTATGTATATACCACATTAAAAAATTCATCATCAGTTAATGAACGTTTGCATTGTTTCCTGTCTGGGGATATGAGGAATAATGTTGTTATGGGCATTCATATACATGCAAGTTTTTGTGTGGGCTTATGTTTTTTCCCTTTTTTCTGGGAAGTATGGCTTTGGCCAAGGCCAGAGTCAAGCACATCCTTATGTTTTTATTTCTCTTGTATTTATATGTGTCTGAGAGTAGAATCGCTGGGTCATATGGTTACTCTGTGTTTAACCCTTTGAAGAACTGCCAAACTCTTTTTCAAAGTGGTTGCATTATTATTGTTATTATTTTTTGAGACGGAGTCTTGCTCTGTCACCCAGGCAGGAGTGCAGTAGTGCGATCTTGGCTCACTGCAGCCTCCGCCTCCCATGTTCAAGCGATTCTCCTACCTCAGCCTCCCAAGTAGCTGGGATTACAGGTGCCTGCCACCATGCTCGGCTAATATTTGTATTTTTAGTAGAGATGGGGTTTCATCATCTTGGCCAGGCTGGTCTCGAACTCGTGACCTCGTGATCCACCTGCCTCGGCCTCTCAAAGTGCTGGGATTACAGGTGTGAGCTACTGCGCCTGGCCTGTTGTATTATTTTATACTCCCAGCAACAATATATGAGGGTTCTAGTTTCTCCACATGCTTGCAAACCTTATTATTATCTGTCATTTTGAATTAGTCATCCTAGTGGGTGTGTAATGGTATCTCAATGGATGTTCATCAATGAAAATAAACATTTGAATGGGCACCCATGGCATGTCAGATGCTCTTTCTTAGGTGTGGGGGCAAAGAGATTTGCAGCCTTCGGCTGTCTGTCTCTCTGGCCTCATCTGTTTTCACATCTTTCCTCTTGATTTATGTTCCCTAAATACCAAACTGTTTGTAGTCCTCATACTATCATGTCATTTCTTACTTCCAGATCTTTGCCTATAATCTAAATATTAATGCAGTGTGAATATTAATGCCATTACTAGTTAACTCTTAAACAGCCAATAAATTATAGAGCTGGCAGTCTGGCTCCAGAGTCTGTGTTCTGTACTACATACTCTTTTTTTCTTTTAAAATCAACTTTATATCGAAGTATAATTTATATAGATTAAAATGTACACTTTATTTATTTATATATTTATTTTTGAGACAGGGTGTTGCTCTGTTACACAGGCTGGAGTGCAGTGGTACAGTCTCGGCTCACTGCACCCTCAACCTCCCAGGCTCAGGTGATCCTCCTACCTCAGCCTTCTGAGTCACTGGTACTACAGGTGTGCACCACTAAACTTGGCTATTTCTTGTATTTTTTGTAGAGACGGGGTCTTGCTATGTTGCCTAGGCTGGTCCCAAACTCCTGGGTTTAAGCAACCCTCCCACCTTGGCCTCCCAAAGTTTTGGGATTACAGGCGTGAGCCACTGCACCCAGCAAATTGCACACATTTAAAGGTACATTTTGATGAGTATTAATGAATACATATGCCTGTGCAATCACCACTGCAATCAAGATACAGAGAATTTTTCTATTATCCATCTCCACCCCTTTCATTCTCTTCAGCCTCCCTGTAGTCCATATCCCCAGTCCCAGGCAATTACTAATCTGCTTTCTGTTGCTATAGATTAGTTTTGCCTGTTCTAGAAGTTCATGTGCTCTTTTGTGTCTGACTTCTATTTGCTCAGCAAAATGTTTTTGAGAATCAACAGCCAAGTTGTTGCATGTATTAGTAATTTGTTCCTTTTTGATGTTGAATGTTTTCCGCGGTATGGATATACCCCAATTTGTTTATTCATTCACCTGCTGATGGATGTTTAGGTTGTTTCCTTTTAGTATTATGCAGTTAAGTAGCTATGAACCTCTATAAACATGTCTTTTTCTGGACATATGTCCTCAGTTTTCTTGAGTAAATACCTAGGACTGTAATTGCTGAGTTGTATGTAACTTTATAAGAACTTGCCACGCAGTTCTTCAAAGTATGTGTACCTATGTTGGTTTTAATACAGATTCATCATTTCCTATCCATGTTGCTTGGGTAGATTATATTAATTCTTAAGAATCACCTCAGATATCACCTGCCCTAGGAAGCCTTTTTTTGACCCTTCTCATCTTCCCCTTCTTTGAGGTGAATTAGGGAGGCTCCCCCTCCAGGCTCCCTTAACACCTTGATGATTGAGTGTTCACTGGCCTATCTTTCCCATTAGACTGTGAGCTCCTTGAAGAAGGAAAATGCGTTATTATTTCTGTATCCCCAGGACCTTATATAGTATTTACCATCTAGATAGGTGCTCAATAAGGCTTGTGAATGGGCGACTAAATAGGACATTATTCATCTTTATTTTTATTTTATTTTTGAGACAGGGTCTATCTAGTTCTGTCACCCAGGCTGGAGTGCAGTGGTGTGATCTTGGCTCGCTGCAACCTCTGGCTCCTGGGCTCAAGCAGTCCTCCCACCTCAGCCTCCCAAGTAGCTAGGACTACAAGCACGTGCCACCACGCTGGCCAATTTTTGTATTTTTGTGTAGAGATGGGGTTTTGCCATGTTCCCAGGCTGGTCTCGAACTCCTAGACTCAAGTGATTCCCTTGCTTTGGTCTCTCAAAGTGCTAGGATTACAGGCGTGTACCACCATACCCGGCCCTTATTCAGCTTTGTAAGGGGGTTTATGGCCCTGTAAGGGAGATAAAATAGGCATGCAAATAACTAATGTGAAGCAGAAATTAATAGAGTTGAAGAACAAAGTCTGTGAGAAGTGAAAGAGAGTGATAGCTTTTAGTGAGGAGGATTTGGGAAGGCTAATAAAGGAGATGGGGTTTCAACTGAGCCCCCAAAATAGATTAGATGTGCTGAGATATTATTACCCGTTGATTCTAAAGGGATTTGACTTGATCTTCTGTTCTAAAAGATTGGTGAGGCTGGAAAATGAAGTTTATGTTTGGGAAGGTCACACTAAGATTCATCTTTTTTTTTTTTTTTTTTTTTTTTTTTTTTAATGCTTTGCTCTTCTCAGCCTACAGCGGGCACTAGGAGATACTGGAAATGTTTTCTGTTTGGCAGTAGAAGAATATAAATGTGGCGGTTTGTCTATCATCTCTCCAGATTCTAAAGGCTTCTAGGTGGGATTGAAAAGACTTCTCTTATCCTCTTTGCCTCTTACCCCATATGGTAATAGGTCACATAAGTCACACTATTGCCAAAGCTCTGCTTAGCCATTTGTCTGGTCTCTTTGGTCTCAGCCACCTGGCTTCACTATTTAGCACATATTTGTCCATTGTCTTCTATAGCACATGTTCATAGACTATTAGAGCTGGGAACTTTCAAAATAATCAAATGATAGGCCCTCCCTTTACAGAGGAGAATTGATACTGAAATCTAGAGACTAACCTGGTTAATAATAGTAAAGATAAAAGCTGCCATTTATTGACCATTTAATATGTATCGTATATTTGCATGCATTATGTAATCCTCACAAAGTGTAGATGTCTTCATTTTACAAATGAGAAAACTAAGGCAAAGTTTCAGATGGTATAGACAGAACCAGGATTCAAAGCCAGGTCTTTTCTCTACAGCATCCTACCCAGGCAAGGCCCCAGGTCCGTAGAGTTGCTGACCACAGAGGAGGAGGAAGTTGGGCCACAGCTCTCAGGTCTATGAGAGGGCGTTGTCACTGAAGTGGAGGAAACCAGGATTCTCTGCTTCCTAGAGAGACACTGAGATTGTTCCTTTAAACCACATATGATTTTTAAAATAAGATATGTAGAGCAGAAACCAATCAACTAGCATTGGCTTTGGTCAGAATTATTTTTATGATAAAGTAGAGCATATTTTTAAATTTTTAATTATCTAAGTAATATTCAAAAACACATTTGCACAGTAAAAGCATTAAGAATGTATTAGGTTGGTGCAAAAGTAATTGTGTTTTTTGCCATTACTTTTTTTTTTTTTTTTTTTTTTTTGAGACAGTCTTATCTCTGTCACCCAGTCTGGAGTGCAGTGGCATGATCTCGGCTCACTCCAACTTCTGTCTCCCAGGTTCAAGTGATTCTCATGCCTCAGCCTCCCAAGTAGCTGGGATTATAGGCGTGTGCCACCATACCTGGCTAATGTTTGTATTTTTAGTAGAGGCAGGGTTTCACCATGTTGGCCAGGTTGCTCTCGAACCCCTGACCTTGGGTGATCTGCCTGCCTCAGTCTCCCAAGTGCTGGGATTACAGTCATGAGCCACTGTGCCCGGCCATTACTATTACTTTTAATGGAAAAAACTGCAATTACTTTTGTGTCAACCTCATAGAAGGATGGAGAGCAAAGTCAGAGTTCCTCTCGTGTCTCCAACCCGTCTCTAGCATCACCCCTACCTTAGGTAAGAACCATTTATAGTTAGAGTTATCCATTTAATCCTTTTTCTATGCATGTATGTGCATGCATATGGACAAATACACATAGTTTTAGAAGGTTAATAAATTGTATCATTCTTTACATACAAAAAGAACATGTCATAAGATATTTCTGTCTGTACAAATAACAGTGTTTTAAATGCAGCATATGTATTTCATGATATAGATACACCCTTTTTGATGAACATTTAGGTTATTATTATTTTAGACGGAGTCTCGCTGTGTCACCCAGGCTGGAGTGCAGTGGTGCAATCTCTGCTCACTGCAAGCTCCGCCTCCTGGGTTCACGCCATTCTCCTGCCTCAGCCTCCCGAGTAGCTGGGACTACAGGTGCCCGCCACCCCGCCCAGCTAATTTTTTTGTATTTTTTTAGTACAGACGGGGTTTCAACGTGTTAGCCAGGATGGTCTCGATCTCCTGACCTCATGATCCGCCCGCCTCGGCCTCCCAAAGTGCTGGGATTACAGGTGTGAGCCACCGTGCCCGGCTGGTTATTTTAAAGTATTTGTTTATTATAAATACTGTGGCAGTTAACATCTATGCCTGTAATACTTTATAGTACCATAACAGTGATGTTGTTATGGTGTAGTACAGTAGGTGTATTTACATTGATATCAGTTACAGCCTGGTGTAATTACAGTTATGATGTAATGCCTTTAGAGAGAGGTTGGACAGTTCAGTTGCTGTCCCAAACCTGGCTGAGAAGATTACAAAAGATTTAAAATATTTCTACTGGTCTTTATTATTGAATGACTACACCCTCTGAAAAGTATGAATTGAGCATTATGATTGCTCATAGGTAAAAGGTTAGCAGGCATTTAATATGTGCTAGGTATTTTCTTGTGTATTCTCTCATTTGAGTCTTATAATAATCTCATAAAGAATGTGCTGCTATTCACTGTTTATCTGGAACTAAGACTGAGAAAGACTGTGGCTTGCATAAAGTGACACAGCTTCTAAGAAGCCAGTTCAAGATTTGAACCCTCATCTGATGATCAGTTTGTTTTTTCTTTCCCCATTTTCTGAAGCTGGTTCATTCTCTTAAGAACTGTAAGGAGAAAAATGATAGAAGGCAGAATATCTTTGAACTAATGAAATCATCGCATGAGCAGAGAAGCAGAGTGGGCATCCTGTGGATTTAGGGGAGGGAGGGGGTGGTAAAGCCTCTGAACCTGTCACTGGACTTGGAGGTGTGATTCATGACTTCAGGATAGTGGCTATGCTGAGAGACCTTGGTGTCTGACAGCAACGTCCTGCTATTGTAAGCTATGGATTTACTGTCATGCTAAGAAATAAATCATGACCAGGAAAGGCTGTATGTTTAGGTGCTGCTGATGCCTGTAGGCCCTCTCCAAACAGGAGAATGGCTCTCAGTGGATGAATTGTCTCAGCTTCCTCTGAGTTGTAATTTCTATGTGGGTCAAAGGGTTATTTTTAGCCTGTGGGATCCCTAGCTCTTTGAGGAGTGGCCTCGCTTACAAGGTCAGTGGAGTGGGATGATGGTCGGGATTTTTTTTTTTTCCCAGACGGAGTCTTGCTCTGTCACCCAGGCTGGAATACAGTGGCGCGATCTCAGCTCACTGCAACCCCTGCCTCTCGAGTTCAAGTGATTCTCCTGCCTCAGCCTCCTAGGTAGCTGGGATTACAGGCGCATGCCACCATGCCTGGGTAATTTTTGTATTCTTAGTAGAGACACGGTTTCACCATGTTGGCCAGGCTGGTCTTGAACTCTTAACCTCATGATCCACCTGCCTCGGCCTCCCAAAGTGTTGGGATTACAGGCATGAACCACCACACCTGGCGATGATCAGGATTTAAGGATTGTTTCTGAGCTCTTCCTGGACCCTGTGTTTTAGGTCCCCCAAAGAAGGTGTGAACAGCCTTTTGGAATCTGTTTTACTCTGGCAAAATAATCTGTGTCCATAGATTGCAGGAGGATGCTGTTGGTGTTATAATAATGCTCTCACATTTAAAAATAAGTTATCAAGTGTATTTGAGGAAGAAAACTAAGAAAATCTGGAAAAAACCCCACCATCAACAAAAGACATGCAAAACTCTAAAACTTGTAATAGGATAAATGATGTTCTTGTAATGAATGTGTCAGCATTTTAACACATGTGTGCTCAGTGTGTGGTGATGCAGGATGTGTATAACAGAAAGCACAAACGTGGTCTGTGTTTACATTAAATCTCCCACCTCCAAGACACACACACAAAAGGTCCCACTTGAGTATGTGTAATTACATCTCTGAATACTCCCTTGATCCTATTTTTTTCCTTTTCCCTAAACACATATTTTGGTTACTTCTCCAAAGATACATGATATATATTAGCCTCACTCAGAACCACAGGGAACATACTCAATTGAATCACACCTCTATGAGTAGTGTATAAAGTGTAACATTTTAAAACACCAGGGACCAGGGCTGGCAAGGTCCACGGGGAATCCTGAAGGCTGGTTTCCAGCCACAACTGTGCTGGAATGAAAATAGAAAACAATGAGGCATGTGCAGAGTCAGCTTTTCTTTGTGTCACAGCTCAGCAGTTTTTCTGCTGTCCTAAACTTTCCTAAAAAAAAAAAAAAAAAAAAAAAAAAAAAAAAAAAAAAAAAAAGGCTGGGGCTAAGGGGAAATGGTGCAGTTGCAGTTGAAATTTTTTTTTAATAGTAAAGACTGAAAATATAAACTAACAGCTGGTGCTGTAGGAACATGTGAAATGAAGAGTGAATTAATGGTGAGAAATCTCACTGCTCTTTGCTTGGCTGTGAGGACACGCGTAGGAAGGACTTGTGGAAACTTGTTTGGTAAAATAGAAAAAAAAGGAAAAGAAAAAGCTAAGTAACCATCAAGCCTTTTTCAGGAGTGGGGGAAAAATAAAAATTTATATACTCTAAACTTAAAGCTTTATTTATGATCATTATTTTAAATATCTGTAAATGCATCTGTAAAAAACTCCAGCCAAGACAGAGGGAGATGTGAATTATCAAGTATATTGACTTTTTTTTTTTTTTTCTGTTATCAGTAGCATCCTTCAGAAAGTACTGATTAAAAAGGAAGGCCATTCCCAGTTCTTGGTTTATTTGCCTCATAGCGCACCAAGTCAAGGTTGAGCTGGGGCCTTATTCCAGAAAGCACAGGCTTCCTTTCTGATTGGAAATAATATGTATTTTGTTTGACCTTCAGAATACTCATGGCTTTACTGGAATACATGGGCCAACATTTGTCCTGGCAAGGCCAGGGCAGTTTAAGATAGGTATCCACAGGGATTGCTTTATAGAGCAATTAAAAGCAGTGGGAGGGAGGTGACTGCAGAAATTCAGACGTTTGCATCCTTTCTGGCCTAAAAATCAAGTGAGTAATTTCAAAAAGCAGAATTTGAAAACAAACAAACAAGCACTTCTAGAAGTTTCTGTCTGAACACTTGAGAATTTTGCCAAGGTCATAGTGTTCTTTATTTTTTCTTTTTCCTTACATGTTACTTTCTGAAATATGATCATAGTGTTCTTTTGCAACTGATCTTGGTGTGAAGAGGGGGTTACATCTTATATATTACACAGTGCTAATATGTGTAATATTAACATTTTTTTGAAAGATTGTCAAATATGGACCGTGGAAAACAGTTTCCATGCCGTTTGAACGTTATGTTCTTTATGATGCTTTGTTTATAAAAATATTGTTAGATAGCCAGGGATGTTTACTACTGCCAGCTGGAGTTAGGCCTCATGGTAGCTTTTTAAAGTCAGGCTGGAGGTGAATTCAAAGCCTAACACAGAGTTTCAAGTTATTGTTCTTATTTGAAGTAAATGCATAATTGGAGACTGTATTCTGATTTCTTGAATTCTTAGCTATGCCAGTAATTCTTGTTTCTTAGGGCCACAGTTTGGTTCTGTCAAATGTGTAGTTGTAGAGATGATAAATGAGTACTCAGAGATTAGATGAATTCATATATGGTGACATTAAGATGTTTTCTTTAATAAGAATACCTATTATATGGGAGTAAGTGAAAATAATCATGTCTTAATGTTGTTGAAATCCTGTATTCATTTGGGGGAAAAAAAGTAAGTACTTTGTATTCTGCTTATGTAAAGGGATATGAAAGAATGTATATAACTAAATTTCTTAATGCTTCATTTTGCTTTTGATGTGCAAAATATAACTTTACTGCTAGGTAAAATTATACTTGAATATTAACAGTTATTGCATGAGTTTAAAGTTTCAGTTGAGCCCAATATATGGGAACCACGCAGTTTCTAGTGATTTTCAAAATATAGTCCCATAAAGATGAAAGAGACTCAATAGCTGAAATAGGTGGTACACTTGATTTAAGTGAACATTTGCTAACCCAGGAAGAATCAGGAGCCATTCCAACACTGTAGCTGTGTACCATAGATACAAAATAATATGTTATCCAACTTAGTATGTATTTGCTTACTGCAGTTGAGAACGCAGGAGTGGTCAGTGAAGTGTAGGGATTAGGGAAAATAATTGAGAAAAATGAGGAGAAAGAAAGAAAAATAGATGTTTTGGTAATCTTTGTCAAATGTTTTCTCAAAGACCAGGCTCAGATTTAAAATATTATGCAGATGTAGTCTTTGGCCTCTGGTAGTTTCTGATAGGAATTCAGCCTTGAGTTGAACTTTGAGATGGGTTGTTTTCTTTTCGTTTTTTTCTTTTTTAATTACTAAGTGACCAATCTGTTGTAGTTTGTTGATCTATTTTTTCCTCTTGCCATCCTTCTGTTGCTTTCTCCATGAGCTGCTGTTTATTCTGGAATGTTGAACATCCACATTTAGAATTAGGATTTGTGTGGCTCTATCTTAACCAGGAATGGAAAAAATCCAACCCAGTCTTTCAATTCATGGGTTTAAGTGGATTCAGAGAGGTTCTCATCCACAGTGACAGGTTCAGAATTCCCACTTCTAAAGCCCCCGTTTCATTAGGTAATGAATATACAAGCTGAGCCCTTCCAGGTTCACACTGTGGAGGCTTCTCCACTCCTCTGTCTTGGTTGGCTTTCTTCCTTGGGGTGTTTGGGAAGAGTCTGATTACAGCCAACTTCTTTCCTTGTCAGTTGATTTTATAACACAAACCATTAAAGTTCAAACTTTTTGTTCAGCAGATTGATTTCATTTGTCTCTTCTATAGGGATCTCACTTAGAGTTTATAGAATTCTTTGCTATCCTTTACTTTAATTCATTTTGGCAAGGTATGTAGTATTAACTCCAGGTGAGGCAACCAAGAGAGGGGCCCTAAGTCAAGGAACTTGTTAATGGCAGAGATGAGCCTGGAACCCAGGCCTTCTAGGTCCAAATGTAGTGTTCTTTCCTCTGTGCTCCCAAGGTTCCCATTGTATCCTGTGGGCTTCTTTTTTGTAACGTAAAGTGGGTAGTGAGGAGAAAGGAGGTTCTTTTCTGTTGATCTTTCATATACTTATTGATGTTATCTTTATATTTTTATAGAACTTCCTGATTTAATTAAACACTTCTCAAATGCCATGATCTCATTTGTTTTCATGATGACCCTGAGGATTAGCTAGGACAGGACTATCCCTATTTTATTTTATTTTATTTTATTTTATTTTATTTTATTTTTAGATGGAGTCTTGCTCTGTCACCCAGGCTGGAGTGCAGTGGTGCGATCCCAGCTCACTGCAACCTCCGCCTCCCGGGTCCAAGTGATTCTCCTACCTCAGCCTCCCAAGTAGCCGGGATTACAGGCCCCCACAACCATGCTCGGCTAATTTTTGTATTTTTAGTAGAGTTGGGGTTCCACCATGTTGGCCAGGCTAGTCTTGAACTCCTGGCCTCAAGTGATCCACCTGCCTTGGCCTCCCAAAGTGTTGGGATTACAGGCGTGAGCCACTGTGCCTGGCCTCAAAAATGCCTGCTTTTATAAATTGC
This sequence comes from Homo sapiens, assembly GCF_000001405.40. Lineage (NCBI taxonomy): Eukaryota > Metazoa > Chordata > Mammalia > Primates > Hominidae > Homo > Homo sapiens. Next base: position 91,814,992 of record NC_000001.11, on the reverse strand, counting down.
TCACAGTATAGTAGAGATTTTTACAGTTTGGAGGGTGTTGGAGGTTAATTTTGTTGAAGGAAGTAATTTCTCTAATGTGGAGGAGGTGGTAATTTAGAAGACTATGTTGTAGAACTGCAGCCGGGTATATGTTTACTTTTGTGAGCGCCTGTTTTATTTGCCCGTTTATTTATACCTATGCATTTTGATAGAAAAATAAATATAGTTCTGTTTTGGCTCCCTGAAATAGTTTTTATATTTTCTGGAATTTCCTCACTTATTGTCTTTAATATTCCTAAGTTTTATTATGACTCATTTTGGTCATACAATAGTAGAAGAAGTAGGTGTCGGCCTGTTTGAAGGGGTTTATTAAGTAATTTGGGGAAGTATATTTTTGAAGCCTATAAATATTAATTTGTCCCTGGTGTTGAGATTTGTCTTGTGGTTGTCAGTTGTGCATGTTCTTATATGTTTTGGATAGGGGAGAGTAAAAAGGGGTTGAGCATAGTTTATTTTTTTCTTTGGCTCAAATATGTAGTTTTACCATAAACCACGGAAAGTTTCCTGTTCTTGTTTGATTAAAAAAAAGTACACTTCCATTCATTGTTTCCATGTAACTTCCTATACTTTTTACTAAAAAAGGTTGAAATCTAGGATAAATTATGAGCTATCTCTCGGGCAAAGAAACGATTTCATTTCAGGAAGGAGCTTAGGAAGCGAACCTTCTTGAGTATGAGAAACAGTAATAGCCCTTGGCATGTATGTGTGTGTGTGTATATATACATACATATACATATACATATGCCTTTCCTTACATAATAATGATTTGCAAAGAGTGAATTTGGACCCCGACTTCTAATCAACATGGAAAGGCAGGGAAGATTCCATGTCATGGCTGGATTTTAGAAAGCTGCAAATGGTATTGTACCATAGAGCAGGGGTCCCCACCCCCAGGCCACGGACCTGTTAGGAACTGGGGCACACAGCAGGAGGTGAGCAGCGGGTGAGTGAGCATTACTGCCTAAGCTCCACCTCGTGTGAGATCAGCAGTGGCATTAGATTTTTATAGGAGTGTGAACCCTGTTGTGAACTGCGCATATGAAGGATCTAGGTTGCCTGCTCCTTATGAGAATCTCACGAATGCCTGATGACCTGAGGTGGAACAGTTCCATCCCAAAACCATCCTCTCCTCCTCGGTCTGTGGAAAAACTGTCTTCCATGAAACCAGTCCCTGGTGCCAAAAAGGTTGGGGACTGCTGCCATAGAGGGGCCTTTGGGTGGCCCCGTTAGGTGTTTTCTTTGTGAGGTGGTGCTTTCCAGCCTGCCCTGGACTCTGTGGTTCATGGTAGATCATTCGTACTGACCTGGACCAGGGAGCACTGGTAGGAGTATCTGATTTCTATGAACAGTGCTTGCTGGCACTGACTCAAGAAAGAAGACAGGAAGGAATGGTGAATACAACTTCCATTGAGAAACTAGAGTGGAAAAAATGTGCAAATTATGCTAAAATTGTAATTAATCTGGGCTGTACAGGTTGAATATCTCTTCATCCTGAAAGAAAAGGGGAGGTCACCATGAGAAAATGGGATTGAGGGACCATAAGAACTTTGTCATACCTAGTTATACATTTGTTTTTTTCTCTTAGAACTTCTGAAAAGCTTGAAGCCCCAGAAGCAATAGAATAGAGCTTTTAGCATGGTTTTGTTGTGAACTAAATTCCCAACAGTTCACCTTTAGTGCATAAGCTTAACTTTCTTTGATGGTTTGCCATTCAAATTAGATTACTGTGGACAGTGTCCCTAATATTGTCACTAATATTATGATACAGTATCAGTTTTACAGCAGGTTTGTGCATCATGAAGGAAGTCAGAACGTTTTAGTGAGTTACAAGGAAAATAGCCATCAAAAGTCCATATAGGTTACTCTGTGGATGGGTTGGGGAGCCATCTTCTGGTCTTCATCCAGACTTGATTGACTTAAAATTGAGTATATAAGAGTGTAAAAGATGGTAAGTGATAGGCTTGAGGCAGAGACACAGGCCTGCAGCCAGAACTGGAAAAAAACCCACAAGTATGAAAAGTATAGGCAAAACTATAAAGCAGCCAGGCACGGTAGCTCACACCTGTAATCCCAGAACTTTGGGAAGCAGAGATGGACAAATCACCTGAGGTCAGGAGTTTGAGACCAGCCTGGCCAACATGGTGAAACCCCATCTCTACTAAAACTACAAAAATTAGCTGGGCATGGTGGTGAGTACCTGTAATCCCAGCTACTCAGGAGGCTGAGGTAGGGAGAATTGCTTGAACCCGGGAGGCGGAGGTTGCAGTGAGCTGGGACGGTGCCATTGCACTCCAGCCTGGGCGACTGAGCGAGACTCCACCTCAAAAACGAAACCGAAAAAACTATAAAGCACAGAAATATGGGACCATTTGGTAGATATAGTAACTGAAATCACATCAAGTTTTAATAAACTAATTAGTATTCATAATGGCAGCCCTACATCTTCAAGAAAAATATACAATAAGCGAGTTTCAGGATGCTCAAAATATTTAAGATGGCCAAGAAGAAATTATGCATGTAGTACATTTTAGGCAGATTTTCCTTAAAACTGACTAAAGACACTTACTTTTTTGAAACAAGAAAAGACTTAGTTATTTGGATAATTTGCTTATGTGGAATATCTCATTGCCAGTCAATGTTGAATAAGTGAGGCATTTATTGTGTGGCGGAAAGGTGGTTCTTTGGGCCAGATGAAGTAAGGTGGGAAGAAAGGAATATGAAATACTGAGAGAAGGAATTACTACTTTAAATAATAGATGTAGCTTTGGTATGTTTTTCTGTGCAAATCTTGAGACAAAGCCCTTTTTGTTGGAGGAAATGGCATGCAAGGGATTTTATTTTCAGTTTGACCATTTGCAAGTATTAGAGCTGTCTCCATGGGAGAAAGGTGAGTTCCCTCTGGCAGTGTGGTTTACGAAGGTTTGCTTGGGAGGAAAAGAGAGGAGCTAGTTGATCCAGAGTGGAAAAACACCAAAGCAAAGTTTTCTCCAAAATAACACACACGGATTTCTGAAAAACAGCAGTTACTTTCACTGAATGTGACAAACTTCAAAAAAAAAAAAAAAGGGAAATCAGCTTTGAAACATCATATGACACATCTGTTTTGGAAGGTTGCTTTGTCAGATACAGATGTATGTTTTACAGTATGTTACTATGTAAAGTTTCGTCTTGAGCAAGCTCAATAGATGTTTTTCTGAACAGGTATCTCATTTATCCCAGTTTTAAATTTTTGGGGGAGAGTTTATTAAACAATAATAGTACAGTACTTTATCTTATTTTTAGGTTAAATACAATTTGATTGAATTATACCCTTCTCTCTTAGCCTTTTATTGAACTGATATCTCTGCTTAGATTTTATCCTTTCAGAAATTGCTTATTGACCCGACACAGCAAAATCCAAACTTTTTGATATATGTCATGGCATATATCATGCCAAGATCACAAACTCCATCACATGCTTTTAGCAAATAAATGCCAGTTTGCTTCTTGCTTTCATACCTACAATAATGCAAATTATTGGTTTAAAAAGTTAAAAATCACTGATTCTTGCTTTATTACAGGCCTCTTAAATTGAGACCTTGGAAAAGTATTTTCTTGCAAGAGCTGATGTTTCCTATTATTATTATTATTAATTTATTTTTTAAGACAAGGTCTCACTGTGTCACCCAGACTGGAGTGCAGTGGCACTATCTTGGCTCATTGCAGTCTTGACCTCCCTGGGCTCAAGGGATTCTCCCACCTCAGCCTCCTGAGTAGATGGGACTACAGGTGTGCACCACCATGCCTGGCTAATTTTTTAATCTTTTGTAGAGATGAGGTCTCACTCTCTTGCCCAGGCTGGTCTCAAACTTATGGGCTCAAACAATCCTCCCACCCTGGCCTCCCAAAGTGCTGGGATTACAGGTGTGAGCCACTGCACCTGCCTGTGATTTGTTTCCTTTTTATGATATCTATGTGAGCATCATATTTTCTTTTCATCCTGCCTGCTAGAAAGCGCAGAGCTAGGTTTGGCACTCAAATGATGTAGTTTCCTTTAGCTAAGTGCTTTGATGAAGTTTCTCTTTTGCATTTTTTTTTCCAGAACACATCTCATAGTTGAAGAGATGGTAATAATTACAGTAATACAATAATAAAAATGAGTTGATCCTAAGAACAGTCTTATGGGGCAGATCCTGTTATTATCCCCATTGTATAGATAAAGAAACAGAGGCAGGGAATGGCTAAGTAGCTGCCCCAGGTTAAAAGGCTAAAATGTGGCAGCGCTGGGATTAAACGTAGGAGACTGGCTCCATAGTCCTTAGAGAATTAGCAGCTTGGGAGTTTGGTTGTTTGGCACATGAATTCATCACTCAACAAATGTTTATGAACACGTGCCGCATGCCAGGCACTGTGTCAAGCACTGGGAGAGAGGAAGTAAAAGAAACACAGTCCTTGCCCTCATGGAGTTTCTGGTAAGTAGAGGACACACAAACATATGCCCAAATAAATGAAGCAATAGATTTATAAAAGCTTATATTTGCTATAAAGGAGTAACAGGTGTAACAGTTTAAGGGACCTCTGAATTTTATCAGGTGCAATACAAAAGTGTAGTTCTGGGCCAGGCACGGTGGCTCATGCCTGTAATCTCAGCACTTTGGGAGGCCAAGGCAGGTGGATTGCTTGAGCTCATGAGTTTGAGACCAGCCTGGGCAACATGACAAAACCCCGTCTCTACAAAAAATATAAGACATGAGCTGGTGTGGTGGCACACACCTGTAGTCTCAGCTATTCGGGAGGCCGAGGTGGGAGGATGGCTTGAGCCTGGAAGGTAGAGGTTGCAGTGAGCCCAGATCGCACCATGGTACTCCAGCCTGGGCAACAAAGCCAGACCTTGTCCCCGTCCACTTACCCCCAAAAAACTGTGGTTCTGAACCACAGCAACTGAGCCGAGCACAATCCTTCTGTCTCTCTAAGACCCAGTCTACACTGAGTAGTTCTGTTGATGGCACTGCTTGATGGGCCTGTAACTGCCACAAGCTCTGGAAAAACCAGGTCCACAGCTTCTCAGAGCCTTTTAGCTTCACTGTGAAAGGAGCAAGAGCACACCAGTGACCAGGTGTTCATAATTTCTCTGCAAATGTCAGCTCTCAGTTTCCCTCCTAACAGAAGCACCTGAAGCAGCAGGCTAGCTAGCCTGAAGAGGAAGGAATAGAGTTTAGTCTTATAATTGGGACCTATATATTAAGCTGAATAATTTGGCATTCAGTGTTAAGCATTTGACTCATTCCTGTAACCAATTGTGAGTGCCCTGATTATGTATAAACTCCTTAAAGTAAATGTGTTTTAGTTCGTGGCCCAGTGTGTACACATGGCTGTAATTAACAATATTTTGCACAGCCAAACCAAAAGTTTGCAGATTTTCCTTTTTTAATCCATGGTCTCCTATCTGCAATCAGGACCAGTGGTTATAGGCGATGATTCAACTCCCCAGCAGTTGTGGTTTCCCCCTTCTGCCCTTCCTGACCCTCTTACAGTTTCTCATCTTGCCACTTGTCTCTGCTTCAGACTCTGCACCCCAGACCCTGGCCACCAGCCCTAACAGAATGCTCACCAGGCCCAGAGCATGCCACATGCAATGCATGTTATTCCTCCGTGCTTTTGCACACATTCTTACCTCTCTTTCTCCCATCTTTTTCTTTCTTGCTAGACACCAGTTTGCAAATGATAAAAAAGAGAAAATTAGTGATCATCTTAGGTACAAATCAAGGTCTGAGAGATGAACAGATTTGGTAATGTCATCCCTCAGGGTTAATGAGGTGTAGCTTTGTAGCTCTGCAAGTCTTACTTTGCCATCAGATATTGCATTAGTAGGAATTAAGTTGTAATTTTTTTATGGGATAAAGTTCAGTTTAATATTTTGAATCTAAGTCGATAAAGCATTTGCATTTTAATAAAGAAGTGTACTATCCTTCAGTTATTTTGTATCTGCCAAATTCATAGGGTAGGAGAAAAAAGATCTTATTTTCTCCCATCCTTCAAACCTTCAGATTTGTTCTTGGTCTCTGTTCTGAGCCAATTAGGCAGTAACATCCCATAAATTCTTATCCCCTCCAAAATGAATGCTGTAGCCAGTGTCTCCTTCTGTTTAAGCTTCCTTCTTGTGAGAAGAATAGGGACAGGTGCACCATATTATTGGTCAAAAGTAAATCAGTGCTCGGTGTGGTGACTCACTTCCAGTACTCTGGGAGGCTGAGGCAGAGGCAGGTGGATCACCTGAGGCCAAGGGTTTGAGACCAGCCTGGCCAACATGGTGAAACCCCATCTCTACTAAAAATACAAAAATTAGCCGGGTGTGGTGGTGCATGCCTGTAATTCCAGCTACTTGGGAGGCTGAGGGAGGAGAATCACTCGAACCCAGGAGGCGGAATTTGCAGTGAGTTGAGATTGCGCCACTGTGCTCCAGCCTGGGCGACAGAGTGAGACTGTGTCTCCAAAAACAAAACAAAACAAAATACCAAACAAAGTAAATCAGAAGAACTGTTGGCCAAGATGATGCCAACTGATTGTCTTTATGGATTGATGGAATTCCCTGGAGGCAGAAACATGGCCTGTTCTCGCCTTTGGGAGTTGTACTTCCAGAATGTGCTCAGAGAACAGGAATTTTTACTCTAATACTGTGCATAGTTTAATTTAATTAAAAAAATTTTTTTAAAGAGATGGGGGTCTGGTTATTTTGCCCAGGCTGGTCTTGAAGTCCTGGCCTCAAGCACTCCTGCTTTGGCCTCCCATAGTGCTGGGATTACAGGCATGATTACAGGGAGTACATGCCCAGCTGTAGTTTTATTTTAAGTCTTTCCAGTGCAATTCATAGAAATAATTTCTGGGGAGTAATGCTAGGGAGTAGTATAAGAACATCTTATCTTAGATATTTTATTAATCATTCTAAAAGTTTTTAGAGAAAACAGTTTTTGATTGGAGAAAATGTTCTCATTCATTTATTTCTCTTCCCCTCAAGGGACTTTATGTCTCTAATAGTATTTGAAGTTTGTAAAGCGTTTTCACATATAGTGCATCATTTGATCTATAAGTCAAGCCTGTCATAGAATAAGAGATCATGGAATGCTTAAAACCCAGCTCCTGTATCTCCTGGTTCACTATTTCCCGGTGCTTCTGTAATACAAGGACACCTCTTGCTATGTCCAGTGGTGACTTCTGAGACATGCCACTGCTTCACTTCAGGTCATAAAAACCATGAAACATAACAGCACCACTTCCTCAGAGGGCTGCAGAAATCCCCCTCTGTTGGCACGTCCAGATTGTATAGTGGTATCTTGTTTAGATGGAAGAGTATGTGCCTTTTATAGCTTGGCACTTCCCAACACTTTGAGAATTTGGATTCCTAAAGAACCTGTGCCCTTTGTTTCCTTTTGAACATTTGAAAACACAATTGAATACAGGAAATTCTCCAACATGGTTGCTCCATGATTTCAACACAACAATACACAAATATGCACTGGCTTTTGGCCCAAAAAGTTGGTGGTTGACTTCTTGGAAGAGGGTTAGTTTGTTAGGAGGAAGGTTTGGATGTAGATTTTGCTTGGAGGGTGAAAGAAACCATGATAAGATATGCCTAAGAGTTGTGCTGTAGAAAAATCTAGTTTTTTTCCCCCTGAGAAATCCAAATTACAAGTTTTAGGACTTGTCTACCTTTTTCCTACTAGGGATAAGCTTCAGCCTGAAGCCAGGTTTTATTGTTGAAAAACCCAGGTAGGAGCTGTGGTAGAAGCGCCCTCTTTGGAGTTTAATGGTGGTACATTCCACCGCTCCATCCCCAAGGCGCTGTAGTTCCAATGAATTGTAATTTGAGATGGTACAAACATGAGCATATGTTATGTACACGTCAGGCGTGTTTGTGAGCTCAGGGCATTCCAGGTGTTTTTTTCTTGGAGCTTTGTTTTTGCGTCATATCCTGTGTTGGTAACATTCCTTCTCATGAAGCTCGATTGAAGTGAGGCAGTGCTATTGGCTGAGAAATCATCCTGGGTGCCCTTTCTTACAGATTCTTGCATCCCATGGGGGTAGAAAGGATTTTCAGCCCAAGGGCAGAATAGATCCTGTAGTACCCAGTCCCACAATCTGTGGGAGTTTGTCCCTCTTTGCAGCTGACAGCATTTCAGAATTCCCTGTGGGACAATAACAAAAACCTTATTAGCCAATGGTGTCATTAGAATAAAATCTCCCCACTGCGATGTCTTGGTCCCAGCCTATAATGTTACCCCTTAATTCCCTCTGCATCTTTACCACTTTTATTACAGCTGAACACACGCTCCTCATTAGAACCCTGGGTGATATGGGGAATCAGAGTGCTGAAAATTATGTGGAATAGGTACCAGATGTTTGTGTCAACTTGGTATGCATTGGTATTTAGAATGCTTGAGGATCACATTTATTAAATGTGAAAATTACTTACTATGTCTTCTCCAAAACATTACCCCCCCCGCCAGTATTTTTGTCCATGTTGCATGAGGTGTGATATTAGTAATTTCTTTTGGCACTGATTAAATTTAAAGTCTGTGCAGCAAATGCATCTGTTCCCAAATGCTTTGTCTGCGTTCTGTCGAGTTTTGGAGCTGGCCCACCGCCAGCAGGGATGTGGGGGTTCTGTAACTGAGATTGGAATGCTGTGTTGCAGCTAAAGGACATAATGAAAGGGTGAGTCCATTTGATTTTTTTCTTTAAGTGGAACTGGGAATTTAGACATTGATGTTATAGCGAGATCTTAGGAACGTTTCCCATGTGTCCAGATAAGCAAGCATTAGTGAAAAGGATGGAGGAGGGCATTTGGTAAAATGAGAAACGAGTTTCATTAAGTTCATGAAGTCTTTTAAGTCAACCAAAGGTGATACGTGTGAACCGAGCAGTTTATTTTATTTTAGTAGATATGAATGAATGTTTACATTTGGCCTATGCATCTGTTCACCCAGTCCTGAGGCGAGGAACTGGAAAGTACAAGGCAGAGGCAGGTGGTGCTCTGCCAGGGGAAAAGTCTGGAGCTGGAGTCTCAGAGACCCAGGTTCAAATCCCCTATTGCCACTTCCTGCTGATGTGTTTCTTAGCCTCTCATGAGCTCCAGTTTCCCATCACTCTAAAATGAGGGCATTAACACTGTCTTCACAGTGGTATTGTGAGAATCAGAAACATGTACAAGATGTGTGGCCCCTAGTGGTGTGGTAACCATACATATGAAGAGTTAACCCCCAGCTTCTCACACAAGGCAGCGGCCCAGGGAGCCACCATGTGCTTCACAGTGTGGCCTCAGGTGGCCCAGCTGCTGAGCACCCGAGCGGTGGGGGCCTGCTTTGTGAAGGAGGCTGGTTTGGCAGTGGCCTTGGCAGTGTGGCCGTGGTCTGGGCCACCTGGGGAGTTTCTCACCAGAGTTTATTTGAATTTGTGCTGTCTTCAGGTCAGTAAATATTTTTGTCAGTAGAAGTAGCATCTTGTGGGTGAAGGGGGCTGTGCCTCTGTGCTGGTGGCCGAGGAGAGTGTACCAAACAGAAGAGCAGAGCCTGACTTCAGTTCAAACAAGACACGACACCCGGCAAGATTTTGAGATCAGATTTCTCGAGTAAGCCAGCAGGGGAGGATTAAACTCAGCTCACACTTTGAGTCCAAGGAAAAGTTAGATTTCTTTGGGAGCTACCCTTAAGGAATCTTGTACTCGTCACATACCAGATGCCCAGAATGAACTGAAATATCCAGATTGGGAGGCACCAGTGAGGATTGTCTCTGGAGGTGAATCCATATGGACATTACTGCCAGGAAGCACTTTTCTGAAATACACATTCTACCTCTGTGTGGCTCACAACAGTTTACTTATAGTGGGTTATAGAGTTTCTGTGAGGCTTTGGATGAAGTATCTGCAACATGCCTTTTCATGATAGAGTATGGTGTGAAGTGAGCACGCGTGTGTGCTTATGAGCATTGTTGCTTTCAGGTGTGTTCTTTCGTCATCGTCCACGCCCTGGTTGATCCTTACGTGGTAACACAGCTTTTGCTGTGCTGCTGATAAGGAGCATCATCAGAGCATGTCACTCACTTGGCTCTTGACTGCAGGGAAGAGATTGCGTAGGGAAGACGGGATGTGGGTTTTCAGCCGTGGCCACAGGAGACACTCCCAGCCTTTTGAGGCTGCCGGTGAGGGCCTACAGTAGCAGCTCCAGAGCTCACAGGTCACCACAAAAGTGAGCAGATGAGTCAGATGGGGTTTCGGAGCATGTTTTCCTGGTTTCCAAGCCTTCGTGGCTGGGAGGTGCTATACTCGGGCCCCATGGTGGTCAAGTGAGAATCTGAGCCACTGTGTTAACTCAGGCACTTGTGCTAGAGCCTGTGGGGTGGATCATGCTGTTCCCAGGTGGAAGCCTTCCTGAATGGAGCTGGCCCTGGCATTGTGCAGACAGATTGCGGAAGGAACCACTATGAGGCCAAGGGGGAAGGATGGGAGACAGGTTCATGAGCTGGCTGTGGCAGAGGGAAAGGGACAGGAAGGCTAGGGCCTGACCCAGAAGTGGCAGGATGAGGCTGGGGCTGTGGTGTGCCAACGGAGAGATAGAGGATTGTCCTGCCACCTGGAGAGAGGGGATTGGCCAGAAGAGTGTCCGGGAAGAGAAGACAAAAACAGATTTGTGTTTCCTGCTTTCTGTGACAGTTGAAGGTGGGGAAGCCCCAACTGGGACTTGATTCTTAGCAACCAAAAATGCCACCTCCTTCATTTCATGGTTGGTGTTTTTTTTTTCTGCCCCTTTTAGTATAAGAGTGAGGCTTTGGCTCTCAGGTAAAGAGTGAAAGCAGGAAGTCTGAGACAGACAGTCCCTTATTGGCACAAAGCCCATGCAGCATGCATCACCCCATGGTTCTTCCCCATTTCTCAGCGATAATTGAGTGTCTGTTTTGTGCCAGATACTGTGCTGGGGTGAGGCAGGCAGCAGCAGACAGAGTGGTTGGGTTCTGTTCTTTCGTGGTGTTTGCAGTCTTTGGGAGCATGTAGATGTGAAACCAATAATTGCACAAATAATTATGTACATCTCATCACAGGAAGTGCTGTGGAGAGAAACGGAGAGTACCATGAGAGTATGAAAAAATACAGATCTAACACAGTGAGGGAGGTTTGGGGAGCTTCCTTGAGAGATCAGTAGAATGAGCAGGAGTTTGTCAGGCCATGGTGGTGGGAAGGAACAGAAACGGTGGGGAATGTGTTCCTGGAGGAAACCTTGCTATTCAGAGGCTCCTTTGGGACAAAGGTTGGCACTTCTGATGAAATAAAAGAAGGCAAGTACATTAATTAGGGTAGGTTAAGCTACAAATGTCAGAAAACCCAAAATAACATTGGCTTATATAAAAAAAAGAGTTTACATTTGTTTCCTATTAAAAAAAAAAAAGCAGTTCAGAGCTGATCCCGTGGCTCCATGTTCATCAAGTACCCAGGTGGCTTCTCAGTTGCTGTGCCCTCCTCAGCATGCTGCTTCTGTCTCATGGCCCCAAAGGCTTGCTCTAGTGCTGCCTGTTACATCCACATTCCAACCAGCAGTCAGAAGGAAATGGCAGAAGAACTGACCTCCTTCCCTTCATACAGGAAGCTGCCAGCTGCTAGCGGGATTGGGAAACATAGCTTTCGTTCTGGGTGGCTGTGTGTCCAGCTGGCACTTGAAGAAAGGAGAATGATGGCTATAGGGAGACAGTGAGCACTTCTGTGCTTCACCAGAATGGCCAAAACACGGGAGCAAGTGTCCGAGGAATGAGAGACGGGGCCGTGGCAGGAAGCAGGGCCAGATCTTGGAGGGCCTTGTAAGTCACGTTGAGGTTTTGGGGCTTCATCTGGACAGCAGAGATGGAGTGATAAGTCTTTTAAAGCAGAGAAAAGCAGGATCAGACTTGGGTTTTTCAGATCAGTTTGGCTGCTCTATAGAAGACATTTTGGTGGAGATAAGAATTAAGAGCATCTTGCAGTAATCAGGGAACGAGAGACGATGGTGCCCATGGAGATGGAGAGGAGGGGTCAGAGTTGAGTGGCCAGAGAGAGAATCCATTGGGTGAGGAGAGGGAAGGGGTGATGTTGGGGCACCTCCCCCAGGTTGGTGCCAGGTGTACGTAGGAAGAGGCTGGTGCCATTTACTTAGGGAGGGAATGAAGGAGGAACAACAGGCACGAGGGGTAAAGATCCTGAGTTCTGCATGTTGAGATTGGGTGTCCATGAGACAAAAGTAGATGGTGAAGGAGCTGTTGAATATTCAGGCCTGGAGCTTAGAAAAAGAAGTATGGGCCAGGCATGGTGGCTCACGCCTGTAATCCCAGCACTTCAGGAGGCCAACGCAGGTGGATCACATGAGGCCAGGAGTTCGAGACCAGCCTGGCCAATATGATGAAACCCCATCTCTATTGAAAATACAAAAATTAGCTGGGTGTGATGGCGGGCGCCTGTAATCCTAGCTACCTGGGAGGCTGAGGCACGAGAATCGCTTGAACCTGGGGAGTGGAGGCTGCAGTGAGCTGAGAGCGCGTCACTGCCCTCTCGCCTGGACGACAGAGCGAGACTGTCTCAAAAAAAAAAAGAAAAAGAAAAAAAAGGAGAAATAAGTAAGTCTGAGATGGCCTGGAGTCATTTCTGTAAAGAGATGAGAGTTGAACCCATGGATGTGTTTGAGAAAATCTATGGAAAAAGGATAGTGCACTCCAGGAAGGCCTGGCAGGCATTTTACCTGGAAGGCGGCGATGGAACAGCTGGTGGCAGAAGAGCGTCTCTCCAAGATATTCAAAGGAAAACTTCATACAATCACACTGCCTCTTTCCTTTCTTGGCCAGAGAGGCTTGTTTTTTACCCAAAGGAAACCCTCTCCCCTGATTCCTACACTGTGTCTGTTCTCTTAGGAGAGGACTACTCTACCCCATACTTAGAGTTTAACCTACGTCCTTTAGCCTGGGTGTTTTCACAGGGACTTTTTGTCCCCTCCCTTAAGTCTTAATTTTTTTCACTTGTACATTCTGTACCCCTTGCAAACTTATCCAGTTATGTTTTTCAGGATAAAATTCCTAGCGGGAAGTTGCTGGGTCAAAGGATGTGTACCTTTTGTGGGGCCTTGGATACCACTGAAAAATTATACCAATTTGCTCTCTCAGCAGCAGTGTGATGCTGGCACACTTTTTGAGGAAGGTTTCTTAAGGCATTTCTGGGCTTAATTTTTTTTATAAGCATTGCCTCCCTCTCCCAACTTTTCTTTAATGAAAAGTTTCAACATGTAGAGATGTTGAAACCATTGTACAGGGAACATTTAGATTCCACAATTAGCATTTTGCAATAGTTGCTTTATCAAATATCTCTCCATCTGTCAATCCATCTTATTTTTTGGGAGGTATTTCAAAGTAAGTTACAAAACGGTAGATCTCACCCCTAAATCTATGACCACTTTTTTATTTTCACAGAAAGTGTTGGCACAGTAGCCCAGGCATTGGGCTGGATGTTCACCGTACAATGCTTGGTCACCCTTTCCCTCTCCTCACCCAGTGGATTCTCTCCCTGGCCACTTAACTCTGTCCCCTTCTCTCCATCTCCACGGGCACCATCATCTCTCTTGCCCTGATTACTGCAAGGCCGGGCACTTCAGGACCCTGCCTCCTGAGAGAGAGAGCCGCAAGGAGGGCCAAGTCTGAAGCTTTGGGTGACTGGGGCAACCTTGAAACAGTTACTTAAGCACATTGAGCTTACTTTGCTTTCTTTAAAATGGGGTTAGTGCTGCTTCCTTGCAATGTGTCAGAAGGATATGCAGCACCTAGCATTGCATAGTGGGCACTTAATAAATGGGAGCAGTCTCTCTCTCTCTCTCTTTTTTTTTTTTTTTTTGAGACAGAGTTTTGCTCTTGTCGCCCAGGCTGGAGTGCAATGGCGCGATCTTGGCTCACTGCAACCTCCGCCTCCCGGGTTCAAGCGATTCTTCTGCCTCAGCCTCCTGAGTACTAGGATTACAGGTACACGCCACCAAGCCCAGCTAATTTTTGTATTTTTAGTAGACACGGGGTTTACCATGTTGGCTAGGCTGGTCTTGAACTCCTGACCTCAGGTGATCCACCCGCTTCGGCCTCCTGAAGTGCTGGGATTACCGGCATGAGCCACCGCACTGGGCCGAGCAGTGTCTCTTATTACGTTGTATGCTGAACTGTTAAAGATACCATTTCTTATATGACCCTGGGGATGGTGGTAGATAATTCCTGATTTTTTTTTTTTGTCTTTTTGGTGTAAGGATAGTTTAATCATATGTTGTAGCTTTTTTTCTTTTTCAATCTTGGAGGGAAAAAAATTCTATGAGGAACTTCGAAAACCAAATACTACTCTATTGTGTCAGATGGTCAGGAACACACTGTTGAGTGTATTTAAACGTCAAGCCAAGTAAGTCTCTGTATTTTTATTTTTATTTTCTGAGATAGGGTCTCACTCTGTCACCCAGGCTGGAGTACAATAGTGTGATCACGGCTTACTGCAGCCTGGACTTCCCTGGGCTTAGGTGATTCTCCCACCTTTGCCTCCCAAGTAGCTGGGACTACAGGTGTGCACCACCACAACTGCTTTTATATACACACACACACACACACACACACATATACACATATATATACATATATGCATGCATATATGTATATATATGCGTGAGTGTGTGTGTGTGTGTGTGTGTGTATATATATATATATTTTTTTTTTTTTTGTAGAGATGGGGTTTCATCATATTGCACAGGTTGCTTTTGTACTCCTGGGCTCAAGCGATCCACCTGCCTTGGCCTTCCAAAGTGTTGGTGTTACAGGCATGAGCCATTGCACCTGGCCTCCAGTGGGTCTCTGTAAAGAGTCGCTGTCCTGTCACTTCATCAGGGTGTGCCCCATGCATTGCTTTCTCTTTTCTTTGACCTTGGACTGACTCATATAACCAACCCGTGGCTAGAGCTCTAGCCCTTAAAGAGGGTGTTTGCCCTGTTCTGGACTCTGGCAAAACAGAGAGCATAGACTCTAAGGCAAGAAGTGCACATCTTCAGCACTGAAGGCTTCCTGGCACTAGTTCCCTCCCTCTTTGGGAGTACCTTATTATTTGATTTGTTTCCATTGAGTTTTTGCCCCTGCCCCAGTGTGGAGGTGAGCAGTATGGTGATTTAAGGAAGATCTTAATGGGTGATGGTGGCATCATGCAGAGGAGGGCAGATCAAATAGATTGCAGGCCTTTTTGCAGATGTGTTTTCAGCCTGTTCAGAGCTTTGCACACATACAAGAATGGAACTGAAAGGCATTTTTATTTGTGCTTAATTTGTGATAATTGTAAATTCATGGCAGGAGGCTCTGCAACCAGTTCAGAAGGGTTTCCCAGTGTGGGTAGCTGTAGCCAGTGTGTGTCCCCAGAATTGAGTAGGAGTAGGATAATTTCTTGAAGCTCTGGGTGTGAAGTATACCAGACATCCCACTGCGGCTGGGAAAGCCGGAGGCCAGGAGGGCAGGATGAGGGCAGCAGAGGGAGCACCTGCCCATATGGTTTCCCCGCACCCCGCCAGGGGCTCCAGGGAATTTACAGTCAGTACCTCCTGTTGTTGCTCTCGGGACATCTTCCTTCACCACCTTATGCTTTCTCAGAAAGCAGCTGGCCACAGTCCAGAGAGTGGCAGTGACTATTTGAGAAGGCACATACTTCATTTCAGACCAGATAGCTATTATCAGCCTAGATAATTTCTGTAAGTCCTGAAATAGACTTGGCCCACCAGGCAGGGTGTCTGCTTCTGGGTGCAGACTGGCTGGTTCTGAACTTTGTTTGCAACCCTGGAGGGTACCTTTATTATTTAGAAGTCAGGAAGAACAAACTGGAGTACATTCAGGCCTTTTTCGTGGGTTCTATCTGGGAGGTTGTGGTGTAGTGGGCACTGTTTCAGCCCAGTTTCCTGGGTGATTGAATGGAGACAATAGCACCAAGCTCACAGAAGTGTGTGAGGAGTAAGCATCCAGTTCCTTCTTCCCCTGGGTATGTCTCTATCAATCCAGCCAATGTGAAAGGAGGCTGCAGTGATGTCAGGGCTGTAGCAGCCTATTTCCCTTATTCCCTACAGCCAAATCCAAGTCCCTGGAATGGTGCCCTACTCACTGATCTGAGAGGGGGCAATTTTTTTTAAGCTCAATGATTCATTTATACATTTAACAAACGTTTTTTGAGCATCTCATATATGCCAGGCACTGCAGATGAATGCTGAGGATACAAAGATGAGTACCCACAGCCCTCAGAGAGGTCACATTCGACCAATAAAGATGGATGTGTACACCAGTGGCTATCATGTAAATGCAGTAGTGGAGACAGGCAGATGGATTGCGGGAGGGCAGAGAAAGAGAGCCTTCCTCAGCTTGAGATGTTTGTTGTGGGGGCGGAGTGAGAGTGGAAGAGGAATTTGGGTAAAGGAAGCAGGCTTGAATGAGGACATGGAGTTGGGAAACATCCTGGTGTGTCTGGAGACCTTTAAATAAGTTGACGTGGAGTGGGGAGGGATGAGACATAGGAAGGGGCTAGATCAAGAAGGGCCTCCTGTGCTCTGTGGTGGAGCTCAGGCTTTATTTGGTAGGGCAGCTATTCTGAAGGGACAGGAACTTCCCACAGAGATGCCAACGGCAGGCATTTGCTTTGGGAACACCCGTAACATTGAGTGCCTCTAGGTTAGGTGGACAGTGCCTGTGTGGAAGGTGGCATGCAGAGCTTGAGTCCTCAGACTCCGTTCAGGAAGGTTTGTAATTGTCTAGGGTTGGTAAAGAAGTAGAGATGGAGAGGAGTGGATGGATTTAGGATTTAAGGCTTGACTGATTAGAGGAAGAGGGAATGAAGAAGCAGGAACCAAGTATGACCAGCACTCTACTTTTTCTATTTGAGGCTCTGCTCAGATCCTACTTCTTTTGGGAGGATTTTTCTGACCTCTGGCCCAAATTTTGCTGTACAGCTCTGGCCCTGATCGCCTCTACATGTTACATCTTGCTCTGTATTGTTCTTAAGTTTGTTTTGCTTTCCCTAATAAAGGGAAGCTCTGAAAAGATAGGATCTGTATCTTATACTTTTGTTAAGTGCAATTTTAGGTATTTAATATTATTTATGTATAGTATTATTGGGACTTTAAGCAATTTATTTTATCTCTGATTTTCTACCAAGAGGGAAGAAGGAATTAAACACAAATGTTAAATGGGAAGTGTCTTCTACCCAGAGGAATGCATTCATGACTTGTGAGTCCAAAAGGGAATTTAAAAAATCAAATACATACCAAATTATCCAAAAGAAATTTAAGAGATTGGGATTTTAGAAGATAGGCTAGCTTTTTGGCCACTTAGTCTTGGAACAGTTTACCTGGAAAGGCATCTCTGGTGGGTTGGCAGTGGTTTGATCACCCTTGCCCCTTTGGGGCAGAATTAATTGCTGTTTCTGAGTGGCTTGTGTTTGTGATTCCCTTGGCAGGTCCAGAGCCTGGTGCACTGTGTGAACTGTCACCTGTCAGTGCCTCCCATCCTGTCCAGGCCTTGATGGAGAGCTTCACTGTTTTGTCAGGCTGTGCCAGCAGAGGCACAACTGGGCTGCCACAGGAGGTGCATGTCCTGAATCTCCGCACTGCAGGCCAGGGGCCTGGCCAGCTACAGAGAGAGGTAGGTGCAGGTGTCAGCTCTCAGCCCACTGCCACTGAGTCTGCAGAGATGATTTTCTGGACAGAAGTCCTTTTCTTCTCTT
This sequence comes from Homo sapiens, assembly GCF_000001405.40. NCBI lineage: Eukaryota > Metazoa > Chordata > Mammalia > Primates > Hominidae > Homo > Homo sapiens. The sequence goes on along the minus strand of NC_000001.11, from coordinate 91,797,204 downwards.
CTGGGGTTCAACAAAAGAAGCTCATGTATGAACATAAGAGAACAGATTTAAAATACCAGCTGCTGTCTGGATTGGGCAACTTTAGGATTTCTCTGTCTAGAGATTGGTTGGCTCTCCCCATTTCCTGGCCCTCCGTATTGGAAAAAAACGTTCATAAGAATTTCAACTTTTAGGCCAGGCATGGTGATGGTGCACACCTGTAATCTCAGCACTTTGAGAGGCCAAGGTGGGAGGATCGCATGAGCTCAGGAGTTCAAGACCAGCCTGGGAAACATAGCAAGACCTCATCTCTACTAAAAATAAAACTAAAAAAAAAAAAAATTAGCAGGGTGTGGTAGTTAGCACATGTAGTCCCAGCTACTTGGGAGGCTGAAGCAAGAGGATTGCTTGAGCCTGGGAAATCGAGGCTGGAGTGAGCCGTGATTGCCATTGCACTCCAGCCTGGGAGATAGAGCAGAACCCTGTTTCAAAAATAATAATAATAATTTCATCTTTTAAACATGATTGTGAGAAACCAAATAAGGTACCGTTTTCTCTGTTGTTGTGAAATGTCTTTCCCATTTCCTCCTGTGTCCTCTGTCTTCTTTCTTTACTTTGTCATATGAACTTATTGCTTCTGCAGGATGAGTGAGGGGAAATGGGAACACTCTGGAATAAAGATGGCGGTACTTTGTACTTGCCTGAAAATCCCTGAGCATAGCTCCTTATCACTATCTAGGCAGCTTCCCAAAGGTGGCGGTGACATTAGCGGAGATGGTGATGATAAAGATATATGCTCATAGTTACTCAGCATTTACTCTGCCAAACACTGTTCGAAGCACTCATACAGTAACTCCATGAATCCTACAATTATACTCATTTTACAGGTGACAAAACAGGTGCAGAAAACTTATTTGCGCAAGGTCATCATCTTCAGAGAGAAATGGCGTCCTCTTTCCTGTGGCTCAAAAATGGCCTAGATTGTGGGTGAATGGTCATCATTTAAGAGTACAGATTTCCCAACAAGATAACACAGAGTATTCTGTTTTTAAGCTTCTGTGTGTCAGAAATGTTATCACTCAGGTATTCGCTCTCCAGGGAGAGAGAAACCACAAAAAATCCTGATCATAGTGAAGTATAGGAAAAGTAATGCAGAATGGAATTTATCTTTGAGCTTTCTTCTGGTCAAGAAAGTTAATTTCCAGAGCCACTTGTTTATGTGCCTCAGCCACCCCATCCTTTTGGGGTGGTAGGAAGAGGAGAAGCACGAGATGTTAAGGAAAAGCAAGCTGATTTTAATCTCATGAACGTGTGCAGAGTTGGCTCATTTCAAAGACAGATCATCTAACCTTTCCAGCAACATTGGAAATTATTGTTAATACTCTTGGTTGCTTGCCATTGTTGCTGCAACTCATATTTCAGGTCAGATTTCTTTATCCCAGTAATGTGCCTTTAATTCTGAACTGATGGGGGAGAGTTTGTGGTGAGAGGGAAAGGAGGAGAGGAGGAAATGCAGCTCCTATGAAGCGTTGCTGACTCCAGCAATTCTTTAGCAGCGACAATTACTCATTTTATATATGCTTCTCTCAGAGGAACTCAGAGGGAAAAGAAAGTCCAAGCTGTTACAGAAGCAGCAACAGCAGAAAATTCTTGACGTTAAATTGTGCAGTACTGTTGTTGACTCTGAAAACAAATTCGAGTAAGACTACTGAAACAAGAGAAAAATACCTCGAGGAGTGACAGCAGAGCTCTCCTGCACTTGGTTACTATGTTATTCAAAATGGGATTCATTTTAGGACCTGGCAGTACTGAGGATACATAACATTAGCTGGCATCAGGGACATAGTGTGTTCAGTGAGGAAGAAAAGAAAGAGGGCCTACAAAGGGTAGTCTCAAACTTGTTTAAAAACCTGAACATTATTCTCTTTCGATATTAGTATAGTATATGTATGATTTTGGGCCAGTGATTTGAAGATGTTTCTGAGAATAGACAACAGACGGACCTTTAAGAATTAGATGGTTGTAGTTCAATACTGTTTGAAAACAAGATTTTGGGATAACTGATTTTTGGAGATTCCATCTGGCTCTGCGTTGCTCACATACGGCAGATCTCAGAGTAGTTTGCATATACAAAGTGAGCATAGAGGATAACATCAGAATGAGGGTCAGGACGAGAGAATGAAAGATTGTTTGTGGTTGGTAAGATGGGTGTGTATAAGGATTAAATATCGCTCACTCTTTTGACATATGACTATGGAGAACATTCCCGCAGCTATGCAAACAGTTTTTAAAAATCATTTGAACCACATGACCCAGCAATTCCACTCTTAGGTATATACCCGAGAGAAGTGAAAACACATGTCCACACAAAGACTTGTCTGTGACTGTTCATGGCAGCATTAGTCCAAAAGTGGAAAAACCCAAATTTTCATCTTCTGATGAATGGGTAAATAAAATATGGTATATCCATACAATGGAGTGTTACTGAGCAGTAAAAAGGATGGCATACTGATAGGTGCTACAGCATGGATGAACCTTGAAAATCCACTAAATGAAAAAAGACAGACACAAAGACCACATATCATATGATTCCATGTATGTGAAATGTTCAGGATACAGAAATTTATAGAGACAAAGTAAATTAGTCATTGCTTAGGGCTAGAGGGGAAAGAAGGAAATGGAGGTTGACTGCTAAACGTTACATGTTTTTTTAAAAAAGTGGAGGCCGGGCGAGGTGGCTCACACCTGTAATCCCAACACTTTGGGAGGCCGAGGCAGGTGGATCACCTGAGGTCAGGAGTTTGAGACTAGCCTAGCCAACATGGTGAAACCCCTTCTCTACTAAAAATACAAAAATTAGCTGGCATGGTGGCGGGTGCCTGTAGTCGTAGCTACTTGGGAGGCTGAGGCAGGAGAATGACTTGAACCCAGGAGGTGGAGGTTGCAGTGAGCCAAGATTGCGCTGCTGCACTCCAGCCTGAGCAACAGAGTGAGACTCCATCTCAACAACAAAAAAAAAAGGTGGAGGAGATGACAAAAATGTTCTAAAATTTTAATGGTTGCACAATTCTGTGAATATACTAAAAACTGTTGAATTGTAATTTAAGTGGGTGAATTTTATGGTATGGGAATTGTATCTCAATGAAACTATTTAAAAAAACCGTTTGACCTGCTGACATGCTAATTAGTCTATAAAGTTTACGTTGGCTCAATTCACTTTTACCAAGATTGCTTACTCCTTCAACTTAAACTCACCTAATGCTTTTTGTTATTTTCAATGGATAACTTGGTTTTTGTAGATATGTCATGATATGGTCTATGCTAAAAATAACAGCTGATCTGTTTTGAGGGTAATAGTAGGAGGGCCAGAGGCAGCCTTTGTGCAGTCTCTACCAATTTTTTTTTTTTTTTTTTTTTTTTGAGACAGAGTCTTGCTGTGTCACCCAGGCTGGAGCACAGTTGTGTGATCTTGGCTCACTGCAACCTCCACCTCCCGGGTTCAAGCAATTCTCATGCCTCAGCCACCTGAGTAGCTGGGATTACAGGCATATGCCACCGTGCCCGGCTAATTTTTTATATTTTTAGTAGAAATGGAGTTTCATCATGTTGGCCAGTCTGGTCTCAAACTCCTGGCCTCAAGTGATCCGTCCGCCTCAGACTCCCAGAGTGCTGGGATTACAGGTGTGAGCCACCTCACCTGGCCTCTACCAAATATTAAAGGCAAATATTTTTCAAAATGAAATAAGTGCCGTTACTTACAAATTAGCAAAACAATTACCGTGCTGGCTCCAAGCTGTAATTGACTATGACTGAAGACTGGAGTAGTTGGTTTTCATGATGTCATCCTTAAATGTGAGGGAATTACTAAATCAGCCCCATTTCCCCTTGGCTTGTTATTGGTGCAAGATCAGTATCAAGATCTATTATAAATCACCCCATATCTAATATTTTACTATTAATAAATTCCTACCTCCCAGGTGCCTTAAAGTTCTTCAGCTGGGGAGAGATTTTTAATTTTCCTGTGTAGAGGCGGTGACAGAGCCTACACCCAAAAGTAGTAACTGCAGCAGGTTGACAAGATTTAGGGAGACAGTAACGCTTAAGTTGGATGAACAGTTTTATAGGCCAGCAGAGAATTTGTATCAGAAACACACTTGTTACAACAGTACATAAAAAGCCCTCAGTACCAAAGCAATGTTTTGTCATCGGCCTCCCTGCTGGGTTCTCCTCGGGTCAGAGTAGACCTATTGTATTTTTCATCTGAGAACACACCTCTCATTTGTAATCATTGGTTTCGGAAACAACAGCCTTGGAAGCGAACAGGAAACTGGAAAATGACTTTCTGGCAACAGAGGACAGCAGAAGAGCATAAACAATGCTGAGAGATCAGATTTATCTTTTAGAGCAAGTGAGGACCAGTGTCATGGTTTCCATCCCCATGAAAACCAGCTCCTAGTACCCTCTGACTTTGAAGTAAAATGCAGCCGCCCCCTTGTGTCGGACTCCCGAGTTTAATTGCTCAGGGCGTTTCCTGATTCCTGAGAGGGGTTACAGCACCATTAGAGGCTTGTTTACAGTAACATACTTTCATTAGTTGCTGGAATGGCAACAATTTTGTTTCCTATCATCTAATTTTTACTTGTGACCTGCTTTTATGTGGTGGTGTGTCTTTTCTATTTCTGACCTATCTAATTGCTTGCTTATTATGAAAAGCTGCTGAGGATAAGTCCCAAGTTAGCCATTACATATGTGTAGAAAAGATATGGACATTTAAATTTATGCATTTGTTTTGACATTAAAGGAGCAATGGGCGTGCCAGTGCCTGGCTGTAGGGGTGGAGTGGGGATCAGGAGGCTCCATTACCATGGGAAAGGGGCCAGGTTTAATAACTTCACCCGTCAAAAAGCTCATAACCCTATGAGCTTCTCTGCCTCATTCCAAAAGAGGATTTGGGATGAGCCTCCAGCAACAGGCATACCAACAGTGTAAGCAGAAATACAGAATGAGGACCAAGGGAAAAAGAAGGGTGCAGCTTGCGAGCCATTTGGGTTTATGTGGTTGGTATGATTGTGTTTGAAATTTGGCTCCAGGCTTTTTGGCAGGCACAGACAAATGGGATGTGTGGTTAATCACACATGTGGCTCCAAGTCACTTTTACTTTGTACCTTCTCTGAGGATTGGCATAAAGCTGTCCCTTTTTTGGTTCTTTTTGAGGGCAGGAAAGACCACAGTGGGGAGAAAGAGAAGGAAGTAAACACTGTCAAGTGCTAACTGCTCGACTTGCCTCTTAACAGCTCTCACATCCCCCAAATGACAATACTAGCAGCCGTAGTGGTGAAGACTGCGTGTCTCCTGTGGGCCAGCCACCTGCCAGGCACTTGTTTGGTTCTGCCAGTCTTGTCGTCAGCCTGAAAGGGAGGCTTGGTGGTCACTGTTTTTGCAGAAGAGGATGCTTGGGCTTAGGGAGGTTATACAACCAGATGGTGAGTTGTGGAGCCAGCCCCCGAGTTGTGTCTGTTGGATTCTACAGTGCAAGCTGCAAGCTTTTCCCATACTCCAGCTAGTTGTCCTTTCCTTTTAGCTCTTACTTGGTTCTGGGCTACAGAACCTGCTAGTCTGCTGAGTCTGCTTTGTTAGACAGCCAGCAAGTAGGTCTGTTAGTGAGGGTTTGGGTTCTGTGCATAGGTTTGTAATAACTCTTTGCAGTGCTTGGAGTCCTTTTTGATTCCCTTCCTTGCAGCTTTGGGGCAGTATTAAGTTGGTCTGTGTGTGGCAGTGTCTCTTTTTTTCCCTTTCATGGTTTAGGATTATCACACCACATGTCAGTAATTATAAAATGCAGGGCTGAGCTCAGGAGCCATTGTGCTCTATGTGGCTGCTAATCCCCATGCTAAATGGCACCACCAAGGGGCCTTTTATGTTCTTGTCTGTTTTCATAGTTAAACATTCCCCCCACCCCCAGGCCTTCAGCTGTGTTCACACAAATAGCTCACCTGTCCTCTGCTTATAATTTACTACGTCTTGTATCCAAACTTGTTTTAACTGTGTGGTAAGAGAGAACTAGCATATTAACTGACTCTTCTTGCTAAGAATGATATGCAAGAGCTTCAGTATTCAGACTTCGCCATCTGATTTGACATCTTTTTGCTTACATTGGGGAATTTGGCAATTCAAAGATTGACCATTTTGGAGATCTTTATCTACCTACCTACCTATCTATATGTAATCCTTCCCCATTTCCACAATATTAATACACGAACACCTTTTCTCTTTTTCCCCCTCGATTATCGAGATTCAGATAATACAGTGCTTGGGGAGGAGTGGGTGTGCCTTGCCCAACACCACTAAAAGAACTGATACAAAATCTCAAGGCTGGGTTTTGGGAGAGTACATATGTGAGAGCAAAAACATTAAACTAGCTACATTCTTTTCTCTATCTGGGGCATTTTTTACCCTGCTGCTATTCATAAATGACTTCCTAATGCAGTCCTGTGCATATGCAGAAAAAACAAAAAACCCAGGGCTATTTATGTTTGAGATACCTTTTATGTGGTATGTACTAAGCAAGTGTCAAAGGAAACCCCTCACACACAGACACTGTATATCAGTGAAATTTGGTTTCTAAACAAATACATTCCGCATATAAGCACTGCCTGGTGTTTGTTTAAAAGGAAGCTGTTCTGGAAATCACCCAGCTTGACAGGGAAGATTACCTCTGAAATGGTCATTTAGTTTTCCACCAGTCCTTAACAGATACTGTCATGCATTGCTTCATGACAGAGACACATTCAGAGAAATGTGTTGTTAGGGGATTGTGTTGTGCAAACATCATAGTGTAGGTACACAAACCTAGATGGTATGTCCTACTACGCACCTCGGCCATATGGTATATATAGCCCATGGCTACTAGGCTACAAATGTGCACAGCATGTTACTATGCTGAATATTGTAGGCAATTGTAACACAATGGTAAGAATTTGTGTACCTAAACATGCCTAAATGTCAAAAAGGTACAGGAAAATTATGGTACTATAATCTTATGAGACCACCGTTGTATATGTGGTCCCTTGTTGATTGAAACATTGTTATGTGGCCCATGCCTGTACTATTTCTCTCTCTCTCTCTTTTTTCTCTGTCTCTCCCCACCTGCCCATTTCCTCTCTCCTTTCTTCCCTTCCCCATTTATTTGAGTATTACTATAGAAATCATTTCATTACCTACAAAGGCAACTGAATCTGTCTGTCCACATAGGATTGGAGGGCCTGAATGAATAGGACACTCATATTATATAAAAAGAGTTACTCCTTTACTTGAAGACACTCAATGCAATTTAAACAATGACACCCTGCTAGGTCGTGTGAAGGTGCCAGTCCAGGCCTGGAAAGGGGAGCAGGGTTAGGGACAGCAAGGCAATGCATCTGCTAGCTGTCACAACAGAGGACAATGCAAGCGAGAGCTGGCACTGGTCACACTAGTCAAGGATGATGTCTAACACTTTGGGGCAAGATGTTCAATCTAAAATTCCAGCTAACTCTCCAATAGGAACTCTCCAAAAATGCAGTCTTGGACTTTTAGAAAAAGTGAAAGCAGAAATCAGAGAGGTAATAGCAAACACCGGGGTTTAGGAAACAAACCAGGACACAAGGCTAAGCTAAGAAGTTAAAACGTTCCTACCAAGATGCAGGTTGGTCACGTCACTTAAATCCTGTCATTCGTCACAGTAATATCCAGATGCTGTAAAGTTGCCCCAGGAAAGTACAGCCCCTGCCCCGGCAGAGGGACTGAGCCTGGTTGGACTCGGCCTTTTTAGAATGAGGTAATGCCGATTTATGTTCTATGCTGGCTGGACAGATTGTAAAAACCTGTCATTATTGCCTCTTCCCCCAGATAGAGACTGCCTTGACACCCCCTTTTTTTTTCGAGACGAGTCTCACTCTGTCGCCTAGGCTGGAGTGCAGTGGCACGATCTTGGCTCACTGCAACCTCCGCCTCTTGGGTTCAAGAGATTCTCCTGCCTTAGCCTCCTGAGTAGCTGGGACTACAGGCATACGCCACCATGCCCAGCTAATTTTTGTATTTTTAGTAGAGTTTTAGTAGAGACGGGGTTTCACCATGTTGGCCAGGATGGCCTCGATCTCTTGACCTTGTGATCCGTCAGCCTCGGCTTCCCAAAGTGCTGGGATTACAGGCGTGAGCCACCGTGCCCAGCTGACCCCTTTTAAAATTTGTCCAGCAGCAGCATTTTCCAACCAGTATGGTGTTTTGTCTTTATGGAGGTTAGGGTTAGAACCCTGACCTGTACTACTGTTGCCATGGTAACTGCCCTTGGCTTTAAAAAAAGAATTATATAATTTCCTGAAAGTGTTGTTAGACAATGTTTTTACAAGAGCACTCTCTGCATTTAAAAATGTGACATTTTGCTCTTAGAACTTTTGGGAGAGTATTAAAAAAAAGCAATAGACCCAAGTCAGGAGCAGCTCTGCAAATCTGAGATGCAGATGTGCTGATTGGGCAAAGGCCCAGTGCATGCGTGTGCAGCGTCTCCAGTTTTCCAGCTTGAGCCTTCTCCTTGCCATTGCTTATCTGCTTCTTGACATTCTGTTTGAGAGTAAAAGGAAACTTAACTGCTAATCGCTGATTTAAATACTTAAACTCTGCAGAAGTATTTATTGCATTGACTTCAATCACTCCTTCCACGGTATTTTCTAAATATTTCTGTGTAAGTTTAGACACGTTTAATTATTTCACTTTTCTTTCTTCCACGATGAAGAGGCCATGTATGACTTGGCCCCTCTGATGCCTCAGGTCAGCTTATTTCTCTTTTCCTTCCCCTGCTCCACTGGAATGAGTGAACATCTGTACGTCCTTCTTTCCCTTCTTCCCTCTCTGTGGCCTGAGCTAATCTCTGGGGAGACCCTGATGATGCCCCTTTGAACAACTCAAGGGCTGCTAGGACTAGAGGGTCCCTGGGGTCCACCTAGCCCTAATACCTTAGGGGAACCAGGCCAGAGGGTGTAGCGGTGACATGTTCACTATTAACCAAGAACTTGGTGCTAGCACTGGACTAGCCCCTCGGGGCACCAACTTCTGTTGCAGAGCTGCCTCTACACATCTGCCTGCCCCACTCTTGCTCCTCCCCAGCTTATGAAGCCTCCAGTGCTGTCAAGCACTCCCTTTCTGGCACCTCCCTCTTGGTTTCCTGGTTCTCATTCTACCATTCCATCTGTTTTTCTGTTTCTTTCTCAGCTGCTCACTCTTTCTTCTTGGGGTTTTTTTTTTTTTCCCCGTGAGACAGGGTCTGGCTCTGTCGCCCAGGCTGGAGTATAGTGGTGCGATCTCAGCTTACTGCAACCTCAAGCGATTCTCCCATCTCAGCCTCTTGAGTAGCTGGGACTATAGGCGCACACCACCACGCCCGGCTAATTTTTGTATTTTTTTCACCATGTTGGTCTCAAACTCCTGAGCTCAAGTGATCCACTCGCCTTGGACTCCCAAAGTGCTGAGCTTACAGGCGTGAGCCAGTGTGCCTAACCTCGGGGGTTCTTGACTGAGGCATAGCCCTTGGCTTTCTGTTTTCCTCTGTCTCCTCTCCCTGAGGTGGCTTGTCTGGTCTTAGGATTTTGCTTGTCACTTCCTTGCTTACAACTCCAAAAACTCTGCCTGGGCTTCTCCAGTGGAACTACAGTCAGATGGCTGAAGCATCCCGGCTCTTGGGTCCCATCTTGAGCTGCCAGGTGCCTCAGATATGGACTGGAGGAGTGGCTGTCACTGTGGTTCGCTCCCATGTTAGATACAGGGCTAGTCTCAGCTCTGCCACTCCCCATGTGTGACCCTGGGTGAGTTACTTAATTCCCTAAGCCCTGTTTCCTCATCTGTAAAATGGAGATGTTAATAGCACTTTTTTTTTTTTAATTATTACTTTTTGTGAGATGGCGTCTCGCTCTGTCACCAGGCTGGAGTGCAGTGGCGTGACCTCGGCTCACTGCAACCTCCGCCTCCTGGGTTCAAGCGATTCTCTTGCCTCAGCCTCCTGAGTAGCTGGGACCATAGGCATGTGCCACCACGCCCAGCTAATTTTTGTATTTTTAGTAGAGACGGAGTTTCACCATGTTGGCCAGGATGGTCTCAATCTCTTGACCTCGTGATCTGCCTGTCTCAGCCTCCCAAAGTGCGGGGATTATAGGCGTGAGCCACTGTGCCCAGCTAGTAGCACTTCTTTAGAGGGTTCACTGACCATTGAGAAATGTCTCTGTGGCACTTAGGGCCGGTATAGGTACAGTCAACTGCTAGCTAACAGTAATTTTTATTCTCTCTAAAATAGAATTTAAGAACCCTCCCAGGCCAGTTCTCCTGACCCTAGTGCTGGCTTTTCAATCTGGCTTCCCTGACCCATCAATGTCACCAGTACCATCCATCTTGGAACTTTTGAACCATCTTGTATTTACTCATCCTCTTTTTTTTTGTCTTTTTTTTTGGAGACACAGTCTTGCTCTGTCACCCAGGCTGGAGTGCATTGGCGCGATCTTGGTTGACTGCAACCTCCGCCTCCCGAGTTCAAGCAATTCTCCTGCCTCAGCCTCCCAGGTAGCTGGGATTACAGGCACCCGCCACTACACCTGGCTAATTTTTGTATTTTTAGTAGAGATGGGGTTTCACCATGTTGGCCAGGCTGGTCTTGAACTCCTGGCCTCAAGTGATCCATCCATCTCAGCCTCCCAAAGTGCTGGGATTAGAGGTGTGAGCCACCACACCTGGCCTGCCCATTCTCTTTAAACCCTATATTTGGCCAATCACCACATTTTATTGACATTTCCTCTGCAATTGCCCTTGAATTTCTCTGTTTTTCTCCACTTACCCTGGAGCCTCCTTAACTGGTCTCCTGGGACTGGCCTCTTCAGCTTTAGACCCTGATTCTTTCTGTCTAGCTTGTGAACCTCTTCATAAAACCAAACTTCTCTAAATAATGCTCTCATAATGAATTTGTTTATTCATTCACAGGCCTGTTCAATGAATCACTATTAAGAACCCACTGTGTGCTAGGTAGGTGCTCTGCCAGATTCTTACTCATTTTTATGTCTTTAGCACCTATTAGAGTTGAGAGAGAATGAATTTAATGAAACATGACAAATAATATGACTAATATATTTTAAAAATTTGCAGAAGGCCAGCTGTGGTGGCTCACGCCTGTAATCTCAGCACTTTGGGAGGCTGAGGCGGGCAGATCGCTTGAGCTTAGGAGTTCAAGACCAGCCTGGGCAATATGGCAAAACCCTGTTTCTATCAAAAATACAAACAGCCAGGCATAGTAGTGTGCACCTGTGGTCCCAGCTATTTGGGAGGCTGAGGCAGGAGGATCACTTGAGCCCGAAGGTTGAGGCTGCAGTGAACCACGATCGCGCCACTGCACTCCAACCTGGGAGACAGAGCGAGACGCTGTCTAAAAAAAAAAAAAAAAAAGTACAGAAGCCCAACAAAGGGTGTGTTCATTCTCTCTGGAAGTGAGGGAAGGATTCCCAGAAGAAAGAACATTTGACGGAGGGCTTAAAAGTCAAATTAGTGTTGTTGAGCCAAGGGATGGGAGGACTCAATATACACAGAGTGGGCGCCAGGTGTGGAGGAAAGTTCTTCACCTACACGGTGTGGCTGGTGGACAGATCAAGGGTGCTAGGCAGGACTGAATTCTGCCTGCTGCCTGTTTGTGTTTTTAAAATAGCTTTAATGAGATATAATTTACGTACCATAAAGTTTACCTGTTTAAAGTGTACAAGTCAGTGGTTTTTAGTATATTTATAGAAATGTGCAACCAGTGGCCCATAATCTAATTTTACAACATTTCCATCACCCTAAGAAGAAACCTTGTATCTATTAACAGTCACTCTCCCATTCCCTGTGTGTGCCCCCCACGACCCGGCACTAGCCCAAGGTAGCCACTAATCTACTTTCTAGATTTATCTGTTCTGCACATTCATATGAATGGGATCATGCAATATGTATCTTTTGTGTCTAGCTTCTTTCACTTAGCGTAAAGCACTTGAGGTTCCTCGATGTTGTAGCATGTATCAGTTGTTTCATTCCTTTTTATTCCTGGGTAGTTTTCATTGTGTGGCTATACCATGTTTTGTTAATGCATTCATCAGTCCGATGCCTGTTTTTAAAGTTTTATTAGTTTTAAAGCCACACCCATTTGATAATATGTTGTCTATGGCTGCCTTCTCACTACTGTGGCAGAGTTGAGTATTGTGTCAGAGACCTGCATGGCCTGCAAAGCTTTAAATAGTTACTATTCAGCCCTTTGCAGGAAGAGCTTGGCAATTCCTGTAATAGAGGATGAAGACAATGAAGGGGGTAGGCTGGGGCTGAGTGGAAGATGAGACTGGAAAGGCCACGTAAGGATTTGGACTTAATCCTGTGGATCGGCTTCTCAAAGTGTGTGTGCTGTGTGAAGCCCCTGCATCGGATCCCTTGATGTATAGATTCCTGAGCCTCCCCCTGGGCTTACCAGCTAAACCCCTTGCCCCACGCCCTTATTCTTAATTCCACCTGGACTTCTTTCTTCAGTCTCTCAATTCTTGCCACTTTGGAAGCCCATGCTTAGGTCTTAGCTCTTCACCAAACCCTTGCCTGATTGCTTTACCCTCCTCCATTTCTTTCTTTTCTAAACATCGCTCTGAATCTTCTTCCCCCTACCACAACCTGTGCCTTCCCACAGTATGGAATTATATGTTTTATTGTATTACTTGCTGCTGAATCGTGTGTGTTAATTCTGCACACTCAGCTGGTGAGTGGACTGCTTTCGGGCAGGAACTAGGTCTTGGGTCTTTTTTTGCATTATGCAAATTGGGTTATTGCATGGCACCAAGGATGTTATTTAGAGTATAACTGAAAGTCTTCTTAAATGACTTTCCTTTTGCATAGTGCATCTTTATTTGCTTTGCATTCTATTAGTGGACTTAGTGTTTGGTCCCTAGGCCCCTCAACATTGGAGCTAAGCAGGTGTCCTCCATTTTGTATGACTGCTTTGATTTACTTTTTTAATTAAATCTCTTTTAATTAATCTTATTTTTTACTCTAAACTGCAGATCTTTGTTCAGTCTTTTCCCTAGCCCATTTCTAAATCTTTGTTACATTCTTCTTTACTCTGAGGGGTTTTAGTCATCTGCTAGTAAACTAGTTAGTCCTTTCCGTCAGCTGGGTAAAAAGCTATAAATGGTTTTCAACTCTATGCAGCTCCCTTGGGTTGCTCATTTGATCTGAGCCAGGTTTGAAGTTGGGCCATTGAGAATGATCTGTCCTCATGATGTAGGGGGTGACTCCAGCCAATTCTTAATATTGCTGGAATTAATTAACTTTGATTCCTCTAACTGAAAGAGGGCATTTTACTCTACCGTGTATTATTAAATACCTTATAACTTGATTTTTTTGATTTTGTTTTCTTGCTCAGTGAGTACTTAAAATATCCCTGCCGATATAGTAATTTGTTCCCTGTTTAATATGGCTTTTTCCTTTGTTTACTCTGGACTCAAGTCTTTGTAGCTTGTTTTCTAAGTCAGCTCAAAAGTTGCTGGTCATTGGATTTGGCAGCCTTTTCAAGCTTTACCCACCAGAATCCTACAGGAAGTTGTGTGTCGGCCAGAAGAGTCTGTTTATTTAGAGCGTGGTGTCCAGCAGAAGCAATCCATTTATGAGGGTCTGGTCTTAAAGACACAGGCATCTGAGTCTGTGTTTGGAAGACCTGCTGCTTTGGCTTCCATTGCAGCCATGTTCTCCATGCTTTCCTGTCCAGCCCGCCGGGGCACCTCAGTGGCACTGCTGGCTGATTGAAGGAGTCCTTGTCTCTGAGCTCCTTGGCCTTGTCTGAAAGGCTGAAATATCAAGGCCCAGATATTAGACAGGGTTCTAGTCCAAAGCACCCTACAATAATGCTTTGTATTTATGGCTTTTTTTTTCCACCTGAACCACAGAGTCCTTCAGCTGAACCTGAAATTTGTACAACTCTTGGAGGATGAGGGGCAAATTACAGGTATGACTTGGATACTTTTGAAGATAAGAGAGCTAATGAGATGAGGTGTTACTGATTCTCACTGTGAAGCAAGGACAGAGCCCAGCTTTAGGATCCAAGGTCACTACCATAGCCTAACTCTTGCCCGGAGCTGAAGTGTCCCCTTGTGCCCATTATGGCTTAACTTCTATTTGTTGATACATGTGTACACACATCTGATCCATTTTGAATTTGCTCCAGCAAGTCGGTGATGTGGCTGTCGGTTCTCTGTGCCTAGCACTGGGCTTGCCACAGGTTAGGGACTGCATGCCTGTGGACCCGTTTACGTGGAAGCTGCATCGATGTCTTCTTAAAAGGTGAGTCCCCCTCCCAGAGTGAGGTGTGGCCTCACTACCAGTGATGTGAGCACATACCGAGGTGCCTTGGGGGAGAGGGGCAGAGAGGTATAGCAACTGCTGAGAGGCCTGAGCACAAAAGGTCGAAAGTGAGCTGTCGTACCTCTCAGCCCTCGCCATGCCCCTGGGGTCTTTTAATGACCTACAGTTGGATTTTTTCATGAGGTGGAAGTTATATTGAAATTTCTGCCTCAGAATAGTTCCTGAAGAGCATTGACTCTCTGGGAGTCTTAGGTAAATTTAACACTTAATGAAGGTAAAAACAATCCTTTCCACATTCCTCTGCTCCTCCTCTCAACCTCAGGTCAGTCGATGTGCAAGCAGTGCTTTCCTTGGGAGGCAGCAGTTTCTGAAGGTAAAGGAGAAAGCCCTGGTCCAAGGGAGCCAAAGGTCCGTTGGGACACACATGATTCCGTGTTGGGCACATGGGCATGTAGGTGTCTCCTAGCCTTGCCAAGCTGTCTTAAATTCGGGCATCTTCCAAAATCAAAGGCAACTGAAGAGCTTAATTTCCAATGATGATACATTTTGCCTCAGTCATCTGGCCCCAAAAGACTTCTGGGGGCCGATCACCCTCCCTTCTATTCTGAACGCCCTCATCCCCTAGATTGTCACTTGGTGCTTTTGGCCAGGGGGCTCTGCTTCTTCCTTGCTGCGAGTTCTTCCTGCTGAGCCCAGCATCCCCGTGAGGGCTTTCACGCAGGCCCTTCATTGCTCTCGGTATGTTGTCAGCCCATGTGTTGCAGTTTATTTTTGATTCCTGCTTTCATAAGGTTTGAAGATTCCACTCATTTTTCCAGTGGTTGTTAAGATAGTGAGAATCTAAATGAAATGGTAATATTACCATTGTGAACAATTATTTTTCTAAAAGAATCTTTTGTGTTCATTTTTAATGCTGTTAAGATCTAATTCCCAGTATTTTATTTGGAAGCTCTTCAAATTTCCCAAATCATAAAATCTTTCAAAGCCTACTCCAAGTTACTTTTTCTTGATTCAGCTCTCCTATTTGCATTTAAAATAAAAAGGCCAGCCTATTTCCAAATATGGAAATGATCTATGTTTATTAGAGATCAGCAAAGTGATATGGGCCCTTGACTTGCTGTGAGGTTTTTTTTTTAAATGTGTTTTAGAGCAATGTACAAGGGCAATTTTTCGTCCTGTTTTGTCATGTGTTCTTAAATACATTTCCTAAACACTTTCTCTGGCTTGGTGCTATTACTGTGTATACGTCCTACATATGTTTCCTATTTTTTATGACTCATACTTACGGTACTCATAAAGATTTATCCTTTATCTTGGCTCTGAGTAATGAGCCCACTTGCACATTTCCAGCAGAACTGTGGGTTAGGGATTTTACATTTCATTCTGCTGGAGAGGCCTCTGGAAGGCATAGCACAGGCAGCGCAGCATGTTCCTTGTAGGCAGTACTCACTTCTCCCTGAGGGAACAGTTAGCTCAGTTTTTGTGAATTTACTAATTTTTGTTCTCTAGCTTTTCCTTTCCCTTTGCCCTTTTTAGCCATTTTGCTGTTTGAGTGAGGCCACACAAGAGCATGAACAGATGAAACAAATGCTCTACTCCTTTTTGCTGCTGAGTAACTGTGGTGGAGGAAGAAATGGAAATAATGAACTGAAACGATATTATTACATGTGGCAACAAACTCAGGCAAGGAGTCTTCTTGGGTCCAAATAAACATTCAGACCCATGAGACTATCATAGGCCATGGGTGGCTTCATTATACTTAAAAGGGTATAGGACAAGGACCACAGCTTACGGCATGGCAGCAAGGCATTCCTCCTTGTTGTGTGCCTTGTGACTGTTCACACATCAGTTCATCAGTTCACATAGCCATCCAGAGCTCTCCAGCTGATGGCTCAAATGCCAGGAGATGAGATCTCTGTGTGTGTGTGTGTGTGTGTGTGTGTGTGTGTGTGTGTGTGTGTGTGTAGTTCTCTAGTTTAAAAGCCTTAGGAAGGCCGGGTGCAGTGGCTCACACCTGTAATCCCAGCACTTTGGGAGGCTGAGGCGGGTGGGTTACCTGAGGTCAGGAGTTCGAGACCAGCCTAACCAAAATGGTGAAACCCGTCTCTACTAAAAATACAAAATTAGCCAGGCATGGTGACGCATGCCTGTATTCTCAGCTACTTGGGAGGCTGAGGCAGGAGAATCGCTTGAGCCCGGGAGGCAGAGGTTGCAGTGAGCCAATATCATGCCATTGCACTCCAGCCTGGGCAACAAGAGTGAAACTCCATGTCAGAAAAAAAAAAAAAAAAAAAAAAAGCCTTAGACCCTTGCGGGAACTAGTAGGCAACTATGTAGGAATAGTTTTCATGGTACTCTGTCTCATAAATATGCCCCATTTACAAGAATCACTGCTCTCAGGGAAGCCCCCAGATGTCACTTCTTATCAGATGTCTTAAAATTTTCCAGTCCCAATAGCAAGCTGCCTTGTGTTATAATTGACATATTGTCTTACCAGATTACCAGGGTTACAGAATTGAGAGAGTTAACAGAAGATCAAATTCTCATGTAAAAGGGAAAAGCTTTGCTCACTGTTTATCCACACCTGTACGTTTTATTGTTTTTATTTGTGGTATTCCTGACTGTGATAGGCTAAATAATGGCCCCCAAAGATATATCCACGTTCTAACCCCTAAACCTGGGAATGTTGCCTTTATATAGAAAAAGCCTTAGCAGGTGTGATTAAATTAAGAATTGTGAGATGGAGGATTATCCTGGATTATCTGGTGGCCCCTAAATACAGTCACATGTATCCTTATAAGACAGGGATTTGATGACACAGACAAAAGGGAAGACTGTGTGACCATGCAGGCAGAGATTGGTGGTCTGGAACCCACAAGCCAAAGAATGCCAGCAGCCACGAGAACCTGAAAGAGGCTGGGAACAGGTTCTCTCCTGGAGCCTCTGGAGGGCATGTGGCTCTGCTGACACCTTGGTTTTGGCCTAGCAATGCTGATTTTGGACTTCTGGCCTCCAGAACTGTGAGAGAATAGCCTTCTGTTGTTCTAAGCCACCCAGTTTATGGTAATTTGTTACAGCAGTATGGGAAATGAGCACACACTCACATTAGTTTGAGTTCCATGCTCCCTCCTGTCTCCAGTTTGTTTACTCCTGTGTTCCCCAGCTCTGTAAAGGACGCTACCACACAGTTGCCAGGGCCACAGTCCTTGGCATTATTATCCATGACTTCCTGTGTTTGCTCAGATGTCATATCCAATCCTATTTGTTCTACCCTAAGACCATATTCTGAATCTGCCCACTTCTGACCACCACCTTCGGTCTGACCCACCATCACATTTTTACTTGAGAGGCAGTGGGCCTCTGGCCCATCCCTCTTAGGAGTGCAAGATCTGGGGTAGAGCGCCAGTGTTGGAAGCCTGGCTACACTGCTCATGAGCTGTGGGGCTTTGGGCAAGTCAGTTAACTTCTTTATGCTTCATTTTCCTCATGTGGGCATAATCATAGTATCTACTTCATAGAGTTGCTGTGACGATTAAATAATTAAAGCATGACTGGTGCTTAGAACAGTGCGTGGAATATCATCAGCACTCCATAAATGTCAGCTGCTATCATTGTTAGCAATTAAGATCTATTCTCTAAGTGGCAGCCAGCATGATCTTTTGAAAGACTTCCGTCCAGTCACGAAGTTCACCAGTTCAGCTTCCTGCCATGGTTTTTTACATTTCAATGAAAATGCGCAATCCCCACCAGAGCCCTGAATGATCTTTTCCCCCTTCTCCCAGCACTCTCACCATTGCTCACTGTGCTGCAGTGGGCCCTGACATCTTGCCTCCTGTCCTTGGCATGGGCTCTTTGTTTTGCCTGAAGTACTTCTCCCAGTTACTCATGTGGCTGCCTTCACCCAGTCCCTGCTTTGCCATTACCTCCACTGAGAGGCCTTCATTGACCACCCCATTTAAAATAGTCATAGCACCCCACAACAGACACACTCTCTTTTACTGTTTTACTTTAAAATGTAACTTATATTACCACCTGATATTTATTTTTAAATATGTTCACTGTCTATCTCTTCTGCTAGTATATCATCAGTATAGATGTTTTATCTTTAGTTGGTATTGCCAGGAATTAGAACAGTGCCCACTACATAGTAAGCAGTCAAGAAACATTTGTGAAATAAACATTTGCATGAATAAATAAGTATGTTGATGTAGCAGTTTAGCAAATAG
Organism: Homo sapiens; assembly: GCF_000001405.40. Taxonomy (NCBI): domain Eukaryota; kingdom Metazoa; phylum Chordata; class Mammalia; order Primates; family Hominidae; genus Homo; species Homo sapiens. The sequence continues at coordinate 91,778,623 of NC_000001.11, read as the reverse complement.
GTTAAGTCTAGAAATTCTATATATGGAAGTTTCTCATTAATTATATTTTTTGAAGATCTAGTTATTGATATTGGTATGTATGGCTTGGGCATAAAGTAATGTTTCTTAAACCAAGGCTTCAAGGTATAGAAGACAGCACTGGATTGTGAGTCTTAATAAAAGACTTCCCTCTTTTTTGGTCTTCCCTCTGTTGTGATCTTTTTTGTTTAAACTTGAGGGCAAATGTGTAGACCCATTTGGATCTCAGTTTCTTTTTTTATTTTCTGTCAATATAAAGACATTGAGAAAATTAATATTTCAAAATACCAATTGAGAATTAGAGTCAAAAGCATTTCTGGAGTTGTTAAACTACAAAATATCCTTAAAGAAACCCTCAGCATTCAGTGAATAAGGAACCACCTAAGAGCTGAAATGTAAACTAAGGGTGTCTCATGTCTTCTTATGTGTGTTTTTTTTTTTTTTTTAACCTAGATTAAGTAGGATTTACAGATCTGGGGGCAGATCTGGTCTCTGAATACTTGGGAAAATGCTTTTGAGTTTCATTGCTTATATCTTACTGCCTTGCACAGTAAAAATTTCATGATTTTCCAAAGAGCTCTACTGTTTCGTCAGGACAGAGTACATGTGAATCTTTCCCTGTCTTTCTTTTATTTATTGAAATGCAGAAGATTAGAAGAACTAATTATTTCAGTTTGTTGAGTGGAGGCCTCTCTCCACATAAATTAGAACCAGGCAGTTGGACAGTCAGCTGCAGCTGCCTTTGTGAACTGGGCACCGGTGCAAAGCATTGCAGGAGTGAGGAGACAGGCAGCCCTCGGAGCTCACGGTCACCGTGCATCCAGGGACAAAGAGCAACACCTGTAACAGAAAGTACGGAGACGTAGAAACATCTCATCGCCCTAAATACACGAGATAGAAACTTAACCAAATAGATGTAATCAACTACAGCTGGGCTGAGATAAACACGTTAAGTGCTAAGTAATCAGGCATGTTAGGGGGATGTGGGGCTGGGGCTAGGGCTGGGGCTAGAGCTGGGGTTGGGGCTGGGGCTGGGGGAAGGCATTGCTGGAATAATTGGAGCCAGGTGTGCTTGCCTGGTGCTGCTTTTTGGAGGTGAGAAATTGGAAAGGTTTGAAATGGGGATGTGGTTTGGCAGAGGGCTGAAAGGAGAATTTTCCAAGACTAGGGGAGGAGACTGGTAAATAAAATAGAGCCGAGTTGAGTATGAAATATGTTGAGGACAGCAAGTACCTTGGCAGCTGTGAAAGCTTCATCTGATGGTTTTGCCTGTTGGTGTTGATGCTGGGAGAATGGTCTTCAGCTGAACACCACAGGTCTTCAAAGCCAGGTGAATTGTGACAGCCTGTGACACTGGAAGGGGCAGTGTAGACAGGCCTCTGAAGATAAATGTTTGTCCCCAGATTTCCCCACTACAGATTGGGAGAAACCTCTAGCTTTACCTCACAATCCAGTGATGTCAGCTGCCTTGGAAGCAGTTCCTTGCTTTGGCACTTCCTATGTTCCTATTTTTTTGGAAGGTACCTGCCAGGGAGGAAAGGCAGCGAGCACAGGTGATTGAGTTTTTGTTCAGAGATTTGGGGTAACCTCAGAGTAGATGTGGTGTTGGGGTCAGGTGTGGAATGAATGTGGTCTTCCCAGGACCTTTGTTTGTTAGATTCAGAAGTCTCCAGAACTACGGTGAGATTTGGGGAGCAAAACCTGAGCTTGTCCAGGTTAGTGGTGCCTGAACAGGAACAACTAGCAAAGATGTTGATGTTTGTGCTACCTTTCGGCCCTCGTCTTTAATGAGCTCCAAATCCCAAAGGTGAAGGAAAAGCAGACAAATGACAGAACAACCATTAGTTCCTCATGAGGAAGCCAAGTGTTTGGAGGGTCATGTATGCAGCTGCCACCAATTTGTCACCCTGCTTGAAAATCCAGGGACCTGTAGGCAGGAGGTAATGGCACTACACTGATCAGAGCCAAAGTCAAACGCTGGTAGGCTTCTTTCCAGAGAATTACAAAACCTGGCATTTTATTTGTTTTTTTCAACACCCCTGGAAGGGAGATTCTGTTAGCTCTGTTTTACAGGTGTGGAAATTGAGGCTAAGAGAGGTTAAGTATTCTACCCAAGGTCATGAGCTGGGAAATAATTGGTAGAACCTAACCTTGAATTCACAACACACTTCCTATAGATGGAGTTGACATGCACTCTGAGTGGCTCTGGGCAAGGTGGGCTTTCCCAAGGCTTAGGCATTTATTCAATAATGAAATCATTATTTATTAAGCACCTGTTTGTAATGTGTCAGGCACAGTGCCAGGCACTGGCAGTCCTGACCCCCTACCCTTGAGAATTTGCCAAAGGTAACAAAAACACAGTGGATAGTGAGTTCTCCCTTGCTCCCGCTCCCATTTAGATGATCTCAAGCTCTTTACTTTGCTTAAATGTGGGCTTAGATGTTGCACCCAGTGTTGCGTGTTGACTTAATCATATGCAGGTAAGTCTTTGAGCTGCAATGAAACAGCCATCAGGTAAGAGTTAAATGTGAATAGCTGGGCTGTCATCTATAGGTGAAGAGCTTAGAAAGAGGGGCAGGTTAGGGCACCCTGTTATTAACATCAGCTCTGTTCTATACAAACAATTCTCTTACTGGATTACCTGTGCCAAAATATTGCTGAATAGCTTGGAAACAGGTTAGTATTTTGCCCTTTAGCAAAACAGACAAAAGAAAGACCATGGAGTTGAATTTGGAAAGGAATCTTGGAAAATGAATGTTTCAGTACAACAATGTATCATTCACATGCCCAGAAATTCAGCACTGCAGGGCTCCTGCTGGCAGAATCAGGTGAACTCTGGGATGCATTCTGATTTGGTCTTGAATTCTTGCATGTCTTGAGTAGGTTGAAAGTTGGTTATTTTTGTTTTGCTGGCAGTGGCCTTTACTTAGAAGTGCCCAGGAGATATTCTTGGGATAGATGCCAACAGGCTTTGTGTCTTTTCCCTTCAATTTTATAAAAATGTAAATGAAAGGATTTCCCAGCACCAAGTTGTGGAGCTACCTGGGTATTCAAGTGACAGGAAGAGTTGGTTGTTAGGGTGGTTAGGAAGGGCTTCTTAGAGGAAGCGTGCTTGAACTGAGACCTGAATGGTGAAAAGGCGTGAACTATGCCGAGATCTGGGTGAAGAAGAGGCCAAATAAAGGGCCCAGGCCCTCAGCTTGGAAGCAGCTTGTTGGAGATGAGAGAGGGGCCAGTATGGCTGGAGTGGAGTTAGCAAGGGGGAGAGTGGTGGGAGGTGCGATTGGTCATTGAGGGTTGGATCACGTGGGGCCCTGCGGAGTAAGAAGTTGTTTCTTGGCATTTCTTTACATTTCTGTGTTCTTATCTAGTGATTAAAAGAGCTGACCCTAAATTCTGAAGACTTGGGGAGTCCGTGTTTGCTAACAACGGAGAATTGGTTCTATAAGGAGAAATGCGAATAGTTCCACTGGCAAGGGAAGTAGAAACTAGATTACTAGAGTGGATATTTGGGCTCTAGTCCCAACCATGCCATAACCAGCTACAGAACTTGGGCAACTCATGACCTCTTTGGGCTTCAATTTCCTTATCTATAACAAACATTTGGAGTAGAATGTCTGTAAAATCTCCTTTCTCACTAGAAGTCAATGATTTTATTATATATAAATTTCATTTTTGGTTTTATCCTTTTGTTTCTTTCAGACTTTTACCAGTGATCTTACAGTAACCAAGTCCACTCACTAGTTCTGATTTCACTCTTTTCTCTATTCCTTTGCTTCTGGAGTAGCCAGTGAAGTACTTGGAAAAAAAAATGTCAGGAGGGAAAGAGAGAATTTCATAACTTTGCACAGTGTACTCAACAGTGCATATTTAACACATTGCCTGTTGCCCTGAAAGAATTCCCAATCACCGCATGAGTCGATTGTGATGACCGAGACTTGTTCTCAGACTAGTGATGTAGGGTTTAACCAAAAAATGCCATTGTCCTTACTGAGGAGGATTTATCCCATCAAAACGGCATTTGAGAACCTGACAGTGGGATACTGTTGTTTGCATTTACTCTTTTTTTTAAATCATATTTTGATTTATTGGAAACTTATATTTCAATAAAAAAAACCTGCTCATCTTTCAGTATCAATTATACAACTCTCTCATTGAAAAGTATATCTAGGCCGGGCGCAGTGGCTTACGCCTATAATCCTAGCACTTTGGGAGGCCGAGGTGGGTGGATCACTTGAGGCCAGGAGTTTGGGACCAGCTTGAGAACATAGTGAAACCCCATCTCTACTAAAAATACAAAAATTAGCCTGGCTGGTGGCGCACGTCTGTACTCCCAGCTATTTGGGAGGTTGAGGCGGGAGAATCACTTGCACCTGGGAAGCAGAGGTTGCAGTGAGCCGAGATCGTGCCACTGCATTCCAGCCTGGGTGACAGAGTGAGACTCTCAAAAAAAAAAAGAAAAGTATATCTAAAAGAAATTAGCAAGACCAAGTATATTAACTTGTTTTTAGACTACTACCATGTCAACACTTCCTATTTTAAAATGCACTGTAAATCATGGTTTACCCTTAGGATTAGCTTTGAGTATTTCATTATTTGTTTTGCTTCTGCCAAATGTAAAAGACTAAGTGGGCACACTGACCCAGAATTAAAGTTAAGGAAAGCAAAGAAACTCTCTAAAACAAACATTATTTAATTTTTCAAGCCAGCATTTCAAGACATTTTCACTTGTTGAAAGGAGAAAGCACTTCTATTTTGTTCTCTAGTATTCACTTTGGCAGGCTAAACTAAACTTTTTAAAATTGTTCCTTTTAATTGAGTACACAGATCATTTTAGTGTGACATGGCATTTATGAAATTGATAATTCAGTCACATCAACTCATTTATTGAGATACATTCATTTCTAGAGATCTTTTGTTTTTTGAGATGGAGTCTTGCTCTGTTGCCCAGACTGGAGTGCAGTGGCGCGATCTCGGCTCACCGCAACCTCTGCCTCCTGCATTCATGCAATTCTCCCTGCCTCAGCCTCCTGATTAGCTGAGATTACAGGCGCCTGCCACCAAGCCTAACTAATTTTTGTATTTTTTAGTAGAGACGGGGTTTCACCATATTGGCCAGGCTGGTCTTGAACTCCTGACTTCAGGTGATCTGCCCGCCTTGGCCTCCCAAATTGCTGGGATAATGCTCATGAGCCACTGTGCCTGGCCTAGAGATCTGTCCTGAAGACTTTTACTGACTCTATTAGTTGCTGAAAGAACCATAGGCTCTAGATTTATAGGTGGCCATAGAGATAGAGTCTAACCTTTTCATTTATGGGGAGACTGAAGCCCAAAGTAAGATACTTAAGCCAAAAAAAAAAAAATCATTTATTTATTTATTTTTATTATTTTTAGAGACAAAGTTTCACTATGTTGGCCAGGCTGGTCTCAAACTCTTGTCCTCAAGTGATCTGTCCGCCTCAGCCTCCCAGAGTGCTGGGATTACAGGCCTGAGCTACTGTGCCTAACCCCCTTTTTAAAATGAATGATATGTCAGGATCTTACATTAGGAGGAAGGCAAAATTGGGGAGCACCGGGGTTTGTGGTTTATAGTGAAAGTTAATTTCCTCTGTTTCTCAGACAATTAACTTTTTTTCTCCTTGAGGGCAAACAACAAATGATTATTTTCTAGAAATCAGACAATCCTATTTTTGTTCTAAAATTTCATGCCAACAATTTACTTACTTTCTTCTTTGAAAAGAATGAGAGAGATTCTGACCTAAAATTGTCTGAAATGTGTACTGAAGATGCTAATATTGTATTGGTAGGTCTTGCCAAGATTTAAGAGGGCATCTCAGAAAGACATTGTACACCATTCTACAATGGTAACTTGTTTTCACCTTAGAGATGATAAAGTAGAGGGATAGATAAGAGGCTTAATTCAGCTCATTTCTTACACAGTAGAGAATTATGGATAGAACTTACAGACTTTTACATAAAATAATGTAACCAGGACCAGAATTACCAGGCCCTATAAGTTGTTCCTTATAGAAATGCTCAAGGCTCCTAGCTCAGTTGCTTAATTCATTGATAGTTTATGGTTATACCCCAAACTCAACAAGTGTTTATTGAGGGACTATGACCTGGGGACAAAGCCAAGGAACAAACTCCTCAAGTCTAGGAGATTTAGGGTTGAGGGCTAGAGTTTGATTTTTCTCACCATGCAAGATATTCCTTGGTAATTCAGCAACAATCTAAAGGTACCCTTTAGATCCTAAACAAAAATGGGATTTAAAATTGTTATTAGATTTATGAATGATATGTTTTCTTTTGGGCAAGTAAGTCAGGTAATGGAAGTTCATTTAGTGAATCAGTGCAGTAATGTGGTTAACTAAGTGACACTTACTAAGCCAGAAGTTAATGTACTCATTATCTATCAGGAAGCAAATCAGGGTCTATGTCTCTGAAAAGCAAATGATCGTCTTTCATTAACTGGTTAAGCTTGGCTTTCAAGGCTCATTGTGATCTGGCTCCAGTACCCTTTCAACGACATTCTTCTTTATTCTTTTTTGTATTTCCTTAGCTCCGTCTGAATTAAGTATTCTTCACACCCACTCATGCTGCCTCCACTGCCCTTCTCCTTGTCTGGACCCCTTAGATCCACCTTTCCCCATTCACCCTCTGGCCCAGCTGAAGTGCCCCCTTCCTGCTGCCCACAGATGTGTTTGTATCTGCCTGTCCCTCTGCCCCCATCAAACTGTGAGCTTCTTGAGGGCAGGTATTGTGTCTGACTCACATTTGAAGTCCTTTCATTACTTAGTGGTGCTTCCCAAATATAAGTTTATATGTGCTATTAGTCTTCACAGTTTGTGTAGTATTCATATATTATTTGCATTATTTACCTTTTTTTTTTTTTTTTTTGAGACAGAGTCTTGCTCTGTCACCCAGGCTGGAGTGCAGTGGCACGATCTCGGCTCACTGCAAGCTCCGCCTCCCATGTTCATGCCATTCTCCTGCCTCAGCCTCCTGAGTAGCTGGGACTACAGGTGCCCGCCACCACGCCCGGCTAATTTTTTTGTATTTTTTAGTAGAGACGGGGTTTCACCGTGTTAGCCAAGATGGTCTTGACCTCCTGACCTCAGGATCCATCCACCTCGGCCTTCCAAAGTGCTGGGATTACAGACGTGAGCCACCGTGTCCGGCCCATAATATTTTTTCTTAAATCTACTCACTTAAAAAATGACTTTAGCTTCATCCTCAACTTCCTAAACATGAAATCATGTTTTTAATTCCTGTAAAAATATATATACATAAAGTATATCTTAAAACATTCTTATTATCTCCACACTTTGGGAAGGATTGACTGAGTAAAGTGCTTTACACATAGTAGCCATTCAGTTTCTGAGGAATGAATAGTAAATGCGCAAAACATAACATGAGAACCTCTTTTCCCTGTTAGTTTAGTAACTTCACGCTTATTAACCTAGAGATAAAAGGAGGAGGGTGCAGCTAGAAAAGACTGAGCAAGCCCGTAAGCCAAGCCATTCATTCCTGTCTGTGAAGCATTTAGGTGTTAGATATTACTAATTACCTCTTATGCATTGCAAACTGCTGGGCTAGAGGGGCCTATGGAACAATAAATTTTGTGGATTGCAGAGTCCCTGCTGACTTACTGAGTGAGCCTCTGCTGAAACTCCAGAAATTGTGTAAGTGGACCCCTTCCCCACAAAAGATTCAGAAAGCAGCGCACTATACATGGGACACATCCTAGAGAAAAGGGGTGTGGTAAGTATGTGTACACATCACATGGTTGTTGTTGTATTTCTCAGTGTTCCTGTTTGGGGCAGTTTAAGTTACAGATTTCTCACTACCACTAAGTGTTTTTTAGGAATGCATTGTGTACTGCCAACATAACAGAGGTCTGAAGGATTTTTCTATAAATTTGCTAATGGGAATTGTATATTTTTTAACCTAATTTTTGAGGATATTGTAAGATTACTCAGGTAGACCAATTTGAGTTTCTTTAAAAAGAACAAGTTCCTATATATTCAAGCTATAGTTAACATAGTTAATAATTAAATTAATCATACTAATAAATATTGAAGCCTCTTATAAATCCATGAAGAGATTTCTGTTTTAGTTACTATACTCTATATTTGCTGCTTCTATAGAGTGTAGAAATAGTATGCTGTAGTTTCTTATTTATTATGTAAACTGCAGTATAGATTTAGGGTGGCAGATCAGAGACTAGAACAGGTGATTTTTTTCAATTGGTGTTTAATAAAGTTTAGGTAATTTTTTCTTAAATCTGTAGGAATCAGTCTATGTAAGTTCAGCATGGGATAAAGTCTATTTAGGGTTTTATGAGAAAAATCACCCACTCTTTTTTTTTTTTTTAATCCAGGGTTGGGATCAACAGTTGTTCTAGCATGGGCAGGGTAACTTGATATAATGGCATACATTTTTACCCTGGTCTGCTCTTAGAGCAAATTTGAAATGGTTGTTTTGGAAAATGTGCTATGAGTTTCTCTCCAGACCTTTGCACCAGGGCAGGCAGTCCAGCCTAGCAAATCTTTGGCACTTGATGCGCATCTTTCATAACAGAACTTTGATGCTGAGACTCAGTGTCTTGAAATCAGCACAACAAAATGGTGCCTGAGGAGCAGTGTTTACTTTGATCATTCTTCAACTTCTGTGCCCCAGCCTTTCACAGAGCACAAATTGCTTTACCAGAGTTACGGTGCTGAAGCCCACGACTGTTTTTGTAGTCTGGTTGCTGTGGTGATCCTTAGCCTTCCATGAAACTCCCATCTCTAGGGAAATAGAAACCTTTGCAGCTGTCTCGGCCTTTTTGGTTTTGTATCTGGTGGAGGTCTTCACCGAGCTTGTTCAAGCCTGAGAGTGATCGGTTTGTGTCAGAGTAAAATACACACATGGAAACAGGGCATCCCCTTCAGGATGTGTTGTATTAAAAAAAAAAACAAAAAAAACAAAAACACAGCTCCCTTATCCTTCTCTCCAATCATGTGGGGCCTTTGAAGTATCTCCAAGTCTGGCTAGAGTGAAGTGAGCCTTGGAGATGTTGTTGGTCATGATAGTGCTGTGAGTAAGCTTTGGGAGCGTGACTCAGGAAGTGGGGTGGCCAGGTGGGGAAGAAAGAGAGTGGGGGCAAAGGGGAAGGTTAACAGGGCCCGTGTGTGCCCAGAGAGAAGTTGGTTTAGGAGGAGAATGTGGGCCGAGTCCAAGGATGCCAGCAGCTTGATGTTTAGAGGACTATGAGGAAACCCGTTTTGACTTGAAGCCTCAATGGAGGATGGTATAGACAAGAGCTTCCTTCCATAGGAACCAAGGGAATGGAGAATAGCAGCTGTGGTTTTAGTGGGTAGAAGTAATAATAGCTAACACTTAGAGAGTGCTTACCAGATGCCAGTCACTGTTCTAAGTGCTTTCGACAAATGACAGATTTAACCCTTTGACATCTGATAGAATAGATACAATTATTATCCCCATGTTACAATTGATGAAACTGATGTGAGTAGAGTCTTAACATCCTCGAGGCCCTAGGGTGGGTAGGTGGAGAGCTGAGATTCCAACCTAATGCCTGGCTCTGAGTCACTGTTCTTAACCACCAGGTCAAACTGCCTGTAATTTAGAAAGGAAGGCAGAGTGACCCAAAGGATTGGGTTACGGGAGATGTGGCCAACTTAGAAGAAAATGTAGATCTTGGAAGAGATGAAATTATGCTTTAAAATGTGTGTGTTGATTCATGTATTAGTCCATTCTCACATTGCCATAAAGAAATACCCGAGACTGGGTAATTTATAAAGAAAAGAGGTTTAATTGGCTCACAATTCTCCAGGCAGTACAGGAAACATAGCAGCTTCTGGGGAGGCCTCAGGAAACTTTCAATCGTGGCAGAAGGCGAAGGGAAAGCAGACACATCTTACATGGATGGAGCAGGAGGAAGAGAGAGTGAAGGGCAAGGTGCTACACATTTTTAAACAGCCAGATCTTGTGAGAACTCTCTCATGAGAACAGCACTAGGGGGATGGTGCTAAACCATTCACGAGAAACTACCCCTATAATGCAGTCACCTCCCATTAGGCCCCACCTCCAACATTGGGGATTACAGTTCAACATGAGATTTGGGTGGGGACACAGATCCAAAACCTATCAATTTCTTCATTCAGTCATTCATTCGTTACCAAATATTAATGTAATTCCTGTAAGTGCTAGATACTGGACAAGGTTCTAAGGTGATAAAAATACAAGTCCCACCCCATGCTCTGAGATAGTTTATATGTACAAAGTTAATACAAGGCAGCAGATTCTGGATGCTGTAAGAGATGGGTCAACAGGACATAGGTCAGTAATATCCTCTGGACACAAAGTCTTCTATTTTTTTTTTTTTTTTGAGATGGAGTTTCGCTCTTGTTGCCCAGGCTGGAGTGCAATGGCATGATCTCGGCTCAACTCAACTTCCGCCTCCTGGGTTTAAGGGATTCTCCTGCCTCAGCCTCCTGAGTAGCTGGAATTACAGGCATGCGCCACCACACCCGGCTAATTTTGTATTTTTAATAGAGACGGGGTTTCTCCATGTTGGCCAGGCTGGTCTTGAACTCCCGACCTCAGGTGATCCTCCTGCCTTGGCCTCCCAAAGTGCTGGGATTACAGGCATGAGTCACTGCACCCGGCCAACACAAAGTCATCTTAAAGAGCATGGCTTTTTTTTTTTTTTTCTGTGATCCAATGTGAAAATACAAAACAGTAATTAATGCATTTATCCCTCCTTCCAGAAAGAATTGAGAAGTTACTTTGCTGAGTTTGTATATAGTTTCCAGGAGTAAAATAGTTCCTGCCTCTTACTGCTATAGAGCAGCTTCCCATTCTCCTCTATGTCCCAAGACTAACACCCAAGATTAAAGATGGGGGTGGGTAGGTAGGGGGAGAGACAGACAGACAGACAGGGAGAGACATTCATTCTACTTCCAGCACTGTCATTTTCTAGCCATATGACTTTGGCAAGAACACCAATTTCTTTACCTTTAAGATGGGAGTAATTAGATATTACGCAGAGCACTTCCTTTTGATGAGAGCAGCAAATCTCAACAGGAGCCATGGATCTACCTATTGTCTTTCCTTAGGAGATGATGATGATGATGGTTATTACTACTGCTGCCACCATGATTTTTAACAATAATCCAAGTGCGGTGTTTTTGAATGTTCATGTCTTAGTAATTACTCCTCTCTGGATTTCTGATTTCTGCTAGCAAGGTAACACTGTACTCCTAAAGAATTCCTTACCAGCTTCAGGTTAATATACTTTCTAAGATTGTACTTTAGCCCAGGGGAATCCAAATGCCATCCTTTGCTGCTGAGAGCATCTTAAATCGCTACCTGACTACAACTGCATTTTGTGGGGTTTTGTTTGTTTGTTTTTGCTATTACAAATTAACTAACTTTAAGATGCTGCTTAAACAGAAATCCTTATTGAGATCTTACAGCCATAATAGGTTCATTGTCCAACGTGCGTGGCAAGTCAATACACTGAGATACCAGGTTGCAGCAGAGACAGAGGTTTAATTGTACAGCTGCTGAACTGGGGGAAAACTCAAATCCATCTCCCACAGGAGTTTGGGGTTGGAGTTTTTAAGGGTTTTGGGTGGGCTGAAATATGGAGATTGTTGATGGGTCGAAGAGTGCAGGGTAAAGTCGTGGGACAGGGGGATGAAGAAACTGTGTTCTCATGCTGATTTGGTGGTTCCTTTGTGGGAGTCTTTAAACTGGTTGGTGTCAGCTGTCCCGTTGGAATTCAGGATCTGCTCATGCAACTCTCAAACAAAACCCTTAGGATTCTAACATCAGACATCCTATCTATCTATAGGAGCAATGGGGATGCAAATGGTGAGAATCTAGTGCTATGTGACTTGGTTACAAGAAACTAGGTCAAAGAGCAGCATGTTAATGCTTAATTATATTTTCTGTCCGGAATTCTTGTTAACCCAGTGAGGACAGCTTCAATCTCTGACTGCACGTAGCAGGTGGAATGATTACTCCAGTACTCAGATTTTGTGGGAATTGAGTTCCTGCTATGCTTATTTTGTAAATCAGCTTCTAATGATCACTCTAGTGATTCTCTTTATTATGCAGTTTGATACATCACAGTACTGATGCACAGGCCATTCTAACATTCTGTTGTTGGTAAAGACATATACATGTGAGCATACTGGCTTACTAAACAGGTATGTAGCAAAGCTAATTTGAAGCCCATTATAAAATGTAGAAATTAGGCTAGGTACTGTGTGGCTCACACCTGTAATCCCAGCATTTTGAGAGGCTGAGGTGGGAGGATTGCTTGAGACCAGGATTTGAGATCAGCTTGGACAACATAGCAAGACCCTGTCTCTACAAAAAAAAAAAAAAAAAAAGAAAACAAACTTAGCTGGTTATGGTGGTTTATGCCTGTGGCCATAGCTACTTGGGAGGCCAAGACAGGAGATTACTTGAGGAGTTGAAGGTTACGGTGAGCTCTGATTGTGCAACTGCACTCCAGCCTGGGCGACAGAGTGAGATCTTGTCTCAAAAAAAGGAGAACTTGAGAGGAAATACGTTTGTATAGCACATAGTTATATGGGGCTTTGGTTACATATTAGTGTTAAAAACAAAAAGTGATCTGAATGGATGTATTTATTAAATGTGACAGGGAATATATATATATAAAAAGCAAACTTTCCCTCCATTTTAATCAATTTGCAAATATTGAGTTTCTTCAGTTTGTCTAAAATTTTAATTTCTAATCATTCTAACACACTTAATTGCCTACATGCAAACCCGTGTAAAATTCTATGCCTCTAAAAGATAGTGGAATATTTGCTCAAAATATTTTATCTTTGTTATCTATCCCTAAGGAAGAAAACACGCTCCAAAGGTTTTTTACATTTTATGTGTTTTTATTTGCGTAACTGTTTAAGATAACAAACATTTTCTATTTTCTTTTCTTTGCCTTTTATGGTTCCCATGGATGGCCCAAGTGCCATTCTACGCTGTCTTACACACAGAGAGGATGATGATCAGGGTGGCTTGTCCTACAAAGCCTGGGAGTGGCCTTGGCATGCTGTCCAGCATACCTTCCAGGAAGCATCTCCGTCATTTGTTTCAGTAGCTGGAATCTGCTTATCTTGACTGTGTGTTAATGTTCTGTTTACTATATACACCCCAACCCCCTTGTTCTGGCCAGAAAAACAGGTCAATATGACTCTGTAATTATTATCCTAGTCACATTTCATTAATAACTTTTGTTCGTTCCTTCTTTTATTCCTTCTTTCAGAGAACTTGTGGACTGCCTACTAGATGTCCTGCCCTGTGCTAGGCCTAAGGATGCAGAAATGAGTGTGACTCAGTTTCTGCCCTTGAAGAATGACCTGAGGAATTTATACTGTGACAGGGGGGACAAACATCCAAACCAGGGCGTCCGATCTTTTGGCTTCCCTGGGCCACATTGGAAGAATTGTCTCGGGCCACACATAAAGTACATGAATGCTAATGAAAACTCATGAACGAAAAAGAAAAAAAAATTGCAAAAGAAATCTCATAATGTTTTGAGAAAGTTTACGAATTTGTGTTGGGCCTCATTCAAAGCCATCCTGGGCAGCATGTGGCCGTGGGTTGGACAAGCTTGATCTAAGCAGTTCATTATAGTGCCAGGCAGAGGCAGAGGTAGAAACACCAGTGCTGTCTGAGAGAGCTCTGGCTCTGTCTGAGGGAGGGGGAAAGATTTTACTGGAGATGGCATTGTGAGCTGGACCCACAAGTCCATCCGGAGCACTGTGGTGCACTTTAGGCCAGAATCCTGCAAGGCTGCGGTGTGTTAGTGATGTACACAGTACCCCATTCACACAACCTATCTTAATGCCAAAGAATGATAGAAAAGTGCCTGTCTGTGTCCTCAGACTTGCATCAGTAGTGGCCTGCTGAGGGCACTAGCAGCGTTCCTCCACCCGAACCACCCACACATCAGGGTCTCCGCTTTGCCTGCCTCTCTTCTCCGCAGCCGGGGGAGCTGTGGCTGCTCTGGGAAGGAAGGGCCTGGGTCTCTGGAATCTCCTTGCAACGGCTCCCAGGACCCCTTTAGAAGGTCATGACCTGTAGTTTCATAAATACTCCTCTGTTTATATGAGCTCTTGCCCCTCAACCCCCAACCCAAATTTAGTTCCCAGTATTTTTCCAGGGCATACAAAATATGGAGCAGAGCTTATTTCTGCATCCCGTTTCAGACTTTCATTTTAGGTTTTTTTTTTTTTTTTTTTTTTGTCTCTTTTGTGGTTATATTAGATGATTTTCAGAGGCTCTCAGGGAATCCTGAATCATGTCCTTGTTGGGGGGAAGGGAGATTAGTTTTGAAATAGACTGACAGTGCCCCTCTCAGCACTTTAAGTGGTTTCAAGACAAAACCATTGGGAAAGAGCTTGATACCATTTGACCAAGGAGAATGGTTAGTTGAGTGCCCCAGGTCAGGATGGGGACCCTGGGTGTGTGTGGGGGGGAATGTGTGTGTATGTCAAGATTTCTTGAATTCAGCACCAACTGATTAATATTCTTCTAGAAATTCAGAGAAATATAAAAATAAAAAGGAAAAATTTTAAAGCTCCACACCCAGTTCTCTAAAAATATTTTGAGGGAATCTTTTTATGCCAATTCCCAAATGGTGAAGGACAAGCAATGGTGAATAAAATATCAGCTGTAGGGGTTCCTTAGATCAGAATATACTTTAAATACTGCAGCAGCAACTAAGTAAATACTGTTCCCACCCCTAGCAGTCAGTTGCACATTTTAGATCCATCTGGGGTCAGGTTTGAGTTCCTAAAAGTCATATTGCCCAAATGTCAGTGAAATTTGAGTTCAGTGGGACCCTAGTGTCCTGAAATAGGTTTGTGCCTTTCCATTTGTGGGTGCAAAGTGTGGGTGCTGGGAGACCCAGATTCAGGATGTTTTCAGTTACTACTAACATTGTTGCCAAGTGGGATGTCTCCTTACCCCTGAAGAGGGGACAGATGATGGCTATATACAGACCAGCATGTGATTTTATGGGTCTTGGTTGTAGGCACGCTGTTGGAGTTCTTTTCTTATCTTAGTGTAAACTGATTATTGAATCATCCATTTCAGAGAATTATTTGGTCTGGTTTTAGATAATAAGAGTTTCCCTGGTAGTGTTTTGGATGACTTCATTGCTTCATGAACAGCCCACAGGGGCTGTTCTAAGAATCAGAAATGTTGAAATGGACCTCACTGACACGTTAGCAAAATTGGACAGCTGTTAGACTAGCATATCAGTTGCCTTGCTCACTTTGCTTTTTCGTTCGTTTTAATGAACCCCAGAAGTAGGGGGTCTAACTAATTCATATTCTGAAATCTCTATGGTAGAAATGCCTTGCATCTATATTATGAATCTTGGGAAATTCAAAACAATTTTCATAAGGAATCTTTCCATAAAGCAAGTAGGGTTTCCCCCTCTTCCTGTAATTCATTTTCATAAAGTAATCTACAGAGTTTGAGACAATAGATAGTTTTTGCTTATCAAAGATAACCTTTGGAGAACCCAGAAGCCTTCACTATAACAAGGTCCAGAAAAGATTGTCCTTGTTATTTTCTGCTGATAATGTGAGCAAAGACGTTCTTCCCAAGTGAGAGATAGGGAGGTAGTGTTTCCACTCAGAGGCTTTGTGCTCCTTAGAGTTGTCCTTGACTTTGGGCAAAGTTGTGTTCAGATTCCCCAGAAAAACACTCAGAAGATCTGCTTTGAATTTCTTTATAAAATTGTATGTTTGTTGCATTGCACAGGTAACTGCAGAAGACCTAGTATGAATAGATGTTGTAGAACAGGTTAGACCAATTAACTCTTTTCCATTTAGGGGAAGAATCAGCAATGTATGAGGGATGGTGTTACATAAGGGATGTGGCAGATCAGATTTGCTTGCATTTTCTCACACCATCAGGAATACCGAATATCCAGCACTGTTTGAAACCAGCATGGTTAGAACAGGAACTCTTGGATTAGGCTTCATGGACCAGTTTGTGGTCAAAGTACGGGTTTCACGAGAAACTGCATGTGAAAGTTTTTTTAGTTCTGAGTCTTCATCTATTAAGTTCTTCTGCTGAAAGGATGACATCTTAAGACCAGCGGTGTAATTTGTAGTTTAATTAGATGGATCCATTTTGTTACCATTGTTGCTCTTAGAACTTTCTTACTCTTTTACGATGGGGTTCTTAATCTGGGTTAATGGGTGCCTAACGGGGAGTTCATGGGCCCTGCAATGAATGTAATTCCCTGACATTGTCTGCAAAAGTTTGTGTGATATGGATGTTTTTTGTTTGGTTTGGTTTGGTAAGGAGAGGGTGCACACATGCATTCAGTTCTCAAATGTTCCATGACTCCCAAAGATTTACAAAGAAGCCAGTGGTTTCGAGACTGGTCATTGCTGCTCCTTTGAGCTGCATCCCCTTTGGTTCTACCAGCCTTCACAGCTTGCATGGTCCCAGTGTTCAATTCCTTATTACTTATCAGCCCATAGACAAAGCTGTTAACCTGTATTTTTATGTGTAAATTTGACATAGGATTGATGGTCAACTCTTTAAACTACTGTTTGGATTTCCAAGCTGGAGATTTCTGGATACTCTTTGTATCATTTCTTCATGGGATATTTATTTGCTGTAGTCTGCCTCAGCTCGGCCTTTAGACCATGAGCACTGGAGAGTGTAACCACAAAAAGCTTCAGGATATTCTTATATTTGTAACTGTAGTCTACCCTGAGCTATAATTGATCCTAAGGAGGATTTTCTTTTTCTTTTCTTTTGTCTTTTTTTTTTTCCCCCAAGCCTGGGAGAAATTGAGCAACTTAGCCAGGAATTCTTTGAGATATTGCTGTGTGTTCTCTCTACATTTCTGGAAGCTTTTATACCATGGTTCTTTTGTTAGCTGTTTTGGTTGTCCTTTATCTTCCCTTCAGCAAGATTTACTCAAGCGGGGGAAGCATAGAAAAGACAGGTTGCTGAGGGATTAGGTGAGCAGGCACTTGCAGGACTCATTGTCCCTGCCAAATGATCTTTTAAAGAAACTATTGGGTATTTTTCTTTGAATTTCCCAATTGTAGTGTGAATTCTTCTTTGCCAAATGGCTTTTGGGGCTCTGCCTGGACCCTGTGTGCCAGAGTCAGAGATTCATCTTGGCCAGACACTGCCACATATTGAAGAGGGAGCTGTTTCCAGGAAAGCTCAGAGAGCTGTGGCTCCTAGAAATCTTCCCTTGATTGTATGAGCCAGGCCTCAGCACTTTTGACCATCTGGAAAATTTTGGACCTGAGCACCAATATCTGTCTCATAGATCTTTTTCTTCTCATTTCATGAGCTTTTATAAAAAATTCTTGTTCATTTGAAATACATACTTACTAGTATTTTGTAGTATATATTTTGACCGAAACTTCTGCATATCTATGAGCTCTAAGAAGAATTGTATGCCTGAGGACTGCAAAGAAAATCTTCAGAAGAAGGGTTGATGCAGCCCCTGCAGATATACATTACTAGTCTTTGCATCATTATGGTACTCAGTAAATAGTCTTGAATAAATAAATAGAGAAACCTTTTACTGATACATGCTATTAGTGAAAGAGTGTTGCTTTGCAGTTTTCAGGTACACTGGAACAAATGATGATTTCATCCCTCCTTCATTCTCCATAGTGTGTGTGTGTCTCTTTGTTCAGTACAGTTTGAATCTTTGCTTCTGCTATTTCTATAGCATCTCTTCTTCTCAGTGGCTATCAATCTGTTTATTTCTAGATGCGGACAGCATCTCCAAAGTGTGCTGTGAGGTAGAGTCTTTACAACCAAGGAGCACATTACTTTGCTGTAGCTGTACTTGACATCACTGTTCATCTAGTACTTTGATTTAGTGCTATGCTTATGCCAGATATAAAAATGATCCTAGCTGTGTGCAGAAATAGCTCATGACAGTTGGAGTATTGCTTATTTTTGTATTTTTTTGCAAATTAGCCAGCTAAATTCCTTTGAACCTTTTTTTCCCCTTTAGGTAACATATAAATATATGAATTTGCTGTGATAAGTCAATATTTATTGTGTGTGTTTACTTCCCGGCCTTTTGGCTAAGATCAAGTGTATTATCGTGTCTATGTTAAGCACAGTTTTTTGTTTGCTTGTTTTTGAAACAGAGTCTCACTCTGTAGCCCAGGCTGGAGTGCAGTGGCACGATCTGGGCTCACTGCAACCTCCACTTCCTGGGTTCAAGCGATTCTTGTGTCTCAGCCACCTGAGTATCAGGTGCCTGCTACTATGCCCGGCTAATTTATTTTTGTATTTTTAGTAGAGACGGGGTTTTTCCATGTTGGCCAGGCTGGTCTCAAGCTCCTGGCCTACAGTCCATTTTGGAAATTAAGACATGCATTCTCAAGCTAGTGAACAAGATGATGCAAGTTATTCATAGAATATTTTTGTGGCATTGAAAAGCAGAGAATTAAAACATTATTTTGACATTTGCTGAGTGCTTACCATGTGCTAAAGCCTGGGTTTTGAAAGATAATGAAAGTTTACTGTTTTATTTATCAATGACCTGAGAGCATACTATGATAAGTGACATTGGTCATAAGTGGTCCCTACAAAAAAAGGTAGAAGTATGTTGAGATCACAGTGGGCTGGCAGCCATTGGGAAAATGTGAAATAGTCCAGCATTTAGTGCTGTATCCCTGATGGTTGTATAGACACAGATCGTGGATCTAGACCATGTCATCCTCATGAGGATTCTAGCTGAGATGTACTATTATTCCCAGTGCATCATTCAGTCTGTGTCTTTCTAGCCTAAGTCCTTTTTTGTCCTGTCCCTCCCTTATTACTTTATGGTTATGTTTGATGAGTTCACTCTGTTTAAATATGTGATTCTTGGGTCTTGCCTCCCCGCTCTGTATGGAAAGCCAGTATGAGACAGACTGTATGAAAGTATCTAGTCAATATTTCCTTATATATCCCTTTGTTCTCCTATGTTCATGTTGCCCTGGGCTCATGTGTGCCAAGAGGACTTTGTTGAGTCCATGGTTTGCAGCTCCATTCACAGGTGCTTTTTGGTGATGTTAATGACAACAGTGATGACCTGCAATAGTCCTTGATCTGCTGTCAAAATTGGTTACAGTTTTTGTATCCATCCCATGGTTTTCTTCCCTGTTTTTTTTTTTTTTTTTTTTTTGACAGGGGCTGTATACAATCACTCTTTATTCTGTGTGTCCTCTGTGCTTCATTTCTTTGGAAAAGCCCTTCAAGCTAAAAGCTGAGACAATGAAAGCCCTGGCAGCCTCCCTTGGCAGCCGCTTTTTCTCAGCTTTCGGCACTTTTCTTTGGCAGAACCCATTTCACTTTATAGAGGTTGGAGCTTACCTGGAGGAGAAGAAAGTCATTTCTCTGGAGATCCAGAGGGATGACCCCACCCCAAGGGGATTTTGTTTTCCAAGTTTCACCTTAGTCATTTGACCTAAAGCTTAAAGCAGGCCTAAGGGAAGGTAACTTTTGTTCCACCTTTGCTGACTTTTAGAAAGAAAAAATGTGTTCTGTTTATTTGTTCTTTGGCAGGGAGCTAAATCATGCTTTGGTTGAGATTAGTGTGGTTGACTAATATGAAATAGCCATTTTGTAGTAAAAAATGGTCAAATATTGGCAATATCATCTGGTTCAACTTAATGTATCTTATTCATAGAATCTGAGCTACATTATAGCTTGTTTCTGTTGATAGTGAGTTGCAAAAAAAGTATTCCAGAGGCTGCTCTGAGTGATTTTCATGGAAAGCCAGGGCTAAGATTTCTGCCCTCTTTCTGTTGCTTCCTAGGTCACACTTCACCTGAATCCCATCTCCTCAGTCCACATCCACCACAAGTCTGTTGTGTTCCTGCTCAACTCCCCACACCCCCTGGTGTGGCATCTGAAGACAGAGAGACTTGCCACTGGGGTCTCCAGACTGTTTTTGGTAAGTGCTTAAACCTCCCCCAAACTGATCCTTAGCACAAGGACATAATGGTCCTTAAACTTTGCCAAACTTTTCATAAAGGCTTACTTTCACTGAAATAATGCCAGAGTCCAAAGAGTGTTAAATTTGGAGGATGCACTTAGTGATATTTGGATGATGACATAGATAAGCATTCACAGAAAGCAGACACACCTGCCCATCTTCTGTGGGCAGAGGCTGGGGTCTAGTGCGCACATTAGAGCAGGACCTGTCGTCATACTCTGTGTGGCCTGAGCTTTGGTTTCAGCTCTGAAACCCCCCTTGTGGCATCAGGAGCCCTGTAAATATTGTAACTGGCTACCGGGTGTGTGGTCCCTGACCACAAAATGAATATGCACGGACCCATACTATTTGTATATAACACAGGCCTAATTCCTGATATGAGGATCTGTTTGTTGAGAAAGTGACACAGTGAGCTCCAAAATGAAGTCATTTGTATTTTATTAAAAAAACAAGCTGGAACTCAGCTCTTGTCGAAAGATCCAAATATTACCTACTATTTGTAAATCATGTCCCTTTGAGTTTGCCAGAACATTCAAGTGTGCTAGTTGTGGAGAAATCGATGGGTTGTTTGGATGGAATTTTTTTGGTGTGATATCATGTCTGATGATGAGCAGCACTGCAACTTGGTAGTTGTAACTCACATTGTCTATTACGAGAGCTGCAGGCTAATGTCCTAACTGCGGTGCCTGAGGCCTTAAACCTCTCTTGCCCACAAGCATCCAAAACAAGTGGAGTCCCCAGTTAATAGTTTTCCTCTTGCCTCATGAATAAACTTTGCCCAGTTAATGTCTCTCAATCCAGATCTGTAGTTTCTTTCCCCTGTGTTTGAAGAGTACTTCTAAAAACTCAAAGGTTCTTGTTGAATAATGTAAGAATCCATAGTCAATACAATTATTATAATAAGTACATAAATGAATAAAAGGGAGAAAAGGAAAAGCTCATCTTTATAGTAAAATGCCAACTAGAAAATCTAGAAGGAGCAAAGGAGTTAGAAAATGATCATTTTGCAACCATCATAATAAAAGTTGACCAGGCAAGAATTATCAACAGATGCTAAATCTAGCAGAGATGGAGGGAGTTCAGGAAGTAGTATATTTAGATATTCTTAAAATATCTTTCATACAAATTACTTATTAATTACACATAAAAAATAGTGACTATATACCTTGGGGATATCCCATGATACCTTAACCAGGTGATTAAAATTCATATCAGCAATGTGGGGCAGATGGACGCTGTGTGCCTATAAATGAGAGAGAACACAGCATCACTTTTGTGGTATTTTTGCCAGAAATGCATATAACCTGAATCTAATCATGAAGAAACGCTGACAAAACCAAATTGAACGACATTCTATAAGATAACTGGCCTATAATCTTCAAAAGTATCAGTCATGAAAGACAGAGAAAGGCTGGGGAGCCATTCCAGATTAGAGGAGACAAAAAGACAAGACACATGTGATCCTGAGCTGGATCCTGTTGGGTAGGGAGTGGGGCAGCTGCTATAAAAGACATTAGGGGGACAGTGGATTGTATTTTATATAAATAAATTATAATTGAGCCTATAGATTAAAATATTATATCAATGTTATATTCCTTGAATTTGATAATTATGTTGTTTTTATGTAAGAGAATATCCTTAGGAAACATACTTAATACTCTTTAAGATTAAGGGCTAAAAGGTCAGATCATTCAGGAAAAAAACATGTTGTATAGAGAAGAATAAAGCAAATGTGGCAAGGTTTTAAAAACTGATGAATCTAGTTAAAAGGGTATAGTAGAGTCCTTTGTACTAGCAACTTTGCTGTAAATTTAAATTAATTTCAAAAGAAAACATTTAAACTCAAAAGGTACATTTACAAGGTGGGCATTACAATAACTTTATTGTAGCCTTTTCTGGGAATTGCAACTCTTATTCTATATTAAAAAGGCCAAAAATCAAAAATCAGTAATTATTTAGTTGTTATTACTAGCACATTTATTTAGCACTTAGGATATTTCAGGTCACTAAATGCTCTAATACTTTAATTCTCACGATAGCCTTCTACAGTACCATAGTGTAGATCCTTTCTTATAGATGAAGAACTAAGATTTAGAGAAGTTAAGTAGTGGGCCAAATCACATGGCTAGTTACTTGCAGAGTTGGTACTCAAACCTAGATGGGACCCATTCTACAAGCTGTTATGCTAAACTGTCTGCCTTCGTACTCATAATCACTGTCAGTCTCCTCTAATTAAAGTTACTTGTGATAGTAATACTAATGGCTCTGATCATAAAGTCATATGCACATTTAGCCCTCATACTGTAGAGCTATACTGTCCAATACTATAGGAAATAGCTGTGCGTGGCTACTTAAATTACAGTTCTTCAGTCCTGCTTAGCCACATTTCAGGTGCTTAGTAGCTATGTGAGGCTAGTGGCTACCACAGTGGGCAGGTTATGGAGGCATTATGAGCAAAGGCAGTGCATGTCCTGGTTTAGATCCAAGCAGTGACCTTGGGCAAATTAATTTCTCTAAGCCGGATTTTTCTCAGGCCCTGCATCATAGGGCTGTTATCTTGAGTAAGTGAGATCACATATAAAATGTTTATAGACATCACCTGCTGTTGCTGCTCTTATTTATTTCTAGTCACAGTAAAGAGCATGTGGGACGGGTGTTGAATTTGCATCTGTATTTATGAAATATCTAGTTTGGCTGGCCCCAGATCAAAAGGGGTTCTGTTTCTCTGGGCTATAGGTCCAGATGAAAGTGTGGGCTACGTATGTCATAGTTGTACTTATCGCTGCCTGGATTCTTTCTTCAGTCTGCCAGTTCATGGGTTTTGACGGAAAGTGTCTTACTCTTAGTTATTAATTTGCTTTAATTTTGCTTAAAATCTGTAAAAACTGCTTCTTGGTCATCAGTTTAGACACTAACAATGAAAGAAGGTGGCCGCTTTAGTAAACAATTGAACGTCAGCCCCATTTGGATCAATCCCATGTAAGGAGATTGCAGATCAAGTAATGAGCCTAAAATTACCAACACGTGGGAGGCAGCATCAGGAGAAGTCAAGGATTTAAATTCCAGGACACCTGAACTCTGCTTTGTTGTCCAGCAGGCTTCCTTTAGGGAAAACGGTTTTTTTCCCGTCTGCACATTTCTTCTTGGCCTGGAAGAGACGATGGAACATCTGTTGTTCATTCACGTTCTCACATCAGCAGACAACGAGTGATGCAAGTCCTTGCACAAGCTGGGCCACTCTCCTTGGGCAGGCTTTTCCCTTCCTCTCTGTGGCCTGAAATGAATTTTAGTTTCTCCTCATCTCCTTGATAGCCTTTGCCACAGAGGGTCTGGTGATCAATAGAAATCCAGTAGTGTGTTCTCTTTATCCATTTGTATAGTTAAGAGTTAAAGTTTGGGGATAAGATAACTAAATTATTTTATATAAAGTGTTCATCAAACACTTCAGAGGGCCCACGGGATCTCTGGAAATTCAGGCTTCACCGTTTTCATCACTGTCTTCTCCGAGGTTACCCAGGGAGCCTAAAGGAGCTGTGGAAAGCGAATGGGTCTCTTGACTCTCAGTCCACGATGCATGTATCCTTGCCTGTTTCCTGATATGCTGCTGGATGGTTTGCATTTCTGTCTCAGAGCTGTCTACTGTGTACGTAGAGTTACAGAACTTTTAACTGTTTTTTTTTAAATAGGGCAATGAGAAAAGTTCAAGTAATAGCATCTACTCATTTATCAGGGTGACCTTTTTATTTAAATGGACATGTCTGTGTTGTTATGACTGCCCAAATTAAAAAAGGAAAACTTTCATAATTAGTTAGGAGGGCCTTATGTTACCCAGGACATCGCAGCCACCCTTGAGGGTGACTGAAAACATACTTTAATACTAGTAATAAAGGCATCTGTCTTTTTCTGTCAAATCATTTCAGTCCTTCTCACCCCCTCACAGCACAGGCAAGAAGGGAACGTGTCAGGCAGGGAGAAAGTGGGATTTGGTTTTCTCTGCAGGTGCAGCTCCTTTATCTGGTTATTCTGGTTACCTAGGAAATATGAGTGGGATGAAGAGTGATGCTTTCAGGCTGAGTTTCAAGTAGTGAATCTTTGAGTGTGAGTCACACACACACGTGATGAAGTTGTAATAATCTTATAGTTTTCCTTTTGCAGGGTGTATGGGTGGCCCAGAGAACAATCAGAAATAAAAATCATCTTACCCTCTCAGTGTGCCATGTTGAAACTGCAAATAATCTCTTAGAAGGATCACATAAGCCTGTTTTTATTTATGCATTCATTTCTACACTGAAAAAAAAAGTAAGATAACTTAACTGGGTGATGATGCCTGAACCTTCAACCTGAATTTGCTAAAATGAGAGCCACAGTATGAAGTTGTCTTTAAGGACATACTACAATTTAAATACACGGTTTCTAGAGAAAAGACACAAATGGCCAAAAAACACATGAAAAGATGCTCAATATCATGAGTCATTAGGGACATGCTAATGAAAACCACAGTGAGATGCCACTTCACACTAGGATGGCTTTAATAAAAAAGGCGATAACAAGGGTTGTGAAAGCTGTAGGGAAATTGGAACACGCATACATTGCTGGTGGGAATGTAAAATGGTTCTGTGGAAAACTGAGCAAAACACATGTCCCCAAGAACTTGTCCACAAATGTCCAAAGCATCATTATTCACAGTAACCAAAAAGTGGAAACAACCCAAATGTCTACCAACAGATGAGTGGATGAAAACAGTGCTATATCCATATAATGGAATATTAGCCATAAAAAGGATTGAAGTTCTGATACATACCACAACATAGATGGGTCTTGAAAACATTATACTAAGTGAAAGAAGCCAGATGCTAATTGTCACAAGTTGTATGATTCCAATTTATATAAAATGTCCAGAATGGGCAAATCTATAGAAACAGAAAGTAGATTAGTAATTGCCAGGGGCTGATGGGAGGGGAAAATGGGGAATGACTACTAATGATACGAGATTTCTTTTGGGAGGTGACAAAAATGTTCTATAATTACATAGTGGTGAATATACCACACCTTGTGAATACACACAGAAACACTGAATTGTACAGTTTAAAAGGCTGAATATTATGGTATGTGGACTGTATTTCATAAAACTAGTAAAAACTTGCTGCAGCACTTTTTTTTTTTTTTTTTTTTTTTTTTTTGAGGACAGAGTCTCACTCCCTTACTCAGGCTGGAGTGCAGTGGTGCAAACATGCCTCACTGTAGCCTCAACCTTCTGGGCTCAAGCGATCCTCCTGCCTCAGCCTCCCGAGTAGCTGGGACTACAGGTGCATGCCAACATGACCAGCTGATTTTTTTTGGTATTTTTTGTAGAGATAGGGTTTTGCCATATTGTCCAGGCTAATCTCAAACTCCTGGTCTCAAGTGATGCACCCACTTTGGCCTCCCA
The DNA here is from genome assembly GCF_000001405.40 of Homo sapiens. Taxonomy (NCBI): domain Eukaryota; kingdom Metazoa; phylum Chordata; class Mammalia; order Primates; family Hominidae; genus Homo; species Homo sapiens. Next base: position 91,753,142 of record NC_000001.11, on the reverse strand, counting down.
AAGTGCTGGGTTTATAGGCGCGAGCCACAGTGCTGGGCAGGGACTAGGTTTTTAAATGTATCTTTTTACTTTATTCCATGTACCTGATTTTTTTTTCTTTTTTTCTTTTTTTTTTTGAGAGAGGGTCTGGCTCTGTAGCCCAAGCTAGAGTTCAGTGGCATGATCTCGGCTCACTGTAACCTCTGCTGCCTGGGCTCAAACCATCCTCTCACCTCAGCCTCCCGAGTAGCTGGGATTACAGGCATGTACCCCCACACCCAGCTAATTTTTGACTTTTTTTTTTGTAAAGATGGGGTTTCACTTTGTTGCCCAGGCTGGTCTTAAACTCTTGGGCTGAAGCCGTCCACCTGCCTTGGCCTCCCAAAGTACTGGGATTACAGGTGTGAGCCACTATGCCCGGCCTCTAATTTTTTTTTTTTAATCTTGCTTTATTTGTATTCCAAACTTGAGCATTCTCTCCTGCAAGGTCTGTAGACTTGGAGCCCTAGGACAAGCAGACGTTTTCAAGATGAGACCCTAGTGCCTGGCTTTTAATAACCTAAAATACCTAGTCCAGAGGCCTTGGCCAGCTTACTTATGTCAGGCTTAGTCACTTTGCATGCTCATAAGGAAAAAAGGGTATCTAAGATTAGAAGTTTCAAGAAATAAGCAGCTTCTTCCAACCTCATTCACTCTCGATATTACTGTGCTGTGATCTATTTTTTTCTAGCCATTTATCATTAAAATCAGAGAGCAAATGTATGTGAATGTGTGTATGTTTGAGTGGGGGATGGGGCATAGAAGGGGATTTTGGTCTTTGAGGTACAATTGCTGGAGCTGGCATATAAAAATAGAGGATGCCCAATTAAAGTTGAATTTCAGATAAATAACAAATCATTTTGTTAGTGTGCCCATGTAGTATATGGGACATAACATATACTGAAAAAGTATTCATTGTTTACCTGAAATTCAACTTTAACTGGGTGTCCTGTACTTTATTGGGCAGCTCTACTCGGAGGTAATTCAGGTTTTTGTTTCCAGTTAACACCCTGGCCTGGGTGTTAGGAGGCCTGAGTACTAGTCTTGGCTCTGCCACTAACTAGTTATATACATCATCGGGAAAAAAAATCACTTAACTACTCAGACCTCGTTTCCTCATTTCTAAAATGAGGGGATCGTACTAGCTCATCTCTAAAGTTCCTCCCAGCTTTTAAACTCTGTGATTCTTTGATAGTACGACTGCTAGATGTTATATCCCAATTTAATTTGGAACAGAAACTGGCAAATTGAGCATTGCCTCTTCAGCAAATCCAAGTAAATATCAAGGCAGGGCAGTTGCAATAAATGACAGAAACTAAACTCTATGCTATTAGCTTTGGATTAAAAACAAATCAAAACTTAATCCTAATGAAAAATGTAAATTAATAAATTTAAAACCAGTTTTGTATTTTCAAGAAGCGGGGAGGGATGGGTGAAGAAGCTGGAGCTGCCAACATCTAGTTTATTCCTTTTACTTAAACTAGAGGCATTAAAAAAAAAAAGGTCCAAATATTTTGGGCCTCTGCCACCAAACCACAGGCAGTTCTCTGGTCTGCACTGGAGTTTGGATGACTGACAAGACTCAGTGAAAAACAAGTGCTATTTGTTTTCCTGTGCCTAGTATTTAACTGGAAATCAGAAGGCTAAATTTCCAATCAGTTGCTAAATAGCCCCAGATGTGTGCTCAGTGCAGCACTAGGAAGGGACACGCACAGCCCATACCACCGTGCATGTCCAGCTGTTACCTTTTCATGAAGCCAAGTGATGTGTAACTGAGGGTTGTAGTGTCTGTCCAAAAACGCCCTAAGAATAACTCAGACATTCAAGTTTGCTTGTGGAGAAGGGAACTTTTTTTAAAAAAAATTCTGTATTCTATTGTGTTACATTTAAAAATCTGGAAATAATTTTTTTCTTTGCTAATTTCCTTCTTTCCCTTCTTTGGCAGTTCCCCCACCCCCATGTTTAGAAAAAAACACAGAATTAGCATACCGGGTATGATGGTTTATGTATGTGCTTGTTCATTCATCCAACACACAGTTTTTAGTGCCTGACTGTGAACTGTGCTAGCTGTGGAGGATCTAGGGAAAACTGGGGTGAATTGCCTGTCGTCAGGGAGCTTCCCATTGTGTGGGAGAGCTGATTGAAAAATTGGGAATTGCAGTTTAGTGTGCTAAGTACTATTACGCTAAATAATAGTGAAAATTGGAGAAGATGAGAATAGTAGAAATTGGAGAAAATGAGAATTCTCTTCTTCCAAATGCAATCAAGGCAGCTTCCTGCATGAGGTTGGCTCTGGAGAACAGCATGTGGCAAATGGGTCAAGGTTGCAGACACAAACACAGCTCTTGGCTCGGCCAGAAGCATTACCCCTGTATTCCAGGGACCCGGATATACCAGTTTGTGTTTTGCAGTGAGGTCTTTCCCCAGATAAATTCTCTCTTGAAGGGAGATTAAATAACTAAATGTTTCAAGATTGCTGGTGGTTCTTCTTCTTTTTTTAAATGTCTCTTGTGGAATGACTCATTGTGTCCTGTGGGATATTCCAAGTGGTTGTGTACCATGCATTTTTATTCCGGAGTCTGCTCATCTGTTGGTTTTGTGGCTTGTCCTTAAGGGCCTTAATTATATGGGTCTTGATCCTCTCATGAACTAGGGTCAGTCAACTACCCTAGTTCAAACAAGTCATTCCTGTTTCCTAGGAATAGGAGTTTTTGGCCCTATTGTGGCCATTGAGCTCTTCCTAAATGTCACTATGGCAATTAGAACATTGGAAAGAGCCCAGTTTCAACTGGTAAACCTGGTCCAGAAGGGGTTTTTGAAAGACTCCCTGGGATTTATTCTAACTTGCTAGGTTAAGGCTGGTGAATGTTGTGAGTGAGTGAATGGCCCGTGGCCCCTGGGAGATTTGCCTGGGTGTATTTTTCCTGAGGAAGACCTACTGTCCAGGAGGGTTCACGCAAGTGTAGACTTTTCCTGGCTCTGGCTGGACTTGCGTCATGTCTGTGTGCAGGCATGGGTTGCAGCCCTGTGAAGGCTTTGCTTTCATTCAACAAATTGAGGTCAAATAAACTCACTTTCACTGAGGAGGCAAGGTTGGTGTTTCTTCGTGTGGAGTCCCATAACGTCTTTTAAGGCTTTATTGTCTAAGGCTAATCTGGTAATCAGATGCATCTGCCCTTCCCAAGTGTTGGGCAATTGTATCAAATGTCACATCTCTGGTGCCCTTTGTTGACGTGGTGGCCAGCCTCCAGAGAGCTGTTCGGTAGAAAAAGTGACTGTTTTGTTAAGGAAGGTTGCAGAATATTTTATTTCCATGTAATAGGAGGGGAAAGAAACCCCAACTGTCTACCAGGAGACTCTGGGAGGCTGACTTGAAGGCTGTGGCTGTGCCTTGTTCCGCTCATAAATTATAGACAGTGATGCCTTTGGTAAGGGTTCTCCACAGGTGACCTACACTCTCCATCTCAGAAAGCAACTCCAGGATGGTCCAACTCCTTCCTGGACACAGGTTGTTGGGTTTATTTGAGGCAAATTGGTTCTTGCACCTCGAGTCCACATTATCTAACTCTAGCTTGGAAGCTACTTCTGATTTCGCAGGGGAGGAAGGAGTCCCTTTAGCCTTCTAATTTCTGTGTCTAGGATAGAATTTGCTTTTCTCAAGATCTGCTTTTGCCTTTTGTTCCTAACACTGTATCCTTAGATGACCCAGGGTCTTTGTTGCAACTGTGGGTCCTTAATGCCACTGTGCTAGGGAGTCACCATTGGTTTGCCTCTGCCTTGTCCCACTGAGGTGGTGAATGACACAGTGTATACCTGGAAGTCAGGGGGTCTTCCGTCTGCCACCTCTAGCAAAAGTCTCACAGTCCATTTGATCTCTGGCCTTTCCATCTTTATCACAGAGAGCCTGTTCTTGAGATTCTATTGGTTCTGGGTGATACAGATGGCAGAGTGATGTTCAGAGCTGCTGTTTGGAGCCAAGCCTGCCCCAATCCATTAAAACAGGGTTTTTATATCCTTTTCTTGCAGTTTGTATAAGAAGGCTATGGTCCTGCCATAGTGAGGAATGACTCGTGGCCTGTCAACCTCAGCATCTGTCAGACAAATCTCATGGCCCAATGTGAGGATACATACACACATATGTGTATGTTTAACAAGCACTTCTAGTGTGTGCCGTGTGTGAGGTACTCTTCTGAGTACTTACATGTATGAGCTTAGTCTTCATAATAAGCCTGTGAAGTAGGTGCTTTTGTTGTCTTTGTTTTAAGATGAGGAAACTGAGACAAAGAGGTTAACATGTACCTGGTCCCATAGCTAGTAAACGGGGGCTCTAACCCAGGGACAGTGCTTAGTAAGTACTCAGTAAATGTTAGCAATAATAATAATAATAATAATAATAATAATACTTTCCAGAATGGTAAATGGGGACCTCATTGGGAACAGTCACACTGCTGACTCGAGGGCATGACTATGATTTTATCTCTAACTCTGGCCTCCAGTCTGGAGCCACTCATGACTGTTCCAAGAACAGGGCTTCAGAATTGAACCTATAGAGCCAAATCAGGGCATCGCATCAGGTGAGCAAACTTCTTGTTTCAGCAAAGTGTTTTATGCATGACTTATTTCAGTACTGGGATCTAGATCATATCAGTATTTCACTTGAATAAAGATTTTAAAACTGTTTCTTGACCCCTTTCCCAAGAGCTTTCCCTCTGGGGTCCCAGTTGGAGCGTTTCTGGATCAGCTCCACCAGGATGCCCTAATATCTACATCTATCCTGAACCCTGTGGGGACCGTTTGTTAATTGATGCTAAATATGTGCAGTTCAACCTTCTTTGCTTTGACCTAGGAGACCACCTTGATCATCTTCAGAGACTTCAATGTAGACTGCAAAATGGGTGTGGCCTGCTTAAGAGGGCTCTGCCTTTGCTTCAGAGCTAATTTTAGGAAGCTCAAGGAGGCTCCAACCACAGTTATTTCGGGCTAGAGGCCTCACCTCCATTCTTGCCCTCCAAGGAAATACCCTTTAGAACTTTTTTTCCCAAACTGTTGTTAGGTCTGTGGTTCCTGGGCCAGAATATGCAGCTCTGTTTCTCCTAGGGCTTGCACCAGCCATTCCCAGGAGCTATCAGTCAGCATTTATCTAGAGAAACAGAACCAGTCGGGGATATATATATGAAGAGATTTATTACAAAGAATTGGCTTATGCCATTGTGGGGACAGGCAGGGCAATCAAAGTCCGCAGGGAGGCCTTCAGGAAGGGCAGCTCAGGCATGAGCGGAAGCCGCTGTCCACAGGTGGAATTTTTTCTTCCTCAGGGAAGCCTTGGGTGTGCTCTTAATGGCTTTCAATGGATTGAATCAGGCCCACCCAGATTATCTGATACAATCTCCCTTCCTTAGTGCCACCTGATTATGGAGTTTAATTGCGTCTACAAAATACCTCACAGTAACGTGTAGATGAGTGTTTGATTGCATAGCTGGGGAAGATGGCCTAGATACGTTGACATATAAAACTGACCATCACAGAAATTTTTAAGATCCTTGAGCAATTTGTTGTTGTTTACTCTAACTTGACTTCTAGCCAAGTAATTATTTCGTTGCTTTAACTGTTTCATTTCTATTTCTGTCTGTCCCTTCCATTCCGTTCCTCTCCACTCTGACCAGCACAGCTCCTGAGATTGCTGGGGAAGAGGGGACAGAGAGGGAAATAACCCACCAGGAGAATCTCTGCAAGCAGCAGTGAAGGGTGGGAGCCCCCTGCTTTGCCTCACTGCTTTTCCTTTTCACTCTCCTCTAAGCCTGGAGAATGTTCCTCTGTATTTGCCTACCCAGACTTGGTAGAAAGCTTGCCCTAAGACACCCAGGTCTTTGCTGACCTGTGAGCCAGTCAGTTCCCTCACCAACGGGAGATGACCTTTCCAGGCAGAGTGTCCACCTTCCCACAGTGGAAAGAGCATCATTTTTGGAGTCCAGCAGACAGTTTGAATCTGCACTCATTTCTTGCTAAAGGTGTGTAATCTGGCACTTTATCTAATTGCTCAGAGCCCCAGTTGTTTCCACTATCAGATATGAGGATTCAGAATCCATGTGACATGCACTTAGGAAGTGTGCAGCCTGAGCTTTTGTGATTAATATCATATTTCCTAGTGTTTTATTAACATGAGGCTGAGGGATGTGCGTGTCTACCCTACACTACTGATTTCTGAGCCTGGTAGCTGACTCTTCCACAGCGATGGAATAGAAAGAGCTCTAGAGTGAGAAACCAGGTCTTTGGTTCTATTGTCAACCCTGTTGTCTGCCAGCTGTGTGCCTTGGGTAGATCCTTTAGCTTCTGTCAGCTTCAATTTCCTTCTCTGTAAAATGGAGTTGAGATTATCAGCCTTGATGAAAAAAAAAACTCTATAAAGAGAATTCTAGGAACATGTTTGGAGCCAGGCATTTGTAAAAATCAGTTTTTGCTCTTGAACTTGACTTGGCTGATTGGATGTAACTTAGAAGAAAAAAAAAGAGAGTCTTCCCTCCTGTGGGGTTCTCCAGGAGCACATTTGGAGGACAAAATTAGATAAAGGAATATGGCAAGTAATAGTAATGATACCAACATTTTATTTTTTTTCGTGAAAAACATCATTTAGATTGAAATGCACTTTGAATTTGGGGGTAAGCTCTTCCATCAGGCTAACATTGGCAGATGAGGAAGGGTAAAGTTAGGAGTCTGAAGAATTTTTTGTAAAGCTGGACAGGATTCCTGTGTGGCCTGGGACTCTACTTTGGAAAACTATATTAGAAAGCAGCTTGTGCTTCATCAGTTTGGTAACTTGTGGGGACTTAGTTTGTTTTTTAGATGGAAAGACATCTTTTGCTTCTCTTTGTGTATATACACACTCACATGTACTGTTGTTCTGATAACGTTTCCATGGGAGATGAGAGTATTGCTTTTGTACTGGCTCATGTTCAAGTTTGTGCATGTTTGTGTTTGGAGGGCAGCATCTCAGAGCTTTCCTCTTGGACGTGTGTAAACATGCAGGGTGTTAAGAACATGGGGCGGTTTCAGTCATTTAGGTTTTTTTTATATTTCAGCAAAAATTAAGAACAGGATGATCATCATGAATGTTTTGAGAAAAAGTAATAGTCAAATATGTTTTAAGTCATTTTATTGGAAGAAAGTAATCTGGTTTGGGGTACTAAATAAAATCACCCAAGAATTTTTAAATGGCTGCATGGATTTGTGTTTCATGAATGCATGATTGGCAGATACCATCATCACATGGCTCATGAATATGTAGCTTTGCAAATTATGAACCTAGGTTCACAGGCATGGAAGTTATTATTTCTTTGAAATGAAGCTTTTTTAAAAGGCATTGAGTCATGATATATGTTAATAGAAAACATGTTTCGGATTGCATTTCACATCACATGGCTTCAGAGGAAATAGGCAAGTGGGGTCCTCCCAGGAATTGGGTAGGGAGAACGTGTGATTTTCCTCTTTTAAAATGCAGGGTTCAGTCTTCATTTGGAAGGTAAATATTTCAGTGCTGTTCCAGTATGTTTGTTTTTGCTGGACTTTGTGTGTCCAAAATACATAAAAGCATAATCTTTGTAATGCCTTTCTGTGTGGGGGCTGTGATGAGTTCTAGGGCCAATCTGTAGATCCCACTTAAACCTCAACTGAGATTCTTGAGGAATACCTATTCTCCTTTACCGTGTGTCTTTTCCCCCTGGAACTGAGCCAGCAAGTTCTTGGCATGGCAGGTGTTTCTGAAATATCAGTGTGTTTTTCTTTGCTTTCTTTGTTTTCCTTGTTTTGCTCTTTCTATTTTCCTAAGCAGGCAACTCCAAAAAGAGATTTGTTTGTGCAGGAGTCAGGAAAAGGGAAGAGGAATACTGAAAGCTGGGAGTAGGGCAGGACAGAAGAGGGGGAGGAGTCTATTTTCATTGTGTAAGTGTTGAACTTCCACCAATGCCAAAGTCACGGACATGTGTGCAGTTGGATGTGCGAGTTAGAGCAGCCCCAAGGGCCTGTAACCTGAATAGCAGGCACTCACCCAGCTGATAACTCAAGTTCCAAATGGACCACAGCTGAGTTGTAGGGGATGTGTGTGTGTGTGTGTACGCGTGCGTTTGAGATTCCTGGAACAGATTTCCTCTGAGATCTCAACAGGCTTTTTCATTATCATTGGGGAGCTATGGTTTCTCTTATTTCACAAGGCCCATTTCTTCCTTTTGAGATGTGCAAGGAGATGACTCCATCCATGACTTGGCTTTACACTCTCCCTCTTGGCTTTTTATCATCAGTGCAGAGGAGAGATTCTTGCTCGTTCTTCAAACAATCTCATTCGAGCTTTATAAAGATTATTGGAGTTTAAATAATATTCATATCTATGGCCTAGAACAATGTTCCTCAAGTATGCGTCAGAATCATGAGTGGTAGAGGGAGGATTATAATGTAGTTTCCTACATTTCTACCTCCCACCACCCTGGAGTCTGCATTTTAACGTACTTCTGTCTGAGGATCAGACTTTGGGAAGCGTTGGGCTTGAGATGTTTTCTTGACATTGATTTATGTTGAGACCAGACCAAGAAGCAGATGGATGGACATGATCAGTTCATAAACATGTTCCTTTCTTAGGGTCAAATTGGAGGAGGCTCTAGAGAAGCACTGTCCAATAGAAATATAATGCCAACAATATATGTAATTTTAAGTCTTCTATTGGTGCATTTAAAAAGTAAAAGAAGGCTGAGTGGCTGGGCATGGCTCCTCGTGCCTGTAATCCCAGCACTTTGGGAGGCCGGGGTGGGCAGATCACCTGAGGTCAGGAGTTCGAGACCAGCCTGCCCAACATGGTGAAACCCCATATCTACTAAAAATACAAAAAATTAACCGGGCATGGTGGCAGGTGCCTGTAATCCCAGCTACTCGGGAGGCTGAGGCAGGAGAATCGCTTGAACCTGGGAGGCAGAGACTGCAGTGAGCTGAGATCGTGCCACTACACTCCAGCCTGGGTGATGAGCGAAACTCCGTCTCAAAAAAAAAAAAAAAAAGTAAGTAAAATTAATATTAATGACACTTTGTTTAACCCAGTAGATCCAAAATAATATCACTTAAACTTGTAATCAGTCAATAAAAATTAATGAGATAGGGATTTTTCTTGTGCTAAGTGGTATGCATTTTACATTTATATAACACAGGTCAATTTAACCAGCAACATTTCAGGTTCAGGTACTTGATGGTGCCATGTGGCCAGTGGACACTACATTGGATAACAGCTGTAGAGCAATGATGCCTTCGCTAACCCCCTGGCAGACACGTGGTTGCTCATGGCATTTGTTCCCATTTCTCCACTGCTCCTGAATATGACCTCAGAATCCTTCTCAGCACAGAACCTTAGGCAGGCACTGCCAGTTAATTGGACATCAAGATTTGTTTTATTTATCAAACAAATACTTAACAAGTATCTTTTTTGTACCCAACACTTGGGGTATACCCATGGACAATGCACACTAAGATCCCAGCCTCTGAAGGAACCTTCTAGTGGAAGGAGTTGGGCAATAAGCATATTATATGGCATTTTAGAAGGTGACAAGTACTGTAGAAATAAAATGTAAAGTGAGTTTGGGAAAATCAGAATTCCTAGAGTGGGGCTGGGTGGTGGGGTTGTAAATTTAAATGGGCCCATTGAGAAGGTAACATTTGAATAGACTTGAAGGAGGTTGAGGTGAAACTTAAGATGAGACTTAATATCCACTTTTGATCTAGGGTGGCCTGAAGTTTCCTCAAGACTTCATCTGGGAGCATTCTTTTTGGGGTAGGGGTCAAGGAGGCAGGAGGATGGGGATGTGTGGCACTATCCACAGCAAGTTCCTCTCCTCACCACTGAAGACTAAACCAACGTTGGGGAGGCCCAGAGAGAGGCTACAATGCAACCTGCCAGGTGGTGAGTCAGCTGATGTGCTAAGTGCTAAAGCAAAGAACCTCAGTGCCAGGAAAATGGTGTCTGTGCTCATTAGCTGGGACTTGTACACTTCACTCAGGCTTGGGAGATCAACCTTGAGGCTTCCGTGGATCCGCTGAGGACTTTAAGAGTTAAAGCTTAAAGACAGGTGTGGAAACAAAGGGCTGGTTGCCTCTTTGGCTTTTTTCATGTAGTTTTGGATGAGGTTGTTGAACCTGATCCAGAAAAAATAATAAACTTGGCTGTGGTTGCCTAGCCGTAAGTTCTTATAATAAAACTCCCAGCAATTGGCAGATAGAGTAATGTTCTGCTCTTTAAAAAAGTCTGGTAGCATAACCTGAATTTCAAATACAAATGTTGTGCATGGTTCAAGTAGGGAGGAGCATTCAGGAGAGTCCAGGGTGCACCTCAGCATCCCAGGATTTGTTTGACTGTAAAGTGCTTCATGGTTCCCCTTCAACAAACGTTTACTAGGAATTGGGACCCTTGGAGCCCAGTGCTCTGTTCATTCCCACAGGAAGACATTTGTCATGTCAGGGAATGTTAGAGGATTGGGTTTTAATTAGCAAGCAGGAGGAAAGTTCATTGGGTTGTGGGGAAGACATGGAATTACTAAATATGCTTTAATAATTGGTTTTTAGGTGGAGTTATTAGGTGAAAAATCAAATCATTAGCTTTAAAGCTTGGCCAAAAGCTCATTTCCTGGGCAGTAAGGGAAGCAATGAGTTTGGGTAATGGGAATGAATCAATTATGGTGTATCTTTTCCTGTAGGTAACAACATTGAGCTTTCATTCAACAAGCAATTATTGGGTCCTTGCTTCATGCCCAGCACTATGCCAGGCCCAAGGGATTCAGAATGAACAAGGTTTTTTCTTGGCCCTCGAGGTGTTGCTCTTTGTCAAATGAGGGTGGCAGGTATGCTGATAAATAGTTGCAGTCCATGTGAGAGAGGGATGGACTAAAGGTCTGTACAGTCACTTGTGTGCAGCTCATTGTGAGGAGAGTAGGGAGCCTGGGAGGCTTCACAGAGCAGGTGATACTCCTGGGAGGACACAGAACGGTTTGCCATGGGAGCAAGGTAGGATAGACGGGTTCAGGCAGGGTGCAGGGTGTAAAAAGACCCAGGAGTGTGTGGCAGCATGATGTGTTCTACAACTGTGAGTAGTTCTTGGGTATGTGGGAGGGTGGCATGAGATGAGGGCGGGCAGAGGCACTTCAGTCATGCGCCATGTTAAGATGCTTAGGTGCCATTCCGCTTTATCATGTGTTTACTTTTTAGAAGGATTACCCAGGTGACAGTGTGGAGGAGGGGTAGAAGGAACAGGAATAGCGGCTGGGAGGGTAGAAAGTTACTGCAACAGTTTGGTTGAGATTATAAGGACCCAAAATGGGACAGTGTTGTGGCAAGCCTCCAGGGATAAGGTGGAAGATGGGGCATGGAATAAATAGTCTCCTCCTCTGGCACACAGCTCCTCCAACCCTCATCATCTCTGAAGTGTTAAGTACCTTTTTGTATGCTGGTGAGATGACTGGTGGCTGGGGCTCCTGGATAGCCTCTGGATGGGGGCTGGTTGCCAAGGGAACCAACCATGTGATTAGAGGTTAGAACTTTCAGCCCACCCCTCTGAAGGAGGGGAGAAGGGCTGGAGATTGACTTAATCATACATGACCAATGGTTTTATCAGTCATGCCTGTGGAATGAAGGCTCCCTAGAAATCCCTGATCTGTGGGGTAGGGTTTGGAGAGCTGCTGGTTGGTGAGCATGTGGAGGTGCCGGGGCGTGGGGGAGTGGCGCTCTCCGAGAGGGCACAGAAGCTCCTCACCCCTTCCCCGTACCTTGCCCTGTGCATCTCTTCCATCTGGCTGCTGTTCTTGAGTTGTATCCTTTATCATAAATGAATAAACTTAAAAGTATTTCCTTGAGTTCTGTGAGCCATTCTAGAAAATAATTGAACCTCAGGGTCATGGGAACCTATGATTTATAGCCCCACTATCAGAAGCATCTGAAGAGGGGCAGTCTTGTGGGACTGAGCCCTTAATCTGTGCGGTCTGACCTATCTCCAGGTAGATGGTATCAGAATTACATCGAAATACACAGCATCAATTGGTGTTCTGAGTTGGAGAATTAGTTGGTGTGGGAAAAACACCCAGACATGCGATGTCAGAAGTAAACTATTGAGAGTGGTGTGAGCATAGAGAAAAATAGGTTGTTTTTCTCCTATACACTCTTGCAGTTATCTTCCTTGCAGTGATGATTGCAACCCTTTCTCATATTAGACAAAATTATTTTCCCTACATTTCTTATGTGTTTTGCTATTCTCTTTATATCCTATGTTCTTCTACAAGCCAGACTCTGATAAGGGTGCTATGCCATGAAAATTAATGCAGTGTCTGGAGCATGGACTGGTAGACTAGAGGAATGACCTGGAAATATCTTGTCTTCATTTCAGCAAATGATATGATTTGGGTCTATGTCCCTGCCCAAATCTCATGTTAAATAGTAATCCTGTGACCGGGCACAGTGGCTCAGGCCTATAATCCCAGCACTTTGGAAGGCTGAGGCAGGTGGATCACCTGAGGTCAGGAGTTCAAGACCAGCCTGGACAACCTGGTGAAACCCTGTCTCTACTAAAAATACAAAAATTAGCCGGGCCTGATGGTGGACGCCTGTAATCCCAGCTACTTGGGAGGCTGAGGCAGGAGAATCAATTGAACCCGTGAGGTGGAGGTTGCAATGAGCCAAGATCATGCCATTGCACTCCAGCCTGGGCGACAGAGCGAGACTCCATCTAAAAAAAAAAAAAAATTGTAATCCCAGCTGGGTGTGGTGGCTTACACCTGTAATCCCAGCACTTTGGGAGGCCGAGGTGGGTGGATCACCTGAGGTCAGGAGTTTGAGACCAGCCTTGCCAACATGGTGAAACCCGTCTTTACTAATAATACAAAAATTAGCCGGATGTGGTGGCACACGCCTGTAATCCCAGCTACTCGGGAGGCTAAGGCAGAATAATCTCTTGAACCTGGGAGGTGGAGGTTGCAGTGAGCCGAGATCGCACCATTGCACTTCAGCCTGGGTGACAAGAGCAAGACTCCATCTCAAAAAATAATAAATAAAATAAAATAAATTGTAATCCCCAGTGTTGGAAGTGGGGCCTGGTAGTAGGAGGTGATTAGATCATGGGGATGGGAAGATTTCCTCTTTTGTGCTGTTCTCGTCATAGTGAGTGATTTACCACGAGATCTGGTTATTTAAAAGTATGTAGCACCTACCCACTCCCTCTCTTCCTCCTGCTCCTGCCATATAAGTCACGCCTGCTTCCTCTTCACCTTCCACCATGATTGTAAGTTTCCTGAGGCCTCCCAGCCATGCTTCCTGTACAGCCTGTGGAACCATGAGCCAATTAAACCTCTTTTCTTTGTAAATTACCCAGTCCCAGGTATTTTTTTATAGCAGTGTGAGAATGGACTAATGCAGCAGGGTTCTTGGTGGGTTGTAGCATGATGCCCTTACAAAGATGAGGAAGGTTCTGTGAGGTCCCTTGGTAGTTGGCTGAACAACCTGGAACCCCAGCAAGGACTGCTAATGTGCTCAGGTTAGTGTGGGAGTGTACGTATGAGTCACAGACTTCAGCCTTGTCTTGGTCAACCTCTCAGGGATTTAGATGAAAGTGCAGAAGGTGTGCTATAAAATTTAATTATTTATAGCTAATAAAATAAGGATTTTTACATGGTCTCTTCAGACTTGAAATATGGGTCTGAAGAATAACTATAAGACTTTGCATTTATTTTGGGAGAATTATGGGTATAAGGATAGGATAGAAAAGCCTCGAACTGGTGAAAAGACCTTGGGGGGTTAGGTACCATCATCTCTACCATCCTTCCTGGTGTGAGTGACCACTGTTTCTCACCTGAATTATTCCGGAAGTCTACTAATGATCTCCTGCTTTTTGTCTCCCCTTAGACTCAACATAGCAGCCAGAGCCATCCTGCGAAAACATTTGGTAGATGTTTCAATAGTCCTTACAACGGTCTACAAGGTCCTGTTGGGCCTACTGGTCTCCTCTGGGACCTGTGTCCTACCAACCTTGCCTCAGCCCTGTGTCCTACCAACCTCCTCTCAGCCCTGTGTCCAGCCACACTGACCTCCTTGGTCTTCCTTCACCATGTCAGACCTTACACTTGCTGCGTCTCAACTGTGAATGCTCCTTGCCCTGATGTTTGTGTGGTTTGTTCTTTCGTCTCCTTTAGGTCTTTAACTTCTCAGTGACCTTATTGTGCTCCTCTGGCTGTCTTATTAGACTTTAATCTCCATAAGGGCAGGGAATTTTTTCTGTCATATTCTCCACTGTGTCTCTCCACTGTGTCTCCAGCATGGAGAACAATGGAGTAGGCAGGCACTCCATAAATCTTTGTTGGCTCTATGTTTAAAGCATAGATTAGTTTATTAGGCTGTTCTTGCATTGCTAAAAAGAAATACTTGAGACTGGGCAATTTATAAGAAAAGAGGTTTAATTGGCTCATGGTTCTGCAAGCTGTACAGGAAGCATAGCACCAACATCTGCCTCTGGGGAGACCTCAGGATGCTTTTACTTATGGAGGAAGATGAAGCAGGTGCAGGCACTTACACATGGCAAAAGCAGGAGCAAGAGAGAGAACGTGTGTCGGGGGAGGTGCCACACACTTTTAAATGAGCAGATCTCACGTGAACTCAAGACGAGAGTTCACTTATTACCAAGGGGATGGCCTAAGCCATTCATGGGGGGATCTGCCCCCATGATCCAAACACCTCCCACCAGGCCCCATGTGAAACGTTGGGGGTTACCATTCAACATGAGATTTAGGTGGGGACAAATATGCAAACTATATCAATTAGTAAATATGAGATCATAGCAGGGTTCAGCTGATGCCAAAGCTAATGTGGATGCTTCATGCAGTGTTCACATATATGGAGAAAGAGATTTATTATAGGAATTGTCTCATGCAATTATAGAGGCTAAGAAGTCCAAAATCTGCAGAGCCAGTGCCCCAGTTCCAGTTCGAAGGCCTGTAGGCTGCTGTAGCACCGGGAAGAGCTGATGTTCCAGTTTGAAAGCCATCAGGTAGAATTCTTACTTGTGAGAGAGTCAGCTTTTTGTTCTATTCAGGCCTTCAACTGATTGGATGAACCCATACATGTCAGGGAGAGAAATCTGCCCTACTCAATGTACTAACATTTAAATCTCATCCAAATGCATCCTCACCAAAATACCCAGAATAATGTTTGGCCAAATATCTGGGCACCTGTGGCCCAGTCAAGTTGACACATAAAATGAACCATCACAGTATGCTTCTCAGACCATACCTGGAGACCTTGAATCTTGTCCCGACACCGTCTTTCAGAGACTATCCTGTTGACGCTCTGACAACCAGGGTATCTGGGGCAGAACTGAAGAAGCTAGGGGTGTTGCCCTGAAAAAGCAAACATGTGATTGAGGTCAGATGACACCTTTAAACACCTGAAGTCTTGTCTCATGGAAGAAAGACGAAGGAATTCTTTGTTCTAGTAGGCATGGCTCAGACTAGTGTATAAAAAATGAATCTAACAGAACAGAAATCTGCTGTCTTGGGAGCTAGTGAGGTCTTCTTTCTGGAAGGGTGCAAGCAGAGGCCAGCTGTGACCAGGAGTCAGAAGTCTTAAGTTCTGGTCTGGGCCTGGTGCATGACTCTCTGGCCTTGGGTAGGCCATTAGACTCTCTGAGGTTTCCGCTTTTCTGCTGTAGAGGTCACCGTAGCCTGCCTCACAGTTCCGCAAATCAGATGGAAATAACATCTGAACAATACCTTCTAAAACAACACCTTCTAAAACTCAGCTGTAGCCTTGTCAGGGTCAGGAGAGCTGGCAGTCAGGAGGGGAGTGCTAGCTCACTCCTTGCTGAAGCTGAAAATTTCCACTGACCTGCAGTCAGGGACACCTCACTGCAGCTTTGCTTTCTTCTTATTGGAATGTGCCTGAGGAGTGGCAGTTAACTCCAGTTCCAAATTCCTCAGCCCTGAGTGTATGAAGCTTATTGCTGCTGGCCCGTGAGGACAACAATGCCTGGAGGGAGCAGAGGGAGTTGTTCCTCCTCCACGAATCAGCCCCATCACCAGCTTCATCACGGCATCGCTCTTTAATTACTTCAGGACACAATTCGGAGTTGCCGTTGATATCTTCTGTATTTGTGCTGTTTGCTTTCTTGCCTCTGGAATGCACCAGTGTGACATCCCGCTTTCCGCTCTGAAAAACGTACTCTGTGTATAATGTATATAGGGTTGCTGTAGTTTATGGCCACAACATGAATGAGAAACAAGAAGCAGAACATCCAGGGTTTCTCGTCTAAACATTCAGAACTGTGCTGGCAGTGGGACAAAGGCCTCTGGACTGTTGTGGGTTTTGGTGACAGCCTTGATAAAAATGCCTTTTTAGTACAAGTGAAAGGAAGATTTTACTACAGTGCAAAAGTCAAAAAATTAGATAAACATTGTTGGAAGTTCAGTGTTGATGAGTAGCTAAGCCTCAGAGAAGTTACACTTAGGTGGGCATGGTTATTTTTTGGCAGGAAAATGACCTAGGATTTTTTTCTTATTCAGGCGACGTCAAAACAAGGTTAGAGCTACATGTTCCCCTCTGGTTTTGTTTATAACTGGCATCAGGACATTCAGAAATGATCGTGACTACACTTGACAGCACTGATACGTAGTAAGTGTGCAGTCAGTGGTAGCTGTTGTGAGTAGCTTTGGTTTACACCGAGTTTATTAGTGATTAATTCAGGGCTTCCACAGAGCCCTGTGTAGTTCTACACAGCTACCACTGACTGCACACTTACTACGTATCAGTGCTGTCAAGTGTAGTCACGATCATTTCTGAATGTCCTGATGCCAGTTATAAACAAAACCAGAGTGGAACATGTAGCTCTGTACCATCTGTGTGGCCCGGGCATCAGGATATCTAGAAACTTTTCAGGTGATTCTAGTTTTCAGCTTGCAACATTAGTAGGTCATGGAATCAATTAATTGAAGTACTTTTTTTTGCCAGCGTTTTTAGAAGATACGTTTATATAATTGTATAGAAAATATTAATGCCTAGCACAGTAGCTGGGAAAATATAATTTTGTGTGTGTTAAAAATGCTGCTGTGATAGAACCACTAATAAAATCCCTGCCCTCGACTTGCTTCTTAGTCTTACTTCAGAAACTGCATGCTTTTCGTTATGAATAAATGGTTCATGTGAAATTTAATACAAGACATTTATAGTTCTATGACCTGAGAATTTGTGAGCCTTCTTGCCCACATTTTGAGGTTTCACTCTGACATTGAAAAAATCAGTTATTTTATAAATGCTAGCCAACAAAAATGGCATACATATTTTCACCAGCAACTAAATTTGATTATAGCACAGCAACAAGATGATGATTTTCCTCCTTTGGATGTGTTAATTACACATATACCATGATATGCTAGGTCAGCAGTGGTCTAAATACATTCAGCAAGAATGAGGTACTTGCATACGTCATCCTGAAAGTTTTATTAGATCAGTTTAACAGCCTCTTGACTTCATTATCTATGGGAATTTGGGGGTCTTACACAATAAACTGTTACAAACATTCATCTCACTCTTATGAAATAGAGCAATGTGATAGAAAGGCTGGCAACCTTTGGCCATTTTTATCTCAGTGCTGAGGTGAACATAAACCAAGAGGACTCTCGCTGTTTCCCTATTGTGATGACTCTGTTGGCAGATGCTGCAACTGTGGAAGACCTGAAAGTCGTGATCAGTTGCTAGCAGGACTTTGGGATCACTTGTCTTGATCCTGAAGCTTTTTATAAGCCCACGAGAACATTCATCAAGGCTTCCCACTTGACTTGAAATACATTCATTGTAAGATTGGTCTTCGATTTAGATTTCTTGGAAATAGCAGTGATAATTCTTACGATTACTCAATGTGCAATGCAGTCCGTCCTCACAAGGTTCTTTCAGAGTTCAGAGGGACATCCTGCATTGGTAGTTTTGCCTTTGTCTGGGAGGACTAGGCTTGGGATTATTCCTTGAATCCGCTGCTTAAAAACGCTGATCTGCTTGTATAACAAAGGGAAGAGGTTCGATTTACAAGCACTTCGATTTGAGAAGTACTTTCTCTAATTATGATTCAGCTCCGGTGACTGCACCATGTTAAATACGCAATTCTCTTTCCTCTAGGTGTCTGAGGGTTCTGTGGTCCAGTTTTCATCAGCAAACTTCTCCTTGACAGCAGAAACAGAAGAAAGGAACTTCCCCCATGGAAATGAACATCTGTTAAATTGGGCCCGAAAAGAGTATGGAGCAGTTACTTCATTCACCGAACTCAAGATAGCAAGAAACATTTATATTAAAGTGGGGGAAGGTAAATTTTATGTGGCTTCAGTTAATGACTGATTTATGACAGGCAATTGTTTTCTTTTCTGAAACCAGGTGGTTAGGGCAAGGAATCACAGAATTACAGAATGTTGGACCTGGAAGGGACCTGAGGGGTCATTTGGCCCCAGGCCTCTCCACCGCCCCCCATATTCCCTCCCTTCTTTTTTCCTCCTGGGGAAGCAGGCCTGGTTATGGCCAAGTGAAACACAGGGAGGAGCAGGGGGAGAGAGGAGAAGGTTGTTGTGTGGGATTTAGAAGACACCCATGCACAGAAGTCAAAAAAAGTAAGTGGAGGTGAGAAGCTGAGGGTGTGGGAAGGAGGTGATGACTGATGGAGTGGAAGAGCTGGCAGAATGAATGGGTCAGCAGGTGGCTTCCTCTTACCTGTGTTCTGCAAACGTTTGAAGCCTGTGTCAGTTTGTGGTGCTGAGACATAGGTTACATTTTGGACAATAGCAAAGGAAAAGTATTTAAATATATTTTTAGTACAAATGACTATTACAAGGACAAATTATTGGAGAAAAGAAGTGTAGGGTCTTGATAAGAGATTGCCTATTTAAATTTCCTTGCATTGCAAAGGGATAGAAATATCCAGAAACCCAGTTTTGAAAGCCTTTTTTAAAACAAAAACAAAAACAAAAAACCTTCTCTTTCTTTCTCATTCTTTCATTCTTTCATTCTTTTCCTCCCTCCCTCCCTCCCTCCCTCTCTCCCTCCCTTCCTTCCTTCAACAGGGTCTTGCTCTGTTGCCCAGGCTGGAGTGCAGTGGTGCGATCAGTGCTCACTGCAGCCTCAACCTGCAGGGCTCAAGTGATTCTCCTGCTTCAGTCTCCCAAGAAGCTGGGACTACAGGCATATGCCATCATACCTGGCTAATTTTTACAATTTTTTGTAGACACAGGTCTTGCTGTGTTGCCCAGGCTGGTTTTGAACTGCTGGTTAAGAGATCCTCCTCCCTTGTTCTCTCAAAGTGCTGGGATTACAGGCATGAGCCACCGCACCTGGCCAGACCTTTTTTTAAAAATCATTATTTTCAGTTGAGTATATTTGGAACCCCCATAAGTTACTAGGAAATAACTCTTGTGAATGGGTCCTTGTTATAGCTGGCTGATTGTGTGAACACTGCGTTTAAGGTCTTCAGCATCCAGCTGCTTTCTGTTAAATTCTACAGCAGCTGTCACCTCCTCATAGACAAGACAGGGAAGGGTGGGTTAGTGAACACTTGATCCCAACTCTTATTTGGATCTGGGCTGCTTTAAAGTGTGTGAGAGACAGAGGCAGGAAAGGTGGACGTGGACGTCGGAGAGGATGCTACGTGCAGAAGCCATTTCAGGGGCCTTCACGTGCATCCCACTTAACCCCACAGTAACCCCAGGAGGAAGATGTCATTTCCACCGTTTTACAGAGGGCTTAGTGGAGGGCTAAGTGAACCTGCTCACATCCAAGTTACTAACAAGTGACAAAGCCAGAACACAAACCCAGGCTTCCTGACTCTTGAGTTTAACGCTTGTTGCCTGAGCTGTACTTTAAGTCCTAGCCAAATAAGCATAACTCAAAAAGGGAAGTGGTCCACCTGGATGAACATCCTTGTTTAGTTGAGGCAGAGAGAAGGGGACTTAGAGGAGGGCTGGGCTCAAAAAGTCTAAGTTTGTTTCTGTACTCTCATGATAGGTAGCTAATAACAGAGGTCAAATCCCATTGAGACAAAATGAAAAATTTCTTTTAATAAAGACTCTAAGCCCTGGCCAGCGGGCCGCGTTTCTGAAGCAGAATTCTAGTAGCATGAAAGAATGTTGATTACCCCTTGGAATTTGTTAGAATAAGAAAATTTGTTATAATAACATTTAGAATGTTGGACTGTGTTCTCTCGGCAGTGCATGAGCTTCTTTCTAAGCACAGTAGTCACTTACCCTGAGAGCCACGGGTTGTCACTTAACTGGTTCAGCCTGTGCACACTGGGTAGGGGAAGCCAACTTAAAGGACCTTGTGTCTGGTGCAGTAAAAACTGTTAACTCCTTGGTAACACCTTCGGAACCCCTGAAACTTGACTCCAGCCACCAGTTGAGTATGAGTCACCGGGCCATGCCGTGGAGAGAGGAGCAGTAGGGAAAGGAGGTTCCTTGGTGAGGTCAGTGGACCATAAAGTGATATGTTTATCACCACGGCTCAGACTGCACTGAGCAAGCTTCATCCCCCACTTCCCAGAATCCGACCTGGCTCTACCTTTCTTGTACCCAGCGATCGCAGGCCATGAGGCCTGGTTGCTCTAACCCGAGCAGTTCTCAGAGTGTGGTTTTTGCCCCAGCAGCATCCGCATCACTTGGGGACTTGATGGAAATGCCAGTTCTCAGGCCCAACCCAGACCAACTGAATCAGGAACTCTGGGGGTGGGACCCAGCAGTCAGTGTTTCAATCAGCCCTTTAGGAGATCTGATGCTTGCTGACGTTTGGGAACTGCTCTCATCTATATACCCAGAATGAAAGAATTTAAGAGTTTTGCTCTTATCCCAGCTGGTCTTGCTGCGAGGCTTCAAGCAACATTGACTTACCACCAGAGCCTCAGTTTCCACAGCAGGAAAATGAGGTGTTTGCATTACCCCCCAGGTTCATTCCTGCTCTCAGAGTATATCCTTCTGTGTCTCAAAGTCATTTGTCAATCTTTCCCTAAAATACAAATAAGCATGTGACTCCCCCTGCCCCCAAACTTGCCAGGTTTCTACCCGGGAATTCCCCTTTGTGGTTTCCTTTCTACTTGGCACTCGGTATAAGTTTTGATGCCAGGCATTCGGAAAGTCATTGGGGAGCGGGGGAGAAACCACACACAACAAAAGTGGTCAGCTTATTCAACTTAGTGACAATGGCTTCTGGGACTAGAGCCCTTAATAACATCAACTTTTGAACAATTAGACCTTTCCTAGTGGCTTCACATGAGTGAATATTTTGTTATTTGTCTCAAATCTCACATCATTGTTTGTTAATTCAGGAAACCTATACCATATGCCCACTATGTGCCAGATACAAGCCAGGCACACCTATGAACTGGATATGCCGGCCACAATCCCAGGAGGGCCCTAGTCTCTTGAGTTCCAGACTGTCCTGTCCCTGGCCCATAGACGCTCTTTCTTAATTAAATTTCAACCTTGCCGTTCCAATATCATTTTCCATCCTGTGATGTGGGGGAGGCATCCGCAGGGCTGCAGCTGCACGGTGTGCATACCTCATTTGCTCATCTGGCAAAACCCTCAGCAGATGTGGAGGGAGGCTGCTCTAGCAGCCTGAGTCAGTGGAGCCTTGAGCTTTTCTCTCTGAGGGGGAGGGGAATTAGAGGAGACTGCAGAGTGCAAACCCAATGCTCTCTCGCAACGAGCCGACAAACAGAGGCTTTGGTCCCCTTTGTTCTGGGGTGGTGCTGGGGGTGCTGTGGTGGCCAGAGCCATGATGCCCCAGTGTGTGCTGCGGACCTCAGCACAAGGGAGGTTGCACAAGTGGGGAGGGGGAGGGACAGTATCAACCCAGTCTTGGGACCCCCTGGTTGGATTCCTTACTCCAAAGTGAGACTTCCATGTGGACTTGAACCCTGGCATCCTGTCCTCAAAATGGAAAAGGCAGAAGTCTGTTTTATAGTAGTGCCAGGCCTCTGATTAATTATCCCTTCTGAAAAAAGCATGCTACACCTAGAACTTCCTTGACACTGGTCCCAGCTGTCACACTGCCAGCAGTTTCTTTCAAGTTCTGTTGAAATATTTAAGCCCGTGGATGGAAATCCCATCAGCCGCCGTGCTGTGTAAATGGCATGTGCCGTTGTGGGAGTGTCTTCAGATTCTGGTACTTGCATCACTTTCCCGGGTGGAGGTGGTGAGCAACTCTCAGCACAGTGAGATAATGTTTGCGAAAGCACTTTGTAAACTGTAAAGTGCCATATAAACTTGAGTTGTCTGTGTTCAGATTGTGAGAAAGAGTGAAAGTCTGCCTTCTTTATTTCCCCCAAATTCCTACCTTTCATCTTCAGAGTATAAAGTGCTGTGAGGAATACATATGAGGGAAAGATTAATTCTACATGGGGTGTCGGAGGATTAATTAGGTGGTTGCTTCTCCTGATAGTTGAAATAACAAATATCCAAGGAGGAGTGCATTTGGGGATAGAATGGATTGAATGTTAAATACGCTGACCATGAAATACATAAGTATTGGATTTTTAGATAGGAGATGCTTGGTAGACAGATGACAGTATAAGTCAACTGCTCAGAAAAGGAGTCATGATCTAGGTACAGGTTGAAACCATGGGAGTGATTGAGATCACCTAGAAAAAGAATGAGATAGAAAGGGGATTGAGGAAGGAGCTGAGAAGTTCTTAGCCTTGGTTTATATTGGAATCTACTACGAGCTTTTCAAAAAAGAAAGCTCCCTAGGCCCCGCCTGGGTGTTCTGAATCAGATTCTCTGGGTTGGGGTCTATACAGATTCTGAGCAGAGGAGGAACCAGTGGAAGAGATGTGAAAGATAGGTCAGAGGAAACAGACGAGGACAGGAAGTATCACAGAGAACATGCAAGGAGAAGATTTAGCCAAAAGAGGCCCCTAGTTGGGGGCTAGTCAATAGGCGGTCACTGGTGACCATAACAGGATGCATTTCAGGGCAGTGGTTGCGGACTTCACAGACGAAGAACCATCCTTTGAGCTCGTGGTTCCCTGTGTCTGCCATTTGCTCAGTTTCACTGTCACCCTCCTTCCTTTGAATCTGGTTACCGAGTACCTCAGTGGTTTGACAGATTGTCCTGTGCCTCTTTCAGATCAAGTGTTCCCTCCAAAGTGCAACATAGGGAAGAATTTTCTCTCACTCAATTACCTTGCTGAGTACCTTCAACCCAAAGCAGCAGAAGGGTGTGTGATGTCCAGCCAGCCCCAGAATGAGGAAGTACACATCATCGAGCTAATCACCCCCAACTCTAACCCCTACAGGTAAGTGAGTCTAAGTGTGTGAGTGTGACAAGAGATGAAAGTAAAGATCTTCCTTGACTTGAGGCAGGGAGAGGTGTAGCCCGTCCTACACCCTCCCCTACGCAGGAGGGAAGGGAGCCATTGATGCTTCACGCAGGAGGGAAGGTAGCCATTGATGCTTCAGGTGTGCTTCATCAGATGTGTTTCACAGAAGCTTTGAAGAACAGAGTAAAGGCACCAGTGGTATATTTTATATTCTGCATCTGTCCCTAGATCCCAGATATTTCAGATGAATTCCTGAAGCCTGTTCCAAACTTCTGGGTGTTAATTACAGGACACAGTCACTCTTCCTTCATCTTTATCACCTCTGACTAAGGTTATCCCTGATAGGAAAATTACAAAATATGCCCTATTAATATAATTATCATCTTAGTAACCTTCTGTTTTTAATAAAGCTCTGTTTGTGGTGTCCTTAGAGCGCTTAGGCACTCAGAGCTGTTTGCGTTAAATCTGTGTGTGTGTGTGTGTGTGTGTGTGTGTATGCGCATGCACGTGTGTGGTGGAGTGGCTCTTCATGGTGCCATACCAAAGAGCCATTCGATAGAACTTGCCTCTCCCTTGTGTGCTTGGTGTGTGTGTGTGTGTGTGTGTGTGTGTGTGTGTGTGTGTGTGTGTATGCTGGAGTGGCCCTCCATGGTGACATACGAAAGAGCCATTCGATAGCGCTTGCCTCTCCCTTGTGTGCTTGGTGTGTGTGTGTGTGTGTGTGTGTGTGTGTGTGTGTGTGTGTGTATGCTGGAGTGGCCCTTCATGGTGACATACCAAAAAGCCATTCGATAGAACTTGCCTCTCCCTTGTGCGCTTGTTCTCCCTCTCAGCTTCCTACCCCTGGATTGGAAATTCGACCCTCCCTATCAAGAATAATTAGGGAATTAAAGAAAAAGGAGAAAAAGTAGGTTCTTTTCCCACATGAGCCTGCATTTCACCCTCCTTCCTTTGCATCTGGACTAGTGACTTGAAAATTTAAATGTATATTGTAGAGGGATTTCGAGGTGAAAATGCTAATCGGGGTTTGACTTTCAAAGCGTGTAAGCTACAGATCGTTTTGATAAGATTCCACTCTGGCCACTTGAAGAATTTTGTAGAAAGTGAAAAGGGAATGGGAATAGGAGCAGTCTGGTGAATGTGCTTCGACGTCAGGCCTGAGGCTTCATTGGAGTATACCATGCATTTTATGCTTTACAAGTGTGTAAAGCTGAGATGGAAAGAAAGACTGTTCCCTTAAATTCAGAATGACAGGGATGTTATTGTTTAGTAAAAAATTCTCTTTTTTACGAATTCTTAGAAGTTTGGGTTGTGTTCATCAATTTTCCAGTAATCACTTGGTTGACCATCTGTTTTCTTTATTTTAATAACCTTATATCCAGAAGTTTGGGAAAGTAAATGCAGATACGATTCTGTAGCAATTGTTAATGACTTAAGCAAACCTTATATAAATCAAGAAATTCTTTAGCCTTTTGTCTCTTATTTTACTCTGAAGTTTCCTAATTTTTTTTTTTACCACCATGCTTCCCTTATCCCAACACCCCGCCCCCAACTCACCAAACTGCCACCTACTTCAGTTTTGAAGGAATTTGAGCATATTAGCCAAATGGGAATCCTGTACATCGAAGGTGTTGAAGGTTGAAAAAGCAACAATACTGCTTCAAAAGTAAACTCTTCTGGTTCGTTCAAGTCCACTTCAAACAGTGGCTGCATTAAGTAACCACCTCTTTTCCATCAAAGAAGAGAAAAACTTTAGTGACTAATTATCAGCAAGCATATGTTTCTATTGTTATGTAAAACAATTTTGTTATGTGTGCAGTAACAATCTGTTTTGCACATGTCATTGGCCTGGGATCAACTCCAGCTTTTTAATCAACTGGCCAGACACTAGAAACATGAAGACTTGGAAGAGGGGAGATAGTTGCAACTTTCTGGCATGTAGGTCTTAACTTTGCCTTTGTCTTCCATTCACAGTGCTTTCCAGGTGGATATAACAATTGATATAAGACCTTCTCAAGAGGATCTTGAAGTGGTCAAAAATCTCATCCTGATCTTGAAGTGCAAAAAGTCTGTCAACTGGGTGATCAAATCTTTTGATGTTAAGGGAAGCCTGAAAATTATTGTAAGTTGGTGGAGCATGTCTTTTGTTTTGTTTAGATAAATGACAACAATTTAAGCTGTACTTTATAAGTGTTATTTTTAAAGTTCCTGCCTCTTTGGACTCTCTAAGCTCTGTCAATTATTTTTCACTTTGCAAAATAGCATGCTCCTATAAAATAGGTGCGGTTGTTCAAACATGGCCTTGGATTAAGACGGACCCAGGTCTGAGTCCAGGTAATCCCACTGTGACCTTTGGCAAGTCCCCTAACCTCTCTGAACCCCAGCTCCCTCATTTGTGAAATTCCTGAAATACATTAGTATGCTTTCCACTAATAGTAAGTGTAAAGTAATGAACACAATTAAGCCTTCATATTGAGCATCCCACAAGGACCTCAGTGTCATAGTACCGAATATCAGCTTTTATTTTGGAGTTAGGTACTTAGAGAAAGTATGGACTATTAGGCTGACCCCAGCTCACATCATTGACTTTTCTTTTTGAGTTAAATACGAAATATTGGCATGTCTTTTTGCTTGCTTCCAACTCCTAAGTGTGAAACACTGATAGAAGAATCACAGTAAGTGCGAAGTCAGTGAAATGATGCTGGACAAGTCTACTCCAGCTTGTTCCCAAGGCCCTCTATTTAATAGAGATGTACGCACAAGGCTTAGCCCATTGGCATGATGGGCAAACAGCAGCTGGTTTCCTCAAAAGTTGAATGTTGAAACTTGGTAAAGTAAATCTTATCTCAAATATGCTTAGGCAATAACTATTTGACTGAATTATATTGAAAGTTAAAGAAAAATCCTCCTCCCTATTTTTTAAGAAGATAATTATCTCTTTAGTATCTCTTCTATGGGCTCAAATTTTTTTTTTTTTTTTTTTTTTTTTTGGCCAATCTCTCTTTTAGTTCCTGCACTGAGTAAGCTGAAGTGGGTTTTATGTTTTCAGTATTTTGGGAGAGGGATGCCCTTGGTTTTGGTATTATTCATTCATTCATGGCACCTTCCATGTGATACCACAGTGAGCAAAGCCAACAGTTCCCTTGGCAACGTCATGTAAAAGCACTCACCAGAGGCAGCAGGCAAAACCACTAGCACACATATTTTAATTTTAAAGTAATCGTTTCTGGTTCCCGTGGGTTTTTTTTTTTTTTATAACTTTGCTAGGATCCCAGTGAGCCATCATATGTAATGGTGATACATTAATTTGTTGTCAAGCCCAAAGCCTAGCCATGATCTGAAGTCAGAGATGTTTTGATTGCCTTCTCTGGCATGGCATGAGGGGTGTTGGTGACCTAGGCTGTCTGCTGCTTTTGCTGCCTGGCACACCGGCCAAATGTTTTTAATTTCAGAATAACAAAAACAGGAAAGGGAATCATGCTTTGAAAGGCAAAAACATACGGTACATTTTAATTCCCTGCTGGAGTTCTTGTGTAAATATTCTTTCAGCCTTGACCCTTCGATGGCTCTTTCCCTGAGTATGTGTGCCTGGTCCATGGCAGTCCTGGAGTTCACTTTGAATGTCCCCATCTCTCATATGAATCAGAAAGGCTAGAAATGAGATTGCTCATCCCAGTGCAAGATCTGTTTATGTTCCTCTCCTTGGCTGTACGCTTGTTCCAGGCCAATTTTGGACAATGCATGACAACATTACTAAACAATTAGGTAATGTTTCATGATGTTCTTTTTTATTCTCCCAACCAGTTTATGCTTTGTGATTTTCTAATTCCCTGTTTCAGATGTGAATTCTGACTGTGCTGTGAGGGAAAGGTACCTGCTCCCACAAAAGTTTAAATTACTATTTAGAAAGGGGGCAATGGTTTATAGAAACCTTGTTTCTAGTATTTCCTTTAGAGACAGCATAGTGAAATTGAAAGAATCTTGACTTTGTGCCAGACAGGGCTAGATTTAAATCCCATTTCCAATTACTACTCCTAGTAGATGTTGTGCAGTCTGACTGATGAACACGGAGTCTGTTTGGTCACCTGTGAAATGGGTATGATGATAGTACTCACCTTGAGTTTGTGGTTCATTAGCTGAGTTCATTTGTTTGTTCATTTATTTGCCAAATACTTGTTAAGGGCCTATAGGATATTTCACCTAAAGCACTGGACACAGGGCCTGCGCATGTAAGTTCTCAGCTACATGTGTTGCTTCTGTGAGTCTTAGGTTCTCCTTCTCTAACAGGAATGGTAATGCCTATCTCCTTATATTTTGGAAGAGAAATAAGATAATATATGCCTAGCAGAGTGCCTGCCATAAAAAGGGGGTTCATCTTCCTTCCATAAATAACTCTTTCAGAGTGTCTATAGGAACAATTAGGGCACTTCTCTATACAAGGTGAAAAGAAAGAAAGATGTCTACTAAGGGAATTGTAAGGAGTCTGATGGAGTAATTTAAAGAAGAGCACCATTAAATATGGATGTCTTATGCATGTGTGTGTCGGGGGTGGGGCATGGGCAGAATGTGTCCTCCAGATGGCAAAATGGTCAAAAGAGGTGCAAAGAGCCAGGCAGTGGGCAAGAATGGGAACATTGGAGGTGTCTACATTGCCTTGTCCAGCTCTGGCTCTTTTCTCAGGTCCTGTGTGGACCATGCATAATCACTTTTATGGTAGGAAGAACCTCTAAAACATAAAAAAATAGATGGAGGAAACCTGTTAGAGGTTTCCTCTTATATTATTTCATGTGGCCTCAGGACTTCAGGGTTGATGATGGGCAGCTTGTTCTTAGAGAATACATTTTTAAAAATCTCAGTGGGCATATGCACTACGCTCTCTGGCCATTCCCTTCCTTAGTCCTCCCTCCCCTATACCATCAGTCCAGATGTAAATATGGGGGAGTGTGGAGGCACTTAGACTTAACTCCTTATCTTTCATGAAGATATGGCTGGGAAAGATGGTGGTGGTTTTTGGAGACCTCCTTGTACACCTGCATTTGGCGTAGCTCCACTAAAGCTGGAAAAAGCCTAGGGACTTCCAGAAGTACAGTGTGAGAATTTGCTCAAAGCTGGGAACCAACTTGTCTGCCATTGTCCCAAGCCTTGCTGCTTTACAAATGTGTAGATAGATGTTGAGTCTTTTAAGTTCCCAGACATAATCAAAATGAGATGTATTGACAGCTCCTAGATTTAATCTGGAAAGGTGCAAACAGCTCATTCCACATTGGTGCAAAAGGACAGGTGGCAGTTATGATGATAGTGTTCTGGAAATACGATATTTTCTCAGCTGTCCAACAACATGAAAGAGACTAGGGCAGATGAGGGCAAGCAGTGTTGTTTAGGCCAATTGTTGTGATTCCAGCCAATCAAAATGACATGTAGCTCTAAAAGGCTGGAAGAAGCTGTACCTAAGAAACTACTGTTGACTGAATGCATAAAAAGTTCTAAGAATAAATTGGATCTTTCATGATCTCATTTTAGCTCTTTCCTTCCTTCCTTCCTCTTTGTTTCTTTCCTCCCTAGCCCTTCTTTACCCTAAGGAGTTTTTTTCTGAATTGGAGTAAGAGCTAAAATATTCTGAATCTATTAAACTGAGTTTACAAATGGCCGCAGAAGTTGGTTAAAGTTCTGTCTGGTTCCTTTGCATATAGAATTTGTGACTGGTGAGTCTGGCAGTATTCCCACACATAAGCACTTTAGGTAATAGAAAAATATACTGAATGAGATCCTTTAAGATTTGAGTTGAAATATATGTGGCTTCAGCCAATATCCCACAACCACATAGGCCAAGAGAACTTAGAGCCTGTGAATCTTTTAGGGTTTTACAGTGGGAAAGGATTAATATTTAGTCATGTTAGGGGCAAACAGAATGGGAAACAAATGAGGAATTTAGGAAAAATGCTGCATGCATGCAGGAGAAAATCACTGGGCATGGAAATTAAAGTGATTTTTATACAGCACGAAAATGGTGTAATCTGCATGCTGGAAGGGCTTTCCAGCCCTGTTGGTGCAGTTGTTGAAAATATGGTACCTTCCCTTTGGGGTCCCCTCTGCAGCATTTAGCTCTCTCACCCTCTGAGAAGAGCACTGCCACAGGAGTCAGCAACTGATGTATAAATTTACCTTCCATGTCCTTGTTGAATAACCTGGTTGAGTAGAGTCCATTTATATCCTTTCCCAAAAATATTTCTGTCATTTTAATTTTGTAATTGATTATCCAGTGAAAGCTAGTCTTTTTTTTTTTTTTTTTTTTTTTTTTTTAAGGCAGGGTCTCCCTCTGTCACCCAGGCTAGAGTGCAGTGGCATGACTATAGCTTACTGCAACCTCTAACTCACGGGCTCAGGTGATCCTCCCACCTCAGCCTCCTGAGTAGCTGGGACTGCAGGCAAATGCCACCATGCCTGGCTAATTTTAAAATTTTTGTAGAGATGGGATCTTCCTGTGTTACCCAAGCTCGTCTCAAACTCTTGGGCTCAAGCAGTCCTTCCGCCTCAGCCTCCCCAAATGCTAGTATTATAGGTGTGAAGTATTGCACCCATCCCTGAAAGCTAATCTTAAGACCTACTTGTATTACTGGATAAAACAGTGATACTTAAGGGGAGAGTAACCTAAATTAATTAATTAATATTTAGAATAGAAGATACAAGTATATTCAGTTAGTAGAATTGGCAAATGAATACAGTTATAGAATTACTAATTGATCATACATTTTAGATGAAATATAAACATTGGTTGTTTTACCATGTGGAATTTAATAGTTTATATAGATGGGATAGTCTCCACACTGAAGTACAGTCTTGAGCATATAATATGGTTCAGTCAGTGAGGGACCACATATACGACAGTGGTCTTATCAGATTGTAATACCATATTTTTACTGTACCTTTTCTATGTTTAGATGCACAAATACTGACCATCATGTTACTACTGCCTACAGTATTCAGTGCAGTAACATGCTGTGCAGGTTTGTAGCCTAGGAGCAGTAGGCTGTACCATATAGCCTAGGTGTGTAGTAGGCTCTACCATGTAGGTTTGTGTAAGTGCACTCTATGATGCTCACACAATGACTAAATCACCTAATGATGCATTTCTCAGGACATATCTCCATTGTTAAGTGGCTGTAAGTGATTGTGCTATCTTTCATTGAAATCTAGGGGAATAGGAAGTGGAAGCATGGGAATTTGAGGGCAATATAACATGTCTGTTTGTATACTTTATATGTCATTTTAAGTAAAAAAAAGGGAAAGTTTATTATACATATGTACTGTGTGTGTTAATAATTTAAACATTAGACTAACTGTACAGTTATAGACTAGGCATACTTAGTATGTAACTACTTACATGTCATTGGATGATTTTTTTTATCAGCATAGGCAATACAAATAGTATGATCAAGCAGCATACGTAGATGTCTTTTAGTCGGCTATTAAAGGTTTTTCACATCATCGTTCTTAGCCCAAGGAAAACAGGGGTCAAAAGAATAAATAATTCCCTCATATACAATATAGAATCTACTTATTTAAGATATTTAATTTTTATTATCTAAAGTACTGTTTAATTTTAGACTCATGAGTGATTTTTTTGCTATATCTTCAGGCTCCTAACAGTATTGGCTTTGGAAAAGAGAGTGAAAGATCTATGACAATGACCAAATCAATAAGAGATGACATTCCTTCAACCCAAGGGAATCTGGTGAAGTGGGCTTTGGACAATGGCTATAGTCCAATAACTTCATACACAATGGCTCCTGTGGCTAATAGATTTCATCTTCGGCTTGAAAATAATGGTAAGTTAGAAGTTTTTTAAGTTATGTAAAAAATACCCCCCAAATGAAGCTTTTCCAGTGAGGAACTGTCATTTCAGCTTATATGTTGCTGTTTTTCTCTTGTACATTTTAATAATTTGACTACTTTTTATCAGAAGGCTTAAAATTACCTAGACAGAGATTTTGAGGAAACTGTAATACAGATTTTCAGTGACATAGAGTTGAATGCATATTCAGAGAACTTTGTTATAGGTTATCTTTAGTGTGATTACATTAGGTTCTTCTCTCCGAGACACCTAATGACCACTTATGGCTGAGAATACAGAAGAGTTAAGACTGCAGGAAAGAAGTTCATGGTAAAAGGCTGTATCTTTTAGGAAAATAGTCACGAGGACTCATACTTGAGTGTTCATACCCAGAGGATGGCAGGAGTTACTACCCCAGCTGAATGGGGTGGAAAGCAGAGGGTCAACAAATTCTTGAGGTTTTCTGGAGTCTTCTAGCTAGCATGACTTGAAACCCTAGTTTTGTGATCCCTAGACCTGTTCCTCAGCTCATGGTACCACCACTGAGTGAAATGCCAATAGAATAAGGATTAGGAGTACAGGTTCAAGCCCCAGCTCTACCATTTAGTCACTGTTTGGGGAGAAGTTGCTTCACCTCTGAGCCACAGATTTTTCTTCAGTAATAAGGGGAAAATAATAGGACAGACCTTACAGGGTTGTTGTGAAGGTTTTCGTGAAAGTACAAATTAAAAACCCTACAAAGCTATGACTTATTTTGGACCCTTACAGCTCTAGCGTCCTTTCCAAAGAATATTATTAAAGGAGAGATAATGTCCAACTATCATCTTCACTTCCAGCTTCCACTGAGATGGATTTGACCTCAAGTGTACATCAGTTGGCCTTAGATAGTAGATATAAAGAATACTGGGGAAATTATTATTTTTTTAGTTGTTAGAAATACGACAAAATATTGAGTATTGATTGTATGGAAATACGTCTCTCCCTTTGAAGGAATAAATGTATCTATGCAGCTATTTCTTATCTTTCAAGGGAATATGTTCCAAAAGGCCAAGGTGCCCAGATACCTGTTAAAATTTAGCTGTCAAAAAGAAGGTGGTGAAGTAATTTTAACATACCAATATTGTTTCAAGACATCATTAGAGAAATTATTCAAAAGACTCTCTTGATTCAAGGAAAGTATTTTAGTGGCATTTCAATGGAATAATATTGCATCATGTAACTTAAATCACAGATTTTTCTAGCTTGGACAGCCTTAGAAACTGTCTGTTCCATTGGTTCTCAGTCTTAGGTGCACATTGCAGTTACACATGGAGAGACTAAAACATATTAATGATTGGGTACCACCCCAGAGAGTCTGAGTTTAAATTGTTTGGGGTACAACCTGGGCGTAGGAATATTTTTTAAAGCTCCCAAGTGATTTTCATGTGTAGCCAAAGTTAAGAACCACTGATCATTTCCAACCACTTAATTTAAAAAATTGGAAAAGCAAATTTGAGGCACAGAGAAGCAAGCCGCTTGCCTAAAGCCACTGAGCTAGTTAGAGAGAACACCAGGACTAGAATTCAGGCTTCTAGACTTCTAATGACCTTTATGCACTGCTTATTAAAAGTCATTTTACACCTGCCCATTCTATGCTAATTCCTCCTGTTCTGCCTGTAATGATGTTGGTTGTGGCCTGGCATCAAACACTGCTGATGTTTTGCCTTCTTCTTTCACCAGCAGAGGAGATGGGAGATGAGGAAGTCCACACTATTCCTCCTGAGCTACGGATCCTGCTGGACCCTGGTGCCCTGCCTGCCCTGCAGAACCCGCCCATCCGGGGAGGGGAAGGCCAAAATGGAGGCCTTCCGTTTCCTTTCCCAGATATTTCCAGGAGAGTCTGGAATGAAGAGGGAGAAGATGGGCTCCCTCGGCCAAAGGACCCTGTCATTCCCAGCATACAACTGTTTCCTGGTCTCAGAGAGCCAGAAGAGGTGCAAGGGAGCGTGGATATTGCCCTGTCTGTCAAATGTGACAATGAGAAGATGATCGTGGCTGTAGAAAAAGATTCTTTTCAGGTCGGTGCAGCTGATTACAGGAGGGAAGAGAGGCTACCTCCTTTCCCATCTGGCCCTAGTCTGCATCTGTAATTTCTCCCTATCTCTTTCATTTTTGAACTCCGGAGGCTTGATACTGTTTTCTCAGTTGGATGGGCCTACTTCCCCTTGGCTGTGATTCTCACCTGGTTCCTGTTGTTCTCAGTGACAGGGGGTGGGGGTTCCAGATCCTTGTGTGTCAATATTTTGCTATTGAATTTCCAAGGCCAACAGATACTACCCTTGAGCTGTTGAGAGGTGGGCAGCTGGGAAGAGATACTTGGGGAAGGGGCACGATGCAGGCCTCTCATCGCCTGTCCTTGGAAGACCAGGCAATTGTCAATTGTGTCAATTATACAACAGAACTGCCTGTGGGCCTCCAACCATGTCTTTGGTGGTTGTTGTTTTAGGCCAGTGGCTACTCGGGGATGGACGTCACCCTGTTGGATCCTACCTGCAAGGCCAAGATGAATGGCACACACTTTGTTTTGGAGTCTCCTCTGAATGGCTGCGGTACTCGGCCCCGGTGGTCAGCCCTTGATGGTGTGGTCTACTATAACTCCGTGAGTGTTTTCCAGAACAAAGCTTTGCCCTTTGCCAGAGCCTGGCTGTGTGCTCCCTTAAAGTTAGTCTTAACATTTCTTTGAAGATGAAGAGGGTTTTCACCCCAGGCCTGAAGAAAGCCAAGTGTCAGTTCTCAACAAAATGGATGTACTTTGACCCTGAGCTCTTTGGTTTTATTTGTTTTATTGGTGAGTCTTTGGGAATTGGAAGGCCTGTTTTCTCACCCCCCGTTTCCGTCTCCTGATGACAAAGGCTGCACTGTCAAGGTGATTATGACTTCTCTCAGTGCCCAAGCTCAACTGGCCCTTATAAGGATAAAATTTTAAGGCCCTGGGCTATATGAACGAGCAGCACCTCTGCACAGCCGGGTTAACCAGATGTGTGGTCTCTCTGGCCTCATTTGAGTCTCGTCCAGAAGTAGGAGAACTTCTCCCTCCTTCATGAATAAAAATCCAAAAAGAGAATTTAAAACTCAAAAAGGACCTTTAAGGAATTATTAAGTCTCTCTCCACCTCTAAGAAAGACCATACATTGAAGAAACTCTCCTACTTTTGAAGTTACTTGGAGAAAGATTCCACAGATTTCCCCCAATGATAAACCGTTGCAATAGCTAAGCTGCATTTTCCAGAAATCTTTCTTCTCAGTTGGTCAAAATCTTTTCAGATTAAACCCATTCTCTTGGGTGCAGAGACTAGGCAGTGAATATTAAAAGAATTTAAAATGTGAAGTTCCAAAAGAACTTTAAAGTGCTGATTTTGCATTTTGGGTTTTACTTTTAATGGTAAAAATAAGGCTCAGAGATCCCTGTGTCCACCTTTGACACAGGGTGGGTTGGGGTGGGAGGGGGGGTGTCTTCTTAGTGCCATATCCAGCTTTGACATGGGGTGGCTGAGCTGTGGCTGCTAGTTCGACCCCATCCAGAGAAGAGAGGCTAGCAATCAGGTGCTCTGGTCAGCGTGGTTCCTGTGGGAAGTGACTCTCCCATGAACCCAAGCATATTGTTCCTCAGAGAATATTAGACTGTTGGAGCAGCAAATAACCCTAAGATGAGCTTATTCAGCTTCTTCATTTCACAGGTGAGGAAACTGAACTCCAAGAAGTTAAAAAGACTTGCTTTTTTAAACTCCAGGGATGGGCTAATGGCAGAGCCAGGACGACTGAATCCAACTTCCTGACCTCTTGTCCACTAATCTTTCCTAGACACCAGGCTAGGCCCTGCTAATCTCCTTTTGTTACTCAAATAATTAATTTATTAACCTTTGACCTCCTGATAATTGCAGCATGAATTTTCGTTCAGTTATCCAGTGTCTACAGATATAATGAATGTCATATATTACTGAAATACTTGATTATGGCATTTTAAAACTGGGGTCCAAGTTAACACCAAAAGTGGCTACAGTAATATGTCTGTTAAGAAAAAATAAAAAAAAAAAAAAGTCAGTTGCTTCAGGAGAGAAAGGCATGTAATGATCCCTTAAAGTTCCTTTTTTTCTCACATATTTTTCTTTTCTTTATTATGATCTTTGAGTTTAGCAATATCCTAGATGCTTCCTTTAATTGGCGTCAGTACTTTCTTTGGAGGACCTGGTACAGAGAGAAAGGCAGTTTGTTTTTTTTTTTTAATTTTCTTCCCATCCTACTCCCTTTGGAGACTGTTTTAGCTGTTCTCACCAATTATAATTGTTTGTAGTAATTTTCAGACTTACTATATATTTCTATTTTGCATCATGTTCAGAATCCAAGCATGTGAAGCAAAAGAAATTAGGATTTCATTTATGGCGTCATGACCCTTGGGTGAATTTTCTCATCCTATTTAGAAATAATCCAGGAATCATAATTTCAACCTATGTCAAGATAGATTCCGGGAATATATCTGCAGGTGGATAGCGAAAAAGGTGGAAAAAAAAGATTCCTGGAATAAAACGTATTCTTTTCCACATCCATACACCATAGAGAAAGATTTCTTAGGGAAGAAATGAGCAAAAGTTAGAGGGGTACAAGAGCGGCAATGAAGAGATGTGCTCCATAGTAAACATTAGGTCCTTCGCTGCTGACTCCAACCAAACTTTCTACAACTCTTAAAGGATATATATAACCAAACATTAGGTCCTTCGCTGCTGACTCCAACCAAACTTTCTACAACTCTTAAAGGATATATATAACCAAAGCTTCTTGTATTCGCCAACTGCTAGTAGTTCTTAGAGTTTATAATATAAAGACTCTTAAGGGGAAGCCCCTTCTCACGGTATAGGCAAGTCTCTTGACAACTCCATTCAACTCCATTCTAGTATCTAGTGTTTTCCCACCATTTGAAATCATTTGTAATTATTCAATATGGTTACAACATAAATATTTATTTTTCACAAGAGAAGATACAAATATTAGTTTAGCTTTTAACTTGAACCTGCATTGGGTTTCTCCTTATTCTTCATCACTTTGAAGATATAATTCGAAAAAGCCTGGATGTTATTTTATTATTTTGTCTTAAAGTCAGATTTTCAATTTGCATCAGAATGATTACATGAGTGTTTGTGTGAGGCAGAACCAAACACACATGGTTTGGTGTTTTTATAACATTGGCTGTGCTTTCTTTGCCTTTTAGATTGTGATACAGGTTCCAGCCCTTGGGGACAGTAGTGGTTGGCCAGATGGTTATGAAGATCTGGAGTCAGGTGATAATGGATTTCCGGGAGATATGGATGAAGGAGATGCTTCCCTGTTCACCCGACCTGAAATCGTGGTGGTATGTGTTTGTTATCAGTAGGGGGTTTGTGGAAAATGCTGTCTATTTTGTTGGCTTTAGTTAGGGACTATCTGAAAATAAAATCAGATGTTAAAAGCCAAAGCTCATGAAGCTACAGGGCCTTCATCCTTCATATGACTGTCATTAATCTTCCTGTGGGTTGTTATTTCCAGTTTAATTGCAGCCTTCAGCAGGTGAGGAACCCCAGCAGCTTCCAGGAACAGCCCCACGGAAACATCACCTTCAACATGGAGCTATACAACACTGACCTCTTTTTGGTGCCCTCCCAGGGCGTCTTCTCTGTGCCAGAGAATGGACACGTTTATGTTGAGGTGAGACCTGAAAGTTAGCCTTGACCTTTTAGGTTAGTGCTGGGCTATAGTTCCTTAGACATCAGCTAAAATACCCTGTACAGACCTCTTCCTGTCCTACCTCACAGACCTTCAACAGGTCTGATGAGGGATTGGCTCAGAGAACGCTTCCAGACTGACTTCTGACCAAAGCAGGAAATTTCAAGATTTAATACATTATGCTAAGTGAAGACAGTATTTTGTAGATGAATGTTAACAAAAAAAAAAATTGGCAAGTGTGAATTCTACTGGTAAAGCCCTGTCCTTTGCTTTTGGAACAGTAGTTCAGTAGTTGCAGTGTTAGAGTTAACCATGGAATATTTCAAAACCACCTCATATGTTATCTTTTATTTCTTTTTTTTTCCCTGCACAGTCCCCTTAGCCCCCAGCAGGGCAGCCAAATCCCTGTGGGTCCATGCCGCCACTGAAACTGACTTGTTATCTTTTAAATTGCACTCACTTTTAAGTGAAATGCTATGTGCTATTATAACTCATGACATTTTTTTTTCTAGATCATGATCTGAGTATCTGTATAAACTTATTTAAACTATTTCCTATATATAATGTTAATAATCATGTGCAACCTAAATCTGGAATCTGGAGTGACTACACAATATTAGGCAGTGGCGGTAATAATGAAATAACAACATCTAACATTTGCTGCAGATTTATTATGTGCCAAACAGAGTTGTAAGTATTGCAGCAGTTAGTTAACTCTTTAGAGCCATCCTATAAGGGAGGCTAATAATATCTTCATTTTATGGATGAGAAAATTGAGGCACAAATTTGTCTGAGGCCACACAGCTGGTACTAGTGGAGTTCAGATTCAGTGCTCATAGGCCGTGTGACTCCAGAGCTCTGACTGATCTTCGCTGGATACGACTATCACTTATCTCCAAAGTGCCATTTGAAAGGGGAGAAAACATAACGTCTTATCAATGCAAACATCCAGGTTCAGAGAGTGGATTCTAGAAAAGATAAATGTCCTTATGGCACCAGGATGTCTGCTGTTTCTTGTGCCCTGGGTACAACCTTTCATGTTTCAACCTTAGTGTTTCAAGTGGGCATATCATCTGTTGGTCTTATGGGAAGGTCCTCATCTAATGAGCTGGTTTTGGTGCTCAGCTGCAAGCTCAGCTTCATAGTGGGAGGGGTGAGAAGCTTAAAGGGTCAAAGTGGGGTACTTCCATATGTTAAAAGTGACTTTGGTGCACGTGTTTCTGTTTTGGAAAGACACATAACTCTCACATTCGCACTGACTCTGGGACAGAGCCCGCTGGCGCTAGATGTTGTTTTCCTTGATCATATGGATTCTGCCCCTCCCCCATTCTGAGAGTTCTCTTTCTTTGAGCACACCTTCTTTCTCCATTGGGGAAAATATACTGCCTTCTACATGCTTTTCCTAAGCCAAGATGGCTGTTTTTCTCTTGCTTTTCTGGCTGTACAGTTCACATGGGCAGTTGGTCAACAGCACCCTATTGCGCTGTGGATTTCAGGGGTGCTGCATAATTGCAGATTGTTCTTTTCCAAATCTATGCCTGGCTTTGCTGATTTATGCTAATCAGTGGTCAATCTTCCTCCTGTACCTTACCCTGGATATTTTGGGTTTTTTCCCCCATCCTTCAAATGCTGGCTTACTTGAAGTGTGTTATTGGTAGTTTTTTTTTTCCATTCTTGTTTTCCCATTTATACCTTTTCATATATCACCTATATTTCTCATAGTTTATCCTCTATTCCCTCTACACCATACAGTCCCTTTCATAATCCAAGTTAACAGTGTTGCCACCTGTTCATTGGTCATCTCCAGGTGACTGTTGGTCACATAATGGCAGTTTTCTTTTGGTTCATTTGTCTTGGGGAATTTACAAACCCAGTTGTTAATAACCCAAAATTTTAAATCTAGAATACTACTATTACTAATAGGTAGCATTTATTGACACTCTGGGAACTGTGTTGTTTGCATGTAACTTTTACTTTGCTAGTTTTCACAATTATGATATCTTGTGGGTATTCGTGTTCTCATTCTGTAGGTGAGTAAACTGAGTCTCGGTGCCCAGCACGTGAGCAGGAGAGCATGTAATTTTTATGAGCTCGTCTCACTACAAAGCCCGTAGTCCTTCTCCTACTCACTTCTGGTCTAAAAGTAAAATCCTTTTTAGTAAAAGATTTGCTGATAATTTATATATATAAACTATATATACATAAAATATATTAAAAAATAATATATATTTTTTCCCTCTGCTACAAAGGTATCCCTTTTTGGGATACCTTAGACATTCTGCCGCTACATACTTTCTTTTGAGATTAGAGAAGAGATTTGCAGTCCCTCTGTTACACATTTTGGCATGTGGTTTCTGAGTTCATGTTAAACGGCAGTTTTTAGTAATAGCACATATGTAATTTGCCACCTTTCCAAGATAGAATATCTTGTTTTTCAGAAGTATTGCAAAAATACTGAAGTGTTAGTATTTACAGAATGTCACCACAGTGACATTATCAGAATCCTCTTCATTAGCATTTTCACTGTTGAGTGTCCTGCAGTTAACCACCACGTAGGAATCTTTCACAACAGTGCTGCGGATTCAAAGCCCCATGTGATGTCAGGGGTTTCCCCTGGGTATCTCAGCGTGGAAAGTCTGTTTCTATCTCCATGTCTTTTGAAATGATTCTGCGGCTGTTGGTCTATGGGTAAGGACTAGCTGTTTCTACAAGTGTTTAAGTTTATTTTGATCCTAAATTTAGTCAAAGAATGAGGCATAGCAGGGAGGGGCAGTTCATGCAGTGATCCACGTGTCACCAAATGGAGAATCTCCTCTGGTCTGGGGATTTTAGCTAAGTTCAGGATAGTTGAGGTTTGAATTCTGTTTACACTTGGCTAAACATTACTTCCTGTTTCTAAGGAAAAGAACCTTAACAAAATTTGGACGTAGCCCATACAAGTGTTTTCAAAGGGGGAAGTATAAATGAGTCGGAAACGTTTCCAGATTAGATTTCCCCTAAACTACCCCTGGGCTTATGGAGCGAAGGGGGAGTACTTGGCAAGGCTGATTTGGATCTGTGAGCAGCTGGGACACTTTACCAGGCCCATGATGGCCTCCAGGTTGCACCGTCACTGACACCCAGCGCCGGAGCCAGCTCTGCCTTCTCGCCGATGAAGCAGGACTCTCATCAGGCTTACTCTGACTTTTTGCAATTTAGAAGCTCAGTCTTCCTGCCTAGGTTAAATAGATTTTGCCGCTGAACTCTATTTTTTGGTCAGTCTTTAAAAAGAGCTTAGCTTATAAGTGTTGTACTATTAAAACATTAGGGACTTTGCCTACTGGTGTTTTATTTACTTCGGAAA
Organism: Homo sapiens; assembly: GCF_000001405.40. Taxonomy (NCBI): domain Eukaryota; kingdom Metazoa; phylum Chordata; class Mammalia; order Primates; family Hominidae; genus Homo; species Homo sapiens. Next base: position 91,712,874 of record NC_000001.11, on the reverse strand, counting down.
ATCCACTTTAAATGCAAAATATGTTTTTATTTTTAGCTCTCAGAGGACTCATTGGGAGGTGGAAGAGACTTACTCATCTTGTATTTGAATCTAATGGACTAATATTTGAAAGAAATAATTCACTGTCATCATCTATATCAAATTGAAGTGGAAAATATCTTTTTCTTTCAATGTGTGTGTGTTACTTTTGTAATTAGAAAGAAGGCTATAACTATGTTATGAAGATAAAGCAGCGTGTCATCTGAAGGGCTGTCTTGGCATATGGTCCTTGTGCCTAAAGTGAAAGTGAGATGCTAACTCATTTCCTAATTCATCTTTCTGTTCTTTCATAGGTATCTGTTACTAAGGCTGAACAAGAACTGGGATTTGCCATCCAAACGTGCTTTATCTCTCCATATTCGAACCCTGATAGGATGTCTCATTACACCATTATTGAGAATATTTGTCCTAAAGATGAATCTGTGAAATTCTACAGTCCCAAGAGAGTGCACTTTCCTATCCCGCAAGCTGACATGGATAAGAAGCGATTCAGCTTTGTCTTCAAGCCTGTCTTCAACACCTCACTGCTCTTTCTACAGTGTGAGCTGACGCTGTGTACGAAGATGGAGAAGCACCCCCAGAAGTTGCCTAAGGTTTGTGGGCCTTCATCCATTCGGATGGTTATTTTGGCATTTTTAGGTGAGGCAGAAAAGTTTAATCCCAAGGTCTTGCAGGTTGAGGTTTTTTGTTTTGGAACTGCCCAACTGAAATATTAAAGTCACTATTAGCAGGGAACTGTGAGTTTTATGGAGTCTTAGATAATAAATCCTGACAGCATGAGTTTCTTTTTTCCATGCGTGCTACTTAGTAGTACCTTACGAGTGATAAATCAAGACGCTTTTCCATGGAGGGAGATTTCTGGCTTTATCTTTGCTTTTCAGATAGTTTGCAGGCCAAAAACACAGCAAGCCGAAAGGACAAGTTCATTGTGAGAATTAATTTTTCCAGGTCCTGCTGGGACTGGCATTGTCATTGTTTTTTAACCTTTTCTGTGTGAAATATAAGGTTGACTTGTCTCAGGGAGACTTCTAGGGGAAACTAACAAATATTTTAGCTTTTCTCAGTTTCATATCAGTTCATCATATTTGCCTCCTGTCACTCTCCAGATTGAATGTTCTATTGCCATAACAAAAAGCAGAACCATTTGACCTTGGTGGAATGCATTTGATAGGGGAGATCTGCAAGGTTAACTATGATACCCACTAGGTTGGTCTTGTATATGAAAGGTATCTTCTGCCATAGTTTTGTTTCTGTGATCTGCCATAATTATGTATAATTTCATATGTGCATTTATTCTGTGGCTATCTCACACAGAGTAAACTGATTTCCAGTCCTTTCGCAGTCATATATCAATGTCTAAAAGGCTAAGAATCAAGCAGTGTTATTAATAATGTATGTATGGAATTTTCTCATTTAACTCACAGATTTTAAGTCTTAGGTATGGAGGTAGGAGGAAAAACCACCATTTCCAAATAGATTACAATTGATCTGAATTCCTTGCATCATTATAGTCCCCTGGGCATCCTTTTCTCTGATAACACCCAAGAGAATTTTGTTTGCATACGAAAATAGAGCAGATATGATCATAATCATTGGGGAGCACATATACAGTGATTTAGACTATATTCCTAGGTTTGCTTTTGCGGCGGTGATGCCTTAGCCTTGTAGGCATTCACCATCAGGGTTGGGGCTTAGTGGACAGTGGTAGAGAGCCATGAGGAGCTTCATGTGTGGCTGTGGGACCAGCTGCTTCCTGTGGGCAGAAGGGTAACGTTTAAGGGTTAGAGGTCTTGGAGGGGAGACCTAGCAGTTACCAGGGATCTTTGCTGTGGCTTTGGCTGTTACTTCTCTCTGACCTGGCCTGGAACAGCCCAGCTTCATGTGTGTTAATCTGGGAAAATTAATCGTAAAGAGAGTTCTAAGCCTCAGGGGATGACATGATGGGATATAACCCTAAACCTCAAGTCGCCCTTTACCCCCAAGGTAAGATAACATGGAAAGAGCCTGGGACTGAGAAGGAAGCTCTGCTGCCACCAATGGGACTTTAAGCCAGTCTCTGGACCCCTTAGAGCCTGTATTTCCTCATATACTGTTATAATCATACCTGGCTTCCCTCCTGGGTAGAGGAGCAAATAGGACAGTATGTACAATGACAGCCCTTTATCTGGCAGAGGCTTGGATGAGCTGTTACCACTGTCTTTCTGTTTGCTGCTTATAGGTAATATTTTCACATTTCTATTATTTTCTGAGTGCTTTCTGTGACAATAGAGAGCGCCAAAGAATCTTCTAGGAAGAGATCTCAGAGATTGTTGAGACCAACCCTGCCCTTTGCTGATGAAACCGAGACCCGGAGAGCAGAGTGTCTTGCCCAGGGTCACACTCCACTGAGTTAAATGCGGAATCATAGACTCTTGCTTAACTGAAGAGCTCAATAGGAAAGTAACAGTAAACTAAAACAGGAAAGCAAAATGCAACTCTTTTCAGTCATCATGCCTCTCCACAGAAAATTTGTTGTTTTTCTTTACAAGAGGGCTCTTGTTAAAGGCTTTTCTCTTTTTGAGGGGGTAAGAGTAGGGCAGTGAGGGTTGTCTTATAAGAAGTGTCTGACTGGCATGTTGCTCAGAGCAGCAATGACAGCAAGGCCTAAAGTCTTTGCTCTTTTGTGTTTGGAAAAGATGGAACTTGATTAGCTTTTTGGGATGCCTGCTATAGACTTAAAATGATGGCTGTATTAATATGTCTTCTTACCATAGAAGCTGTCATTTACTTTAGAGTTATACCTATTAGGCTGGGCGTGGGCTCATGCCTGTCATCCTAGCACTTTGGGAGGCTGAGCTTGGCAGCTTGCTGGGAGTTCGAGACCAGCCTGGTCAGCATAGTGAGACCCCTGTCACTACTATATATATATTAGCTGGGTGTAGTGGTGCACACCTGTAGTCCCAGCTACTGGGGAGGCTGAGGCAGGAGTATGACTTGAGCCCATGAGGCCAAGGCTGCAGTGAGCCATGATTGTACCACTGTACTCCAGCCTGGGTAACACAGCAAGACCCTGTCTCAAGAAAAATAAAAAAGAACTATACCTATTGATAAATATAGACAAGAAAACAAAGTTATTTTAAAGAAAAAGTGCGGAGTGTGATCATATTTTTTCAAAACAGATGTAGTGGGCCTGAGCATGCTCATTAATAGGTTTGAAGCGGCTAATCTCATGGCCTCCACAACCTGGGCACAGCCCCCAGGATCTGCATTTTGAAACATTAAAAGCAGATGACCCTGGAAAGTTTAGTTTTACATGAGCCTATACCAGGATTAAAAATGAAACAAACTCAGCAACATGATTATCTTATTGGAGAAAAATGTAAAATCTGTCACCTTCATAATGCAGTATAGACAGTCCCCATACAACCATTCTGTTTTTCAATCTAAGTATTCAATAAATTATGTGAGCTATTCAACACTTTGTTATGAAATAAGCTTTGTGTTACATGATTTTTCCAGCTGTAGGTTAACGTAAGTGTTCTGAGCATGTTTAAAGTAGGCTGGACTAAGCTGTGTTGTTCGGTACTTTAGGTGTATTAAACACATTTTCAACTTAGTGATATTTTCAGTTTACAGTGGGTTTGTCAAGATGTAACCTCATCATAAGTTGAGGAGCGTCTTTATGGGAAATTTCCCACAATCACCAATCACAAACATGAACCGTGTATATGAAGCCCAGCTTGGTGAGGACCAACACTAGGCATATAGTTTTTCTGTTTTTCAAACTAACACTAAAATGTTTAGTTTTGTGAGAAGAAGGGGAGGGGGAGGACAATATTGAGAAGCTATCCAGTGATATTTGCATCTTCAGGTACAACCAAAAATCCACTGGGCCTGCTGTCATATCTCCCAGGTTATTTGGTGTTCTCTGAAAAACACCCACCTTCTTGCTTTTCTGTAGTGAACAGCTGTGTGCTGTCTGATAAAAGGCCACAGGACAGCTGTGCAGGTAGAGCTGGTGAAGGCACTTTTGAGTGGCCCCTGATTCTGTGCTTTGTTCTGCCTGTCTGCAGTGTGTGCCTCCTGACGAAGCCTGCACCTCGCTGGACGCCTCGATAATCTGGGCCATGATGCAGAATAAGAAGACGTTCACTAAGCCCCTTGCTGTGATCCACCATGAAGCAGAATCTAAAGGTGTGCTTTGGGAGGCACGATCAGAGCATGGGGCCTGAGCTCTGCTTGTTAAGAAGACCCAATAGTGTAAATCAAAGTCCAGCTTTATTCACAAGATAACTAAAGGGCCAGTTAGTTACTTTAGAAGACCATTTTTTGCCCGAAGAGTCTTTTCTTTAGCTGGTTCTCTTACAGCCATTATGGCTTAGTTGTAAGTAATCTATTTGAAAATGATTTCCTCTGTAAAAAGAATCAGGTCTAGGTTGTTCCTGTCATAAGGTCACTCTCCCTTGCATTCAAATATGCTTCCTTGAGTATGCAAAAAAGGGTTCTAGTTAGTCCCATGTCCCGGGAATTGCACACAATCCACAGTTCATCTTTCTGTGATCTACTGCTAAAGTTTATGCTGGCTATAACCTATTGTATTGCTTTATCAAAATTGCAAATGCCTTTGAGAATATGTGAACATTATTCATCTTAGGTGTAACAGATGAGAACCACTGCCCAAATGCATCTTAAAATTCAGTTTTCAGAATTTTGCACAATCACATTTGTTGCTTGGAGCCAAGCATGCCTCTTTCTCCACAAGCAGGAACATTCAGCAAGCTGTATCTTCTGTGAGAAAAGGAAGGCTGTGCCCTAAGGGGTGTGGCATCAGTACCTGAGAGGACAGGCAGGGCAGAGCCAGACCTGGCATGGGTCTGGCCAGCCAGAGCAGTAGAGAGGCAGAACTGGGCCCTAACAAATGTTAGGAGTGGATATGAGGCCCTGTGGGCGGTGAGAAGAGCATCTGACAAGGACCCGCATCACAGCTCCAAGGGTTATAAACAAGCAAGGACACACCAGGCAGCTGTCAGCATCTGAGGGGTGGAACCAAATGTCACATGGGATATCTAGGCAATTACAGTTGTCACCATCTAGTAACATTGATATCTAAGGGTGTCAAACTGAGAGAAGGCTGGGAGAGTGAAAGTGGATTCCAAGCGGGGTTAGATATTTCAGGATTAGAGCTACAGGCTGCCTCTCGCCACTCTGAGGGGCACAGAGGAGCCTGGGCACCAAGGGCCTTGACAAAAGCCAGCACACTGTCTGGCTCCAGTTTCAGGGTATTAGCTGGAAGGCCTGCTGGGTGGTGCTGACACCAGATCTAGGGTTTGGTGTGGCCCTGGGATGGCATTCCTGATCTGAGCATGTTGGATTGGGATTTGGCAAGACTAGGCAGCAGGGGTGACCCCTGGACAGTGGGCAGAACCTACCAGAACAGAGGCATGCAGGTACTGTCTAGTGTCTTATTGGTTGACTAACCTCTGTGAAAACAGCTGTGCCATTCCAATTGTGTATCTGGTGGTGGCATCTGCCCCCTTCCTATGAATGAATGTGCTCCCTCAAAATGGCAGAAGAGTATAGGTGGCAGGCACACTGGATTGGAGCTGGGAGCCTAAGGCACTGCTTTTAGCTTTCTCTGCTAACTGGCTGTGGGACATTGGAGAACCCCCCTACCACCAGCTCTTTGGGTTTCATTTTCTCTATCTGGAAAGGAGAGGTTTGGACTGGGTGACTTCCAAAAGGTCCTTTCAGTTGTAATACTCAACTATGCTGTTTGAAGAAGCAAAATAATCTTTAATTCATTTTTCTGGCCGTCCTAAAGTTGTTGTGAAGTGTACATGAGATGTTCTCGGCAACATTTTTGTTGTTGTTTGTTTTACTTTTATTGATTGGTTTTCAACCATTTGAAAGTTATAATAGACCCAGTCTTTATATAAATGGATGGTCCAAATAGTTCCTTTTTATTGGGTTCAGGAGAAAGAAATAAGAATATAAATTGTGTTGCAGAGTAATCACAATTGGGCAGCAGCTGGCTCCATTTTGTACTATGAAAGTGATTTTGTTACCAGAAAGGAGTCCCAATTCAGACCCCAATAGAGGGTTCTTAGATTTCACCCAAGAAAGAATTTGGGGATGAGTCCACAGAGTAAAGTGAAAGCAAGTTTATTAGAGACGTAAAGAAACAAAAGAATGGCTACTCCATAGACAGAGCAGCCCCAGAGGCTGCTGGTTGCTATTTTTATGGTTATTTGTTGATCATATGCTAAACAAGGGGTGGGTAATTCATGAGCTGTCCTAGAAAGGGGCAGGCAATTCCCGGAACTAGGGTTCCTCCCCTTTTTAGACCATATAGGGTAACCTCTAGGCTTTGCTATGACATTTGTCAACTGTCATGGTGCTGGTGAGAGTGTCTTTTAGCATGCTAATGTATTATACTTAGTGTATAATGAGCAGTGAGGACAACCAGAGGTCACTGTCATTGCCATCTTGGTTTTGGTGGTTTTTGGCCAGTTTCGGCTGGCTTCTTTACTGCATCCTGCTTTATCAGCGGGGTCTTTATGACCTGTATCTTGTGACCTTCTCTCCCATCCTGTGACTGAGAATGCCTAAACTCCTGGGAATGCAGCACAATAGGCCTCGGCCTCATTTTACCCAGCCCTATTCAAGGTAGAGTTGCTCTGGTTCAAATGTCTCTGATAATTTAACAATAAGAGCAGCTACCTCGGATTCCATCTGTTACTCGTAACTATTTTGAGAGAGGTAATTCTGCTAGTAATTGAAGGCAGCGGCTTGCTTTTTCCCATGCCAGACAATAATTAGGCATTAATATTGCCGCAGTATAACTTCCAGCAATTCATCCATTCTTCTTTTGAGCCTGGTGACATTTTTCTAAGTAATTTCTCTTGCAAATTAGGTAATTACTTTTATTTAAACTTAGTATAATTGTACTGAAAGTTCAATGTTTTCTTGTATAAAAGTTCAAGAGGAAAGTTTTACCAAATATCAAAGCAATTTTATGAGATTTGCTAATTGAGACTAGATTTTAGTTGAGAAGCATGTGGGTGAAGAAAGTTTATTACTTAGGTTTGTTAAATAAATTGAGGCGGTTAAACTGTAGGCCAGCTTCCCAGGGGCTGTATGCAAATTTGCTTTCTAACTTTGCGCTTACTGGGGTAAGTTTTCTGGCAGGTTTCAGCTGTGTGTGACTCCTCTCACCTTTTAAGTTTATTTTCTTTTGACTCTAAATCATTTATCCTCAATGCAGACCACTGGAGTCTGTGCTTTCTGCCTCAAGGTGAATTGGAATAGTCATTTGAAAAGAGACTGTGGGCTGGGCGCAGTGGCTCACGCCTGTAATCCCAGCACTTTGGGAGGCCGAGGCGAGTGGATCACAAGGTCAGGAGTTCAAGACCAGCCTGGCCAACATGGTGAAACCCTGTCTCTACCTAAAAAAAAAACCAAAAAAATTAGCCAGGCGTCATGGCACACGCCTGTAATCCCAGCTACTCTTTAGGCTGAGGCAGAGAATTGCCTAAACCTGGGAAGCAGAGGTTGCAGTGAGCCAAGATCGCGCCACTGTACTCCAGCCTGGGGGACAGAGCAAAACTCTGTCTCAAAAAAAAAAAAAAAAAGAAAAGAGACTGTGACCATTTGCCTAATTGCATTGGTTTATTTGAATAATAACAGGTCACGAATGTCCTTCCTGTCAGACAGCTTTATGTCTCTTTATTGTAGAATCTGTGACTTTTTGGGTAAAAATTTCCTAACCAATGGGACGCTTCACTGTGCTTTTACTACACAGGTGCTCTTTGAAGGCCATGCCAAAACTCCAGCTCTCTCTGGTCATTTGGTTCATCTTATTTTTCAACACTTGGATTTTCTGGGACAGCAGATAAAGGCTCTGGTTGGCAACTTCACAGCTGGGCAGAGAGCTGCTCTGTGGCCACCACTGCCAATAGCATTGACATACTTTAGTGTTTCTTCTGTGGACAGGAAAGTAGGCAATCAAGACTATAAAAATGTTTCTGGATTCCTCCTCTGGGCCACTGTTTTTAATGGAACCTTCCTGAGCACATCTTTGCCACTTTTGATCTCTAAGTCCCTTGGGAATCAGTGTTGGGTTAGCGTTCTTTTACCATTTAAATTTTTAACAATAGATGAAAGTTTAAAGCTGATGGTGATGATAGTGATGGAGATGAGGATGATGATCTAACATTTGTTGAGCATTTACTTTGTGCAAGGCTCTGTGCTAAATGCTTTATGTGGATTATTATATTTTATCCTCATAGCACCTCTGTATAGTGATAACTTGGCCAAGGGCACACAACATATAAATGGTGGATCTGGGATTCAAATTCAGGCACTGTGATTCCAGAGCCTGTGCTCTTAAACCCTATGCCTTATTCCAGATGGAGGTTGATTCTAGTTTTTACTGAAAACTAGAATCATGTGCATCTATGTCTTCACACCCCTCTTCCTGCCCCACTTCTCCCTTTTCTTTCTTTCTTTCTTTCTTTTTTTTTTTTTTTTGAGACAAAGTCTCACTCTGTCACCCAGACTGGAGTGCAGTGGCGCAATCTCGGCTCACTGCAACCTCCACCTCCTGGGTTCAAGCGCTTCTCCTGCCTCAGCCTCCCGAGTAGCTAGGATTACAGGCACCTGCCACCACACCCAGCTAATTCTTGTATTTTTAGTAGAGATGGGGTTTCACCATGTTGCACAGGCTGGTCTTGAACTCCTGACCTGAGATGATCCATCCACCTCGGCCTCCCAAAGTGCTGGGATTATAGGCATGAGCCACTGCACCTGGCCCTCTTCTCCCTTTTCATACCATATCACATTAGTATTCAAGGTAACACCCCAAATACCCTAATGATTATGAACTAAAAGGAAGATGAAGGATTTTAGGAAAAATGTCTGTTCACCCAAAGGATTAAGATGTTGGGAAATGTGTAACCTGTTTAGCAGAGTATTAAAGTTCAGGAGAAGTTCTGTGATTTTCAGTAGTAACTCAGAAAGCCCAGAGAACATAAATAGTTTATGCATATTATGGTTTATGACAAAACATTTAAAATAGTTGAGGTGGTGCCATCCTACCCTATTTTCTGAAATTTTGAAGTATAGGCATATTAGTGCTGTTTGCCTTGGATTCTGTGACCGCTTTTTACAGCATTTGAGAACACTTGGGCTTATACAGTAAAAATGATTACACCACGTCGGTGATGATTTTTTTTAAATTGTGAAAGAGAGGAGTAACCATTTCTCTGAAACAGTGCACATACACAGAAGAGCATGGATGTGGATGTCATCAGGAGCAATAAATATCATTCCAAAATTTGCCGTGATTTACATACCTATAGATGTGTTTAATTCTTAGCAAGTTAAATGTTTGAGATACTGAATTTTCTCCGTATTTTCACCACCTAACTTTAAAAAATAAAAATGCCTGCATATCTTGGATACTCAGTAAATGTTAATTTCCTCCCCTTCCTCTCAACCTCTCAGCAAACTAGAGGTTTTTTGGGAAGGGAGGGTTGAGGAAGGGAAAGTTGTGAACGTCAGTTGGAAGTTGATCCAAGAGAGGCATTACTTTTTGGAACACATTTGATCTTTCCAGAATAAAAATACTCTAAAGGACCAGCCAGGTTTTGTCCTCGAGCTGAGGTCGAGGTGAGGGGAAACTGAGTGGAAAGATGGTAGAAATGCTTAATTGACAGACCAGGGCATTCATTCTCTATCCAAGAAGGGAAGGAGGGATATCATATTTTTTTTTTTAACATCGTGTATTTTACATTATTTATTTATTTAATTTTGAGAAGGAGTTTCATTCTGTCACCCAGGCTGGAGTGCAGTGGCGCAATCTCGGCTCACTGCAACCTCCGCCTCCTGGGTTCAAGTGATTCTCCTGCCTCAGCCTCCTAAGTAGCTGGGATTATAGGTGCCTGCCACCACGCCCAGCTAATTTTTGTATTTTTAATAGATACAGGGTTTCACCATGTTGGCCAGGCTTGTCTCAAACTCCTGACCTCAGGTGATCTGCCTGCATCGGCTTCCCAAAGTGCTGGGATTACAGGCCTGAGCCACCGCTCCCGGCCAGTATTTTACATTTTAAAACCTTTTTATTTTGAAAAATTTCAAATATATACAAAAATAGAATAAGTCTCAACAATTGCCAATTTATGGTGAATCTTGTTTTATCACTTTCTGTCATCCACTGGATTGTTTTGAAGGAAACCCAGACATTTAATTTAATTTCATCCATACATATTCCAGTATGTACCTCTAAAAGTTAAGAACCATCAGAAGATCTCAAGCAGGAAACTGATGATTAGGTCATTTATTTTTATTTTATTTTATTTTATTTTTTGTATTTTTAGTAGAGACGGGGTTTCACAGTGTTAGCCAGGATGGTCTTGATCTCCTGACCTTGTGATCCGCCCGTCTCGGCCTCCCAAAGTGCTGGGATTACAGGTGTGAGCCACCGCGCCCGGCGATTAGGTCATTTAGGAAGGCTACTCTGAAAATGGTGTGAAGGTTGCATTGCTGGGGAAAGTACTCAAGAATAAAATATACGTGATATTTGTGGTTATTTATTCAAAAAAATATGGTAGGTGTATAGTGGACAAATTATCTTGTCTTTAAGGCCTTTACAGCCTAGTGCAAAGTTTCTCAATCTCAGTACAATCAGTGTTTGGGCTGGAATACCCTTTGTAGTTGGGGGGCTGCCTGTGTGTTACAGGATGTTAAGCAGTGTCCCTGGTCTCTACCCACTACATGCTAGTAGCAACACCCTCCCACCACCAGCCCAGTTGTAACCATTCAAAATGTCTCTAGACGTTTCCAAATGTCCCCTGGAATAAAAATCACCCACCACGTGAGACACACTGGTCTAGTGGCAGGATACAGATAAGTGAACAAGTAATTGCAATGAATATCATAAATATTGAAAGAATCCAGAAAAAGGGTTCAGTTACAGTGACGTTAAGTTAGTAAAAACTCTGTCTTAAATGGGGCCTGCACAAAGACCTCCTGAGTCTCCAGGAGGAATCTTCCTCTCCCCATTCTTCTCTTTGCCAAATGCCAATAGATGTGGGTACCAGTTGGACGTCTTGTTTCACTGTGGGCCCACTCCGTCCTATGGTGCCTAGTACCAAATTGAGCACTAAAGGCCAAAAGCTGTGGTCAGTTACTCATGCATAACCCCAGAAATATCCCGTTTATGAAAACCATGCTGAACAATCTGAAGAGGGGAATTTTGGTTCTAGAGGTAGACCAAAATTTGCTCAGCGTATATGAAAAGATTTAATTCAGAACATTGATTATAGTTTGTCCTTTCTGTAAAGAAATCTTTATTGTTACAGTTCTCTTTACAGCAATAGCTAAGATTCCTTTCTTATAATCTTAATCTTATCCTTAAACCAAAAGTAAATATTGTTGAGTCCACTCTTTTCCTCTCAGCATGCCAACTCGATGGTAGGGTTCCGGTGGAGATCAAGCCATTTTAGTTATACTCAGGGGTTCTTAGGGATTCGGGAAGAGAAAAGTTCGAGGATAGAATTCTTTAACCTCAGTTCTGCAGCTTCTGCTTGTTATTGTTTGTGCTCAGAAATCACGAAGAGACTTCACCCAGGGGAAATGAACAACAACTGTTTCTGTTTAGCTCTGTGAGAAGGCTCCTATTTGGGGTGGGGGTAAAGGATTAGATCATAACAGAAATCCATTAAGAATTTTAAAACAATGCCATCCATCACACAGGCCTTACTATAAAACTTAAACTCTTACATGGGAGGTCTCCTTAGGAGAGAGTCATAATTTTTCAACCGCTTGGGGATTCTGAGTGAGAAAGTTTAACCATGGGTGGTTGATTGGATGGAATTATTCCCAGAAGTGTGTATATTTCTTACATGATGCATCTTGTAGCAACCTTTAAATGCCTTTGAACTTAGTTCAGGGAATCAAATACTACGTCTTGAAAGGAGAAGTTTGTGGGTAGATACTCTTCCTTCATAGAGTTCTTGGGAGTTTAAAATGAGACAATATAAGTGAAGGCCGAAGGCTTTTTGTCTATTGCAAAACACCATACAAATGTACAAATGTAAGGCATCATTGTTGTTATTGGTGCCAATGAGGCTGATGGGACCCAGCTCCCAGGGTAGTGCATTCTGTAGTTAGCGTAATTAGTGTGTGTTCTGCATACTGAATTAGATTTTCTTAAAAACATACAATCATTTTTATTTTCTTAGTAATTGTATTTAAGTATACTTTTGCATATATCCTCATTCCAGGGCCACTATGTTGCACAACTCCAGGGGGCACCATTCAATTGTGGTGGCTCTGATTCATCCAGTAGCATTCCTTCCCCTAGAGCCAGACATTGATAACTCATGTGGCCAGAATGTTGACCCACCCATCGGAGATGGTTAATCCTGAGAATTTACAATTCTGTTTTCTTTTATCCTGTCTAGCTTCTTTATTTTTATAGACATCAATTCAGATGCTGCTTGTTTGGGTCACATTTTCCCAAGTTCTTTTTGCTTCCCTGTGAATTCAGACATAAGGTGTGTGTTCCTTCTGTGGTGAATGAAAATGGAGATGAAAAGAGAGGTGCTAAACATGTATCACTTTTAAACTCCAAAGAGTAGGGTCAAGGTCTGTAGCAGGACTCAGCACACTTTTTCTGTAAGGGACCAGATAGTGATTATTTTTTATTTGTGGCTCATACAATCCCTGTCTCAACAACTCAACGCTGCTGTTACAGCATGAAAGCAGCCATAGACAGTATGTAAATAAGCATAGCTGCATCCATATAAAACTTCATTTATGGAGTCAATTTGAATTTCATATAATTTTCACGTCATGAAATATCCTTTTTTGATTTTTAAAAAATCATTTCAAAATATAAAATTCATTCTTAGCTCATGGGCCATACAAAAATAGGTGGTGGACCATAATATCTCAACCGCTGGTCTCAGCCTCACTGCTGAGGATAATGAGTAGCTGTGCACAAATAGTTACTTCATCAGTGCTTCCCCAGCTAGGGACAGAGCTACGCTCACCAGTCATTTAGCCTGCTAGGCAGAACTCTGGAATTCTGATTCAACTTCTGCCCTGATGCTTTCCAGCTGTGACCTTGGGCTCTAGTCACACGATATCAGAGTCTCAGGCTGCTCATTTCCAAAACAGTGATACAAAATTTTTTTCTGCCTTCTTCATGGCACTGGTGCAAACTGCATATGAACGTCTTCATAGTCTGATTGCTGGTTTCCTCTGTGGCCTCCATTTGCAAAAAGTACATTAACATTTTAATCATCCTTCACCAAACATTTCTGGAAGACCTATTCTATGCCAGTCTGAGCCCTTGGGGATATACAGATGACTGAGAACTAGACCTTGCCCTCACAGCAAAAAAAAAAAAAAAAAAAAAAAGCAAAAGAAAGAGAAAAAGAGAGAGAGAACTAGGAGGTATTGTGGCCCAAGTGTAACAGAGGAGGGATGGAATGAGCAAGGGTGGGAGAGACTAGCTCTGCTGGGATGGAGATGGAACAGTGGGAGACTCAGCAAAGGTCCCCCAGAGAAAATGCCAACAAAGCAGGTCTGGGGAGGAGGGTGTCTTGGGATGGCTTGCAAAGCATGATGACAAAGAGCAGCATAGAGAATTTGGGAAGCTTAAATTACTAAGTATGGGGAGCCCACCATGGGTGAAGGACTCCATCAGGAAAGGAGGCTGGAGAGAGAGGATAGAGAAGGGAGGGAGAACTTTGTGTGCCATGTTAAAGAGTGTGGATTTTTTTCCCTATAAAGGAAGGAGAGTCATCAAGGGGTTTAGTCAGGGTTATAACATGATCAGCTCTGGGCTCTAGAATATTCACTCTGGGGGCAAATGTGGAGGAGGAAATAATTGGGGGGAGGGTAGTGGTGGAGATAAGGGGGCCTCTGTGATAATCCTGATGAGCAATGAAGGGGAGTTAAACTATAGGATAATAGCACTAAGGCTAGGAGAACAAAGATACTTTTAGAAAATGTGTATATTAAATTAAAAGAATATTTTGAAGGCTGGGCGCAGTGGCTCGCGCCTATAGTCCCTCGGCCTTTGGGAGGTCGAGGCAGATGGATGGATTGCTTGAGCCCATGAGTTAGAGACCAGCCAGGGCAATGTGGTGAAATCCTGTCTTTACAAGAAATATAAAAATTAGCTGGTGTGGTGGCACATGCTTGTAGTTCCAGCTACTCGGGAGGCTAAAATGGAAGGATTGCCTGGGAGGCGGAGGCTGCAGTGAGCTGAGGGCGCCACTGCCCTCCAGCCTGAGCAACAAAGTGAGACCCTCAAAAAAAAAAAAAAAAAAAGAATATTTTGAAAGCAGAATAATATTAGACTACACTGGAAAAGCATGGTACTTAAAGGTATTGAATTTTTTTGTAAGTAAATAAAAAGATATACACAAACACACACACAAATTGTCGGACCCAAATTCCCTAAGTTTAGGTGTTTGCCTTCAAATTTTCTTCAAATTGGAGAGCCTATGCAACTGATTGTCAACAAAATGCAATGCTTAAAATTTCTGGGTAACTCATTATAGTTTTGATATCTAAAGAGGATCATTGACAGAGCTTTCTCACAGTATTTATTACCAAATGGAAAAGTGTCAGTTTCTGCTGAGACTTTGATGACCCTTTGCTTAAATCTTGGTTCTCCATAGAATACATTGTGATTTATGTTTTTGTTTCAGAAAAAGGTCCAAGCATGAAGGAACCAAATCCAATTTCTCCACGTAAGTCTTTATGCAACTATTTCGAAATAAAACCTCCTGGGCTTTCCTAAGAATGAGTTGGTTAGTGAACATTTGCCAAACTTTGAGTTTTGATAAGGAGACTTCTGCTCTCATTCCCCCTTCCCCCTTCCCCTTTCCCCTTTTTGCTCATATTTTTTCCTTTCCTCTGTCCTTTGTTTATCCCTGCTTTCTTTTTCCCTTTCACCTTTACCACTTTAAAATATTAATTTGTTGATCCATTGGCATGTATGGCTTGAATGGGAAGGTAGTAACTTATTTAGAGAGACAAGTTAATGACTTGCATGCTTATGTCTGCTCTAACCTGCAAGAATTCACATACAGCCATGGAAGTGGTTTGCTTTAAGTCTTATCAACAATATTTATCTGCTCAGAGGCGTAATGCTAAGGGAACTCATTGCTATACTTTCAAGACAATCCGTAGTGCAAGGGCTGGGGGCCCCAGGAAGAGCATGTAAGAATGAAAGAGAAAGCAACACCAATTGCTGCAGAATAAGGACTTGGAAATTGTCTAGGCCAATTTCATTATTTTATGCAGAAGAAAATGCTGACCCAGAAATATTCCTGCCTCATTGGCATTGAGGCAGGACTTCAACCTGGACTTCCCAGCTGTCCACCCAGAGCTCTTCTAGATAATGTTGTCTTGTGAGGAGAATTTGTGAATCTGTGCTTTTTTTCCTTTCCTAAGATTCCCAGGATTAGTCTCCGTGGCTGATTCACTACATTTAACAATCAGTCTGGAAAGTTCCTTTCACAAAGCACTTCATAAACCATTGTCTTAAGTGGATTATTTTTTTTAAATTATGGAACAATATGAACTCAAACAGAGGCACATATGGACACATATCTATCTTTGGAGATTTAGAATAGTTTCATTAAAAACTTGTAATCATGTTCAATTTTTGCATCTGTGGGTATAAAAAGGCAAATCATCTTCTAATATCAGTTTTAAGGACTAGATTAAATAGGTTGATGGCTCGGTTCAACTTCACCTCCAGGGAGCTCTTCCCACCTCTTCCTCCACCTGACTTCAGCAGGTGACTAAAGCTATCCGCATTTTTCAGAAGGTAAATGAACACACCAAAGAGCACAGGTCTAGAAGAGTGGGGACCAGAACTTGGGAGTTCGGATCCTTCCAGACTTGTTCCACCACAGCATACTTTCCCCGAGCCTTTGGAGTGCTGGGCTGCCCAAAGGTCACAGGAGTGTATGGCAGTCTTCAATGTAAAAAAAAAATAGCTTTCTTTACACTGAAGTGAGTTGAAAGGCAGGGATTTAATTTATACAGAGATCACTGGAGTTGCTTCTGACTGGAGCAGAAAGTAGAAATAATATGATAATAGTGGGGAGATCCTGTATTTCCCACTTATATTCAAAACCCAGAGACCTTAGAAATTGTATTCTACCTAAAACTCCTCCCCCTTGGAAACCAATTTTAACTTTTTATAAGTGACTCAAAGAAGGTAGTTCTCTTAAATGAAAGGAAATGTTCTATTTCTGGGGCCTGGAATTAATTTCAAATATAAAAACCTTTGCCAAATGGAGAAACAATTGGTTCTATTTATATGTTTTGCTGACCATAAAACTGACATCACTCCCCACTGGGAAGTATTTCCGTTCCCCTTATAGAAAGATCATGGTTGGAAAAGTGTTAAAAAGTAGGTTGTTTTAAATGATACAATATGAAGCTGTTAAGATTAAGAGTTTAATATGAGGAGATCGGTGAAATGTTATAATCCACAGGAATAGTTTATTTTTATTCTATATTCTCCTTTCTTTCTGTTATCTTTCATACTTGTAAATGTTCACAAAAATATGTGTATAAAGTATTCTAAGGTGTGTGTTTTCTGTGCAGTGTGTCATTTTTGGAGATGTTCAGTGAATAAGCAGCAGTAAGCCAGATTTTGATCATGGAAGTTCACTTTATTTTCCAAAGCATCTTAACCTGTGAATTTTCAAGCTACCCTCCATTCAAATAGTAGGTCCTTAGAGTGAGACAATGAGATGACAGACAAGATTTTACTGAGTTTGCAAATCTGATTTTTTAGTTAGTTTGTTGATCAAAATAAATTGCAAACTGAGAATACTTTGGAAACCTGATAATTTCATTTAACCTTTGAAAAAAATTTGCAAGTTACAAAATACAGTGTATTTTATTGGAATCTTCATTGCATTCTCCGATTTTATTAGTGCTCAACCTTTATGACAGTGCTTGTGAAACAAATATAAAATTGCAATGCATGATGCAGACTAACCAAAAAGTTGTGTGTATCGGTTTCTCTCCTTTATAGCAATTTTCCATGGTCTGGACACCCTAACCGTGATGGGCATTGCGTTTGCAGCCTTTGTGATCGGAGCACTCCTGACGGGGGCCTTGTGGTACATCTATTCTCACACAGGTTAGTGTGACTGTTGAGTAAGAGTTGGTGAACAGCTTGTGTTCCTGCCACACAATAGACACTCAGTGTTTTGTTGGATGAAATAACGAATGAAAGAGAAAGTTCATTCCTACTATTTTTACATTTACATATTTGGTATAAATTGGGTTTCACAAAAGTATAATTTGCCATAAACAGTGGAAAGAAAAGGAAGGTTTAAACTGTGCTAATTGCGATTGTGATGTTGGTGAAATTTAGCCGCTAATAAAGCTACTTTGTTGTTAGAGTTTAAGGTTAATGCAGACAACGTACAGAAATACAAACCATTCCGTCAAAACCAAAGACTTAAGGATAGGCATATACATGAGAGGAAGTGAAAAAGAAAGCCAAGATTTTATTACCACACCTGCCAAGGTATTGAGCACTGTCCATCAGAGTCCTTAATCAATGACTTAAACCAGATTTTCTCAACCTTTTTTTAACCCATGCTATGTCTTCTTTGATAAAACATAAAATTTTCATGTTTTTCTATAAAGTTAAATTTTCTAAATAGATTTCCATGAACTGAAAAAAAAAAAAAAAGTGATGAAACAGAGCACTTCATTTTCAAGCTATTATCCCTCAATCTTCAAAATTCAGATGTGCTCCTCCCTACCAATCCCAAGGTTGAAACATACTAGCCTGATGAGAGAACCTGTTCTGACCCCAATACAGAATGCAGGCCAGCAAAGGGAGTCTTTAGTGCAATGGAGAAAGAACAAATGGATTGTCCTGCTATTGATTCTTTCTTAGTTTCCTTTCAACTATGGGCAGGAGTGACATGCATTTTGCGGCATTCTGGAGAACTAGAATGTATAAAATCGGTCTTGTTCTTGTTTGTTCTTGGATCCTTGTAGTTTTATACTGTGAACCTAGATAAACTGTGCTAGATTGATCCGTCAGAGGCAAGTGGCAGGCCCAGCTTCTCTGTTTATAATTTCATTAATTGTCCATTAAACCAATGAATGCCATGATCTTTGGCTTCCCCTTGGGCCAAGCTGAAAGGATGGCTGATTTAAAGAGGAAGGAAGTACTGAAGGATATTTTGGAGAGTCATATCTTTACCCTCTTGATTGCTAGACAAAACGTCAAGCTGTTGAGAATAAAAGCATGACACAGTGATCCTCTGATAGTTAAAAGTGTCAGATTCAAATCAGAATTTTCACTTTAAATACTACATCTCCTGCCTGAGGTATTTTAGATTACGCCAGAAGGAGAGGAATGGACTCTTTCATGCCTAGCATGGGACATTCACCCAAAAGGCAACCTCTTGGCAAAAATGTAGAAGACTTGAATAGAGAGACTTTGAGTCCTCAAATGCTTGTTCCTAGTCAGGATACTTTGAGTAAAGTATGTTTACGTGAAAGATTAAAAAATGACTTCTCATAATCCTAGCATTTTGGGAGGCAGGGGCGGGAGGATCACTTGAGCCCAGGAGTTCAAGACCAGCCTGGGCAACATAGTGAAACCATGTCTCTACAAAAAAACACAAAAACTAGCATGGCGTGGTGGTGTGCATCTCTTGTCCCAGCTGGCTGAGGTGGGGATCGCTTGAACCTGGGAGGTTGAGGCTGAAGTGAGCTGTGATGGTGCCACTGCACTCCAGCCTGGGCGACAGAGAGAGAAGTTGTCTCAAAATAAATAAGACTCCAGTGTCATGATTCTGGAGTATTATATAACCATCTGTGAATCAGTTTAGGAGGATTCTCCCTCATGAACAGTTTATAAAAGGACCAGAAAGACAGAATTTAGCAGAGCAGCATTTTAAAGTAAGTAATTTTGTCGCAGGAATACCGACATGTTCAGATCTCAAGCTAACAGTTCTTTGCAACTTTTCCAACCTCCTGCCTGGCTGAGAGGTTCTAGGGCTGTTGGCAGCCTGTGTTGGCTGTTGGGAGTGAGTTTGAAAGTCCTCCAAGAAGACTGGGTCACCCACAGATGTTTACCATGTGCCTGCTCAGCCACTGACTGGCCTTGGTCACACAGCTGCACTCTCATAGCTAATCTTGGGCCAGGAAGCCAGGTCCAGGCAGAATATAGGGCAACCAGATAATACTCACTACTGGAACATGCCCCACTGAAATCCCCCCAATAATCCAGACTGTTACCCACAGCCAAGCACACAAACCTGATAAAAAGCAAAACTTGGTGGTATGGCATGTATTCATCCTCATTGAATTTGGAAGTCTGTTGTTACTGATCCTTTTTCCCCCAAGCCAGAGACTTCAGGAGGGCCTTTCAAGTACTGTTAATGTAGAAATAGGTTTGTAAGTAAATTTAAGAAAAATGAAACCAAAGACCTCCCTCCTGTGATGCTTTCCAGCAAAATGAATTACACTGATTCAGAAGGTAAAAGGTTTATAGACACTGTCATTTGGGCTTAAAATCCATTGGCATGACTTATGAGACAGCTTCAAAATTACTTTTTATTAAAAACTGTAGCCTCTGGTTCATTTTATAGATTGCTCTTGAGGAATACCAGCATCATACAAGCATGAAGAAGACTCACTTCAGGACCACATGATAGTTCTTTTCCAGAACCCCTTCAGTTTGTTACCTGGGTCAGCTAGCAGCAATTTAGATTAATAAGGAAGATTATAATGCAGTGGGCAATGGGGAGAGCCAGGATACAAATACTGACTCAGTCCGTTCAATTTCAACAGTGATTGAAGCTGTGGAACTCACAGATCGTATATGCTGTATTTGGGGGTTCAGATAGCATCTGCCTCTGTGTGAAAAACAATCCTTAATTTGAATAACTTTTCCTTTGTTTACGCTTTCCATTCCATGTGCAGCACGGAGCACAAAACCAAGTCACAAATTTGGATTGTGGATATCTACTTACATACCTGGAATGTGTGTTACTCTACAAAGACTGGGTTCCCACTTTATCATATGACAACTCTGGGCACAATAAGAGATATTCCCTTAAGGCTGGATTAATTCTGTTTGGAAAACTCCATTCCTAAAACTTACATTCTCTCCTAAGATGCTGTAGAGAGGAGGGGTGCTTGGGGGCTGAAATGGTGCTGGAACCATAGAATGTTCATGCTCCTAGGAACCCTACCTAGTTCAGGGGTCCCTAACTTCTAGTCCATGAAGGTCCCTAAAGTCACATGCAAAATCTTATCTGTTTTTTTCTTGAAGGGAGGAACAAATGCTTTTATTTTTATTTTCTAGTAAAACTTTTTAGCTTCATCAAAGTAGTACATGCAAATAGTTTAAAGGTTGAAATAATCCTACAAGACTCATTATGAAAAAAAAATCACACCCCTACTGTCCTTACCTTCTTTTCTCACTCCCCAGAGCATTATTTTTGGCGCTTAGCTCATCCTTTTGGATGTTAATCCATACTTCTAAATAACCTGAGTATATTGCTGCTTTTTGACTTTGCAGGTTTACACCTTTGCTCTAGACCTCCTGTTATGGAAAATGTCCCCTTCCCCCACCATCCTCTTAATAGAAATATACTGACATTTTGGTTAGAGCAGCATTTACTGTTTACATTATTATGACTACCTAAATGCTAATCACAGTTAACTCATGTAGTATAATATCCTGCATGACTTTTAATTTTCCCTAGAATTAATTATTATCTTTCCCCACCCTACCCCATTAGCTTAATTTTCTTTTCTTTTTTTTCTTTTTTTTGTTTTGAGACGGAGTCTCGCTCTGTCACCCGGGCTGGAGTGCAATGGCGCAATCTTGGCTCACTGCAAGCTCCGCCTCTCAGGTTCCTGCCATTCTCCTTCCTCAGTCATCAGCTTAATTTTCTATGTATTTATCATTAATTCTTCTGCTGACCCTGCCAGCTGTCTCAATCTCCTTTTAATACATTGAGACATATGGAATGTTCTACTGATTCCTTTTCTTCAGCTCTTTCCTGGAGCCTCTGACCTGCTCCTGTCTGAACCGGTTCCCTCCATTTCTGGACACTGCTGTCTTCCTATGATCTTCTTCGCTACCATTCTGTGCATTCCCTTCACTTCTCTTTTGAGTTGTGGATGTCCTGTGTCATGTATCTCCTGCCTTTCTTCTTCCTGGTTTAAAGCGTACAGAGGACGCAAATGTTTTTCACACCTTGCATGTCTGAAAATATCCTCATTTAACAGAAACACCTGGTAGACAGTTTGGCAAGGTACAGAATGTTAGATTATAGACACTTTTTCCTTCGGACTTTTGAAAGCCCTCCTCATTGTCTTCTAGCTCTGAGGATTGCTGTTGAGAAGTTCAGAGCTGTGCAGATTCCTGATCCCTTTTGTATATAACCTGTTTTTTCTTTCTGGAAGAAATTTTACAATGATATCTCTTGAGTTAGGTGTATGTTTATACATTATGCTGGTCACTAATTGGGCCCTTTCAGTTTAGAAACTCATATCTTTCAGTACTGAGATTTTTAAGAATGATTTATTTTTTTCTCACCCCCTTTTTTCTGTTTTCTCTCATTTTAGAAATCATTTTATTTGAAAGTTGAACCTCTTGTCCTTTAATTTTCCTTTCTTTCCTGTTTTCCATGTGTCTGCTTTCTTTATTTTCTGGGAGATTGTCTCATCTTTATCTTTCAGTTTTTTACTGAGTTTTTAATACTGGCTTCAAATTTTTTAATTCCAATAACTTTTTTAATTCTAATAACTTTTTTCCTGTGAATTTCTTTTCTTTTAAAAAAAGTTCTATTCTTGTTTCATGGGTGCAGTATCATCTGAGAATATTAATATAGGATTATTTAAGAATGAGGAAAAAAAAAGAATGAGGAAATTCTAAGCTGTGGGTGGGATGTATTGATTGTGAACTTCTTTAAGATGATCTGACTGGGCCATTTTATTGATGAATCCCTGATACCTCATCATTGGATCTTTCCTCTTTAGCTCTTCAGGCTTCCATAAAATATGTTTTTTTGCCTCCTGCTTGAAAGGTATAGGACTGGCTGTTGAAAGACCATTATAATGGGCACTGATAAAAATAAACTGACATGGCAACAAATTATATTTGGCAAATAGACACCGGAAAGCAAATATCCAGACTTCCCGGCCAGGGTATAATCCTGGCGCTTTTCCCGAATGCAAATAGTGAAGCGCATGGCAAATTCTGCAGGAGACAAATTTGTTACAAAGTAGGACTGGAACCCTACTTTCTTGATTCAGAGTTTCACTGTTGCTAGATGAGGCAAGGCCATCTGGCTTTATCTCCTTTTAGGCTGAGCAAAAGAAGCCCAGGTGAGCCAAAATACGTATTAATATATGTTTGCCGAATCCCCCCCTTTTGAATGTGGTACTCTTGCCCTCAAATGTGCCTGGTGTTGATCATTTCTGGAACCTTCAGTTTCCTCCTCTTAAGAGAGTAAAATTCCCGTCTTCTTCCTGGATTAGGAAGGGCAGATCTCAGCCCAGTGGAGCGAGGGAGGAAATGTAGAGAACTATTCTGCTTCTCATATAGTTCAGCCAACCCCTCTTGCTTATAGCCATATGTTCAAGGGAGGTTTCCAGAGGTGCCTGATGCCACCATTCCCTGAGTTTTTTAAGGGTTCGGCGACATAAATTGCTTGTTTCTCAGTTTTTCCCACTGTTGGCTTAGGTTTCGGCTCTCTTGAGTCTGCCAAGTCAGTTGCTACTCACCCATTTCCTCACCAGCTTCCAATATATTTTATTGCTGTTATCTTTACTTTTGTTATCTTTGTTTTCATGTGTTTATGCCTTTAAAAGTCCATTTACTGTCATTCTGGTAAGATTTGGGAAAGGAATGCAAGTCAATGCCTTTAAATGCACTATCTCTATGCAAAGTCGTACCCTTGCTTTTTTTTTTTTTTTTTTTTTTTTAATCAGTTTCTTAAAGGGAGTCCTTGGAAAATTACTAGTCTGCATCAGCATTTCCTTTTTACGTAGCGAGAAAACTGAGCCCAGAGAACTGATGTGACAAGCTCAAAGTTACCCAGGCACAGCGGCCAGGACTGAAGGCTTGCTTTCTTGATTCAGAGTTCACTCTTTTCTTCCTGTTCTGTTATTACAAATTCAAAGGTCACGTAGCCATAATCTTTTTATCCTCCTTCTGCTTATCAGATAATAAACATTAATTAACATGTGTTTCGGTTTTTCTTTTTGCCTCTGTTTAGTGTCAGCTAAATTTTTTTGGTTTGTTCACTCATGTATTCGTTCTTTCACTCAACTTATTCAATGGATTTTTTAAGCTATTGTTAAATGCCAACGCTATTCTAGGCACTGGTAAAATAGCCATGAGCAACAGAAAGTCCTTGCTGTCGTGGAGTTCCCATATATTCAGAGGAAGAGAATAACCAAACAGACTGATTATAAGCAGATTGGCTCAGGCAGAAACCCAGCTACAGGCACACATGCCAACCTTTAGGAAAGCAATGACCTGATGAACTGTGTCAGAAAAATGGAGAACTGACAAGGGAAGTCTCACTGGAGAAAGAAGAAGTGTTTCTAATCTGAAGAATTAAGTTTTCTATTAACCTTTTATGGAAACTGAGGGGAGGGTGAGAAGAAGGGGGAAGGGTATGAATGGCCAGATGCTCCGGGAGGTGCTTTGTTTTTTGAGAGAAAAAGACACACCAATAGACACCAGGAAAGCCGAAGGCATTCATCTTAACCTCTGTGTTTAATGGTTTTATAAAATAATGATATGGGCATTTGAGTGAAAAGAGAGTGGAGCCTGCCTTCTTTACAGTCACATTGGGGTTTCCGTCTGTTCCAGCTGCATCTGTCTGATCCCTGGGACTTGGTCTCTTGCCTCCTACCTTATCACACCTTAGTCTGTCTGCTTGCTGTTTCTCTTTTCATCGGGCTACACTTGGGAACCTGGAGAAACCTCAGGCCTCTGAACACATTGGCACCTCCCGAGCTACTTCTAATGAAAACCTCTTACCTGACTTGGGTGGACTTTTGGGTATGCGCTTGACTTTTGCTTTAAGAACACATGGTGTGTTCCATGGAGGGTTGTTGAAAACTGCCTGATGAGTTGGGACGGGCACACCTAATTCAAAACTTCAGCATTTTATTATGCTCTGTGAAACAGTGTTCCTTACACGCTTAGATTTTTTTTCTGCTTACACATCAGAGCAGCCTTAAAGTTGAAAAAGCTTTTATTACGCATTTCTTGTTTTAAGTACGCTCACCCTAATAACCCTGTGAAGTAGTGATTATCTCTGTGTTGACTAAAGGGAAACACAACTAATATACCTACTAAGGTAGCAAGTCTAGCCATTGAACAAACCAGAGCTTCAAGTCCAGTTTCTGACTCAGGGTTGTAGCGATAGCTGTGGAGGACAGCCTTCCTCCTCCACCTGATTTCTCTTTCCCTCTTGCTTTTCTTCTTCTTCTTAGTTATTATCAGATTTTGCATCCTATTCAGGGGCCACAAAGGCAGGGAAGATACCACAGAAAACCAAAGTCCATATACAAACAGGTTGGCCACACTGCAGGAATATAGAAAGAAAGTAGTAGGCAGGACATTGTGAAAAACTTTAATTCTTGATATAGTCTTTTCCCCGTGACTTCTAACAACATCTAACTCACCCCTCCTGGAGAATTTTGCTGCAAAAGAAGAGTCTTTTGTGTGGAGGCTGGGGAGGAATGAAATTTGAAAATGATAAAAAGTGATTGAAGACTTCTCTAAATTAAAGGTAGTATCGTTCACTCTGCTTAAAGAGTGAGCTTGTGAATTAATTACAGTTAGGAGATCAAGAAACTGAGACATTAATTGATAGAAAATCGCATCCAACACGTAGATCTAGAAGAAAATATCTTTATTTTCTTTCTAGCATCAAGGAATATTAAATCTAAAGTGTCCCCAGGTATATGGTTTTCAATCCTGTGCTTAAATATCTCCTGAGAAGGAGATTCCATAAATTCCCTCTATAACTAACCAATCCTCATAATCAGCAAGTTCTTTTCTATCTGATCTAAATCCCTAGTCCTGCCATTTAAACTCATTTCCTCATGTTCTGCCCTCCAGGGAGATAAAGAACAGCTGTCTGCTCCTATTTGTAATAATCCTCATGGAGAGTATTTGCAATAGTCTCCTTTGGCCTAAATACCAAGCTTGCCCTCACCTTTCTTTTTAACTCTTCTCTTGTTTCCCCACAGAGTCCTCCCATGCTATTCACATCTTTCTTGAATAGTTTCTTCCCCAGGACCTGCCATGGTGAAAGACTTAGAAATAAGAATACAGTTGTAATATAGACGCCAAAGAGGTAGCAGGAAGTCAGATCTGGGCAACTCCATGCCATGCTAAAGAAATAAAACATTCTCCATTAAGAAATGTTTTTTGTTTGTTTGTTTTTGCTTCTTTTTTTCTTCTTCCCCCTGGTAGAGACAGGGTCTCTCTCTGTTGCCCAGGTTGGAGTGCAGAGGCTCTTCACAGGTGAGATCATAGCTCACTGCAGTCTCTAACTCCTGGCCTCAGGAGATCCTCCCCCTTCAGCCTCCTAAGCTGGCACTGTAAGTGACTGCACCTGGCTTTGTTTTTCTATTTCTTGAGGCATCTCTGGCAGTATCTAGGCCCAGCCATAGGCTAACTGTGAGATGGGTGGAATTAATCCTTAGTGTCCTTATCCTCAGTGTACTCTCCTCCTCCAGAGTATGTCAGGCACCAAATTCCTCTCTCCCCTACTCACTCTCCCTCCTCTCAAATCTCTGTTCCCTCAATGTGGTTTGATATTTTAGGAGGAAAGCAGGAAGACTGAGTACATTTCCTCTGCTGGCCAAGTCTGATATTTATTTACAAGCAAGGCGCCCTCCTTGAATTTCTTAGATGTGTTAATTGGGCCTAGTCTGCTTAGCCACGAGGTCCTCCCTGCCCATCTCCTTTAGGAGCAGCCTTGTTATACTTGTCACCCAAGGGATGTTTTAGAGAAAGTTGGTGCTCCACGAAATCAGAGACCACTGCAGTGGAGAGCAGACAGCCAAAGACCCATCTCAGAAAACCCAGGGGTCTCTGTTGGCCCATTAAGTAGAAGCATCTGTACATTCAACTTTCTTCCTCATGGTGAATTTTTCTGTAGCATCACTTCCATTTGACAGTGAAAAAACTTAATCTGTCAAAAGGTAAGAGTTATTTTTAAAACATGGTTATATTGAGAAACCTTGCATCTTACATGTGAAAATAGCCACAGAACTGGAAAGGATGGTCTGAAGAGGGGACTTTCAATATTTCCCAGCAGATTCTCAGACAGAGACTCACCTTGGCCCATTATTGGATCAAAGTCAATATAATATTAGGTTAACTTGACTTATCCAGCTGGTGAGATGCATCCTGCAGTCTTGAGTGCGGAGGCTTCTTTGTTTTGTTTGGGGTTTTGTTTTGAAGTGTTTTGCATTACCAGAACAAGAGTTCCCAAAACTCGGGAAGTTGAAAGGTCTCTTTAATGGGCACGGATGAAAATAAACTGACATGGCAACAAATTATATTTGGCAAATAGACATCGGAAAGCAGATATTCAGGCTTCCTGGGCAGGGCATAGTCCTGGCACTTTTCCTGAATGTGAATAATCAAGCACAGGGCAGATCCTGGAGGAGCACACTTGCTCCCTATTGCTTGATGAAGCAAGGCCTTCTCTTTTACCTGCTGTTGGGCTGAGCAAACAAAGCCCAGGTGAGCCAAAAAAGAAAAAGATGGAGTTGGCCTCCTGCTTTTCAGATGTATCCTTATTAAAATAGGAAAAAATATTTTTAAAATGTGGTTCATGCATAGCCACATTAGTCCTTCTGATTGATTATGTGAGGATCCAGCTGGGTATGGACCAACATGTGGTTTGTAAGGGAGTCAAATTCTTAAAGTATATCTAGAGTTGTTTGGGTCTCTGGAGGTTGTTTTTGTTTTGACCTCAGAATAGTTAAGAGATTTGATTCCCTTCTAGAAATAAAGCTCCTACTCTGGGGAAAGTGAATTTTTGGCAGAAAGTTATTGCCATGGAGGCTAATTTCCCCAGCCTTAATTATACACACACATGAAGAGTAGAGGGCAGTGCTGGGGAGGGTCCAAAACATAGGTTTCCAAAAAAGTCAAAAGCAGTGTTTCAGCCGGGCGTGGTGGCTCACGCCTGTAATCCCAGCACTATGGAAGGCCAAGGTGGGCCGATCACGAGGTCAGGAGATCGATACCATCCTGGCTAACACAGTGAAATCGTGTCTCTACTAAAAATACAAAAAATTAGCCAGGCATGGTGGCACATGCCTGTAGTCCCAGGTACTCGGGAGGCTGAGACAGGAGAATTGCTTGAACCCGGGGGGTGGAGGTTGCAGTGAGCCAAGATCATGCCACTGCAGTCCATCCTAGGGGACAGAGCGAGACTCCGTCTCACAAAAAAAAAAAAAAAAAAAAAAAGGCAGTGCTTCTCCGCTTCTCAGGAATATTGACCCCAGTCCCCTATCCATCCCGCCAATCCCAGAAGAAAAGATAATTAGAGGAAGTACAACAAGGGCCAAACTTACAACAAGCACATAAATACTTTGAGGTTGATGCAAAAGTGTGTATAGCTGTGTGGTTCATGAAAGGGGTGACAGGAAAAGCTGTAACCAGACCCAGGGACATGAGCCAGTTCTACATTTTGCAGAACTGCTTTTTTCACAGAGGCTTTTGAGGGGCCCCAGAAAGAGAATGGAAGTAATGGGGCCAAGTTCCTGCACTGGAGGGCAGGGCCTTTCCTCGAGTGTTTTGTTTTAATGAAGCAGCTGGAAGGGTTGCTTATCTCCGGCTGATAGATGTGTATTTCAGCATGACAGGAAAGAGGAGGCTCATTCATAAACAGGCCTGGCCCTCTGGGGTTTCCCACATTGAAGGAGGGGATGCTGCTTACAAGAAGTTTATGAAGTTTATGCTCTGACTTTTCAAAGTAAATGCAGTGTTTTTTATTGGAGAGCCCTGATCGCTTTTCCCTACCTAGAGCCATTTTTTGAGGGTTGCACTGAGGCCGGTTTTGCCGAAGAGAAGACTAACTCTAGGGCCTTTTGCACTGTTAAATGCAAACCATGTGTGTGACTTGAGGTTTCCTTCCTCTCCAAAGCACTGCACATTTGGCACGATGAATGGCTTTAGCTAAAATGCAGTGGGGTGTGTAATGAAAAGTGGGATGCTTAAAGTGTTAGGAGATACTCACACTGCACCCCACAGGGAACCTCAGTGGGGAAGAGAGGCCATTCGCTGGCAACTGCAGTCCCCATGTGCAAACAGCTAAACCCCTTCCCCAAAAGGTTTTTCCAATAGCAGCTATCCCCCACCCCGGTTTCTCAGGTAATTTATCTGTTTGGCACACAAGGCTCTCTCTACTGTAGCTAGGACAAAGTCTATATTTCACTCCTGTTTTTAACAAGTGCATTCAGAACAAGGCTCCCAAACTTCCAGGGTTCTCTTAACTACAATTGAAAGGTCACACCCTCCAAATCCTACAGTGTCTTTATGAGAGAAGATGGACAGTGTTTCCTGAATACAGGTGCTGGTCAGTTGCCAGCTCACACAGACCAAGTGGTGGTGATTTCATCAAAGGTTGTGGACCCTGAAATCCAGGGACTTTGTCATCAACTCTCAGGGGTCTTAGCCACTAGAGCTGCCTGTCAGTCAGCTGTCTTCTTTTTCCCATTCATGATGCTTTAAAAATAAAACAACAAATAGCAAAACCTTATTTTAGAAGGTATTCCAGCCATCTAGGACCTAGTCTAGTTGCTTCTGCCCTGGTTGAGAAAAATATCAGTTAAAATGGCAAATGCGGAATAAATGATCTTTTCAGGAATGCACATACATAATATGCGTCTTTCTCTGACTCTGCCTTTTCTTTATTAACTGCAGGGGAGACAGCAGGAAGGCAGCAAGTCCCCACCTCCCCGCCAGCCTCGGAAAACAGCAGTGCTGCCCACAGCATCGGCAGCACGCAGAGCACGCCTTGCTCCAGCAGCAGCACGGCCTAGCCCAACCCAGCCCAACCCGGCCCAACCCAGCCCAGCCCAGCTCAGCTCAGCTACTGCCAAGGGCAGGACCAATGGCTGAGCCTCGTGTCCAGACTCAGAGGGCTGGATTTTGGTTCCCTTGTAAAGACAGAGTGAATTTCAGTATAAAGATCACCCGTTGTATTCACCCCACACCCAGGGCTAGTATAAACATGACCCTGGGCTTCTGTACCACACTAGAATTCATGTGAGAAAGCTAAAATGGTGGTCTTCTCCACCAGCCCCTCACAGGCTTGGGGGTTTTCAATGTGAAACACATGCCAGTTTTTAAAATGCTGCTTTGTCCAGGTGAGAACATCCATAATTTGGGGCCCTGAGTTTTACCCAGACTCAAGGAGTTGGTAAAGGGTTAATAGCCAGATAGTAGAACCAGTGAGGAGATGCGGCCAAAGATTCTTTATATCTGAACCAAGATGTAAAACAAGAAATGCTTTGAGGCTTTCTAAGCGATCCTCCTGTCTAATTTGCACCTTTGTCTGGATGCACACTTCTGACCTTGCTGCCACAACCTGTGGGGTCTGATGTGTCCCTTGATGGGTGCTGCCCTCAGGGACTGCACCCTGACAAGTGTTAAGGCAACATTCCTTTCTTGTGCCCTGGGCCAAAACCAATGCTGATGACCTTATCAGCTTCCTGTTTCTTCCCATACTTGCATACACCACTGCAAAATGTCTTAATGCAAATTTTGTATTTCTTACAGGCCTACAGAAATTGAAAATGACCAAAATCAGGAACCACAGATTTGTGCCCATTCCTAATATTTTGTTCTGCAAATTAATGTATAATTTGAGGTGAAATTCAGTTATAAAGTCAAGGACGAATTTGCACAGTGATATATTTCTATGTGTATGCAAGTACAAGTATATAATATGTCACCTGGCACATTCATTTTCTCAGTTGAAGAAGAGAAAATTTGAAAATGTCCTTATGCTTTTAGAGTTGCAACTTAAGTATATTTGGTAGGGTGAGTGTTTCCACTCAAAATATGTCAACTTAAAAAAAAATAGGCCCTTTCATAAAAACCAAACTGTAGCAAGATGCAAATGCATGGCAAATCCTGTCGGTCTCCAGTTGGTTATCTGAATAGTGTCACCAATTCCACCAAGACAGTGCTGAGATTGGAAAAGGGCACTCATTTGGATTGCCTTACTTCTCTTGCCTTAAATATATCCCATATATTTAATATGTCAAAAAGGGCTTGAGGTGAATTTCATTAAATGGAATAATATGATGCCACTTTGCAGCTAAAATAAGCTCAGTGATACCTCCTTGTTAAAAAAAAAAAAAAAAAAAAAGAATGCCAGGGGGGAATTATCATGCTAAATTATTTTACTGCTGAAGATAGCTTCATTGCAAATTATTCTTTTTCCAGAATTTCCCCCAAACAACTTAGAATTCCATAAGTAGAACAAGATAGATTCTACCCCCAAAATATTCATAAGCAAATCCCACTGCCCTTAAAATAAGGAAGTTATGCCTGGTTGTCTGTGAATGGAACCTCAGTAGGTAATCCTGATGAAGCTTAAAACCTTAGGGCAGTGTCTACATGGGAAACAAGTATGTGGAAATTGACAATCATTTTTACCAAATCGTTGAGTAATAATATGACTTACCTGATAGATATACACATTCAATAAGGAACATTTTTTTTTTTCAATAAGGAACATTTTAACTAAAACATTACTTTAGGGCTGAGATTTCCAGGCTATCTACATTGATCTACTGAAAAATTTCTAGATTTCCATATACAAACGAAGAAGACATGAGTTTAGAGAATTTTTTTCCTTTAATTTTTTTTTAACAGAAGGGTATCAGAGTGGAGGACCTAGATTACGCTACCTGTGTTTGAAAATATTGCGCTTTGCCTAACCTTCGGTGGAATGTATTGTTTCAGCATATTCTATGTATAAAAAAGTTTAAAGATGTCTTCAAAGAAGACTAGAGTCTTTAAGTCACTTATAGCTATATTTTACTACAAAATTTGTGTATAAAGATATATTTAAGTGTTTTAGATAAATTTAAGTTACTCCATATGAAATGTTTAATTTCAGCTACTGTGAATTCTTTCGATCAGTCCTTTGCTTTTTTAAAAAATCTTTTCCATCGTGTTAAAAAGAAAATTAGCTATTAGGAGATATTAAAAGATTGATGTCTTAGAAGGACAGGGTTAAAACCTTCTGTAATATATTTAAATATATATTTTTAAGAGAGATGCTACATTGCCAATGATTTTATAAATAATTTAAAATTAATTTACAAATTTATAGATGCAAACCAAAAGATCTTTTTAAAAGAGAGAGAGAGGAAAAAAATCACCTTTTATTTGTTTGGGTCTCATTGTCAGAATTATTATTCAGATCAAGAAATCTGTGTCGATAAAACCTAATCTCATATTGGAGAGTGAATGTCGTTAAGTATTTCTGAAATGTTTCTAAAAAATGAACATGAAAAAAATAAGGTATTTTCTCCCTAGCTTCTCATTACAGTATTTCTAATTGCTTCACACTTTACAGTTTTAATACAAAGTACAAGCTCTACTTTTATAACGTGTACTACAAGTTTCTTTAAAAGTATTGTTGTATTTCAGCTGAACTCTTGTATCTGCAGTCTTTTGTTATTTCTGCAGGCTACACCCTTAATTTGCAGAGGCCATTTTGTTGTTTGTTTGATGCTGAAGCTGTTGTTAAAATGCCCCAAACTCCAAGGCAGATTGTCTGTATAATACGCTATAGCTTTTCACCATGTGGTGTTTACCAGCTGTTACTCTGTATTTTAAAAAGCCAGAGATTTCTTCTGTCTAAACTGTTTCTATAGCATTTTCTAAACAAAAAAAATGGTTTTTTTCTTTGCCTTGTAATAAGATTGTAAATCCATTTCCTGCTTGTGTTCTTAGTGGGCATGATTGTGAGTGTGTGTGGGGTGCTCACACGCGTGCCAGTCTTTTTGTACTGTAACTACCTCATGGTTTGAATGATGATTGTACTGCTGGTTGTGTTAACAGAGCACATTTTGTTGGGTGAGTCCTATGTGATTTTTTTCATGTTTGTTTTATCTGGGGGTTGTTCATGAAACTGACAGATGTTTTTCTAAAAAGGACTATTATCAGTTTCCAAATACAATACTTCTCTCTTCTGGTTTTTCCTGAATGAGCCTGATTTTGTTGCTGGTTTTCATCATCTATGAGGGTAAAACGAGTACCCTTAAAATCCCTGTGGCCAGTTTGAACACCCCTGTTGTATTCTTTTCTCTGTTCAGTGTGTCAGCTATTTTGTGAAGATGCTTAGATGTATAGTTTTGATAACCACAGTTTTAAATCTTTTATCTGTGCATAATAAAAAGATATATATCAGTTATTAATATGTGTCTTGTTATCATTAAATTCTACCCTAAGGCTCATGTAACTTTTTTCACTGTGACTTTCTCCTGAATGGATCGTCTGCTCCGTGTTGATGAGGAAGTGGGAGGAGAAAGGCTAAGAGGTCCAGAGCAGAGGGAAGGGCGGATGGACTAGAAGAAGAGTGCAGCAGGAGCTGTCGCTCTTCTCAGAAAAACATGGCAGGAGACTTGGAAGTGGGTGTCTCACCCTGGAAACCATTCCTGGGCCTTCTGTCAATCTCCCAGAGTCAAAGAAAGAAACATAATATACATTTAAGGTCTACTATTTTCAGCCCCTTCAAATACCCCATTGCTGCTTCCAGCATTCCGTATCTCCATATGGTACCACCGTCTTCCAGTTGTCCAAGCCAGAAACCTGGGAATCTAACTACAGCCTCTTTGGCTCCCCTCTTCCCAAATCAATAAGTCCGAGTGTTATTCTACCTCTAAAATGTCTCTTTCTTCAAACCACTGACTTATTCCTACTCTGACTGTTGTTACACACTGCTCAAGAGCCATTGTCTCTTGAGTCACTGCAGCAGCCTCCTAACTGGTATGCCGACTTTCCATTTTGCTCCCTTCAATTCTTTCTCCACCATGCAGCCAAAGTAATCCTAAAAAGACTCCATTTTGAGGCCTTTAGGTAATTGCCCCATTTGCCTTCAGGATACAGTTCAGATTCCTAAGCATGGTTCCGAGGAGGCTAATCTGCCTGCTTTCCCAGCTACTTCTCTCACCTCTCCGGAGCTCAGTTCTATTTGGCATCCTCACCCCCAGACAAATTTGTAATGAAAAAAGTTCTCGTTCAGTATCAAATATTACATTACAGCATTGAATATGCATTTACAGGCCACACTCCCCTTTTGAGATTTTTAGTGACTCAGATGATTTGGCATCAAGGCCAGCAGCCCATCCCTCACATGTTACACAGGTGGGTACCCACAGAGCCGGAACAGTGTTAAGCTCCATTTTACAGCTACGGTGCCCCCTGCAACCAGCTCCTCTTAGGATATGTGGGAGTAATTGGCAGGTCAATGAATTTTTTTTGCCATTAAACTCTCCTTGTGTCTACTGGAGTCAAAACCTGGGTGATTAATAAATGGGCTTCAGAGAGTCTGTGAAGTGGCTGGAATTGTATGTAGGATTTTATTGCAGCTATGTCTCGGCTGTTGTTTTTGGTGAGAGTCCATAGGCTTTTTGTAAGAAAAAATTATCTTTCTTGTTCACACAATATATATATATAAAATGAATGCAAAGAATACAGACATGTAGCAATGAAAAGGCCTCCATAATCCTCCAACTTGAATATAAGAATACCGATTTAGTGTATGTGTTCCCAGATGTTTCCTTAATTCATATCAACATGTCCATGTCATTAAATAAGATTGGATTATGGCCCGGTGCAGTGGCTCATGCCTGTAATCCCAGTACTTTGGGAGGCCAAGGTGGGTGGATCACTTGGGGTAAGGAGTTCGAGACCAGCCTGGCCAACATAGTGAAACCCTGTCTCTACTAAAAATACAAAAATTAGCGGGGCGGGGTGGCATGCGTCTGTATCCCAGCTACTCAGAAGGCTGAGACACGAGAATCTTTGAACCCAGGAGGTGGAGATTCCAGTGAGTTGAGATCATGTCACCGCACTCCAGCCTGGGTGACAGAGGAAGGCCCTGTCTCAAAAAAAAAAAAAAAAAAAAATTGGATTATAACAGTTGTGACTTGCTTTTTTCTTTTTTCTTTTTTTTTTTTTTTTTTTTGAGACAGGGTCTCATTGTGTCACCCAAAGCTAATTTTTATATTTTCAGTAGAGATGGGGTTTCTACTAAACCCAAGGCAAATTTTTATATTTTTAGTAGAGAAAAGGTTTCACCATGTTGGCCAGGCTGGTCTCGAACTCCTAACTTCAAGTGATCCACCCATCTCGGCCTCCCAAAGTGCTGGGATTACAGGCGTGAGCCACCACGCCCAGCCTGTGACTTGCTTTTTTCATATGGCATATCTTTCTCAGGGCTCCTAAGATGACTGCTGATCATCATCATTTTCTTATTAGGCTTAACTTAAATTGCCCAAATAAAAATATGGTTCTCATAGGAAGTGAAATACAAAGATATTTGTTAACGCTACCCTTCCTACTCCCTCCAGTCACTTACCTAGAGGAGCTGATGTTAACAGCCTTTTTTCAAACTCAAACATATTGAAACGTGTTCATGAATATAGAAGTTTTTGTTTCGTTTACTAAAAATGGGATCACAATATACATACTCTGCAACTTGCCTTTTTCACTTAACATCGACCTCCTGTAGATTATTAGATACGGAACAAATTTCATGTTTTTTGGTGGCTGCATAATATTTTTTACAATGAATTCAGCCAATTCACTAGTAATGACATTTTAGTTTTTTGCCAAGATATTCTGCTGCAGTTAATATCCTTATATATTATGTTCTCACACTCCAATGCTTTAAAGCAAAAAAAAAAAAAAAAGTGACAGAATTATAAAAATTATAAAGAGGAAAAAGAGGAACTGACAAATTCATCACAGTAGGATATTTTAACATATCACTCTCAGAAGTTGACAAGTCAAAAATATTTGGATATGGAAGATTTGAACAATGTAATTAAGCTTGATTAAGATCCATACATAGAATCCTGTGTCCCCCCAATTTGACAATTTTGTATATACCACTCCTGGAACTATAATGGCATTCTCAGCAAATATCACAAAATTTAATCATACTGATCAGGTTACTTAATCACAATGCAAATAGTTTAAAAATGAATACGAAAATAATTTTTAAATACTCAATACATTTAGGAATTTAAAAACACTTTACAGCCGGGCGCAGTGGCTCACACCTGTAATCCCAGCACTTTGGGAGGCCAAGGTGGGCGGAGCACAAGGTCAGGAGATCGAGACCAGCCTGGCCAACATGGTGAAACCCTGTCTCTACTAAAATACAAAAAAATTAGCCGGGCGTGGTGGCGGGCGCCTGTAGTCGCAGCTACTCGGGAGGCTGAGGCAGACGAATCGCTTGAACTTGGGAGGCAGAGGTTGCAGCGAGCCAAGATTGCGCCACTGCACTCCAGCCTGGTGACAGAGCACAACTCTGTCTCCAAAAAAAAAAAAAAAAAAAAAAAAAAAAACACTTTATATGTTCTGACAATCAGTTAAATGGAAAAAAAAAAACCAAAAACACTTCTAAATAATTCATGGCTCAAAGAAGTCATAATGAAAATTGGATTGGGAGGCTGAGGCGGGTGGATCACCTGAGGCCAGGAGTTCAAGACCAGCCTGGCCAACATAGTGAAACCACATCTCTACCAGAAATACAAAAATTAGCTGGGGATGGTGGCATGGGCCTGTAGTCCCAGCTACTCAGGAGGCTTAGGCAAGGGCATCACTTCAACCTGGGAGGCAGAGGTTGCAGTGAGCCGAGATTGCGCCACTGCACTCCAGCCTGGGTGAAAGAGCAAGACTCCATCTCAAGAAAAAAAAAAGAAAAAGAAAAAAGAAAATTAGAAGATTAGACTTGAACAGTGAAAATACTACATTCAAACATGCGGCTAAAGCAGGTAACTTATGAGAAACTTAAATTGCTCTAAGTTGTACATTGGAAAAAAAAGATTGAAAATGTAACAGTATCCAACATGGCAAGTTAATTATTACTTTAAAAGACTATTGGAGATAGGTAAAAATTAAGTAAAAGTAAACACATGCATTAGAAGATAAAAAAAGACACAACAGATATAGCAGAAATTTTAATCAATAAGGGATCATCATAAACTTTATTTTAATAAATTAGAAAACACAATGTGGGTGATGTGTCAGGGACAGTCAGAGTTCTGTTGGGTAAACAAAAACCACTCTGATTATTTCAACAGAAAGAAATGAACGTGAGGACTTGGTGTAGCAGATGTTGAAGGGCTGAAAAGGTGAACAGAGATTGCTGAGGGCCCAGGGCAGGGATTATCAGAGCGGGAAGTTGAGCGTGGCTTGCCCAGTCCCACTACCAGCATCATCAAGCAGATAGGGAGCTAGGAGACAAAAACTTAGTGGATGGCACTGATGACTTCCTAGTAAAAATGCAATGTTGCAAAACTATTTCAAGAAGCAATAAAAATTGAAAATAAATCTTTAATAAATCTTTACATTTAAGAAAAGTAAGATCTAGGAGGCTTATGGGAAAAATAAAATAAAAAATAAAAAGTAAAAACTAAATTAAAATCTACTCACAACAAAATAGAACACAAAATTTAAAACAAACAAACAAAAAACACCACCAAGCCCAGCTGGTTTTACAGGTAAATTCTACCAAGTAGTCAAAGAACAGATAATGCCAAGATCCTGGTGTTTCTTTTATTCCTGGGATGGCAGGTCAAAGAGAATGAGTTTTTTATATTAATCTTAATATTTATTGCCACATTACTTTCTCTAAAGGTTTTTGAAAATCACGCCATCACTACAGGCAATGTATGAGTGCCCATTCCCTGGCTTCCTCATCAACATTGCCTACGTTGAAACAGAAGTTTGGGCTCTAGGCATCAGATTTAAATCTTGGTGCTACCATTTGCTAGGTGAACTGTTTCCGTGATATTAAAAAAAATCTACACTTTAGCATTGTTGTCAATATTAAATGAGCTAGTCCACATAAAGTTCTTAGCCTATACTAATCACTTAATAAATATTACCCACTATTAAATTTTGCCAATCTGATGGTTGAAAATTGTATCTCATTTGGATTTGTATTATCTGCAATGACTAAGTTTTAAATTATCATATCAGTCTTTCCCAGGTTCTCCTATAAATTTCTATTTTCTTTGCCCATTTTTCTAATGAATTGTCTTTCTCTTAATGATCGTACATTAGTGAAATTCTGTGTCACATGTCATGTATGAGAAATATTTTCCCAGTCTATTATGGTCTTTTCATTTTGTTTCTAATTGATATTGCCAAGACTAAATGTTTAATTCTTATGTAGTTGAAGATACATATCTTTTCCTTTTGGCCTCTGGGTTCCCTCTCTTGCTTAGGGTTTCTCTGACTCTAGATATATACTAATACTTTTAAAATTTTATTTTTAAAATGTAGGTCTTTATCCATACTTTTGTGTATGATATGAAGGTAGGGGTCTATTTTTGCTTCTTTCCAGGTGATTATTCAATTCTACTGGAAGCATTTATTAAAAAATGAATTTATTAAAAAAATGAATTTATTCAATTCATTCACTTCCCATTGAATTAATACTTTTAAAAAGAATTGTGAGGTAGTCTGGCCTTAGCACATATAGTATAAAATCATGTAATAAAAATAATATGATATTAGCATAGGAATAGTTAAATGGATTACTCAAACAGACAAGTAAAACAACCAGAAATTGATCTAATTCATTAGGCCCTTACATATGGCAATAAGTCATAGTTTTCATTAGATTCTTACAAGAGTCTGTGATCCAAAAATGTTATAATTTCATGACCTAAATAAGAGTTGTGAGTTGTCTGATTTTTATTGTAAAAAAAAAAACACAGATGTAATTTCTTTCCCTGTTATTTCAAAAAAAGAGAGAGAGAGAGAGAGAGAAAAAAAAGTTGTCTAGTAAATAAAAAGCAAATCAATGTTAGGTCTATCCCAAACTTTTCATGGTTCCACACAGTATTCTTGATAATTTGCTGCTCTTCCTCCTCTTCCTCCCTCCCCATGTTTATGGAAAAATTAATATTCCCTAATCAAACATTATTTATAAAGTGTTGGTTTCATCTAGCCACTTGTGAATGTTATAATAATTCTGTAAAGTGAAGAAATGTTACCAAATGCCAAATATAGGCATCTTTTTTGTTTCAAAGCAAGCCAAACCTATAGCATTGTTCTTCCCTAATGCAACATGTTTGAAAATGGGCAAATGGCCGGATTAATTTTTATAGATGTCATTGATAATCAAAAGTTTGAGTTTTGGCATATTTGCTGCCCTTGTTCTTAGATTGCCACCTCAGCTTTTTCAGAGGAACTCAACACTGTACTTTATGTAGATTCGATTTCACACTTAAAATAAAGGTCATCATATGACATCACCTCCCCTTACTCAGAAGGTCACAGCTTGAATTAATTTTTAAAGATTTTCTGCATTTACTGCCTCTGAGAATTCATTAAAAAGAAAAAAAAACTTTAAATGTAGAACCACATGACTGAAGTGAACTCTATCTTGACTTAAAAAGAAATGAGGGGTGGGAGTGTGAGTGTGCACACACACACACACACACACAACCCTCAGCCATTTTCCTTTCTATTTTATTAACATATTATCAATATTTTCTTTCTGCTCAGAAGCCCCAGAACTGATTATCCTTTTATCAACCAAAGCACACCACCTGTGCAAGAAAAGAGGGAATGGACAAGGAGAACAAGAATTTCTCAGCTTTGAAACCCAACTTGGTTCTTTCCACTTGACCAATCAAAGACT
Organism: Homo sapiens; assembly: GCF_000001405.40. NCBI lineage: Eukaryota > Metazoa > Chordata > Mammalia > Primates > Hominidae > Homo > Homo sapiens. The sequence goes on along the minus strand of NC_000001.11, from coordinate 91,673,872 downwards.
CAAAGCTGAAAGTCTTCATAAGTGATTTGGGTGGAGCAGCTTTTGCTGGTCTGTTACTTGTCCCGGTTCATAAACTGCCTATGACATAGTTTCTGCAAAGAACACAGTGTACTTGACAACAGTGTTGAAATAATGCTGAATTTTTAAAAGGGAAAATCACATGGATTCTGTATGGTGCAGGGGTGGTGTAGGAAGGGAGAAAACTAATTTTTTTTTTTCCATGAGATAGGATCTCGCTCTGTCGCCCAGGCTGGAGTGCAATGGCAGAATTTCGGCTCATTGCAGCCTTGACTTTCTGGTGATTCTCCTTCCTCAGCCCCTCAAGTAGCTGGGACTACAGGAGCCTGCCACCATGCCCGTCTAATTTTTGTGTTTTTAGTAGAGACGGGGTTTCACCATGTTGGCCAGGCTGTTCTTGAACTCCTGGCCTCAACTGATCCACCTGCCTCGGCCTCCCAAAATGCTGGGATTACAGGCATGAGCCACCGTGCCTGGCCAATTTTTGTTATTTAAACCCAAAACCATACAGCATACCCCAAAAGTGGAAACTAGAGCTTCAAGAATCTTCATCTGAAACACAAACTTCTTCTGGAGCACCACTTTTTGATAAGTACAGCAACTGCAGAAGAGACTTTCCATTGAGGATTCCAGTTATCAAATCTTTTTCTTGAGTGGAGAGGAGAGGTGAAAATAAAAAGCTTCTTAGCCCGCCAGTTAGCCTTAAAAGTGGAAGCACCTGGAGGAGCATCCAACCTGCACTCCAGGGAAATCCACCACGCTTTACCTTTCCACCCCAGTGAGTGATCCAAGAGAAGGTAATTACGTTATTGCGCCAGCAAAGGAAAAAGCGACAAATCTTTAACCCAGCCAGCCAGCCAGTCCTCATTTTGACTGGTTGATTTTTTTCACTTTTAGTGTATTTCTCAGAATGCCAATGCATGTGATAGAAACTCTAGTTACTGCAAGGAAACAGTCACAGGAAGTGTAGGAAGCAGTTAAAAGAAGCATATGATGGGAAATAGAGGATTTGGTTTCAAGTTGTTTCATGGCCCTGGGGCTGAGCTGAGTTGCAATGGAGAAAAACTGAAACAACTGTGAGCAGAGAGACCCAACCAGTTCTCAGAGCAGAGCCCCCCACTGCCTCCTGGCCCCTGGCCCTGCCTGCTCCATTCCTTCCTCTCCATCTGCAAGGCCTTCTCATCACCTCCTCAGATCCTAGAGTCCTTCACAGCTCTGCTAACAGGCAGTCTTTTCCATAAAACCCTATGAACTGCCCCAGCTGTTATTTTATCAATCTCTGGGGTCTGGTAGCACCATGCCACCTCATGACTCAAGACACAAAACTGTTATTTTTCTCTAACCTCCCGCAGCCAATCCATCAGTGAGTCCTGATGGCTTCCAAACATATCTGCTGCTCTCCATCTGCACCACCACCACCCGAGTCTACGCCATCCTTACCTCCAACATAAACCAGCACATCCAGCAGACTCCCTGCGGCCTCCTCGTCTGTCTAAGATTATTCCCCAGGTGGCTGCTAGAACACACTCTTTAAAAGACGTTAGATCTTGTCAATCCCCTGTTTAATACTCCAAATGGCTTCCCATCACACTTAGAATAAATTCCAAAAAAACAAAACAAAAGTATACTTTTAAAAATCCGGCTCCTATTCCTGTGTGTACCCTTCTGTTCCCCTGTAGGTAGCCACTTTCACTAGCTTGTGATGCTTCTTAAAGCAAATGTGAGCAAATAAGAATCTCCTCTCTTTCCCCCTTTATTACACAGTGGAAACATATTAATACGATACATGTTCTGCATTTTGCTTGTCTCACCTAACATATTTTGTATCCATATCAGAATATAAATCAGTATCTCATTTCTTTTCTACAGCCATATAGAATTCTACTTTGGGGATATACCATAATTTATTTAACCTATCCCTTTTTTTCTTCTTCTTTATTTTATTTTATTTTTGAGATGGAGTCTCGCTCTGTTGCCCAGGCTGGAGTTCAATGGCACAATCTTGGCTACCTATAACTTCCGCCTCCCAGATTCAAGCGATTCTCCTGCCTCACCCTCCTGATTAGCTGGGATTACAGGCACGTGCCACCATGCCTGGCTAATTTTTGTATTTTCAGTACAGACGGAGTTTCACCATGTTGATCAGGCTGGTCTCAAACTCCTGACCTCATGATCCACCTGCCTCGGCCTCCCAAAGTGCTGGGATTACAGGCATGAGCCCCCGCACCTGGCCTAACCTACCCCTTTCAATGCACACTTGGCTTGTTTCCATCTCTTGCTATTAAAAACCACACTGCAGTGAGTAGCCTTATATGAAGGTTCTTTGGTTTGTGTGCAGGTGTATCTCAAGGAAAAATTCCCAGAAGTAGGATTGCCAGGCCAAAGAGTAAGTGCATTTTTATTCCTAATAGATATTACCAAATTGGATCCCATTGAAGTTGCACCATTTTAAACTACTGTCAACAATACCTGTTTTCTCATAGCTGTACCAATTGAGTGCGTTATCCAACTCTGGTATTTTTGCCAATTTGATGGATGAAAAAATGATATCTCAAAGTAATTTTAATTTGCATTTTTCTTACAATGAATGAAGTTGTGCATCTTTTTATATGTATAAGGATTATTTGTTGTTATGCTGTGAACTGTCTGTTTTATCCTTTGCCTCTTTTTCTATCGGGTTGTTGTCTTTAATTTTCTCAATTTCTAGGAATTCTTTATATATTACAAAGATTAGCCCTTTGTCTGTGATTATCTTGGCACTCAGAGCCCTAAGGGATCTGACTCCTCCTCAGCTCATACGACTCTCTTGCCTCCCTGTTTTGCTCCAACCATCATGTTCTGTGACATCTTTGTTACCTTAACGCCTTCACATTGACAATTCCTTTGCCTGGAATGCTACTCCCCCTATCATCCCACAGCTGGTTCCTCCTTACTTTTCAGATCTCAGCTTAATTATCACACGGGAAAGGCTTTCCCCCATCACCCAGTCTATGGTAGACACCCAATTTCCCTCCATCACATCATTTAGTTTTAATTCTTTGCATGACACTTATTCCTTGATAATATTTTTCTTAATTGTTTTAGTTTGTACATTGCCCATCTTTCTCTAAGGGAGGAGACCACCCCTCATACTTTCTTATGCCCAGTTTCCGCCTCCAAAGAAAGAAAAAGAAAAAACTAAAAGGCAGAAATGAAATCCACAAGCAGACAGCCCGGCGCCACACCCTGGGCCTGGTGGTTAAAGATGGACCCCTGACCTAATTGATTGTTATCTATAGATTACAGACACTGTATAGAAAAGCACTGTGAAAATCCCTATCCTGTTTTGTTCCGATCTAATTACCGGTGCATGCAGCCCCCAGTCACTTACCCCCTGCTTGCTCAATCAATCACGACCCTCTCACGCGCACCCCCTTAGAGTCATGAGCCCTTAAAAGGGACAGGAATTGCTCACTCAGGGGGCTCGGCTCTTGAGACAGGAGCCTTGTTGATGCCCCCGGCCGAATAAACCCCTTCCTTCTTTAACTCGCTGTCTGAGGAGGTTTGCCTGTGGCTGGTCCTGCTACATTTCTTGGTTCCCTGACCGGGAAGCGAGCTGAATGGCGGATGGTTGAGGCAGCTCCTTAGGCGGCTTAAGCCTGTCCTGTGGAACATCCCTGTGGGGGACTCTGACCAGCCCGAGCGACGCGGATCCTGAGAGCGCTCCCGGGAAGGAATTTGCCCCGGTGGGACGCCTCTCCAGAGCAGTGTGTTGCAGGCCCTCGTGGAGTATCAATGCAGTGGCTGAACACCGGGAAGGAATGGGCACTTGAAGTCTGGATATCTAAAACTTGGTAAGACTAGTCTTTGGAACTCGCCCACTCCGTTTGAGTGGAAGCATGGCCTGATCACCCACGGCGTACCTTTATCGGCACTTTGGTTTGGTTTTGGTTTTGATTTGGTTTGAATTGCTTGACATGACCGGTCTTGGGAACTTGCCCACTCCATTTGAGTGGAAGCGTGGCCTGATCACCCATGGTGTGCCTGTACTGGCACTTTGGTTTTTGTTTTTGACTTGACTTGGATTGCTTGATACTTTGGTTTTGGTTTTGACCTGGCTTAGATTTCTGGATACTCTGATTTTGGTTTTGATTTTGGTTTGGTGCAAACTGCAAAAGTATGTGTGTGTGCTCTATTTACCTGTTCTTTGTTTTGTGGTGTGTTTGTGGAGTGAGCGTGGTGTTTTGTCTCGAAGAAGCGTAGGTCAGCCACAAATAAGCCCACCCTACTAGGAACTATGTTGAAAAATTTCAAAAAAGAATTTAAGGGAGGCTGTGGAGTACTATGACACCAGGAAAACTTCAAACTTTGTGTAAGATAGACTGGCCAGCATTAGAGGTAGGTTGGCCATTAGAAGGAAGCCTGGACAGGTCCCTTGTTTCAAAGGTATGACACAAGGTAACCTGTAAGCCAGGGAATCCAGACCAGTTCCGGTACGTAGACACTTGGTTACAGCCAGACCAGTTCCGGTACATAGACACTTGGTTACAGCCAGACCAGTTCCGGTACGTAGACACTTGGTTACAGCCAGACCAGTTCCGGTACGTAGACACTTGGTTACAGCCAGACCAGTTCCGGTACGTAGACACTTGGTTACAGCCAGACCAGTTCCGGTACGTAGACACTTGGTTACAGCCAGACCAGTTCCGGTACGTAGACACTTGGTTACAGCCAGACCAGTTCCGGTACATAGACACTTGGTTACAGCCAGACCAGTTCCGGTACATAGACACTTGGTTACAGCCAGACCAGTTCCGGTACGTAGACACTTGGTTACAGCCAGACCAGTTCCGGTACGTAGACACTTGGTTACAGCCAGACCAGTTCCGGTACATAGACACTTGGTTACAGCCAGACCAGTTCCGGTACATAGACACTTGGTTACAGCCAGACCAGTTCCGGTACGTAGACACTTGGTTACAGCCAGACCAGTTCCGGTACGTAGACACTTGGTTACAGCCAGACCAGTTCCGGTACGTAGACACTTGGTTACAGCCAGACCAGTTCCGGTACGTAGACACTTGGTTACAGCCAGACCAGTTCCGGTACGTAGACACTTGGTTACAGCCAGACCAGTTCCGGTACGTAGACACTTGGTTACAGCCAGACCAGTTCCGGTACGTAGACACTTGGTTACAGCCAGACCAGTTCCGGTACGTAGACACTTGGTTACAGCCAGACCAGTTCCGGTACGTAGACACTTGGTTACAGCTGGTTTTAGGCCCCCCGCCCCCAACACACAGTGGTTGAGAGAACAGCAGCAGAAGCAGCTGGCAAAGGCAAGGAAAGACCAGCAGAGAGAGAGAAAGGAAAGAGACAGAGAGGAAAAGAGGCAAAGAGAGAGAGGAAGAGACAGAGGAAGAGACAGACAAAGAGGAAGTCAAGGAGAGAGAGAGAAAGAGGAGGCAGAGAGAGAGAGGAAGAGACAGACGCAAAAGGAGTCAAAAAGAGAGAGACAAAGTCAAAGAGAGAAAGAAAGAGATATACAAGTAGTTAAAAAAAAGTGTACCCTATTCTTTTAAAAGCCAAGGTAAATTTAAAACCTATAATCGATAATTGAAGGTATCCTCCGTAACCCTATAACACTCCAATACCACTTTGTCAGTGTAAACAAGGGCGTATCCCGAAAGCACTGAGGCCTTCCTATCAAAAATCCTTAACCCAGTAACCCGCGGATGGCCCAAATGCATTCAATCTGTAGCAGCAACTGTTTTGCTAACAACAACAACAACGACAACAACAAAAGTAAAAAACAATAACTTTTAGAGAAAACCTCATTGTGAGCACACCTCGCCAGTTCAGAAGTATCCTAAGGGAAAAAAAAAAGGAAAAAAAAGGGAAGGTGGAATTTATATAAAAAGTATTATATGGTAAATTCTTGCTCTGAAATAAATTAACTGGTTGTTTAAAGAAAGAAATATTTGTAGTAAGTCATAAAGTTGAGACATGTCAAAGAATTGTCTTCAAAAGTCATGAAAGAAAAAAAGTTATAAAAAAGAATTTATGCAAAAAATGTTGCATAATTTAAAAGTAACTAGGCCTCCTGAATGTAAAACTATTAAAAAAAAAAAAGTTTATGTGCAAGGTGTATAAAAAAAGTAAAGTATACCTTTGGTAAAAGAATTATAAGGAGGCATAAGAATGTACATTTTTACCTACATTAAAAAGTTAAAAAAAATTACTGTTTTGAATGTTTAAACAAGTGTTAAAACATTAATTGTAAAAATAATTCTCTGTGTACACATATTAGCTAAAGTTAAAGAAGTATCATCCAGTTTTTTTGTAAACTGGACATTAAAGTAAAAGCATAGCAGGTTTTTCTTAAAGCACCAACCTTCTTTTTAGCAAAAATTATAAAAGGTTAAAAAGAGTCTGTAAAATCTTACCTTATGGTCAAACATTAAAAATTAGATAAATATGTCTACAAGGTTTTATTAAAATTAGGTTTAACATTAATAACACACTAATATAAAGATAAAATTTAGCTTATCTGGTATAAAAATCATACGAGAAGCATTGTTAAATGTAAAATGGTATTTGGCTTTCTTTGGTTTAAAAACTAATAAAAATAGGTGCTAAAGGAAATTTCTCAGTAAAAAGGCACTAAGGACTCTAAAGTCCACTGCCAAGGTCCCCACATTTAAAACAAAAGGTCAATTTCTTAAAAATTATATACTTGGTTTATCTTCCACTTTCCTTTCTCTCAAAAACTAAAAGTCTTTTAGCACATGTACCACCCCTAAAATTTCCGGTAAACCAGCACCAGCCTGAAGATCACGTTCTCATCAAAGGGTGAAAAGAAGAAAAACTCGAGCCAGCCTGGGAAGGACCCTACCTTGTGCTGCTAACCACCAAGACTGCTGTTTGTACAGCAAAAAAAAAAAAAAAAAAAAAAAAGGATGGACTCATCACACCCGAGTCAAGAAAGCACCACCCCCTCCAGAGTCATGGCCGTAGTCCCGGGGGAAAGCCCTACCAAACTAAAGCTAAGAAAAATTTAACTCTTTTCATCTATTCTGTTACTGTTACTGTTCTATTGCTGACCATCTATTAACATAACCAAGTCAATTTTGCCTCAAACTATTGCATTTAATGCTTGCCTTGTTATACCCTGTGGGGACTTGCCAAGCCAAAGACAGCTTTCTACTTCAGAAAAGTACTTCTGTCCCTCCTGACTCTCCTCAGACTGGGCACTAGTAAACTAGGACCATTTAATCCGGGGAGATTTCGATAAACACCCCAGTGCCAACCAGGAGTCTTGCCCCTGATGTAGAGCTTTCATGCCATAGTTGGTCCAACATTCTGTTGACCACTAAAGAGCAAGGATGGACTGCCCTAACTGGTTTTTGTAATTTCCTAAAACCATACATTCATTTTACTAGAGGATCATAGAAGTTAAAGACTTAAAACAAACTTTAGCAATTAAGACAGGATACCAAGATGCAAATGCCTGGTTAAAATGGATCAAATATTCTATCTGCATGTTAAACAAAAGCAACTGTTATGCTTGTGCACATGGCAGGCCAGAGGCCCAGATTGTCCCCTTTCCACTAAGGTGGTCCTCCAGTCGACCAGGTGTAGGCTGCATGGTAGCTGTTTTTCAGGATTCTACAGCCTGGAGAAATAAGTCGTGCCAAGCTCTCTCTGCTATATCTCAAAGTCCGGCACCCTGCAGGTCAGCCCCCCAGGGCCATCCAGCCTCCTTCTCCCAACACTGAGTTCACTTCGTGTCTCTCACGACAAGGAGGAGACAGCGTTCCTTGGAGACCTGGAGGGATGCAGTGAGCTTAAGAATTTTCAAGAGCTTATCAATCAGTCAGCCCTTGTTCATCCCTGAGCGGATGTGTGGTGGTATTGTGGTGGACCTTTACTGGGCACTCTGCCGAATAACTGGAGTGGCACTTGTACTTTAGTCCAACTGGCCATCCCTTTCGCCCTGGCATTTCATCAACCGGAAGGAAAAAAAATAAGACATCGTAAAGCAAGAGAAGCCCCTTACGGGTCTTTCGACTCTCATGTCTATTTAGACGCAATTGGAGTCCCACAAAGAATAGCAGATCAATTTAAAGCTTGAAATCAAATAGTTATGAGATTTGTCAATATTTTAGTAAATGACAGTTAATAAAAATGTAGATTAGATAAACTACATCTATTACAATCAACAGCAATGAGGTTTTCATGAGTTAAAAGAAAAACTCATGTCGGCCCCAGCCCTGAGGCTACCTGACCTGACAAAACTCTTTACACTTTATGTGTCAGAATGAGAAAAAACGGCAGTTGGAGTTTTAACCCAGACTGTGGGGCCCTGGCCAAGGCCAGTGGCCTATCTCTCAAAACAACTAGATGGGGTTTCCAAAGGCTGGCCCCCAGGTCTAAGGGCCCTAGCAGCAAAGGCCCTGTTAGCACAAGAAGCAGATAAACTAACCCTTAGGCAAAACCTGAATATAAAAGTCCCCCATGCTTTGGTAACTTTAATGACTACCAAAGGACATCATTGGCTAACAAATGCTAGATTAACCAAGCACCAAAGCTTGCTATGTGAAAATCCCCACATAACCATTGAAGTTTGCAACACCCTAAACCCCACCACCTTGCTCCTGGTATCAGAGAGCCCAGTTGAACATAACTGTGTAGAGGTGTTGGACTCAGTTTATTCTAGCAGGCCCAACCTCCGAGACCATCCTTAAACATCAGTAGACTGTGAGCAGTACGTGGATGGGAGCAGCTTTGCCAACCCCTGCAAAGTGACTCTGAAGAAGACGACAAGCCCTGCTCCAGTCACACCCAGAAGCTGACTGGTCCACGCACGGCTGAAGCATGAGAAAACTAGTCGCGGGTTTCATTTTCCTTAAAATTTGGACTTTTACAGTAAGGACGTCAACTGACGTTCCTCAGACTGAGGACTGTTCCCAGTGTATACATCAAGTCACTAAGGTAGGGCAAAAGGTTGCTACGTTCCTATTATTTTACAGTTATTATAAGTGTACTGGAACTCTAAAAAGAACTTGTTTGTATAATGTTATTCTATACAAGGTATGTAGCCCAGTAAATGACCAACCTGATGTGTGTTATGACCCATCTGATCCTCCCATAACCACAGTTTTTAAAATAAGATTAAGGACTGAGGACTGGTGGAGGCTCATAAACGATATGAGTAAATTGTCAGCCAAACAGAAGAAAAAGGGGTGCCCAAACAAGTCACCTTAAAATTTGATGCCTGTGCTGTCATTAATGGTAATAAGTTAGAAACAAGGTGTGTTCTCTTAATTAGAAAAGAGGCTATATGGCAGAAAATAAGTACATCTGCCATAAATTAGGACTGTGTAGAAATAAATGTAAATACTGGTCTTGTGTCATTTAGGCCACTTGGATTAAAAAAATAAAAAAGATCCAGTCCACCTTCAGAAAGGAAAAAATGGCCCTTCCTGTACTAAAGGACAATGTAACCCCTTAGAGCTAGCAATAACCAATCCCCTTGATCCTTGCTAGAAAAAAAGAGGAGCGTGTGACCTTAAGAATCGATGGGGCCGGACTGGATCCTCGAGTAAATATCTTGGTTCGAGGAGAGGTTTACAAATGCTCTCCTGAGCCAGTGTTTCAAACTTTCTATGATGAACTAAATGTGCCAGCACCAGAAATTCCAGGAAAAACAAGAAATTTGTTTTTGCAATTAGCCGAGCATATAACACAGTCTCTCAATATCAGTTCATGGTACGTATGTGGAGGAACTGTAATAGGAGATCAATGGCCAGGGGAAGCCTGAGAATTAGTACCTACAGACCCAGTTTCTGGTGAATTCCCGGCTCAAAAGAATCACCCTGATAATTTCTGGGTCCTAAAAGCCTCAATTATTAGACAATATTGCATAGCTAGAGAAGGAAAAGAATTCACTCACCCCGTAGGACGACTTAGTTGTCTGAGACAGAAACTGTAGAATGGTACCACAAAAACAGTCACTTGGTGGAGTTCAAATCACACAGAGAGAAATCCATTTAGTAAATTCCCAAAGTTGCAAACCGTGTGGACCCACCCGGAGTCCCACCGGGACTGGACAGCCCCCACTGGATTATACTGGATATGTGGGCATAGAGCTTACACCAAATTACCTGACCAGTGGGCAGGTAGTTGTGTTATTGGCACTATTAAACCATCTTTCTTCCTACTGCCCATAAAAACAGGTGAACTCCTGGGCTTCCCTGTCTATGCTTCCCATGAAAAGAGAAGCATAGCTATAGAAAATTTTAAAAATAATAAATGGCCCCCTGAGAGAATCATACAATATTATAGGCCTGCTACTTAAGCACAAGACAGCTCGTGGGGATACCGGACCCCCATTTACATGATCAACCGAATCATATTGTTACAAGCTATCTTAAAAATAATCACTAATAAAACCGGCAGAGCCTTGACTATTCTGGACCGGCAAGAAACTCAGAAGAGAAATGCTATCTATCAAAATAGATTAGCTCTCGACTACTTGCTAGCAGCTGAAAGAGAGGTCTGTAGGAAATTTAACCTTACTAATTGCTGCCTACACATAGATAATCAAGGGCAAGTAGTTAAAGACATAGTTAGAGATATGACAAAACTGGCACATATGCCTGTGCAAGTGTGGCATGGATTTGATCCTGGGGCCATGTTTAGAAAATGGTTCCCAGCACTAGAAAGATGTAAAACTCTTATAATAAGAGTTATAATAGTAATAGGAACCTGCTTACTGCTCCCTTGTTTGCTACCTGTACTTCTTCAAATGATAAAAACTTCATCGTTACCTTAGTTCACCAAAATGCTTCAGCACAAGTGTACTATATAAATCACTATCGATCTGTCTTGCAAGAAAACATCGGTAGTAAAAATAAAAGTGAGAACTCCCACTATTGAGTGAGAATCTCAAAGTGGGGAAATAAGGGAGGAGACCACCCCTCATACTGTCTTATGCCCAGTTTCTGCCTCCAAAGAAAGAAGAAGTAAAAACTAAAAGGCAGAAATGAAATCCACAAGCAGACAGCCTGGTGCCACACCCTGGGCCTGGTAGTCAAAGATCGACCCCTGACCTAATCGGTTATGTTATCCATAGATACAGACATTGTATAGAAAAGCACTGTGAAAATCCCTATCCTGTTTTGTTCCGATATAATTACCGGTGCATGCAGCCCCCAGTCACATACCCCCTGCTTGCTCAATCAATCACGACCCTCTCACGCGCACCCCCTTAGAGTTGTGAGCCCTTAAAAGGGACAGGAATTGCTCATTCGGGGGGCTCGGCTCTTGAGACAGGAGTCTTGCCGATGCCCCCGGCTGAATAAACCCCTTCCTTCTTTAACTCGGTGTCTGAGGAGTTTTGTCTGCAGCTCGTCCTGCTACATCCCTATCCAGAATGCAAGCTCCAAAAGAAACAGGGTGTGTGTCATGCTCATCAGTCCATCCCCAGCACTTAGAGCAGTGCCTGGCACTTAGTAGGTATGTCACACAGATCTGTGATTAATGAACCCTTTCATCCTCTCCTTAGATGTTTTCACATGCCTTTATAATGAGTATTATCAGTCGTGTTCCCCAGACAGAAGATTTAAAATAACATTTTTTGAGCTGCTAATATGCGCCAAACACTGGGCTTGGTTTTATTACACATCTCAGTCAATTTTTCTGGTCACTCTGTGCTATTTAGCATTATACCTATTTTTATCAGTGAAGAAGCCGAGACTAATAAGGCCTTGAAGAAGTTATCCAATAATACGTGGTTAATACATGTGGATCCAAATGAGTTAAGCTGCTTTCAAAGCCCATTCTTTTTGCACCATACATAGGACATTATCTTGTTTCTTTATTCTCTGCATGGTACTTCTTGTTATTGTCACATTGAATATGCTCCGTAAATTAGAGAACCATAACATGTCAGAGCCTTAGTGATCACCTAGACTTAACTAAGCAATACAGAAAATTAGCAATAGGTCCAGGATGCAAGTCTGCAGTCCCTAACTCTTTATCACCATTCCCCTCTCCATTCCTTGTTACCATGGTCATGCCAAACTCATTCCCACCTTAGAGACTTTGTACTTGCTATCCCTCATCCTGGAATTATTTTCCTGCCCATTTTCATATGGCTGGCTCTTTATCATCATTGAGGCCTGAGGGCAGATGTCACCTTCTTAGAGAAGCCTTCTGTCACCACACAAACCAAATTTGGCACCTCTCTCACCCCCCAGTCATTCTCTATCCCATTTTTCTGTCTTTATTTTCTTCTGAGTACTTCTCCCAATGTAGATTTTATATACATTTGTTTTCTTGCTTATTGCATGCCTTTTGCCCTAGAATGTGAGCTCCATGAAGAGGGGTCATATCCAACTTGTTCATGGCTCTATGTCCAATGCCTAGGATGGTGCCCTCCTTAGCAGGTCTGCAATAAATACTGTGGAATTTAAAAATTAACAAGATGGCTCTAGAAGCAGCATGGAAAAAGCCTAGGCTTTGGAATTAACCTGGCTCAATGATTACCCAACTGCTTCTTACCATAACAAGTCACTGGGCTTTGGTTTTCTCATTTCTCAAATGAGGGAATAGATGATCTCCATGGCCTCTTACAGTGTGATAATTCTATGAAGTTGTAAATTATTCATATGATTCAAGAGTTATTGTCAAAGAGGTGAAGCTTACCCCAAGTTTCTATTTATTCTATTTGGGACATAAATCCTTAAAAATATTATATACTCTGCCTTTTAAACAAAATAGCCAGAATATCATTTACCTTCTTACTGAATCAGAGTTCTAATTCCAAAAAGAAAATACTGTACCACATTGCAAGGAAAACATTAGAAGCATTTATTTCTGTTGGCTGATATTTCTTCTCACTATAGGTCATTTTTTCTACTTCTTCAGATGTTTAGTAATCTTTGATTGGATGCTGGACATTGTCAGTGCTACATTGTTGAATTCTGGATTTTGTTGTCTTCTTTAATTATGTTGAGTTTTGTTCTAGTTGGTAGTTAATTTACTTGTGGATCAACTTGGTTTTTACAGGAGTTGTTTTGCCCCCCATCCTTCTCCTCTCCTTTTCCCTTCCCTTAGCCTCTCTAACTAACTAAATAAATAAAATAAGAGCTGTTTTTAAGCCTTATTAGAGTAGTCTTTACTAGAGTAGCCTTTACTGTAAGGTTAAATTAGCCCTATCCTAAGATATGGCCTTCCTAGGGTCTCTAATGACTGCTTGGAGTGTTCAGTGAGATCTCTCCATCTGGCTGGTCAAAACTTTAATGTCTCCTAGGGCTGTGTGAGTTTTTGTGGTTGTTAGTTCACATCATCCCAGTGGTTGTTTTTTTCCCTGATAGTTAGTCTTTGTTCCAACTCATGGAGTCTTGTCCCACATAAGTACAGCTTAATATCAGCTAAAGACTCATGGGGACCTCTAAGCAGATGTGTAGAGTCCTTTCTCTGCAAAGTTCCCTTTTCTCCAGTGCCTTGCCCACAAGTTCCAACCATTTCAGTAGTGCTGAGCTCTGATGTCTGCCATCTTGGCTCAACAAGAGGACCATCCACTATCAGAGCACCCCCTCCTTGTACCACAGTGGGCAAAGTGCTCCAGACAAAAAGCCAGGGCAATTGACAAGTTCATCTCATTTGTTTTCCTCCTCTCAGGAATCTCAATCCTGTCTAAAGTCTGAAAACAATTATTTCATACATTTTTTTCCAGTTTAAGAGTTGTTGAAAACAGGAAGACTAGTCTGCTAGTTATTCCATAATGGCTAGAAATGGAAGTTGCCTTCTTAAGTGTTTTTGAGGTGTATAAAATCTACTTGTTCCAAAACTAAGTGACCCCAGCATGCTATGTATTTTTATCTTTTTCCTTGGATAAAATATAATCATCTGTGGAATTCAAAGACACTCAAAAGATACAATAAATGGATGTAATAATGAGATAGGCCCCTGGTATAACTCACTAACTCATTAAATAAAGTAATAGCCAATAGTGTAGGCCCAGTGATGTGAACATATGGGTATTTGGTAAATACAGGCTTCTTTCTTTTCTTCTAGGAGAGACACTTGAAGTCAAGTCCTATTTTAAAATGATTTGGTGAACTAGTTATGGAGAGGATTCCCGTGGTGAATCCTTTTCCAAAGCAAAAGATCCTTCTGTGAAATGGATAAACATCTCCTAAAATCTTTTTGTAAATATATATTTTTATATATTTGGTTAGCTTAATGTGTTCTGTGAAGATTTGTTTGCTAAAGCTAAGTGTGGGTGTAGATGTAGATGTGGATGTGGATTTGTGTTTGGGAAATGGATAAGGAAGAAGGGGTTTGGTTGTGCCATGTCATAAACCCTATTGGTCTGGGTAGAAGCCATGAGGTTTTAGAACTCTATTTTGAATGAGGTGATAAGACAACAACAAATACAGGATGAGAAATCCCTAGACTAAAAAAAAGAGGCAGCCAATATACGAGTTTCTGCTGTTACCTGCTGCTCTCTGAGCTGTCACAGAACATTTTCCAAAAACCTCACAAGAAACCTGCCAGGCCATGTCTCTGCCATGGCAGTTTACTCAATCATTCACTTATTCTTGCAACAGACACTGATTGAGCACTCAATGTGTGCCAGGTACTGTTCTAGATGCTGGAGACACATCAGTGAACAGCAGACTTGCCTTCATGGAGCTTACATTCTAGGTGGAGAGGCTATCAAACACACAATATGCAGAAAAATAGACCAGAATAAGAGTGTTAGAGAATGATAGGGTGAGGACAGCATCTGTTTTAAGCTAGGCTGGTAAGAAATGCCTCCTTGATATAGGGAGAGGCACCCAAACAGAGCGCATTGGAGCAGAGACCAAAAGAAAGAGTGTTGCAGGGAGTGATATAAATCTCTATAAGGAAACAAGGACTGAAATGGGCTGTGATAGGAGCAACATTTTGGGGGTATTGAGGACTAGCAATGAGGCCATACTGGTTAGAGTGGAATAAAGAAAGGGTGAGATGTAGGAGCAAGAGATGAGAGTAAGAAATGAGGACAGAGGGGTTGAGGGGGTGCCAGATCAGGTAGTCTTGTAAGCCACGGCAAGGACTTTGGATTTTATTCTGGATGAAATAAGAAGCTACTGGAAAGTGTTGAATTGAAGAAGGACATGATCTTACATTTCATTTCATTTACTTATTTATTTTTGAGACAGGATCTTGCTCTGTTGCCCAGGCTAGAGTGCAGTAGTATGATCATAGCTCACTGCAACCTCAAACTCTGGGCTCAAGCAATCCTCCTGCCTCTGTCTCTCGAGTAGCTAGGACTACCAGTGTGTGCTACTGTGCTCAGCTGATTTTTAAACTTGAGACGAAGTCTTCCTATGTTACCTAGGCTGGTCTCAAACTCCTGGCCTCAAACAATCCTCCTGCCTCTGTCTCTCGAGTAGCTAGGACTACCAGTGTGTGCCACTGTGCTCAGCTGATTTTTAAACTTGAGACGAAGTCTTTCTATGTTACCTAGGCTGGTCTCAAACTCCTGGCCTCAAACAATCCTCCCACCTTGGCCTCCCAAATGATCTTACAGTTTAAAAGGATCACTCTGGCTACTATGTAGAGAAGACACTGAGGAGCAAAGACTAAGGAAGTAGCTCTTGCAATAGTACTGATGGGAGATGACAGTGTTTAGGCCAGTATGGTGGCAGCAGAGTTGGTAAGAAAGGGTCAGATTCAAAGGAAAATCTGATAATATATGCAAATAGATGGACATGAGGTGTGAGAGATAAAGCAATGTCAAGGACAACACCAGGTGTTTGGCCTGAGCAACTGGAAGAATGACAGTACCATTCTGAGTAGAAATGGAAACTAAGGCGGTAGGAATGCGGGTGGTGAGATTTGGCAGAGAAAACCAAGAACTCTGTTTTGAACTATTAAGTTCATTCTTTGATATCCAAGAAAAGATGCTGAGAAGGCAAATGAATATCCAGGCTGGGAGTTCTGGGGAGCAGTCTGAGCTGAAGATACAAAGCTGAAGAATCATCAGTGCAAAGTTGGTACTTAAAGCCATAGAGTGGGGTGAGACTCCCTCATAAGTGAGTGATTCCAGTACTTAGGGGCAGGATGAGGAAGGGGCAGCAAAGAAGACAGAGAGAGCAAGTGCTACAGAAAGACTGGCACCCACATTACTAATCCCTCTGACGCTCAGACTCTTCACTGGGAAAGCAGAGAGAACAATTTTCAGCTCACGGTTGCTGTGATGGTTAAGTGAGATCATATACTGACCTGGCATTCTGCAGCCCACTGAGCAAAAGGGAAAGGACCTGTTTCTTTCCCAGTGGCTTCTTCTCCTGTTCTCTTCACTGAACATCGTAGGGCCACATAGGATCATTTCTCAAGCTGCTCTGGGATGGTGAGGATGAGACTGAGGCCCTTGGAGCCTGTTGTTTTGCCAGCTCCTGGGGACGGGACACTCCCAGCCTGATTTTACAGGTCCAATAACCAGTCTTTCTTGAAGGTGAGAGAGGCTGGTATCTGGGTGGGGTGGCTGGAGAAGTGTGAGATGGGGTGGAAATAGGTGGAGGAGGACCTCTAGGGAGAATGTAGTGGGTGTTGGATGTGCTCAGGATCTGGGTACTTATCCCCCCTCCCTGCTGGGAGTGTTGGCGATTGACTGTTCTCAGTTGACTTTCTCTTGGGGAATTTCCCCCAGTGAAGATTTGCCTGCCAAGATTATGCCCCCTTCCCTGCAAGCAGCCTGCCTTCAACAATTTTGGATGATGAGAAAGTTTTAAGTCCCAGCCCTCTTGCCTCAAAGCAGAACAGCACTGAAGACCATTTGGGTGCTATGGCAACTTATAGGAGCAGCTGAAACCTTTGTTGCAACTGCAGTGCAGGTCAATTTCTTCCCCAGCTCAATCCTGCTACCCTCACTCCTTGAAGATGTTTGTCCCAAGAGTGCACCCCAAAAAAACCTCGTGCACGCACATCTCAGAATCTTGGAATCTGTTTCTCTGTGTACCTGAACTATGACAGTTGATATGAGAAGTGGTCTTAGGATGCTGACTCTAAAATGGGATTTTTGGACGGCATCGCTCACTGTCAGGCTGGCTATGAGGACCTCATCACCTCTGGCAAAATGTAGCTGTCAATTGCTAAAACCAATAACTACGGTCAAGTCACAATATATCACAGCTGGGGAAGTGCTGGACCTGCTAAGAGAAGAAAGGAGCTCCAGACGTGGCCAGTATGAATTGGTCAAACCTGGGACAGTGTGTATGGGACTAGATTCTAAGACTGATCAAGGCAGGGGATGGACAGAACATAACTGTATTAGTTATCTATTTCTGTATTACAGTACCCCACAAATTTTGTGGCTTAAAAGAACACACATTTATTTTCTCATAGTTTCACTGGGTCAAGAGTTCCAGCACAGATTTCCTGGGTCCTCTGCAAGGCTGCAATCAAGGTGTCAGCCTGAGCTGAGATCTTACCTGAAAGCTCAAGTGAAGAAGGACCCACTTCTAAGTTTACACAGTTGTTGGCAGGATTCAGGGCCTTGCAGACTATCAGACTGAAGGCCTGTTTCTCGCTGGCTGTCTGCCAGAGGCCACCTTCAGTGCCTTGCCACGTGGCCCTCTCCTTAAGGCAACTCATGACATGGCATCTTGCTCCTTGGAAGCCAGCAAGAGAGAGTCCTCCTAGCAAGACAAATGTTACTCACATACAAGTAACCACATAGAACTCAGCATGTGTCTGGATTGCGCTCTGTGGGGGGATTACACAAGAATGTAAACACTAGAAGGTGGGATCAGGGGGCCAACCTAGAGTCTCCTGCCATGGAGAGCATACTGATATGGGAGTATTCTCCTATGATGCAGGATTTAACTCCCTTGTATGCACCCGGGGAAGTAGTGCTAACTTGCTGCTCCGGGAAAGGGATGGCCCTTGTAGAACTATGACAACTTCTATGGCATTGGTGAAAGAAGGGATGAAAAGCCTCAGAGTAGTAGGCTTACAAGACTGGCTACCTCATGTAGGGCTGGGAAACCCAACAGTTTTATTCTGCAGGAGGGCCCAGGGGACATGCTATTTGCCTAAGCAATACTTAACACACCGGGGAGAGGGATGCTGAGTATCTGCTATGGAGGCTGTGACATGAATCCAGGCACAATGAGACTGTGGCTTGGAGAAGGGAGGTTGCTGTGGAAGTGATGAGAAGTGGATGGATTCTAGAATGACAAGATTTGCTGACAGGTTGAATGTGGGATGTAAGAGAAAGAGGAGTCAGGGATGATGCTAAGGTTTTGGGGCTGAGCAACGAGAAGAGAGGAGGTACATTTACTGAGAGGGGGAGAACTATAAGGAGGGCAGGTTTGTGGGGAAAATCAAGAGTTCTGTTGTTGAGAGTGAGATGTCTGTTAGACATTTGAATAGAGACAGGAATAGGCTACTGGATATATGAGTCTGAAGTTCAGAGGAGTCCAGACAAGAGATATAAACATGGGGGTTATTAGCCTATGGATGTGTAGACCATCCACATGGTTGAAAGACATCGCCTAGGGAGTAAGCAAGGAAGGGGTCAAAGAAACTAAGCCCCAGAACATTCCAACTTTGATGATGGAGGACAGGAGAAAGCCAGTCTATCGCAGGAATAATGAGTGAGAGGGACCCACAAGGAATGAGGGGTGAAGGGGTGGGACCAGGCTGTAACAAGGTGGGCTAGTTGGTGTATCATCTGATATCATGGGCTTCAGAGCTGGTGTTGTTACAGCCTCATGAGAAACAGTGCTCTGTGGTAGAGGGTGTGGCAGGATCAACAACCCCAAGAGCAGCTGAGTGTCAGGACACAGCCCAGGAGCAGGCAGAGCAGCAATGGAGGGAGGTCAGAGAAGAGGTTGGGGATGCAGGCATTTTACTGATGAGAGATAGCGAGATGCCTCTTCTCTCCCCCTTTCTCACACCCCAGACCACCAAAGAGATTTCAAGAATTTCCAGATCACTTTTCTCCTACTCCCACCCCCACGTTCCCAAGAGAATGTCTCAGTCAGACTTACTCCCAGACTTTGGTAAAGACTACTGGGCTCTGAAGTTCTGAAGACACAAGGGACTCAGATCAGATGGTGGAGGGAAGAAAAGTGTTTAGAAAGGGATCAAGTCCTAGTGAATAGCCAGGAAGCAAGAAAGGACAAGGAACAGTGTTGGAGGTGGGGTTGGGAATGGGGGTGTTGGGTGAGAAGGGGATGGGAAAATTGGTAAAGAAAAATCTAGATGAGTCTAGATTCTTGTGGGGTGGGCAGGGGATTGGGGTAGAGAAGAGAGGATATGAAAAGTCCCACAGGGTTATAAATTAGACTCCCTTGAATGTCAAGAGACACAAGGAACAAGTGAAAGTCCTTTTCGATAATTTCTTTGTTGAATTTTGCTTCCTTGTTTTGGTGGTCCCCTGTGTTCTGGAGCTGGGCTTTGGGTATTGACTAGGGTAGACTTCAGTTAGATAATGACAGCCGGATTCAAGACACTGACAGTCCCTAACTTATGAATTTTCTACTTTACAATGGTACAAAAGCAATACACATTCAGTAAAAACCATACTTCGAATTTTGAATTTTGATTCAAAATTATTTATTGTAGCATTAGTATAAAATAGGCTCTGTGTTAGATGATTTTGCCCAACTGTAGGCTGATGTGCATGTTCTGATTGTGTTTAAGGTAGGCAAGGCTAAGCTATGATGTTCAGTAGGTTGGGTGTATTAAACGTATCTTCAATTTATGATCTTTTAAAATGTACAGTGGGTTTATTGGGACATAACCCCATCATAAGCTGAGGAGCATCTGTACTTGATTGAAGTTAGATAAAGTTTAAGTTTGACAAAGACTCTTGATTCAAGTCAAGGTTCTGGTCTTTAGGAGAGACAAAACATGGGGTGACAATCCTTACAGAATACTGTCATGAGAGGCTTATCCAACTCTGTTCATTAATTCATCCATTCATTCAAGCAACCAATCCTTTAGGAGGGGAGCAGCTCTGTTTCATTTTCCCTTACTCTTCCAACACCAGATGAGTGCCTATTCATTGTCCCACAAATGAGTGTTGCCTGCCTGACCTGTGCCAGCTGTACTTTACTCTACCAAGTACTGCTCTATGCCTGTGAACAGGCAGGAGTCTTCCTGAGCCGCCCTTATGGCCTTACTCTCTTTCAGAGGAGGCCTAGTCACAAATGAACAAATATGTTTATATTTACAAGGTGTGGTTTTGATAAATGCTATAAAGAAAATGCACATATTGGTGGGATAAAGAGTAAGGAATGTCTTGAGTTAGACTGGTTAAAGTAAGCCTCTCTGAGAAGGCATCATTTGTGCCCAAGTCTGAAGCATGAGACATGGCTGCCCATGGGGTGAGAAAGGACATATTTACTTTTTAAGCAAAGACAACAGCAAATGTAGAGGATGTCAGAACCAAAAGATCTTGGTAGTTTTTGAGGAACTGGAAGAAGGCCCACAGAATTATGTGCTGTTGTGAATTAAGAACTGAAACCACATCTTACTGACACTTTCCCCAAAAACACTCCTTTAGAATAGATGTTAATGAACATTCTATAACAAAATGCAACGCCAGCAGCATGTTTTCTGCTAACATTGAGAAAATTTCTGAGTACTTATAAGTTTGTTATTTGCCTTTTAGTTTGGTTTATGCTGTTCATCAACATATCTTTAAAAATTTTTATATAGGTCATATTTATCCAACTTTTCGCTAATGGTTTCTGCTTTTGGGATCATCCACAGAAAGTCTCCCCTATCTCATAATTACATAATTACCTAGCTTTTCCTCTAGGACTTTTACAATTTGATATTTTACAATGAAATCTTTAACTCATCCGGATATTTTTAGATGTGCCCCTCTTTTGATGTCCTTGTCTCTCAGTAAGGCAGAATGCTTTCTTTATCTAGCTTCCTCATTTCTTGTTATATTAATTTATTAATTCCTGGGCATTTAAAATTTTGTTGTTGTTGTTGCTATTGTGAAAGGAATTTTTTTCCCATTGTATTTTCTAACTGGTTATTGTAGGCATTTGGGAAGAACTCTGTCTCTCTATGCTTTTTATATGAGAATATGGTGACCAGTCATCGGACTGAGGCCTCAGGCCTAGTGGTCTTCCAGTTGACTTGCTGGTCTTCCAAGAGTTAAAACTGAAAAACGATATTATTTCTTTCTAGTCCTTTTAATCTGAAAGTCACAAAATAGTACCTTGTTTTGATTGCATTTCTTTGGCGACTGTTGGGGATGAACATCTTTGCACACATTCATTTGGCATTTGTTTTCCTATAGTGAACTGTCCATTCATATACTTCGTTAATTCCTCTATTTGGTATTTGTCATGCTTTTATCAATCTGATAAAATTATTTTAATTCATTTCCACTTGAAAAATATACACTAACCTATTATTTCTGCCCAGAGAGGAAGAGTCACCAAATATCAGATACAAATGTGAGCATGGGAGCACTCTAGAAAGGCTAGGAATCACTGCTGGAGGCTGCACGCCTGTACATTAACTTTTTGTCCCTTGGTCCTTAAAATCCTATAGGAAGCAGCCAGGTGACCAGTAAAACAGGCATCCTGCATGGAGAAGGTGCTGTTCCAAATCAAGCAGCCCCAGAGCCTCCTTGGCCCCAGCCCTCCCTAAGTTGTCACCTACTGGGCCCCCACCTCCCTTCACACCGGGTGGTCTCCCTGACAGGTTTGAAGGGATTATCCAGGATCAATATTAGAAATAGTTGTATTTTTTTCTAACTGGAGTTAAGTTTATAAGCTTTTTTTATGTAACCACCAAACACCAGAAATAAAAATCTGGATGAGAGCCAGTTTGACTTGGAGCCAGCACACTTTCCCATAGCCAGGGAGCTCGCCCTTCATCCCAGTTGTTTTTCCCCTAGTTACTGACATTTCCTCCCAAAAGCTGAATCAACTTCTCAAATTCTTCATCTGAGTAATTCAGGCCCCCAGTGATTCCTAGAAATCTTGCCCTCCCAGTCCAGCCCCCACCCCCAGCCCAGCCTCTGACACCTGAGCTGCAACTGGGGCCAGAGGAGGCCCAGGCTCCATGCGGTGGCCCAAGCCACGTGACCTGGCCTCTGGCTCTTAGAAAGTTTCTGGGGGAGTTTTAATTGCCGGCTCTGCAAATGCAAAATGAGGCCCTGGTGGACGGGGGAGAGGGGAGCAAGAGCATCTGCAGGCTGGTCCGGTAAAGAAGGGTGGGAAGAGGTCTTGTTCATACTAATTCCTAACTAAGGGCTAGAAGAAGACCAGCGTCCATGCACAGTTTATCACCCAACACATATGTGTTGAGCACCAGCTGTGTACCAGGCACTCTCCTAGGCACAAGTGAACAAGACCAGCCTGGTCCCTTCCCTGGTAACAGTTACTGCCCGGTGGGAAAGACAGACATGGAACAAGTAATTTCACATCACAAGCTCAATAGTCACAAGTGTGAGAATTCTGCTTATACAAGTGGGAACAATTTCATGGCCTTGCTTATGAGCTCTTTTCCTTTGAAAGGATTCAGAGAAGTGGCAACAAGACTGCCCCAGGGATTTTTGATAGCGCTCCTTTCTTTTGCCTCCTACATTTCAGGGTGGGCCATCCTGGGAAAACAGTCCTCCCTGGCCTGAGTGAGACCAGAAAGGGACGGCATGGGAGAGGCTAGGCAGTGTTGGAGTCACCCTCTCCTCCCTGCTTGGGAAACTGGTCTTGAGGTTCAGCCTTGCCACTCTCATGACCTTCCACAGCACTTGAGACTGGTCCGAGACTCAGCCAGATCACCCCAGGTTGGCCTTGGAAGTCACCTCTGAGTCAGTTCTCACTGACTAGCACATCCAGGGCTCCTCCCCTCATCTCCCTGCTCTTTTCTGCTCAGAACTCATGTTCCAGATGGACTCAGCTGGCAAGTGTTTGAGACATGTCTCAGCATCTTGTGATGTGTTACTGAACCTCTGGGCCTTGTGTGGGCTGAGTCACTGACTCTGACTTGATCCCTGATGCATATTGGCCCCTTCTTCCTGGGTCCAAAAACCAAAGCCCATCTTTGGAATGCAGGCCACAGAGTGCCTGCCACCAGGCCTGGAGGGGACCACTCTCCAGGGAGGGACAGTCAGTTGGACCTATCTGCAGTTTTTCTGTTCTCTCCCTTTTTCCTCTATACTGATTCTTTCTGGGAATGTGTTTGTCAAGGGAAGGGGATATAAGGACCATCCCAGACACTGGGCCTTTCTCCCTCCCAGCTCTCTTCCTCACCTCACTTTTGTTCTACCTGAGCTATGAGACCAAATACAGCTGGGAATCCTGCCTTGACAGGAATATTCTTCTATCAAAAAAGATGAATTGTTTTTCTAGCAACTTGGGGTAGGTGGTGAATCGGTGAGATCAGGAAATGAGAGGGGAGGCAGCTTTTCTCTTGTCATGGTTGAGAGCATGGATGCCAAATTTAGACTGTCTGGATTTAGACTCCGGCATTGCCACTTCCTAGCTGAATCGACTTGGGTAAGTTTCCTGTGCCTCAGTTTCCTCATCTATAAAATATGAATAAGCACCCAACTCATAAGACTGTTGTAAAGATAAAATGAGCTACAACATCACAGAACTGTAAAAAGTCCCTAAGATATAAGCGTTAGTAGTAGTGCTTCTTATTGTTGGTATGATAAGCTCTTAGGGAGGTTCTTGTTTGTAGCTTTTTGCAGCTTCAGGCTGGTATTTTTACATACGGATTCCCTTCTCTGCCTTTTCTGCATCAATACTCCATTGCTACTCTGGCATCTTTTCTTCCATTTCTGCCAATCCAGATCAGTAACAACTGGCTGGACCACCTCCTTTACTCTACTATTTCTGGGAACTAGTTCACCAAGGTTTAGGTGAGAGCTGGACAGGAGAAACTCATTCCTAACTTGAACTCCTCTTTTTTCCCCAAGCCTGAGGCCTTGCTCTTCTATGGCAGTCTTTCCAAGGAGAGCCTGTTTGAAGCATCCATACATCTATTCATTGATCCATTTATTCCATTTGTTCTACAGCCACTTTTTTTTTTTTTTTTTGAGACAGAGTCTCGCTCTGTCACCCAGGCTGGAGTGCAGTGGCACGATCTCGGCTCACTGCAAGCTCCGCCTCCCAGGTTCACGCCATTCTCCTGCCTCAGCCTCCCGAGTAGCTGGGACTACAGGCACCCGCCACCGCCCAGCTAATTTTTTTGTATTTTTAGTAGAGACGGGGTTTCACCGCATTAGCCAGGATGGTCTCAATCTCCTGACCTCATGATCCGCCCACCTTGGCCTCCCAAAGTGCTGGGATTACAGGCGTGAGCCACCGCGCCCGGCCTCTACAGCCACTTTTAAACATCTGTCAAGTACTGTGAGAAGTACTAGCTCTAAAAAGAAAAATGTTCGGTTCTTGTGCTCAAGGAGGTCAAAGTCACAGGCAGTGACAATTCTGGTATATTAAGCGTTGTTATGAATGCAGGAGTGGGGTACTTTAAATGCACAAGGGAGGTACCTGACCCAGTGCTGAGTGTGAGGGGTTAATGATGCTCTGTGCTGGGTTCTGGAAGGTTAAAAGGACTTGGTCAGGTGAAATGAAGAAAGGACATTCCAGGCTGTGAAAGCAGCATCTGCGAAGGCCTGGAGAGAAAGAGAGCAGGCTCAGAGCTTGGTGGGGATTCAGTGCCCACCCCCCGCCACCCCCAGGAAGGAGAGGGAGCATAGCTTGGGGTAGGGGAGGGGGTAATCCAGGAAAGTATGGGGACTGCTCTCTAGCTTTTCCATTGGCGGTCTGGATCTGGCATATTTACCCTACAGTCTCTTACTCTCTAATACTCCATCTCAAATAGTGTCCATAAAAGGGAGTTAGTTTTAGTAATTCTCACATGACCTATATGAAGCTAGAAGGATTTGTTATGTGTTCTATGGTGTTATTAATATGTTTCCAGACTTCTGGTCAAACAACAGATTTAACACATATGTTTAAGCCAGATGCCTTGTAGAAATATCAATAAAATGAGAACAGAAGAAGGAAAATAGGTATACACTCGTGAAGTCAATCAATATAGGAGAGGAGATAATAGCAGATGAAAAATACCAATATGTTTTTGGAATATTAAAATGAGATGAAACAGCTAGAGACTGAAAGGTGTCTTTGATTCGGTTCCCAGTGAAACAGACCCAGAGATGGAAATCTGGTGCTGGAAGTTTACTGGGCAGAGCTCTTGGGTACGTCACCTGTTGGGGAGTGAAAGAAGCAGGACTGAGTAGAGACAGGTGGAGCTGAGATGGAGTCACAGCACAGTCGCAGAAGACCTCATAGGAAGCCCTTCAGAGTGGTCCCAAATTAAGGCAAGGGGCTTAGGCCTTGGGATAACTTTGGATGTGGCAGTTCCCATCATCCATGGTCAATTCCTAGGAATGTCATCAGCCAATACTCCTAGCAGCTGGGAAATGAGACCTCCATCAAAAGGGGGCCATCTGAGTGGTGCGCCCCAACATTCTTAAAAGAGAATTCAAAGGAGAAGCAAGCCCATTCACACCGCAGAACACTGCGGACAAAAGGAGACGTGGGTCTGAAACAGGAACATTGAGAGGTACGCATCTCTCCCCAACCCTGCCAGGGGACCGAAGGTTTACTGTGGAGTAAACTTTAACCAGAGAGGTTTCAGACCCAAAACACCAGATGTAGCAAAGAGGTCCAGGGCAGGCAACTGAAAACAGAAAAACAGTGGAAAGAGTCTTCCAAAAACAGGCAATTCCACATTCTGAATGGGGAGAACTTCAACCATTTTCCTGATCAGCTCAGAGAACCCAGCAGTCAGGTCTACAGAGCCTGGGCAGAAGACTGAAGAATCCTTCTCTAAGAAGACTGGCCAGTGGCGTAGAAAAGCCCTAATGATACTGAGATGATATTCTCAAATGGAAAAACCCAGCCAGCCACTTTATCTCTGTAATGAAGATTAACCAGGCAACAAACCCCACCCATGGTCACATAGCTTTTAATCAGCTTTTCAATACCTCACTCTCAAATATGGTCAGAAGTCAATGATGATACTCATATACTTGAGGAAAAACTCAATGTGAAAGAGTGATCCAAACAGGTAGGTGCCAAAAAGAACTCAGAGGAAACACACAATGCCGGAAGCAAAACAAACAAACAATAACCACAAAAACTCCACAACAATCTTCAATGTCCTCAAAGAGGTAACAAATATTGTTACATTATTGAAATAAGAACTGGATGCTATAAAAAGGAACCATTACAGAATAGAAAGCTAGCAAATTATTTCTTATTCATTTAAGTCCAATCAGTGGAAAAAGACAGTAGAGTGGGGTAGGACTCCACAAAGTTGTTAGGAGCTCCACTGACAAAGACCCTGCCATCTTTAACATGTAGCTTCCAAGATCGCCCTGGACATCTCAACAGGAGAAGACAAAGTGAATCTCCCTGAGAGGCTTTTATGGACCAGGCCTGTAAGTGACAGGAATCATTTCTGCTCACATTCCATCAGCTAAAACTGACATAGTCTAGCTTTGTACTCAGGAAGAAGGATCTGCTTTGATGAACACAGTAGCATCAACCACAAGAAGGGTTGGAAGATAACATCAAGGAAATCTTGCAGCAGGCCTAGAAGTCAGCTAGTCTGATTGAAGCAGGAAATGAAAAGCTTCAGGAGAGAATGTCCCTAGGAAAAAAAAAAAGGAACTGAAAGAATATCAGACCAGGCATGGTGGCTCGCACCTGTAATCCCAGCACTTTGGGTGGCCCAGGTGGGAGGATTGCTTGAGCCCAGGAGTTTGAGACCAGCCTGAGCAACACAGCAAGGCCCCGTCTCTACAAAAAGTACAAAAATTAGCCAAGTAGTACCAGCTACTCAGGAGGCTGATCTCTTGAGCCCGGGAGGTCGAGGCTGCAGTGAGCCATGATCACACCACTGCACTCTAGCCTGGCTGACAGAGTGAGACCCTTTCTAAGGAAAAAAAACAAGAATATCAGATGTTTAACTAAAAAAGGAAATTGATTCAGAGTTTTAAAAGGCTTTTGTGAGTGTAGAAAGAAATCATGACAGTCAATAAAAAAATGAGCAAAGGGAGGCAATTATTACTTACAGAAAGAACAACAGTAATAGAAGAAAATGTAATCACCTAACACCTCATAATAAGATGAAAACTAAATAGTAATTTAACAAAAAATTGTAAAATATCTATTTTAGAAAGATGAAGTTGGGTGAGGGATAGTTAGTGAGAAAATAGTGCTAAATCCTTTTCTTCCACAAAGAAAGTCATGAGGGAACATATGAGAAGTATTGATCTGAGAAATAGCAGGATAGCCTTATTGGTTAGATATATGGAGATAAACACAATATAAAGTAGCAGAAAACACTAAAGAGGAAGACAAAAGGGGTGGGAAGGAATAGGCAGGAGACTTCTGTTGTTGCAGTTTGTAGATGTTGTAATATTATTTGGCTTTTAATACTCTGTATATTATATTACTTCAAAAATAATGACATAAAACGTCTATGGATAGGACCATCTTCAGGCATGACTGGATCCAAGAACTCATATGAAGTCATCAGGACTTGACCCTCTAGGCTTTGCTTTTGTAATATTTTGAAATATATTTTTGCTCATTGTCCTGTTTCCTGACATAAAGCTCCCCAAATCCTTGAAATCTCCTGAGTGATGAGTGTCTTTTGTATATTAATGAGATGACTGGTAGCTGGGGCTCCCAGATAGCCTCAGAATGGGGGCTGGTGGCCAGAGAAACCAGCCATGTGATTAGCGGGGTGGAGCTTTCTACCCCACACCTCCTGACCTCTGGGGAGTGGGGAGGGACTGAAGGTTGGGTTGATAAACCAGTGACCAATAATTTAATCACGATTGAATCATTATATGTAATGAAGCTTACATATAAACCCCAAAGGACTGAGTTCTGGGAACTTGCAGATAGCTGAACACATGGAGGTGCCTGGAGGGTAAGGCACCCAGAGAAGACATGAAAGCTCCAGGTTCCCTCCCACTTTCCTTGCCCTGTGCATCTCTTCACCTGGCTGTTCATCTGTATCCTTTGTAATATACTATATAATAAATGGCTCGATGTAAGTAAACTGTTTCCCTGAGTTCTGTGAGCCGCTTGGCAAATTAACGGAACCCAAGGAAGGGGTTGGGAACACCCCAGTTTATAGCTGGTTGGTCAGAAACACTGGTCACATCCTACACTTGCAACTGGCATTCTGAAGTGGGGGCAGTGTCATGGGACTGAGCCCTCAACCTGTGGGATCTCTTGCTATCTTCAGGAAGACAGTGTGAGAATAGAATAGAATTTGATTTGAAGACACTCAACTTGTATCCATCAGAGAATCATCTGCAGGATTGCTTGGTGTGTGGGGGAAGACCACCCCCACATCTGGTGTCTGAAGTATTATACTGAGTGACTGTGTGAGAGTAGAGGGTAGGAAAAAACACTTTGGTTTGTCCTATATCCCTACAGCTTTCCTTGTGTTGGTTTTCTTTTCAGTCAGGCCCTCTCGTCGCAGCACAGCAACTCCTGGCCTGTGCATTCTTAAAGCTATTAGTGCTAGCAGAAAGGAATGTCGCTTTCCTGATCATTCTGACCAAAGCCCAAGAATTAAATTCTACTGGAGTCGATGGGGGTGGTGGGGGCGGTGTTGCCCAGCATTCACAAAACAAATGGCCTGAGAGTTGGGGATGAGTGGCTACCTGGGGAGTGCTGACAGTAGAAGAAAAGGACCCAGAAAGCAGGCAGACAAAACTAACCGAGTCCATCACAAAAGTCAATGGGTGGAGCAGGCTGCAAAAAATCAGGTCCCCATCCTGCTTAGACCCTGCTGGATTTGGAGGTTTATCTGCATCTCCATGACCTTCCAAGCAAACAAGATTATCTCAACACTCTGCATATGACTCTTTAGTGTGAACTGTTTTTAAAAAATATGTATTGTTGGGATAAGTAGAAAATTGTGATTATTAGTAAAAGTGACCTTTGGAAATGTTCATTAATTATGTGTATTTTTTCTTATGAATCATCTGTCTATGCTCTTTGCCTATACCATTTTATTAATAAATATATTTATCAGGTATCTCAATACATTTAATAATTGTGCAAAGTCTAAAAATATTTCAACATCTAAAAAAAATTTCATAGACTCTTATACAGGTCTCTGGAGATTATCTAGTAGCGTGACTCTCATTTTACAAAAAATCAAACAAAAGCACTGAGAAGGGAAGTGTCAAGCCAGCTCAATGGATGAAGGAACAGAAAATCCAGTCGGATTCTCCATCAGTTAGATGGTGCTGCCTCTTCAATTACTTCTAAATTTGGTCCCCTCAAAGCCACATTTCCTACTCAATTGCCATATCCAGGAATTACAGAGAGCCACTTTAGTTTTCCCACAGTCTGAAGCATTTTTTAAAGATGGGGTAAATAGTGGAGAGGATTTTAAACTATCTTGAAGCCCCTTGCGATTTCACGCTGTAATTTTTTTTTAGGAGGGGAATCTTTTTTTTTTATACACATGACAAGGTTTTACATCAAGAATGGTCAGTTTAATAGTACAAATTTAACATACATGAGGAGTGTTAAAGAAATTCAACTAAAAAACCCACTTCTTCCTGTGACCCATAATCCCAAATTTTACAGTGCAGGGGAGAAGGGGACTGTGGGGAGCATCCAAAACAAGTCTCTCCCAAAAGAAATGACTTAAATTCCACATTCGCTCTCCACACAGGATCCAAACAGTGAGAGTATAATTTACAATTTATCGTTTTCAGCTGTAGATTCCTTTGCTGTTTCTTGTTCTTCTTCATCTGTTCCTACATCCGTTTCTTTGTCTTCATCTTGCTCTGTGTCTTCTGTTGTGTCTTCAAGTTCTTCTTTGGGTTCTTCTTCCACCTTTGCATCAGGGTCAATGTTCAAACTGAGCGAAGGATTCTTTCTATTCTATCTCCATATGCTTTAGTGTCTGGTAAAAGATATCCTGACCGAAGCGTTGCTGTTTCACACAAAACTACAGCAAGAACCAAAACTATTTTATCATCTTCACCTTCCTTAATTCATCAAAGCATGTCTCTGATCAGTGGGTGTCTGGGATTAATTTCAAATGTTTTCTTCTGACTTGCATAGTAATTTGCAGAGCTGTCCTTGCTCGTTTGGTATGCTTGTGCTTTCATGATTCTCTCCGTGTTGCCAGACCGTCCGTACTGGCTGGCCACCAAAGCACACAGAGATTCTGTCAGGTGCTGAGACACCACAGCCTTCTCAATTTTGTCCTTAAGGGCTTTATCTTTCATCCAATTGAGCAGAGGCTCAAATTCTTTCTCAACTGCTTCATGACTCTCCTTAGTTTTCTCACTTTTATCAAACTTCATTCCTTCCTTGACAACATTCTGGAACCTCTTCCCATCAAATTTGGGAAAGGCCTGAATGCAGTGTTCATCCACAGGTTCTGTGAGGTAAATAACTTCACAGCCCTTTTTCAGAAGTCGTTCAACAGATGGAGGAGATTCAGCCTCTTTTCTGCTGGACCCAGCCATGAAGTAGATTTTGTCTTGTTTTCCCTTCATTCTTTCCACATACTGGTCTAGTGTAGTAATGTCAGTTGGATGATGAGAAGACTGGAACATAAGAAGTTTAGCAAGACATGTTTGATTGGAGTGGTCTTCAATCACACCAAGCTTGATGTTGGTACCAAATTCTTTCCAAAAATTATCATTGTATTTCTCACCAGCAATCTTCTTGATCTTGTCCAGAGTTTTACAAACAAGCTTCTTCCTAATCACCTTAAGCAGTTTATGTTGCTGAAGAGTCTCAAGGGAAACATTCAAGGGGAGATCATCTGAGTCCACCACACCCTTGACAAAATTAAGGTACTTAGGCATCATATCATGGAATTCATCTGTGATGAATACACAGAGCACATACAGCTTAATGTAATCACTCTTTTTAGATCCATATTCATCAAATAGACCACGTGGATCAGATGTGGGTACAAATAAAATTGATTTGAAGGTAACTTCCCCTTCAGTGGTAAAGTGAATATAAGCCATGGGGTCATCACTTTCCTTTGAAAATGATTTGTAAAAAGCTTTGTATTCATCTTCTACCTTTTTTTTTTTTTACTTCTTTTGATGGTCTCTGCCATACTGGTTTGATATCATTCATAAGTTCCCAGTCTCAGACAGTGTTTTCAACTTTTTTAGTCTTTGATTTCTTTTCTTCTTTTTCTTCCTCTACTGCAGCTTCATCATCAGATTCTTCTTTGTCTTCTTTTGCTGCTTCTTCTACCTCCATGGGCTCCTCAACAGTTTCAACCTTGCTCCAGCCGCACGGTCTGCCCACCTCAGGCTGTAATTTTAATTTCCCCATTAGCACCTTGCAAATCTCCATTCCAGGTAGCACAGTATTCACCAGCATTTTGCCGTTTACATGACACAAGTTATAGCCAAAAAAGGTTAGTGTAGTGTTGTATCCCTGTCAAGGAATAAGAATGAAATGTGGAGACCAAGCTGTGGAATTTTGTAGGAGGAGGAGTGGAAAGGGTGGAGCAACCATTTCAATGTTGGCCTCAGCGCCTCTTTGCTTTGAAATCCTGGATCCTCAAAAAGTTTCTCACCACAGAAGAGACTGAAAATACCCTGATTGGGAGGAGGCATTCTGTGCTCCTCCCACCATTCCTGCTCAGCATCAGTGATGCAGTGAGCGCGTGGGTCAGTATTAGTCCGTTTTCACGCTGCTGGTAAAGACATACCCGAGACTGGGAAGAAAAAGAGAGTTTTGTCTGTTTGTTTGTTTTTGAGATGGAGTCTCACTCTGTTGCCAGGCTGGAGTGCAGTGGTGTGATCTCAGCTCACTGCAACCTCCGCCTCCCGGGTTCAAGCAATTCTCCTGCCTCAGCCTCCTGAGTCGTTAGGATTACAGGCACCGACCACCACGCCCAGCTAATTTTTGTAGTTTTAGTAGAGACGGGGTTTCACCATGTTGGGGTTTCACCATGTTGGCCAGAATGGTCTTGATCTCTTGACCTTGTGATCCACCCACCTCGGCCTCCCAAAGTGCTGGGATTATAGGGGTGAGCCATCACGCCTGGCTGAAAAAGAGGTTTTATTGGACTAACAGTTCCACATAGCTGGGGAGGCCTCAGAATCATGGCGGGAGGCGAAAGGCACTTCTTACAGGGCAGTGGCAAGAGAAAATGAGGAAGATGCAAAAGCAGAAACCCCTGATAAAACCATCAGATCTCATGAGACTGATTCACTACCAGGAGAACAGTAAGGAGGTAACTGCCTCCATGATTAAAATTATCTCCCACCATGTCCCTCCAACAACACATGGGAATTATGGGGGTACAATTCAAGATGAGATTTGGGTGGGGACACAGAGCCAAACCATCTCATTTTGCCCCTGGCCTCTCCAAATCTCATGTCCTCACATTTCAAAACCAATCATGCTTTCCCAACAGTCCCCCAAAGTCTTAACCAATTCAGCATTAACCCAAAAGTCCACAGTCCAAAGTCTCATCTGAGACAAGGCAAGTCCCTTCCGCCTATGAGCCTGTAAAAAAATATGGGAGTACAATTCAAGATGAGATTTGGGTGGGGACACAGAGCCAAACCATATCAGGGTCCCAGCAGATGTGATTTGTAGAAGAGTAACTGGAGGGTTTAGAGTTTCAAAATGTCAATAGAACTTGAGGGAACGTGATTTTTCCTCGCTGAGGAAACTGTTTGTCCAGAGTAAACTTAAGCAATTGTGTTTTGTTGACTCTAAGTTTCAAGACTAATCAAGTATCTCTTGTAGTGTGGAAGGCTAACTGCTGAACTCTGTATTTTTATCTGTTAACTGAGTGTTTCCTTTTTCCTTGATGGTGTGTACCGCTCAAGTGATTATAGATCAGACAGTTGTCTCAATTAAGCTGCTGGCAAGAAAAGAGTAGAATTATTTGAAGTGTAGGCAATAAAGAGGTTTAGCATTATGGAGAGATGGCTCTAGAGCTTCAGATGAACAAAACTTCAGTAATAACAGCAGGAGGGCAGTGTTAAAGCTAATAATAATAGTTAGAGCACTTAGTATGCACCAGACATTGTACGAAACCTTTGCAAGCATTATCTCACTTAATTTCCACAACAATCCATGAGGTAGGTACCATTATGCTCACATCACAGATGAAGAGAATGAGGCTCGGAGTGGTAAAGTTACTTGCCCAAAATCATATGGTAAACTTCTTGGGACCACAGCAAGCAATCTGACTCCAGGATCCTAGGATCCTAAGCTTTCTCTATACAATCTCCATGAATACTCTGGAGGTTGTAGCCTCTGCTCTTGAAATAGTAGCTGCTCAAAAAATATGAGCCAATTGAATGAATAAATGCTCTGTAGTAGGCTGTTCTTTCAGTGCTATAAAGAAACACCTGGCCAGGCATGGTGGCTCACGCCTGTAATCCCAGCACTTTGGGAGGCTAAGGCGGGCAGATCATGAGGTCAAGAGATCAAGATCATCCTGGCCAACATGATGAAATCCTATCTCTACTAAAAATACAAAAATTAGCTAGGCATGGTGGCACATGCCTGTAGTCCCAGCTACTCAGGAGGCTGAGGCAGGAGAATCGCTTGAACCAGGGAGTCAGAAGTTGCAGTGAGACGAGATCGCGCCACTGCACTCCAGCCTGGTGACAGAGTGAGACTCTGTCTCAAACAAACAAACACAAACAAAAACACCTGAGACTGGATAATTTATAAAGAAAAGAGGTTTAACTGGCTCACGACTCTGTATGCTTCACAGGAAGCATGATGCTGGCATCTGCTCAGCTTCTGGGGAGGCCTCTAGAAGCATGCAGTCATGGAAGAAGGCGAAGAGGAGGCAGGCACATCACATGGCCAGAGCAGGAGCAAGAAAGTGAGGTGCCACACACTTTGAAACAGCCAGATCTCACAAGAAGTAACTCACCATTTCAGGGACAGCACCAATGGGATGGTGCTAAACTATTCATGAGAAATCCACCCCCCAGGATCCAATCACCTCCCACCAGGCCCCACCTCTAATACTGGGGATTACAATTCAACATGAGATTTGGGTGGAGACAAACATACAAACAATATCATGCTCCATGGTGCCAAGTCCTGGGTCAGAGTCAGGTGGCTGAGTGCTCTGCAAGCCTGAAGGGAGGCCTGAGAGCTGCATTAAGATGGCCTTTCAAACTCCTCAGAATTTTGTTTGAATGTAGAACCTTTTGAATAATTGTCACAGTAATGCCTCATCTTTGTTTTAGCAGTGTTTAAGAGGCCGAGGCAGGCAGATCACAAGGTCAGGAGTTCGAGACCAGCCTGGCCAATATGGTGAAACCCCGTCTCTACTAAAAATACAAAAAAAATTAGCCGGGTGTGGTGGTGCACACCTGTAATCCCAGCTACTCAGGAGGCTGAGGCAGGAGAATTGCTTGAACCCGGGAGGTGGAGGTTGCGGTGAGCTGAGATAATGCCACTGCACTCCAGCCTGGGTGACAGAGGGAGACTCCATCTCAAAAAAAAAAAAAAAAAAAAAAGTGGTAATTATTATGTTTACCACAGTTATTTTTTAAGGGGGGAAAAATGGTAATTCCTGAATATGCAGTGAAAGGGGTTGGTTAAATAAATTATGAAAACACATATGACAGAATACTTAGCCATTAAAAATCCAGTTGTATAAGAATACCACAGGACATAAAAACATATTTTTGATATATTGTCCAGGGGAAAAGGCTGGTTACAAAGTAGAGTATTATCCCAATAATGTACATACATTTATGCATACAAAAATATCTGGAAGAAGATACATTAATACATTAACCATAGTTATTTCCATGTGGTAAGAGTGTAGGTAGTTTTAATTTTCTTCTTTGTGATTAAATTTTTTTTCAAATTTTCTACAGTAACTATATATACATTTTCTAATCAGAAAAAGCAATAATTTGATTTTTCTTTTTTTCTTTTTTTTTTTTTGAGACAGAGTTTCACTCTTGTTGCCCAGGCTGGAGTGCAATGGTGCGATTTCAGCTCACCACAACCTCTTCCTCCAGGTTCAAGCGATTCTCCTGCCTCAGCCTCCGGAGTAGCTGGGATGATAGGCATGCACCACCAAGCCTGGGTAATTTTGTATTAGTAGAGACAGGGTTTCTCCATGTTGGTCAGGCTGGTCTCAAACTCCCGACCTCAGGTGATCTGCCCATCTTGACCTCCCAAAGTGCTGAGATTACAGGCACGAGCCACTGTGCCCGGCCTTATAATGTGATTTTTAAAAGGAGTTATAATCAAATTTTGATCTTCACTTTAAAATTAAGGTATGTGTCCAGGCACAGTGGCTCATGCCTGTAATCCCAGCACTTGGGGAGGCCGAGGCAGGAGGATCACCTGAGGTCAGGACTTCAAGAACAGCCTGGCCAACATGGTGAAACGCTGTCTGTACTAAAAATACAAAAATTAGCTGAGCATGGTGGTGCACACCTATAATCCCAGCTACTTGGAAGGCTGAGGCAGGTGAATCGCTTGAACCCAGGAGGTGGAGGCTGTTGTGAGCTGAGATCAGGCCACTGCACTCCAGCCTGGGCGACAGAGTGAGACTCCGTCTCAAAAAAAAAAAAATTAAATAAAATTAAGATATGAAGTTGCAACTTAATGAAAGACACAATATAGTTTGTAAAAACATGACTAGCCAAAATATAAAGTTAAATCCGAAAAAAATTACAGTACAGGGAAGAGAGAGTTTTCCTAGCCCAACACTCAAATCCCTTTCTGTGCTGACCTTTGACATCACTATGTCACCCTAACATAAGCCACCTTATGAATCTTCCAATTCTTATCTTCTCCCTCACTCCTCCTCCCTCAACCTCCTCATATCCCTCCCTTCATGGGCCACCTCACCCCAATCCCCAGGCCTGGCTTTAAGGGCTGACCTCCACACAGAAGAGGCCCGATTCCACAGCAGCCCACACCAGCCCTGACCTCTCAGAACTCTGAGGTCCTGGGAAAGGGAGCCTGACCCCGACCCTCCTTGAGAGAAGGAAGTGGCAGTGAGATGCCCTCACCAGGCCTGCTCCCAGCCTGCCTTATCCCTGGTACAGAGGCTGGGGTTTCCTGCCCGGAAGCACTAGGCCCGAACACAATGGGGGTTATCAGTCACCATCGGGGGATTAGGACCACGGGAGCCCTCCACTTAATGGTCAGGTTTCCAGGCCTTTCCTGCATGAATCTTTACTTCCGTGGAAGCTCTTGTTTTGGTCTTTTCCAAGACGGAAACCCTTCCCCCAGCTTCCCACCCCTCTTTAACCCTGGGTCAGCACCCTTTCACTTCCCAGCCTTTCCTACGTTGGGTCTGAGTCAACTTAAATTGATAATAAGAGCCTGGGTAAGGAAAGTGTTTCTGCTCTTTCTAGACCTTTTTTTCTTTTAAAATTATAGGTAAAACAGACGCATTAATTTAATTGGCTTCCATGATGAGACGAATAATTTCATCAACTGAACAAATTAACAAATGATACCTGAATTGAGATTTAAGTTCTTAATCTAACAGTTGGCTTATTTAGAAGCCCTTAATAGAGGATCTTTCCATATTAAAAAGCAGAGGTATTAATAATTAGTTTATTTATAAGAAAAAGGTTTTTTTAAAAGCGTAACTTATCATGTTGAAGCTTTTATAGTAAAAACGGCGGAATTGCTTTACTATCTCGGAAAATAATAAGTACCACTTACTGAATGCTTATATGTATTAAATAGTTTATTCATATTAGCTTATTCAGCCCTAAGGATCACTTATTTTATGAATGACAAAACTGGCCCTCCGAGAGGTTGAATAACTCACTGAGATCACCCGCTATGTAAATGTCAGGGCTGAGTTTTGAACCCAGCCTGTGTGACCTCACAGTCTTTAGACCTTGCATTATACTACTGCCTCTCAAAGTAGCTGAAACAACTCACATCTACCAACATTCTCCAGTATTAGTGTAGGTATTAGACATGGGTTTACATTTGAAAGCTTGTCTCCCTCCCTAACTCCAAGCACAACTTCTCAAAACTCACCACTGTTACCCAAGGACTTTAGCAGCTGTAAGCTCAGAAAACATGAAAAGATAATGGTGTTGGTTTTCACGACCCTCATGTAATTCAAAAGAAAAACTACACTAAGCCACAAAGTGTTAACAAGGTAAACAAAGGTATGATTTTTCTAATACATGTGTCTGTGTATGTGATGATATATATGATATGAGATACTTTTCAAACAATTTTGGGGGTATTCCTGCCTTCCTGGACCTTAAGCGCATGTTTATCTGCCTATTGGATAATTGAGTATTGCCAACTCCCACTTCCCGAATTGGATGTGGGAAAAGAGCAAAGAAAAGGAAAAGAAAGGATGAAGGGACCAGGAGTGGTGGCATATGCCTATAGTCTTAGCTACTCAGGAAGCTGAGATGGGAGGATCCCTTGAGGCCAGGAGTTCAAGGCTGCAGTCAGCTATGATCACACCACTGTACTCCAGCCTGGGCAACAGAACAAGACCCCATCTCTATTTAGAAAAAAAAAGGGGGGGAAAGAAGGAAGAAAAGGACATCTGCTCAGAAGTGGAGATGGTGGTGGTGGGGATTAACATTTGCGAACTCCTGCAAGCTTCACTCTGACCTTTTCTGCAGGAGGGTGAGATCCTGAAGGGAGAAAGCCCTTGATTGGGGGGTAAAGGGCATCCAGGGTCTGGGGGCACAGCCCTGCCTCCTAGTGCGAGGCCTGCTCTGACTCAGCCCGGGAGGGCAGCCAGACCTGCGCCTCCCTGTTTCCACTGATTTCCACTGGGACCCATTGCAGAATGACTCAAATGAGCTCTGCTGCCCTGAGAAGCCTGAGGGATGTCAGTGCCTGCTCTGGGCAAACACCTCAACAGTCAATTTAAGTTATTTAATTAATTTTTATGACATCCAGTCAGCCTGTCTGAGGGGTGAACCTCTGAGATCATGATGACACATGTGGCTGTGGCTCCTGGGATCTCTGCAGTTTCTGTGGTTTCCATGGGGCTTCAGTCCCATGCAGGGCCACTGGCTGTGCTTTGAGGAACGCCATCCAGAACGTGGTCCATGTGAGAACATGTGAGGGACGACAGTGGGCACTTTTCAGGGAAGGATGGAGGCTCTGCAATCAGAAAAGCCACCTTGCCACGCCCCTTGGGTGAGGTGACTTCATGCAGTGGATGCCTCTCTGGCCTCCATATGAAAGATGAAACTGTGGGTTCCTTTGGGGTGCTGGGAGAGCCATTTACCTTGGGGGAGCTTGGAGGCTTTCCAGAGGAATCCAAATTTATCTACTAAGAGCACTGAAGTTTCCTGGAGGGTTCTGATGTTGATTGGGGAGTCTTCTTCCCATTGCCTTGGATAATCTGTTCAGGGGTTTGTGAAGTTTGTGGCCTAGAAGCCCTAGGGTGATTCTCTGTGTATTGGGAAGGTGCTGCTATTCAGTGAGACCTCAAAGGTCTTATAACCTGGACAAGGGAAAGAACCATAATGAGGAAATTTGGCTTTCTCTGCTGGGACTGCTCCAACAGTGAGGAGCAGAAAGGTGGGGTGGGATACTCACTCAGGCCTAAGGCCCACAGGTGGCTGGGAAGTGAGATCTGTGGAAGGGGCTTTTCCACAGTTACTGACACCACCAAAACTCATGCTTTCCTCCTTTATTGCAACCAGTCCTCTCTCCTAGTACCCCTTTGGGAGGCAGCCCCAATACCAACTTCCCCTA
Source organism: Homo sapiens (assembly GCF_000001405.40). Lineage (NCBI taxonomy): Eukaryota > Metazoa > Chordata > Mammalia > Primates > Hominidae > Homo > Homo sapiens. Next base: position 91,635,089 of record NC_000001.11, on the reverse strand, counting down.
CCTGGGGTGAGAGGAGGGCGTATCCTCCCTGGGTCCGCAGGCTCAACCCAGCCACCATCTCAAAGTTCAACCCGTCCATCATTCAATACTAGGCCAAGTTCTTCCTGCTGAGAAGGAAGCCACCTCTGCTGCATCCTATGGCCTTCCTGCTGGAATGCCCACTTGCTCTAGGCAGCAAGTACAGGTTGCTGTTTCTGACAATCAGTTATTGAGTTCTTGGTTTCTTGTTCCCAGATCTCAATTCAGTAAGTTTCCAGATGTGACTTACAATATAACAGGAAAAGATGGCTTGGAAGACAAAGGAGGTCCATTCCCTCTTCTCTAGGATAAAGGATGATTTTAAGGACAGGGCCTGGTCTTTAAAGATTCTTTGATATAAGTAATATGTGCTTTGGGAATTCATAATCTTTTCAAGGGGCTTTTTCATTGCATTGAGGAAAGTACTGTAGCTTCATTTGACAAATGAAGGCATTGAAAAACAGAGAGGTGAAGTTATTTCACATTCAAATAGGATGTAAGGACTGAACTTGAAGTTCTTCGTAGTTTAAAATTCTGTCCTACCACGTTCCTCTGGGAGGAAGCCTAGGGAATCTAAGGAGTCTTCAGTCATAAAAATGGGTGGCTTAAATGGATCATTATCAGGTTGGTGGTAACATGTATCAAAAGCATTGTGATTAGCCAGGTGTGGTGGGGCAAACCTGTAGTCCCAGCTACTTGGGAGGTTGAGGCAGGTGGATCACTTGAGCCCAGGAGTGCAAGTCTGCTGCAGTGAGCTATGATTGTGCCACGGCACTCCAGCCTCAGTGACAGAGTGAAACCCTGTCTCTAAAAAAATTAAAAATAAAAAAAGCATTATGAATGCTCTTGGACTCAGCAGCTCCACTTCTAGATCTCTCCTGGGAAATCAATCAGAATGCTGCAAAGATATTGTTAAATAAAGTTTATGGGAGGCCATTGGTTTGGACTCAGTTCCTGCAGTTGGCTGAACAGACCAGACCAAACCAGAATGGACTCACTTGTGCTTCATAATCAAGCTGTACTTAGATCAGTTTTCCAGAAAACAGGAGATCACAGCAACCTATCCAAAAAGGCCTGGTCAGCTGGGCACAGTGGCTCACGCCTGTAATCCCAGCACTTTGGGAGGCTGAGGTGGGCGAATCACTTGAGGCCAGGAGTTTGAGACCAGCCTAGCCAACATAGCGAAACCCCGTCTCCACTAAAAAGACAAAAAAATTAGCCTGGTGTGGTGGTGCATGCCTGTGGTCCCAGCTACTTGGGAGGCTGAGGCATGAGAATCGTTTGAATCCGGGAGGTGGAAGTTGCAGTGAGCCATGATCCTGCCACTGCACTCCAGACCGGGCCACAGAGCAAGGCTCTGTCTCAAACAACAACAACAACAAAAACCCAAAAAAGCCTTGACAAACTGAATCAGCATAAGGAAGCTCCCTCTACTTTAGCCATATAAGGAAAGTAACCTGAAGTAACCTGCTGTTAACCAATTCACTTTTTGCACTCTGCTGTTCCCTTGTTGCTGCTCAAGCTACCTTACAAAAACCAACTGTTCTGCCATGCCCAGGAGAACACCTTTCTATTCTGTACATGAGATGCTGCCTGATTCATGAATCACTAATAAAGCCAATTAGATCTTTAAACTCAGTTTGTTGAAATTTTTTCCTTGACAATATATAGGTAATGACACTCATTGATAGGACTGCTTCTAATGCCAAAAAGTTATAAATAGCCTAAGCATTGAACAATAGGGAATACATAATTCGGTTCTCCATTATGTACCATTGAAAATGATGTTATAGAACAGTATTTATTGTTAAGAAACAATGTATTGTTAAATGAATAAAGAGGGCTTCAAAACAGTATGTGTAGTATAATCCCATTTTTAATTTAAAAAGTATCCATCTGAGAAAAATATTAGAGTGATATTATTTCTGAATAGTTTTACTTTTTTCTCAATGTTTTATAAATTCTCTGAATTGAATATGCATGCCTTTTTAGTAAAAACACACTAATATTGTTGAAAAAACAATACTGAAGATGGTAACTAAGAGAAAACATTCTCTACAATGCTCAAAAGAAGGCAATGAAGGTTCTGAGTACAGGGAGAGAGAGGTGGGAGTATGGGCACTTAGCGATCTTACCCAACAGCCTTAGCAAGGACCTCAGGTTCAAATAGGATTTAAGGACTGAACTTGAAGTTCTTATTTCATTCATCTTGAGCCTCGACGCTTTTTCAGCTGCCCATCACCCAGCCTTGCAGAGAGGACACAAACTCCTGTTAAGGCTTCTCTCTGGGATTTAATAAGAATAGCTTATGTTAAGTACTACTTATAGGTTCTATACATTACCTCTCAAAACAGGAATTAGTAATAATAATAATAACAGCTGAAAAGTAGTCAATGGTTTCTGTTTACCAATGCTTAGGCATTTAACATCTATTAACTCATTTTCTTTTTTTTGAGACAAAGTTTCCCTCTTCTTGCCCAAGCTGGAGTGCAGTGACGTGATCTTGACTCACTGCAACTTCCGCCTCCTGGGTTCAAGTGATTCTCCTACCTCAGCCTCCCGAGTAGCTGGAATTACAGGTGCCCACCACCATGCCTGGCTAATTTTTTGTATTTTCAGTAGAGACCGGGTTTCACCATGTTGGCCAGGCTGGTTTTGAACTCCTGGCCTCAAACTATCCACCCGTCTTGGCCTCCCAAAGTGCTAGGATTACAGGTGTGAGCCATCGTGCCCGGCCCTATTAACTCATCTTTATTTCTCTTTCATTTAAGTCTCTCTCCCACACTTCCCAATTGATCTGTCCATAAATCCTGTTGGTTCCTCATTCAAAATATATACAGATGCTAATCCTTCCTAATCACCTCCTCCACTAGCACCCTAAGCCACCTTCCTGTCCCACTGAGGCAGTCTTCCATTGGTCTTCCTGATGCTGCAGCCCTGCGGTCTATTTTCAACAGAGCAGCCATAGGTATTTACATGTAAATCAGATCAGTGTGATAATCTGGTCAAAATCCTTTGATGGCTCTTCTGGCTCAGAGAAAAAAGCCAGATTTCTTACAACAATCTATAGTAAGGCTCTACGTGATCTGGTCCAGTCTTCCTTTGTACCTCCCCCGACCCTCACCCAACACACCTTACACCCCATCATCTTTTCTCTCCCCTCTCTGTCACTCAGCTGTCGCTGAGCTGGCTTTCTTACTGCTTCTAGAACACCCAGAGGCAGACTGCTGCCTCAAGGCCTTTTTCTACCAGGAGTGCTTCACCCCCAGATTAACCACAGGACTTGCTCCCTCAGGACTTCCCTAAAATGTCACCTTCTCAGTGAAGCCTTTCCTGATCAACTTAAAATGAAACATTCCATCCATCACCCTATTCACCTTCTTCCCATTCCTCATATATATATATGAAATTTACATATATTTGTGTATATACTTTTTCTGCAACACAAATTCTCACCTAACACATGCGTCATTTGATTGTCTCCTCTTACTGGAACGTTAGCATTACAAGGGCTAGGTTATGTTCTTTGCTCTATCCCCTACACCTAGAATAGTACTTGCACCTAGGGTGCACTCAACAAATATTTTTGTTGAATAAATGAATGAAGGAATCAATAATTTCTTCATAAAAACTTTTGAAGGCATTATCTGAATTTTACAGTTTAATAAACTAAGATTCAGGAGGTTAAAAATTAACATATTATTTTAATTAATTTTGTATCCAACACGAATCCCTGCAATTGCATTTTTAACAGTTTTATTGAGATATAATTTGCATACTATACAATTTACCCATACAATTCAATGGTTTTTAGTATATTCACAGTTGTGTAACTGTCACCGCAATCTAATTTTAAAACAGGGAAACCCTGTTCCCATCAGCAGTTGCTCCCCTTCTTCTCCCCAATCCCCCCAGCCCTAGGCAACCACTAAACTTACTTTTTGTCTCTATAGATTTGTCTATTCTAGACATTTCATAGAAACAGAATCATACAATGTGTGTCTTTTGTGACTTCCTTCTTTCACTTAGCATAATGTTCAAGTTTCATTCATGCTGTAGTATGTATTAAAACTTCATTTCTTTTCATGGCTGTATAATATTCCACTGTGTGGCTACAAGACATTTTATTTATTCATCAGTTTATAGACATTTGTTTTTGCCTATTATTAATAATGCTTTTATGAGCATTCATGTACAAGTTTTTGTGTGGATGTATGTTTTCACTTCTTTTGGGTCCATACCTAGAACTGAAATTGCTGGGTCACATGGTAATTCTATATTTGGCCTTCATGAGGAACTTCTAGATTGTTTTTCAAATTAGCTATACCAGTTTACACTTCCACCAGCAGTGTATAAGAGCTCCAATTTGTCTGTGTTCTCAGCAACACTTGTTATTACCTTTAAAAAAAAATTTTAGCCATCTTAGTGGGTGTAAAGTAATATCTCATTGTGGTTTTTATTTACATTTACCTAATAACTAATGATATGAAACATCTTTTCATATGCTAATTGGTTGTTTATATATCTTTGGAGAAAATATTCTGAACTTTTACCCTGTTTTATAATTGTTATTGAATTGTAAGAGTTCTTCATATATTCTAGAGTTCCTTATCATACATATATTTTGCAAATATATGCTCCTATTTGATGGCTTGTTTTTCTACTTTTTTGATAGTATCAGTGGGAAGAAAGTTTTAATTTTAATGGTGTCAAATTTATCTTAGTTTTTTCACTTGTGCTGTTGCTGTTGAATCTAAGAAGACTCTTGACCTAAGGTCACAAAGATTTATTTTTATGTTTTTTTTCTTTTCTTTTTTGAAGAAGGGTCTTGCTCTGTTGCCCAAGCTTGGGTGTAGTGGCAATCCTGGCTCACCATAGCCTCAGCCTCCCAGGCTCAAACAATTTATCCTCCCACCTCAGTCTCCAGAGTAGCTGGAACTATAGGCACATGCCACCATACCTGACTAGCTGTTTTTTTTTGTTTTTTTTTTTTTCAATTTCTTGTAGCAACAGGGTCTCACTTTGTTGCCTAGGCTGGTCTCAAACTTCTGGTCTCAAGCAATCCTCTTGCCCTTGCCTCCCAAAGTGCTGGGATTGTACCTGGCCCTTTTTATTCTAAGTGTTACATTGTATAGGTTTATCTCTTTCACTTAGTTCTATAATCCATTTTGAGCTAATTCTTGTGTATGGTGTAAGGAAGAGATTCACCTTCATTCTTTTGCATGTGGATGTCCAGTTTTCACAGAACCATTTGTGGAAGACTATTTCTTCCCCATTGGAGAAAAAAGTCTTGGTACACTTGTCAAAAATCAATCGATCATAAATATAAGGATTTATTTCTCTACTCTCAATTCTATTCCATTAATCTATATATCTATCTTTATGCCCCAGTAAAATGCTGTCTTGATTGCTGTAGTTTTGAAGTACTTTGAAATCAGAAAATATGAGTCCTTCAACCTTGTTCTTCTTTTTTCAAGATTTTTTTTTTTTTTTAGCTATTCTGGGTCCCTTGTCTCTGTGTAAATTTTAGGGCCAACTTACTAATTTCTGAAAAAAAGACAGCTAGGATTTTAATAGGGACTGTGCTGAATCTATAGATCAATTTAAGGAGTATTGTCATTTTAATAACATTAAGCCTGCCAATCCTTGAACATGAAATGCCTTTCATTTATTTAAGTATTTAATTTCTTTCAGTGATGTTTTGTTTTCAATGTATATATCTTACACTTATTTTATTAAATTTATTCCTAAGTATTTTGTTCTTTTTGATGCTATTGTAAATAAAATTGCTTTTTTCATTTCTTTTTTAGGTTATTAATGTATAGTATATAGAAATACAACTGATATCTGTATATTGATCTTATATTTTACAGCCTTGCTGAAATAGTGAGTTTTACTTCTTCTTTTCCAACTGGGATGCCTTTTATACCCTTTTCTTGCCTTACTGCACTGACTAGAACTTCTAGTACAATATTCAATAAAAGTGGCAAGAGCAGATATCTTTGTTTGTTTCCTAATCTTTAGAGGAAAACAGTCAGTCTTTTATTCAAAGTATGATGTTAGCTGTCAGTCTTTTGTGGATAGTCTTTAGCAGGTTGAGGAAGTTACCTTCTATTCCCAAACTGTTAAATATTTTTATCATGAATGGGTGTTGGATCTTGTCAAACGCTTTTTCTGCATCTGTTGGGATGATCATCTAATTAGTTTTAAATTTTTTTTTTGGTTGTTGTTTTAGAGATGGGGTATCATAACTCACTGCAGCCTCTACCTTCTGGGCTCATGCAATCCTCCTGTCTTGGCCTCCCAAAGTGCTGAGATTACAGGCATGAACCACCACACCAGGACTAATTTTTGTTTTTATTTTGTTGATATGGTATCTTACATAAATTGATTCTCTGATGTTAGACCAACCTTGCATTTCTAGGATAAATCCCACTTGGTCATGGTATATAATCTTCTTTACAAATTGCTGGATTTGATTTGTTAGTATTTTACTGAGGATTTTTGTGTCTATATTCATAAGAGATATTGGTCTGTAGTTTTCTCGTGATGTCTTTGTTTGGTGTGGTATCAGGGTAATGCTGCCTTTACATAACATATTTGGGAGTATTCTCTCTTATTGTCTTTCTTTTTTTTTTTTTTTTTTTTTTTTTTGAGATGGAGTCTCGCTCTGTCGCCCAGGCTGGAGTGCAGTGGTGCGATCTCGGTTCACTGCAAGCTCCGCTTCCCAGGTTCACGCCATTCTTCTGCCTCAGCCTCCCGAGTAGCTGGGACAACAGGCACCCGCCACCATGCCCAGCTAATTTTTTTTGTATTTTTTAGTAGAGACGGGGTTTCACCGTGTTAGCCAGGATGATCTCCATCTCCTGACCTCGTGATCCGCCCACCTAGGCCTCCCAAAGTGCTGGGATTACAGGCGTGACCCACCGCACCTGGCCGCTTCTCTCCTATTTTCTAAAAAAGTTTGTGAAAGATTGGTTTTAATTATTCTTTAAATGGTTGGTAGAATTCATCAGTTTAAAGGCATCAGGACCTGGAACCTTTTTTTTTTCTTTTTTGAGACGGAGTCTGGCTCTGTTGCCCAGGCTGGAGCGCGGTGGTGCGATCTCGGTTCACTGCAAGCTCCGCCTCCTGGGTTCACGCCATTCTCCTGCCTCAGCCTCCCGAGTAGCTGAGAATACAGGCACCCGCCACCTCGTCCGGCTAATTTTTTGTATTTTTAGTAGAGACGGGGTTTCACCGTGTTAGCCAGGATGGTCTCGATCTCCTGACCTTGTGATCTGCCCGCCTCGGCCTCCCAAACTGCTGGGATTACAGGCGTGAGCCACGGCGCCCAGCCTGACAACCTGGACATTTTTTTAGGAGAAGTTTTAAAATTACGAATTTAGTCTCTTTACTTGTTATCGGTCTTGTCTTACGTGTTCCTGTGAAGAGACCCCCAAACAGGCTTTGTGTGAGCAACATGGCTGTTTATTTCACCTGGGTGCAGGCAGGCTGAGTCCGAAAAGAGAGTCAGCAAAGGGTGGTGGGATTATCATCAGTTCTTACAGGTTTTGGGATAGGCGGTGGAGTTAGGAGCAATGTTTTGGGGGCAGGGGGTGGATCTCACAAAGTACATTCTCAAGGGTGAGGAGAATTCCAAAGAACCTTCTTAAGCGTGGGGGAGATTACAAAGAACCTTCTTAAGGACAGGGGAGATTGCAAAGTATATTGATCAGTTAGGGTGGGGCAGAAACAAATCACAATGGTGGAATGTCATCGGTTAAGGCTATTTTCACTTCTTCTGTGGATCTTCAGTTGCTTCAGGCCATCTGGATATATACGTGCAGGTCACAGGGGATATGATGGCTTAGCTTGGGCTCAGAGGCCTGACAGGCCTATTCAGGTTTTCTACTTCTTCCTGAGTCCGTTTCTGTAGTATGTGTCTTTCTGGAAATTTGTCCATTTCATCTAAGTTGTCTATTTTGTTGATATACAGTTGTTTATAATATTACATTATAATCCCTTTTGTTTTTCTAAGATCAGTAGTGATGTCCTGCTTTCATTCCTGATTTTAGCTGCAATTGCATTTTAATGCAAAGGTAGTATGTGACTATGGAGCCTTGAGACATTTTTATTCAGGAAAACAAGTGTCTGGAAATTAGTAAGATTTTAAAGGGAGTAATATAAACTATAGAACCAGTAGTATTTTAATGAAAGGTAGTTCCAGCAGTGCTAGGCCCAGCTCCTAAGAACTGTCGAAGATCTGGAAAGTCAGGGAGAGTATCTCTGTGTATTGTGATTGTACCATTGGAGTCCTATGGTATTACCAGAAAAGGCATGTCTCAGCACATAGAGCAGCTGGGAGTTATCTGGTACCATATAAAAACATTTTTATGGGCAGAAATAATTTGAAAAGGAGGTTAAAGTTGTCATTAAATTAGCCACCCTTATTCATTTCTATGATAAGATCATAAAGGGCAGAGTTCACCTAACTCCTTATTGGTTTCTTGAATGGTTTTCGGAAAAGCAGTTTAGAAGAAAGGGAAAAATCATAGGATTTTTAAATTCACACAAACCATGTGGCACAAGCAAATTTGTTAGTTATTAAATGTTTAGCTAGGGGATTAATAAGCCATTAATGGGCTAGAATGTTTAGGAGAATGGTAACATAGGTCTAAGGATTGTTACTGACTTGGGGATATTCTAGTGCGTTCAGACTTTAGTTGAAGTTGAATGTATTTCCCATTTTTCTTATAATTGCACAAATTAACATTTTTTTAATATAAGAAAATTAGGTCCTAAATGCAACATGCCATGCTAAGCCCTATCATAATACTAAAAATCAAAGGTCATTCTTCCCACTGAGTTTAAGGGAAAAAAAAGTAAAAAACAAAACAAAACAATACAAAACCAAATGTGAGTCCCACGAAAGCAGGGACTTTGGTTATCTTATTTTGTAGTTGTGTCCCAAGCATAGTGCTGTAAACCATGAGGACCCCCAATGGTGAATAAGTGAATGATTAATAGTAGCTGCCTGTCACTAGGTTTCACTGTAAATAATAATAATGAAAACCCCCTTTTTGTTGAAGAGATATCACAGCTCAAAGGCAAAAAACCCTCTCCCTGCAACTTTCAAAGTGCAGCTATAAAATTCCCCTGAAGAAGCGGTCCCCTGAGTGATAAAGCGTCCCAACTCGAAGTTTCAAAACTCAGCCTGTCGGGCATATCAGAATCTTGAAACAATCACGTTTAAAAACACTGTTGTTGTAAGGATTTTATTTGATTTAAATGTTGTTTCTCTTGGAAAAGTCTTGTTTTTCTAAGCAAGTTAGATGGTTGAACTGGGCATACTGGGAAAAGAGAAAAAGATGTTTTAAAAAAGGAGAATATGGTTACTTTTTTGTAGGAGTCTCTATGGAGTTTCTGATACCTTACATTTAACTTCACCAATAAATGCTTTTTTATCCAAGAATAGATTGAAATGCAATTTTATGTCAAGAATTTTCCTAAGACTAGCTAATCATAACCTTTCTTATGGGGTTATGAGGAGTTAATGCTCTAACGTATGTAAAGTACCTGAATACACAAGACAGTCATTCACTGCAGCAAGTTTATTACTTTTGTAGACAACTTCTGTCCTTATTTAACATTTTGATATTTTCTTCACTGTGGATTTTCTAAAAGTAATTTTGATTCATTAAAGGATTGCATTAAAATGTTATTTATCTTGATTACTGAACGTTTTGGCTCCCCCTAAATTTTGTGCCTGAAGCAAGTCCCCCCTTTGCCTCACCTTAGCCCCAGCCCTGGTGGATAACTCAGTGATCTGGGGATGATTTAACAAGGTTGTGCAGTGTGTACCAGGCCTATTCCTCCTTATACTGAAAACTGTTGGCTTTGTGGAGAAGCAGTGTCATCACAGTTATTTGGTGATAATGAACACAGTTCCGCCTAGCCACTCTTGATTGAACTGGGTTGATCACCTGATCCAAAGACATCCAGTCCATGGACTGCCCAGTGATCATTTGTATGCCTGGGCTTACAATGGTGAGGCAGGCTAATCAGATTCCTTTCTGATTGAAAGGGTCTAATGACTTTAAATACGGAAATTGAATAGAAGTATTTACAAGTGAAATGAAACGATTTCTGGGATTTGCTTTAAAATAAAAAAAAAAAAAGAGAGAGGTAAACAGAAGTTTATTTTTATTTAAAAAAACCTTTTATTTTAGATTCAGGGGTACATGTGCAGGTTTGTTATATGGGTAAACTTGTGTCATGGGCATTTGTTTGTTGCACAGATTATTTAGTCACCCAGGTACTAAACCTAGTACTCAATAGTTATTTTTTCCTGCTCCTCTCCCTCCTCCCACCCTTCATTCTTAGGTAGGCCCCAGTGTGTGTTGTTCGAGTTGTCCATGTGTTCTCATCATTTAGCTCCCACTTATAAGTGAAAACACACAGTACTTGGTTTTCTTTTCCTGCATTAGTTTGCTAAGGATAATGGCCTCCAGCTCTGTCCGTGTTCCTGCAAACGATATGATCTTTTTCTTTTTTATGGCTGCATGATATTCCATGATGTATATATACCACATTTTCTTTATCCAGCCCACATTGGTGGGCATTTAGGTTGATTCCACATCTTGGCCATTGTGAATAGTGCTGCAACGAACATGCACACATGCATGTGTCTTTATGATAGAATGACTTATATTCCTTTGGGTATATATCCAGTAATGGGATTGCTGGGTTGAATGGCAGTTCTGTTTTTAGCTGTATGAGGAATACCACACTGCTTTCCACAATAGTTGGACTAATTTACACGCCTAACAGTGTATATAAGTCTTCCCTTTTCTCCACAACCTTGCCAGCATCTGTTATTTTTTGACTTTTTACTAATAGCCATTCTGATTGGTGTGAGATGGTATCTCATTGCGGTTTTGATTTGCATTTCTCTAATGGTCAGTGATATTGAGCTTTTCTTCATATGCTTTTTGGCCTTATGTATGTCTTCTTCTGTTCATGTCCTTTGCCAACTTTTTAGTGTTTTTTTTTTCTTGTAAATTTGCACAGGCTTTTTATAGATGCTGGATATTAGACCTTTGTCAGATGCATAGTTTGACAGAAGTTTAGAAGAAAAGTATTAGTAATTGGAAGTTGGGTGATGGGTATGTGGGGCTTTAGTATTCTACTGTAGTGTGTATGTGTTGTGTGTTAAATTCTATAATTGAAACATTTATTTTTAAATTGCAGCTTTTCTAAAACTAGACCAATGAACACTGAAGGCAAAAGCCAAATCTCTATATCAAGAGTTGCCATTAGGCTGGGGCCTGAGTGGCCCTCACAAGCCACAGGCATTCCAAAGTTAGAGGAATTTGAAAGAATGGGTAAGCAGAGAAAGCTGGTCAGTTAGGGAGGAGAATGGAGCGGTCATTGCCAGAGATAGGTAGATGCCTAGAGAGAGTGGTCTCTGCTAGTTGCAGATTTCCCCTGGTGCCCAGCCATACTATGGTACCTGTCCTTGAATTCTTATGCCATTTCTGATCCCCCTTTGCCTCATGTTTATCTTTAAAAATTGATTCCCTTTTTCTTTAGTTAATTTGAGTCAAGCCTCTGTTCCTCTACATCAAAATAGCCATCTTCAAAACAAAGGATTATTTGTATCTGTTACAGTTGGGATCTGCCCAGGTAGAGGGGTCCTACCAATCTTGGAATCAAATGATGATCAGTGTCTTGTGGAGGATAAGGAGAGAGAGACTTGTAAGGAGCCAGAATGTCAAGTGATCAAAGTCAATTCAATCTGCCCTCCAGGTACAAATGTACCAGGAGAGAGTTAAGAGCACTTTTCCTGAGAGATCTTGACAGTGAACAGGCAGAACTAATAGGCAGTTTGCCATGGTAGTTTCCTGGGACCACATTGATCTAAGAAGTACACATGGTCACTGAACTGTCAAGTTGAACTACACGCCCTGTGTGCTAGGCCAATCTTCTCGCCTGAGGGGTCTTACATTTTGAATGCTATGAATGCAAGGTAATCTCCCATTTGGATAAGGATGAAAGGCTTAGAGGATGTCCCCTTTGCCCTTCAATTGACCACAAAGAATAAAGGGTTTCTAGGCAGGATGAAAGAAGTAATCCAGGAAAGAAGCCAGGAAAATGATTCCAAAGGGGAGTATCAAGAAACTAGTTATTGGAGGGAATTAGCTCAGAGGCGAAATAGGCAGAACTTGGTGCCCATTGTAGGACAGTCTCTGTAGAAGAAGTCTGGATCATGTGAACGCATCAAGGGTGCCAGAGGGAGGGGTGCCAACTCTGCAGCCTTGGCGTGGGAGATCTTGCTAGAAATAGAAGTTGTAAATCTAATTCAGGGAAATCTGAATTGGGAAAGAAAATATACTTGCCCTGAAGAGCTGAGAGGAGGGGGAATGGTCCACTTTGCTCTTTTAGGAAAATGAGGTGGTGCCATGTACTTCCTGGGTCAAGGAAGGTCATGCACTCATAAAACAAAGAAAAGACAGACAAAAGTGAATACAGTGTTTGTAAGTTTAAAGAAGAAAATAATAATCACCATGCCCCAACGTGCAAAATCACCAGAAACAATTTAGTGAATTTTTTTTTTAGTTTTTTTCCTATGCGTTTACATAGTTGAGATAATATATGCTGATTTTTAAGTGCCATTTATATTCATAGGTCAAATAATTTAGGAAGAGGCACTTAATGATATGTATTGTCAGTCCCTAAGTGATTTATTATCTTTCATCATTAAAAAAAATTTCAGTGAGTTAGGTCATTTAACATGAGACTTAAAGATGCACAAAAGCCATTTCTCAAGTTCTTTAGCAATGAAAAAGTTCATTTATGTTATTCTACGCAATACTCCTTTTGTGGAGAGGGAGAGAAAAGAACAGTTGTTCAGTAATTTTCTTGGCACAGGATCTTCACTATGTAATAAGCTTAGCCATTGTTAGAAAAATCTGGACAAGAACAGCACCAGTTATTGTTATAAGTGACCATCAAATCAGGCAAGAGATTCCATATGAACTGTGGGTTAAAGGATATGGCTCAAGAAATGTTTCTTGGCACTGAAAGAGAGGTGGAAACAGTAGACTCTACTGCTTAGACTCTAGCGAGTGGAGGAATAGCTAAGTTAACACTGCAGCACTGTGTCACTTAGGATGCTTTTGGCTGTAAATGACAGAAAATTTGGACTCATTTGTATTAAATAATAAATACATCTAGTGTCACACTGCAGATCCAGGTTTGGTTAATTTAGCTAATCAACAATTTCAGCAATGACCCAGGTTCTTTTCATCTTCTGGCTTTGCCATCCTAGATATATTGGGGGGGTCCTCAAGCCAGCTCCCTTCATGGCTGTGAGATGATTGCAGCAGTTCCTGGACATGGCAGTGCAAGAGAAGATGAGCCTGTCTCCTGCTAGGTGTCTCTAGTTAAGAGTGAGAAAAATTTTCCCCCAAGTCTCCCCTACAGGCTTTCCTCATGTCTTATTGGCTGGGGTTATGTCACATGTGCATACCTAAACCAATCACAGACCGGGAGGTAGACCGGTCACAGTCCACTTGGTGTCTGGGTATGAGGCTACCTTCCTTTGATGCCCATGGTTATGTAAGGCGATGGAGATGAACAAAGTTGGGGTTGTGGTGGAAAGGAGGAAGGAGGGAAACATGTTAGCAAGCAACAATGTTTCTCACAAGGGGTAAGCTTAGTCTCTGAGTATACAATATCCCAGATATCACAGTCTACTGAATTCCAGAACATGGTTCCAAACTGAAGGAATTCCTGCTCTTCTGCATGAAGGTGTATGTTGTGTGTGCACCTGTGTGTGTGTTGTTGATTTTGATTCTTTTATCAGTTGGTTATTGTATGTCTTCAAATAATGTTTTCGAGAAGAGACCATAGACCAATCTATTTTCTGAGTCCTTGCCTATCTGAGCATGTCTTTCTGTTGCCTTCATTAATCAGTGACAACGTGGTTAGATAGAAAATTGAGATTCACAATCGTTTTCCATCAAAAATTTGTAGATTTGGCTCCATTGTTTTCTGGCAGTTAGCATTGCAGAGAAATCAGAGATTAGATTACTTTCTTCTCCTTTGTAAATAGCTTATTATTAACTTTTCAACCTGAGTACCTGAAGGATTCTTTTCTTCTTTCAATTTAAAAACGTGCTCAGGTTGGGAGGTTGAGGCGGGCAGACTACCTGAGGTCAGGAGTTCAAGACCAGCCGGGCCAACATGGCGAAACCCCATCTCTACTAAAAATACAAAAATTAGCCGGGTGTGATGGCTGGCACCTGTAATCCCAGCTACTTGAGAGGCTGAGGCAGGGAGAATTGCTTGAACCCGGGAGGCGGAGGTTGCAGTGAGCCCTGATCTCACCACTGCACTCCAGCCTGGGTGACAGAGCGATACTCCGTCTCAAAAGAAAAGGTCATTTTGAATCATGTTCTCTGTCTTCTGTGTCTACCATCTTCTCACACACCATTTACATTTCCTTGTTCTTTTCCTCTACACTATAGAACATCTCAAGTGTGATCTCCAGAATACTAATATACTTTTCTGAAAGGCTAATGCCACTCTTTCTTCATCTGAATGTGTAATTTATATTATTTAATAAGTGTATTATATTTTAGTTAATATTTATTTATATTCTTATTAAGCTCACCTATCTCTTGTTGCTCTTCATCTTACTTCATGTCTTTGCAACCGATTCTTTTCTTTCTTTGTGACTATTTGTACCTCTTTCACAGAAGTTTCTTCCATGCTTCTGAGGATATTACACAGTTTTCTAAAATGTGTTCTGGTTCCCCTGTAGGAGATCATTTTCAGAGGAATGTTTTTCATCTTGTCTTCTGCATAATTGTATTTGTGCTCCCAATGCCAGCTTTCTTTTTTTTTTTTTTTTTCCTGATTACTCATGTTTGAACGAGAAGAGAATGAGCTAGTCTCGGATTCACCCACAGACAGGGTGTGTAGATTTTATTTGGTTCTGTTGATTGGACACTTGGGTAATGATTGAATTTTCTCAGCTCTACAGCTGGAGAGCAGGTTGATGATAATGGATCTTGGCCCAATTTCGAGAATTTAGCTAACATTCCTATAATATAGCTCTGCTGTGCTGAATTCCTACCCCATTGTCTGATTCTGTGATACACTTCTATCCCCAGCTGTAGCATTTTATTTCTGGTGATTATTCCTAACAGAACGCAATGTATCCAGCACTCCCAGTCTGATACACTTCCAAGAATTGGTCTCCAAGTGGATGGCAAAAGATGGAGCTGATGAAACATATTTATATGAACTCAAAATGTAACACCATTATGGCAAAGGGATGGCCACCAGGTTTCTTGTGGTGTAGACTCTAGCTCTCTATGTAGGGGAGTAGAGCAGCTAGGAGGAGCGAAACCTCTTCCCACCTTCTTTTCCATGGTTAGAGAGCCTCTGTTTCTTGAGAAAAAGGCCAGGCTGATAGCCAGTTGCCACTTGGCAACAGAAAGCCAAGTGGCTTTCTGTTGGTCTTAGCTTTTGATGGTAGATGAGATTTTAATCTTTCTGTGCTTCATAAATACTTCAGAAGAAATTTAGGCATGTTTCTACCTGGGCAGTTAACCAAGTCCCATTTAAAATCAGAAATGGGCTGGGCATGGTGGCTCACGCCTGTAATCCCAGAAGGTGGGTGAATCGCTTGAGCCCAGGAGTTCAAGACCAGCCTGGGCAACATGGCGAAAACCTAGCTCTACAAAAAAATGAAAATAAAAATTGCTGGGCGTAGTGGTGGATGCCTGTAGTCCCAGCTATTCAGGAGGCTGAGGTGGGAGGATCACTTGAGCCCAGGAGTTCGAGGCTGCAGTGAGCCATGATCATGCCACTGCACTCCAGCCTAGGTGACAGAATGAGACCCTGTCTCAAAAAAAAAAAAAATCAAAAATGAAAATCAGTAGTTTTATAGATGGTCCAAACTGGATACACATCAATAATGTATCTGGCTGCTTAAAAAGAAAATGTCTATCTGGATATACAAGGTGGGCAATATTCTCATTGCCTTCTGAGTGGTTTCAGTTACAAGGCACTTTGGATCCATTTATGGCCCTTATTATTAACACAAATTTCAAAAGGGTCTTATTTGATGAATAAGAGCAAGTTCAAAGTTGGGTAAACAGGATACGAACAGTGTGTATATCATATTGAGGCAGTGAAGGTAGTTAATTTTGAAAAAGGTGGTTGTATGGAAAAGGGATTATATTTATTCTGATTTGTTCCAGAGAGCAGAGCAAGGATCACTTGGAGTAAGTTATAAAAAGGTAGGTTTGGCTTAACATTGGGTGATTAGCAGTGGAGTGGACACCTCATAGAAGGCAGTGATCTGCCTGGCTCCAGAAGAGACCGTGAAGATCCTGGCTGATAACCCATCAAGGAGGCTGTGGGAGAAATTCTGATACAGGGCAGAAAGTGGGTAATCCTGTGATCCATATTTTAATGAGCTTAGTTTCGGAGTTTTGCCCTTGCGGTTTCTGCCTCTTAGGTCAGATGAGTGACTTCCCTTTCAAGGAAAGCACGGAGCTGTGAGAACTCAGCTACTCCAAATATTGGGCTAGATTCAGACAAACGAGGACCTAGGTAAAGCAAGTTCCACTTTCCCCTTTGCTTTGTAGCTCCCAAGTCACAGTAGCAAAGGCTACTTTCTGCTAGACCATGACCAAGCTTCTGTCAGGAAAAGTGGGGAGTGGGCACAAACAGATGGTTTGTATGTCATCTCACTATAGTCCCCACTATAGCCCTGGGAGGTTGCTTTCCAGCCAAAGAATCTGAGACTAAATGTGGCCAGACAACTTGCCAAGAACAAGAAGACATTCATTTGTGGAGCCAGTGAAGGTTCCAGAATTTTGATGTAAGAAGAGCTTAGGGGCAACACATGGGTTGTATGAGTACCTGGAGATGGATGATGAAGCTTCATTTGCAGAGTATTTTCTAAAGATGCACTTATTCACATTTTATATTGTTGACAAATACAATGCAATTTTTATTTTGTATTTGGGGTGGCTTGCAGGGCGGACAGAGATGGGGATAGAGCCCCTCCATACCACCTCCAGCCACTCCTTGGCATCATAAGGTTGAGTCAAAATTTGGACCCTGTTCTGATTTCAAATCTCAGTCTGATCTCATAATAAGCAGAGCAGAAAGACCTCTGAAAATATTACTGGGGACTTTTTTTGTTTTGTTTTCTTTTTGTGCTTCATTTAAACTAATGTAACTAAATTAGACAGGAGAAAGCAGACCGCATGGTTTAGCCTATTTTCCTGAAGACTTCCCCAAATACAGAAAATCTGCTTGGAGGCTGGCCTGTGTTCACTCCTGCTCTGAGCTGGCTCTAGCCCTCTGCTGGCCCCTTCTCCCGACCTGCAGGTGCTGCTGCTTATTGCAACATAGGCAGGAGGGACACCTGCTGCTTCCCAGTGGGGACGCCGCAGTCAGTCTGGTTCAAGGCTGGAACTCTTTTTTTCTTTCTTCTTACAAATAAAAATACCTCTTCTGTTTGTTCTATTGGACTTTACCGTCCCAGATGTGTCAGAAATTAGTTCTTGCAAAGCAGCCCAACCAAGGGGCTCTTCCACTGCATTACATAATGGCAGGGTTCACGTCACTTTTCCATTGGTTTTGGACTGTGCTGCATAGTCCTTTGGGGGATGTTCTGAAGTTCAGGCTCCTTCAGAGCCAGGAGGGGAAAGCCCAACAGCAAAACAAGTGGAAAGAAAGACAATATTGGTCACATGGCCTTGGGTGTTTGAAATGCCTGCCCATAGTTGTCTCTTGTTTCTGGAAGGTTGTGAATGATCTTATTAATGCTAGGTCTAATGTTTTTTCCTCTATATCAATCCTCCTTCCCCCATCTTTGATAGTTAATTTCTACTCAAGGCTGCTCCTCCCTTGACTTCCAGAATAGTGCACCTTTGGAGTTCTTCTATTTCTCTAACTGCCCCATCTTATTTCCGTAACGTAATATCTTGCTTGTCTATCCTCTTTGCCGTACTATTCACCTTCAACCTGGCATTCTTCAAGAGTTCTTGTTGTAGGCTGACCTTTAGTCACAAGTAGATTCAAAAATGATAAAGGCCCAACCACAAAAGAAGTCTATTTCTCAATCATGTATTAGTCCACAGTGGTTTTCCCATTTGCAGGTGGCTTTCTTACTCAGGAAAGGTTCCTTACTCAGAATCCATAACTTAGAATCCATTCTATGGCTCCACCATCCCCCTAGACTCTAAGGCCTCCTTGTTACCTGCATCCAGGAGAAAAAGAGAATAGGGAAAGCACATCTGCTTTAAGACCCTGGCCTGGAAGTGACACACATCAATTCTGCTCATTCTCCATAGGAAAGAACTAGTCACATGGTCACTTCTAGATGCCAGAGGAGCTGGAAAATATAGTTTATGGCTGGGGACCCCCTTCCCTAGTAACAACTCTATTTTATTGTAAGGGAAATGGATGTGGAAGCCAGCTTTGCCATGGCCCTTGAGTTTTCTCACAAGACTATGGCTCTTGGTGAGCTCATCCATTCTTGTAGTTTGTATCTTTACCTCAGCATTAATGACTCCTAAATTTCTGTTTCTAGTATCAACATCACACTGATGTCTAGTCTTGTATCTCCAGCTGCCTCCTAAACAGCAACTTCTCTCTCTTCAAACTCAATATCTTTCCTCATCCAGAATGGGCTCTTACACTTGTCTTCCCCATTTCTGGCAGTGAATCACTATTCATCTGACATCATCTAGATTTCTCCCCATGCTGGGTGCGGTGGCTGATGCCTGTAATCCTAGCACTTTGGGAGGCTGAGGCCAGAGGATCACTTGAGCCCAGGAATTTGAGATCAGCCTGGGCAACAGAGTGGGATCTGGTCTCTACAAATAATTTAAAAATTAGCTGGGTGTGGTGGTGCACACTTGTGATCCCAGCTACTTAGGAGGCTGAGGTGGGAGGATCACCTGAGCCCAGGAGGCAGAGGTTGCAGTGAGCAGTGATCACACCACTGCACTCCAGCCTGGGCGACAGAGTGAGACCCTGTCTCAAAAAAAAAAAAAAAGAAAAAAATAATTGGCCAGGTGTGTTGGCTCACGCCTATAACCCCAGCACTATGGGAGGCCGAGGCAGGAGAACTGCTTGAGCCCAGGAGTCAGAGAGCAGCCCTGGGCAACAGCGAGATCTCGTCTCTACAAATAATTTAGAAATTAGCCAGGTGTGTGGTGCGTGCCTGTGGTCCCAGCTATTCAGGTGGCTGAGGTGGGAGGATCACCTAAGCCCAGAAGGTTGAGGCTGCAGTAAGCTATTATCACACCACTGCACTCCAGCCTGGGTGATAGAGTGAGGCCCCGGGTGACAGAGTGAGGCCCTGTCTCAAAAATAAAAAATAAAAAAAAAATAGAGAGAAATTGCTTCTAGGCCACATATCCAGTGCATTTCTGGAGCCTCACTAATTTATTTATTTTCCTGACTCCACTCTTCCTCTTCTCTGATCTATATGAATGCTTTTGACAGACTAATCTTTCTAGAACACTTGTATTATATCACTGTCAAGAAATTCTCCTTAAGAACCTACAATCTTTGTTGCCACTTTGGAAATGTGAAATAGTTTTAAATAGTAACAGCCTATACATAAGACAGCTTGTTAGGCAAGACAGTAATTTTTTAATCTTAAGAGTAAGTCTAGGTCAATGCGATGAGCTATAATAAGCAACAGACAGGCCGGGCACAGTGGCTCACGCCTGTAATCCCAGCACTTTGGGAGGCCGAGGCGGGCGGATCATGAGGTTGGGAGATTGAGACCAGCCTGGCCAACATGGTGAAACCCCGCCTCTACTAAAAATACAAAAATTAGCTAGGTGTGGTGGCACATGCCTGAAATCCCAGCTACTCGGGAAGCTGAGGCAGGAGAATCACTTGAACCAGGGAGTCGGAGGTTGCAGTGAGCCAAGATTGCACCACAGCACTCCAGCCTGGCGATAGAGTGAGATTCCGTCTCAAAAAAAAAAAAAAGTAACAGACAAGGGAGTGAGGAATCATCATTCTAGCCTACCCTCTACATCTAACCAAATCTGTGAGCCTCAGTTGTTTATTTTGTAAAATGAAGAAGGTAGCTCTTTCCTGTGTGAAATCTGTGGGCTAGAACAGGACATCTCTTTTAGTTTCTTCCAGTTCTAAGGATGATGACTTTAAAAGGCAAACTCTAAGATGGGAGGATTGCTTGAGGACAGGAGTTTGAGACCCCATCTCCACAAAAAATAAAAACAAAAATTAGTCAGACGTGGTGGCATGCGCCTGTAGTCCCAGCTTCTCAGGAAGCTGAAGCGGTAGGATCGCTTGAGTCCTGGAGTTTGAAGTTACAGTGAGCTATGTTGGTGCCACTGTACTCCAGCCTGGGCAACAGAGTGCGATCCTGTCTTTAAAACAAAACAAAACAAAACAAAACAAAACGAAAACAAAAACAGAAAAACCTCCCCTGCCTGTTTTTTAAGACCGTCTATAATTTAATTCCCCCCACCAACCTGGTCATTTAACCCCCCTAATGCTTGCTTCTCTCCATTGAGTTATTTTCTCTCTGCATCCTCGATGAGGCTGAGTGTCATCTGACCCTGTGCGTATGCTGCTCCCTTCCTCTCTGCCCATCTAAGCACCGTGGCGACTGGTAAGGGGCAGCCTGAGCTGCCTTGGAGAATTTGAAGTATTTTGAAGGACTCACCTGGTTCTGCCACATAGAAGCCCAGTGAATTTAGTAATGTGGAGATGACACAGAGCCCCTCAGTGGGGCAGATGTGAAGATTAAGCAAGATAACACTTGGAAATATTGCTTTGTAAAATGCCATCACCACATCATTTAGTCCTATAATTACTTCATGAGTTATAATAGTTTTGTTTCCCCAGTTAGCTGGCTGGCTGGATTAACTGGTAATTGATTGAGTCAGTCAACAATCTTCACATAAGGTAAAGAATCATATGAAGTTGCTGATGTTTGACTGCTTTTGATCTATTAAAAAAAAACCCAGCAATTTGCATGCAAAGCCATGTAAAGTACTGTAAAAATACTTGCTATTCTTTCCACTCAACTTGATCAAATCCTCCAAGGCAGAGGAAGCTAAGGTCTGAGAGTGAGAGTTTAAATCACCTCACTGATGGGAGGTAAAGGCCACATTTTCTTTCAGCAGTATTTGCAGTGATTTGAGGGGAAAACCTACACCCAGAGGAGTGGCACATTCTAAACAATGACCACACCCTTTGGGAAGGCTGGTCCCTGGGGGATGGGAGTGACAGAGCAGCATGTGGCTCCAAGCTGGTATGAGGCACTGAAGAGTTGGAATTCTATCTGTATCTCAGCCTGTGATTTCATCCGCATCACCCAGAAGACTCCTAGTATTTAGAAGGATAGATCTGAGACTAAGGTTTTGGGCCTCCTTACTTCAACTTTCTTTTTTTTTTTTCTTTGGAAATGGAGTTTCACTCTTGTTGCCCGGGCTGAGTGCAGTGGTGCCATCTTGGCTCATTGCAACCTCCGCCTCATGGGTTCAAGTGATTCTTCTGCCTCAGCCTCCTGAGTACCTGGGATTACAGGTGCATGCCACCATACTGGGCTAATTTTTTTGTATTTTTGGTAGAGATGTTGTTTCACCACGTTGGCCAGGCTGGTCTCAAACTCCTGACCTCAAGTGATCCTCCTGCCTTGGCCTCCCAAAGTGCTGGGATTACAGGTGTGAGCCACCATGTCTGGCCTCTTTTTTTGTCTGTTTTTTTTTTTTTTTAGATGATCTTGCTCTGTTGTCAAGACTGGAGTGCAGTGGCATCATCATGGCTCACTGCAAACTTGATCTTCCATGCTCAAGTGATCCTCCTACCTCAGCCTTCTGAGTAGCTGGGACTACCAGTGTGTGCCACCAGGCCCAGCTAATTTTTTATTTTTCGCAGAGGCGGGGTCTCACTATGTTGCTCAGGCTGGTCTTAAACTCCTGGGCTCAAGCCATCCGCCTGCCTTCCGCTCCCAAAGTGCTGGGATTACAGGTGTGAGCCGTTGCACCTGGCCTCAACTTTTCACGAGGGAACTAGAGACAAGCCCTTTATTTAGCCAAGAGTTTAGAAATCCAGGTATTTTCACTATTTCCATAGAATTTAGTCCTTGTCTGAACTGTGTCACTGTGCAGCACGTGGAGGGTTTTGTGGGGAGAGAGAATGTGAGTTTTGACATCAAACAGATCTGGTTTAAAATCCTGTCTCTGCCCTTTACCAGATATGTCATCTTGGGGAAATTACTTAGTTTCTTCAATTCTCAATTTTACCATCTGAACAATGGGATTAAAAAAACGCTAGAATTTTCATGAATACTAAATGAGATAATATTGGAAAAATGGCTGGTATATTATCTGACATATAGTAAGCCCCCAAGTGGCAGCTATTATTGTTATCCTAATATTATTCTAAAATATGAGGGTGAGCAGACTAGGTCATAATATTTATATGTGAGTTTTTCAAATAAGGGAAGCTTTACTTGGTGATCCTGGTGACTTTGCTCTAGGCCAGGCTGTTCAACACAGTTGCACATCAGGGCGGTGGTGCTTGTCGGAGTTCAGCTCCCCTTGTGAGGTGCTGCATGGCTCCAGTGTGAGCCTGATTCGGCAACACAGGGCTTCTATTAACCACACAGCCCCCTTATTACTCAGTCATGTCTTCTGTTAAGCACACAGTCCCCTTATTACTCAGTCATGTCCTTCATTCCGGACTGGGTCTGGGATGCCATCCCCAGACAGGGTTTAACTCATGGAAAAGTCAACCAATGTCTCTACAATGTGCTGCATGGACCACGGATCACAAGGTTGGGACATCCTAGTTTCTACTGACCAACTCCATCAAGCCGGAGGAGCACCAGCTTGGCCCCTTTATGCACACTGTGGAACAGTTACTTGGGCTCCAGAGGGAGTCTGGCGGTTGCATGTTCCCTGTTTCCTTCCATCTTCATTTCTGCATTGTGAGAGGGCAGTGGGTCTGGCTGAGAAGGGGGTGCAAAGCTGGGAGGGTGGGCGGGGAGCTTGGCCCAGGCCGACCTCCCTTGCCTTTGTAAGGGCTCTGGGAGGAAGGAGTTCTGCTGGGCCCCAGTTGCCCTCCTCCCTCCTTGCCCCCATCCACACTGGAAGGTGCCTTTCGGAGGAGCTTAGTTTAATGAGTTCCTGGGCTGAACCTCTCTGGACTGCTCCCACTCCTGTGGTCACTAACAACAGCACACTGGGGAGTGGGCGGAACTCCGAAACCAAGCCCATCTGTTTTGTCTCTTTAGATTCAAGACAGATGTTCCCACAATCTGGCGACAAAACTGCAGTCCTTGGAGAGACTGTGGGTGCCCTGAGTTTGCGGGTGGGGATAGGGGTCTACTGATGTGCAGTGACAGCGAGGTGGCGGACTTCTCCAGCTTCCTTGCAAAGCCCTGGGGAGCCAGGGCAGGCCCTGCTGGAATCCTGCAACAGGCGCCGCACCCTGCCATACACCTTCAGCAAATACGACAGGAACGTAAAACTTCCTGCCCTAATCCGTTTAAACTTAAAGCCTAGTAGGAGGTCACTATAGTGTTAGATTTTTGGGTCTGTTTTTTTTTTTTTCTATTTCAGAAAGATTTGTTTGTTTGTGAAGATCTTAAGGCCCAAATACCGAGAGCTAGAGTCTGTGCTGGTAAAATGAAGGCTGAAAATGACAAATGTTAGAAGTGAGCAAATAAGTTTATTATATATAATAGAAAAAAGCAAAATGTTAAATTTGACTTTGCGATGCATGGAATAATCTGCTGATGTTGGATGATGATGCCACCTCCTTGAAAACTCCCTTTCTAGGGAACAATAATTGCTAACATTATTGGGCACATATGATGTGGCAGGCTCTGTTCTATTATAAATACTTTTCATGTATTAAATCGTTTATTCCCCACGACAGCCTAATGAAAAAATGACTATTGTTATCTCTACTTTCTAAGTGAGGAAACTGAAGCGCAGCATGATTAAGCAACTTGCCCAAGGTTGCAGAGCTCATAAACGGCAGATCTGGGCCCAGGCAGCCTGGCTGTGTGCGCTACCCCTAGCAGGCTGCATTGTCTGTCCAATATAAGGCCTGTAAGATCGTGGCCAAGTCCTTCAAACTCCCTTTCTAGGGTACTTTCAAAGTACAGCTTTGTACTTCTCCTCTCCCAGTCCCTGAGCAAGAGTAGTGGGGTGGGCATGTTAAATACTTATGAGTAAGTGAATGCATTAATGCAAGATTTATAGTATGGTCAGCTGGTAGCAGCAAACCTTTTCTGTTAAGAAGCCCTTCCATGTTTTATCCAAAATACTTGCCCTTCTTACCACAGTAGCCCATGGCTAGTTACTCATTAGCTTCCTAGTACCTATGGGCCTTTTCCTATTCCAAGACCCCAGCTCTCTCCTTTGCTCTCATCAGCACAGTCCTCTCCTCACGTGTCCCACTTTGAGTTCTTCCTAAGATCCAGCACAAAAATACTCGGATGGGATTTCCATTTAACATGGCTTTTCATTACATGGTTTTGCTTATTACACGGATCAAATCAAGTTCTGAAACCATAATTACATTGGGAAAGGCTGCTCGCCAGCCCCAGAGTCAGTAGGGAGGGTGGAGTTGTGGGTGCACTGACAACTTTTCAGTGAAAACAGTTAAGACTGTGTTATCTCACAGAGGAAGCAGGGAAGCTGTGACTATTCTTCCCATATTAGAGATTAGAGAACATATGTAGGAACATATTAGGAACAGAGATGTGGCTTGTCCAAGCTTCCATGGGTGGAGCTCAGGGATCTCCTGAATTGTGGCTGGAGCCGCAGATGGAAGGCCTTCCTCTTCCTACTGTGTGGCAGCCTCATGACTTCCTAGACATCTCTGCCTCTCCCCTAACCCTCTCAGGCCATTCCTTGCCCTGGCAGATGGCTACTGCCAAGATTCTACCTTTGCGGAGGAAGGAAGGCTATGATGTATTTGTTCATGCACTGGTTCATTCATCCTGACTTTTTTCGCTCTTTCACAGAACCAGACAGTGGGGCAAAATCCAAGGTGGTGCTGGAGCGTCTCAATTCTATGGGATTCTCCTGTCAGCTCAGGATCAGAGTCATCCCATAACGAAAAGCTTTTCTACCATTTGCCTGGAACTGGGGCCTAGACCAGATGACATGGGTCTCTTCCAGGTCCCCCAGATGCTTAGGTTGGGTCCAAGTTACACTGAAAACGGTCCAGTGAATTTCCAGTCTGGTCCACACCCATCATTCCTGGAGCTGAGTGACTCAGGGCTCCAGAAGATACCTCAGTGCTAAGTCATCATCCCCGAGAGAAGAATGTTTCACGTTCAGGGATTCTGTCACCTGTGCTCTGGAAGCAAGTTCTAGGCCTTTTCACCCCAGCTTTCACTTTCATCCTGGGGTTTGCTATGGGAGCTGGCATTCTGCTACCCCATTTCCAGCTCTAGTGTAGTGACATTGCTGCGTTCTGTTTAGACTGTTTAGTGGGTCATGGCATCCTTGACCACCTCCTCCCTTTAGCCAATTTTTGATTTATTAAACAAAGTAGAGAGAAGAAACGTAGATGGCGTACATGGGATTTAGGGTATGGGGCTGTCTGCATGGCCTGGAGGCTGACCTACAGGAGATTGTGGGCGCAGCTCTCACTCACATGTTGTGGGTGTGTACACACCACATGGCTCAGCCCTCATTCATGGATCCTTCGGGTCTCAGTCCCCATTCATGGATCCTTTGGGTCTCTGTCCCTTGTGCTTTGATGCTACTGAGCTCTGGAACTTTAAGTCCGTAGCTGAGTTCTGTTCTGCCCACAGGTGACGCAGCTTCTGAATCTGAAACGCTGCTCTGGGTGATTTAGCACTGAGGTATCTTCTGAAGCCCTGAGTCAAAAATCTTTTCAGCGACTCAGCCATAGGCATCTAGGAAGACAAGCTTCCAGATTCACTGAGAACAGACTGTATGTACTGACATGCTGACATTAACTCCCATTCCCTGTAGGGACTTTCTCATGTGGAAGAGCAAATGCTGAGTGCTGGCAGGACCCTGGCAGTTTGATGATTTCCAGTGTTACCATTAGTCACTATGTGTACATTCTGAAGGTCCTCGTGTGGCCACTGCAGGGCACCAGCCTTTGGAAACAAATACACAGCTTTTGAGAAGCTGCTCATCTTTCATATATATGTGTCTAACTTTGATACACAATACATGTATATTTTTATTATATTAATAAATCATAAGTAACCTAAATGTCTACCCACAAGAGAATGATTAGATAAATTGTGGTGTACCCATAAATGGAATAATCTGTAGTCATTAAAAATCAGGCTTGGCAAACAAAAACATAAAGTGCGGAAAAGACTGCCTGTTCAACAAATGGTGCTGGGATAATTGGCTAGCCACATACAGGATAATGAAACTGGATCCTCATCTCTCACCTTATACAAAAATCAACTCAAGATGGATCAAGGACTTAAATCTAAAGCCTGAAATTATAAAAATTCTCTAAGATAACATTGGACAAACCCTTCTAGACATTGGCCTAGGCAAAGATTTCATGACCAAGAACCCAAAAGCAAATGCAACAAAAACAAAGATAAATAGCTAGGACTTAATTAAACTGAAGAACTTTTGCACAGCAAAAGGAACAGTCATCAGAGTAAACAGACAACCCACAGAGTGGGAGAAAATCTTCACAATCTATACATCTGACAAAGGACTAATATCCAGAATCTAAAAAGAGCTCAAACAAATGAGCAAGAGAAAAACAAACAGTCCTATCAAAAGTGGGCTAAGGACATGAATAGACAATTCTCAAAAGAAGATATACAAATGGCCAACAAACATATGAAAAAATGTTCAACATCATTAATGATCAGGGAAATGCAAATCAAAACCACAACATGATATCACCTTACTCCTGCAAGAATGGCCATAATCAATAAATAAAAAAATAATGGATGTTGGTGTGGATGCGGTGAAAAGGGAACATTTCTACACTGCTGATGGGAATGTAAACTAGTACAACCACTATGGAAAACAGTGTGGCGAATCCTTAAACAACTAAAAGTAGAACTACCATCTGATCCAGCAGTCCCACTACTGGGTGTTTACCCAGATGGAAAGAAGTCATTATATGAAAAAGATACTTGCACAGGCATGTTCATAGCAGCACAATTTGCAATTGCAAAATCGTGGAACCAACCCAAATGCTCATCAATCAACAAGTGACTAAAGAAACTGTGATATATTTATATGATGGAATACTACTCAGCCATAAAAAGCAATGAATTAATGGCATTTACACCAACCTGAATGGGATTGGAGACTATTATTCTATGTGAAGTAACTCAGGAATGGAAAACCAAACGTCATATGTTTTCACTCATAAGTGGGAGCTAAGCCATGAGAATGCAAAGGCTTAAGAATGACACAATGGACTTTGGGGACTCAGGGAGAAAGGGTGGGAAGGGTATGAGGGATAAAAGACTACAAATTGGGTTCAGTGTATACTGCTCAGGAGATGGGTGCACCAAAATCTCACAAATCACCACTAAAGAGCTTCCTCATGTAACCAAATACTACCTGTTCCCCAAAAACCTATGGAAATTAAAAGATGTATATATATCAGGCTTGGTCTGGAGTGGTGGCTCACGCCTGTAATCCCGGCACTTTGGGATGCTGAGTTGGTAGGATCACTTGAGCTCAGGAGTTCAAGATCAGTCTGGGCAACATGGCAAAACCCCCTCTTTACAATATATATATATATATATTTTAAATCAGGCTGATGTTACAGAGAAGTTCTTATGGTATTTTGCTAAGCAAAAAAAGCAAGCTGTAAAATTTTTTATGCAAAATGTGAACCCAATTTTGGACTCATTCCCCAACAAAAACAACAAAAACCAATGTTGTACATACTGTGTATATATGTGTATATAAACACTGAAAAATACCAAACCAATAAATATGAATATTCATTTGTCTCTTTATGCTTTTCTGTGTTTTCTTGCAGTGGTTGTGTATTAATTTTTGAAATGCTATTGCGTTTTTTTAAAAGGACACTTATGAATGGCATGTTTTGAAAACTCGTAGGGTAAGACCTTGAACCTTCCACCAACATACGCAAACTGTGCATGGAAATCAAGTGCTGCTGACGTGAGCTGGGCCCAGGGATTGCAGTCCAAGGATTACCAGGGGCATGGCTGTAACCTTCCGCTTCATATCCCTGAGCTGATTAGTCCCCTAATCAACTGATAAAGTAAAATAACACATGTTGTTCATAAGGGCAGCATAGCTCACATTCTTCACCCACATGGTGGGGCGTCTGGCCTGTGAGGGTCCCCTCCCTCTGCTTGGCTGCTCAGCTTGCCTGTAGCCGGTCCATATTCAGGGACAAGCAGGCACCACCAGCTTGACACCTGCTAGCACCTATCATCATTGAGCTCCATCACCTGCTGGTGACCCACACTAATACCCTTAGGGGCAGAGGATCCTGGCTACCTTCACCCTAACACTAACCAAACGAACCCCAAAGGCAGGCTGGACAAGGAGTTGCAGATGATGGCACATGGCCTGAAAGATGTGGGAAGGATTGGAGGACAAGTTGCCTGCTTTGCCTTGCTGGTGGGGAGGAGAGGGGCGAGGGCAGGGCATGTAGGCTTCCTGCTGGTTGTGTTCATGGGTTCCAGGCATCTCACATCAGCTGAAAGCCCCTCTGATCCATTGCCCAGATGCTGGCCATTGTAAAAAATGAAACAAACAAACAAAAAAACCCTGCTCCTTTGCCCTTCCAGAGAGACAAAACATGAGACCCAACCCCTTTTGGTCTTGGTCTCTAAGATGTTCGACCTTTAGGGTGATGTATGGAGTTTGGCTTTTGAGGGTCTAGAGGGGCACATGGGCAGTGCAGGTGTTAAGTAAGGGTGGCAAAGTAACAAAAGAGACTTGGCACTCGTTCAGTCATTCATTTGTCCACCTAATGCTTATTGAGTGCTTACCATGTGCACTGGGGTTACAGCAGGGAACACTACATATCAGGACCATGGTCTCATGGAACTCATATTCCAGGGTGACAGGAGGGAGATGAGAAGTAGTGAGTAAGACATAATTATAGTGATAAGCATTCTAAGGAAACTATAACAGCATGATGTGGTAGAGAGAACCTGAGGGTAATGGTACTTGGCTCCTGCATTATGCCCATAATGTCCACTGGGGCCCCTGCAGGGAGCATGGGAAATGATTCTCAGTAAAGTAGGAGGGGCCCCCCTGCCAAGGGCATCACAATTGAAATGAG
Organism: Homo sapiens; assembly: GCF_000001405.40. Taxonomy (NCBI): domain Eukaryota; kingdom Metazoa; phylum Chordata; class Mammalia; order Primates; family Hominidae; genus Homo; species Homo sapiens. Next base: position 91,605,752 of record NC_000001.11, on the reverse strand, counting down.
GCTACTCTGTTTCTGTGTGTGTGTGTGTGTGTGTGTGCGCGTGTGCGTGTGTGTGTGTGTGTGTGTGTGTGTACTGGGGTGCTCCCTGTCAGCCTACATTTTTTTTCTCCTGAAACTTAAGGTGTGTGTCTTAGTCTGTTCATGCTCCCATAATAAATACCTTAGACTAGGTAATTATTCTGTTGTTTATAAAACAAAAGAAATCTATTTCTCACAGTTCTGGAGGCTGAGAAGTCCAAGAACTGTGCCGGCAGAGTCAGTGTTGAGTGAGGGCCCATTCTAGTCTATGTTTGGTGCCTTCTATGTTTCCTCACATAGTGGAAAGGGGCAAGAGAGCTCCCTCGAGCCTTTTTTTTAAAAATTTTTTTTGACATGGAGTCTTGCTCTGTCGCCCAGGTTGGAGTGTGGTGGCTCGATCTCAGCTCACTGCAAACTCCACCTCCCAGGTTCAAGTGATTCTCATGCCTCAGCCTCCAGAGTAGACTTTTTCTTCCCCCCCCGCAGTAAGGGCACTAATCCCATCCACGAAGGTGGAACCCTCATGATGTAATCACTTCCCCAAAGCCCCACCTCTTAATACTATTACATTGGGTATTAGGTGCCAACATGTGAATTTTGGGGGGACACCAACATTCAGACCATAGCAACATGTTTGGACTTGTCTCACTGAACAGTAAAGAGAACCCAGGAGATTGGTTTATATGTGGGCCTTTTAGATCATGGAAGGAGTTCAAAGGAGTACTGGGATCCCACGTAGATGGAGAAAACAACAGGGATCTGGCTTGATTGCTCCTATTCCCCTTCCCTCTGCCTCAGAGCCCAGCTTGATGAGCTCATGTTTGAGCTTTCTGGAGAGAACAGCTGCAGACAGAGCAGGAGAAACTCCTGTCGCTGAGGACGCCGAGAGACACGGGACTGGAAGCAGTCTGGCTGTGCATGGTTACGTGGCTATGTTTCCAGTATAAGAAATGCTCAGTCATGCTATTATTGCCATGATTTTAATAATGAAATATGAGACAGTAATAGGAAGGGGCCATTCCATACAAACGTAGCTTCAGTGCTGAGATTCCTGGGCACTCAGCCTAATTTTGGCATCTGAAAGGCCTGCAGGTTTGGGAGGACAGGGGGCCTGCTCCCTCTAGGAAGCCAGGAGGGCAGCCAGGATTGGGACAGTGGGCTTGTCAAAAGGTGGGAAGTGCGAGAGAGGAAGATGCAGGTGCCACAGAGGAGTGCAGAGGACTCTGCATGAGCTCCTTGAGATATTCCTGGGAATCTCAGACTTAGAAGTAGGCCCAAGATATGGGTTTTGGAATGCTAATACTGTAAAATGTTAAATTTTCTTTACTTAGAACAACATTAAATAGCAAATTTAAAAAAACCCACATGGCAAATAGAGGAGATGGACCATGAAAATTGTATGAAATAAAAAAGCTTTATATTTTAAAACTTTGAAAGATATTGTTTTCCTACAGATCTGGGTTCAAGAAATGCTCTGGCACTGACAATATATATGGCATTAAGTCACTTGACCTCTCTGCTCCACTCTTTTCTCATCTGTATAGTGGATATAATAATACTACCCATGTGGTTACTGAAAGGATTAAATGAGATAATAATGTGAATGAGACACATTATTAGTCCAGGGTCTGGCATGCAGTAAGTGCTCAATAACTAGGTAGAGGCTCCAGCATGGCAGCCCATTCCTACTCCCAGTCTGAACTGGTCTGGGGAAACTTGGGTGTGGACACAATGTGCTATTCAGCTTTCTCAGGTAATGATCCATTAGAAGGGACTGTTGGGTCCTCATGCTTTGCAGGTCACAGAGGGTGAGATATTCTATATGTGGATGTAGGCATGACAGACAGGGAGAGGCAAGGAACAGGGCCAGCTTCAAAGGTATGCAACCTGTGCAGTCTCACCAGGCCCTGTCTGCAAAAGGACCATGTGCTTGGTTTAATGTTGTGCTATCACCATCTTGAAATTCTTAATAATTTTCTCTTTGAACTTGTGTCTTGTAAGTGAAGTCTGATGGGATGATGGAGCATGCATGTTGAGGAGATGCATGCAATACATGGGTCTGCCATTCCTTGCTGTTCCATTTGCATGTAGCATTCGTCATGCCTCATGGACCACATAATGTGGGTGTACCCACAATGCGTGGGAGTTTGGGCAAAGTAAGTACAAGATGAAGGTGTTTCTATCACTGAGCAAGCTGGGTCCCTGCCAAAAGGTCATGCTGTCCATTCAAATCAGAACTTGTTATGAATGCGGAAAGAAGGCAATGGCATTCTAAGAAACAAAAACGACCAAGGAAACCTCTCACCTTTTCTTACTCCCTTGCATTTGCCAGCCACTTTCAGGGAAAAATAAGGATGTAGAAGGAAAGAAAAGATAGGCCAAACCATTGCTCTTTTTCCTTTCAGTCCTTCCTTATTCATTAGTAAACTGAAGGTAGAGAGTGTTGGTAGAACATGCGCGCAGCAAGTTGTGCAATGAAAACAATTTCATTAATTTTGTGTAGTGTCTCCACTGTTCCAGAAAGCATGAAATACATAGGCATGGCCTGGCGCGGTGGCTCATGCCTGTAATCCCAGCACTTTGGGAGGCCGAGGTGGGCAGATCATGAGGTCAGGAGTTCAAGACTAGCCTGGCCGACATAGTGAAACCCCGTCTCTACTAAAAATACAAAAATTAGCCAGGCATGGTGGCATGAGCCTGTAATCGCAGCTACTCGGGAGGCTGAGGCAGGAGAATTGCTTGAACCTGGGAGGCGGACGTTGCAGTGAGCTGAGATTGCACCACTGCATTCCAGCCTGGGTGACAGAGCAAGACTCTGTCTCAGGGGGAAAAAAAAATGCATAGGCATATGCACACCATGAAATGCAAACTATGCAATTTCAGTGACTCTACATAGAAATTATATGCCCTTATATTTGCATGTAAAACAGGTTTTGTGCAATATAGAGCTGAATGGTAAAATTCATGCTAATAATTGAAAACATCAATTTTTCTTTACTTAGAACAACATTAAATAGCAAATAAAAAACATATGGTGAATATAGACCATGAAAAAGTACATGAAAGAAAAATGTTTCATATTTCAATATTTTTAAAGGCCTTTTTTCCTGCTTTTTTAGTAAGAAACTCTATGTTGTCATTTTGCACTGGGCCCAACGAATTATGTAGTCAGTCCTGGCAGCCAGTTGATATATGTGTTGCAGAGTTTTAAAATTTTTCCATGTCACCCTCGTTGGGCCCCAGGGGAGCTTCCCCGCCACCTGGGCCATCTGGACCACCACGGAGCAAAGTTGAGTAGGGCTGTGTTGTCAGAGAGAGCCTCACTGGGCAAACAGCCTCCTCCTTTTTTTCTTGGATTTATCTTTCTTTTTCTAGAGAATGGCAAAGTCTAGAGTGCTCAGATGAAGGTGCTGGCCACCCTCAGCCAGATTTTCACTAAGGCTTCAGGCCTGCCTATTGCCTGTAAAAATACTTGGCTCCTTCTATCTCACCGGGAGACAACTAGGGAGAGCTTGTGGCCAAAGCTCCATCCAGGAAGACTCCCTGTAGGCATGTGTGTGTGTGTGTGTGTATGTGTGTGTGTATCTGCGTGTGTGTGTATCTGTGTGTGTGTGTATCTGTGTGTGTGTGTGTGTGTATCTGTGTGTGTGTGTATGTATCTCCCTCAGGGCTTATCTTCCTAGCAGGGGCTTGTTCACAGCTTGGTTGGGACCCCCGCACTCTCATCTCAGTGTAAACAACCATGAGAGTCAGCTCCCAGAATCCGTCCCCATGCCTTTCTCTCCTGGGCACCTGTCAGCACTCCAGGGTTTGGAGGGAGAGTGGTGAGGGCTGATGAACTGGTGAGAGGCCCTGGGAGAGGCCGTGCTGGGAGGGTGGACCTGCTAGGAAGGGCACCTCCCCTGCTGAGGAAGCAGCAACGGCAGGGAATGAGCAAGCGAGGACAGGGGCATCAATCACCACCAGCGGTGACACCGTCCCAGTTCCTCCTGTCAGCAGCTGCCTTCTCTCCTCACCTCTTCTGGGACTGGGGATGTGGAGGCATCCTAAGTGAGTGCGATGTGTGCCAGGCAGGGCCTTTCCAAGGCTGCAGTGACCGCTCACTGCCACCTCTTGAGTACAGTTTGCTCGAGTTGAATTGTCTGTGTCCAAAGAATTGTTCCAAACAGAGCAAAACAAAACCCTTACAATGACACAAATGACTGAGACAGGGGCAGGGTTACAGGTTTGTCTTTCATGGTACCATTTTTGGTCAATGGGGGAGCCAAGGAATATTGCTGGGAAAATTCATCCACTCATGCATTGTTTTTATTATCTACCTATTTTATAAAAGAAGTCCTGGGATTCAAAGATGAATAAGACACACTTAATGTCCTTAAAAGCAGACACCTTAATAGGGAGGACAGCAGAGTAATAACAGAATTATCAAATACATATAGCACCACTGGCTGGGCTGTAATCCCGCCATCAACAAAGAGCTGAGGGTACCTAAAGGAGAAAGTGCCTAACTCTGAACAGATTCAGGGAAGTTGTCGTGTGAAGTGACATACCAGCTGGACCTGAGGAATGTGTAGGAGTTTTCCCGGAGGTTAAAGTGTGTGTGTGCAGGAGGCAAAGAGGCAGAAGTTGGTGTGTAGCCTAGTTTATCCTAGAAGGGGGAAAAGGGAATGTAAAGGTATGAAAGTATAGATGAGCAAATAAGGGCAGATACCAGGGGATTTGGGAACGGTGAGGAAGCTGAAAGCTCTGGAGTGATCAGCCCTTCTAGATTGTGGGGTCCAGGGAGGGTGTGAGGAAAGAGGTGGCGATTGCTCTGGGCCTCTGCTGATGGAGTATTTTGACTGGCAGAGCTAGAGAGGAGAGTATTCCAGGAGATTCTGGGCCTCTGCTGATGGAGTATTTTGACTGGCAGAGCTAGAGAGGAGAGTATTCCAGGAGATGAGATAGTACAGACTGAGTAGAAAACCCAGGGCATGTTTGCGTGACAGCAACGTTTAGCTGGTGTGGAGAGAAAATGAATAGCAGAAATGGTCAGAAAGAAGGTCTGCCTAAGAGTTTGGACTTTAATTCCTTTGGCAAATGGGAACCATTAAAGTTTTTTTGCTAGTCGTTTTGTTGTCATTGGTCTCTCTCTCTCTCTCTCAGTCTCGTGCACGCATTTTTTTTGTAAAGACAGAGTCTATGTTTCCAGGCTGGTGTCAAACTTCTTCTTCTTCTTTTTTTTTTTTTTAAATGAAAGGCCTCACGTATTTATTACTGAACCCAGCCCAACCAACATGTTTATAACAGATTCAGAGAGGAAAACATGTTGAACTCTCCAGATAGTGGTGACATTTTCAGCTTGATATGGTAACATGATTGTGACGTTCAGACAGCATAAATACGTGTGCCATCTCATGTGCAATTCCTTATAGACCCAGCTTAGTTCTTCTCCAATGTCTCCTTTTGGAGTTGTACCTGATTTTATTACCAGTTTTCATCTGAATCCACTGGGGAACAGGACGATTTTGCTTTTGTTTCTTGGCCAGGAACTACTTAATTCTGAAAGTCTTGTGAAAAGACATGGCGAGAAGCGGAGTCAAGCACACACCACGATGGCGGAGAAAGGAAGAGAGGGCGCTGGTGTCAAACTTCTGGCCTCAGTGATACTCCTACCTCAGCCTCCCAAAGCACTGGGATTCAGGCAAGAGCCACTGGACCCAGCCCTCATTATTGTTTTTGAGGTATAATTTGCATGCAGTAAAATTCATCCTTTTTAGCATTCTATGAGCTTTGGCCAATGTATGTATTCATATAAACACCACCACAGTCAAGCTATAGAATGTTTCCAACATGTCACGACGTTTGTTTATGCCCCTGTAGTCAACCTTTCCCCCCACACTAGCCCCTCAAAACCACCGATGTGGCCAGGTGTGGTGGCTCATGCCTGTAATCCCAACACTTTGGGAGGCTGAGGCGGATGGATCACCTGAGGTCAGGAGTTCAAGACCAGCCTGACCAATATGGTGAAACCCTGTTTCTACTACAAATACAAAAAATTAGCCGGGCGTGGTGGCAGGCGCCTATAATCCCAGCTATTCAGGAGGCTGAGGCAGGAGAATCCTTGAACCTGGGAGGCGGAGGTTGCAGTGAGCTGAGATCGTGCCATTTGCATTCCAGCCTGGGCAACAGAGCGAAACTCCATCTCAAAACGACAACAACAACAACAACAAAACACCGATCTGTTGTCCATCTCTATAGTCTTCCCTTTTACAGAATGTCCTATACATGGAATCATATAGGAAGCAGCTTCTTAAATGTGGTTTCTTTCACTTAAAATAACACATTTGAGATTCATCTATGTTTTTGTGTGTGTCAAGAGTCTGTCACTTTCCTTGTTAAGTAGTATTCTATTGTGTGGATATACCCATTGTTTATCCACTCACCATTTGAAGGGCATTTGGGCTATTTCCGGATTGGGACGATTATAAATAAACCTACCATCAACATTCATGTACAGGTTTTTGTGTGAACATAAGTTTTCAATTCACTTGGGTAAATTCCCAGATAAATAAGAGTAAGATTGTTGAGTTGAATAAGTGTTTATAAATGTATGCTCAACTTCATTTTAAAAAGAAACCTACCGGCCGTGGCTCACACCTGTAATCCCAGCACTTTGGGAGGCCAAGGCGGGCGGATCACCTGAGGTCAGGAGTTCGAAACCAGCCTGGCCAACATGGAGAAACCCTGTCTCAACTGAAATACAAAAAACAATTAGCCAGACATGGTGGCATGCGTTGTAGTCCCAGCTACTGGGGAGGCTGAGGCAGGGGAATCGCTTGAACCCGGGAGGCGGAGGTTGCAGTGAGCCAGGATTGCGCCACTGCATTCCAGCCTGGAGACAGAGCAAGATTCCATCTAAAAAAATAAAAAAATAAAAGAAACCCGCCAAACTATTTTCCAAAGTAGATGTAGGATTTGCAAGTTCTAATTATCCACATCCTCACCAGCACTTAGCACAGACACACCTGGTTTTATTGTGCATTGCTTTATTGTGCTTCACAAATACTGTGCTTTTTACTAATTGAAGGTCTGTGGCAATCCCGCATTGAGCAAGTCTATTGGTGCCATTTTTCCAACAGCAAGTGTTCACTTTGGGTCTCTGTGTCACAGTTTGGTAATTCTCACAATATTTCAAATGTTTTCATTATTATTATATATGCTATGTTAGTCTGTGATCAGTGATCTTTGATGTTACTATCATAATTGTTTTGATACACTGCAAACCACCCATCTATAAGATGGTGAACTTGATCAATAAATGTCATGTGTGTCCGACTGCTCTATTGACTCGCTGTTCCTCCCTCTCTCTCCCTCTCCTCGAGCCTTCCTATTCCCTGAGACACAATTTTTACATTAGGCCAATTAATAACCGTACAATGGCTTCTAAGTGTTCAAGTGAAAGGAAGGGTCACACATCTCTCACTTTAAATTAAAAGCTAGAAATGATTAAGCTTAGTGAATAAGACATGTTGAAAGCTGAAATAGGCTGAAAGCTAGGCCTCTTGCACCAATTAACCAATTAACCAAGTTGTGATTGCAAAGAAAAGGTTTTTGAAGGAAATTAAAAATGCTACTCCAGTGAACACACAAATGATAAGAAAGCAAAGCAGCCTTATTACTGATATGGAGAAATTTAAGTGGTCTGGATAAAAGATCAAACCAGCCACCACATTCCCTTAAGCCAAAGCCTAATCCAAAACAAGCTCCTAACTCTCTTCAATTCTGTGAAGGCTGCAGAAGAAAAGTTTGAGGTTAGTAGAGGTTGGTTCACAAGGTTTAAGGAAAGAAGCCATCTCCATCACATAAAAGTGCAAGGCGAAGCAGCAAGTGCTGATGTAGAAGCTGCAGCAAGTTATCCAGAAGATCTAGCAAAGATCATAGATGAAGGTGGCTACACTACACAACAGATTTTTAATGGAGATGAAACAGGCTTATATTGGAAGAAGATGCCATCTATGGCTTTCATAGCTAGAGAGGTGAAGTCAATGCCTGGCTTCAAAGCTTCAAAGGATAGGCTGACTCTCTTGATAAGGGTTAATGCAGTTGATGACTTTAAGGTGAAGCCAATGCTCATTTACCATTCCAGAAATCCTAGGGCCCTTAGAATCTTGCTAACGTGTGCTCTGTAAGTGGAATAACAAAGCCTGGATGACAACACGTCTATTTCCAGCATGGTTTATTGAATGTTCTAAGCCCATTATTGAAAGCTACTGCTCAGAAAAGAAGATTCCTTTTAAAATATGACTGCTCTTTGACAATGAACCTGTCACCCAAGAGCTCTGAGTGGAGATGTACAAGGAGGCTAATGTTGTTTTCATGCCTGCCAACACAACATCCATTCTGCAGCCCATGAATCAGGAGCTTATTTCTTATTATTTAAGAAATACATTTCATAAGGCTATAGTTGCCACACATAGTGACTCCTCTGAGGGATCTGGAAGTACATGGAAAATCTTCTGGAAAGGATTCACCATTCTAGATGACATTAAGAACATTTGTGATTCATCAGAAGAGGTCAAAATATTAGCATCAATAAGAGTCTGAAAGAAGTTGATTCTAATCCTGATGGATGACTTTGAGGGGTTCAAGAAGTCAGTGGAGGAAGTCACTGCAGATGTGGTAGAAATAGCAAAAGAACTAGAGTTAGAAGTGGAGCCTAAAGGTGTGACTGAATTCCTGCAATCTCATGATCAAAGTTGAACAGATGAGAAGTTGCTTCTTAGGGATGAGTAAAAAAGTGGTTTCTTGAGATAGAACATATTCTGTTGAAGACGCCATGAACATTGTTAAAATGACAACAAAAAATTTAGAATATTCTATCAACTTAGTTGATAAAACAGTGGCAGGGTTTGAGAGGATTGACCCCAATTTTGAAAGAAGTTCTACTGTGAGTAAAATGCTATCAAACAGCATCTAATGCTGCAGGGAAGATGTTCATGAAAGGAAGAGTCAATAGATGTGGGAAACTTCATTTTTATCTTTAAGAAATTGCCACAGCCACTCCAACTTTCAGCAACCACTCCCCTGATGAGTCAGCAGCCATCAACACTGAGGCAAGACACTCCACCAGCAAAAAGATGATAACTTGCTGAAGGCTTGGGTAATTGTTAGCATTTTTCAGCAATAAAGTATTTTAAAATTAAGATACATACATTTTTTAAGACATAATGCTCTCGTACACTTAGTAGACTACAATATAGAGTAAACATAACTTCTATATGCTCTGCGAAACCAAAAAAATTCACGTGACTTGTTTTTTTTTTGTGATATTCGCTTTGTCCTGGTGGCAACTGAACCCTGCATATCTCTGAGGTGTGCCTGTATTGTAATTTTTAATTTTAGGTATTCTGTGTGTGGTGGAATGTCACTGTGGCCTTAACTTGCATTTCCTTAATGGCTAATGATATCGAGCATCTTTTCATGTGTTTATTTGCCATCTTTATATCTCTTTTGGTGAAGGGTCTGTTCAAATCCACTAAAGTGACATGATCACAGTTCCGTGTTAGGAGATTATCCTGGCAGTGGTGCCCTGCCTTTCTACTCAAGCTATCGAATGAGGACTGACAGCATCTGCATCTCCCAGGGGCTTGGTAAAAATGCAGCACTTTGGCCTCATCCCAGTCCAGCCCAATCAGACTCTGCATTTGAACAAGATCCCCAGGTGATTTGTGTGCATGTTAAACTTTGAGAAGCACTGGTGTTCAGAAGAAATTAGAGGAGAGGGGAAAAATGTAAGGGACAAATTTAGGAAGCTATTGCCATATGGAGAACTTAGGAAGGCCGAACAGTTAGGCAAAGGAAGTAAGAATCCACACATCTACTGGCCCAGTCTGGAAACTTGGCTCAGGGTTTGAGTCCCTATATGTTCCCTTACTTGTGTCCTGCTGCTGGATAAAGGCCCATGTGGTAACAAAGAGGGTCTTCAGAGGAAATCCCATTACCTAGAACAGCAGACACATCTGTCCAGGCCTCTAGTTACAACCTGAGGGATGGTAGCGTGGGGAGGCTTGTGGGGTCCCTAAGGCAGCACAAGGATAGGATTCCGTTTAATCAATTACTTTAGCCAATACTGGCAGTGCCTCTGACACCGTGCTGGATACACATTAGTAAGGTCCAGCCCTCAGATGAAAGTCATGATCTAGTGGAAGAGACAGAGAGACGTAATTACAATTCAATAGGATCAGTGTCATAGCAGAGATCTCTCCCTCTCTTTCTCTAAAATACTGTACAAGCCCAGAACTTAGAGAAGGGGCAGAGGGATTCAGAAAAAAGTTAACAGTTGACTTGGGTTTTAGAATTTAATAATAGCTAACATTGATGGAGCACCATCATGGAGCTATGTGCCAGACCTGTATTTTAGATTACACATTACTATGTTTATTCCTCACAATGGCCTTCTGAGATAGGAACTGTTGTTAGCCCCATTTTATAGACAAGGTAACCATGGGCACGCCCCAGGCCTCTTAGCTAGATTCCCACTCAGTCTGTCTGGCACCAATGTTTGCATTCTTAACTGAGCTTGCACTGTGAGCCAGGGGGTGTCCGAGAGAACCCCAGGAAGAACAGATGCAGAAACCAGTGTCCATGGCCCAAGGAGCTCCCAGACCTTGCCTCTGCCCCTTTGCCCAGAGTGACTGAAGAGAATGACAGATGCCTAGGCAAAGCCTTCAAGCTGCTTGGGGGAGGTCAGGAATTGCCGGGGGCACCTGGCTGTCTTGTTTGCTGCTGAGCAGCCTTCGGTCAAGCTTCCATGGTCAGCCTTTGCTCCGGCCACTGCCTTTCTCTGCAAGCAGAGCTGGACAGTGTCAAAGCTTGGCTCTCCTTCGATCTCACATAACTGTGGATTTCTCCTCTATCTAAGGAGATAAAGCCAAAGACAGGGTTTTGCTATTTCTCAGCAGCCCCTGACAGCATAGAGGTCTGTACATTGTAAAGATTTCCGAAAAGGAACTCTGTTATGGTTTTTAGAAGTAAACCTGGAGATGCAGGGTAGACATGCCCCTCAGCATGCCTTTGTAAAGGCCTCTTGCCCCCGCAACAACTGCCACCCCTGCTCCCGACATGTCAGTTGGACTTAGTATGCTCCTTGAGTTCAAGGACATGTATGCACTTTACATTCTTCTTGCAGTGCCTTCGCACTGTGCCTACCCAAGGGAGGCGCTCCAGAAGTGTTGGTTGTGCCAACACCTCAGGAGGCTGAAGCATGGGGAGTTTGTGCCTCACAGGAGTGAGGAGCACAGCCTCTGGATCTAGGCTGCCAGACTGATCCTGTCCCGGCCCCTTAACAGCTGTGCGACATTAAGCAAGTTGCTGAAACTCTCTGGGCCTTAGATGTTCCCCTGGAAGACGGAGATAATTGTTCCTCTTTCCTACAGATGTTGCGAGGTTTAAGTGAGTTATAAATACTGGTGGTCCCGACTTAAAATTTTTTGGCTCTATAATGGTGCAAAAGTGACACTCATTCAGTAGAAACTGAACTTTAAATTCTGAATTTTTGATTTTTAATGATTATAAAATTTTTATTTTAATGATTATAAAAGATGCTTTGTATTCCATAATTATGCCCAATTGTAGGCTAATGTAAGTGTTCTGAGCATGTTTAAGGTAGGCTAGGCTAAGCTGTGATGTCAGTAGGTTAGATGTACATGCATTTTTGACTTACTACAGGTTTATTGGAACACCCCATTGTAGGTCCCAGCCTGTAAAGTGCTTAGAAGAGTATCTAACCCATATTAAGCACAATGTAATGATTAGCATACTAGAAGAGAGCAGTTTTTGGAATCAGACCTGGATTGGACTGGGTTGGAATCCCAGTCCCATCCCCTTCTAGCTATGACCTTGGGCAAGTTACTGAGCCTCTCTAAGTGTCAGCTTCCACATCTGAAAAATGGGGATGATAACACCTTCATCGGAGGATGAGGGAGAGGAGGAGAAGCAGTAACAAGACCAGGTGCGGTGACTCACACCTATAATCCCAGCACTTTAGAATGCCGAGGCAGGCAGATCACTTGAAGCCAGGAGTTTGAGACCAGCCTGGCCAACATGGTAAAACCCGTTTCTACTAAAAATACAAAATATATTAGCTAGGCATGGTAATGGATGCCTGTAGTCCCAGCTACTCAGGAGGCTGAGGCAGGAGAATTGCTTGAATCGTGAGGCAGAGGTTGTAGTGAGCCGAGGTCGCACCACTGCACTCCAGCCTGGGAGACAGAGGAAGACTCTGTCCCCCATCTCACCCCCACAACTCCACTCCCCAAAAAAGGCAGTAACAAAAGTAAAAGGCTGGCCTGGTGCCTGCTCGGAATAAGACTGCTGTAATCATATGGTTTCTTGATTCACTTGTCCACCTGATCTGAGGGGAAGGCAGACATGGCTGCTCTTTGGTTGACCTGATAAGGTGCCTTCACCCCTATCTAGGGTAAGTGGAAGTCATGGGCAATTGGAGGTCAAAGGCAACAGGACAGCTGAGTTGTGTTCATGGTGAACCTAACACTTAAAAAGCCAGAACCTGACAGATGAATTCAGTAGGTGCCCTGAGGTAAGACAGCAAAATGGCCCCTAGTTCAGGAAGCAAACACTAGAAAATGTGGTGGCTGCAGGGGCCGAGGACAGGGACCCAGAACTGGAGCCACCTCCAAGCCATGGTTTCCCAGAACCTCTGTGTATTTCTGCCCTCGGCAATCTGCCTGCAGCCTGGGTCTCTGTCTCATTTCATAGCTCACTACCTGTTTCTAGGTATTTCAGGCTCTGTACAGATGAGTCTGTGCCATTTGGTGTTGCTGGGACTGGAGTTCTCAGTAAACCTTGCTGACAGATAATGTGCAACATCAGAGTACTTCCAGCGAACCTTGGGTCAAGAACAGGGAGGGGGAGGAGAGATGAAGAGCAAACATCCACAGAAGATCAGTGGAGAAAGCCTGACTCTTAGTAGAACTCCTGTACAGGGTGGCCAAGGACACGGTCTTCTGAGTTTCTTCGAAGGTGGCCTTGGGTGGATGGTCTCAGGAGGCTCTTTATCACCTCCGTCTTCTGATGCATCTTCACTGTGACCATGGCAGTGGGGCACCTCCCATCCCTTTGAGTACAGCCTTCGGGAGCTCCTGGGGAGGAGGTGCATGGAAGGTGGGCGAGGGTTGACACTAGAGAGGTGGGCAGCACCGAATCACAGAGGGCTTTGGCTGCGGAGCCAAGGAATCCGAATCGCATTGTGTAAGCAACTGGCAGCCAGTGAGGGACTTTAATCAGGGAAGCAGAATGATTTGATGGGTGTTTTAGAAACTTTGTTCTCTGCTGGGCGGGCCTGGTGGCTCATGCCTGTAATCCCAGCACTTTGGGAGGCCGAGGCAGGTGGATCACAAGGTCAGGAGATCGAGACCATCCTGCCTGACACGGTGAAACCCCGTCTCTACTAAAAATACAAAAAATTAGCCCGGCATGGAGGCGGGCGCCTGTGGTCCCAGCTACGCAGGAGACTGAGCCAGGAGAATGGCGTGAACCCGGGAGGCGGAGCTTGCAGTGAGCCAAGACTGAACCACTGCACTCCAACCTGGGTGACAGAGCGAGACTCCCTCTCAAAAAAAAAGAAACTTTGTTCTCCGCTGTGTGGAAGATAAGCATCTTGAGAAGATAAAGGAAACACTGTCTAATTTTTTTTAATGTACTATATTTTCCAAGTGAAGCCTACATCACTGATATCACTTTCCTCTAGTTACGTATTTTTTATTGATGCAATCTCTTTAAAAGGTCAAGGAAAATTTTTATTATCTTAAGCCTTTGATGATGCCCTAGTTTGTCCTTTCCCCACCATGTAAAGTAGGGCACAGAGAAATCAGGCAACTTTCCCAAACTCCTGCAGTGGGTTAGCACAGCCAGAAAGGACTTCACAGAGTCTGGATTCTCAGAACTGTGCTCAAATTAGATCCTGCTGCAATCCACCCACACAACCAGGTTTGCACTTACCTCCTAAAAAGTTGCTTTCAACTTCGAAAAAGAGAATACCCAGGTTTTCGAAACCTGGCTGAGATCGAGTTCCATGTTAGATTTTTGCAGATCACAGCCTTAGTTTTCTTCTGCAATACCAGCCTTGCATCATTAATGTTTCTCAGTGGTTTTCCTGCCAGTCCCTTCGCTGTATTCCGAGTGTAAACAGTGTCAATGTTGACCTCTAGGCCAGCGGGGCTACCAGACCCAAAAGAACCTCACCTCGGGAAATGTGAAGGGGGCGTCAGCACTGGATAGAGAAGTCAATGTTGCCTGCCTTCTAATATCTCCAGTGCGCCTCTTCCTTTACTGCAGAAACTTGCCTCAGACTTTTGCATGAGTCAGCAGTTTCTTCTAATCGGCTGGAGTTGTGGCGGCTGCTCCGCAGTCCATCCCACTGTACTATGTCTCTAGAGCACACCTGGCAGGAAGGGACTGTGTGCAGAAAGGATGTTCAGATGTTCATGAGGCTGCATTTATACTACACTATGAATTTCATGTAAGTTCTTCTGCTATTTGAAGTCGAAAGTGGTGCACTATATATCACTGCAATTTATTTCAAATTCTATCTATGCTGTTCCCAAATGCAACATAAATGCATTGCTGTCATTTGTACAAATGACTTCCAAATGGTGCTGTGACAAACAGGTATGTTTCCACACAGTTTTGCTCTTTTCAAAATACTGCATAGTACTTTGATTCTGGTCCATGTCTGACACACTTACCCGTGAGTCTTCTAAGGAAAAACCAACAGCAGGTGAAAAACCCTAGATCACTCAAGAAAACAAAATTTGAGCTTTTAAAATTCCATATTGTTGGACTCAATTGGACTTTGGGCTCTGGGGAATGAACAATGCCTTTGTCCACAAATGTAGGTTTCCAAAGAAAAGTACGGCAGGCTTCAAGGGAATCAAGCCTGCAGACAAGTTAGGACTTTTACAAATAAAATAGAAAATATAAATCTTGTGCTTTTTAAGCATCTACTTGTAAGATATTTTCAGCCAGAGAGTAAAAGCGTGCATTTTCTAGCAAGGATGCCTTACAAACCTGTCTCTGCAAACAGGTGTAAGCATGCATGTAAAAGCAGGGGGTAGCCACTTTATTGTCCCTCAGAGAATAAAGTGTTGTCCCAACAGGATACAACATTCACCTTGCTCTGAACAAAGCCCTGAGTGGAGCCTGTGCTGTATTTCACTGTGACACCATCTGGCCCCTATTCTCGAAGCTCTACATCCTCGTTTTCTCTCAATGAAGCACTAACTCAGAACAAGCTTGTGCTTATAAGAGGACTTGTATTCAGCTCAGTCCTCCGTGGAAAGGGATGGCAAATAGTGACCATGGCTGGCAAAAATCCACACGGGAGAAAGACCTCCGTGTGTGCCTTTCAGAAGTCTGAGGTGTCCAGTCTATATTGTGCTACAAGCCTCTCCTCCACATTTCTTGATTTTTAAAAAATCTTGGGTGGGCGCGGTGGTTCACGGCTGTAATCTCAGCACTCTGGGAGGCTGAGGCGGGTGGATCACAAGATCAGGAGATGGAGACCATCCTGGCCAACATGGTGAAACTCCATCTCTACCAGAAATACAAAAATTAGCTTGGCGTGGTCGCCTGTGCCTGTAATCCAGCTACTCGGGAGGCTGAGGCAGGAGAATCCCTTGAACCTGGGAAGCAGAGGTTGCAGTGAGCCAAGTTCGTGTCACTGCACTCCAGCCTGGTGACAGAGCGAGACTCCGAAAAAAAAAAAAAATTCACCGGCCTTCTTTGTATTCCCAGTCACTTGTGTGTTCTGTTACACTGTGTGATGCATTTCTATCATTCAAGGATAATTTCAGAGCTTCATTTAATTTTTGTCCTCTACCCCCAAGTCCAAATGGGGACCCCAAAACATAATGACCATCCATTATTATACCAAGGAATTCAGGAAATGCTGAGAATAATGTCCCTCAGGGTTGCTTTCTAGAATTAGCATTTAACTGTGAGCCTGAATTTCTTCCTTTTGCCACAAGGAAAAAACAATCCACTGGAGAAATTGTGTTACTGATGAAACTGAAACAAGAGCATAAAGTCAAATGTCTTCCACAAATCTTCCAGCTGGGAAAAATGAGAGCAGCTTCCCTAAAAAGGGATAAGATTCAAGATAATTGTGTTATCATCCTGAGACATGTTTACAAGATTCAAGCTTAGGGGAGCACAGTGCTATCAGGACAAAACTAGCTTGCTAATCTTGTTTTCAAATGTATTTGGAAAAGTCAACTAAAGTTAAAACTAAAAATCTCCGGCTGGAAGAGTTTTTTTAAAAAAAGGTCTAAGCCTATTTGCCCAAATTCCCAAGTTAATATTTAGTATTTATTAAAATGTGAAATTGTGACATTTAAAAAGCCACATAATTAGTTTAAGCCAGGCTTGATTTGTCTTTACCAACTTTCCTCCTACATTATATCAATAATTACATGTACTGCTTTTTTTCCCACTTATAAGCATTTTTTCATGTTATAGTCTTCATAATTATCTTTTCATTTGTACCTTAATATTCAAACCACTAAATGCACCATAAATACATTTATCATTCCCCTTTTGTTTTTTTAGGTTGCTTCCAATTTTTCACTATTGTAAATAATACTGCAATCAGCATTTTGAGTACTTTAGTTATATTTCAGCATTTGAATTACTTCCTTAGGATAGATTTCCAGACGTAGAAATAATGAATTAAATAGTATGTACATTTTTATGCCCCTGGATAGTTTGCTAAATTGTTTTTCCAAGGAATTATATACCTAGTTACTCAGTCGTTAGCAATGAATGAGAAGCTTGTTCTCACCAGCATTGGGTATTAATATGTAAAATGTGTTCATTAATTTAACAGGAAAATAATCTATTTACCTGGAAGCTTTAAAATTTTTAAGTAGGCAAATACGTCCACCTTTTCCTCTGAGCTTTCTTAACTTGCTTGAGACTTATTAAGTTGTCCCTTCTCCTACCAAGAACATTGGATTTGCAAGTATGTAGGAGGGCAGGATCCCCCTGGCCTAGGACACACTCTCCGGCAACTCCATCAAAATATCTGGAGGTGGGTCCTGGCTCCAGGGAATTCCCATGTGCAGCCAAGCCTGAGAACCTCTGGCATAGAAGGTAGGGATTTAGGCAGTGGGAAGATGAAGGCAACAGTTTCCCTTTAAGGAAGTTTGATGGAAGGCAGAGATATGATGGAAGTTTGAAGGAGTAACGGTCAAAGAAAGGTACTCTTAAAAATAAAATACATGGGCTAGGTGCGGTGGCTCACACCTGTAATCCCAGCACTTTGGGAGGCCAAGGCGGGCGGATCACCTGAGGTCAGGAGTTCGAGACCAGCCTGCCCAACATGGCGAAACCCCATCTCTGCTGAAAATACAAAATATTAGTCAGGCTTGGTGGTGGGCACCTGTAATCCCAGCTACCCAGGAGGCTGAGGCAGGAGAATCGCTTGAACCTGGCAGGTGGAGGTTGCAGTGAGCCAAGATCGTGCCACTGCACTCCAGCCCGGGCAACAAGAGCAAAACTCTGTCTCAAAAATAAATAAATAAATAAAATAAAATACGTGACCTCAATATGTTTGAAGGCAGAGGGAAAGATTCTTTGGAAAGCAAGAGAATAAAGTAAGAGAAAGAAAAATGAAGAAAACAGGAATGAGGGAGAGGAGTTGGGCCAATGTCCCAGGGAGAGGGGTGAGCATGGGAAAGGGAAAATCATTTCTGCTTAGATGTGTGAAGGAAAGAATATGGGTGAAAACGCAAGGACGTTATGAGGTATAGGAGTTTGCATGGGTTGGCCTTGATCTCAGGGCAGTGGAAATTATGTGGAATACCTACAGTGGAGAAGGGGAGAAGAGGAAGTAAAAGGATAGTTTACTAAAAGTAGTCAATTTATCAACTGGTCAGCAGCACTCTTCCAGAAAGCCTCCATTGAGAAATGGGCAACAATCTAATGACTAAAATTGGGGTTGGACATGATTAGTTGTCACTTACTCACATTATCCTTCCAAGTCTATCATGGTGGCCTGGCTCTATACATTGTATGAGGCAGGGCTCAATCAGAAAAGTGGAATCATCATGCATGAAACAGGGTAAGAGAATTTTTTTAAAATGTGGATTAGGCCTTAAGCAATTGTGGGTGCTGATGGAGACGTCAATGCCAGACTGTTGTCTCTGCATCTGGTGTTGGGACTGAAGTTGTTGTAGGCCAGAGGGAAAGGAGAACTGAATGTGCAATGAGGGTGAGCAATTAAGAACAACTGGTACTCCCATTTGTTTCACCATCTCCAGCCTTGAGGATGTGGGTGACTTGCAGAAACAGCTGGTACCTTTTGTCACAGGTGCACACATACCCGGCCCAGGACTCGGAGGGGCTGAAGGAGGGAACTGGCAGGAGCTGGAGTCCCACGCTAACAAGGTAGGCTAGGAGATACTTAACAACATACATGAGCTGCCACGGTACCTGGTACCTATACCCACCTTCCGAACACAAAAATGGCTGCTGCCTCAACTTTGCCTTCCAAATTTCACTTGCAGAACTGTAGAGGAAAGGGAATTCTGAGACTTGGCTTCATTGTGGTCCAGTTGACACCTTACAAAGCCACCACACTGTTTGAAAACAGTCTGTATTTGAAGACTCTATTTGACTGTTGGAAAACAGTGTCTATTTTCAAAAGTGCTTTGAAGTGGCCAGACGCGGTGGCTCATGCCTGTAATCACAGCACTTTGGGAGGCCAAGGTGGGCGGATCACCTGAGGTCGGGAGTTCGAGACCAGCCTGACCAACATGGAGAAACCCCGTCTCTACTAAAAATATAAAATTAGCCTGGCATGGTGGCGCATGCCTGTAATCCCAGCTACTCAGGAGGCTGAGGCAGGAGAATCGCTTGAACCCGGGAGGCGGAAGTTGCAGTGAGCCAAGATCGCACCATTGCACTCCAGCCTGGGCAACAAGAGCGAAACTCTGTCTCAAAAAAGAAAATAAATAAATACAATAAGTGCTTCGAAGCACTCTACAGACTCATGCAAGAATCCAGCACATGCAGTAGGCTGCAAGCAATGGTTGAGTTTTATAAGAGGAGAAATGTCAGCTCAAAGGTTCCAGTTTGGGCCCAAAGTCACATCTTGTATTCCTGTTGGAATGATGGCATTTAAAACTAGTTTTCTGGTCCTATAAACGAGAACAGAGACGCCCTCTCTCTGTTGGTGGTGTGCTTAGGGAGGAAACTCCCCATGCCACTGTTTCATAACTGTCACCACAGCAAGAAGTTTGGGGCAAAATAGCCCCCAGAGTTTTTGGAAATGTAGCCTTAACTGAGCTTTTCCTTGTCTTAGCACACCCTCACAGCTTAGACGTGACTGAGGATTGGGAACCATTTCCACAGCCAGCGCTGCAAACAGGGCCTGGTATGAGTAATTAACTCTCACGTGGGGGCAGCTTGCTGTGAATTTGAAGACTCTGCAATGTCCCAGATCCTCATAAAGCAGCTCAAATATTTGCCGTCCAACGAAGCATGGCTGAAATAACACAGTCTCCTCGTTGGAGGTTTTGGGAATGCAGCATCAGCTAGACCCTGGGGCCCTGTGGCTTCCGTCCTCTCCTGGAGAGGTGACCAGCTGAGGAGTCAGGCCTCCTTGGCTCCCAGGAAGGGGGAACAACATCTGCTGTGGCATGTGCCCTGCCTGCTTCATCTCTCACCTGGCTTTAAACACACAGGGAATCAACACCAAGCTAGAAGCTAGACGGCAGGCCCTCCTCCCTGTGTTTAAGCTCACACAGCCACATCTGATGCTGTGGAGAGGGCTAGTGTCAATCAGACTCAGACCCTCATTTAGTTTTCCTGCGCATGTGTGATGAAGCCAAACCATTTACTAGGACCTGGGTTTGAAGGATTTTGGAAAACATTCTTGGAACCTTGAAAGGCTGGCTTCCCAAAGAGTCTCTCAACCCCTCTCTTCTTTTTCTTTCTTCTGTGGTTTCCTTTTCCTTCTTCCCCTTCCTCTTTTTCTCTGCCCTTTGTTCTCACTCCAGAAACACATAACCAAACATTTACTGGGATCATGCCCGTGATGTAGGTAGGGGACAGGAGAATGGAAGGCACCGTGCCTGCCTTCAGGGGACCGACTGGTCAGCATGGGGGAACATGGGGTGGTGAAGGCAAAAGAGAGGGCAGATGTCAGTTGAGCCGAGTCTTGAAGCAAAGGTAAGAATTGCCAGTGGTCTCCTCCGTGCTTCGGTTGTCATTTATCTGCCCCAACTCCCTCCTTTCATACCCTTTGCCATCCACTAGGCTCTCACTGGAGAAAGAACCTGGCAGCCAGCAGTAAACTCTGACATCTTCTTATGGCCATCTCTGGCCTCATCTCCTGGGTAAAGAAATCACTCTCGAATGCAAACCCTCCTAACTTCCTGACTCTCCAGAAGTACCCAAAGTAAAATTTCAAACACCCAATCACCTGCCCACTTCTAATTAGAGCTGGCAAGTCCTCTCAGCTACGGTGGCCACTTAACATTTCTGCAATTCTCTTAGAACACGAACAGACTTTCAAATCTCTTTCCTGTTGTTCACAGTGTTCCTGGCTGCTATGGTAGATTGTGCTGTTGCCTCTATTTTCACTCATGCCCCAGCCACACCAACGCTTGTAAGAGGGCCAGAAACAGTTTTAAACATAATTTGGCTTCCAGCCTAGAGCCGAATTTATCATCCACTCTTTCCCTGGCATCACACTTGTCCTGCCAACCTCTGGTACCTGGCTCAACTGTAGCCTGAAAGAGTTAACAGCCAATAAGCCAGAACTAACTCTTAGGGGAGGAGCTTTAGAATGCTGACATGATAGTCACCAGATCTGCAAAATGGTATTCAGCAAAGTGTGAGATTGTTAGGAGACCAAATGCTAAACTTAATACATGAGACCTTGACACTAGGTACCAGATAGATCCACTTTCAGGTCCCCTTTTTGCAGAATCCTTAGGAGCAGCATGTCATTTACCCACGCTGCTTTACAAATGCTGCATCTGGAGTCAAGAAGACAATCTGAGGGGTTTGGAGGTTGCCGTCTGCCTGGTGATCAGAATGCTGCCCTTATGTCATATAGCACATCAGAGGGAAGTCATTGGACTGCATCACCTGCATCTCCTGGGAGCTTGTTAGAAATGCTGAATCTTGGGCTCACACTTGACCTGCAGAAACAGAATCTGCACGTTGACAAGATCACCAGGTGATCTGTGTGCACATTACTGTTTGAAGAGCACTGCTATAGAGTTGTACGGCAACAAAACACTTTTACATACATAAAATCCTCCTCTGAGGAAGGCAGAGGAAACTGAGGATTTGAGAAGGTGAGTGATTCTTTCAGGTCACATGGCTGGCGCCAGACATTTCTTAACTCCTACTTATTTGGCGCTCTTTCCACTGAACCACTTTGCCTCCTGCCAACAGTCAGGAGAGAATGACAGTGGCCATGGAGGCTTTCACTGAGCTCTCACCACACGCCACACATTGTTCGGATTAAGTTATTTAATATCACTGGCTCTATGAGGTGGGGGCCTTTATTTTTCTCATTTTTCTATTAGGTAAGTGGTGGAGCACCAGAATCAACTAGTGTATTCCAGACTCCATTTAAGTTGCCCACACTGAAAGTTGAATTTTGAATTTCCCAGTAGTGACTGGGAAGCAGTAAGGAAACAAGGGAATAAACCGGAACCTAGCTGTGTGACACTGGGCATGCCACATCACCCCACGTTACTTATCCAAGAAATGAGGTTGAACTGGATGATCTTTAAGGCAATTTCCAGCACTGACATTTTAGCATTCTAAATATTTCTAAATCCTTTGCTTGATATCTACTGATGGCTTTTCTTCTGAGCATCTTTGATTTAGGATCAGAAACTGTCAGCCAAGGCCAGAGGATGGGGGAAGGAGATTGGAGGCAGAGGCACATTTTACATGAATGGGACAGATGACAAGCCCCGGGACCACATCCTGCACCTGCCTGCCGGCCAGCCACAACCCAGTCTACTGTGTGGCATCGTGGGATAACTCCCAATATGGCTGTCCTGCAGAAGTTTATGAGACTAATTTAACACCACTCTTTGCAGCTGCACCACACCCAGTTCAGCTGGCAAGAGGATGCTTTTAAAGAAGAAAGGTGATCAGGTCTGGAGTGTTTCCCACAAGCCCAACGTCACACAATGAGTTAACTGCCAATGAATCAGAAACATATGGTGCTCAACAAGCTTCTCTCAGATTACGCACTGTTTAATAATCTAGGGAATCGCTATTTGTCAAAACAGTTGTAACTTGTTACCAAATGCAGGACCTCTGAGACCCAGTTTGAAATGTATTGTCAAACACGCCAGAGTCTCCAGGGCCAGATTAATGCATCTTAGCTCCATCCATGGGAGATTATTTTCCGAGTGTACCATTTGGTGATTGTAACTCAGAATGGGGTCTGACGAGAGCTGAGGTTTAAAAGACACCTGAACAATTACGCCTAAGTAAATATAGCTTAAAACAAATCACAAGTAAGCACTACTTTAGTCACAGTGCAAAAGAACACACACTTGCTGCTTCTATTTTCAGAAAATTAATGAACGATTTTAGTTATGGCAAAACAACCCTGCAGAACAAGGGTCAGTTTGCTCTTTAATCAAGAAGCTTTGCCAAATATTTACTAAAATAGGGCAGACTCCTTGTAAAAGTATAAATAGTTTTGTTTCTTATTTAAAATAAAAAGGTCTCTAGCACCTTATATGGTCTGATCCTTTGATAGCACTCAAGTGTTTCTATAGTAGGATTTCCATTGTGGTCTCTGCTAAGGAAAAAAGAAACAAAATTGCAGCACGAGGTCAGAGAAAAATGATGCTTCCCATAAAAATCCAATCGAAACTGCAGAGTAAACTGTGAGGAATGTTGTCTCATAGGATAAAGCATGTGGTGATGCTGTAATCAGACTCAGTAAGGACCAAGATTCCCGTGGCCAACTCATGATTCATCCCTTCACCTTCTTCCTTCCTTCCTGATAGCCCCAGATTCTGTGTCTCTCCCCAGTGTGGTCCAGGGGATAAGCTCCATGCTCAGCTCCAGGGGCAAGTTCTGCTTAAGCCAACCATGGGAGTTCCCTGATTGGTTTAGGAACAGTCATGTGACCCAATTCTGCCCCATGAAAAGTAGGAAGTCTACTGTGGGGAGGTTTTGGGAAACAGTTTCTTGCTCCTAAGAAAGAGGAACAGGAAGAGACAGATCTTCTTACAGGTGTTGCCGTGTTTGGATATGATGCTCCAAAGTGGCAGCCATGTTGCTTTCAGGTGAGGGTAAACCTGACACAGGGTTGGGCAAGGTAAGGAGAATCAGTGAGAGACGGAACACAGCCCTGACACATCACATCTGGAGCCCACCTGCCTTTGGATTTCCCGTTATGTGAAACAATACACTTCCTTATTGCTTAAATCAGTTCGAGTTGGTATTTCCAGTATTTGCTGCCCACAGCATCCAAACAGATCTAATATAGCTTTCAAATTCACATACCACAGACTAGCCAGCCCCCTTTTCCATTGCTGTCCTGAAAACTTTGCCTCACCCATTGTTTTGCCAAAAGTCTTCTGAAAGGGTAAAATTTCCCCAGATACCATAACATAATGCTATAGATTAATCAATATGTCTACATGGTGATCCTCAACTGATTACAACTAATTTCATTGTCATTTCTCAAGACAGGCAAACCAGAGTGGTTTTCTAAAGGGCCCTTTCTATAGTAAAAATAACATTCGGTCAGTCACACATTCATTTCCAGGACTGGTTGAGTGGATCCATCTACCTTCTCTCATGGATACCCCTTGTGACAAAGCTGAGAATGTCAAGACAGCTGATGGGACTCAGGTTAGACAACAGAGGGTCTGAAACAGCAAATCTTACCGGTTCAACCAAGAGCCAAGGGAGTTGACATAAAAAACAGATATATTCTATATTTTGCATTCAGAATGTCTTTTTTTCTTTTTATAACCTTCATCAGAGATTTTTATGTACACACATTCCAAAATGGAACAATGCAGCAAAAAGAGTCAAGGAGAATTCTAAAGCATTCTCTGCCTACATCTGATGAATGAAAGGGTTGGATTTTTCATCTTTATTTATTTGGCCTCAATGTTCAGCTTTCTTGTATCTATGAAGACCTAATTTAGCACACTTCAAATCCCTTGAGGGAGGTAGTTATTGAATGTGCTACCAGCTCTAAGAAGGAGAGCTGGAGGCTTTACTCCATGAGGGCCTCTGGCACTTAGATTACAGATTGGAGGAATGGTGGGTAATTCTCAATCAAAACTGAATCTGAAAATTATTTTTAAGACCACTTAACATGCTATCTATCTTCTTAACAAATTTTAAGTGTACATTACTGTTGACTGTAGGTTGATTAGAGCTTACTCATGTTGCTAAGTGAAACTTTATATCTATTGATTAGTAGCTCTCCATTTCCCCCTCCTCCACTAGTCCCTGGTGACCACTATTCTAGTCATTGATTTTATGAATTTGACTATTTTAGATACTTCATACAAAAGGAACCATGCAGTATTTATCTTTCTGTGTCTGGCTTATTACATTTAGCATAATTTCCTCAAGGTCTATCCATATGGTCACACAGTACAGAATTTCCTTCATTTTAAAGGCTGAATAGTATTCCATTGTGTAAATACATCACATTTTAAAAAATCCAGTCACCTGTCAATGGACATTTAAGTAGTTTCCTTGTCCTAGCTATTGTGATTAGTGCTGCAGTGAACACAAGAATGCTAATAATATCCCTTAAAGATCCTCATTTCAATTCTTCTGGATATATACCCACAAGTGGTATTGCTGGATCCTACAGTGGTTGTATTTTTAAATTTTCGAGGAACTTCCATGCTGTTTTCCATAGCAGCTGCATCATTTTGCATTCTTGCAAACATGTATAAGGGTTCCAATTTCCTCACATCCTCACCAACACTTGTTGTCTTTTTTTTTTTTGATAATAGCCATCCTAATAGGTGTAAGGTGATTTCTCATTGTGATTTTGACTTGCATTTCTCTGATTATAGTGATGATAAGCTTTTTTTCACATTCCTATCAGCCATTAGTATTTCTTTTTTGGAGAAATGTCTGTTCAAGTCCGTAGCCACTTTTTAAATTGGCTTCTCAGTTTTCTTGCTATTGAGTTGTTTGAGTTCCTTATGTATTTTGGAGATTAATCCCTTGTCAGATACATGGCTTACACATATTTTCTCCCATTCTGTAGGCTGTCTTTTCACTCTGTTGATTGTTTCCTTTCCTGTGCAGAAGATTTTTAGTTTGATGTAGTCCCACTTGTTTATTTTTGTTGCCTGTGCTTTTGGTGTCATGTTCATTGCCAAGACCAAGATCACAAAGCTTTTCCCCTATGTTTCCTGATAAGAATTACAGTTTCAGATCTTATGCTTAGAAATGTTTTTTGCTGGATGCTAGAATGCTAATCTTTGCTCCTATATTCACTCAGAATTATAAAATGAAAAAGAGGTTGTGAGAATCTGAGCAAAATTCACAAATTATAAATCAAATGTCAATTATACTTTCTATGTTCATGCATTCTTATAATGGCAAGAATATCTCTGGTTGCACTGACATTTTGGCACACGTCGTCATGCTCTTCAAAGACTGTAAACTGTGGTGTGACCTCTGTTCAGAAAGAATTACTGCCCTATAAAGTTATAGAGGCACTGAGAGTCTTTTACTTTCTCTTCTTTGGAAAGGTGCAGTGCGTTCCTTGCAGACATTGCTCTGAATAGTATGTTGCACAGACTCAAACACTGTACCTTTTTAACACTCACAGCTTGAACCCAGATTCACAGCCTTTGGGACTCCTTCCTTTGATATGAAATCCAACCACAAGGCTCATGAACTATTAACACAGGCCTTTATCTGTTGCACTTGTTACAATTCGAGCAGAAAGAAAGTAACTCGCTGCAATACTATTATGGGACAGTGGGCTTCAGTGATAATAATCCAGGGCACACCTCAGTTTGCAAAATGCTCTTCCTTATGTTATCTCATGTCAGCCTCCCAAGAATCCTGATGGGATTTTATAGACAGGAAAAACAGAGATGAAATCAAAAGGCTCAAAGTACTTGACCAAGTTCAGAGGCAGAAGCAGAGCTAGCACTTGAGCCTAGCTTTCTTACTCCAAGTCCAGTGTTTCTTCCATGATAATATCTTGTCCTGACAAAGGTGGCATGAGGGCAGGGTTATGTGATGGTTAAGAGCACAGTAGTTCTGGGTTCAAATTCCAGTTCTGCTACTTATCAGCCAGGTGAACTGGGGAAAGTTGCTAAGCCTCAGGGCCCTGCCTTGGTTTTCCCATCTATAAAATAGAAATAATAACACGTACACCACTGGGTTTTGGAGCTTAACGCATTAATGCAAGAAGAGCACTAAGCATAGTGCTTCACACAAAGTGCAGTACTCAGCAAGTCCTCAATGAATAATAGCTCTTAAAAATCCACAGGGAAGTGAGCCTTGGTTGAACACTTTGCATGTGAATCCCATTTCTCTGGGTTTTCACTGTTATTGACTGTTAGTCAAAGGTGTCCTGTGAGCTCCAGTTTCCTGTTTGGCCAAATGAAGGCAATGGGACTTGATAAGAACAATCACAAGAACCCCTCTATCTGGCCTCCATTTTTAACACTGCTCTCCATTGTCTGTGGGGTGTTTGTGTTCACTCTAGCTGTCTGGGGAGAAAGGAGGCAGAAGGGAGTGAAGGACCCTGGTATCAAATTTACCACCTTTCCCTTCATGCTAACACTCCCCGCCACACCCAGCCAAGATGTTTACAGGGCAGGAGATTAAGATGCAAAGGAAAGTGGTGATGCCTGGGAACGGCCTTGGCTGTTTTGGAAAATACACACCAACACACAGACACAGCTGCTATTGACTTCAAAGACATAATGATTCTAGGATGGCAACATTATGATTTGGTAGTTAGATCTCGTAAATTTACGTCATTTGTTTAAAGCCCTACAGGGCACAAACAAGTAGAGTAAACTGCAATAGTCAGATCACCTGACAAAAGTAATCATAAGATGAGAAGGCCAGCACCAAGGAGAGACTGTTTCTTATTACTACACTAAATGAACTGGACAATTCCACTGGGAATGTTTACTTTGTGTCATACAAGCCACTCTAACCGAGGCCCAGGGGATGGAGGAAGTTCCAGAGAGGCAGGATCCTCTCTCCAACCCTTTTGAAGTTGACCAACTATTTGCTGGAATGTGCCACACAAAAAGAAACTGACCAGCTATTTGCTGGAATGCACCATACAAAAAGAAAACAAACAAGAATTAGTACAGATTCCTGTGCAGCATTAAAAATGATTCTTCAAGAGCGTCAACGCTCCCTAGGGCTGTACTTGGCCAAGGGGATCAAACTCCCAAAGCTCAAGCTCCCAAAGTTCTAGCTCTTTATAGTCAATGCTTACTTTCCCTCTTCCAATAGCTTAGGCCCTAGAATGGAGTCTAAGACCCAACCCCTGACTCCCCATTTCCTCCCCATGAGTTCACCCTTGGAACCCAGGGTGTCCTTTCCCAAAAGCCGACCTTGATTTGGACCCTCTCGACCCTCAGAGTTGTAGTAACGCAAAGCCCTGCATAACTCCTGTATGGGAGGGCAGCTTTGTAAAGCCTTGAAATGTTTCTGTTACCTCCCTCCTCTGGACAATGAGTGCCCATGGTCTTTAAGACACTTAAGTAAAAAGGAGCAAAGAAGGACCACTCGAATGAGTCTCCTCAGAATGCAGATTTATTCCGAGGCAGTTTACTGTCCTTCCTAGCTGGAGCACTGCTTGACCACTTTTAAACACACAGCCCTTGATAAAACAAATGCCAAGTTCTGCCTAACCAGTTCTGCCCACTGTATTAAAAATACTGGACACTTATGGTCTCTTTTTGTTGGTATGAGTTAATAGAATTTTTGTCTTCAGTAATGTTTCAGGAAGTCTGGAAGTCAGGAAGACTGCTTTAGAATCACCTGAGATGCTTGTGAAAATGCAGAATCCTGGACCCCATCTCTGGCCTAATAAAGCAAAGTTTCTGGGAATGGGCCAAGAAATGAGCATCCCACGTGATTCCGATACACATCAGAGCTTGTGCTGATCAATGAGAAGTCACCTTGTCTGGCATTTACTCCTTCCGTTCATGAATATGTATTGAGCACCTATGATATGTCAGGCATGGCTCTAAGCTCTGGGAATACAGCAGGAAATAAAGTAGACACTGCCAGAGGAAGCTTACCTTCTAGAGGGGAAGACAAACAAATAAATACATAAATGAGCCTATTTTAATACCACCTAGTAGTATCGGGGAAGACAACAAGGGCAAGGTGATGTAGAGTAGAGGTGTTATTTTTAGCTAAGGCAATGGGGAAGGCCTTTCTGAAAAGGCATTTGATTTGAGCAGAGCCCTGAATGCAGTGAGGGTGCAAACCAGCAGACAACTGAAGAAGGAGTGTTCCAGGCAAAGGGAGCAGCAGGTGTAAAGGCTCCAAGACAGAAAGGATGCTGGGTATGTTCGAGGAACAGTGAAGAGAGAAATGTAGCTAGGGCAGAGGGGAGTGACGGGGACAGGGGTGGAAGGACTTGTGATCAGAGAGGTTGGGGAGGGGTGCAGGTCACGAAATGATTTGAGGACTTTGCTTTTACTTTGGGTATGGTGGGAAGCCACTGTGCGGTCTGGACAGGACAGTGACATACCCTGCCTCTGGGTTTGAAAGGGCTCTTCTAGCTGCTGCTTCTGTCTCTATCTAAATCTTCTCTCTAGGTGTTCCCAGCCAGTTCTATGGCTATTAAGTGAAGAACTGATTGAAGGGAACAAGAGTACCTTCTAGTCACCCTCGTACATCTATCACTCATGGTATTCTTCTATGTGTCAGGCATTTAAATAAATCACCATCTCATTTAATTCTATGAGATAGGCACAGGATTAGCACCCCTATTTTATTGATGAAGAAATTCAAGCTCACAGAGATTATACAACTTGAAATGTGATGGAAGCGTGTTTTCTAACTTAGGCTGCTGATTTTAACCAATGTGCCCCACTGCCTCCCCTGATAGAACCACTAAGCTTTGCTGCACCTGCATGGGTAAAACGAAGCATAACAATTGTGAAGATTTAACAAAGAAAAGGGGTCTAGATTCATGACCAGTGGGGGAAAGGTTGAAGCCAACACATGCATGAGAACCTTGAAATTTCAGCTTTATTATTTTCAGTTTGTGCTTTAGCAACTCCTTCTTCTGTATACTTAATAGCGAGTCATGTAAATTCAAAGTCACAGCCCTAAAAAGCCACCTAACCATAGGGAGTTTAATTTAGCAGCAATTTCAGACTGCCTTCTTTCTCCTCCTTTGCTCCATCGAACCACAGCTGCATCCTGCTCTATTAACCACAACTCAAAGTTGCTTCTAAAGTCTGTTTATTTTCCTTTTTTCAATCTGGTCTTTCTTTTTAGGGAATTGTCTCCGTACTTAGCACAGCAAGATAGGAAATGAACTTCTCGACTCTGTTAGAATTACCCCCTCAGTTAGCAAAGTTGAATACAGCCCTAACCCAAGGCAGCCCACCTAATCTAAGAAGATGTCATCTCATAAACATATCAAATGATGGTCCCCTTGTGCCAGGGAGAGATCTACTTTTTATACAGTATTTTTGTAGGTAGTCTTGGCAGACTAGGAGCTGTCTAATTGAAAGGCATGGAGTATGAGTTAATTGCTGCTGTTGTTTTTCAAGCTTAAACTATTAATTTGTAGCTTGTGTAACTGACAGAAAAGCAACCAGGAAGTATTATCCATTAATAATGCAGTAAAGTTCTAGTTACTCAGGAGGCTGGAGCAGGAGGATTGCTTGAGTCTAGGAGTTTGAGGCTGCAATGAGCTATGCTTATGCCACTGCACTGCAGTCTGGGCGACAGAGCGAGACTATGTCTCTAAAAAAAAAAAAAGAAATTAATATAAAAAATACAAGTAAAATTAAATGCCCCCCAGCCACTGCTGCAAATTCTGAATCAAATGAACTGCAGATATTCATATGTTTAATTCAGTTGCCAATAAGAATTTATATTTGCCTAACAGTTGAGCTGAGAGCAAAACTTTTTGTTTTTTTAAGTCTAAGAAGAAAAAAAAGGTAAGGACAGAGAGGGTGGGGTTCAAAACTAACTTAGAGCCAGCTGTGTTTCTTCTTCAAGAGGGACCACTGAGGAGGTGATGGTTTGTTTAATTTCAGAAATGTAAACAGAAGAAAGCCTGTCACAATTAAATTAGAATTTAAGTACTAATTAAGTCTGATGCAGTATAATGGAGATTTCGATTTAGTAAATATTGATCCCAAGTGGCTTTACTTTCTTTATACATCTCAAATTAATCTTAATGTAAACAAAGGGCATGTGTTCTTTTCAAAGTTAAATTTGCTCCTATCTGTATTCCAAGAGAAATGAGATTGGAAACCACAAGGATTACATTTCCCAGGAATGTATATGAAAGACCACAGCCTTGGAGCAGTGCTATCTGTATTTCTGCAGTACAGCTTGGGGCCTGTCAGTCCACACAGAGCAGCAGCAGATCACTAAGGAATCCTGGGCAAGATTAAACACACACACACACACACACACACACACACACACACACACACACACACGCTTATATAAACTGACCCAAAGTGTTATAGACTCCCAGATTTTAAGATCTACTTCTTAAGGTCAATTGCATAACTGGAAAAGTGAGTTTAAAATATTTGAAAAAAATTATAATTAATCTACCAGTGACTACAGCTCCCATTTCAGTCCATCTCTGCGATGGCTAACTGAAAATCCAGATTGCCTTT
Source organism: Homo sapiens (assembly GCF_000001405.40). NCBI lineage: Eukaryota > Metazoa > Chordata > Mammalia > Primates > Hominidae > Homo > Homo sapiens. The sequence continues at coordinate 91,574,835 of NC_000001.11, read as the reverse complement.
GAGGGCATGGAGAAATAAACAGTTCCTGATACTTCACAGAAGAGGAATTTATTTAATGCTGTTAAGGGAGTTAGTGATTGCCCAGTTTACTCTGAAACCATCTTTGTCATCTAAAAAACTAAGAAATTCTTGTCAAATGAGTTAACTGTTAATTTTGTTTTTATGTAAACACAATATACCTATATTGTTTTCCTAAAGTTTTAGTATTTTCTTAAGCAGTTGGCATCAGGAAGACAAGAAGAAAAAGTGTGCACTTGAAATGGGAAGACATTTTCTCAAGACGGGGATTTTGTCATACTGAATTGGTAGATAGACCGAGAAATATTTTGGTAATAAAATGTACGGTGTCTTAAATTTTATATCAGAATTATAGTCCTAGAAAGAACTATCCCCCTCTTTTGGGCATGAATGTCCCCGAAAAACATTAGCATTTCTCTGAACAGTTTTATAACCGAACTAGAGATCAAGAAAGTGAAATAGCTGGGTTACTCATTTTATAGGTGGGAGGACTGAGGCTTCTTCCGTGAACCCACTAAAGAGATGATAGCTTAGATGAAATCCAGGATGTATGTTAGAGGAGTAACAAACAGCAATTGGCAATGGATAGGATTTGAAGGGTGAGAAAAAGGAATCAGGTACGTGTCAGGCCTCTGAGCCCACGCTAAGCCATCATATCCCCAGTGACCTGCAGGTGTACATCCAGATGGTCTGAAGCAACTGAAGACCCAAAGAAGTGAAAATAGCCTTAACTGATGACATTCCACCATTGTGATTTGTTTCTGCCCCATCCTAACTGGTCAATGTACTTTGTAACCTCCCCCACCCTTAAGAAGATTCTTTATAATCTCCCCCACGATTAAGAAGTTTCTTTGTAATTCTCCCCACCCTTGAGAATGTACTTTGTGAGATCCACCCCTGCCCCCAAAACATTGCTCCTAACTCCACCGCCTATCCCAAAACCTATAAGAACTAATGATAATCCCACCACCCTTTGCTGACTCTCTTTTCGGACTCAGCCCGCCTGCACCCAGGTGAAATAAACAGCCTTGTTGCTCACACAAAGCCTGTTTGGGGGTCTCTTCACACGGACGCGTGAGACAGTATGCCTCCCAGGTTTTGGGTTTGAGCAGTTGACTGGATGCTGGTATGACTTCCTGAGATGGTAAAGCCTGGGAGAAAAACAGTTGTGAAGGTAATAGGACAAAGGGTTCTGCTGTACATGACGTCCGTCCGAGGCGTTAACTATCTACATGGCGATGTTAAATAAGCAGTTGAATATGTGAGTCTGGAGGCTCAAGGGAGCTCAGGGCTAGACACAGAAAAGGGGAAAGAATTCAGATGGAGAAGAGAAGCAGGACCCAGGCTGAGCTCTGTGTAGGCAGTAGTTCTAGTAGGAAAATCAAAGTAAGGAAACTCCTAATTTTGAGATCCTGTACAGAGTATTTTTATTACCTTGTTTAGAGTTACGAATTCCTAGAATAGCAAACATACACATATTTAAACATATGTACAAAAACATATTTCAGGGTCAAAAATTGATGAATTTTGGATTAATTTCTTTGGAATTATTTTTAATAATTGCAAGTCAAGAGCTGATTATATTCTGGAATACTATGCAGCCGTAAAAAAGAATGAGATCATGTCCCTTGCAGGAACATGGATGGAGCTGGAGGCCATTATCCATAGCAAACTAATGCAGGAACAGAAAACCAAATACTGCATGTTCTCACTTGTAAGTGGGAGCTAAATGATAAGAACTCATGAACACATAGAGGAGAATAGACACTGGGGTCTATTGGGAGAGGATCAGGAAAAACAGCTCATGGGTACTGGGCTTAATACCTGGGTGATGAAATAATCTGTACAACAAACCCCCATGACACAAGTTTACTTACAAATCTGCACATATACCCATGAAATTAAAATAAAAGTTAAAAAGAGTTGATTATATGCTTATTTTCACATCCAGTAGGAACTAGTTCAATGAATTTGACAAACCTTTAGTAAACGGCTTTGGAGTCAGACATTCTGGGCTCGCATGCTAGTTACACCTACCTAACTAGCCATGAGATCTCAGGCAAATAAATTAGGATCTAAGCATTGAGTTCATGAGGTAAAAAATTGCATTGGGAGAAGTAAGTGAGACAATTTAGGGTAAAATACCTGGGACAATTCCTAGCACACAGTAAGAGTTCAATAAGAGGAAGCGATTATTAATTAGATAAGGCATGTTCTCCCAGAGACCTTCAAGTCTGTTGAGAAGAGGCAGACGCAACCAGGAAATGCCAGCAAGAAGTTTCCAAAGTGAGGAGATTTGATATGAGCAGAGAACCTCCTGAAAACACTTTTGTTGCCTTCCAGTCAAAAGGAGTCAGAGGGATGGTCCTGGTCGCCCTTGCTCTCCTGGGCGGGTTGAGGCAGCCCAGCTTCAATCCTTAAAGAACTGTCTGTGCACAGAAGAGATGCTGCCTCCTCAGGACTCGGAGCCAAGGGCAGCTGGCTGCCCTATCTCGGTCCTTTCCTTCCCTTGGGTGCGTCTGCCTGTCCCACCGCCCTCCTCTTACCCATCCAAGTCTCCTCCCAACCGGAACTTTACCCCTCCCAGGGTCACACTTGGTTTCCTGACACGCGGGTATGTCCCTAATTAAACAGTTTCAGTTCCCTCTCTGGCCTGGGGTTTCCAATAACAAAGCCTGTGGCATCCAAAGGACACTTTCTTTTGGACCCAGGTCTTGCTGCTGGGTTGGAGCCCTTGTTTTTGAGGTCCACTCCGGTCTGAGGCGCTGCCTGTACCTTTGCAGACATAGGTTCCATCCCCTGTGAGGCAGGGGGCTGTTTGTCCCTGCTTGACATGGCTACTTGGCTCACTGGTCTAATTCACTATGGATTCTGAGATGTCTCTTTCTTCTATTCATTATATCACAGCAGCTTGAGCAGCCAAAGGATCAAATCTAAGCAGGACGTGAGATGTACTTCCTGCCTTAGACTTGTCCTCGTTGGCAGCCAGGCTGCTGTAGAGGCAAAAGGCAGAACATTTTACTGAGTTCAGTGTGTAGCTGAGTAATAGATCCATTTTTAGGGTGTTGGGTCCCAAGGCAGTGGTTGAGCTGGGTCTCCAGGGATTTACAGGATTGAAGAATAACAGCAAAAACAACAAAAATCGATAAATGTAAAATGCTATATGCTGGTGAACAATATCCCGTAAGTTCATTTAAAACAGCAAATATTCTGTATAATAACAATTTCTAAAATGATTTTTTAAAATGATTACTTTTGAATTGATTAACCCAATTCTTCAAACTATGAATAGTCCTCGGTATTGCTGAGTTTGTTTTACCTCTCATCCTGATCTTTTTGCTTTCTACTCTGAGCTTGAAAATCAACAATTAAGCATCTCTGTGTGCCAAGGAAATTAGGTGAAGCCTACTGCCATGGATCCTGCCAGCCATGCCAGGCCCAGAGGCTTCCTGCCACCTGAGAGGAGCCATTGAAGACCTCCTTGGGTGGTCAGAGCTTAGGGAAAGGCAGAAGTGGGTTTATTTCAAAGGTAGGCTTACGCTTTGGGGCCTTTCTCTTGTACCGGCCTCTCCCCAGGCCCTGTACCTCACTTTCAGTTTGTAATTTTGTGTTCCTTTTCTTTAAAAGGGCAGAAATTATATGGGCTTGAGGACTCGCTGAACCTGGGTCTACCCTTATGAGGGGTGAACTCACTTGAGGGCCAGGCAAGAGATCCTGCCAGCCCTGGGCTCCTTTTGGGCAGCCTGCCCTGAGTGGGCAGAGGCTGACCTGTAAAGCCGTATTGGGTGTAGTTGCCATGTCAACAGGCCCAGGGCAGTGACCAAGGACCATACTGGGGAAAATATCCCAGGGCCCAGGTTACTGCTGGAGAAATTTGAATGGCCAGAAGCAATCCACATTTTTTCTTCTTTTTTCAGAGACAGAGTCTCACTATGTGTCCCAGGCTGGACTCAAACTCCTAGTCTCAAGCAGTCCTCCCACTCAACCTCCTGAGTAGCTGGGATTATAGTCGCGTGCCACTGCATCAGCCCACAATGGACATTTATGCCCCTCACTGAGTAACCAAAGGGAGGTGCTTTTTGATGGAGTATTAGAAAAACAGATTCGCATAAACCATGGGCTGTGAGGTAGGGCTGATCATCCATCTGGTCACTTGGAGGAGGCTACCAAGGACTCCTATCTCCCTGAGTTTGCCCACATGTGACCGGATCCTCCTGATTTGGAGGACTTGTCTTTGGGGCTCCCTGTTCTTTACACGTCTTATTCAGGGTTCTTGTTGCTAGTTTTTGTGGTTTCTTGAGTCTTAGCTGTTTCTCCAGGACTCTGGCCAAGTTCCTCGATTCACCGTACCTGCACGGAGGGCAGGGAATGTAAATAGTGTATAGATTTTGAACAATATTGTAAATGCTTTATGGATTGTGTGTTACAGAGAGTAGCTGAGCTGTAAAATTGGGATTAAACCAACGTGTTTACAGAAATGTTCTGACTGTAAAATTTCTGTGCTTTCTTAATACAGCCTTTGTGATGCAGATCTTTGAGTACTTGGAGGGTGCTTCAGAACTGGGGACTCTGAGACCATCTCTGGCAGCCTCTTGTGAGCATCTGAGCCAACATCTTGGTTGCATTTTCTCCACGTTGGAGTGACTCTTCTTGGGCATGCCAGCTTCTTCTTTGAGTCTGTAATGCATTCCTGACCAAATACCCCTCACATGTGCCCTTCCATGTGAACAGAAACGCCTCTCCCTCTGAGGTGAAAATGGTGCTGTCAACACCCTCCTCAGAGGGCACATGCCTTGTGAGTGAGAGTGATGGAGCTCCGCCAGCAGCCATGCTCTCCACCCTCCTCACGGGGAAAGGCTGCTCTTTACTGGCCAGCCCTCTGGAAATGTCCCTCTGAGTCACTCTTAACAAGACAGGAGAAAGCAGTTTCCTGCTTTCACGCCTTCCCTTTTTTCTTTTCTCTCTTCCTTCCTTCTTCCGTTCCTCTTCCTTCCCTCCCTCTTGACCTTCCTCTCTCCCTCCCTTCTTTCCTTCCTTCCTGTGGCTCTCCTTTGTGAGTGACCTACCTCCGCTTCCTACTCTGTGACTTTGCACATTCAATCATTGCCTGGCTCCACCAGCAGTATATAAGGTGAAAGAGGATCCTGCCAGCTGTTCTAGGCCCAGAGGACACCTCTCTCTCTCTCTCTGTCACTCACACACACACACACACACACACACACTCTCTCTCTCTCTCTCACACACACCCACTTATTGATGGGGTAATAGGATCAAGAGGTAGCTTTGCATCATCAAAAAGAAGTCAGTCATTCTAGCCTGGAGCTTTAGAAGACGAAGTAAAAAAGAAGTCAGACAGTCCTAGCTTTGAATCCTGGCCCAGCCACTTACTAGGTGGGAGACCTTGGGTAAGTCACTTAACCTCTCTGAGCTTCTGTTTCCTTCCTTGGGTGTAGAATGGGGATAAGAAGCCTGCAAGAGCAGAATAAGGATTCAAAGCTATATAGTAGGTGCTCACTAAATAGTAGATATTTGTATGATTTGAAACTGTCCATAATTGTTCCTGTAGGCTTTAAGAAGAAAACACCCAGAAATGAGTTGTATCATCTGAGTTTGTGATGGATGCATATTGGTAGGAAATAAGTGAGACAATATTTCAGAAATTGGCATAAGGCCATGGGAGGTCCAGCTCAGAGATCACTTTGGACTGGTCTTGGCTTACAACCCACTGAAAACCAACTCACTGAGGTTCATTTATTGGGAGGTTGATTATAGTTAATTAATAAACTAGGATTGAAATAGGCCTATTTTTAGTACTGCTATTTTTTTTTTTTTTTTTGAGATGGAGTCTCACTCCATCACCCAGGCTGGAGTACAGTGGCACAATCTTGGCTCACCACAACCTCTGCCTCCCAGGTACAAGCGATTCTCCTGCCTCAGCCTCCCAAGTAGCTGGGACTACAGGTGTGTGCCACCACACCTGGCTAATTTTGTATTTTTAGTAGAGACTGGGTTTTACCATGTTGGCCAGGCTGGTCTCAAACTCCTGACCTCATGATCCGCCTGCCTCGGCCTCCAATTTTTTTTGAGACAGAGTCTTGCACTGTTGCCCAGGCTGGAGTGCAGTGGCACAAACATGGCTCACTGCAGCCTCGACCTCCCCAGGCTCAAGCAATCCTCTCACCTCAGCCTTCTGAGTAGCTGGGACCACAGGCATGTACCAGCACAGCCGGCATATTTTTAAATTTTTTGTAGAGATGAGGTTTCGTCATGTTGTCCAGGCTGGTCTCAAACTCCTGGGCTCAAGCAGTCCTCCCGCCTCGGCCTCCCAAAGTGCTGGAATCCCAGGCATGAGCCACTGTGCCCCGCCAAGTTTTGGCACCACCAGACTCCAGACTGCTGTCCAGAACTTGTGCTCTGCTCTGCATTTTTTCCTAGCCTTGTCTGCCATCATAATGTTCATTTCCACATTCCATTTGCTCTCAGCTGACTGTAAATAACGCCAAGAAGCAACCTGGCATACAAACCCCTCCGAAGGGATTAATAACTGTTAATAATAATACCAGAAAGCAAGCACTTTACAGAATATATTATTCCTAATCCATATCATAATTCTACATGATAGTTTCCTTTTCTCTATACTTTCATACAGATGAGGAAACTGAGGCTGAAACAGGCAATTAATTTGTGCAGGTGGCACGTTTACTACATGGTGGAACCAGGATCTGAACTCAAATTTGTCTGTGAATGTTTTCAGAATATTCACCTACATGTTGCCCAAAGTCAAGGCTGCCCTGGGGCAGTGTGTATACCTGAATGACAATCAGTACAGGCACTGAGGGAAGGGAGAACCGATGCTGGAGAGGCAAGCATAACTGCCACTGTTAACTTTGTGACCAAACTTCATGTCTTGTGGCCTAAAGGACAATCGTATCCCTTCTGGGGGAATTTCCCCACCTCCATGTTGAAGCCAAGGATGACTAGTACTCCATGGAAAAGAGGTCAACATGATAACCAGGAGATGTGGTCATGGGGCATTAAAAGGTTCGAAGCTGTTCCAGAAAGGATGTCATTGATGTGGAATACAGGTGAGCCACTTGGTCCTCAAGGGAGTGCCAGGGAGGAGAGTAAACACCACCTGGCAGGCCAGGTGTGGTGACTCACTCCTGTAATCCCAGCACTTTGGGAGGCCGAGGTGGGTGGATCACCTGAGGTCAGGAGTTTGAGACCAGCCTGGCCAACATGGAGAAACCCCGTCTCCACTAAAAATAAAAAATTATCCAGGTGTGGTGGTGCATGCCTGTAGTCCTAGCTGCTTGGGAGGCTGAGGCACAAGGATTGCTTGAACCCAAGAGGTGGAGGTTGCAGTGAGCCAAGATCATGCCAGTGCATTCCAGCCAAAACAAAACAAACAAAAGACCACATGGCAGTGAGGAGGCTCCCATAGTGATCCCAAGCAACGTGTGTTCCATCCCTGTGGCCTGCTAAGTGAGGTTTCCAGCAATTCAGTTGAGGCTGCTGGCCAGCCGGGGCTTCTGTTATTGGTGCCCACACCATTTGGTTGGCCCCTCCAGGAGAAAGGCCTGAGGAGCCTGGGGACTTGTACGATGTAGCTTGGTGGCCAGGAGGGTGGGTGCCTGTGTCAGAGCGCTTGAGCCAGATCCTGAATCTGCTACTCACAAGGAGTGTGAGTCTGGATACATTGATAAACCCTTCTGTAAATGCAAATAATTTCTTAATCTGTCAAATGTGAATCATAATTGTACCTATACTTTATTGGATCGTGGGAAGATTAAAAGGGTTAATATATGGAAACACTTAATACAGAGCCTATACGTAATAAACACCCAATAAATGTAAGCTTTTAATATCTTTTTGGTTTCTTTATATATTAAAGTATAGTGGTTTTCAACTGGGGACAATTTTGCCCCCCACACCGCTGTCACCCCCACATTTGGTTGTTATAACTGGGGGGTGAGTGCTACTGGTTTCTAATGGGTAGAGCTCAGAAATGTTGCTAAACATCCTCAATGCACAGGACAGCCTCCCATCGAAAGGAATTACCTGGTTTAAAATGTCTGTAGTGCTAAGGTTCATAAAAACCAAACCATGTGGATCTTCCATTGTTCACCAAGAAGTTGGTGAGATATTTGATCCAACCACGAGACTGGGAAGAGATTCAAGAGGTTAGTAAAAAGCGTCTTTGGTATAAATAAGTGGGGCTGTACCCCACATCATTTTGACCCAATTCTCAAATTCCACTTTCAGGATTGGTTAATTTGTTCCATGTATTATCAAGCAATAGGTGACAACTTGGAGATCACTAGCATTCTGGAAAACCAATGGACAGCAACAAGGAAATAAAATAAACCATATTAGTTCCTAAGGTTCAGCTTTGCTCCTTGCATGTATGGACATCTCCACCACTGATGGGTTTACTCATCATACTTGCAGAAAACTTTATAAAATTCTATTTGCGTGACTTTGTCCAAGATATTTTCTCTACCTGAAATTTTCTGTTCTCCTTGCACCCTCACCCAACCCTAACTCCCCACACCCCCACCCCATCTCTTGACTACTGAAATTGACATTTTTTTTTTTTTTTTGAGACAGAGTCTGACTCTGTCGCCCAGGCTGGAGTGCAGTGCTGTGATCTCAGCTCACTGCATCCTCTGCCTCCTGAGTTCAAGTGATTCTCCCACCTCAGCCTCCGAGTAGCTGGGATTACGGGCACCCGCCACCATGCCTGGCTAAGTTTTTGTGTGTTTTTGGTAAAGATGGGGTTTCAGCATATTGGCCAGGCTGGTCTGGAACTCTTGACCTCAGGTGATCCACCCACCTCAGACTCCCGAAGTGTTGGGATTACAGGCATGAGCCACTGAGCCCGGCCTAAAATTTTATTCAGCTTTTAACATCTGCTTCCTGCTTCACCTCCTCCAACTTTACTGCAGTTGGGAATTTTCTCTCCTTTTCTGAACTCCTCAGTCATGGTCTGATCACACCTTGCCTTAAATTGAAGTTATTTGTGAATATGTCTTTCTCCCCGACCTACCTGAGAGCTTTTCCATGCAAAGACTTTGTCTTTTTCTTCTTTGTATCTTCCAGAGCTTCTAATGTTGAGGCTCAGCATGTGCTTGAGTAAATGAGTGAATGAATGGGCCCCCACAGAAATACTCCCTCATTGCAAGCCAAATTCAAGTCACGTGCAAGCCAGGGAGACCTGTGCCCAGGCGCAGGCCCTGGTTAGGCATTTCTATAGTACCACACATCTCTGATGAAGCCATTTTCTCTTGGATTCCCTGGGAAAACATCCCAGGCATGTACAATAAAGGTCACCCCTCTGGGCAGTGGAGTGTCTAGCTGAATTTATGTTTCTACTCTCAAATGCCACAAAGCTAAAGTATAAATAGGGTGGGGCCTAGAAATAAGAGGAGATTGTGGTGTGAATGCCAGCAATTTAGAGCATTGAGCCCCCTGCCCTTGATGCAGCCAAAGGGCACTGCCCACTCTCTATAGGACTGTTGTTAAGGGCCAAAGGGTGTCATGTGAGTGTCAAAGGAAAGTTCGCATTTCCATGGAAGGCCCAGGGGCCAAGAGAGAGGTCAGGAGCGTCTGTAGGGCTTTTGTCTGACTGTTCTTTGTTCAAACCCACATGTGGCCCTATGTTGATCTCACAGCTCTCTGCATGTGTTGCTGGGTGGATGAGAATGCTGTGCAGCTGGACCCTGAGTAATGGTTCCGGCCTTCAACAAGCTCTGCAGAGAAGCTAGTTTAGACAGGGCTGCATTCTCCTCTCAATTTCCAATTTGGCAAAGGAAACTGCATATTCATCAAGTCAGAGGAGAGTTAAGGGCGTTGCCACCAAGTTCCTCTCCCTTCCCACATGTGTAAGTCATGAAGGAAAAGTTCTGACAGTGTTTTTCTGTGATGCCAATTCATGGCTTAGGTGTGTCAATGCCAGCCTAGTTCCTGGTACAGGGTTGGTATTATTTTTAAACTGTGTATTATGGAAAATTCTAAGTATGTACACAGGTAGATGAATACGCAAGATTTCAAACATCTAAAACAGTGCTTATCACTCAACTTCAACAGTTATGAACTCATGGTTAACATTGTTTTACACACACCCCCACTCACTTCTGTCACCTCATTTGCATTATTTGGAAGCAAATTCCAGACATCATATAATTTTCTCTGTAAGCAGTTATGTATGAACATCTAAAAGAGAACTAATTTTTTTAAAGGCACAATACCATAATCACATTTAAAAAATAACAACAAATCCTTAATCTCATCAAATATCCAGCCAGTGTTCAAATATTAATTTCTCATAAATGTCATAATTCCTTTTAAAAAGTGTCCTTATTTGATTCAGGATCCAAATAAGGCCCACACGTTGTGATTGGTTGCTGTGTCTCATTATGTTTCTTTTGATCTATAGATTCCACTCTCTCTCCCACTCTCTTTCTCTCTTTTAGTACCCTTGAAGAAACCAGACTGTTGGTCATGTAGATTTTCTCACAGTCTGGAGTTTTCTGACTGCAACCCTGTGGTGTCATTTTACTTGTTGCTCTGTTCTCTGTTCTTTCTGTAAATTGGTAGTTGGATCTTGGGCTTGATATGCTTCAGGTTTGGTCTTTTAAAAATTTTTTGGTAAGATTGCTTCATAGATGGTGGCATATTCTTCCATCAGGAAGTATGTAATATTTGGTTTCTCTCTTTTGTGATACTAGCAGCTGTTAATGATCAATTTCTAGATCCATTAATTCATTAGAAATTGCAAAATGGTAATGGTGGTATTCTAATTCAACCATTCCTTTTTCATTTTTAACTGTAATACTTCCATAAAGAGAAGAGGAACTTCTCCTTTTCTGTTACTTGGTTACCCAGTACAATTGTTCATATAGAAAAGGCAGGACAAATGCTCAATTTTTTTTTCTTATTTACCAGTATTCTTAAAAAAAGGATTCACTAGCCACCTTCAAGGGTGGCCAATTATTATCTTTTAGAATCATCATGAACTCATGATTTAAACGTATTTGATGCATTTTAGTCTATTGCAATTACTGTCATTGATTTTCAAATTACCTCATCTTTGGCCAGTGGGAATCTAAGTTGGCTCTTTAGTCTTTTGATACAATTCTGGTAGTTTTTGATAACTTCCTTGCTATCTACTATGACAAGGTATTCCAGGCACATCTTGTACATTTCCTGTTCTAAATGTGTAACCAACCATCTATCCAAAGAATCCTTGTTCCTTTTAGTGAGAAATGGCATTTCTGGAGCTCACTCTGGGCCCTGGGGGTGCTGTATGCTAACTAGGCAGCCATTGGTGCTAGGCCTTTTTGGTAGACAGAACTAGGAAATATGTTTATGTCTTAAGATAACATCCAACATCAGTTCATATTGATATTTCCAATTCAAATTCAGAATTGCAGGGATTTTGCTTAATGTCTTCAATCCTATATTTCCTTTCTCTCAAAGTTGAGAATCTTCATTTTTAAAGACACTGGGAATTATAGATTATTACATAATTATGCATTTGTTCTATCATAAAACACACACACATGCGCATCTCAGAAAAACTACCAACATTTTCCCCAACAATATAATTCCTGAAAAGAGTTTAAGTGGTTTTTGTTTATGTAGTTATTGTCCCTATTGTATATAGGGACTTGCAGTCAAGTTGAAGGTTTAAGTCTCATGGAATAATTCCCCTCTGTGTGGCTGTGCAAACTATATTCATGTTTAGGATAATTTATTTCATTTTATTTTCTGGAATTCCTTTTTTAAAATATAATTTTTTGGTAATTACAAAAAATATTTACGTGGTTCCAAAGTCAAATCTACCAAAACATATTTAGTGTGGCTTCTATTCAGATCTCCTCCATTATTTCCTCCTGTCTGTTAAAAGTAATCATTGACTTTAAAATTTTATTATTTATTCTTCTTTTTGTTTTTTTAAATGCACTACACACATACGTTTCCTTTTCTCAGATATATATATATATACGTATATATAGACAATTTTCTCTACTTTATTTATTTAGCTTATTATATCTTGAAAATCATTCCATAGTGGTATATACAGATACTTTTTCTTCCCTTTTCTAATGTGTGTATATGATGGGACTCAACCAGTCCCTTTATGGTGAACATTGGAGTTATTTCACCTTTGCTGGCAAAAAATAATACTAGTCGGTTACCTTTTTTTCAACAATATATGTTTGGATTAGATTCCTGAAAATTAGGTTGTTGGATTCAGAGTAGCTTGTTGTTGTTTTAAAACAATCTCAAATTTAAACTATAGTACAAAGAACATATTTTTTCTACACCATTTGAGAGCAAGTTGCTCTCAAATGTCCCATCACCAGTGGATATGTTAGTGTGTATTCCCATAAACAATGACATTCGCCCATGTAACTGCAATACAACTATCAAAATCAGGAAATTAATGTTGGTACAATTCTACCTTTTAATCTTTGGACCCCATTCAACCTTTACTGATAATGTCCTTTAAAGCAAAAGTATCCATTTTAGATTCATGCATTGCATTTTTGTTTGACAGAGACATCTCTAGTCTCTGTCATTTTGAAACAGCTCTCTCTTTCCTTTACTTTCATGATGTTTATGTGTTTGATGATTACAAATCAGTTATTTATTGCATGTTCCTCAGTTTGGGTTCATATTGGTTTGTTTTTTTTTTTAAAGTTGTGTAGGATTAATGTTGATCATGTTCTACTTAAATTAGTCTCAGGACCTTGGCTGAAGGGGTGGGCCAGGATAAAGGGAGAGAACTATCTCCACAAGTGAGGGGCCCATCCCCTTTGGAAATGTGTTTATCTTACTGTACACAAAGGGTCGGGGTCTTTTTCATGGAGAGTGCGAGTGTGGGGAAGGAAGCTGAATCCCCAGGAAGTTCTGTCAGATAAGAAATCTGTGACTCTGTAAATTCATCTACTTCTGTGTTTTTGTATTGCTCCTCCTTAGCTTCCTCCTTAATTTCAGTACAATTATTTGAGGGGGAAAAAATCCCAGCTTTGTTTCAGCTGAAATAAAGGGAAAGGAATTGGTCAAGAGGGCTGGTTAAGAGAGGGCTGCCCAAGGCCAAGTAGGGTGAGTCCATAGCAAGCACTGGATGGGTAGCTACTAAGTAGACAGAGTTAAGAGCTCCTCTTTCTCCCCTCATACGCTCGTCCCTCTGCTATAGGACCTACCGTATTGAAACTGTTGTGTTTTTCTTCTCCAAGGAACTGTGGATGCCTCCTGAATGGGAGCTGCAAACGATTATCAGAGTCAAGCAAGAGGAATGGCAAGGCATGTGCTGAATAACATCACATTAATATGGCTCTTAGCTACCTAACCCATTAGGAGCCATAATTAGGAGAGTTTGAAACAGACTGCAAGCATCTTCTCCAGAAAGAAGCTAGGTAAGGGCACACATTGATATGGAAGGAAAGGGGTGGGAGTATCTGTAAGAAGGACCTGGTGAGGGGTGTTTCTACTTGATGGGGTTTTTTTTTGTTTTTTTTTTTTTGTTTTGTTTTGTTTTGGTTTGGTTTTGTTTTTTTTTTTTTTTTTTTGAGACGGAGTCTCGCTCTGTCACCCAGGCTGGAGTGCAGTGGCGCGATCTCGGCTCACTGCAAGCTCCGCCTCCCAGGTTCACGCCATTCTCCTGCCTCAGCCTCCTGAGTGGCTGGGACTACAGGCGCCCGCCACTATGCCCGGCTAATTTTTTGTATTTTTTTAGTAGAGATGGGGTTTCACCGTGTTAGCCAAGATGGTCTCGATCTCCTGACCTCGTGATCCGCCTGCCTCGGCCTCCCAAAGTGCTAGGATTACAGGCGTGAGCCACCACGCCCGGCCTTTTTTTTTTTTTTTTTTTTTTTTTCTGATAACAGATCTCGCTCTGTCACCCGGGCTGGAGTGCAGAGCTGTGATCATGGCTCACTGAAGCCTTGACCTCTCAGGCTCAAGTGATCCTCCTACCTCAGACTCTCATGTAGCTGGGACTACAGGCATGTGCCACCACACCCAGCTAATTTTTAAATTTTTTGTAGAGATAGAGTCTCCTTATGTTGTCCAGGCAGGTCTCAAACTCCTGGCATCAAGTGAACCTCCTGCGCTGGCCTCCCAAAGTGCTGGGATTACAGGCATGAGCCACTGTGCCCAGCCTGATGCTTTTTTTTGTCTGGTTTTTTTTTTTTAAAGATCTCTCAGCAGAGTAATTTTATTTAAACTGAACTTGAAGAGAGAAGGAAGAGAATGGAAAGCAGGAAGTTAAAGGTTTGTGATTGATTTCAAGTACAGGATGCAGGAGCCCTCAGAGGGGCCTAGTTAGCCAGTACTCCCAGGAGCCCCTGCAGCCCAAATCTAGCCAGGCTTAACCCTGGGACGATAATCTGAGCCTACCTGACAGGTTGACATTTTGGTGAGGCATGGAGCAATTTACTTTAGCTGCATTGGTTTTCTTTTCTAGGGGCCGGGTGCGGAGGGGTGGGGGCGGGTAGGGGTGGTGAGGAGGAGTAAAACCACACATCCTTAGTTTAATCAAGGTGTTTGTGGTACTAAAGACAGAGCAGACATGATTTCCCCTAAGGAGGAATGGTGGTAGTTTGGGGGATGCTGTCTGTGTGTGTCTGAATTGGGCCAGAGCCCTCAAATAGACTGAGTCCTTTTGTTACTTGGCAGGAACTCCAATCCACTCATCAAGGAAAAATCAAGGTGCACCTTCAAACAACAGCTTTGAGATAATCTCAAAGATTTAAAAGTCAATATTTGCTTATAGGAACTCTATGTACATTCCAGACACTTCATACTTGGGCCTTTTAAAATACCTTCTTTCTGATAGGGTCTAGCTTGGAGCTCACCACTAACCAGAAGGTCTCCATTTTTCCATCCTCCATCCCATTCTTTGGACTAAGCATTATTATATTTAGCCCTCTAATGATTGGTATCAGCTTATAGTTGGAGTTGTCTTGATGAGAGAGTTTCTTGGCATGATTCTGTTTATTGGCTTATCATTTTATGAACTGGAGAGAAACAGCACAATTAGTGGAACTTCTAGATAAAAAAGATTTTGTTAAAACACTTGAAATTTAAAAGCCCTTTTTGCTTTGTAATGAGTTCTTTGAAAGATAATCTGTTTGGAGCCCTATGGGGTTTCCAAAGAAACATGCAGCTTTGAGGGCAAATGCTCTCTGTCTCCTGGTCCCACAAGCGCACATTTCTCAGCCCGCACATTTCTCAGCCCGCACATTTCTCAGCCCGCACATTTCTCATCCCGCACTCTAGCTGGACTCTTCTGCTTCCTAATGCAGTAATCAGATATTTTGGTGGAGGAAGTTTTAAAGCCTAATCATGCTGTAGTGAGGAAGGTGGGATTTCTTTCATTGCCTGCAACTCAAGGGCACATTTTCCTCAAAAACCATGTATTATATTTTGGCTTCTCACGAGATGCCCAACCCATTGCTATGAAAGGGCCCCCAGTCTCTGCCCTTGGGGAGGTTACCATCCAGAGCAGAGGAGAGGCAGCCAGCCAAATAATTTACACGTGTGGTAATTGCAGTAAACTTTTACTAGTGTTGTCAGTACATTCAACACATTTATTACATTTATTGAGCTCAGTGACTGGGAACACAAAGACAAATACCAACACGCATCCAATCTATGCCACATGCTCTCATTGTGCCATTACTTTTTTAGTTTGGTCTCACCAAGCAATGAAAAAAAAAAAGAAAAAAAACACTGCCAATTGTAACATAAATGCACCCTGATTTCAGAGACATTAAAAAGTGGAAATTCTGTATCTTTGAATGAGATACAGCAATCCCTTCCAGATTCATCCTGGAAGACAGGTAGGGAAACAATCACAAAGCAAGGTAAGAAGCCCTGTTAGAGAGGTCTGAACAAAATTAGGAGTTGGTCCAGAGCCAGGAACACCTGATGCTTCCTAAGAAGGAAGGTGGTAGGCTTCACAGAGGAGGCGACATTTGGACAAGATCTTAAAGAATGAATAAGGGGAAGGGAAGGATGGGAGGGAAGACAGCCAAAGATTGGTTAATGGATACAAAAATACAGCTAGATAGGAGGAATAAGTTCTAGTGTTCTAATAGCAATATAGGGTGAGTATAATTAACAACTATTTATTGTATATGTTTAAGTAGCTAGAAGAGCAGATTTTGAAAGTTCTCAACACAAAGAAGTGATAAATGTTTGAGGTGATGGATGGATATGCTAATTATCCTGATTCGATCATTACACATTGCATACATGTATCTAAATTTCACACTGCACCCCATAAATACATACAACTATTATGTATCAATAATAATAAAAGCAAAAAAAAAAAGTAGATTCGTGATGCCTAGGATTGGGGAGGGGGAAGGGGGATGGAGAGTGACAAAAATGTTTTGGACTTAGACTATAGTGATGACTGTATAACTCTGTGAGTATACCAAAGCCATTGAATTGGACACTTTAATGGGTGATTTTTATGGTATGTGATTTATATTTCAATAAAAATGTTCTTCGCAAAGTTGAAATTAAATAAAAAGAATGAATAAGGATTTGCAGGTGGAGAAGATAGGGCATTCCAGGCTGAGGAAATTACATGTGCAAAGGCAAAGAGAAACAATAATCTTATTCAGGACTTCAGCTGTATCTCTCAGTTTAATGTTCACAATAATATAAGTTAGGTTGTATTATTACTTCTTTTTTGTAGAGAAGGAAACTGTAGGCACAGTGTTAGTAATTTGCCCAAGATCTCTTGGCTGGTAGTCAAGAAATATTAGCTATTGTTATGATTTCAGTACAGTCATTTGGGCCATTGTACTAGAGCTGTGCTATTCAATATGGCAGCTTAAAATGTGGCTAGTACAAATTGAGGTATGCAGTAAGAAAAAAAATACACACCAGATTTTAGAGACTTAGTACTCAAAAAGAAGATGTAAAATATCTCACTAATTTTTAAAAATGTTAAGTACACGTTAAAATGACAATATTTTGGATATATTTGGTTAACACGTATATTATTAAAGTTAATTTCATGCTACTCTTTACAACGTTTTCTGGGAAAAGAGTTAATTCCAACTGTTTCTTTCCATTTTTTTTTTTTTGTAATTGAGTTACCAGAAAGATGTTAAATTACATCCATGGTTTATGTGATATTTCTGTTGGTCAACACTGTTCTAGAGCATTCTGCTATGAATTGGCTTGGTGAGGGTAAAAGGTGTGTGAGGGCAAAGGAATGTATTTGCACCCACGTTCTCTGCACTCTGCTGCTGGCATCTCTGTGTGCCTCACCTCACTTGTGGGTGCCTCCCTGTCACCTGGCCTCTGAGGTTAAGTAGGTTGCCCCAGGCTCCATGGCTGCAAGTGGTAGAGCTGGGCTTTGAACGCAGGTAGCCTAGCTCCAGAGCCTGCCTTTGAGTTCCAGAAATGTGAGTGATTTTAGGTAGTGACATTCAGCACGTGGAGAGTGGGGTCAGCTTGTGAATGTATTACCCCTTTCAGGAAGCATGCATGTGCACATTTCCAGAGGCCTCTGAGGAGTGAGTGAAATGCTGGGAATTTCTGGCATCAGTGGCAAGGTCTCCAGGAAATACCTTCCATCCTAAAGCAGTCTCCTGTGAAATCTGAGCTGCTTGCACATTGCGTTCCAGGGCCACCAGCTTTTGGCCTGTACTAGTGAAATTCTGCCTGAAGCCTAAGTCCCGAGCAAGGATCCAAGCTCCTTTGTACCCTAAACCTGCCTGCCTGTTAGAACATCACTGTTCTAAAATCGGCCTCACCCTCCATCCAGCCACACACATCCTGGCTCTCATTCTACCCCATGCACTTCTATGCACCCTAGCCTTTCCTCTATGCTCCCACTCAGCTTATTTGATATTTCTTGTCTTGCCCACAAGGCCAACTCATCCTTGAAGACCCAGCTCACACATCACCCTCTCTACAGCCTTCCCTAACTCCTTTAAGATAAAATCTATCACTCCCTCCTCTGTTCCACATTGTAATTCCAGATAACTATTTGTCTATGTCTCTGTGGCCCCCGCTTGATGATGTGCTCCACCTGGGCAGTGGCAGCATCCTGCCTGTCCTAGTCTATCCTAGCAGTGCCTAGTAAGTGTCTGCACACATAAGATGCTCAACACCTGCTCTGGAACTGAATTAGATGGAATCACATTTAAACAACTGAAGGAGAAGGATGACAGCTCGCTCACAATTGGAATTCCCCTTTGCAAATCCTCAGGGAGACTAATTGCTCCTGCTCTTGGCCTGTCTGTTAAAATGCAGGATTAAAAAGAGAAACAGGTAGCAGGTTTTTTTGTTGTGTTTTGTTTTGTTGTTTTTTTTTTAACTTCTGAAATGAGTATTACAGAAGAAAATCATGCAGGAGGAAAACCATGATAACTCATCAGCATGATTCAGCAATGGGGCACACTTCAGAGGAAAGGAAGATTGGTTTTGCTCATAGGCTCTTTATCTGTGAAACGCAATCACTCTCCCTCACTGGTGTTTCATGCTCTGACGTCTTATGGTTTGAGGCACGATCAGGGGCCTATTTCTGTGACACCTGAAGGCTTTACACTTGCTTCTTTTGCTTCTCACAGCAGCCTCATAGAGTGCAGTGAATTTTTTCAATATTTTCATTGGTCTTACAGTTTTGTCTTATAGATTTGCAACTTGTGACAACTTTTCCCACCTTCACATGGTTTGATGATTTCCCTTCACACCTACTACTAATGGTTACAATGCTCTGGATCACGCCTCGTGAATCATCGGTGTCTGTCCTCCCCTACCACAGCCAGGTGCTGACAGTAACAACTAGGTGCCGGCAGTATTTTAAAGATGGCAGTATGGCCTGGAGGACATGCCACAGGCCCTGAAAAGGAACCTTGAGTTGGACCCAAGAGCCAGTCCCCCAGAGGTCAGGTGCACCAGAGGTCAGGATCCCTCCCTTGCCTCACAGGGATACCCTGACCACTCTGCTCCCACTCCCCATCTCTCACTGAAGGATTCATGTCTGATATGTGTGGATGAGTTATCCTCCCACGGGTGATCCTGCCCCACCAAAATCAAAGTGACTCTTATTCTAAGAAGCAAAAATTTGACCTCACAAACACACTGCTGTTTCATCCGAGGAGCCTACCCCATCCCCTGAAATAATATTTTGCACAAAACTTTCAATTAATTTACTACAATGTCCAGCAAAGATCCAGCACTTTAAAGCCGGATGACTCAACAGGAAGAGCTTTCAGTTTTCTTCCTGATTGTAAGTTTGTAGCCTAAATTTTTGAGTAGGTACAATTTAGAGAAGGAAGGCTGCCTTCTGCTCAGGATAAACAGGAAATTTGCCTATACAGTCAGTGTGAAGAGCTGTGTAGTAGAATGATCTGCCGATATTTAGCTTCTATTATAGTGTTCTCCTCATTCTTCCTTCTCCATCTCCCCCTCCAGCTTCTCTTCTCTACTAAAAAAGGTGTCAGAAAGTCTGGGAATACAGACTGTCCTAAAGCACTGCAAGTAGTTCCCTCCTCCTGACGGCAATAGAGCCCCCTAGAGACCATCCGGGTGACCAGTATGAAGAAGTCGGTGGGTAGCCCTATTTGTTGGAAGTGAGAAATAATGAGAACTTTTTATGTTTCAAAGATGGAATAGGAAAAGTTGTCAGACCTGCAATGTAATAGTCCCAGGGGATGAAGAGTATACAGAAGTTTGGGGTCTATAGGGCTGGACGGCCTGATACAATCTGATGCCACCCCTCTGGATGACTGGATCTTTGCAGAAAGGTCACATAAGGGACTGAAAGTTAGTACTAAGAACTAACTTTCTGCAGTTCTGGGAACTTAAGCAAGGGGCCATCTTGGCCAAGCTGAACACAAGGTTGATCATTTTCCTGAAGAGACCTTGCTGTGGTTTGAATGCGTTCCCTACAAAATTCATGTGTTGAAGCTTAATCTCCATGTGATGGTACTGAGTGGTGGGGCCTTTTGGGAAGTGATTAAGTCAGGAGAGCTCCGCCCTCATGAATGGATTAGTGCCTTGTAAAAGAGTGTGAGGAACTAGTTTCGGTCCATGTTGCTCTTCCACTCTTCTCCCATGGGAAAACACACTGTTCCTCCCCTTCAGAGAATAAAGCAAGAAGGTGCCATCTTGGAACCAGACACTGAACCTGCCAGTGCCTTGATCTTGGACTCCCAGCCTCCAGAATTGTGAGAAAGAAATTTCTGTTGATAATAAACTACCCAGGCTCAGGCATTTTGTTACTGTAGCACAAACAGACTCAGATAGACCTTGAATAGCCTGTGCAAAGCCTTGAACTAACATCATCTGAAGGCTCAAGTGGGCACTTTCCACAGCCATGTGGCAATGATCAGCAACATTTCCCCCCCTGGAGTGTGAAAGTCAGGCTGACCCTTCTTTTTGAATTATGTAAACCTCTGGGATTTTGGAAAAGTTATGGGGAGACAGAGGGCCCCAAGACGGAGAGGCTAGACTTTCTGCTAATCCCACAGTCTGATAAACCATGGGAACTTAGGCTACTTGTTTTGTGTAAAGAAGCTAAATGTGACAGTATTTACCCCCTGGGTTTGTGGAGCAGTCCTGTTGATTACACTCAGGATACATGTATACATAAGCAATTGAAAATGAGGTTTCACCACCAGCCCAAAGTTGAAAGCTGGTGAAGGGGCTGATCCCCAGCCTCTGTCTTGATGGTTCTGGGATTCACTGAGTCAAAAACACACAGCAGAAGCCACTTGATAATGTATTTTATACTTATAACAAGAAGCAGAAATGATCACTCTCGGGGGAAACAATGCTAAAACAAAACAAAATAAGAGCTTGAGCTTTGAGACAAGGTTTGCCACAGTCATTCTGCATGTAAATAAATATTTCCCTACAACTTACTCTCTGCCATGCACTATGCTAACTACTAGGGAATAAAATGAAAAACAAAGCAGACATAGTCCTTGCTCTCTAGTATTAAGGTAAAGAAATACGTTAATCAAATAATCACTCAAATAAATAAATAACTGCAGTTAACATTGAAAACTAATTATCTATTTTCAGCCCAATTAATTTCCAGCTAAGAAACAAGACAGATCAGCCTCTATGTATAAAGCTCAAGATACAAAAGAGTTAAGCCCTACATGTGGCCCTGTTAAGGCTGTCCCAGGGGGAAAAGAGGGACCCATTCATTAGTCCCGGGGCAATGGGTTGGTTCTTCCTCTACTGTCATTTCAGAGAATGTGCATTCCCTCTGGCATCCTGGCTGGCCCGGAAGGTCACTGCAGGCTCAGGATGCCACAAATACAGGATTGTTCACTTTCTTTGGCTGGGGAACTGGGCTGGGGACCAAGCTGGCCCACAAATGCAGGTTTTCCCACTTTATTTCAAGGGCAGCCAACTTCAGGGCCTTAAAAACGGGCTAATGGCAACAATGAGAGTGATGGTGAGGGGAGCCAAAGTCAATGCCATCGACAGGCCATGTTGCCTTCAGAAAATTTCCCAATCTTTGAAATAACTACAGAGTGATTGCCAGAGTGACTCAGAGGGGAGGAGAGTTGGAGTGACTTTGGCTACTAAGGTTGTGTGTTGAAATAATAAAAGGAATTTCCTAGGGATCCCCAATCTAGTCTATTTTTTAACAGTGTAGTTTCAATTTCTTCCTATAATTCTTAGGCATACCTTGAATGAATAGAGAATTTTCTGTTAATTAACCAATTCAATACTGATTAATTCTAGTTCACTCTTTTAATAGACGTAAGATCTTAGGTTACAATTAATCCATCTTTCATTTCATCTAACCAACAAACATATTTAGTGCCTATTATATATCAGACTGTGCTACAGTCGAAGAGGGGCACCTAACCCAGACTGAAGAGGAGAATAACAGAGAAGGGTGGCTTCCTATAGCAGAGATAAAGCTTTGGGGGTCGCCAAATTTCATGCCATCTATCACTTCCCAAGCACATGGGAAACTACACTTCCCAGACACCCTTAGGAGTCCTTAGGTTGGGGCCACATGACTGGATATCCAATAGGATAGAGCAGAAATGATGTATGCTACTCTCAGGCCTGGCCATAAAATTCACTGTGCAACTGTCCATGTTCCCACTTTCTTTCCCTTCTGTTGTAACCTCTGAATCCAGATGGCAGCAATATAAGATGAAAACAATAAGGATCTCTAAGTCACTGCTTAGAGGAGAGCCACAGAAGGACTATGGGGCTTATTTGCTATAACCTAGCCTTGCTTACTCTAATATGTACTCTGTAAAGGTGGGGACATCTAAGTTTAGTACTGAAGAAGAAAATATCTAGGCTATGTCAGGTAAGATGACCAACTTTGATGATCTTATTCCAGCTAGATGGGGAAAATAAAACTATATCAAAAAATAGCCAGCTTACCAAGCAAAATATCTTGATCAAATACTGAAGTCTTGAATGAACCTCAGTTTTCTGCTTGGGAACAACTGAGTATTGTGGTTGTAGTCACCAAAGTAAAGACTGTAGAAGTTTCCTGGAAAAGTCTGATTCATAGCTGAGAAAGTTCTAACAAGAATGTAGGAAGAAGTAGTAGGTTCATTGAAGGAATCACTTTCTAATCATAAAAATGGATCATCCAGCTCTTGACCCTCTGAAGTTCACAATTTAATGAGGTAGAATTGAGGAGATCAGAGGCAGAATGTCATGTTTATTCAAGTCCTAGAACCTTGGATCCAGAATTTTTCCTCTTCCAGGAAGCCTCTTCTACTCAAATGTTAAACATGTCTCTGCTTAAATGTTGCTTCCTTAGGGAACCTTTCTGACAGCTTGATATAAAGAAGTCATCCAGTTACTGTCTGTTGAATCTCCCTATTCTAATTCTCTGTGTAGTGCTTCCCACTCTCTGATACTTTTCTTGTTTATGAATTTTGTTTGTTTGATTATTGGCCATCTCCCTTCACTAGAATAGGGGAAGGAATACTTTGTTCATGTCTCTCTCTAGCATGTTTCCAAGTGGCTAGCACATAGTAGGAGCTCCATAAATGTTTATTGAATAAATAAATAATCCCAGGAGGCTAAAAAAGAATAAAAAAGCAAACGTTTTGTTTTGAGATAGATTTGTAAATATACTGAATGGCCAAGTTGGGATGTGTCTCAAATGAGAACTACAAGATGGCATATTTGTCATTCTGCATCAAAGAAAAACCAATGTCAATTGGCATCAATATCTTGACTCTTTTTTAAATTAAATTTTCTCAAGTGGTCACACGGGAGCAGGTCTATTTCTGGAGAATACCTTTTTTAGACTCAACAAAATCCCAGGGATGAACACAGTTTTGATATAATAGAATTTGTATACACTAAACCCCTTTATTGCAATATGTCTCCAATCGTTTGATGCCCTAGATGCAATTATTGCTTTAGAAGCTAAAGTAAGCAAATTCTCTTTTCAAAAGGAATATGAATTCTTGGGCTTGTGCCTCCACTTCCTGATCTAACTTCTCTGGACCCTGAGGCATGGGCATTGTAGAACTGAGTTATCAGATTTTAAGAGCATGTAGGGGGTCTGTTTTGTGACTTAATGTTATCTTCAGAAAATCAACTAAAATCTGTTTAAATATCATGTCTGAAATAAGTGTAAAGACTAAACGGATGTGGTTACAATCTTGAAACTAGAAGCTATAGCCAGAAAATAGGTCAAGAAAAAAATAGACACAAATTGCCTGGATCTTGGCCATAAAGGTCAAGTACTGCTGGTCACAAAACAAGGAGGATTCTTCAGAGAAACTGAGGGACTCACATAATAGTTCTAGTAACAATTACAACAACTAACATTTATTTAGTGCTTACTATGCGCCAGGCACTCTGCCAAGTGCTTATCATATATCATCTCATTTAATTCCTTGGAACATGTGCCGCTGGGGGCCATATTAGTAATTTCTATCTACCTGTCAGGAAACTGAGGTTAATTACTGCATTAGTCCATTCTAATATTGCTATAAAGAAATATCTGAGACTGGGTAATTTATAAAGAAAAAATGTTTAATTGGCTCATGGTTCTGCAGGCTGTACAGGAAGCATGATGCTGGCATCTGCTCGGCTTCTGGGGAGGCCTCAGGTAACTTACAATCATGGCTGAAGGAAAAGGGGAAGCAGACCTGTCTTACATGGTGGGAGCAGGAGCAAGAGAGAGAGAAGGGGGGAGATGCTGTACGCTTGTAAACAACCAGAACTTGTGAGAACTCACTCACTATCATGAGAACAGCACCAGGAGATTGTGCTAAATCATTCATGAAGGACCACCCCCATGATCCAATCACCTCCCACCAGGCCCCACTTCCAACACTGGGGATTACATCGCGACATGAGATTTGGTGGGGACAGATCCAAACCATATCAATTATCTTGCCTGAGTACAGACAGGTTTTCCTGACTCTAAAATTCAAGCTATTAACCGCAGTCTCTCCAACTTTAACATTCAAATTTCCCATTGTGAATGTCTGAAAAATGCTTACAGTTCTTTTTTTATTATTATTATACTTTAAGTTTTAGGGTACATGTGCACAACGTGCAGGTTTGTCACATATATATACATGTGTCATGTTGGTGTGCTGCACCCATTAACTCGTCATTTAACATTAGGTGTATCTCCTAATGCTATCCCTCCCCTGTACCCCCAATGCTTACAGTTCTAGAGTGACCAAAAAAAAAAAGTGAAATAAGAAAACATATAGATATATTTTATTTGAATCATTTTATAATAAAGAAGATGAAAATGTTCAATTCAGGAGACAGTATGTGGTATAGTGGAAAAAGTAAAGTGTGCCAAAGTCTCTGTGCCCTGTATCCTGCCATAACCATTCGTATGATTCCAATTCCCTCACTCACCTTCTGTCTCAGTTTGCTGATCTATAAAATGGAATGAATCCCTACCATATATTTTGCAGTCCCGAGAAATGTTTCTGAAAGGCCTAACAAATGAAGGATTCTAATTTAGGTGGTCTAAACAGTTTTAATACATTTTAGGACTTTATTTCACCGTGGCCCACCCAGTCACAGAAAAGAGAAATGCCACAGTATAATCCTCATCTGTGCCACAAGAAACTTAAGTCAGTCTCTGTGGCCTATATTATATTTTTTCTCTGGCCTATATTATACTTTTCCTCTGGCCTATATTATACTTTTTCTCTTAAGAGGAATAGAAAAGGGAAAATCTTATGTTTATGCTGAGGAGGCAGTGTGAAGTAGCTTGAAGGAAGGGTGTGTTCTCACCTCAGGTTCTCACCTCACAGCCATTGTGGGAGGCAGCTGGTATAGTGTGGCAGTCTGTAAAACATCAGGAGAGCTGAGGTTGTGCCACATCCATCTACTTAAATTCCTTCAACGTTTTTATTACTGCTGTGTAAATTATAAAGCTTCAGGATGTGTGTGTGTGTTTTCTAGGTAGAAAGCTTGGATCAACTTTACATGTATTATACTCAGACAAGATGAAGAAGGGATTCTTGGTCTGGCTGGCTGCCCCTAAGAGGCAGGGATAAATTAGGGAGGGCCTCAGATGTAGGGTGGGGGCTGGGGGATCTGTGAGGAAGGAAGATGTGGTGCCCAGAGGTACTGAGAAACCTCAGGGCTGGGTTTGAGGTGGCTCTGTATTTGAAGGGTGGAGCCCAAGAGACGGCTCAAAACAACATCCTTCCTTCCTTCCACAAATGTTGATTGTGTGATACATACCAGGCACTGTCCTGAGCATTGGAGATACAGTGATGAAGAACAGTCTTTTACAGAGTGGTTTAAGACATTTTTGAGGCAATCAGACTTAGGCTTAAATCCTCCTGCCTGTGCCACCAATTAGCTATGACCCTGGGAAAATTATTTAAGTCTTTGAGCCATGGCTTCTTCAACTATGAAGTGGGGACAACCTGACAGTTATGACTGAGAAAAGTGAGATTATGCAAGTGAAGCATTTAGTGTCGTCTCTGGTGCAGTGAGGACTGAGTGAATGATGGATGTCCACACAATGCTGTAAACCCCATAAGGCAGGGATTGTGTCTTGGGTTCACCTTGAATCTTCAGCACTTACTGGTGTGCACAGCAGATGCTAAAAGAATTATCTGTTGAAGGTTTGACAGTTAATGGAAGAGTCAGATTAGAGGCTAGGGAGCAGGCTAAGGGTCTGGAACAGGATGCAAAGTCAAAAGCAGAAACAGGATGTAGCAACGGAATATTCATAGTAAGTAAGTTACTGGGCAGGGGGCCAGGGGAAGCCTCTTCAAGGGGTGGAGGGTGTGTAAAGGAGCATGCAATAAAGGCACAGGGTTGTGATAGGTACAGGGATCTCCCCCTCACACCAGACCCATGGGCTCATTAACACTCCCCCCTGCTCACCTAAACACACCCTGCCCCACTTCCAGCAACCACTAATGATTACGATAATAACAAAGGCAACTAGCAGGCAGGACAGACAGTTCAATTATTAGAAAGTTGTCTACGGTGAAAACTGGGGACAGAAAGATAGGCTCTTGAGACCATATTTCTAAATCAGGGGCCAGTTTGGGAGGGAGAGGACCCCAGATCTGTGGCTGCTCAGATTTCCTCTCACCCTGTCCCTAGCCCACCATCTACCATCTATCTCCCTGATAGGATGGGTGACCATAGGTCCAGGTTGCCCAAGTTTAAGCTTGTTCCCAGAGCAGTCATTACTAAAGCAGGGATTCTTACACTTTTGTGTATACACCAATCACCTAGAGATCTTGTTAAAATGCAGACTTCTATGCAGTAGGTCTGGCTGGGTCCTGAGATTCTGCATTTCTTAAAAACTCCTAGGTGAGGCTGATGCTGTTTGCCTGAGGACTAGAGTAGCAAAGATCTACCTACCACTGGTTCTCAAATGTAACTATATCAGCATCATCTGGATTGACTCTGGGGTCCCAGACACACACACACACACACACACACACACACACGCACACACACACACGGTGTGCTTCAAGGGGGCTCAGAAAGACCTGCTCTGAAGTAGCCCCCTTCAAGAACTTCCATCTGCCTTTCCCACCAAATCTTTTTTTTTTTTTTAATTAAGGGAGCACAAACAAAAAATCACCGTGTTACCCTTAATGAATACATCTCAGTCTACACACAAGAGAAGGCATCATGGGACCTGGCAGCTCTCAGAGGGCATTGGGAGTGTAGCAGCTCTTCCTGCTCCAAAGAGCCACTCTAGAGTTTTCTAGAGTTTTTCCTTCAGACGTCCTGGTGTTTAGTTGTGTGGCATACATGAGGCTTTGTGGCAGTTGGTTAATATACTGTGGGACAAGAACTGAACTAGGCACTGTGTGGGACAGGGAAAGATGCACTCTGTGGCTTTAGGGAATTTGAAATTAAAAGATAAGATTTCAGATTCTTTCAAAGCCCGAGCTAAACACATGAAAAAAACAAAAACAAAAACAACAACAACAAAAAACACAGAACACCAGAGTGCTGAAAACAGAAGAATTGCAGTGGATGGGGTTGGAAAAGAAAGGCTTCCAGTTAGAAGTCAATTTCACACCGTGTTTTGCAGGAGCGAGTCCAGCGGATTCGTGGAAATGGATGGAGGCTGCTGAGTTGAGAGACTGAGAAGTGGAGGTACCTAGGAAGGTCCTCCCTGAAAATACATCGGGTTGTAAAACCTGGAAAGAAATACCTCCATTTGTCAGGCACTCACAGGGCGCTCTCCTCTGGCAGCTCCCATGTTGAGCGCCCAGGGCAGCGACCAGACGGCGTCCTGTCCTCCTGCACGGGGCCAGAACTGGATGGTCCCGCGACACATCGTGTCTGCAGCTTTAGAGGCCTCCCCAGGAGTGCTACCGCGGTCATTTCTGCCCAGCTGTAAAATAACACCCAATCAGCGAGCCGCCAGCTGCAAACTGTTCCGACCTACTCCTCCCTCCCCGGCTTAATTCCCACCTATACCAAAGTGGCCCCACGCGGGCAGAAGCGAAAGACGGAAATGAGGGGAGGCCAACTACTCGAGATCTGCGCCCGAAGCAGATTTTCCACGCGCTCAGAGTAGGGTCGGGGAAAGGCCCACTTGGGGCTTCTGAGAGAGAGGGAAGGGCAGGGAAAGGGCTGCCCCCCAGCAAGACACAGTTGGGTGAACAACTGAGTCTTTGCCTCGTTGACAAAGGAGAATGAGGGACTCGCGCCAGGCTGGCTTGAACTGACTGGAGAAAAGCGACTTCTGTAATTCAGGGCCCTCCTCGTGCGAAGGAAACTTTGGCAAAGCAGAAAGACAGGCATGCAGTTTCCAGGCGGAAAAACGTGAACCATGGGACATGATGGGCTCCAGGGCCGTGGATGCAGTTGCCCGAGGCCCCAGGGCCGCCCCCGGAAGGCCGGGACTGCCAGGGACTCGGCGTGGGGGTGCTGACTGCCGCTCCAGGCCTCGGGGTTCAAGCACTCCAGCAGCATCCGCTCACCACGCTCCCCGCCCACTTCCATGATCACGAGGGGGCAAGGCTAGCCAATCCGGGGTGGCCACTGCCCGGCCCTGCGAGGACTCGAGGCGCACTGGGAAACTGCGCGGTGCCTAGAGGTACAAAGAACAGGTCCTGGGAGGGTAGTAGGAGGGGACCTTAGCACAGCCTATGTCAGTTTGTCAACAAGGATTTGCTGAGAAGTC
The DNA here is from genome assembly GCF_000001405.40 of Homo sapiens. Classification (NCBI taxonomy): domain Eukaryota; kingdom Metazoa; phylum Chordata; class Mammalia; order Primates; family Hominidae; genus Homo; species Homo sapiens. The sequence continues at coordinate 91,546,175 of NC_000001.11, read as the reverse complement.
GCACTGTGCTCAGCATAGCGGCACTGCCTACCTAATGGGCTTTGGGGCATAGACAGTGAATAACCTGGCAGTGATAATAGTGTGCTGAAAGAAAGGCCAGCCCCAACAGCCACTACAGGAACCTCAGAAAGGAGGGGGCGTCCCTGTTAGTGGCTGATACTGGATTTCTCTCATTGTGTTCGTGGCTGGCGCCAAACCAGAGATCATAATGTATAACAAATAAATGTGAAGTTTCTTACATCCAAGTGGCCAGGGAAAACCTATACTAATTACATGGTACAAACCCGCTGTGATCAGGTGCTAAATTGGGTGGCAGTCAGAGTACAGCTGTAGAGATATCTCTGAGGGCCAGAGTGATCAGGAAAAGCTTTGTGGAAGAGGAAGAACTGGAGTTAGGTGCTGAATGACGGGCAGGATATGGACAAGCAGAGGAAAGTGGGAAGGCGTTCCAGGAGGGAAGGGGCAGCATAGCCAAAGCCCGGGGGATGAGCATGGTGGGTTTATGGGGTTTTAGAGGGATTAGCCTGTTTGGAGTGTAGCAGGTGCTCTGAAGAGCATGGGACAGAAGAGAGCACAGGCAGCTGGAGGGTAGAGATGGGGGCTAATTGCAGAATCCCACAGTGCCTAGGAAGGTCTCAGCTGTCAGGGTCTTCTCCTGAGACTCATTCTCAGCTCCTTTTGGGGTTTAGGAAAGATCTTTCATGAGAGTTCCAAACATTTTAGTTAATGTTTAATTCCTTCTCACTGAATCCCCATGGAAGGGGGCAAAAAGCAAGTGCTACTCCTCCAAGGTACTAAAACCCTGGTGCTGAGGATGAGGCTGCTCCAGAGGGACCTCTGAGAGAGAGAGAGAGATGGTATCTTATGAGTTGCATAAGTCTTTTAGGCAAGAAAGCAGGAGGAGATACTGAAGGGACCCCCTAAGGAAGCAGAAAAGCTTTACCTTCTCCTCTGCAAGAGGCATCAGGATTCCCTTTGAAAACAGAGCAGAGGACGGCGCAGAAAAATTCAAGAATGTTTGCTCTCACCACTTCTATTTAGCTTTATACAGGAGATCCTAGCCAGTGCAAAAGGGCAAGAAAAGACATTAAAGACACGCAGACTGAAGCAGGAAGAAGTAAAACTGTCCTTATTACAGGTGGCATGATTTTGTATGTAGAAAAGCCTAAGAAATCTACAAAAATCTACTAGAACGAATAAGCAAACTTAGTAAGGTTGCAGGATACACTATAACAAACTGTCCAAAAATGAAGTTAAGAAAACAATTCCACTCATAATAGCATAAAAAGAATAAAATACTTAGGAATAATTTTAACAAAACAAATGTAAGACCTATGTACTGAAAACCTTAAAACATTGCTGAGAAAATTCTAAAAAGATCTAAACAAATGGAAAGACACACAATGTTCATGGATCGGAAGATTCAATATTGTTAAGATAGTAATTGTCCCCAAATTAAACTATAGTTTCAGCTCAACCCATATCAAAATAGGTTGTTTTTTGTAGGACTTGACAAGCTGATACTAAAATTTATATGAAAATGCAAAGGATCTAGAGAAATCAAAACAACTTTGAAAAAGAACAAAGTTGGAGGATTTAAAAAATAAAGCTACAGTGATCAAAACAGTGTGGTATTGACTTAAAGATAGGCATACATCCATAGAACAGAGTATATTCCAGAAATAAACTCTTACATTTATGGTCTATTGATTTTTGACAAGGGTGTCAAGGTAATTCAATAGTCATCCATAAATGATGCTGGAGCAATGGATATTCCTGTGCAAAAAAAAAAAAACTTACATTCTTACCTCACAACAACCATATGCAAAAATTAACTAAAAATGAATCACAGCCTAAATGTAAGAGTTAAACTATAAAATTCCTAGAAGAAATCATAGGAGAAACATGGATTAGGGCAAAGGCTTCTTAGATGTGATACCAAAAACGTGATCCTTAAAAAAATTAATAAACTCAACTTTATCAAAATTTAAAACTTTTGTTTTTCAGAAGATACCATTGAGAAAATGGAAAGGCAAGCCACAGACTTGAATAAAATATTTGCAAATCATATACCTGATAAGGTATTTATATTCAGAAATATAAAGAATTCAATAAGACAAACTGATTTTTTTAATGAGCAAGATTTGAATATATATTGCACCAAAGCAGACATATGAATGGTGAATAAGCATATAAAAAGATGTTCAACATCATTACTCATTAGAGAAATTCAAATTAAAACTATAATGAACTATTAATACCCACTGACAATATCAAGTGTCAGCAAGGATGTGGCAAAATTGAAACCATAGAATGGTACAGCTAATTTAGATAATTGTTTGGAAGTTTCTCAAAATGTTAAATATATTTGCTATATGACCCAGCAATTAAACTCCTAAATATCTACCCAAGAGAAATGAAGACACAGATTCACATAAAGACTTATATGCAAATGTTCATAGCCATGTTATACGTACTAGCCCAAGCTGGAAATAATCCAAATGTCCTTTAGCTGGTGTATAAACAAAATGTGGTATATTCATACAATGGACTACTACTTGGCAATAAAAAGGAATGAACTACAGATACATGCAACAATATGGATGAATTTCAAAAACATGCTAAGTAGAAAAAGTCAGATAAAAAATGTTTTGTATAATTTCACTTATGTGAAATTTCTAGAAAAGGCAAAATATAGAAGTATTCTAAAGTTGAATTATTATTATAATTGTGATTATTGTACAAGAGTATAAATTTACTTAAAATCAAACAGTACCCTTATAATAGGTAAATTTTATGGTATATAAATTATACTTCAATAAAGCTGTTAAAGGACAGAGAGACTGCTAGATAGGTCCTTGGGGAGAGGGTGGGGTGTGTGTGTGTGTTTGTGTGTATGTGTGTGTGTGCGGTTATAGGAGGGCAGAAAACACCTATGGGAGATAGTAATGAATTTAAGTGCAATGAAAAAACACAGGGGCTCTGGAGCCAGCATGCTAGGTTTGAATCTTGGTTCTACTACTTACTATATGAACTTGAGACAAATTACTTACCCTCTTCAAGCCTCAGTTTTTCCCTCTGAAATGAGGCTAATGGTAAATCTCAAGGTAGTTGTACCACTAAAAATGATATATATATTGGCTGGGTGCAGTGGCTCATGCCTGTAATCCCAGCACTTTGGGAGACCTAGGTAGGAGGATTGCTTGAGGCCAGGAATTGAAGACCAGCCTGGGCCACATAGCAAGACCCTGACTCTAGAAAAAATAAGAAATTAGCCAGGCATGGTGGCATCTATAGTTCTAGCTATTTAGGATGCTGAGGTGGGAGGATCAGTTGACAGGAGTTTGAGGCTGCAGTGAACTATGATTGCGCCACTGCACTCCAGCCTGGGTGACAGAGCAAGACCTTGTCTCTAAGAAAAAAAGAAAAAAAAAGAATTAAAAATATAAAAATAATGTATATTGAAGGTAATGTATGGGATGTGAGGGAAAATTCTGAAACCAATTACTTCTACAGAAAATTCAGAGCTTTGTTGTAACTGAAGAATTGTGGGTTCTCTGGGTATATTATAGCAGAATTATAAGCCTCTCACTGAACTGAATAAGCGGCCTTATTAGTGAAGAAGGCTGGGACCGTGGCCAAAAGCCTTGGTTTCCAGTACTGGTTCTGCTACCATTACACCATGTGACTATAAAAGGGTTCCATATCTAGGGGTTCCTAGATACGTCCCCCTCCCAAAAGGGGTTGTTGGGGTGCTTCCGAAGTCAGAGCTTATTACCACCATAAAAAATGCTGGGTATAAGGTAATGATGGCACAGAGGACAGGGTGGTGGCTGGGGCCCAGCGTGAGAGATCAACATCTCTGTGCCTGTGAACTGGGATATGAGAAGAGTAGCTTAGCAGGGGGCCATGGAAATTTTCACAAACCAAAATTGGCATTTGGAGCTGAGCTGGAAAGTTGTGAACACAGGATGTTGCTGAAAATGGTGCCCAACAGCGCTGCTACCTGAGGTTTTGGCAGGCTTCACCCCCTGCTAGTTGATTGCAGAAGGATGTTGGGTCATCAGGAAATAGGGGTTTGAAATGATCCCACAGGAAGGTGTGAACAAAAACAGAAGCAACAACAAGAAAACAGCCTAGTCAGGTTAGCTGGGGGGCGGGTGGGTGTTGGATGGGAGACAAGTGAGTTCTCACTTTCTTCAACACTTTAGAAACTTCTAAGGAGGAGCCCTGCTGGCATTCAAGGATGGCACTGTGATAGGTCCCCATTTATCCCTCCATCCTCCATGAACACCTCCTGGGGGTGGACCGGGAGAGCAGCAGCTTGCCAGGGGGACTCATTTCTGGTTCAGGATGTTGGAAGTCTCCATGTAGCAGTTTGTAGTGGACACTGCTATTTTTTTGGATACCTAGCACACACTCCCACTTTTTTCTGGTGAGATCACTTGGATTATTTGGGGGGAATTTCTTCTTCCCCATTACATACAGTCTTGGTGGGGCTGTCAATAAGGCATTCTGCCCTCGTTTAGCCAATTAAATTCTCTCTCTCTGAATTGAGCTGAGTGGTGAGAAAGAATGGAAAAAAACCTGTTGGAGAAGACCTAATTCCATGGACCTCACTCAACCTTTACTCACTCCTGCTCCTGAAATCTCAGCTCAGCTCTGCCCCAGTTTCTTAACTGTTCTTCCATTCTGTGAACCCCTGATATCATCCATTAAACTGTTTTGCTTAAGTTAGCTGTGGCCCATTTCTGTTACAAAGAACAAACAACATGACTGTGACACTGCATGGGAGAGTTTTCATGAGGGACTTGCAGGGGAATCGAAGGAGCCTGGCTTCAGGTACCCACTTTCAGTCTTCTGATTTTTCAACTTTCTAGCCATGTGACCACAGGCAAGTCACTATATCCCTCTGAGCCTCAACTTCTGTAAAGTTGAGATATTGTTACTTTGCAGCACTGTCAGGATTAAATGTGTTTATTCAATTATTCATGTAATACTTACCCAGCCGCCACCATTTGCCTGGAACTCTGGGAGGAACCAGAATAGAGATGTAAATAAGACAGACATTGTATAGTCTCTGTCTCCATGGAGCATACATTCTAACAGGAAGAGAGATGTTGAATATGTTTACAACACTGATGATGTTAAAATTGAAGTTCAAGGCACTGTGGGAGTGGTTAACAAGAGGACCCAGGAAATCTAGTAGAGGGCCATGTATGGAAGACCCTTAAAAACTGTGACTTCCTTTCCACCTTCCTTCTCCTGACTGTTTTCTTCTTCATCATACCACTTTACATTTTGCATGCATGTTTTCTTTGCCATTTATGGCCCACTCATATCCACTTCTTGTAGTAGAATTAGGATACTCCAAAGAAGTCCTGAATTGGTTCAGTGATTGACATCTGCCTGTTGTGTTTGAAGCATAAATTGGAACCTACTCACCCCAATAGATAAGCCAACTTGGTGGGGGTTCCTTGTGTTGGGCATAAGGAAAGAACAAGGTTAAGAGGATGGGGAAAGAATAGAGAAACTTTAATACCTTTAGAATTAATTGTTTCTTAGGTTAACAAGGTTTAGTAAGAGTCAAGATGAAAGAGGTTGCCTGCCTAAACTTGATATTGACAAAACAAGGGTAGGCAATTTACTTGATCTGCTAGGTAGCTCTAGGTACCTTTCTAGCATTACAAAATCTCAGAAATTATTTACAAATTTTAGCACTAGAAAAGATCTTAGAGAACATTCAGAAAGGGTTTTATTTAGTATGAGGAAACCATGGCTCACTAGAGCTAAGTCTCATCCATGTCCTCAGTGTGTAAGCTTATGACATCTTTAGACCCCAGGCTGGCAGTCAGAATGCCCACAGTGGTTCCTCTCTCATGTGGACAAATTCTGGTAGATATGCCCCTGAGAAATAGCCTGTGCTAGCCTTGTGAAGGAACTTGGCAAGGACCAGAGGAATGAGGCACTGCACTAGGTATGAGGGAGGGACAAAGACAATAAGATGAAAGTCCTTTGAGGTTCTTCTGACAGTCTGGGGAGTCGAGACACATACAATGCCAGATAATCACACAAGCAACATTACACGAGAACCACTGTTGGACATGGTCGCATCAACATCTCTGAAGCACAGCTCATAATTTCTGCCCACTTACCTCTTAAGTCTCCTGTTAGAGATGTCTTCTTCTCAGACACCTGTATCTATTAATAGCAGCACTATCCTACAGTTACAAAGGCTTGAAATATTGAAGTTGGTTTTTATTCCTATCTTTCCCTCAACCCCACATCCAGTATTTACTCGGATCTGTTGATCTGGTCCTTAAAGCTACCCCATCCTGTCCAAAGACACCAAAGTAGTATTCCTAATATACAGCTCTTATATTATTCCTCTGCTCAGAATCCTTCAGGGTGTACAGAACATTATTTGCAGAATGAAAACCAAACTCCTTAGTTTAACATTTGTGGTCCCTTATGGTCTAGACTCAGCTTCCATTTCCTCCTTCTAGTCTGCTACTTTCCTACAGGGATATATTAACCATGTTATTTATTTTTTGTATTTTAATGCTTTGACATCTGGGGCCTTGCAGACCCCGGAGTTGCTGCCCCTTCCAGGGCTAGCCAATTCCTAGAGACTGTAAACAACTTGCCCTTGAGCATACCTTTCAAAGGCAAACCACCCAATCCAGAGCCCACACCTGCAAATACCTTCTCTATTGGGCTGTCATACTTAGGACCATAATCCCCTGCCCTAATCACTCCAGGGCCAGTTACCAGACAACTAAGAGTAGTCCCTGTGCCCCTGAACTAGCTGAAATTATTCAAACTAGTCAATCCTTAATCTGCTTAATCTGCCTTGCCCATTCTTTCCCATGGAAACCACCATAAAGGCTCTTGCTCATGTTTTCTCCTTTCCTTCCACCTCCTGACAGACTCTGGTGCTTCCCCGAGTGGCCCCCTGTGGTGTGGCATGTCCGCTTCTCTTGGCATCTGTGAGTATAACTATCTTTTTGATAACAGTCATCTAGTCTGCTGGCCTTGCTGTACCTAAATAATAATAATAAAACCATTAACTACATTTTAAAACAAGAAACCCTATGCTCCAGAGGGGTTCCTTCTGCTTCCCAAACAGGTCCCTGCTTTCCTATGCCCATGTCTTTTCCTGTGCCTTTCCTCGTTCCCAGAATAAACTTTCTCTGCCACATCTGCATCTTACAATTCTATCCATCTTTCAATATATTCTTGCTGGCATTGTCTTGAATCTCTGGTGACAATATAGACTTAAAGATGAGAGTGTGAGGTTCAGATTGGTTTGTGACTTATACTATATCACACAGCAAGTTGAAGGCGGCATCAGGCTCGAAGCCCAGCAGGCTTTCTTTGTGCCCCTTCCAATCATTCTATTGGCTTAGGTCAACTGAGTGTGTGCAACAGAAATGGATCTTAGTTAACTTGAGAACAAAAGGGATTTTCCAGAAAGATGCTGGGGCAGCTCAAAGGATTTAAGGAGGAGCAGAAAGACCAGATCTCAGGTGAAGTGGGAACAAGGGCAGCCCTAGTGATAAGCCTTTGAATCTTCCCTCAGGATCCAAGTCTTTACTAGAACTCAGCTCAAACCCACTCCCTTAAGGTTTTAAATATCTGAAAGTGACAATTTGAGGGACCCATCCTGTTAGGTATATCCCCTGGATCAATCAGCTATGGTAGGATGTGTTTGGGAGACAAGGTAGGGTCTCAGAACACTGATGTGATCAGTGGGGACCACTACTTTGTATTAAGAGTTTCCCAAAGAAAATGCAACCATTGAGACCTGCCAATATGAATCCCTTGCAGTCATCTTTCTAATATATTAAATCCTAAGTCCTTCTAAATAAAATGGAGCAGTGGAAGGGTTAGATAAAAACAGCTCCAAAGCAAAGCAACTTTAATATTTCAATAAATAGTCACTGAATGCTAACTCTGTGCATTCAAAGGACTTACGCTAGACATTGGGTGGGTAAAGGGATAAGAAAATCGGTAAGACCTGGCAGCTGCTCAAAGATAAGACAGGCATACAAATCATGACACTGAGAGGCAGGATAAGGGAAATGATGCTCCACAACAGATACAAAGTGCTATAAGGTTTTACAGCATGGAGAGATTCTCTAAAATTTATATCCAGAGGAAAACCAAAAAGCTAAAGTCCAGATTTTCCTTCTTATTGCAACTTCATCATATGCTGGAAAAACTATACATGACTTCACATGCAAAGGAACACAGTGTTCTTATTTCCACCTACTGCAGTCCAGCTGCCAATTCAAATGTCTGCCACCTCTTAATTGTGCAATTAGGGAAGCATTAGTTTCAGTGGACTCAAGTGCCACTGCTAAGCTCCTGCTTGGATAGATTGCATAAACATGGTATCTGGGAAGGAAAAAAGGAATTGCTAGAGGAGTCTTGCCTATGCTTCTATGAAGATTTCAGATGCTGGTTCCATCAGGTAAAAACTTCTGAAAATCTGTGAGCATGGCAAAGAGAAAGTACTCTAGAATTCTTGCTGATAGGGTTAAGGATGGAGTTCTTGGGTGATAACATTGCTATGCAAGGAGAGTTTGCTGCAACATTTTATAACTCAAGAGCTGCTGGCCCAAGGCTATGCTGTTGCAAAATATTTGGATCCATCTCACATTGTGGTGATGAGAGTGAGAAGAAGAATTTAAATATCTTAGTCTCACTGGGCTTATTAAAACAACTTTGGTTTATTGAGAGCACCAAGGTGCACCTCATGCCCTCTCAAGGTCAGGGAAGATGAGCTCAGGATATGATGTAGGGGAAGGGGAATGCACTGGCTTCTTCATTGACTACCCAGTGGTTACCAGAGGCACAGGAGGAGGCAGAGGCAAAAAGGCTGTAGAGAAAGGGAAGGCTGGAGAAGCAAGTGGGCAAGGAAATTAAGGAGGGAGGATGGTGTATGTTTGAGAGCAGAGCGAAAGGGAAAGGAAAGACCCTGGAGTTGTTTAACACTGTTTTCACTGTTGAAGTTGGGGAGAATGAGTAAAACAGAACCGGTCTCATCTTTAGCATTACAGAGTGAGGACAAAATCAGTTGAGTGAAGGAGAAAATGAGCCAGTTAGTTAATACTTCTGTAGGCCCACTAGGCATCAGGCACTGCTGCATTTCCTTCTTGAGAACTCAGGAACAGAGAAGCCTCCAGCATTTGTACTTGGAAAACTTACAAAGACATATCAGACATCTGCTTGTCCTTAATATATACTATAGGCTTGCCTAGAATTTAGAATTCTAGATTTTAGTTTTCTTTTAGCCCAGTATTCAGTCTCCACTGTTTGGTCAGAGGGCTTAGACCCCTTTTGTTTAGAGGTTGAACATTCGCATACACAGATGGGATGCCCTCAGCCTTAAGGCTATAATCAATATTGGCAGAGTTGGGATGGGCAGCAGTGCACTTAGCTAGGGCCTCATAGTCACTAAAGGCAGGGCCTCAAATATAGACTCCTAACATTTATCTCAAAATGAGGTTGTATTAGGTTGAACTACATGACATTATTGATTTTCTAGGTTAAAAAAAGATCAAATATCAACAGTTTCATGTGGCTCAACTTAATACCTAAATTCATTGTAAATTACGTATGTGTTAAAGGTATTAATTTGTTAAATGAAAATATTTAAAAACTATCATTTTCAAAAATCTGCTTTTTTTTTTTTTTTTTTTTTTTTTTTTGAGACGGAGTTTTGCTCATGTTACTCAGGCTGGAATGCAGTGGCGTCATCTCGGCTCACTGCAACCTCTGCCTTCCGATTTCAAGCCATTCTCCTGCCTCACTTTCCCAAGTAGCTGGGATTACAGGCGCCTGCCACCACGCCCGGCTAATTTTTGTATTTTTAGTATAGATGGGGTTTCACCATATTGGCCAGGTTTTCTCGAACTCCTGACCTCGTGATCTGCCCACCCTCGGCCTCCCAGAGTGCTGGGATTACAGGCGTGAGCCACCGTGTCCGGCCTGTCATTTAAAAAAAAAAATAACAGAGCTGGGTATGGTGGCATGTACCTGTAATCCCAGGTATTTGGGAGGCTGAGGCAGGGGGATGAAAATATTTAAAAACTATCATTTTCAAAAACCTCCTTTGTCATTTAAAAAAAAAATAACAGAGCTGAGCATAGTGGCATGTACCTGTAATCTCAGGTACTAGGAAGGCTGAGGCAGAGGGATCACCTGAGCCCAGGAGTTTGAGTCCAGCCTGGGCAACATAGCAAGACCCTGTCTCTAAAAAAAAATACTTTTTTAAAAAAAACGTTGGGACCCGCTCGGCTTCTGCCTGTCGCAGACACAATGAGCCTGCACCGCGCTGGTTGCCCATGGGGTGGCTGTGAGGACGAACGGTCGGCGAGGCTCCACAGTCCAGGCGGAAGACCGTCGTCCAAGCAGGAGGAAGAGGAGGAGGTGGCCCAATTGTTGGCCGACTTCCCCCTAGCTGCCGGCGCGGCGCCCGCCTCGCCCAGGTTGGCCATTAGGCAGCCTGTCCGCTCGCCACCGCCTGGCCGTGTGCCGCCGCTGCCTTCCCCAGCCGCAGCCATGAAGCTGACCCACCGCATGCTGCTTCGAAGCTTCTGTATCGCCAACGTGTTCTGCGAAAACTCGGGACAAGATTAACTGCTTCGATTTCAGCCCTAAAAGCGAGGTGATCACCTTGAGCAGCAACGACGACTCCATCGTGCTCTCTGACTGCCAGGAGGGCAAACCAAAACCCTGTTCAGTAAGAAATACGGTGTGGCCTCATCAGATAAACTCCTGCGGCAAACACAGTTGTTTACAGCTGTAACAAAATAGACGATACTATTCGTTACTTGTCCTTGCATGACAACAAATACATCAGATACTTTCCTGGACATAGCAAAAGGGTGGTGGTCTTGTCCATGTCACCTGTGGATGACACTTTCATTTTTGGGTCTCTTGAATAAGACCATTCGACTCTGGGATCTCCGGTCTCCCAACTGCCAGGGCCTCATGCACATAAAGGGGAATCCAGTTTGTTCTTTTGATCCAGAAGGGTGAATTTTTGCTGCTGGTGTCAACTCTGAAATGGTCAAACTTTATGACCTTCGTTCTTTTGATAAGGGGCCATTTGCTACCTTTAAGATGCAGTATGATCGAACTTGTGAGTGGACAGCACTTAAAATCAGCAACGGTGGCAAGCTCATCCTCATTTCCACCAATGTCAGCTTCATTCGTCTCATTGGTGCATTCAAAGGAGTGGTGATACACACATTTGGCAGTTATGCCAACAGCGAAGCTGTCACACTGGAGGCTTCATTTACTGCAGACTCTCAGTTTGTTATGATTGGTTCAGAGGATGGCAAGATCCATGTCTGGAATGAAGAGAGTGGTATAAAAGTAGCTGGGTTGGATGGTAAACACACAGGCCCAATTACCTGTTTGCAATTCAACCCCAAGTTTGTGACTTTTGCCAGCGGGTGTACCAACATGGCCTTCTGGTTGCCCACCATTGATGACTGACCCTGATGCTACTTGGCTATTTCTGTACAGTGAGGGCCGCCAGCAGGAAGAAACTCAGAGGGGACTGAGATAATAGTGGGACTGGATCATTTGACTGTGCTGGAGAACATCCTTTTACATGGCCTTCCCATGGATGTGCTGTACATCTGCTCAAAAGAATTACTTTGCTGAGCATCTTCAAAAGGACTCTTGGTGCAACAGACTCAATTGGAACTCAACTTTTCTAGCTGTCACTGCACCAAGCTCTGCTAGAGGAGTGACCAGACTCCTAATTTGGGTATAGTGGGGCTCAAGCATCTTCAATTTGAATGTACATGCTGCTGAGGAGCCGGTGAAGTCTTCAGTTCCGCACATCCCTTCTCCTACCCCCCTAAATGTATGGGAAGCCACAGTCCTGGCTTTGAAATGCTGGAGCAGCTCAGTGCCCCTTGCCCTCACCCTGCATGTCTTGTTACTGGGTCTCCCTGTGTACTTGTGGCATTATCCACAACCGTCATGTTTCTTAGGTGCCAAACATTTACAGAAATGTTTTCTTATATTTTGGGTTAGAGAAAGGGACAAATACAGAAGGACCTTGCTTGTAGGAAGCTGTGCAGTTAGTCACTGCAGTTAGTTGTGTGAGGCTAGGTGGTCAGGCAGGCCTCAGGCTGTAAATGTTGGGTGGGAAAAGGGCCTGAAAGGGAAGGAAGGGGGAGGGTAGCAGGTGAGTTCCTAGGGTGGGAAGATTTAGCAGCAGCCTGGTGCAGTGCCCTGTCATCAAGACAAACTCACGGTCCTCCTAGATGCCTACCAAGCTTGGTTTGTACAAAAGCAAGGTGGGAGTCTATTTTTGTATATGAGATACATCACACTTTGCTGTGGGCTAGTGTTGTGAAGTGAGTCTGAGTTGTTTACACTGATGCCTTCCCTGCCCACCACAAATTGTATACATAGTCTTTAGATGATAGCACCCCTTTCCCCAGCTCCCGACCAAGAGCTGGTTCTAGGCCTGTGTTATGTTATATTTAGCCTTTTTGCATATGATCTTTGATTTCTGTTGTTTGTATTTTAGCACAGTGTATGCACCTTCATTTAAATACATCTGTGTGCATACAGATATGCATACATGTGTGTGCATATGCATGTATTGCTCTCATCTGTAGTTTCTGAGAGTTCAGCTGAAGCAGATGGAGTCCCACAGCCCAGGAGACAGACTGCATCCTTGCTAATAGTGTTTGCCACAAGTGTTAGTGAGTCTTCCCTATTAATGTTTTCATTTCGGAAGACCGAATGAAGCAAAGCTTATAGTGCTTGCTGTTTCCATGGCAGCTAAGTGAGGGTCTTGGATGACTCCCTGTGTTCCTCAAGCCGCACTTTGGGGTCCTCTCTGCAGTATTATCCCCCTTTTTGCTTGGTGGTACTCTGTGCCTGTGTGTGTGTGTGTGTGTGATAGTCACTCTTGCATGGCTTTTGTGTCTGGCTTGTGGCATTTGGGGATAGGGTGCTGGAGCCAGAGCATTTTCAGTTTGTTTGAGGCCTCGTTGCCAACGATAGATCACTCCCATTTACCTGGTATGTCTGCTTGCTTGCTGCTTTTCCTCGCTTTCTCTTGGAAGAGGAAGGGACTCTGGTCAGGCCCAGGCTGAGTGAGATGAGCTGTAGCTGGCTGATGTCCCTCTTAGAGCAGAGAGAGTGGTATGTCATTTTACTAAGTTCCTAAACAAATATTTATGCAGGCAACACTCCTTGCAGATCCAGAAACTGAGGCACAGCAAGGTTATGACTTGCTAGCACTTGTTTTTTTTAAAGCAATTACTTTTTGACTTGTTCCTTAAACTGAAAGTGCAAGAGGTGTACACCTTTCCCAAATGTAGACTAGAATCTGCAGGATGCCACCCACTGTATAGCTCTGCTTTCCCAGAGAGGATGGACTTTTAGAAACCAAATGATCTTAATTGTTAGTACCCACCCTTGGCTTTTCAGGGTAGAAAGTTCATGATAGAAATAATTGTTAAGAGAGAGTGCTTGGAACCGTGGGTTAACAGGAAAGGCTATATAACTTCACGTATCTGCAACCAGAGCAGCCACCAAGCATGACTTACCCAGCAGCAGGAAAATGATTTGTATTTGAGTTCCTGTGTGTCCCAAACTGAGGCACCATGTTCTTTGAAAACATGCCACCTCATGGCCTCTATTTTTGGGTCCTGCAGTTGCAAACCTGCCTCCTGAGTTAAGAAGGAAAGGGAAAAGATATAGCTGGCAGTGAGTGGAGATGATGTGGTAGGGGGATAAGGCAGAATAAGAAAAGAGATTCTGAGGGCTGGGGCTGCAAAGATTCTCTCAGCAGAGCCAGAGGTGCTCATGCTCTCTTGGGGGTGGTTGGGGAGTGGGGCAGCGGCATTTGCCATCCTCTTAGGAGTCACGGCCAAAACCACTGATGTGTATTTGATAGTGACACTGCACTCCTCAGCCAGAGGGGTACTTAAAAAATTATTTCCAGTTGCAATTATACTTACTGCTTATTAAGGAAAATTTGGAAATTTTAGAAATAATCAGTTTGCCACCCAAATGCTACCACTGTTAATCTTTTGGTGTTAAATGTTCCCCTACACATTTCTGTGCATAGATTTTTGGTGTGTTTACATAGTCGTTATTCTACTGTCTATACAATTTTATGTCCCTTTTGTGCTTAACATACAAACATTTTTTCCATGTTACAGTCTTAAACAGAAAAAAAATTTTGGGATCCAAAAAATGGAAGTGACCCTAGGCCCTTCTTGACTCTGAGAGACTCTGGCTGGAGCCATGTTCTACTTTTTTCCTGGGCCCTTCACAGAGGAGGCCTCATATATGAACATCATTTGCTACCTAAGACCCAGAGCAAAAATTAGCCGGGTGTGGTGGTGCATGCCGTAATCTCAGCCACTTGGGAGGCTGAGGCAGGAGAATCGCTTGAACCTGGGAGGCGGAGGTTGCAGTGAGCCAAGATTGTGCCATCGCACTCCAGCCTGGGTGATAAGAGTGAAACTCTGTCTCAAACAAACAAACAAACAAACAAGCAAGCAAACAAGAAGACCCAGAGCATATCTTGTGAAGTATTCTTGTGTTTAAATCTGAGTATTTTTCTAACTGTTATATTTCAGCCCATTTCTTACAGCTGACTATCTAAATTCATATAGGTTATTCTGTTGCATATTTTTATATCACTATATCTGGTCACCAGGTGGCTGCTCAAAAACATCTATTTTATCTCTTCAAACCTTCTGTGGCCTCCCAAATTCTTGCTCTGCAAGCCATGTTCAACTTCCTACAAAGTTTGACATTAATTCTAAATTCATTCATTGAAAATTCAGGTCAACATAAAACCCACTTAGTGGGCCAGATGCAGTGGCTCATGCCTGTAATCCCAGCACTTTGGAAGGCCGAGGCAGGTGGATCACCTGAGGTCAGAAGTTCGAGACCAGCCTGGCCAACATGGCGAAACCCTGTCTCTACTAAAAATACAAAAATTAGCTGGGCATGGTGTTGGGCACCTGTAATCCCAGCTACTTAGGAGGTTGAGGCAGGAAAATCGCTTGAACCTGGGAGGCAGAGGTTGCAGTGAGCAGAGATGGTGCGCCATTGCACTCCAGCCAGGGTGAAAGAGTGAGACTCGTCTCGAAACGAAAACAAAAACAAAAAGCTACTTAGTGTAACTGCTATCAAAAGCCCACCTGGTTGATTCTGAATATGGATGCTGTCATTGCAAAGGAAGCCTGCTATAGGTCACTGCTACCATTTCTCCTCTTCTGCTTCACTGGCCTCCTCAAAAAACAAACAAAAAAATTTTGCTTCACTGTAGTTATACTGTGTGCATATGTGTATACTATATGTGTGCTCATTTTTCAACAAATAATGATTGAGGCCTGATTCTGTGCCAGGCACTGGAGATGCAATGGTGCATGAAATAGACCTGATTGTTGTTGTCCTGGCACTCACAATCTAGTGGTGTTATAGAATAGAGGACTGATAATGTAGTGCTATAAGTGCCACAATAGGAATGATTGGAAGCTACAAAGTTTGGGGGAGCAAAGGCGTTTTTTACCATAGGGTTGAATGTCTACTTGTCCCAAGCACTATTCTACATGTCAGAAAAAGAGACACTAAGTAAGAGTAAACTGGGATGCCTGTGTGAGGAGGCAACATTTGAGCAGGGTACTACTATATGATGAGCAGGGTACTATACAATGAGCAGGATGGGGTGGAGGAAGGATATGGTATCCTGAACTCAGAAGGAGAGGTAAAATAAGCCTTCCTAATGGCAGTGATGCTGAACTGAGACCTGAAGGATGAAGAGGAGTTAGCTAGGTGAAGGAAGCTGGGGTTTGGTGGAGAAGTGCTCCAGGCAGAGGAAACAGGAAATGCAAAAGCCCAGAAGAGAAGGAATAGAAAATACAAGAAATTCGTGACTAGAAAAGATGAGGGGGGTAATAGGTTATTACTAGTTCTCCCTTTGTCTGGTAAAATTGTTTTACTTATATAAGAGCCAGTTTATTTTGTATACCTTGTTTTCTCTTTTAGTAGCCTTACTGATACACAAGTCCAAACGTGTTTGGGCAGCTTCCTCACCGAACATGGCCAAAGGAACTCCTGCCATCTAATGGACAGAGAGATCATAATTTGCAGAAAATTAGCATTACTACAATGTTAGGCTCACAGTATGTCAAATAACAGCAATTTTCCACTCAATGGTTTAAAAGCCCTTATGTACTAAAACAGGTTAAGGAAGAAATATGTAAGAATATTCTCAGACAATGCTCCCCTGTATGGGGAGATGAAAGGAAACCAGGGAAAGAAAGGAAGGAGGGAAGGTTAACAATTAGGTACTTGTGTCAGCATTGTACTTAGTGAGCATACTCTCATTCCTCCAATCAAGGAGGTAGGCAACATAAACCCCATTTCCAGATGAGGAAACTGCAACTCACAATACAGGGAAAAGCTGGCTTTGGCTGTCTCCTTTATGTTATGCTGCCTCCCATCAGGATTTATTTCTAAATCAACAAATGGTAAGGAGGCATTAAAATGTTGCCCAGTTGTGACATCCATACATTTACATTTAAGACCTCAATGAAAGTGCTTAAGATCCCATTTTGTTCTCAAAAGACATTGGGAAGAATCTCTATTTCACTAAATAATATACAAATCAGCTGGTGCCCAAAGCAGAGAGCCTCCGGTACCACATATATTAGAATGGACATATTTTGAAAGCTAAAAAACTGGAATGCCTTTCTAACAATTTCGTACTACTTCTAGTTGAGAGAGACATTCTTAAAAATGCAATTTGGATGCAGAAACATTGGCATTCTCAGAACACCGAGTTTTTGGAATTGAAGCTGTCTCAGAAAAATCCAGATGAATAGGGTTCCACATGTATGAAGATGAATCACATTAGCAAAGCATAATCAAATGTGTATATTATGCTTTCCCATAGTATTTTATACATACAAGACCTTAAAACATTGATTTTTTAAATTGTTATGGTGCCTGGTACACAGTAGGAGCTAAAAACATGACTATAATAGAGAATTGTAAAATTTTTGCTTACCTACCTCTTATACAAGGTTGTAAAAAGTTGTTAGAGATTAAATGTCCACCAGCTGTTCTGTCTTCACTGAGGTCAAAGCGATGGGAATGGAGCACCAGCAACTTGGAGTGGAGAGAAATTAGAACCAAGATGGATGGGATGGGGGTTGCGGGGCTGAGAAGCCTTAGGACAGATGACCAAGGGAAAAACAGTATAATCCTTTAGATGTTTTAAGAAGACAGGAGCTGTCCTTAGAATGGGATTATCCTGGTGGAGCTTGGAAAACCCCATGGTGTCAGATTCCTGGTCAACTCCCAAGTTTTGACTGAGGACCCGAGTTTCTAAATGCAGCAATGGAAAATGTGGGGGGATATATAATACAGTCTCTACTTTCAAGAAGCTTATAAACTGTGTATAGGGAATCAAGGACATGATCATTTGGACTGATCAATGAAGGCTTTGTAGAGGGAAGTGGGATATACAGATTAGAGGGAAAGGCATTCCAGGTAATGGCAACTACAAAATCCAAAGGCCCCTTTGGGGCCACTCTGAATCTAAAGCATGGCATTAGAATCTTGGCTTCATTTAAATTACATTTTATGGGGAAGTTGGGTGGTCTACTGTTAAGAGATTATGTAAGAGGAATGAGGCATTTCATTTTTCTTACCATTTGGTGTCACTCTCAATCAAATAAATTGTACTAAACTTAGGAAAATAAGCACCCTTGTTAAAAGAGGTTTTGGCTTTTGTCAAGAAAGCAAATTAATTTTTTTAAAGATAAAAGTGATAGTGAGATTCCTTTTTATGAGGAGTACACATGTGGTATGACCATTTACCTATGGAGTTTCAAAATAAAAAATTAAAATGACAGAAAGGACACTCACAGAACACCAGGCATTCATTTCACAAACTGCGGGGAAAAGTGTATTTTAAAGATACATTGCTAATACTTGCCTAAAGATTACTCTTACACATACAGAGTGTGACTGTTTTTTGATTTTGTAAATCAGAGCTTTGAGTATAGAGACAATGGCAACACGCCAGAAGAAATAAATTTCTACCGGGTAGAAAAGCATGAAGATGAGTGTCTAGAGAGATTTGGAGGTGGCTGGGTTCCCCTGGCCCTGCTCCTTTTTCTTAAGGACAGAGCTAAAATAACAATGTGAGGCTACAGATCATCTGTTTCTTATTTACTTTCTTGGTCTTGTCCTAGCTAAAGTCATTTCTAGATCATGTGCTACAGTCTTCAGAGAAGTTATGGAAGGAATTTACACAAAGGGCAAATACATAATTGAATACATGTATAAAAACACATCAATAGAATGTGGATAAAGAACATAGGCAAAAATTCTGATTAGAAGGAAATCAATGGATCTTTCATTTTCTGATTTGTACTACTCACTCCACAGCTGACAGTGTTCAGTTTCTTCAGGATGTCTGTCAGAAGCCCATTCCTTGATCCATCTTCTTGGTTGCCTGCTGGAGTAACACTGGCATTCTCTAAATCTAGAACTAGAGAGATGTATCTATAAAGTATTTATTCCCTATTTTCCTTCATATGTTGTTTTCTAGTGCTAAGCCTGTTATTTTCCTTAAAGAATTGCTTCAGTAGGGTCCAAGATGGAATCAGCTAATGGCTAACACATGATGTGTTAAATTCGGAAGAGTAATTTTGCACATGGTTTATGCTTAAATAGAAATTCTAAACCATTTACATCTGTTTTCTGGTCATCGTTCTTGCTTTATAAAAAAACTATGCGTATGCTCTCCAAATAAGTTTTTATTTTGCCCATTTTGAACTCTTCCATATATTAATTTTTTAAAGCACTCAAAACAGAGATCGAGAACAATTGTGTCCTTTTAGTTCATTGTCTTCTACAGAAGAAAAAATCAGGTCAGATTAAACTCTTGAAACTGTTGCAATTACTTGTTTTCCAAACTTCAGTTTTTTAATTTTCTCTCTTTTAATTTGCAATCACTTTCCTAAGATCATGCCTTTTTACTTTAGATAGCTAAAACATCGTTTACTAAATATTTGCCTTAGCACTGACCTTTGTGGTTACTTTGTTGAAAACTGTGCTGTAACTTGACACAATATTAACTACTTCTGATTACTTATCTGGTATACGTTTGGTAATATCTACCTTTCAAGAAAGGAAGACAGTTCAGACACATAATTTGACAAAATTAGGAATCAGCAACATCAGTTCTTCGAACATAGGAAAAAATCTGAACAGAGTTGACATTTCTATCTGGTGTTAGTGTTCTTTAAAGACCACAGACAACATGCACAAATGTAGGCGGAAACAATACATCTGCAGATACTGGCAGACAGCATTACCCGCCAAATTTGGCCAGTTTGTTAAGATAAATAACTTTTCAGTGACGTGCAGGGCTGAAATTACATAAACAACAGAAATTACTAAGACTTAAGCCTACGAGTTTTGTGGGTTTCAAGATTTTATGCAATCAATATTCTGACATCTGTAACACCATTTTGTCCCTAAAATGCTGATGCCAGGAACAGTAAGATATTAACGTTTTACTTGATGACTTGCTCATTATCTTGAAGTAAACCATGATTAATTCTTTGGAATAACCATTATTGAGCCACATATTTAGGTCATTAAGACAACTATAATCATCTCCTTATAAGGAAGTTTCATTAAAAATGCCAGAGAGCTCAGCCTGCTTCAAAAACCAATACTTGTAGCTTGTTATATTAATAGTTCTAAATGTCTAAGGCTTTTTAAATGAAAATACCCTTAACAGTTTTATCGAGCCTGAGCACTAGGAATTTTTAAAAACTGACAGTGAAAAATAGCTGATTAAGAGGAAATGGCATTAACTAGTTACCTTCTTAGTCTATCCTTAGAAATTCAAATATTTTAGAGACATTTCCCATTATTTAAAATGGTCTTCAGAAGGCTTAAAAATCTAAAGAATACGCAT
This sequence comes from Homo sapiens, assembly GCF_000001405.40. Taxonomy (NCBI): domain Eukaryota; kingdom Metazoa; phylum Chordata; class Mammalia; order Primates; family Hominidae; genus Homo; species Homo sapiens. The sequence goes on along the minus strand of NC_000001.11, from coordinate 91,526,170 downwards.
ATAAAAGCTCCCTGCCAATTCTGATTTAGCACATTGGGAATATTTGTCCAAAATTGAGGCAATATTCTTCAGTGGGACTGAAATTCCCCGAGAACTAATTTGTAACACTGGGTATATTTAAAAACACTAGCTCCCTTTTACTTCCCCCTCAATATCAACCAAGTTCTTTGCCATTAATGAAAGTTAAAACAACAGCCCTGAATATTAAACTTTCTTAGAGAATGTCTCCTTATCTACCCTTTGGGTAAATTTTTCTTCCTCTTTAATTTCTGAATATATGTTAACATGACTGTTTCATTAACATACTATTTGCTGAAAGAATATCACCATTCACCCATCTCAAAAGAAAAATATTCCCAGTTGTCAATTAAAAAAAAAAGCTATTTTTCAAATGAGTAGTCTGACATAAAAAATATAAAAGGATAACTTTATTGAATATACAAATTCAAGAGCATTCAAATTTTTTTTAAGATTATGGCATAAGACAGATCAATGGTAATGGTTTATATATCCTATACTTACCAAACAGATTAGGTAGATATACTGACCTATCAATGCTCAAAATAACAAAATGAATACATGTCCCTAAACTATTTCTGTATTCTATGACTACTAAATGGGAAATCTGTCAGCTGACCACCCACCAGACTTTTTCCCATAGGAAGTTTGATATGCTGTCATTGATATATACCATTTCTGAATATAAACCTCTATCTTGGGTCCTTTTCTCTTTGCCTACTTCATTATCTGTCTTCCCAACCCACCTAAGACTTAGTCAAAACAGGATACAGAGATCTGGATGGCTCTACGCAGAGGAAAAATCTCCAATAATACCGTCAATTCTGTATTCACTTTTCCTTTCAGCAGCTACCTAATTATATCTAAGATGGTGTGAAAAAATATACAACTCAAAAAAGAAAAGCATTTGGACTATCAATCTTCACCTTGGTCCTGCAGCTTCCCTTTATCAACCAGTGTATGTATTATTTTAAATTCCCAACTGTAAACACGTACAATATTTAATAAAACATCCAGAAACTTTGTGGTCAGCACCATGTAATTTCCGAGGAGAATGTTTTAGGTAGGGGCAGAGAAGGAAGAAAATTGAGAAGCCAGTAAGAAAAAAATGGCAATTCACACCAGAATGCTTTCATGAAGTGTTTTTTAAAAATGGATGAATTCAATTTTAAGTGATACTTTGCCCCATGACCAACATTTCCTCATTGTTTTAGTGTTCATAAAAGGCCTAATATGTACCTCTAGAAAAGGAAATTATCTTCTTTATTTACAAAATTGTTAAGAGCACCAGCACCAGGTTGAGTTTCCCCAAACTATACCTAGCTCATAACTCTAAAAGAATCTACAAATTAAGTCTTTTGATTCATTTAATCCTCATCACATCTGTTAATTTTAATTAATTAAAACTAAAACTGCTCCTTTTTCTGTATATGTCAGTGAAAGGTAATTAGGGAAGCTAAAAATCTGACCTAATAGGAACCCACCTAAAATCTACTTAGGTAGGTTTAACTCAAAGAAGATCATGTTGTTAGTCCCAAGAACTATCCCAGGCATTTTAAGTATTCTTAATCTATATTTTAGAATGTGCCACCAAACACTAAAATGTTAAAATAAATTATTAATCCTGCTCTGGTCTCTAAACAAGAACTTGTGGCTATTACAAAGTATTCTTTTTTATTCTACCTCATAACAGTAAACATTAAATGAAGATCCATTATCACAAGCTCATATCTTTAAAAAATGGATGCAACAAAGCTTCTTCTGCTGTTATTCTTGAAGCTGGATTTAGATCTAGAAGTTTATCAAGCAGGTCATAAGCTTCATCAGGTACCTCATTCCAGCCTTCTAAATTGGTATTATACTCATCAAAACAATGCTCACAGCTATTACTATCCCCCTTTTTAAATGAATTCCCTGAGTATTGTCCTGGAGGTGTTTGAACGAGGCAAGAAGCTTTATGGTCAGTCTTCTCTGAAATAGCTGGTTGATGAGAAGCATGCCCTTGTATATCACTTGTTAACTTGGGAGTGCTAGAATCCATACCCCTGAGTCTCTCACAGAGTTTTCTCAAGTCTTGTGCTGGAACTTCTTTGCTACATAATATTGATTTCCCTAAAAGCAAAAGAAGAAAAAACAAAAACAGAAAAAAACATTTTATTATTTGAATATATCAGAAGCCTCTCTCATGAGAAACATGAAAGTTCAAACATATGCTTTATAGACATGGACACACACACACACACACACACACACACACAGTATGAGATAGAGCACCACATGCTATATTTAAGTTGTATTTGAATTGCATAGTGGGAGATAAAGTGGGAGATAGTAAGTACAAAGCAGTGACTTACTAAGCTATGCCAGGCACTCACTTGACTCTGCCAATTTCTCAAGCTTCATCTTACCCTTCTATAATCTTTAACTAGCTGCAGCTCCCACGCCCCCACTCTACTTCCTTTCCATGCTTCTATGTCTTTGACTACATGACTCCTGTCTTTGCCTAGGATGCCCTGCACCCCTTGTGTGCCCAGGACACTCTCACTGACATCACCACTCAGATCAAGAATCACCTCTGAGGCTTGACACCCTCAGAGAGAACTGATCAATTTCAGTTTCTACTGTATCTTGAGAGTTCTACTATTACTTTTGCTATCCTATATATGTCTGTCCCACCTAGTAGACTGAGCTCTTTGAAGGCAGGAACTGTCTTATTTATCTTTGAACCCCCCAAACCCAGCCTATGCCTGGTACAGATTAGGTAGTCAGTTAATGTCTGTTGGACTAGACAAAAAGGCATTATTCTTTTCAACAACTGTTCAAATGACACATACATCCTTAGAGATGCTGTTCTTGACCAACCTATCCTAAATAAGCCTCTTCCCTCCCCTTTTCCTTTTATCTCAGTACCACTCATTTCTCATAGTATTTATTTATGTTCTCTCCCTCACTAGAATTTAAGCTCTGTGAAAGCAGAGACTCGCAATAGTACTTGGCACACATAAAGCCCCAATAAATGTTTCTGAATGAACAAATAAACAAACTAGATCTGTTTTTAAAAATATAAATGTATTTGAAATAACTTCCTGATGGGTTTATTATCAGATGTGCAAAAAAAAGTTAATCACACAAATGGCAATCATGTATTATTTTTGCCTTACATTTCCTTATTAAACAGAAATATACTAAATGTACGAAACAACAAGTACCACAACATTTAGATGCCTTTCTGAGAATGTAGATTGTCAACAAAGTCATTAATCTGACTGTGGATGATAAAAAGTTACCTTTACATATTCTGAACTAACTACTGGACTGGTGTACTAAGCCAGGGAAAAAAATGGGGGAGGGAAAGGGAGGAAACAAACAATTACTGAAGACCAAATTCTTTGAGAGTACAATATGCCAATGCTTTTTTACTTTTAAACTGATTCTATCATTCCTATTCTCTCTAGAAAATTATAGCCAGGGGGGAATATTCATATAGTTTTATTCCTTTATTAGCTTGTTCTGAAGTCATAAAATAACTAATAGTATATGTTATAGCATGTCCCCAAGTTATACAATATGCTTTTTTTTATATGACCAAAAAGAGGGTTCATTTACAATATTCAGGAAAAATAACTTCAAGTAACACTATCAGTCAACATATTTTATTACAGACTACTATGTGTCAGGAATTTGTTTCAGCTCAAGACTTTTCTTTTTAATTTATTCAACACAATTCACTGAGTACTTAATGACAACCCACAATGGAGCCAGGTTTAAGGGTTGAGGACAGATAAGAGAAGTAAAGGTGCTCTCACTGCTAATCTCAGCCAAGTCATTTCTTTAGGTTACAAAGGGGAACACAGTTGTGTTTGTTGAAATTTTGAGGCTTTTATACTCAGTCCAAAGTTATAGTAAGATCAAGACTAAAATAACTACAGATGTCATACTAATACAACTGAGACAAGTCCTATGGCATTATTTTTATTATTTGTTTTTTTGAGACAGAGTCTTGCTCTGTCGTCAGGCTGGAGTGCAGTGGTGCAATCTTGGCTCACTGCAACCTCCATCTCCCAGGTTCAGCTGGTTCTCCTGCCTCAGCCTCCCGAGTAGCTGGGACTACAAGTGCATGCTACCATGCCCAACTAATTTTTGTGTTTTTAATAGAGATGGGGTTTCACCACGTTGGCCAGGATGGTCTCGGTCTCCTGACCTCATGATCTGCCCACCTAAGCCTCTCAAAGTGCTGGGATTACAGGTGTGAGTCACCACGGCTGGCCCTATTTTTTTTTTAATATGAGAAGTATTACAATGATAAATCTCTAAAAGCTCTTGCTTGCTATCATGGCACTTGATCTAGAGTATTTTTGGGTCAGATGTTGTATTTCCATTGTTGGCCCTGATTATAACTTGGATTACAATGGGGGAGATTCAAGCTCTTCAATAAAATATGTTGGTATTGGCTGATAAACTTCATGTTCATAAACCTCTCACGAAGTTATTCAATAGTAGATGAAAGTTTTCTCAGTTGAGAATAAACATACTTGTTATATTATTATGTAAGAATGCCATTTCTAAGATATCAATCTTGCTTTCCACTCATGGTCACTTTTTTTCCCTTGTATTATTTCATCCTATTATCTTCAAATAAAATTTTCTTACAATAAGTACAAGATAGTTACAAATCGTGGACTGACTTTACTGTAGAAACATATTTTGGCAAGCCTCTATTAAGATGAGGCTTTCTTCACAACCACCACTAAGTTTTTCTTGTAGATTAGACTATAGCACTAGTGCATAAGCAAGGGCAGTAATTTTTGCAGTGGTTCTTAAACACCCATAGTTTCTTAGTCAGAATCACTTGCTTTTTCAAACTAACAAGGCTGGAGCCTTCCTAAGTATCTTGTTTTTCTGAATCATATTTTCCAAGAATAGGCTGAGTGGGCAGGCATATGTATTTCTTAAAGATTCTCAGATAATTCTGACATGCAACTCTGGTTAAGACCCACTGATCCTGGGGTTGAGCACAAGACAGCCCAGCTACTCTTGAGGTAGGCTGGCTGAAACTTTGTCTCCTGAGGTGTTCTGTATTGTATGGTAGTAAGCTGAGTCAATCCCACTTATTCCTTGGAAAGTATTAACTATAACTGAGCGTGGAAAATAAACATTAAATGGGCACTTGAGTTCAGATTGTTGGCCAGAGCAAGGCTGAGATAATTCTTATGTGCCCTATGAAGTACACTGCACATCCCAGTCTTGAAGAACTTGCGTGGCTAAGGAGATGACATCCAAGTCCAATATATGCTTACAATAATATCCCATCAGTTAAGGCCTTCTATGCATTCTGCTTCTCTGCTACCGTAAACCTACACAACCTGACAACACACATTTCCATTCTCTTCCCTAGTCCTTATTACACTGTATTAATAATTAACTGTTTACTTGTTAGTATAGCCTAAGATCATTTAAGGCAAGGACACTCTAAGTACCAAGACATAGTGCATCTGATGTTTAAAAGACAATAAAAAAGTAAAACATATTACAAAGTAAAACATGCCTTTAATAAAAGGTAAATTTATGTAATAAAAGTCAAACCATAACTAAAAGGAGTTAAGATTTTACTCCTTATTCTTATAAAATTATAAAGGTAAACTTTAAATACTGCAACAGTGTATTACTTTGTGCTTAATAAGATTAAATGATTATATGTATAGAGAGGTGATAAATTTATTTTCAAGCAACTGAAGAATTTTCTACTTAATATTAGAGAACTTTATCAAGACTGAATGTTTATTTGTAAAGAAAATTTCACAATAATTTATTAAGTGATTTGTAGGAGATAATCAAAGGCATTTTGTTTGGTTCTATAATACAAAACTGCTTACCAAAAGTTTTAGCAGCTTGGATAGTTTCTCTGGATCCCCTAATTGTCATAATTTGGGCCAAAGCAGTTAAATCATCACTTGCTTTATAAAATGGATATCGTCCACTAAGCAAAGAAAGAAATATGACACCTGCAGACCACATGTCAATTGCTGCAACAGAAGACAAATTTTAAAAATAAATTTCAAATCTATAATTTTATCATCTAAATCAATAGTCCTCAACATTTATTATGCATTAGAATCACCTTGGGAGCCTTAAAAATTTCAGATGCCCAGACCCAAAGATTTTGATTGAACAGTTCTGAAGTAGGGCTCAGGCATCAATGTTTTAAAAAAGTTCCTCAGGTGATTTTAATGTACAACCAGGACTGAGAATCCTCACTGCAAAATATGTTTTCTTTCTTGAGCAACGTGTTGGTAAATTTAAAAGGATATTTAATCACTAGGAAACACTAAGTAAACGCACATTTTATAGGATCAAAAGGAATCCAAAAATAGCTATGTGGGAAAAAATCTGAATGATCCTTGAGAATTACATACCATACTGGTCAAAGTGCTTTCATTTTAGTGAAAAGTAATGAACATTAGAAGCTCTTCTTCAGCTGACACTAGCACCAACTACTGCTATAGAAACTTTTAAAAAATTACTTTTTTATTTTTTTGTGACTGTGAAGACTTTAATTTTTCTGAGTACACAGTAGGTGTATATATTGATGGGGTATATAAGATGTTTTGATACAGGCATGCAGTGTGTAATAATCACATCCTGGAAAACAGGGTATCCATTCCCTCAAGCATTTATCCTTTGTGTTACGAACAATCCAATTATATTCTTTTCTTTTTTTCTTTTTGAGACAAGGTCTCCCTCTGTGGCCCAGACTAGAGTGCAGTGGCACAGTCTCAGCTCACTGCAATCTCTGCCTCCCAGGTTCAAGCAATTCTCATGCTTCAGCCTCTTGAGTAGCTGGGATTACAGGCATGTCACCATGCCCAGCTCTTTTTTTTTTTTTTTTTTTTTTTTTTGTATTTTTAGTAGAGACGAGGTTTTGCCACATTGGCCAGGCTGGTCTCAAGCTCCTGGGCTCAAGTGATCTGCCTGCCTCAGCCCCTCAAAGTACTCTTTTAGTTATTTTAAACTGCACAATTAAATTACTGACTATAATCCCCCTGCTGTGCTATCAAATACTAGGTCTTAATTCATTCTTTTTTTTTTTTTTTCGAGATGGGGTCTGGCTCTGTTACCCAGGCTAGAGTGTGGTAGTGTGATCTCGGCTCACTGCAACCTCCGCCTCCCAGGCTCAAGTGATCCTCCCACCTCAGCCTCCTGAGTAGCTGGGACCACAGATGCACACTACCACATCCAGCTACTTTTTTGTATTTTTGGTAGAAATAGGGTTCTACCATGTTGCCCAAGCTGGTCTCGAGTGCCTGAGCTCAAGCAATCCACCTGCCTTGGCCTCCCAAAGTGCTGGATAATTCATTCTTTATAACTATTTTTTGTACCCATCAGCTGTCCCCACATCCCCCACACCCTCCCACCACCCTTCTCAGCCTCTGGTAACCATCTTTCTGCTCTCTATGGGTTCAATTGTTTTAATTTTTAGATCCCACAAATTAGTGAGAACATGCAACTCTTGTCTTTCGGTGCCTGGCTTATTTCACCTGACATAATGATCTCCAGTTCCATCCATGTTGTTGCAAATGACAAGATCTTCTTTTTCGTGGCTGAATAGTACTTCCATTGTGTGTAAGTACCACATTTTCTTTATCCATTCATCTGTTGACGGACACTTAGGTCGCTTTCAAATTTTGGCTATTATGAATAGTGCTTCAACAAACATGGGAGTGCAGATACCTCTTCGGTACATTGATTTCCTTTCTTTTGGGTATATACCCAGCAGTGGGATTGTTGGATCATGTAGTAGCTCTATTTTTAGTTTTTTGAGGAACGTCCAAATTGTTTTCCATAGTGGTTGTACTAATTTACATTCCCACTATAGAAACTTTAATCTTCTGAATTCTGGTAGTTAAAGATTACGACTAGCTCAACTTGATGTTAAAAAGCTCTTTTTTTTTTTTCTTAAAGTTGACATCTCTCTTAATTGTTGACTTCCTAGTATCACCAGGTTATCTGCTCTCTGTTCCTTGGGCTACTGTATCACCTTTTTTTTTTTTTTTTTTTTTTTGAGACTGAGTCTCACTCTGTTGCTCAGGCTGGAGTGCAATGGTGCGATCTTGGCTCACTGTAACCTCTGCCTCCCGGGTTCAATTCTCCTGCCTCAGCCTCCCCAGTAGCTGGAACTACAGGTGTGTGCCACCATGCCCTGCTAATTTTTTGTACTTTTTAGTAGAGACGGGATTTCGCCATATTGGCCAGGCTGATCTCGAACTCCTGACCTAGTGATCTGCCTGCCTTGGCCTCCCAAAGTGCTGGTATTATAGGCATGAGCCACTGTGCCCGGCCCTACTTGCCTTTCTTAGCTCCTTTGGTACCTCTGCCTGCTCCTTCAATGTTTTCTCCAAGCCTTAAGTGCTGACGGATATTCCTCAGAGTTTTAACTTCTCCCTCTGTATACTCTCCCTGATTGGTCCATCCACTTCATGGCTTCAACTGTCATTTATATAATGATGACATTCATCTGTATTTCTAGCCCAGCTCCTTCGCTGAGCATCAGACTTAACTTTGATTCTGCTGGAAATCTCTATTTGGATGTCCCACAAATACCTCAAACCAATTATACCCCAAACTAACCTTACCTTCCCCTATAAACCAGTTACTTCTCCTTTACTCTCCACCTTGGTTACTGGTACACATCCAAGTCTCCCAAGCTAGGAATCTGGTAAACATCCTGAATGCCTTTTTCCCTCACCATACCACACCCTAATTCTACATCCAATTATCCACCAAGCTCTGCCTTTCTAACCCTTCACTTTTCTTTTCATTCCTATTACCAATACCCTCATTCACATTTTCATCCTCTCACCCGGACAAATTCATGCCACCACTCTCCAAAAGCTAATCTGTTTGCACGCCTGCCAGAATGATCCATCTAGGATATACCATTGTCACTTTTTTCACTTAACTTTCCAATATCTACAGTATATAGTCCAAACTGTAACAACTGTGGTCTGACCTTGTCTACCTCATTCCAGGTTTATCTCTCACCATTCCTCAACTTGCATCTTAATATTCTAGCAAAATTGGACTTTTTTTTTTGAGATGAAGTCTTGCTGTCGCCCAGGTTGGAGGGCAATGGTGCGATCTTGGCTCACTGCAACTTCCGCCTCCTGCGTTCAAGTGATTCTCTTGCCTCAGCCTCCTGAGTAGCTGGGATTACAGGTGCGCACCACCACACCCAGCTGATTTTTGTATTTTTAGTAGAGATGGGGTTTCACCATGTTGGTCAGGCTGGTTTCAAACTCCTGATCTCAGGTGATCCGCCCATCTCAGCCTCCGAAAGTGCTGGGATTACAGGCATGAGCCACCGCGTCTGGCCAAAATGAAACTTTTTTAGTTTCCTGTATGCTGTTTCTTGAGTTCCTTGGCTCATGCCTCTATGCTAACTTCTCAGCCCAATTTACATTCTAAGAGGTCATTTCTTTCATGAATTGCCTTTCATAATCTCTTTGGGTTAGGATAGTTAGATACTCCTTAAATACCCTGAATAAGTTTTATTACCATACTCAACAGGTTATTTTATAATTATTTGATGGTGTCCTGACTAGAGTGTGAACAGATGGTCTCATTTATTTATTTGTTATCATTAGCAAGCAAGAACAGACATTCAATGAATGAATACATTTCTTCAAAGCCCATAATCCAAGTGAATAGCAGGATTCATCTATTCATTCAAGATGTTTCCTGGATTCCAGCTCCATGGTAAGTTTTTAGATTACGGAAGACATTTTTCTTTTTCAAAACCTTCTAACTGCTATTATATTGTTTATATAATAACAAAAGTAATTTTAATCAAACACAAATATATCTACATCACAGGAAACTTTTGAGGTATTAAGCAAGCAAATAAAATGCTTTAAGTCTTTGGCTGGCAAAAACTATTAAACATAATTTTTTCCCCCACAAAGGTGATGTCAGCAAAATTCCACAGATTACATTTTGCGTATTTATTTACAAGATGGTAAGATCATCTTGTAAATAAATACGCAAAATGTAATCTATGGAATAAACTGTTTAAACAAAAAAAGAGAGGCAACATTAGGATTAAAAACTTTCATAAAGAATAGCATTAGCTCAAAAATAGGAATGCCACACTGCAAGAACTGCTTACATAATTAAAAGCAGAAGAACTCAAATATTAGTTATAAATAGACAAAGATCATAAAATAAAATACGTCTGGAACAATCCATTTTAACTAGGTTCTGTATTTCCAGTACAACATACCTGTAGTTTGATTGGGGCACTTTGTCAAGACCTCTGGTGCTCTGAATCCTGGTGTACCTGCCCTAGGGGCAACCTGCTGACGCCTTATGATGAAATAAGATTTCTCTAGTTATGTTAAAGTTGAACTATGTAAGTCTAAAAAATAACATTCATCAATTTAGTTCACAGTAAATTTTGCCTTGATACCTATATAATAAGTGTTACTATAAAGTAAATGATAATCTAGTGTGATAAAAATCCTAGATTTTTCTTCTTCTGTTTTTTACCCCCTCTACTAGTTCCCCGGACTTACTCCAGAAAGGTTTAAAATAACCTCCAAGAATAAAAAGCAGTAGTGGATAATAAGAGCCATAATAGAAAAAATAGAACCCAATAGCAATTCACAGGTATAAAAATTCATTTGTTTGGAGTAATTGATCACAGATACACTTATATATTTGAGTTAATCAAGAAAGGCTTTATGAAAGCCAAGCCTTGAAGGAAAGGAAGAAATTTATGAGTCAAAGAGTTGGAGGTGGGAGTAAAAGAGGAGCTCTACTATTTGGTTCTGGTTACTCCACATAAGCGGGAATAAAAAGAGAAAACAGAAAAGACTACATCAGCAATCAAAATGTGTGATTCTAAGCTTCTAAAAGCCACCCCGTCCCACTTATTTGCATATAAGAGCAAATGTGTTTTCCAGAGTATATCCATATTAAATAAATAATATATGAAAACTGTTATCATTTGCTCTTCAACATACTACTGCTCTGCATCAAGGCCCATTGCAGTTCACTGATCTGAACTGATCCCTTGCACTCACAAAATTATCCACCCAAGTCAATGCAATTTCTAATGGCAGCATGCTGGTGATTTTATAACACCATCAAAACACATTACCTTGAAAGGCAAATACTACAAACTTTATCTGTTGCATAGCAGTCACAGGTCAGGCTAGCTGGGCAAGAACTGGCAGTTTTCCTCATCACAGCACTATTCATAACTTTTGTAGAAATAGCCTTCTTTTTTGTTGCTAACTTTCTAGACAGTACATCCACAGTCTTTGACTGCTTCATGAGCTGTAAAAGAAAAGTCTCATTTTTCTATTTTCATGATATTAAACATGATGTCCTAAAATGCTAGTATGGCAAAAAGCAATAGCGGAAGCATAACTTTAAAAACTGCTGAATGGCTATTGGACTGTAAATAAACTGTTGTCTATTAAAATGTTTAAGGTCTTCTTGGGTTTTTCTGTAAAGTCACCTTATATTAAAATTTACTAATTAGTCCTAGCTTGGCCAATATTTGAGTTATACTTTATTAGAACTTTTCCTGATATATTACAGAAGTATAAAACAGTTATGTTCTAGTGTCTAACTCCATTTCAGAACTGTAAACTGCACAAGTACGTTGGCTAAAATCACAGTTTTAATTTGTTGCTCATGCTGTCTAGCTGTCACAAGATATCATAAGTCAATCTGAAATCATCTACATTGATGATGATTTTGTTAACTTTACAAACATCTTTACACTATCAACTATGTGTCAGAATAGTTAGCTAACTGTATGGAGCTCACACTCTAGCAATGACAGAAAGCCCTTAATGTTCTAAATGTTCCTCTAGAGAAAGACAGTAATAGCTAACCAAAAATGAGAAAAAATTCCACCAGAAAAGTTCAGAAAAAAACTGGAGAAAACAAGTTTTGACTAAATGCTTAAAGCAGTAATACCTTCTGCCAAAGCCAAACTCTAGTTTAAAAAAATTTCTGATAATAAATGTTAATCTAGTTATTACCTAAATTCTCTTCAGTGTATGACTGACTGACCATTATGCTATTAAGCTACATTACTTACTTTCACTGCAGGGCTCTCATGTGAAATGGAGCTGTGTATATTGAAATTTCTTTCTCCAAAAACAGAGCGCTGGACAGAAAGGCCTACAGATCCCTCCTACAATACCAACAAAAACAAGGAAAATAAGGATTATATCTGTAACACTTTCTGCCAGCTGTACTCTGCCATAGTTTTGAAAGAGTTAAGTGAGATGAAACAAAAACAGCTGCATCCAAGTCATTCTCAGGCACCAAACCACTTCTGTGAAAGGAGAAAATAGTCTAGACAGAACTCAACACCCATACAATGTTATCATAGTCCACAAATATATATAACTAAAAAAAAATTCAAAAACCACCTGCATGGATGTTACATTTTGCTGTGCAGCTAAAATGGAGATAGACACTTCAGAATTCCTCCCCTATAACTAATGCTTTCTTTTAAAAAGGATAATTAATCTGAACTTTTTAACATGCAGGGAAAATTTAATATTTTCCATTTTTGTCATAAAATATGATTTCATAATAGTTAATGACAGATGTTATAAACTGACAAAGTAAATTTTAGTTTTAAAATAGTAACCAAAATGATTCAGTACAAATCTTAGTGAAAATTTAATCAAATGAATACATATAACAAATGCAAAAAAAAGTTTTTTAAATTATAAGTACTATCCTAGTATTCTATCTCCCTCTGTTGGTTGAAGGAGTATATTTCTAAAACAGTGTCGGTACTTAAGAAATAAAAGAGATAGAACCTTTCCGTCTTTTCCTTGTTTAATCTGAATTTGTGCATTTGTGTAGGGTCTTTTAACAGAAGCTTTTGTGGTGGACTGCTGATCCAGCTCCTTAGGTACTGGGCCACTCAGTGGAATCTTGTTTCCTGTGATTATGTGGGATTTGTTTTGTGAACACCTTTCCTGCTGAGCTTCAGACTGGACAAATTTAAGAAGCTCTATTTTCGTATCATGGGTTCCTTGGGCCAAACCAAAGTCTACCAAGGCATACCTAAGAGACAAAATTAAGCATTTTTACTTATCTGTAGCAATTAAAGCTTAGTAACATTGTAATACTCTCAAACCATCCTCATAAAAACTGTAATTCTTTTTGGGATCAATTAGGAATTTATAACATTCTGGAAAAAAGAAAAAAAAATAAGTTTTCCAGACAAAGTAAGAATTTAACAGCTAACCAGGATTGAAAATTAAGAGTTGTCCCACAATCAAATTTTCTTTTTCCAGTGGTCTGTGTTAATAAGGCAGAAGAGGAATACATAACATAAACACAGTCCGTTGTTCTCTGATGGTGGCAGAGATGGCATCATAGCAGATAATTTCTAGTTAAGAAAGCTTAAAAAAATTAAAATCATGGTTTTAAAATCTGATCCAATTAAAGAAAATTAAAAAGTCAGGCATATAAAAGCTCAAAAAAGAAGTTATAATATTATTATGTTTAATATGATCCATTATATAGAGGTATTTATGTTATTTTTAGCTTATAATTTCTCTATAATTATAATCAGCATTAAAAAGTATACATAAAAATAAAACTTTTGTGTTAAAACAGGAAATTGGCTATCATGTGGTCCAATCCCCTCACTTACTAGAAAAGAAAAATGAAGTCCAGAGATAAGAGACATGTCTAAGGTCAAAAATTATTAGACTCTAAGTCTGTTAGTTCATGCTATTTCCACTGAACCATAGTACATCTAATAATGTACATTATTCCACTAATACAATTTTATCTTCTTCATCACCAAATTTCCCTTTCCAATCACAAAGAAACTGAAACAGAAATAATCTGTGCATGGCTATTGCAGTATGTTATATTATATCTAAGAGATATAAGTCAGAGGATACAAAGTAGCAGATATGTAGGATAAATAAATCTAGACCTAATGCACACTCTGAAGATTACAGGTAATAAAACTGTACTGTATATGAGATTCATACTAAATGAGTAAATTTTAGCTGCTCTTGCCGTAAAAACAAAAATAAGATGGGTAACTGAGATAAATATTTGCTTCACAATAGTAACTTTTGTACTATATATAACATCATGTTCAATACCTTAAATATAGACAATAAAATTGTTTTTTAAAAGAAATAGGATAAATATTTTCTAGTAACTCTTCATACTTACTTTTTCAGGCGCCTATTATATAAAAAATTGCTGGGCTTAACATCACGGTGAACAATACCAAACTGATGAATGCGTTTCAAAGCTTTGAACAGATTAAGCATATATTCCCGTACTTCTTGAAAGGAAAGAGAATTCAGAATGTCCTAAAACAAAGTTACAAATGAAATGAGTTACAAATATTGTTTGCAATTAAATATTTAGCTAATAAAAATTCAAGAAATATTAAAACCTACCAAAAACGACTCATGCTCCAGATATGGCATAGCAATAACTACATGATCATTCTTCCTAAAGCAGTATTTAACTCCCATGACATTATCTTGCCCCCTAGTGGAAAAATGCACAAGGAACTTTTAGAAGAAAGGTCAGAGGGACTGAAACTTTATGCCTAATTTTAAAAACCGCAATTTTAGCAATGCATACATATTGCTAGAAAACTGACTTAAATCATCATCACATAATATAAACACAAGTGACTTGTGTTCTCGTGTTAAAGTTTTCTTTTAAAACAAAAATGGCACCAGTTTTGAAGTTACTATAATAATTCAAACGAGGTAATTATAGTTGTGACTGGGGAAGCAGCAGAATGAGAAAAAAGGGAAAAGATTAATAAGACTTAGCAGATAAGATGGTAACAGTAATAAATAAATCAAGGTCACTAAACTAATAGATCAATGAGCCAGGATTTGAACCCAGGCATTTTGCTCCAGATATATGTTCTTAATCACTATGTTACACTGCTTCATAAAAGAGGAAAATAGGACAAAGGTGATTTCTATGATTTTGAGCCTGAGTAAGAAAACAATAGAGATACCAAAAAATGAGTAGAGAAGCCAGTAAAAGAAGCATCTAAAACCAGACCTCATCATTTTGATAGAGTTATCTAGACAAGGGACTAAGCCTTAAGTGAGAAGACAAGTGAGAAGTCAGTGAGAGTACCTGCAGAGAAGTGATACCTACAGACATGAAAATTAATAGCGAGAAAAGAAAACTGAGCTTGGAAGAAGCCAAGTTAGAGAGCCAAATAAGAAAGGAATTTTGAAGGAAGAGTTATTAGCATGGAAGTCAAAGAGAATAACAACTGAGGGAAGGCTTTTAGTTAGGCAAAGAATAATTAACTGGTAATTTTTAAGACAGCAATTTAAGTGGAAAGGAAGAAACAAAACAGAAGGAAGGAAAATATAACACAATGGAAGCTGAGCCTGAAGACAATTTGCCTGACTGCATTGTAAGATCAGATGAAGGCATTTTTAGCATGTACTTTTTTAAGCACAGAAAAAGAAAAAGTGGTAGAGGGAGACAGTTAAAAATATAGAAAAAGAAATGATCATATTTAGGGTACAAGAATGTATGCAAGCATTCTTTATAGAGGCCATCTCATTTTCTTGTCTTCTATAATACACAGAAGGCTGAAACAAACAGGCTTATTCATTCATTCAGTATTTAGTTGGCACTGTTATTTGCTGTTAGGGATTATAGACATTAGTGATGCAATAGTGAATAAAATTTACAGAATTTCTGTCCTCATGGAGTTTACTATCTAGTGGACAATACAGATAATAACAAGGTAACTTATAATGACAGAATACGATAAGGGCTTTGAAAGAAATCTAAAGATGCTATGACAATAAAAAAAAATAGGAGAATCTAATTTAATTCAGAGAAGACATCTTTCAAGCAATGTCACTCTTTTTTTTTTTTCTCAGAGGCAGGGTCTTGTTTTGTTGACCAGGCTGGATGGAGTGCAATGGAGTGATCGCAGGTCATTACAGCCTCAAACTCCTGGGCTCAAGCGATCCTCCTACCTCAGCCTCCCAAGTAGCTGGGACTACAGATGTGTGCCACCTTGCCTGGATAATTTTTAAGTTTTTTGTAAAGATGGGTTCTTGCTAGGTTGCCCAGGCAGGTCTCAAACTCCTGGCCTCAAGCAATCCTCCCAAAGTGCTGGGATTACAAGCATGAACTACTGCGTCCAGTTTCACTCTTGCTCAGATCAGAAGATGAAGGGTCAGCAAGCAATGACTGGGAGAGGTCTTCCTGAATGGGGAAACAGTCTGGGCAGTGGCCCTGAGGTAAGAAAGCTCTTGAGACAAATTTGATAAACTAAAGAAATGGAGCACAGTGAGGGAGGTGGGAAGATAGGCATGAGAAGGTTGAATTTTTTTTTCAAAGTACATAGGGAAACCACTGAAAGATTTTAAGTGGTGGAACTAATGACCCAATTTAAGTTATATACATATATATTTTATATTTTAAAGATCATTCTGGCTGCTGTGTAAAGACAGAATTAAGGGGAGAAGGAAGAAGCAGGCTACAGTCGTAGTCTAGGCTTCATCTGAGGTAGTGGCAGAGAAGACAGAAAGACATGGATGAACTTCTAGATATACTTTAGAGCCAAAATGGCTAGGACTTAGTGATTAATGTGGTTTAGGAGAGAAATAGAGAAAATGAGGATGATTTCTAGGTTTCTGGCCCAAACAAGTGTGTAGATGGGCCATTTGCAGAGACGGGTGGATAAGAACATTTGTTGTGGTGTTTTTTTTTTTTTTTTTGGTATGTTAAGGTTTAGGTTTGTCTTTTAGGTTTGAGATATTTATCAGGCACCAAGTGGAAATGTTAAATAGGCAGGTGGATATACACAAACCTGTAGTTAAGATAAAAGGTCTGAGATTAACTATATACTTTTGGGAATCATTACTTTAGATCATGTGGAAATGGAGGACACTAAGAATACAGAGAAACCTAAGAGCAAGCACGAGGAACTCCAATATTTAGGGGTCAGATAGAAGTGGAAGAGCTAGCAAAGACACTGAAAATGAAAGGCCAAATGAGGGAAGAAGAAAACAAGGAGGGTGTGGCAGGACAGAAGTCAAGACAAGGGTTCACGTCAATTGTGTTAAATGATGCCTAGAGTAATGATTGACTCTATAGTTTCCAGTTTAGCATAGAGAAGAACAGCCGCAATAGGTATTTAGTGAAAGAGAGGTGTGGAATGAAAACAATGTATGCAGATAATTTTTGAGAAGTCTGGCTGTAAGGGGGAACAAAGAAATGATGGAGCAGGTGGAAGAAGGAGGGCAGTTTAGGAGGGTAAGATTCTAAATCATGTCCATATGTTGACAGAAATGACCTAGCAGAGAGAAACCATACCAGATGATTCTGTTATTCTAAATAAAATATTAGATGAGGTCGTCAATAGCTGGGGAAATGTGAAATGTGAGTTCCCTACATTTACAAAATAATGTAAACCATGAAAGCCAAGGTTTATGATTTGGCAGGAAGGTTACAAAAAGCAGTGATAAAAGACAGGAAATCAGGTCGAGCCTCAAGGGAAATCCAATCTAAAAGAATTACTATAAATTTAACTAACTATTGCAAGGTTAGAAGGAAAGTGCTAGCAAATTGCAAACACTTGACTGAAAAATGTATTTAATTCACATATAATCCCCTCATCCCTGCTAAATATCTACTTTAAAATCTTATAAATTATATACAAGTTCAATTAAAATATGTTTAAATTGCCTACCCAGCCACTGTTAGGCACTGAAGTTCAGCTGCAATTCTTATAGGATGACTTGTTGGAATCAAGTGTTTTAGAGCAATTTTCTCTTCAGGTCCTACTTGTAACTGTGCTGTGGCCAAATAAACAGAGCTGAAAGTGCCTGTAAAACAATTTATTAAATTTTTCAATATCTGGTTTTTAAAAATGTTAATGAAACAATTCTAAGATAGATTGTAAAAACTGTTTCAATGGCATAATACATTAAAACAGGACTTCATTTTACAGTAAATATTTATTATTTATTCTTTCTTTAAGGTTGAAAAAGAAAAGCTGTTACCATAATTAGTAATAAAACTATGGTCTTAATAGTCTAAAAAGTGGTATATTTTTCAATAAGAAATAGTAATGAAAACCAAGACTAAAAAAGGAAAATAGAATGGAAAAAAGACCTCGTAAAAATAGTAAAAGCATATCCCCAGATTACCTTCTCCAATTTTGTCCTCAATCTTAAACACATTACTAAGCTGTGGTACAGCTTCATAAAGCTTCTCAATATCTTTTTTAACACCTTTCAAGGAAACAAAAATTTAGAGTTTTAATCAATGACAGTATATTTTACAGTTTCTTAAAATTTAAAAAGCTCAATGAAATAAATTATAAAATATGAGTAATTAATTATACATAAGTTTTAATAACATTGTGATAAGATTAAAACCCATCAAGTTGCTATAACTCACACACACCTCTTGAACAGACAAAAATGACAGTCCCAGAATTAAATACACCAAATTTCTACTATACTGGAATTATATACTAAGAGATACATTGTTACTGTAGAGATTACAACATGAAAAAGCACCAAATTTTTAAAATAACTAAACAATTTGTGCTGTGATCACTAGATGGCATGACAAGGACACATTGCGATGTTCTTGAAAACTATTTCCCGTAAAGATACAAAATCTTAAAGGCTTGGTAAAATTTTATGTATTAAATATTCACACTATATTTTCAGAGAGAAGGCCTACTAAAGCTCTCAAGCATGTAAAAAAGTATTTTTAAAAATTTGTCCCAATTGCCAGTAGTATCCTCTATCCTTGACTGCAGATAAATTGCTACTTTTAAATAAGTATCAGTTCTTTATAAAAATGTACATAGTTAAAACAAGGGGAGGCAATAATACAAAACCCAGTAAACTACTGGATACAGAAGAGAACTAGATAAGTCTTCAGATTTTATTACAGTATCTAGGCTCTACTAGCCCTATATAGCATAAGTTTAAGACATTTTCAAAGCACCGGCACATGCAGTATCTTTTGAGGTCTTCCTAACAGTACTGTGAACTTGGCAGAGCAGGAATGATTATCCTGATTTTTCAGATAAGGAAACTCAATTCAGGGAGGTTAAATCATTTGCCCAATTTCACAGAGGTGTTGCTGATTATATATATTTTCTAATTTTCTTTCTTTTTTGAGATGGAGTCTCACTCTGTTGCCCAGGTTGGAGTGCAGTGATGTAATCTCCACTCACTGCAACCTCTGCCTCCTGCGTTCAAGAGATTCTCATGCCTCAGCCTCATGGGCAGCTGGAATTACAGGCACGCAACACCACGCCCAGCTAATTTTTGTGTTTTTAGTAGAGACGGGGTTTCACCACAATGGCCAGGCTGGTCTTGAACTCCTGACCTCAAGTGATCTGCCCACCTTGGCCTCCCAAAGTGCTGGGATTACAGGTGTGAGCCGCCGCACCTGGCTAGAACTAATTCATTTAAATAAACGCTGTCTTAAAAAATGCTCAGCAATGGGTATGTAAAAAAAACCAATAAATTTGATGCAGCCACTAAGAGCTTGGTCTAGTAAAGGAAACATGTTATCATTCTTAATACAAGGTGACACCTGTAATAAAAGAATGTATATACTACTAGGTTGGGGAGGATTTCTGAAGGTGATAGGAAGCCTTCAGTTGACAGCTAAGTTTTGTTCTGAAGCATTCACCAAGTAGTGAAAGTGGAAGAAAACATTTTAGGAAAAATTAACTACGTCTGTAAAGACAGGAACAAGAAAAAAAAAAGGCTTGGATGATTAGGGTAGGGGGAGGGCTGAGAGACAATGAAATACAATGTGGCCTGGGGCGGTGGCTCAGGCCTGTAATCCCAGCACTTTAGGAGACCAAGGCAAGAAGACTGCTTGAGGCCAGGTGTTTGAGACCCTATCTCTTAAAAAAGCTAAAAAACAAACAAACAAACAAAAATTAGCTGGGCTTTGTAACACGGGCCTGTAGTCTCAGCTACAGAGACTGAGGCAGAAGGATACCTTGAGCCCAGGAGTTTGAGGTTACTAAACTATGATCGTGCCACTGTACTCCAGCCTGGGTGATGGAAGAGGGAGACCCTGTCTCAATAATAATAACAATAATAACAATAATAGAAATAGAATGTGGCTGAGGAAGACAAGAGAGAATGCACATGAAAGCTATAGGAAGTTTTTAAGCAGAAAAATGACAAGTGGAGAACAGATGTGAAAGGGAGGAGAAACATTAAGGGTACTTCCACACCACTACTCACTTATTATGCATCTACTCCTCTTTACAAAAATCAAAATGTTTATTAAGGTTTCCTGTCACTTCAGAACAACTTCAACAATTTTAAACAACAGTAAAACTTCCTGGCAACCAAAGTGAATGCAATATCCTCAAATTCTGAAGTGGGAAATGACAGCAGAAAGCAGAAAAGTGCATTCATGTCAAAAGCTGGAAAACAGTACTAAAGACAGACAAATGAAACAGACTTTGAGGACTGGAGGAGGATCCCGAAAATCTATAATATGCTAAAAATTATTTAAATGCCTCTATTTTATACATGAAGGTCTAGGCTTCTATTTTGACATTTTAAGTCACTTTTGTTTTCTGCTGCATAATATATCCAAGTTGGTTTTAATATACCAATAGTCTCCTTAACTACACTCCTTGCCAGCCTGGAGTCTATCTGTAACATAGTAGCCAGTCGGCTTGCAACATAGCAAACAGAGTTTAAACAGAGTATTCTGATAAAGCTAAGTCACCTTGTCACTATTGTGCTCAAAACCTCTAATGGTTTCACATCTCACTCCATTAGAAAGCCTCTTTACATCTCTCTTTGACTTCATTCCAATTACCTTCCCCATTCTAGCCACAATGACCTCCTTGCTATTCTTGAATGCTAGGCACACTCCCATCTCAGGGTCTTTGTACTTGCCGTTTCAGGGTCTTTGTACTTGCCGTTTCCTCTGTTTGGAATGCTCTTCCCCAAATATCTGCACAGGTCACTCCTTCACCACCTTGAAGTCTTAGCTCAAATGTTACAGAAGGCTATGAGCAACCATACTCACTAAAATTACAATCTCCTTCCCCAATACTTCCTATCTCCCCTTCCCTTTTACATTTTCTTAGTAACATTAATCACTTTTGAGCACAGTATTTACTTCTTTTGTTTACTCTCTGTCTATTGTCTAACTACCACAGTGTTAATTTCTGTTTTATGGTTTGATTTATCCCTAGCACCTAAAAAAGTACATGTATATAACAGACAATAAATATTCATCACATAAATGAAACGTTTTCAATATCTTGTCATGGATTAAAACTGACACTCTAGGCATATAGTCATGGTTATTCTGGGGCTTCATGTACTCTCTGGTTTATACCTCCTGGAACTAGGGGATAATACATAATATAAGCCCAAACTGGGACACTCTTGAGTGAAAAGGCAGCAGGAATAATAATTACATTGTGACAATAGCCGTAAGCTAGATCTGTCCCAGGCAAACAAAGATGGTACCCATAGCCCATTTTAGAAGCATGGCTAAGGGTGTCATTGTAGCAAACAGAATGAAGCAAGCCTTCCTTCCAGTAGAGTTCACCAGTATGGAGGAGACTTTCAATATAGAGTTTATACATCATTCTTTCACTGAACAGATCTTTCTCACTTATTAAAACTTGGCATATAGTAGATACTTAAAAAAAAATAAAAGCTTACTGGCCAGGCATGGTGGCTCACACCTGTAATCCCAGTGCATTGGGAGGCCAAGATAGGAGGGGATCACTTGAGGCCAGGAGTTTGAGACCAGCCTGGGCAACATAGCAAGATCCTGTTTCTAAAAAAAATATTTAAAATTAGCTGAGTGTAGCGGCACATGCCTGTAATCCAAGCTACTCAGGAGGCTGAGGGGGTAGGATTGCTTGAGTGCAGGAGTTAAGGCTGCAGTGAGCTGTAATTGCACCACTGCACTCCAGTGACAGTGGTGTGACAGAGAGACCATGTCTCAAAAAAAAAAAAAAAAGCTTGCCAAAACAGTGAAAGAATAAACATTTGACCAATATTATGCCAGATAGTTTGTGCATTACAGCATTTTTCTTAATAGGAAAAAATAGAAACAATCTATAGGGTCAATAGTAAAAGGTGATTGAATATATTATAATATAATATGCAATGGACCTTAAATCCAGTTGTAGAATATTTACTACATGAGCAATATTCAAGATATATATTAAAAAAAATGGAGATCAGAAATAAGATCCCATATTCTGGTTCTCTTTTCAAAAACAAAAACAAAACAAGATCCCAATTTAGTTTCTAAAAAATGTACCTATGTATGCCTAGAAAGGCTAAAGGAATATAACAAAATGTCAACAGTGGCAATATTTCAATAATGGGAAAAGACTTTATTTTGGCTTTCTTTACTTCAAAAATTTCAATAATCATGTTTATCAGAAAAATGTTATAAAAATCTGACAAATATCTCAAAATAAAGAGACATGCTATTCATCCATTACACTAAGTATTTTACTTTATATCCTTACATTAAATCATTCATTCAAATATTTTCAAGCACCTACTATGTGCTGGACACTGTTAAGCTCTGGGAATGCTAAGATATATAAAACATCCAATCAAAAATATAACTTCAATAAGGAGTAAAGTTGATGAGGTGCAGGCATATACCTGTCTCATGATCTAATTTGATTTACTTTCCCAATTAGATTACTAGACTGTTATGTGCCTGGACCTCATCAGCTTTGCTCCCTATTGAAGTTATGTTTATATAACTTTAGCTGTTATTAAGATCATATTTAAAAAAGAACCATAAGAGTAAAGTTTTAGCACGTTTTATAATTTATCATATTATAATGTCCAATGTTCTGTTACATAAACGCTACAAAACTTTTGAAATCCGTAATAAAATTCACCCCATTCATTACTTCCCAGCAGATTTTCAGAATATTAGAATAGTGGCATTCTCCTAAACATGATGCTAGAACCAATTCAGAGTCATCCATTCAGATACTCTGCTGAAGTCACAACATACTTTAGAAACCAGAGGAGATACTGCCGCCAAGGGGTTTACAGTGGAGACAAAATGCAGAGTCCTAAGCAATAGAAAAAGAATACTACAATGACTGTGTTACTGTGTTATGTGTCCAGTGACTAGTAAGGGAAAGATGAACTAAAAAAACAGCTAACTGCTGGAAAAATGGAAAGGAAGAGGAACAGTATCCATGAAACTGGATGAAAGTGGCATTTTAAGATTATTCTAGCACCAACATACAAGATGAACTGAAGAATGGAAAAGTGCAAGCAGGCAGCATAGGTGAGAAACTGTTGTAAATCAGGAACAAAGTGTAAGGAAATTAATTAATGTGGTGGAAATGGGAATGGAAAGAAGACACAATGCCATACTTACTAAAAAGAAATAAAGCTAGGTGACGATATGGGGAACAAATAAAAAGCATCAGCTGAAGATTAAAGTTTCAAGTTTAGGTAAGTGGGATAACTGACTTCCATCAAAGCAGAAAGTATGTGATGTCATATTTTTCTAGGGTGGGGTTATAAAGAATATATGGACAAAAGGTCAAAATAAGTATCTTTTAGACAAGCACAGAATTCACTTAAGACAAAGATGGGAAAGATGATCTGGCTACCCTTTCAGAAAAAAAAAAATACAGTCAACTAGAATTCCTCTATTTAACAAATATTTATTATTAACAAATACCTACTATGTCCCAGGTCCTGTGCCAGAGCAGAAATGAAGGTACACATGCGAGTGTACAAGAGCAGGCACTGCTTGACCCTGTCTTATTCACCCTAAGGTCTGGTTTACGGTCAAAGAACATTTCATGCTGTACACTGAGATATGGTGCTTTATTATTGCTACAAACATTTCATATTTTTTTGTCTGTGAGTTCTGCTTTTGAATACTTAAGTGATGATCTCCAGTGTCAATTTCTACATTTAAGCTTAAGGCAATGTGGTGAGTAGAGATAAGAACACAGATACAAAAGAGAAATTTAATTTGGGCATCATCAAATTTCTGCATTCTTAATTACCAATACTGAGACCATAGCAACTTCAACCGTAAAACAGGTTGTATTACAGTCTTCCAAATCGCAATTCAGTCCTACATTTAGATCATACGAAGCTCTGTTTTAACACTGTCCTATAGAAACATACAATTCACTTTATAAGATTCAATCTTATTTTTTGAGAGGAATTGAAAACACAGAATTGTTGCCTGAAAAATCTTTATAACTGTACATCTTTGGATTTAAACACGTACCTGCAAGTTTAAAATTCTGCTCGTTTTTTTTTAAAGAGCCTTCAGCCTGAAACCGGTCACGCTGGGGAGAAAAAGCCATTGGCTCATCCATCTGAATCCCCAAAGACGCCTCCATCACAAGCCAATTGAGATGCAAAATGCCAGCTAAGGGGTTACATCCACAGGGGGAGCAAAGCAGCTGTGAAAATTAGAACACTAGAGAAATTTAGATCACTCGCTAAACCACGCACTAAAAACATGCTACTGCCCCCCAAAGGGGCAAACATTTTCAAACGCACGATGTGTCCAAACCTCCACAGTAGGGCATACTGTGGCCTTGTCTAAGGAATTCCATGTGCTTTATTTTCACCTATCAGAAACACCGGCAGGGGGCTGCAGGGAGAATTTCCCGGCTTGGGCACCCGCGCAGCAGCAGGCGCAGTGGGAAACGGCGAGGCTGCCAGTCCGGCACAGCCAGCGGGACCGCGTGGGGGAGGGGCCGAGCGCCGGGGGCGGTTTGAAGTCAGGAAAAGAACTGAGGGAGAAAACCTTTTCGCCACTGACAGGAAGCGCCAGGAGGCTCGTCCAAGGCCCCAAGCAAGTTGACGGAGAACTGATACGACCCTGGCCACGAGTACTGGGCGGAGGAGGAGAAGGGTGAATGAATGGGAATCCGCCGGCCAGCGCTGGCCGCGAGCTCAGCCGGGAAGGACCGGCTTCCCTCGGGCCAGAGACCGAACCAGATGCTTAGTGCGCAGGCGCGCGACTTTCCCGCCGCAGGTCGGAGGGATCCGAAGGGGGGCGGGAAAAGGAACTGCACGGCGAGAAAACCGAAGTCACGATCCAGAATTCGTTCCTAATCCCTCACAATCCCGCGCCATGGAACAAACCGTCGGAAACTCACGGTTTAAGGGAGTACGACTTCTGTGGCTCCCCAGATGCCTGGGTCGCCGTCTCCAAGAGATCCCCACCTACCGAGTCGATCGGATGCGCCTGCGCAACACTTCCCGCCGCCGCTCTGGTTGCACATGCGCACACTAAAGCCCTCGACCCCGCGGATTCCGCTACTGGGCGTTTGCGCAAGAGGGTGGGGTTTCTTCCCGCCGCCTTGGCCAGCTAGAAGAGCGGTTACGGGAATGAAGCCCGTGGATGATCTTAAAAAACAGGGTGAACCATAAGGCTAAGGGCCCAGCATGATTTCCAGGAAAGAAGCTAGCTCAGAGAAGGAAAAATCTCAGGTGCTGACACATCCCTATATACGTGGCCGGCCGCACAACACATTGGGCACTCCATGGATAAAAGGCACTTTCTTGACTCTGCTTTTATTTCCTTTTCGTTGAGTGCCCTACTTCCCCGTTAAAAACAAGCAGAAAATGTAATTGCTGATTGTTTGTGGCTGTGTTAGTAGAAATTAGCACAGTGGCAGGAAGGCAGTGTATACTATTTACTGAGCCCTTGGCTATGAGGTAGGTGGGTTTTTCTAGGGGCTGGAATCATAGTGAGCAAGATAAACACCATCCCTGTAGGAAGCTAAATTCCAATGAAGCGATGACAATAACGGATGAATAAATGAACAGTATTCTTTCCGGCATTGATTACTACTTGAGGGAAATACTGACCAGGAAGGTGGCATCTAGATGGTCAGGGAAGCCCTCTCAAAGAGACCTGGATGAGAAAGAGCTGGTAGGGAGACTGTTGTCCTGGCAAAGAAAGGATAGGGCAAATGCAGAGAGAAAGAGGAACTTGGTATGTTGCAGGGGCAGGGCAGGAAAGGCCAGTGTGGGGGAAGCATAGTGAGTGAGCCGCAAGATAGTCCCAGATAGATGAAGGTGGAGAGTTAGGCAGAAGCCAGACCAGGGTCCTTGAAAGCCAGGGTAAGAAGTTTAGTGTTTGTTCTGAGTACAATTGGAAGCTATTTGAAAGTTTTAAAGCAAGGGAGTAATATGATCTATCTGTTATGAAGAGAATGGATTGTAGAGGGGCAAGTGTGGAAGCAGAGGAAATAGGATGCACTTTATGTTTAGGAGAAACATAATGGTAGTTTGGACCAGAACAATGGCGGAAGAAATAAAAGAAAGAAGACAATGGGATTTGGTGATTGGCTATGGAAAATGAAGAAAAGGGCATCATCAACAGTGAATCTTAGGTTTTGGGCTAGCATATGTGTGGGTGGTAGTGCCACATAGAAGGGAAGTCTGTGAGGTAATGGTTTTTGATTGAGTGAGGTGGAAGAGAGTAAATCAAGGATTCTAGTGTGGATACCGAGAAAGAGAAAAGCAGACCTTGACATCCAGGAGATGGCCTGGTACTACCAGCTTGGTTTGCTGTTGCTTTGAGCTGGCCTGGCAATCACAGCCAAGCATTGGTATTCTTCTGTTGAACATAAACAATTTCACAGAACATCAGACAAGACAGAGTTGTGACCGTGATAGATCAAGACAAAAGTAAGATCACTCTATAATCATATGTGAACACAGACACAACATCAACATTGCCCAAGCCATAAAAATGATCAAATATCTCCTTATCCTAGCTAATATGAGTGCCTGCTGCTTCTTTACCAATTATAGTTTTAACCTCAGTCTAGTCTTCCTTCCTTCTACATAATACTTATTAAAATACCCAATTATAGAATTATCCTTGCTTCCTTACAGCTTCCAATCCAGGCCAAAGTCCCTCTTTCTTGCACCCTTCCGTAAATCTCCTAACACAAACTCAAATTCTATAACAAGTCCTTTTTAACACCCTCTTCCTAAGACATCCCATGGTTCCCCATGGTGTGCATTCTCACGTACTGAAACAAGCAATACATCCAAGTTGCTCAGCTATAGTTGTGTTCCTGGTGGTCATTATCGGGAGGTCGTTAACAATAATCAAGTCCAAGATATGCAAGTGATGATGTCAAAGAAACAGATGAATATATTGGTCTGGGGTATAGTTCAGGGTGAAGAAATAAACTTGGCAGTTATGAATTTATAGATGAAACCTAGTCTTGGACTATACGATATTATCTAAGCAAAGATTGTAGATGGAGAGTTGGGCTATGATAACTTCCAACATTTCATAGTTGAGCAGAGGAGGAGGAAGAACCAGCAAGAGACTGAGAAGTAGTAGTCTGTGAGGTAAGAAGGTGATGTCATAGAAGTCAAGAGCAGAAAGTTTTACAATTAGAAGAAAGTGGTCAGCTATAGCAAATGCTTCACAGAAGTAGTGAGGATACAGAATTGATCAGAGATAGTCATTAGAGCCTTCAGAAAGAGCAGCTTTGGAGTGAGACAGAAAGACTATATTGAATTTATTGACGAACAAAAGATCTACAAATGGAGACAACTCTTGAGGTTTGGTTTGTTTCTTAGTTTGGTTTCTTGTCTTTATTGGGGGGTAGGGCGCACAAATAGAATAGTGGCTACAGTGTCAAATTGTTTATAAACTTTATACTAGCCGTGTAACTTGGGCAAGTTATTCAATATCTGTGACACTCCTATTTCAAAAATGTAACATGGATAAAATACTTGCTTGGTTTTGCTATAGGGATTAAATTAGATAAAGTGACATAATACATGTAAAGTGCTTGGTCCCATAGGCCTGGACATTGTTAGCTTGTATTAGTTAATTTATAATGGGTACTTTTTCCCCCTTTGTCAATGATCCCATCCCTAATACCTAGCACATGGCTGTTCACATAGTATGGATTTAATAAATGGCTATGGAATTAATGTACAATGAGAAGTTAGGTTTTATTTATTTATTTTTATTATTCATTCATTTATGTATTTACTTAGTAGAGACAGAGTCTCGCTCTGTTGCCCAGGCTAAAATGCAGTGGCATGATCATGAATCACTATAGCTCCGAGGCTCAAGCAATTCTCCTGCCACAGCGTCCCAAGTAGCAAGGATTACAGCTGTATGTCACCATGCTCAGCTAGACATTAGGTTTCAAATGGTTGGTTGCACTTATGTCTCCTGTAAGCAGATTGGAGGTGGAGATAGATTGTTTAATAAAAATTATTATTTAGAGATGTTGATAACTACATACACACAGTTTTCTTTAGGGTCAGACCAGTGCCTTTACCATTTTTCCTTCATAACATGTTTATTCTGCCTCCAGGTCTGTTTGTGCTGCATGTGCATGTGTGTGTGTGTGTGTGTGTGTGTGTGTGTGTGTGTGTGTGTCTTTTTGTCTTTTGTTTCTATCTCTGCATCCTCCAAAGTCAGTGAAGTTTTCTTTAGATAGCCTAGCCCAGGATCTGTCCCTTCCCTAACTCACGGCTGACCCATTATGGGCTGGAAGAAGTTACTAACTCAGAGTTAGCAAGAAAAGCCATGGACCTGTTTGTGCCAGTGAGATTGTGGATCTGTGCTATTGCAAAGGGATCCTGCCCTCCTAAGTGTCCTCTTGTCTTAGAGGGAGCACATGAGAACAATCTTATTAGTAGACTTCAAACTACTTAGGCACCAGGTAATCTGCATTTAGAAGCCAAGTGATTCTAAGAGTTGTCTGGGAAAACCAGATGCCCAGCTACTGGAGACCTTGAGGCCTGTGGAAATTTGAGTTGGGTGCAACTTCTCACTCTGGGAGAAATGGGGAGTCTCTGGTCAGTTGTACGGTGAACTCAGAATAGGTTCCCAGAACAACTTTCAAATAATTTTGCTCATCTCTCTCTCCATGAATGTCCCTACTAAAGGACACACCCCGCCCCCCCACACACACACCAAAAAAAAAAAAAAAAAAAAAAAAATGACTAGGAAAGAAAGAAATGACAAAGGAAAAGTTAGTGGAAGTCTTATCCCCCTTTCCACTATTATATATATAAATAGCTGACACACTGTCTTAGAACCTCCTATCTTTAAGGAATTTATTAACCTAGGATAGAAATAAAGCAGACCGGGTGTGGTGGCTCATGCCTGTAATCCCAGCACTTTGGGAGGTTGAGGCGGGCAGATAGCTTAAGTCCAGGAGTTTGAGACCAGCTTGGGCAACATGGTGAAATACTGTCTCTACAAAAAAATACCAAAAAATAAAAATAAAAGTAAAAAGGATTAGCTCAGCATGGTGGCACATACCTGTAGTCCCAGCTAATTGGGAGGCTGAGGTGGGAGGATTGCTTGAGCCTTGGGGGTTTAGTCTGCAGTGAGCTGTGATGGCACCACTGCACTCTAGCCTCGGTGACAAAGCAAGACCTAGTCTTAAAAAAAAAAAAAAAAAGAGATAAAGTAAAGGAAATACACAGCTTTTGAAACTGAACAGAAATTATTTCTTAGGGCAATGCCAAGTAAATGAAGAAATTCCTAGGTTATAAAATGAAATTCTAGCCAGGCATTATAAAGTATACCAGGACGAAACACTTAGAATTTAATGGGGAAAATTTTTATTTCAAAAACAAAATTGCAAATTATTTAAAAATCTAAAAGGTATGAATCAATTCTGAAACTACAATGAAACAGCAAGAAAATTTGAAATACTCAAAGGTCCACAAATTTACCAAAGTTTGATTTCTCAATTAGTAATGTAGGACAGAAAAAAACTGCCTACAGGATTGTTACACAAACCAAATAATATTTAAAGCTTCTAGGAGAGCTCATGGAAGACACCTAACATTTGAATTTATTTTTTCATTCAATGAATGCCTTCTCACACTTGCTGTGCCCAGCAACACAATAGGTACTTGTAATATGCAAATGACTAAAAAGAGGACTCCACTCTTAAGTAGCTTGATATATATCTAATGGCTGAAGTGGACAGTTTTCATATTTATCTTTTATGACCCAGCATGGAGCATGTCTTTCTCAGGGAAGCCTCACCAACTGAATAGGTTGAGTTCCTGGGTGCGTGCTTCCCTAGCAACCTGTACTCCAGCTTTTATCACAGTAACATGAATAGCACTTATTCCATGTTATTCATTTATTTGACAAATTCAACAACATTGGAAAAATATTCACTGACCGCATATATGTCAATTACTGTGTAAGAGAATCTCATCATCGTCATTGTCATCATGGCTAACAGTGACATAGAGCTCACCACATGCCAAGCACTCTTCTAAACAATACACATTTATTAATTACTTGACTTGAGCAACAACTCTACGAGGGGGTGATTAACTTTGGGTCAGAAAGTTTTTCTGGAAAAGGAAAGTCCACGCTGGGTTTTGAAAAATTGATAGGAGCTTACCAGGTCAACAGGGTAAGGAAGAGATACTCTGCTACGCATTCTAAGAAGATTGAAATAGACAAATGTTTCCAGGGAACTGTAAGTTGTTTGGTATTACTTTAGCCCAAACAGCAAGAAAAATACTGGTAGGAGGTGAGCTAGAGAGTAGACACGGACATATCATGAAGTTTCTTGTGTGCTGTTCTCAAAATGAGGGCTATAGAGAACTAATGAAGGGTATTAAATAGGAGAGAGAGAAATAGACTTAATTTATTGAGATTACTTTAGTGTAGGAAATAAACTATAGGAGGAAGAGGCTATAAGCTGAGTGACCTATTCAATAAATGTTTAGAGATGGAGAGTGACATATTCTCACTTATAAGTGGGAGCTAAATAATCTGTACGCATGGACATAGAGTGTGGAATGATAGACATTGGAGATTCAGGAGAATGGGAGGGTGAGAGGGGTGTGATGGTTGACAAATTTCTTAATGGGTACAATGTACATTATATGGGTCCTGGATACACTAAAAGTCCAGACTTTACCG
The DNA here is from genome assembly GCF_000001405.40 of Homo sapiens. Classification (NCBI taxonomy): domain Eukaryota; kingdom Metazoa; phylum Chordata; class Mammalia; order Primates; family Hominidae; genus Homo; species Homo sapiens. Next base: position 91,495,153 of record NC_000001.11, on the reverse strand, counting down.
CTATGCAATATATCCATGTAACAACTCTGCACTTGTATCCCTTAAATTTATACAAATATAAGAAGAGAGAGAAAGAGAGAGAGAGAACTTAAAATAGATGACCTGAAATGGTCTCTTTTGGAAAAGCTTCAATTTTTTTAGTCTCCTCTACATGAGGCCTTATGCAGCATATAGGACGTTTCTATTCTGTGTTTATTTCTCCTTAAGAGATGAAAAAAAGAGACTAAGCACCTAGTTTGATTAAGTACAAGGCTTACAAGAAAGCAAAAGTAGCAACCCTGATCTCATCATTGCTGATTGACAAGAATGTTGTTTGTAGCATTACCAAATGTGGTCTCCTTTGCAAGAGAAAGCAGTTGAAGTAATAATAACCAGGTCAGTGATTCTAACAAGTGGATCATAGGAACAAATTAGCCAATGAAAATACATCCCTTTCTCTCTGATGTAGCTTTTTGGAGGAGGTGGATTAGTGAGCAGTGGGTCCCTGTTGGATGAGGGGTTAGGGAAGGGATGGCCTGAGCTCTAAACATAGGAAGGGCTTCCATGCATATCCTACATGTCTGGATGATGGATTGAGACTTGACTCTGCCATTTTTTGGCTTCCTCCTGAAGATGATAGTCAGTAGCAGTCAAAGTCATGGTTCAAGAAGGGTCACTAACATAGCACTTTCCTCTAGACACACCTCTCCTTAGAAAAACACCCAAAACAGAGTATTCTTCTTTGGAGTCAACAGTGGGAGAGTATGAACAAATAGAATAGATACTCCCTGCACACAAGGTATGGGCTCACAACAAGAGCTAGCCAGCTGGTGACAGCACTTTCTCTGTGGCCCACTGCTCCTCTAAAATAGGCCTGTTTCTGTATAAGAACCTGGTGAATTATTGAGAGGGAATTGGGATAAGTTGTTCTGCCCTCCACCCCTTTCCTCAGGGTACAGCTGGAATTGAGGTAAGTACATAATATCTAAGTTTAGGCCTATATTAGAATAATGAGGGAAATGGACACTTTGGGCCACTTAATGAGGTAAATGGACATTGAATGAGGTAAAAGAACATAGTACTGGCATTGAGGGACATAAATTCTAGCAACCAAACTGGGAGACTTCTCTCTCATCCAAGCATCCCAAACAAAAATGAGAAAAGTTCAATAGCAGTGCTATAAGGGAAAACCTCCGCAATTCCTTCTTGATCCCATTTGATATATATTTGAATTATTGACATAATGAATGTAAGGGAAGGGGATGCATTTGATGCACACTGTCATAGGCACTGAGTTGGGCACTGTAGTAAGATCTTTTTATGTGTTATCTTATTAATTCTTTAATTATTGGACTTATTTTATAGATCAGAAATATTAGCTTTAGAAAAGACTGGCCAGGCGCAGTGGCTCACTCCTGTAATCCCAGCACTTTTGGGAGGCTGAGGTGGGTGGACTGCATGAGCCTAGGAGTTTGAGACCAGCCTGGGTAACAGGGCGAAACCTCATCTCTAGTAAAAATACAAAAATTAGCCAGGCATGGTGGTGCACACCTCCAGTCCCAGCTACTTGGGAGGTGAAGGTGGGAGGATCACCTGAGCCTGAGAGGTCGAGGCTACAGTGAGCTGAGATCATCAGGCTGCTGCACTCCAGCCTGGGAGGCAGAGCAATCCTGTCTTAAAAAAAAAAAGATTAAGTAAATACCGATGACAACAAGCCAGTAAGTGGCAGAGCTGAAATTGGAATCTAGGATTCTTTGAACACAAAGGTCTTCATTTGGATTAGACCTCAACTATATATTTTTTCCTTTTTATTGTGGTAAAATACACATAACATACAGTTTACCATCTTAACCATCATTAAGCATACTACAGTTCAGTGGTATTAATACATTTACGTAGTTGTGCAACCATCACCACCATCCATCTCCAGATCCCTTTTCACCTGGTAAAACTGAAACTCTACACCCATTGAACAATAACTTCATTCCCTAGTCCCCCAGACCCTGGCAACTACCATTCTACTTTCTGTTTCTATGAATTTGACTACTCTAAGTAACTCTGGCAGAATCATACAGATTTGTCATTTTGTGGCAAGCGCATTTCACTTAGCATAATGTCCTCAAGGTTCATCTGTGTTGTAGCATATGTCAGAATTTCCTTCCTGTTTAAGACTACATAATATTCCATTGTATGTAGATGCATCGTGTGCATCTACAACCTCTGTATCTGTGGATTTCACATCTGTGGGTTCAACCAACTGAGATTGAAAATATTCAGGGGGAACTATAGATGTTTGCATCTGGACTGAACATATACAGATGTTTTTTCTTGCCATAATTCCCTAAACAATACAGTATAACAACTATTTACATATCATTTACATTGTATTAGGTATTATAAGTAATCTAGAATGATTTAAAATATATGGGAGGATTGGATAGATTATGTGAAAATACTACACCATTTTATATAAGGGACTTGAGGATCTGTGAATTTTGGTATCTGTGAGGGGTCTGGTAACCAATCCCCCATGGATACCAAGGGATGACTGTATCACATTTTGCTTATCCATTCATCTGTCATGAACAGTTGGGTTGCTTCCATGTTTTAGCTATTGTGAATAATGCTGCTATAAACATTGGTATACATGGGAGACCCTTTTGATTCTTTTGAGTATGTACCTAGCGGTGGAATTGCTAGATCATATGGTAATTCTATTTTTAGCTTTTGATGAACTACCATACTGTTTTCCACAGCAGCTGCACCATTTTACATTTCTACCAACAGTGCACAGAGTTCTAATTTCCCCATATTTTTGCCAACACTTTTTTTTTTTAATGGTGGCCATCCTAATGGATGTGAGGTGGAATCTCACTGTGGTTATGACTTGCATTTCCCAAGTAATTTTTGATGTTGAGCATCTTTTCATGTGTTTGTGACCATTTGTATATCTTCTATGGAGAAAAGTATATTAAAGGCTTTTTCCAATTTTTTGAATTTTTTTAATTGTTGAATTTTAGGAGTTCTTTTATATTCAGGGTATTAATCCCTTATCAGATGTATAACTTGACAATATTTTCTCCCATTGTGTGGGTTGACTTTTTACTTTATTAATAGTGTCTTTTGATGCACAAAGATTTTGTTTTGTTTTTACTCCCCAAAGGAAACAATCCCAAAAGCTTAAATTTTCATAAAGTACAGTTTGTCTATTTTTTCCTTTTGTTGCCTGTGCTTTTGGTGTCACATTCAAGAAATCATTGTCAAATCTAATGTTGAGAAAATTTGGCCCTTTGTTTTCTTCTAAGAGTTTTATGGTTTTAGCTCTTTGTTTAGATCTTTGATCTATTTTGAGTTAATATTTGTAGATGGTGTTAGGTAAGGGTCCAACTTCATTCTTTTTTTTTTTTTTTTTTTTTTGAGATGGAGTCTCGCTCTTTTCACCCAGGCTGGAGTGCAGTGGCACGACCTCGGCTCACTGTCACCTCCGCCTTCCGGGCTCAAGTGATTCTCCTGCCTCAGCCTCCTGAGTAGCTGGGATTACAGGTGCCTGCCATCACGCTCGGCTAATTTTTGTACTTTTAGTAGGGACGGGTTTCACCATTTTGGCCAGGCTGGTCTCGAATTCCTGACCTCAGGTGATCTGCCCGCCTGGGCCTCCCAAAGTCCTGGGATTACAGGTGTGAGCCACTGTGCCTGGCCCCAACTTTATTCGTTTGCATGTGGATATCCAGTTTTCCAGGAGATCTCAACTATATATTTTTTAAAGTTTTTTCAACTTGGCTAGCAAATAACTTGCTCAGGCTGACTTCAATTTGAAATTCAATTTTCAAGTACAGGTAACTTCATGCTCTATTATTGAAAAAAAGATACTAATTTTTGTCCTATTGTCCTGTAGCAGTTTAAAGAGATACAAATCTCTCAGGAGTAGATTAAAGACAATTTTTTTAAAAGGAACCCAAACAGTTGAGTATAATAATTATTTATCTATCTAGTGTTGTTTTATATCTATTCATTTATCTTTTTTTTTTTTTTGGTGGTACCTGTGGCTAGTTGCAACCCAATTTCAAAAACTAAAAACGTGAAGAATGGGAACTTGGTAAAAAAAAAACCTGCAAATCTACCAAGGGAGAAAAAGTATTTATAGTATGAAATAAATATGTTGCACCTAAAGGTAATTACAGCATGCAAAGAAAACAAATAACACATATTTTCCTCCTAAGATATACAGATTTCAAACACTCTGGAGAAAAAAATCCTGTTATTATTACTAAAATTCAGAGAGACTCACAGGACCAAATTCATATTTTAAGAATTTAAATGCAAACTTATGAAAATTGAGATTTCTGTACATTCCCAGGGCTCCAGTATATAGTCAAATACTATTAGGACTGGGAGGTCAAGGAGCAAGTACTGTGATATGTCAAGTTTCGTCTCCAGGGACTGAAACTTGCTAGCATCTGGTACTACTCTGAAATGTGCTGATTATATCAGTTCAGCTATTAATGGGAAAAATATCCAGTATGATGAAATCTTAATGGCTTGACTTCCAATTGTTTGTTATCTTTAAAGAAGATGATTTAAGATTTTGAAAAATCCCTAGAAATTTCAAGTTCAGGCCCTTTGTGTTGGTGCCTTTTTGCTGGAAAAGAAATATGCTTAAGAGCACATTTTAAAAACGATGTATCAATACTATACAAAACTTTTCATATTCTTATGTGTTTTAAAATTACAGAATAAGATTGTAATTAGCCAATATTGATTTTTTAAAAACATAAAGTTGTGACTGTCCATTATTTAAGACAATTTACTAAGATATAACTTAATACAGCAATATTAATTGGGGTTTAATGCTAGTGGTTTTTCAGATTTAGAACAATTATCTGCTTAGTTTCAAGTTTTAAATATAAAATTTTATCCCAAAGAAGAATTTTCCAGTTAGGCTATCCATCACTGCCCCTTCTCCAAAATACTAACATAAATTTATTTTATTTTATTTTATTTTTGAGATGGAGTCTCGCTCTGTCTCCCAGGCTGGAGTGCAGTGGTGCTGTCTCAGGTCACTGCAACCTCTGTCTCCCAGGTTCAAGTGATTCTCCTGCCTCAGCCTCCTGAGTAGCTGGGACTACAGGCATGTGCCACCATGCCCGGCCAAAGTTTGTATTTTTAGTAGAGATGGGGTTTCATTGTGTTGGCGAGGTTGGTCTCAAACTCCTGACCTCAGGTGATCTGCCCACCTTGGCCTCCCAAAGTGCTGGGATTACAGGCATGAGCCACCATGCCTGACCCTAAAATAAATTTTAAATGGAGGCATAGGCACAATTAACTTTGAAGCTTTAAATATAGTGATAAACTTGACTCTCGTAAGTTTGAGTTTGGAGCATCACAGTGGTCTGAGAACTATAGACCAAATCCCCTGTGGGACAAATCCAGCCTGTCACCTGTTTTTGTACACACTGCAAGCTAAGAATGGATTTTACACTTTTAAGTTATTGAAAAAAATGTATAAAAGAATATTTGGGACACATGAAAATTATATAAAAATCAAATTCTAGTGTTCATAAATAAAGTTTTATTGGAACACAGCCATGCTCATTTGTTTGGTATTGTCTATGGCTGCTTTCACTCTACAATGGCAGAGGTGAGTTGAGTAGCTGCCACAGAGATGTGTGGCCCACAAAATCGAAAATATTTACTAGCTGGCCCTTTATGCGAAAAGTTTGCCAACTTGTGAGCGTCATAATTGCAGCTTGCATTGTGAAGTCAACATACAAATAAACCAAATGTCACTAAGGCGTGCAGAAGAAATTTTTACCATACAATACATCAGTTGTTTAATATGGAGAAACAAAGCACACAAATATTTACTTAGTATTTGTTAATTACAACAGCTCAGAATTGTGACTAGTGCTTTCTAATGGTAGTTTCTTTTTCTTGACAAGAGAGCAGCAGCTTAATCTTTCTATGTGAAAAAATACACTTGTCCCATGATCCTCCACAAGGCAGGAGATGGAGGAAATATTGCAGGAGTCTCTTTGCTGAAGTCTTTGTTAACAGCATGACCATGGATGGACAGTGACTGGCATTTAATTTTGACATGAGGAGGGAGGAGAAGCCAGCAATACTCAGTGCCTCTATTAAAGTGAAGGGAAAGACACACAGAGTCTTTTCTTGCTGCCACTTGTGTAGCTGGGAATGGGTTGTGGTAAAGTCAATAAAATTCTTCAACATCCTTCAATAACAATGATTCTAGTCCTTCTGAATGGTTCAAATTCTATGTTGATACTTATGTTCTCTAGTACATTATTCTCTCTCTAGCCACATGAAAAGGCTAGAGTACCACAAATGTCTCAAAATTTAGAGCTCCAAATTATGACACCTCTTTAGAAAGCTGGCAGGTCCTCTGGGTACTACAAAACTAGGGTTATATCCTCACTACCTAGAAATATCCCCTTGTGGTCATCTCTCAGAAAGGGTAACAGTGATCTCAGAGAATATGCTGTAGGGAGCTAAAAAGGATCCCTTGCCTTCTAAGCACCCTGAAGATCGTGAGCTGTATGTTTTAAGAATATATAGCTGGCCAGGTGCGGTGGCTGATATCTGTAATCTCAGCATTTTGGGAACCCAGAGCAGGTGGATCACTTCAGGTCAGGAGTTGGAGACCAGCCTGGCCAACACATCAAAACCCCGTCTTTACTAAAAATACAAAAATTAGCTGGGTATGGTGGTGAGAGCCTGTAATCCCTGCTACTGGGGAGGCTGAGGCCTGAGAATCACTTGAACCCGAGAGGCGAGGTTGCACTCCAGGCTGGGTGACAGAGTGAGACTCCGTCTCAAAAAAAAAAAAAAAAAAAAATATATATATATATATATATATGTATAGCCACTGTTTCTTCCAGCCATCACATAGCTAAGAAAATGGCTGAATGTGGCTACCAAAAAATAAAAGAGAAGGGAAAACAGAGGCCCAGGAATGAGAATGAACAGTGTCTCCTAGCATGTGATGTATAAGCATATCACCCCAAATAAATAGCAGTCTTACCAATAAAAATAAAAATTAAAAACACAATTATATTCAATTTTTAGATCCTGTAAGCAGACAAAATTATATTCGATTTTTAGATCCTGTGTTTAGATGAGTATTATTTAAACACTCATCTTCTATATTGCAAGAAATCACATCTCTGTGATCTATACTATGTTCCTGTGTTTCAATATTTCTGGTATGAAGCACATCTGGAACTTGTCAAAGAAAGTTAACTTTACAAGGTAGTTCCTTGTAGCAAGACCCCTGGCCAATGAGTTCTTTCTACCACATTTCCACTGTAGTTCACTCATGAGTAGTTACCATGAATATTAAACGTGAAGGATAAGTTCTCTTAAAGTTTACATTTTCCTTGAACAAATTGAGCACTTTATCATAAAATTGCTCTAACAACAAGCATTCCAAAATTTCTTTTTTCTTGTAAACCTTGAATAGACAGTTTTAGAAATGAATGTGATCACGTGATATGCCCACTTCCCTCTTTCGTGCCATTTTGTGGTTATGATTTTATATTTGACCTTTTTCAATATGAGGTTAGGAAGTCCTATGAAAGAAATTAATATAGGACTGATAATAGGGACTGATATAGTTTGGATGTTGTCCCCTCTAAGTGTCATGTGGAATTGTAATCCCCAGTGTTAGAAGTGGGGCTTGGTGGGAGGTGATTGGATCATGTGGGTGGGTTTCTCATGAATGGTTTAGCCTCATCCCCTAGGTGCTGTCCTCGTGATAGCGAGTTCTCAAGAGATGTGGCTCTTTACAAGTGTGCAGCATCTTTCCTCTGGCTCTCGCTTGCTCCTGCTTTTGCCACGTGACATGCCTGCTCCTGTTTCGCCTTCCACCATGAGTAAAAGCTCCCTGAGGCCTCCCCAGAAGCTGAGCAGATGCTGGCACCACACTTGTACAGCCTGCAGAACTGTGAACCAATTAAACTTCTTTTCTTTATAAATTACCAAGTCTCAGGTATTCCTTTATAGCAATACAAGAACCTCCTATAACATAGGGACTAAACATTCTTCTTAAAGCACCTGAGATGTTTTGGGATTCTGTCAAAACTCAACATCCCAGACTTTTGGTACTATTCAGTTTTGGTACATCCGGCACTGATGCAGTAATAACTCTTCAAGCATTCAGAATGTTAACTTACACTAAAATATGAATTGCTAAAGCTAGGACATATAAGATAGTGTCTGTCTGGGTTCCCCCAAAGCCCAGCAACATTTATTAAACAATGTGATTCCAGGGAGCAGGCATACAAAACAGGAAGGAGGAGAAGCCAAGATGAGTATGTATTAAATATTAAGGGTTTAGCCACTCCTGTGGATGACTGGCACACAATGCTGCAGTGTCTTCTGAGGAGGCTTTTGAAATGTATTGTAGAATTTTTCACCTCAGTTTAAAAGGGGAAGCAAATATTTATCCATTAGTGTCTGTCCCTCATGGGTCAACTCCCTCTCCCTTGCCAGAATGCTGAGTGGGTTCCTATGGGTGTTCTATATAGGGGTGCCAGAGGTTCCCCAGGGCAGACAGCTAGAGGAACACTTCACAGGTTGAAGCAAGAATACTATCGAATCACTTCTGCACAAACTTAGTTGAGGTCTACAGGAAACAAGCAGCAGCAGCAGTGGCTGAAGTGAGAGGTCTGGCTGGTAGGATTGAAGTGGTGCACTGTCCAGAGCTGGGAAGGGTTTGAATTTTACCCTACTTGCAAGCTAACAAGTTTGCCTGTCACAGTTTCATGGGCACTGGCAGAAGGCATGAGACTGCTGAATCAGACAAAGACTTTATTCCATACGATACAGCAGGCAGCCTGAATTTCATGTTCATGTTAGCACCTCTTTCCTCCAACTTCCACTAGGACAACACAGAGGGGAGTCCAAGTGGATGTGGCACATACAGCGTGAGGAATACCTGAGATATTCCAAGCTTAACAATCCTCAATCTTTTGTATGACAGCCCCCAGCAAAACTGCCTAGCCTTTTCCCTGGTAGAAACTTGGCCTTCATTTTGCTGGTGCTATGGTTTGAATGTGTCCCCTACAAAATTCAGGTATTGCCAATGTGATATTATTAGGAGGTGAGGCCATTAAGAGGTGATTAGGTCATGAGGGCTCCTCTCTCATGAATGGGATTAGGTACCCTGATAAAAGGGTCTGATTAGAGAGCTTGTCCCTTTTGCCCTTCCACGTTATGTCATGTGAAAACACTGCATCCTTCCTCTCTGGAAGGTGAAACCCTCACCAGACACCTAAGGTTGGTGCCTTTCTTGATCATAAACTTTCAGCCTCTAGAACTGAGAGAAATTTCTGTTCCTTATAAGTTACCCAGTTTGTGGTATTCTGTTATAGCAGCACAAGCAGACTAAGACAACTGGCCAGCAAAAAAATCTGTCCTCCAAGGCAGAGAGATATATTATCTTTTTTTTTTTTTTTTTTTTTTTAGTATTTATTGATCATTCTTGGGTGTTTCTCGGAGAGATATATTATCTTATTTTTCCAAAGCTGTCTGCTATACAAACACCTTCAAAAAGATAGTCTGGAACAAAAGCTACTCGGAAGACATGCATAAATGTGAGAGATCAATAGGGAATCATCTTCCAGGATGCACAAGAAGTGTTCAATACTAGTGATGTTTAACTGGTTTAAGTAATAGAGACGTTTCATCTTTTGACACTGGTCACCTTGCTTAATTAGATAGTCTTTGCAGAGCCTCTTGTTTCCAGGTGTGGAGAATTCACACCATAATCTGAGCTATCCTAAACTGTGAAAAGATGTAGAAGTTCTATGGGACTGTCTTGACTCTCATCCATTCTCCATACTGTTGTCATGATTAACTACATGTACTTATGTCATACTGCCAACTTGTCTCAAGCATATTGTATAAAATTGAGTTTATAGAGATTTATGTTTGACACAAAGGTGGGGAATTTTTAGTTTTTGAGTGGCAGTAAAGAAAAGAAGATATGTAAGTTTTAGCAACTTTGTCTCACTGATAAAAGTATTCAAATTACCTATTCTATACTATCTATAGGCTGTAAATAATTTTACTTTTGGAGTAACTTGAAGAAAGGAATAATATCTTGTTCATTTTTCACTGTTGTCTAGCACAATACCTGGCATATGATAGATACTTAAAAAGATATTTGTTGAATAGATTATTAAAGGAAAACACAAAAGACTAAAGTCATCTACAAGAAAAGATAAAGAGAAAAAAGAAATGTAAATACCAATATTGAAATATACTGTTGCGGGAAGTCAGGGACCCCAAACGGAGAGACCGGCTGAAGCCATGGCAGAAGAACATAAATTGTGAAGATTTCATGGACATTTATTAGTTCCCCAAATTAACACTTTTATAATTTCTTATGCTTGTCTTTACTGCAGTCTCTGAACATAAATTGTGAAGATTTCATGGACGCTTATCACTTCCCCAATCAATACCCTTGTGATTTCCTATGCCTGTCTTTACTTTAGTCTCTTAATCCCATCATCTTCATAAACTGAGGAGGATGTATGTCGCCTCAGGACCCTGTGATGATTGTGTCAACTGCACAAATTGTTTGTAGAGCATGTGCGTTTGAACAGTATGAAATCTGGGCACCCTGAAAAAAGAACAGGATAACAGCAATGTTCAGGGAACAAGGGAGATAACCTTAAACTCTGACTGCCGGTGAGTGGGGTGGAACAGAGCCATATTTCTCTTGTTTCAAAAGCAAATGGGAGAAATATCACTGAATTCTTTTTCTCAGCAAGGAACATCACTGAGAAAGAGAATACGTCCCTGAGGGGAGGCCTCTAAAATGGCCACTTTGGGGGCAGCTATCTTTTACGGTCACAGCTGTAGGGATGAAATAAGCCCCAGTCTCCTGCAGTGCTCCCAGACTTATTAGGATGAGGAAATTCCCGTCTAATAAATTTTGGTCAGACCGCTTGTCTGCTCTCAAACCCTGTCTCCTGATAAGATGTTATCAATGACAATGCATGCCCGAAACTTCATTAGCAATTTTAATTTCGCCCTAGTCCTGTGGTCCTGTGATCTCGCCCTGCCTCCATTTGCCTTGTGATATTCTATTACCTTGTGAAGTATGTGATCTCTGTGACCCACGCCCTATTCGTACAATCCCTCCCCTTTTGAAAATCACTAATAAAAACTTGCTGGTTTTATGGCTCGGGGGGGCATCACGGAAACTGCTGACATGTGATGTCTCCCCTGGACACCCAGCTTTAAAATTTCTCTCTTTCTTTCTCTGTCCCTTTATTTCTCAGACTGGCTGACACTTAGGGAAAATAGAATAGAACCTATGTAAAATATCGGGGCTGAATTTCACCCAATAATATAGCACTCCATGGTATATTTGTTAGGGATATTGCTATTTTTTTTCTACTTGCTGTGGTTTGAATATTCCCTTCAAAACTCATCTTGAAATCTAATTGCCATTGTAACATTATTAAGAGGTGGGGCCTTTAAGAAACGATTAGGTCATGGGGGCTCCACCTTCCTAAATGGATTAATGCTATTATCATGGAAGTAGGTTAGTTATCACAGTAAGACTTCTTTATAAAAGTGAACTCTCTCTCACATGTGCTGTCTTGCCCTTCTGCCTATCTGCCATGTGATGTTGTACAGAAAGGCCATCACAAGATGTGAGCACCATGCTCTTGAACTTCCCAGCTTCTAGAACCATGAGCTTAATAAACCTTTCTTTATAAATTATCCAGTCTGTGGTATTCTGTTATAGCAATAGAAAATAGACTAAACACTACTTAAACCCTCCTGTCCATATCAAGCAGACAGTAAATATTTATGAGCACTTATATGGTGAAATTATTTTACCTTTATGGATAAAAGAAGATCTCTTGACTTTTTCCAATGTCACATTCTCTATAAAGAGCCATAATTTGGCCAGGCATGGTGGCTCATGCTTGTAATCCCAGCACTTTGGGATGCGGAGGCAGGTGGATCACCTGAGGTCGGGAGTTTTAGACCAACATGGCCAAAATGGTGAAACTCCATCTCTACTAAAAATACAAAAATTAGCCAGGTGTGGTGGTGCGCACCTGTAATCCCAGCTACTCGGGAGGCTGAGGCAGCAGAATTGCTTGAACCCAGGAGGCAGAGGTTGTAGTGAGCTGAGATCGTGCCACTGCACTCCAGCCTGGGTGACAGAGCACTACTCTGTCTAAAAAAAAAAAAGAAAGAGACATAATTTATTTGGCAGGTAACACATTACAGTAGATAGCTCATATGAACTTTATGATCAGACTAATTTAGTTTAGTTTTAATCTCAGCTCTACCACTCATTAACCTAGTGAGGGTGGGTAAGTTTCTCATCTAAAGATGAGCATCTAATTAATACTGCCTTACCAAGTACTTCTGAGGGCTAAATGAAACAACATGTTTGAAGCTCCTAGAAGAGTGCTAGGATCCAATAAATGTTAGTTTCTATGTTAGTTTCCTGTGGTTTCCATAACAAATGACCACAAATTTGGTGGATTACAACAATAGAAATGTATTTTCTCACAGTTCTAGAGGCCAAAAGTCCAAACTCAAGGTGTTGGCAGAACTGCGCTCCCTTTGAAGACTCTAGGGGGAATCCTTTCTTGCCTCTTCCACAGCTTCTGGGGGCTCCAGGTATTTCTTGCCTTGTGGCAGCATAACTCCAGTCTCTGCCTCCATTTTCACGTGGCCCCTCCTTTTCTCTCACTGTCTCTACTCTGTGTATCTCTTATAAAGACATTTGTCATTGGATTTAGGGCCCACCCAGGCAATTCAGAATGATCTTATCTTGAGATCCTAGGCTTAGTAACATCTGCAAAGACCCTTTTCCAAATAAGGTCACATTTTCAAGTTGCAGGGTTGACGGCCTGGACATATATTTTTTGGGTACCATTCAACTCACTATGGTTCTCTTCCCATTTCTTCCTCTCCATTTAAATATATAGAGCACAAAAATCTGAGTATATTAAAGAGATTTTAGCAAATTATTCCTGGGGGTTGAAGTAAAATCTCAACAACAAGAAAAAATATTCAAAATATTCAAGCAGTCAAGTGATGAAAAACAACTTGTTATAATTGAGAAAAAGAGGTTTTATGCAGACAATCCAGGAAGCAGATAATATGAAAAAGAAGCAAGAAAACACCTATGCCTAGTTATGAACCAGACACTGTGCTTTGTTTTGTGTGTGTGTGTGCGTTTGTTTTGTTTTGTTTTGTTTTTGTTTTGTTTTGAGTCTCACTCTGTCGCCCAGGCTGTAGTGCAGTGGCACAATCTTGGCTCACTGCAACCTCTGCCTCCTGGGTTCAAGCGATTCTCCTGCCTAAGCCTCCCAAGTAGCTGGGATTACAGATGTGCACCATCACGGCTGGCTAGTTTTTTTGTATTTTTAGTAGAGACGGGGTCTCACCAGGTTGGCCAGCCTGGTCTCGAACTCCTGACTTCAGGTGATCCGCCCACTTCAGCCTCCCAAAGTGCTGGGATTACAGGCATGAGCCACCACACCCGGCTTGTGCTTTGTTTTTTAAACACACCTTTTAAAGAAAAATATTCCAGTAATCCTATTAGGCAGAGTAAAACAGATTTACAAAATATGTATTTACAAAAATACAGTTCAGAAGGGTTACGTGTCTTGCCTAATATCATATAGCTATCAGGTACAGTGCCAGAATTTTAAAAAACTGTACCTTCATTGCACCAAATTTAATTATAATTGATTCATAGACACACCGTTATCACTAGGCTGTACATTATCTATTTTTGTTGTTTTTACTGCAACTGGTGGTTCACTGCAACCACCCACAAACCTATCACTCAAGATAGCTCAAAAACCAGAACCTTAACAATTTACATCTGCTTGTATATTCCTCCCCATCCCATTTCCCCAAATCCTAGAGGTTTGCTCTTTTCATTACATCACAATGTCTGAAAGAAGTGGGAAAAAGCCTTGGCTTGAAATTAGAAAGCCCATGTTCACATCTCAAGTCAACCACACAGGAGGGGTAACTTTATGCCAATGCTTCTCTATTTCTGCCCTTTCCAACCTGTTTCAAGTGTTAAAGACAAACTGCAGGCTCAGCCCACCTGGTCCACTGACAGCCCAGCTTGGCAGCATATTAAGAATATCCCACTTTGTTTCTGATCATTTAGGTGAACTGTTGTGATTTAAAATAAATTGCTTCAAATATTTTCCTTTTAAAATTAAAAAAAAGTAATTATATTACCTAGGGGTAGAAAGAATAATTTATATCCATGTAGCATATCTTTTTCTGCAAAAATCTTTGCATAGTAACATATTGGTGAGATCAGTATGTTGAACTGACCCACCCACAGGAACAAAATAATTAATCTTTAAGAGTGAATGGGTGTGGTGGCTCACCCCTGTAATTCCAACATTTTGGAAGGCTGAAATAGGTGGATTGTTGGGTCCAGGAGTCTGAGACCAGCTTGGGCAACACGGTAAAACACTGTCTTTACAAAAACATACAAAAACTAGTCCAGCGTGGTGGCATTTCCCTGTAATCCTAGCTACTTGGGGGGCTGAGGCAGGAGGATGGCTTTGAGCCAGGGAGATTGAGGCTGCAGTGAGCCGTGATGTCACTACTGCATACCGGCCTGGTCTATGTGTCTGTTTTTATGCCAGTACCATGATGTTTTGGTTACTATAGCTCTGTACTATAATTTGAAGTCAGATAATGTGATTCCTCCAGTTTTGTTATTTTTGCTTAGGATAGCTTTGGCTATTCTGGGTCTTTTGTGGTTCCATATAAATTTTACAATGGTTTTTTTCTATTTCTCTGATATAACAGGATTGCTTCTGGAAAGGGTACTGGGTAGCAGAAAATAGAGTAGAAAGGAAAATTTACCTTTGATTGTATGCATGTTTGAATCTTGTTCCACATAATCATATTTTTCTATTCAAAAGAATAAGTGAAAATTAAAACAAACTATTTAAATAATGTTTCTGATTTCCAATTGTGTGGAACTCTGTGTGTATGTATATTGAAGGCAAGGAAGAAAATATTACTAATAATAGTGGTTCTTTCTAGAAGATGAGATTACTGATAATTTTTAAAAATTCTTATCTTCATTTTCCAAAACTTACATTAAAACCATGTAAACAGTTAATTTTTTTAAAAGAAAAAAATTATTTATAAATGAAAAGCTGTGAAAAGAAGCCAGTGGCTACTTGCTTAGGGTAACAGTTTGTGAGGAGGGTAGGTCAGGCCTTAAGGGATCACCCATGCTCTCCAAGAAAGCGCTATGCAAGTTACAAGGACAATGAGGGTACTGCTGGGGACCCATCTTTGTGGATCATGTTTACTCAGTAGTAACAACAGCTCTCAGGATCAAATGGATCACATTTAGTCATGGAGACCCCTGACATAAAGGAGTGGAAGCTCCCAGAAGGAATTCTCCTTTTATTATTATTATTACTATTATTATTTTGAGACAGAATCTCACTGTGTCGTCCAGGCTGGAGGGCAGTGGTGTTATCTCAGCTCACTGCAACCTCTGCCTCCTGAGTTCAAGTGATTCTCCTGCGTCAGCCTCCCGAGTAGCTGGGATTACAGGCATGCACTACCATGTCTGGCTAATTTTTGTATTTTTAGTAGAGATGGGGTTTCACCATATTGACCAGACTGGTCTTGAACTCTGACTTCAGGTGATCCACCCACTTTGGCCTCCCAAAGTGCTGGGATTACAGGCATGAGCCACTGTGCCCGGCTGGAATTCCCCTTTTAATCCCCAATACTTGATGCCAGTCGTCTCTCAATAGATGTTGAGTAAGTAAGTGACAGGGCCAGGGAGGAAATAGAAAGCACTGGTCTTGTGGCATCAGAGGACATGGACTTAATTCCCTATCCTATAATTTAAAAAATGTTCAGTGTTGTACTCTAAAGTTACTTAAAACAGTGGGTCTCAGTTTCTTCAGTCTTAAAAATGAAAGGTTTGAACTTGATCAATGATTAGCAACCAAAAGTTTACAAATCAAGTGACTTTTCTATTAACATCTGGCTGTTAAGGTCTTCCCTCCAAACCCATCCACTTTCTATAATTCCATCTCTTCCATAAGGTTGCATCTAAGTTCATGGGACCAAGATTTGCTGACTTATCAAGATGTGCCTGTCTGTGTGCATATGTGCAGGTGGTAACATCTGGTCTTTGCTTATCATCTACACATGCTGGCATCCACCGAGAAGCGCAGCCTCCCATTCTGCCCTTGGCCAGTAGCCCAGGCAAGACCCTATGAGTCATTCTTTGTTCCCATCCACAGGGTCTCTTTAGGTCCAATAGCTCTTTGTTTCCACAACTATGTCACTTTGGGGTACAAAAAGACAATATGCAGCTTCCTCTGACACCTTGGAGAGCAGGGAAACTCAGTAAACCTGTCTCAGGACCACTAGTCTAGACACTACACAGCTGATTCTTCTGCCCCCAAAGGGTCTGGTCACTAACCTGGTTTCTCCTTGAGAAAGGAGACCATAGGCACCCCTTGCTCCTAAATCTCTGAACCTATTTGCCTTAGATTTCTCCTGTTCCCTCCCTCCCTTTCCTATTTCTTGGCTTGGAAGAGGGGTTCCTGGCCCCTCTTCTCAGACTATACTTCCATCTAGAACTCTTCGGTTCCAACTTTTCTTCCTCCTGGTCCCAGAATAACCTTTTTACTCATTCCTCTGAATCTCTCGCTTTATGTGACAGAGCAATACAGTGTAGTGAGTAATCACTCAGGCTGCCACACTTATGTTCTATGACAATAGCAAAGCTGCATAATACAGTGGGCCTCAGTTTTATTATATGTAAAATGGGGCCAATAACAGCACCCACCTGTATTAGTTTTTTTGTTTTGTTTTTGTTTTTGTTTTTTGAGATGGAGTCTGGCTCTGTCACCCAGGCTGGATGCTGTAGCACAAGCTCAGCTCACTGCAACCTCCTCTTCCCAGATTCAAGTGATTCTCCTGCCTCAGCCTCCCAAGTAGCTGGGACTACAGGGGTGTGCCGTCATGCCTGGCTAAATTTTGTATGTTTAGTAAAGGCGGGGTTTCACTGGCCAGGCTGGTTTCGAACTCCTGACCTCAGGTGATCCTTGGCCTTCCAAAGTGCTGGGATTACAGGTGTGAGCCACCGTGCCCAGCCAGTTTTCTATTGCTGCTCTAACAAATTACCACAAAACTGGTGGCTCAAAACAACACAAATTTATCTTACAGTTCTGGAAGTCACAGAGTCCTCAATGTTGGTAAGACTGTTCCTTCTGAAGCCTCTAGAGGAGGATCTGTTTATTCGCCTTTTCCAGCTTCTAGAGGCCACCTGCATTCGTTGGCTTGTGATTCCTTCCTCTACCTCCAAAGCCAGTAGCAGAGCATCTTGAAATCGAGCATTTGTGCACACTCTGAGGCCATCATCAGTCATCATATCTCTTTTTCTCACTCTGGCTCTTCTCTTGTGATTACATTGGACCTAGCTTGGATAATGCAGGCAAGTTTCCCCAACTCAAGCTCCTTGATTTAACCACACCTGCAAAACTTCTTTTGCAATATAAGGTAATATATTCACAGGTTTTAGAATTAGGATATGGATATCTCTGGGGGCCATTATTCTGTCTATCACACCATCTAATACGATTATTGTGAGGATTAAATAAGATAATGCATGTAAAATGCTTAGTTTGATACAATATTATTGTTAAGCCTAGGCCTAGTCTTTTGAAATTCCTAAGCTGAGAATTACGATCTTCAGCCTGTTGTGTTAGCTTTTCTTTGAGGCAATGCATGCTTCATGTTCCATCCACTGCCAGAATAAAGAGGACAGTTGTAGGGTATGAGGAAATGTGGCATAAAAAATGTTCATTAAATTGCAAATATCCATTCCTGCCACATCTGTAAGCATTTTCATGTTTCCTGAATTGGCCCACATGTAAAGAAGTTTACTCACCAGTGAACTAGATGGTCTCCAAAGTCCATTCCTACTCTATTATTTAGGTCTTCTTTTCTGAGCAAGTATGAACTTGTCTCAGACCCTCTCCTGGCTTTTCTTTTCACTCTGCTTTCCTCTCTGTGTCTTCCTTCACAACTGAAATCCCCGAGGAGTCACATAAGTGCCAGGAGGGGGAGTGTGTAGTCAAGGTGGGGCATAGGTGGGACCAGCACCCTAGGAAGGACTGCCTATTTGTGTTGGGCAATGGAAGCCCCACCCCACAGAGGGAAGCAAATATTTTATGGTACTTTATTAGCATCAGAGAGCATGAGCATTTCCAGGTGACAGTTGAGAAAAGCTGGAACATGAAATTGAGTTTGAGGGAGTCTTGCTTGGTTCATTTGAGTAGAATCATCTGGTCTTTCACAGGCCTCAATAGCTGTGCTAGCTTGACTGTGCTCAGGCAAGGCTGCAACCCATCAACTCTAAAAATGACAATAAATGGGCAACATTCAGTTCCTTAAGGCCAGGAAGGAAATTCTTTTACAATGCTGGGAAAAATGTAAGAATGTATTCCCCAAAGTGGGGTCAGGAAGTCCCAGAGGAGAGTTATATCTCATTTTGTGAAATGACCTCCAGAAATTAGAAGCATGGATTTTGTGGGAATCGAGGGATTGCACCAAGGATTAGAACGAACATTGAAGAAAGGAAGTAATTGTCTTCTTCTAGGAAAAGAAGACAAGTCATTGGTTTAAAATTATGAGCAGCTGTGGTGCACCTGGACCAGAACTGACATATAGTTAGGAGACACTAATAAACCCTGGCACTTATCACTGATCAATAATTGTAAGGATCACCTGTTAGTTATTGCTGTGTTAGGGATTCAGTACTTGTACTTATTTATATTATCTTTCATTTTCAAAAAACCCTGCAAGTTAATTTATTATCTTGTTTTATTCTCACGCACTCTCAGCTTTAGTTTTCTTTATCTTTAAAACTGGAATGATAATGTGTATCTTACAATATTGCTAGGAGAACTGCATTTAAAAGTCTATATAGGCTGGGCATAGTGGCTCACGCCTGTAATCCCAGCACTTTAGGAGGCTAAGGTGAGCAGATCACTTGAGCCCAGGAGCGTGAGACCAAGCCTGGGCAATACGATGAAACCCCATCTCTACAAAAATTAGCTGGGCCTTGTGGTGCATGCCTGTAGTTCCAGCTACTTGGGAGGCTGAGGTGGGAGGATCACCTGAGCCCTGTGGAGGTCGAGGCTTCAGTAAGCTGTGGGCGCCACTGCACTGCAACCTGGGTGACAGAGTGAGACCCTATCTCAAAAAAAAAAAAAAAAAAAAAGGCCAGGTGTGGTGGCTCACATCTGTAATCCCAGCACTTTGGGAGGCTGAGGCAGGTGGATCACCTGAGGTCAGGGGTTCTAGACCAGCCTGGCCAACATGGTGAAACCCCATCTCTACTAAAAATACAAAAATTAGGCGGGTATGGTGGCAAGCGCCTATAATCCCAGCTACTTGGGAGGCTGAGGTAGGAGAATTACTTGAACCCAGGAGGCGGAGTTTGCAGTGAGCTGAGATAACACCACTGCACTCCAGCCTGGGCGACAAGAGTGAAACTCCATTTCAAAAAAAAAAAAGTCTACATCAAACTGTCTGGCATTTAGCAGATGCCAATTTATACTTATGAATATGAAATTATTGTTGAAACAGGCAAAAAAGATATGAAATATTTTTTTTTTTGAGACAGAGTTTGGCTCTGTCACCCAGGCTGGAGTGCAGTGGTGTTATCTTGGCTCACTGCAAGCTCCACCTCCTGGGTTCAAGTGATTCTCCTGCCTCAGCCTCCCGAGTAGCTGGGATTACAGGCACCTGCCACCACACCTGGCTAATATTTGTATTTTTAGTGGAGATTGGGTTTCACCATCTTGGCCAGAGGCTAGTGTTGAACTCCTGACCTCATGATCCACCTGCCTCGGCCTCTCAAAGTGCTGGGAATACAGGCGTGAGCCACCGCACCCAGCCCATGAAAGGTATTTTGATCGATTATTTTATTTGGCAATTCTACAAGGTGCCTGCTACGTTTCAGGCCCCAAACAAACAGTATTCAAATATAGCCCTGACTTTAGGATGCTCACAGTGTAGTGAGGAAGACAGACCCAAAAACCCTGATCAAACAAGAAAGCTATTAATTAGAATTTAATAGAATATATTTTAGGATAGGGTGCTAAAAAAACTGCTTCTAAAACCAGGATGAACGTTAAGTGGACTCTTAAAAGTAATGAGTGGGAATCGGGGTGAAAGAGAGAGAGAGTGTGTGTGTGTGTGTGTGTGTGTGTGTTGTGCAGTGTCCTACCCATTCATTTAGGGCAGGAGAATAACTGCCACTAGTTTTATACTGCTGGGGGAAAAATATGCCTGTGGAATAGGACCGAACAAGTAGGCAGGAGCTGAATCACACCTGCTCTTCTGCACCATTCCAAGAAGTTTAAATTTTAGGCTAAAAGTGATGGGGAGCCATTGAAGGATTTTATGAAAGGTATGCTGTGTTCAGACTTATGGTTTAGAAGGATTATTTAGGTAATAGTGTGGAAGGGAGTGACCCAGGATGCAGGAAGAGTCAGGAAACTAAAAAGAGGCAGTAGAGTATAGCTGTTTAAAGTATGAATTCCAGAGATGCACAGCCCAGCCCAGGTTTTCTGGCTTCACCATTTTCTGGCAGTATGGTCATGGACAATTTAACTTTTTTTGTGACTCAGTTTTCTCATCTGTGAAAGGAAGATAAAAATACTACCTACCTGTTAGGATTGATGTGAAAATTAAAAGAGTTAATAGAATACAATAAACAGCACAATATCTCCCACATAATGAGGCCCAAATAAATGTTAACCTGTTGTTATTATTATTATTAATACGCTAGTGCAAAAGAGGAATGAGAAGGGCCGGCGCTAAGTCAGTGGCACAGTGGAGATGAAAGGAAGGGGAAGGTGTCAAGGAAATGGAATTGGAAGGACTTGGTAAGTGTATTAAGGTGGCTTTTAAAAGAATGGAGGCACAGAGGAGCTTTTTGAATTCCCTGAGTGAGTGGAGGAGTCTGGATTCAAAGCTATTCTCGTGGATATTCTTTCCCCACTGTTCTTTTTCAGTAGGTTGCACTATGATTCTGTCATCCTGCATGTCCTTGTCTCTGTGTACTGGGTTCAAATCTCATCCACAAACACAGATGTAGAAGAACTATAAATGTCCTTCTTTTTCTGTAGCTCAACTTAAATTCTGTTTTGAGCCTTCCTCTTGGATGGCAGGAACACAATTTCAGTTAAATTGGGGTCTTCCTTCCATTTTCCCATGAGCTTACCTATGTTCTAGGAGTGCCAGGGTTTGAGGTTGGGCCTGGACATTAGGTCTTTGGTGTCATCTGGCCAAGCTGACATCCCCTGGGGCTACTATTGCCTCATTGGGTCCTCAGCCATGTTCCACTCAGGCTGTCCTCAGGTCACCTCTCAAACTCATTCATAAAACTCCTTTAGGTTCAGCACCCCCCTCTTGGGAATGCAGCGATTGTTCTGCTTCTCACTCAGGTGCTCCCATGATACGTGGGGCAGGTCTTCATTTCTGTCCCTTCTTGGACACATAGAAGTGATTCCATGGTTTCTGTACCGCCCTGACATGTGGGTAAAGCCGTCTAAGATGTCGGTTCTTCTCCAGGGTCTTGCCACCTGCAGGACGTTATCTGTGTTCTTGGATCTCCTAAACCTAGCCAGGGTTTCTGCAGACTCCCTTGGGTCGCAACTCAACCTGAAGGATGGGGTGAGGAAGCCAAGATGCCCTTTTCTCAAGGACCCCAAGCATCGAAGCTCTCCTTGCATCACCTTGACTCTTCTTTCACCCTTCAGGCCTGAAACCTCGTTCTTATCCTATCTTTTCTTCTTTTTTTAAAAAAAATTGCCCTAAGTCTTTTCAGTTTCCTTAAGGGCCTAGGTTTTGAAACTTAAAAGCTAGGAAGACACTCTTTTTAAATCTGCATTCTTCTGTAACAACCCTTCCCTGAGGCAATCAAAGAAGGGAAGTGCTAAAAGATGAGAAGGTGTCAAAGAAAGATAATCCATTAATACTTCATAGACATTATCCCACCACATTTTAAATAGAGTCATCAGGCAGTAACCTACAATCCCTTTTGTCTTTAGTCTTTGAATGTCTTTGATCTTGTCCCTGGTTGACAGATATGATATAAGTAACTCTGATAGTCATTTGACTTATTGATGTTGGACATGTAGGCGGAGCTGAATTTTACTAATAAAGAAATCTCTTAAAGACAAGATAAAGCCAGCCTCTTTGAATTAGGGGGAAAACTAAGGTAGAAGTGAAAGAGGGACTTCTCTCTCAATACTACCTTAGCGCCATGGGGGTGGGACAGGGCTGAAATTGGGAAATATCTGTGAAAAGCTGAGATAGGAGAAGGAATTTATCTCTAGCTAGATGTGGAGAATCATAAACATTGGTTTGCCTGGGATGGCACTAGTTTATGCCACTTTTCCTCATGTGCCACCTGGTTAGTGCCCACTTTCTCTCTAAAACCTATCACATCTTGGACAGTAAAGTATGTGGTTATCCCATTTCTGGTTTATATAAGCCTGTTCGAATGTTCCAATTTGGAACTAGGCTGGAGACATTGAAAGCCTTAATTATCAAGATTTCTCTTTATGCAATGAGGTCAGTAAAATCACCCGAGAGCCTGAGATAGAGGAGGGTCTTTGTTTTTAACTCTAGGACTACATAAGTAAATAGCTACTTTGATATAAAAATCATAATTTCAGTATAAATAAATAAGGGTATACTATTTAGCCATTTCTACTTTGTTTCATTATTCACATATATTATTATGGTTTTATAAGCCTTTTTTGCCCATTCAATTTGTAGTAGGAAGGAGAATCTCAAATCATCTGCTATTCTATGTTTCATTCTAACATTTTTAGAGTTCTTAGTTATCCATGAGTAAAATCAAAATACACGCTGCCTAGATAAAATCATTTTCAATCATTGATGTGATCTTGCATTAAGATAGTTTCCAGCAAAATGGTTAAATTTGTACATTTTATCCATAGATGAAGTTGATTAGATTCTGAAGGCTGAAAGTAAGAGGCCTAAAGCCATGTTGATTTCCAGTAAATTCCCTGCTGCAGTCCACTATTCTGATCCCCTGAGGCCCTCCTTGTCTTCTTAGGAGTTAGATCAGATTTTCAAGAACAGCAGCTGGGTCAACCAGGCATCCTAGAACTGGATAAACAAACTAGAGTCCAGAACAACTCCCTATCTTTTCATCCTTTCCTGTTACTAGAATGCCTTAGTCCATTTGTGCGCTATAACAAAATACCTTAAACTGGGTAATTTATAAAGATCAGAAATTTTATTCCTCATAATTTTGGAGGCTGTAAGTCCAAGATCAAGGTGCCAGCATGTTCAGTGTCTGTTGAGGGCCCTGTCTCTCTGCTTCCTTGTCACTGTATCCTCTAGAGGGGATAAAGTCTGAGTCCTCACATGGAAAAAGGGAGAGAAAGGAAAAAAAGGCCTAAGCTAGTTTCTTCCAGCCCTTTTATAAGGCACTAATTCATCCATGAGGGTGGAGCCCTCATGACTTAATCACTTTCCAAAGGCTCCACCTCTTGGTATCACCACAAGGGGAATTAAGTTTCAACATGAATTTTGGAGGGAACACATCCAAACTGTAGCATTCTACCCATGATCTACCAAAATTCATGTCCTACTCACATACAAAATACATTAATTCCATCCCATAGCCACAAATGTCTTGTTCCAGCATCAATCTTAAGGTCTAAGTCCAAAGTCTCATCTATATATTATTTAAATCAGATATGGGTAAGATTCTAGGCACAATTCATCCTGAGACAAATTCCTCCTCCAGCTGTGAACTTGTGACATCCAACAAGTTATGTGCTTCCAATATACAAAGGTAGGGCAGGCATAGGATAGACATTCCCGTTTCAAAAGGGAGCAACAGAAAAGAAGAAATGGACAACAGGTCTCAAATAACTCAAAAACCCACCAAGGCAAACAGCATTAAATCTTGAGGCTTTAGAATAATCTTCAACTACATGTCCTGCCTTTCAGATACACTGGGCTGGGGTTGGATCACCAAGGCTCCAGGGACTCTGCCTCCATGGCCTCACTGGGCACAGCTCACATGGCAGTTCTCAATGGTTAGAGTCTTGTGCCTGTGGCTCTCCCAGGCTAGAGTTGCATGTTGGTGGGTCTACAGGTTTGGTGTCTCAGGGGTGACCCCATTCCCATGGCTCCACTAGACACTGCTGTACTGTGGGGTTCTCTGTGGTGACCCTGACCCCATGGCTCCACTGGGCATTGCCCTAGTAGGCGACCTCTGCAGCAGCCCCACCCCAATGCAGTTCTCTGCCTGGCACCCAAGGCTCTCTGATGCATCCTGTGAAATCTAGGTGGAGATAGGCATACCTCCATGGCTCTAGTGCTCTGTGTGCCTGCAGAGTTAGCGCCATGTGGACTCTGCCAAAGCTTATAGCCTGTACCTTCCAGAGGGGCCATCTGAGGCACATCTGGGCCTGTTTGAACCACAGCTAGGACAGCCAAGGAGCACTGTGCCTGATGTGGGGAGCAGAGATGAGGAGGTGCAGGGCAGTGAATACTAAGATCCCGAGGGCCCCTGACGTTTTCTACTTCCCTTTTAATTGTGAATTCCATCTTTAAATCATTTCTCTCTTTACTAGAAGAATAAAGAGATGCTATGCAGCCCGTTCAATATTTTGCTTAGATATTTCTCCCATGAGATATCTTAGTTCACCGTTCTTAAATTCTGTCTTCCACAAAGCCCCAGAGTATGGACACAATTCAATCAAGTTCTTTGCCACTTTGTAACAAGGATGGCCTTTCCTCCAACTTTCAATGATATAGTCCTCATTTCCATCTAAGACGTTATCAGAATAGCCTTTACTCTTTATATTTCTGCCAGCATTCTGATCACAACCATTTAGATAACTTCTGAGAAGACTGAAATCCTTTCTATAGCTCTCCCTTTCTTTTGTGTTTATCCTAGTCCATTTCCTGCTTATTATAACAAAATGCCTGAAACTGGGTAATTTATAAAGAAAAAAATGTATTTATTACAGTTATAGAGTCTGAAAAGTCCAAGATGGAGAGGCGCCATCTGGTGAGGGTCTTCTTCCTGCTGAGGATTTTCTGCAGAGTCCCAAGGCAGTGCAGGGCTTCACATGGTGGGAGGGCTAAGTGTATTACATTAGGTCTCGCTTCCTCTTCTTATAAAGCCACCAGTTCCACTCCCATGATAACCCATTAATCCATTAGCCTATTAACCCTTTAATCCATTCATCCATTAATCATCTATTTATGAGTGCAAAGCCCTCATCAGCCAATCACCTCTTAAAATTTCACAGCACTGCCACATTGGGGATTAAATTTCAACATGAGTTTTAGAGGGGACAAATATTCATACCATAGCAGAACCCCACTAGAATTGCCCTTAATGGTCCATTCATAGCAATCTGGGATTTTTTTAGCTTGCTCCTCCAAACTCTTCCAGCCTCTGCCCATTACTCAATTCCAAAACTGCTTCCACATTTTTAGGTATTTGTTATAGAAAATACCCACCTTCTTGGTACAATTTCTGTCTTAGTCTGTTTATGCTGCTATAATAAAATAGCGGCCTGGGTTATTAATAAACAATAGAAATGTATTTATCATAGTTCTGGAGGCTGGGAAGTCCAAGATTGAGGCTCTGGAAAGATCAAGGTACCCATAGATTCAGTGTCTGATGAGGGCCTGGTCTCTCTGATTCTAAGATGGTGCTTTATTTCTTTATTTACTTAAGATGGAGCTTTATTGCTGTGTCATTCAGAGGTGTGATAGTTAATACTGAGTGTCAACTTGATTGAATTGAAGGATGCAAAGTATTGATCCTAGGTGTGTCTGTGAGGGTGCTGCCAAAGATTAGCATGTGAGTCAGTGGGCTGGGAAAGGCAGACCCACCGTTAATTTGGGTGGGCACCATCTAATCTGCTGCCAGTGCAGCCATAATATAAAGTAGGCAGAAAAATGTGAAGAGATGAGACTGGCCTAGCCTCCCAGCCTCTGTCTTTCTCCCATGCTGGACCCTTCCTGCCCTTGAACGTCAGACTCCAAGTTCTTCAGTTTTGAGACTCAGACTGGCTTTCCTTGCTCCTCAGCTTGCAGATGACCTATTGTTGTGGGACCTTGTGATTGTGTGAGTTAGCACTTAAAAATTCCCCTTCATATATATATATATACACACATATATATACATATATATATACATATATATACACATATATATACATATATACACATATATATACATATATACATATATACATATATATACATATATATACATATATATATACATATATATACACATATATATATACATATATATATACATATATATATATACATATATATATATACACATATATATATATATCCTATTAGTTCTGTCCCTCTAGGGAACCCTGACTAATACAGATTTTGGTACCAGGAGTGGTTCTAGAGGAACAGAATATTAAGGATGGAGTTCTTTCGTTGGTTTTGGGGTTTCTGGAGTTGGCTACTTAATATGATTAGACCCAAAAATCCTAAGGACTCTCTTATTTATTTATTTATTTATTTGAGATAGAGTCTCACTGTGTCGCCTAGGCTGGAGTGCAATGGCGTGATCTCAGCTCACTGCAACTCTACCTCAAGCAATTCTCCTGCTTCAGCCTCCCAAGTAGCTGGGATTACAGGTGTCCACCACCAACCCCGGCTACTTTTTGTATTTTTAGTAGAGACGATGTTTCACCATGTTAGCCAGGCTGATCTTGAACCCCTGACTTTAGGTGATCCACCTGCCTTGCCCTCCCAAAGTGCTGGGATTACAGGCATAAGCCACCATGCCCAGCCAGGACTCTACTTCTAATAGTATGGAGAACACTGATAGTTTTGTAGAGGGGTCTGACCTGCAGACCCTGACCCAGCAATGGATGACAGACGTACACTGACACCGATATTTTTGCCTGTCAGTACAGCTAAGGAGCTCTGCTCTGAGTCTGGGGCATCGCCTCAATAAGCCAGTGAAGTTCACATTTATTTAGTACAGATTAAATGACAAAGGTCTTGAGTAAATACCACTAGAGGGTAATTGACATTGCTGACCCCCGAGTAGAGAGCAATTATGCACCCATGGTTGATCAAAGGTTGGTCTTAGGACCACATGAGTAAACAAGCTATTTAGATAAATTCCCCACATTTCCTTGTTGTTTGCTTTTTTGCTATGAACTAAAGGTAAAGAGGATTAGGCTGCCTTCAGCCAAATCTGTTACTGAAGCTATGCAACCCCACCCCCGGGCTTCCAAGAAGGTTTGTGACTATTTTCTACAACTATCTTTATAATTTTTCCCACCACCCTGACTGAACTCCCACAGTCTTGGTGTGAACTGTTTAGAGAGCTATGCAAAATAAGTGCATTTTACACTCCTGATTCACTGCTTATGAGAGGCAAGGAGTTTGGTGACTCTATATATAATACCTTTGACCACATGTGGAGAACCAAGGAACATAATGAAGCTGGTTGGTTGCTCCTAAGTTCGGTGGATGAAGTGATGGACGAAAATGATAAACTCAGGGATTCTGTGTCCCAGCTTCAGAGGCAGATACTGAGCCTCAAATCTGCTAAGATTGCCCCGAATGAGAGTCTTAGCTCCTGTAGAGAAAGAGCTGAAATTGTGAAAAAACAGACACAAGCTCTTATCATGTCAGTGGCTGACCTGCATTGAAAGATGCATGCACAGCCTCATCAGGTGTCTACTATCCAAGTAGACAGGTGTCTACAGGTCCAAGTGAGGGCATTGATTGGAAAAGAATGGTACCCTGCTATTGCAGGATCTGGCCAGCAGCCCACAATGCAACGGGGCTCACTCCTTCTTCCCAGGTGGATCGGCAAGTTGAGAAATAATAGATACACACAAGATAGTGAAAGCTGGGTCCAGGGGTGTCACCGCCTTCTGGTCCCATGGTGCCAACAATGCACTGGATATACCAGCATTTATTATTAAGTTTAGTGAGGGCGGGGGTAGGTTAGTGAGGGATTTAGGGTCATTTGTTTATGAGGTGAGATGGTCAATGGGGATGAAGTAATTCTTTAACATAACATCTGTATGCAGAAGTACAGTATACAGGGATAAGAATTTACAATATAGTGTGTGCATCAGTAATTTCTAACAGAGCCTTAAAACAGAAACACAGTCTTTCCATAACCTATGATTAGCAAGATATTAATCAGCAGTAACAGTTGCAGCAAAAGCTGGTTACAAATAATCCATAGAAACAGGACATGAAGCTAGACAACCGGTTAGACCAGAAATTCTCAGAAGGGAGTATGCTTTAACCCTACAGAGTGATAGAAGAGCCATGGCAAGATGAGGGCGTTTATAGCCCTATCTTATCCATATGGACAGGTGCCCCCCATGCATCCGTTTATAGGCTCTCCACAAGGGTTGAATTCCATTCCCAGAGCTATGAACATCTGCTTTTCTAGGATAGGAATCTTGGTGATGTGAAACCTCCCTGACTGCATGTCCATTCATAGGCTCTCTGCAGGGGGAAGCACATCACGCGCTGTTGGCTCATTCTGGCAGTCCAACCTGGCATTACACAATCCTGCATGCAATTTTGTATTTACAATAATCAGGAGCATTTCATCTTTTATTCCATAGCAATAGTTTCAGGGGGTCTCCCTACACCTGCAACTTGGAATGGGGATGTGTGGGAGGACCCTGATGAAGCTGGGGACACTGAGTTTGTAAACTATGATGAATCTTTTTTGCCAGAAGAAACAGCTTCCCCATTCCCAGTAGTGGCAACATCCCCTCCCTGACCCAGGCTGCCATCAGCCTTTCCACCTTTGTCTAAGGAAACGAACCCTGCACTGCCTAAGGCAGCAGTGATGGCCTCCCCTGAGGCAGTTGCCAGGCAAGATAAAGTTGATTCTCCTCAGGAGCCACCCTCAACACCCGAGTTTGCTTCTAGACCTATAACTAGACTAAAGTCCCAGCAGGCCCCTATAGGGTGAGGTTGAGAGTGTGACCCATGAGGAGGTGTGCTATACTCAAAAAGAACTGCTTGAGTTTTCTAGTTTATGTAAACAGAAATCTGGAGAACAGGCATGGGAATGGATATTAGGGGTGGGATAATGGTGGAAGGAAAGTAGAGTTGAATCAGGCTGAATTTATTGATTTGGGCCCACTAAGTAGGGACTCTGCATTTAATGTTGCATCTCGAAGAGTTAAAAAGGGTTCTAATGGTTCATTTGCTTGGTTAGCTGAAAGATGCATTAAAAGAGGGCCCACTGTGAATGAGCTGGAAATGCCTGATCTCCCTTGGATTAATGTAGAGGAAGGGATCCAAAGGCTTAGGGAAATTGGGATGGTGGAGTGGATTAGTCAATTTAGACCTACTCATCCCAGCTGGGAGGGTCTAGAAGATATACACTTGACCAATGTCTTGTGAAATAGATTTGTGAGGGCAACACCTGCATCTTTGAAGGACCCTGTCATTGCTCTTCTCTGTATGTCAGATCTAACAGTGGGAACTACAGTCACTCAACTACAAAATTTAAATACAATGGGAATAATTGGATTCTGAGGGGGCAGGGGCCAAGTGGCAGCACTCAACCATCAAAGGTGGGCGTAGCTACCATAATAGACAGCAGAGGCAAAGCAGCAATCAGAATAGTCTGAATTGTATAGGGCTGTGGCATTGGCTAATTAATCATAGTTCCTAGAAGTGAAATTGATACGAAGCCTACTGCATTCCTACTTAATTTATAGGAGTGGAAAACTTCTAGGTTGAATGGACAAAAGACTAATTTGAGGCTGGGCGTGGTGGCTCAAGCCTCTAATCCTAGCACTTTGGGAGGCTGAGGCCGGTGGATCGCCTGAGGTCAGGGGTTCAAGACCAGCTTGGACAACATGGTGAAACCCCGTCTCTACTAAAAATACAAAAAATTAGCTGGGTGTGGGGATGGGCACCTGTAATCCTAGCTACTTGGGAGGCTGAGGCAGGAGAATCGCTTGAACCTAGAAGGTGGAGGTTATGGTGAGCCAAGATCACGCCACTGCACTCCAGCCTGGATGACAGAGTGAGACTTTGTCTCAAAAAAAAAAAAAAAAAAAAGACTAATTTGAATTATAAAAGCAGAGAATCACAGCCCCTTAACCGATTTCCAGACTTAAGCCAGTATACAGACTCAGGACCCCTTGAATGAAGGTGAAGCCAGGTCACCATGAGGAAGGACCCCCCACTATACCAACAATTTATGCAGTTAATCTTTCTCCCATCCTTCCCCAAGGAGACCTCTGGCCTTTTACCAGGGCAACTGTGCACTGGGGAGAGGGAAATTATTAGACATTTCGGGGACTACTGGACACTGGCTCTGAGCTGATGTTGATTCCAGGGGACCCAAAAACATCATCGTGGTCCTCCAGTTAAAGTAGACACTTATGGAGGTCAGGTAATTAATGGAGTTTTAGCTCACGTCTGACTTACAGTGGGTCCACTGGGTCCCCAGACTCATCCTGTGGTCATTTCCGCAGTGCCAGAATGCATAGTTGGCATAGATGTACTTAGCAGCTGGCTCCCTGACTGGGAGGGTGAGGGCTATTATGGTGGGAAAGGCCAAATGGAAGCCATTAGAGCTGCCTCTACCTAGAAAAATAGTAAATCAAAAACAATATCGCATGATTGGAGGGATTGCGGAGATTAGTGCCACCATTAAGGACTTGAAAGACGCAGGAGTGGTGATTCCCACCAAATCCCTCTTCAATTCTCCCATTTGGCCTGTGCAGAAGACAAATGGATCTTGGAGAATGACAGTGGATTATCATAAGCTTAACCAAGTGGTGACTCCAATTGCAGCTGCTGGACCAGATGAGGTTTCATTGCTTGAACAAATTAACACATCTCCTGGTACCTGGTATGCAGCCATTGATTTGGCAAATGGCTTTTTCTCCATTCCCGTCCATGAGGCCTACCAGAGGCAATTTGTCTTCAGCTGGCAAGGCCAGCCATATACCTTTACTGTCCTACCTCAGAGGTATATCAATGCTCAGGCTTTGTGTCATAATCTTATTCAGAAAGACCTTGTTTGCTTTTTGCTTCCGCGAGATATCATACTAGTCCATTACATTAATGACATTATGCTGATTGGATCCAAAGAGCAAGAAGTAGCAAACACACTGGACTTATTGGTGAAATATTTGTGTACCAGAAGATGGGAAATAAATCCGACTAAAATTCAGGGATCTTCTACTTCAGTAAAATTTCTAGGGGTCCAGTGGTGTGGGGCCTGTCAAGATATTCCTTGTAAGGTAAGGATAAGTTGCTGCTGCATTTGGCCCCTCCCACAACCAAGAAAGAGGCACAACACCTAGTGGGTCTATTTGGATTTTGGAGGCAACACGTTCCTCATTTGGGTGTGTTACTCCAGCCCATTTATCAAGTGACCCAAAAGGCTGCCAGTTTTGAATGGGGTTCAGAACAGGAGAAGGCTCTGCAACAGGTCCAGGCTGCTGTGCAAGCTGCTCTGCCACTTGGGCCATATGACCCAGCAGATCCAATCGTGCTTGAGGTGTCAGGGATGCTGTTTTGAGCCTTTGGCAGGCCCCCATAGGTGAATCACACAGAAACCCCTAGGATTTTGGTGCAAGGCCCTGCCATCTTTTGCAGACAACTATTCTCCTTTTGAGAGATAGCTCTTGGCCTGTTATTGGGCTTTGGTGGAAACTGAATGTTTGACTATGGGTCATCAAGTCACCATGCGACCTGAACTGCCTATCATAAACGGGGTGCTTTCTGACCCACCCAGCCATAAAGTGGGTCATGCACAGCAGCATTCCATCATCAAATGGAGGTGGTATATACGTGATCAGGCTTGAGCAGGTCCTGAAGGCGCAAGTAAGTTACATGAGGAAGTGGCTCAAATGCCCATGGTCTCTATTCCTGCCACCCTGCCTGCTCTCCCCCAGGCTGTACCAATGTCCTCATGGGGAGTTCCCTATGATCAGTTGACAGAGGAAGAGAAGACTAGGGCCTGGTTCACAGATGTTTCTGCACAATATGTAGGCACCATCTTAAAGTGAACAGCTTACAGTACTACAGCGCCTTTCTAGGACTTCCCTGAAGGACAGCAGTGAAGCCAAATCTTCCCAGTGGGCAAAATTTAGAGCAGTGCACCTGGTTGTGCACTTTGCATGAAAGTAGAAATGGCCAGATGTGTGATTATATACTGATTCATGGGCTGTAGCCAATGTTTTGGCTGTATGGTCAGGGACTTCAAAGAAGCATGATTGGAAAATTGGTGACAAAGAAATTTGGGGAAGAGGCATGTGGATGGACCTCTCTGAGTGGTCAAAAACTGTGAAGATATTTGTATCCCATGTGAGTGCTCACCAATGGGTGACCTCAGCAGAGGAAGATTTTAATAATCAAGTGGATAGGATGACCCATTCTGTGGACACCACTCAGCCTCTTTGCCCAGCAACCCCTGTCATCGCCCAATGGACCCATGAACAAAGTGGCCATGGTGGCAGGGATGGAGGTTACACATGGTCTCAGCAACATGGACTTCCACTCACCAAGGCTGACCTGGCTACGGCCACTGCTGAGTGCCCAATTTGCCAGCAGCAGCGACCAACACTGAGCCCTCGATATGGCACCATTCATCGGGGTGATCAACCAGCTACCTGGTGGCAGGTTGATTATATTGGACCTCTTCCTTCATGGAAAGGGCAGAGGTTTGTCCTCACTGGAACAGACAAACCCATTATTCTGGACATGGGTTTGCCTATTCTGCTCGCAATGCTTCTGCCATCCATGAACTCATGGAATGCCTTATCCACTGTCATGGTATTCCACACAGCATTGCCTCTGACGAAGGCACTCATTTTATGGCAAAAGAAGTGTGGCAGTGGGCTCATGCTCACGGAATTCACTGGTCTTACCATGTTCCCCATCATCCTGAAGCAGCCAGATTAATAGCATGGTGGAATGGCCTTTTGAAGTCACAATTACAATGTCAAATAGGTGACAATACTTTGCAGGGCTGGGGCAAAGGTCTCCAGAAGGCCGTGTATGCTCTGAATCAGCACCCAATATATGGTACTCTTTCTCCCATAGCCAGGATTCACAGGTTCAGGAATCAAGGGGTGGAAGTGGAAGTAGCACCACTCACCATCACTCCTAGTGATCCACTAGCAACATTTTTGCTTCCTGTTCTCTCGACATTACGTTCTGCTGGCCTAGAGGTCTTAGTTCCAGAGGGAGGAATGCTGCCACCAGGAGAATGCTGCCTTCCATTCCGTTAAACTGGAAGTTAAGATTGCCACCTGGACACTTTGGGATCCTCCTACCTTTAAGTCAACAGGCTAAGAAGGGAGTTAGAGTGTTGGCTGGGGTGATTGACCCAGACTATCAAGATGAAATCAGTTTACTACTCCACAACAGAGGTAAGGAAGAATATGCATGGAATACAGGAGATCCATTAGGGCGTCTCTTAGTATTACCATGCCCTGTGATAAAGGTCAAAGGGAAACTACAACAGCCTAATCCAGGCAGGACTACAAATGGCCCAGGCCCTTCAGGAATGAAAGTTTGGGTCACTCCACCAGGAAAAAAACCACGACCTGCTGAGGCGTTTGCTAAAGGCAAAAGGAATTCAGAATGGGTAGTAGAAGAAGGCAGTAATCAATACCAGCTATGACCACGTGACCAGATGCAGAAACGAGGACTGTAACTGTCATAAGTATTTCCTCCTTCTTTTGTTAAAACATGTTTGTGCATGTATATACTTGTATTAAGAAAATATCTTCATTTTATTTCCTTTATCATGTGACATAAGATTTATTGACTTCATATCAGTATTTAAGCATTGTTAACTTTATGTAATAGTATTTGGGTTGGGGATTGGTGCATTTCTGGTTGCATGAAGGATAGTTGTATTATGTTAGGTATAATTATGACCTTATTATTGCCTTTATTTGAAGATTATATATGATCTCAGGAGTTGTGTATAGGTTCCAGTTGACAAGGGATGGACTTCTGATGGTTAATACTGAGTGTCAGCTTGCTTGGATTGAAAGATGCAAAGTATTGATCCTGGGTGTTTCTGTGAGGGTGTTGCCAAAGGAGATTAACATTTGAATCAGTGGTCTGGGAAAGGGAGACTCGCCCTTTAATCTGGGTGCGCACCATCTAATCAGCTGCCAACATGGCTAGAGTATAAAGCAGGCAGGAAAACATGAAGAGATGAGACTGGCCTAGCCTCCCAGCCTACATCTTTCTCCCGTGCTGGACTCTTCCTGCCCTTGAACATCCGACTCTTGAGTTCTTTAGTTCTGGGACTCAGACTGGCTTTCCTTGCTCCTCAGCTTGCAGAGAGCCTGTAGTGATACCTTGTGATCATGTGAGTTAATACTTAATCAACTCCCCTTTATATATATATATATAAATATATATAATATGTAATATTATATACATTATATATAATATAAATATATAATATATAATATTATATACAATATAAATATATAATATATATTATATACAATATAAATATATAATATATAATATTATATACAATATAAATATATAATATATAATATTATATACATTATATATAATATAAATATATAATATATAATATTACATACATTATATATAATATAAATATATAATATATAATATTACATACATTATATATAATATAAATATATAATATATAATATTACATACATTATATATAATATAAATATATAATATATAATATTACATACATTATATATAATATAAATATATAATATATAATATTACATACATTATATATAATATAAATATATAATATATAATATTACATACATTATATATAATATAAATATATAATATATAATATTACATACATTATATATAATATAAATATATAATATATAATATTACATACATTATATATAATATAAATATATAATATATAATATTACATACATTATATATAATATAAATATATAATATATAATATTACATACATTATATATAATATAAATATATAATATATAATATATACATTGTATATAATATAAATATATAATATATAATATATACATTGTATATAATATAAATATATAATATATAATATATACATTGTATATAATATAAATATATAATATATAATATATACATTGTATATAATATAAATATATAATATATAATATATACATTGTATATAATATAAATATATAATATATAATATATAATATTGTATACATTGTATATAATATAAATATATATAATATATATTATATACATTGTATATAATATAAATATATATAATATATATTATATACATTGTATATAATATAAATATATATAATATATATTATATACATTGTATATAATATTATATATGATATATAATATTATATACATTGTATATAATATAAATATATATGATATATAATATTATATACATTGTATATAATATAAATATATAATATATAATATTATATACATTATATATTATATATAATGTATATAATATTATATATCATATATAATATTATATATTATATATAATGTATATAATCTTATATATCATATAATATTATATATTTAGAATATTATATATGATATATAATATATATAATATATATAATATTATATATATTATATATCATATATAATATTTTATATATTATATATGATATATAATATCATATATAATATTATATATATTATATATCATATATAATATATATAATATATATCATATATAATATTATATAATGTTATATATCATATATAATATTATATATAATATTATATATATTATATATCATATAAATATATAATATTTATATGATATATATAGTATTCA
Organism: Homo sapiens; assembly: GCF_000001405.40. Classification (NCBI taxonomy): domain Eukaryota; kingdom Metazoa; phylum Chordata; class Mammalia; order Primates; family Hominidae; genus Homo; species Homo sapiens. The sequence continues at coordinate 91,459,233 of NC_000001.11, read as the reverse complement.
TGATATATATTATATATATAAAGGATATTGTATATCCTTTTAATTCTGTCCCTCTACAGAACCCTGACTAATACAAAAGGGAACAAATGCTGTGTTCTCACATTGTGGAATAAATGGAAAGGCAAAAGGGCAAATGCTCTGTGAAGCCTCTCTTATAAGAGCCTTCATCTCATTCACGAGGTAAGAACCCTGTTGACCTAATAATCTCCTAAAGGCCCCACTTCTTAACATTATTGCATTGGAGATTTATTTTCAACATAAATTTTGGAGGAACACAAAGATTTAAACCATAGCATAGAGGGATCCATTGGCTGTCCTTATTGGAAACCTTTAGTTTCGTGTAGGAAATGCTGTTTTTCAGCTGCATTATTAAAAAATGCAGTTCTTTTAATTTTTGTTAATTTAAATTAGTTTTTTGCATATACATGACATTATAGTTTCTCTTTTAAATGTATCATTCTACTTTTATAATAAACTTAAAGGTCAATTTTGATAGAAAAATAAATGGACCCTTTCTGTCAAATTTATGCAGACCTCTTATTCAAACAAATTTCAGTGATCCCATGAGCTTTATGAAATAATTTCTTTTTATAATTTATGACATTTCAAAAATAAAATTTAATTGTTGCTTTGAGGAACTTGGGAACTTGGCAAAGTTGATAAATATTTCAAAGTTACAAATAATATTTACAGTGAAACAGGATAATGGAAATTGCAATCAAAATGCTATCAAGACGAGCATATAAAATGATATGAGCTGTTTTTCAAAAAGATATGTATTCCTGTAACTTGTTATCTTTCAGTTTCTATCATTAGAAAACATTAGAAACATGCAGGAGCTCAATTATTCCTCCAGGACATATGTGAATTAGATAATATACTTCAGTTCCTAGTGAGGAGATAAGAAAATTGAAGATCTTATTGGGCCCTCATTAAATGTCTCTTGCCAGTATTTCAAACACTTTGGGGAACATTCTCAGGAGAGAGTAGACTCTGCCTAGGGGAAAAAGAGTGGGAAATTAGAACAGATGTCATATTTTCCATTGCAAATAAGACCAGAAGATATGTTTTATTGGCTGAGTGAAGCAAAATCATTTTATTGGACCTCTCTGACACTTGGCAACACTGGAATCAAGTCAGTTCTTTCTCTTTAAAGCCAAGAAAGATAATAAAGTAGCAAACATGTGAGTAAACAGCAGGTGTGAGGAAAAAGCCTTGTCTTTTGGTTGATCTGTTCATTAACAGAATGAGATAAACATAGGCAAAGAAAAGGTAAAACAGTGCTTGTTAAAGGCAGTGGAAAACAGATTAGACAGCATGGTCTTTGTGATAATACACAACTGACTTTTCTCATAATAATAACAGCAGGACAAAGCATCTTATCTGGGTCCCAATAAAGTGCCAGGTGTTCTGCTAGGTGCTTTTACATGTATTACTTGAATCCTCACAATTGTCCATTGTATTATAACCTGAGTTTTGCTGGTGCTTGCTCTTACCTACTAACACAGGATATCAGCTCTTCAAAGCTCCCTCCTTTCTGCACGATATTTCTGGGAGTTCTCAGAAGGGACTTCACATGCATTCACAGACAGGTTCAACCACTGACCATCTTTGCTGGGTACCACTGTGTCTGTCATGGACAAATTGCTGCAGATTGTGGGCACAAGTATTGCTTTCCCTTGGGCTTTGGTGGATGTCATCACTGTCCTCCACTGCCACTCCTAATAGGTAGCATCTGCTGGACATCACTATTAGTTCCATTGGCTAGCACCATTGATGGCCGGAAGTGCTGAGGATTTCAGAGTTACATGGTGTTCTGTGGAGATGAAGGAGAGTATGCCTCTGCCACACACTAATAGTGGGCTGCCAGTGGAGCACAGCATTTTACAATGAATATGAGTCTCTCAGTTTTTGACTTCCTGTCTCTATCCCCTTTCTGCCAGAGTAGGTTCCATTTGACAAATTAGAAAGTGAGTCTCAAAGGAGTTAAGTAACTTGAGTTAGGTAACTTGCTAGAATCACATGGCTAGTAACTGGAGGAACTGAGGGCTGGACTTTGATTTGTTTAAAGTCTGAGCTTTTTCGATACACCCAATATACTATGCTGCCTCTCCATTCTTGGGTTCTCTTGGGTGCTTGATGGTTCTGAGGATTCCTTCTTTGGAAATTGAAACTCTCTCTTCCCTTTGCCTCCAAGCCCATACATACTCCAAATTATCTTCCAAATTCATCCTGCTTTGTTTTCTTCCCCAGATCCTCTTCTTCTCACCTATTAACCTATTGTTTGGCTCTCACCCTCTTTCCATCTTTCTTTACACTCTCCTTTAGACTCTCTAGTTTTGCCTATTGCCTTTAAAGAAACTTTCCCAACAACGTTCACTTAACATTTATTGAGCTCTTATTGCAGATGCTATGGTAAGCAATGGAAATAAAAATCTTCAAAGACAAGGAAGATAATAAAGTAGCGAACGTGGGTAAACAGACAGCAGGTGTGAGTAAATAGGAAGGAATTTATAGTCTAGTATGGAAAATACACTAATAATTAATTACAGCACTATATGATAGGTACTGTACTGCGAAAAGGCAGACATAGGGGGTGATGGGGCAACAAAAATCAGATTATAAAGGTAAAAAACCACAGGGAAGGGGCAAATAAATTACCCTGGGAACTAAGAGAAGTTAGATGAGCAGCCCTTGAACTGAGCCTTGAAGAGAAAGTTGGTATTAGATAGGTAAAGGATGGGGTAAAGGCAGAATGGGCTAAACAAAGGAAGCAACACTTACAGAGTCACACAGTCTTGAAGCTCTATTACCTGTTGCAGGAGCTGTAAGTAGTTCCATAAATTAAGGGTGTGTGGGAAGAAGTAAAAGGGAGTAGTATGAAGGTATCCACAGGCCAAAAATACTTCCAGCGGCTACACAGATAAAGCCAATGAGCGAAGCAGGCTGGGTAGATTACAACATGGAGAGTGAAGACTGTGACAAACCAGAGAGCACATATGCTGTCCCCATGAGTGACTGCTCCTCCCTCCAGCCTGAGTTGCCACTGTGAATACAGACCCAGATATGATGGATTGTTTTTTTTGTTTTTCAAGGGAAGCCTAGAATACAGATTTTTATGTGAATTTTCCCAATGATTAAAATACCATGTGGCCAAGCAAAATACATCTGTCTGCAACATATGGGACAAATCATGATGACCCATGTATGTTAAGATGAAGAGATTGAACTTCCTCCTAAACGCATTCAGCAGGACATCACTGGATGTTTTAAAGTGGGGATTTACATAATCAGACTTGAGTTTTGCAAAGACTACAGTTCACTGATAGAACTGTGAAGGATGGATCAGAGAGAGGCAAGACTGGAGAGTGAGTGAGCTGCTAGACATCTATAGTAGGAAACCAAGTGTAGCCATAAGAGCAGAAGCAGCAGTGGTGGAGAAAAGAGGGCAGACACAACGATGGCTTGGGATCTGCAGGGCTTGGTGACTGATTAAATAGGAAGAATAAAAAGATAGAGAAGAGGCAGAGTAATTTCCTTGCCATATGGGCCAATAGTTTTCTAGAAGCTGAAAAATATTTCCCCTTCTGCAAAAAGTTATGCAGTTCAGAAAGATAACAGCAAAATGTTCCAGAAAGTTGAGTCAAGGCTTGTGTAATGAAATGAAACCCAATGAGGGTGTTTATGAATGTGCTTTATGGACCCCACCCAGAGATTCATTGTGCTGGGTCCTGCGCTATCTCTTCTGCGTGATAGCTGGTTATAATCATGGATTGGGTTATTTTCCATCACGCAATTCTCCTTTCAGAATGTCTCTCTTTCTTACAGCAACCAATTTAGTTCACATCTTCAGGCCCTGGTTATTACAATAGCTACCTGGTTAGTTATCCTTATTCTTGATCTCCATTCTTCAGCTTGTCCCCAGGATGCTTCCTCTTTCCAACTATGACAAGATTAAACTCTTCTTCCTGGCTTTCAAGGCACTCCACAATTTGGCATCAACCCTTCCTTTGAACTGTATTCCTACATGCAGCCTGATTTGAATCCTATACCCTTTGTGAACTGGTCTACTCAAATCTCATTTTTGCCTTCAAGACTTGGCTCTGTTTGGAAAGCCCTAACTTCTCCCCTTGCACACAGGAAATGGTCCTTCCCCCCTGAAGTCCTCTATTTTGGTCTCATTGCTCCTCTTTCTCAGCTCCTAAAGCAGTTTGGACCTCTGCTAGATGGACCATAGGAAGAGTTCTTGAAGCCTTAAAATGCCTACCACATATAAGGAGTAGCCAGTCCCCTCTTGTGTATGCTGCAATGACTCCAGCAGGATGCTTCCAGTGAGCCCAACTCAGTGTCATGGTCATGGAGGAGTACACTGGATAGGGATTACATGTTCCAGAGGCAACTATATTTGGATTGAGTCATCTCTGAGATTACTTGTCACAAACCTGACCTCAAAGACATGTTTCAAATGATGGTTAGTCCTCTTTTTTGGGAAGGATAAAATGTTAGATGAACAAAGTAATTTGTATTTAGGTTGCTATCATGAGAAGAACGACATTCTTAATTCTCTGTGTAGCCATTACATTGACCAGTGCAAGAGGAATACCAGATCCAGGTACCCTGAATGGCTAATGAAGAAACTCCCTCTGCTACCCCAGATTCCAGCATATTTTTGCTAACAATCTGTATCACTAAAGGAAGTCTGTGCATGTCTTATGCTAAATCGAGCAGTTTTTAAAAAACTATAGTGTTGTTTCATGGGGTTTAGGCATCTTCCCAAGAAGACCTCAGAGATATTTCAAGTAGAAAGCACATGGGTAACTCCAGGCAAAAATCAGTTGGCTACCTTTCAAGAGGCTCTATAGGTTAGATTATCTTGGTAAATTTACCACAGCCCATGGTCTGGCTCTCAGTCTTGCGGGTTTTGAAACTGGATTTTATCAACACAATACAGATCTATTTGTCATTACTGGTTCACATTAATCAACCTACAAAGACTGGTGGAAAAAAACAGAACATCTGGTATTAGTAACTGTCCTAAGGACTGGAGTATTTTCTAGGAACATGAAATCTGAGTAAGAATTAGGGTAAGGAGAGTTCCATGTATCATAATGTTCATGAGAGGGAAATGGGTGAAGGTAATGTTATTGCCAAGAACTGCACATGACCTGCAGCTGACATTATTGCTGGGGCAGCTGGCAGTGAACTACTATCACTGGTGGGTGTTTATTCCAGATTTGATAGTCTTTCTTCAGCTCAGTGTTTGGCAATGAATGATCTATAATAGAGATATATCCATCCCAGGAACCAGGTACTTCTCTCTGTTGCTGAGGGTACTCTTTCTACTAAATGACGACAATGATAAATCACATCTAAGAAGTTGAATGATTGATTGGATGTGGTGAATGAGGTGAAAGTAAGAGTCATAACCCTCCCCTCCCCCCAGTTCTTTATGACTTGAGTAACTCGATGTGTAATGGAGCCATATGATTGTTCTCTAAGAGAATAATAGTTATCCGTTTTGGACATACTCAGTGGTTTAGGGATGCCTTTGAGACATCCAAATTGAAATGTCCTATAGGCAGTTCTATATTCAGATATGTTAACTCGCAAGCTTAATCTGCACCAGAGAGATAACTTTGGGATTTGTCAGTGTATAGATAACTAAAGCCATGTGAATTGATAATATTTCCTCAGGGAAATATTAAAGAGAACAGAGAGTAGAGGGCCTAGGAAAGAATTCTGAGGAATACCAACATTTACTAGTTGGTTAGAGGATGAGAGACTGACATAAGAGACTTAGTATAGCCAAAAAAGTAGAAGGAGAATCAGCAGTGTGTGCTAACATGGAAACCAAGACCAGAGACTATTTAAAGAAAGGTGTGTAGGCGCTTCCTGAATGGTGATGTAAATTCCAAGCATAAAATGGCTGTAGCTCTGCATAGAGTTAAGTGTCTCAAATTTAGCAAGATTCTACCTGAGCAGACATGGTCACTGGCAGCAGTGTTCCCTGTTAGGGACCTTAAGGAGCCTTGGAAAAATCCTCTGCATCTATGCAGCATCTGCCCTGCCATGGCAGGGGGCACTATGTTTGGTCTGCATTTATGTATAATTTTCTATATAAATAAGAGAATGAAGAACTTCATTGGATTAACAACAATATAACTAAAAAAAACTTGGTATTCAGCAGTATCTGGATCAAATGTCTTTGGTGAACTTCAGCATAGCAATGGGGGTGGAATAATGAGAATGGGCTGAGAAACCAAAGACTTGCTCCTAAAAGAAGGGTGTGTGTGTGTGTGTGTGTGTGTGTGTGTGTGTGTGTGTGCATAAAGCAAATATATACTACCAAACATTAGGGGAAGAACTGGATCAGAGTGTTGCAAAACACCCTTTGAAAAGTTATTTTATACTCAGAAATTTTACTTTAGTATGTTAGTTTGATCTTTCTTTTCAAGAGCCATTAGTGATGGCTTTAAAAAATTAAGTCTGAAAATGCTGAACTCTTTCTGGGAATATTTGATGCCTACAGAGTATGGCTTGGAACCCTGACACCAGAGGAATGTTGTCGTCATTGATTAAAAGCGAGTAGCTGCATATGGCCTGTCCACATTAAACTAAGGTCAAAGTTCAAAACTCAGAAATATTAAACACACACTTAGGATGACATCTGACAACCTCAGTCTGCAGGATGGAACTCTAATAAAAGTTAAAGGACCATGTGCTGCACTCAGCCACACACTCAACTCCCACTGCTATTGAGAGACATCATTCTTGGCTTAAACCAGCAAAGCGGGATATGAAGGCATGCCATTCACTTGTACTCCCTTTGGGAACAAATTAACTTTGAAAAATTCCCAGAGATGTCTGATTCATGAAGGACCATGTAAAAAGGAAAATCCAGATGCTTCCATGAATAGTAGGGCAGTAGACATTTTCTCCTCTTGGGGTGAAGAGGATTGGAGGGGTTTGGGGGCAAGGGGGCAATTCTCCTTAAACAGTCATCCCCACACCCACATGCTCAAAACCATTTAAAATGGCTCTCCAGGCTTCATATTCTCTTTCATCTAAACCCATAATTAAGAATGGCTGTTTTTAACTCACTTTCCAAAGAACAAGGGTGCCGTATACCAGGACGTGGTAGCTACTGCGGTGCAATAACCCCAGAATTGCAGTAGCTACTAACCTGTTTTCCTCTTGTACAATTTTCATTCATCTCTGGCAAGCAGGCAAATACTAATCCGTACTGAGACCTGGAAGGTATCCCAAAGGAATCAACCTGACTCCATGCTTTGCCTCTCTAAAATACCCCTAAATGGGACTGTGTTACTGGTGGGACCTCACCGTAATTTTGTAGAAGACCAGAGGCTTTGGCATCAGACAGATCTGGTTTCAAGTCCTAGCCCTGCTACTTGCTCTCTGTATGAGCACTTTGCTTTGCCTTGATTCCTGTTTCTTTATTTGAATAATGGGCACAAATAGGGTTATTGTGAGAATTAAGTGAGACAATTCGTGTAAAATCCAAACACAGTATCTGACATAGAGTAAGGGCTCTGAATAAATGTTAACTGTTAGATATATTAAAAGGGCTGGAAATTATTATAAATTTAGCACAGTTGGAAATAATATTTCAAGTGAAAAGCTATTGGAATCATAGGTTTCTTCAAAGAGCCTCATACATAATAGAAATGCTTTTCTAAAATTTAGAGAAACTTTAAAGGAACTTTGATTATGATTTCTAAAAAGGCAAGGATTGAGAGACTTTAATAAGACATTCCTTTATCATGACAAAACTAGCCTAGGAAAGCTTCATCCAAGAATTGTCACAGCATCAATTTTAGGAACTCAGGTTGAAACAACATGCCTCCCCTGCCTCAACCCCACTTTGCATACATGATGATTATAAAATGAAATAAAATAACAAATATAATTATGCTGTGATAAAAAGCATTTTAAAACACAGTACAGAAATAAGTAAGATTTGGGACGGGCACGGTGGCTCACGCCTGTAATCCCAGCTACTCAGAAGGCTGAGGCGTGAGAATCGCTTGAACCTGGGAGGTGGAGGTTGCAGTGAGCCGAGCCAGCCTGGGCAACAGAGCGAGACTCCATCTCAAAAAAAAAAAAAAAAAAAAAGAAAGAAAAAAGAAATAAGTAAGATTTGAAATTTTATATGATAATGTACATTCTGGAGGCCAAAATTTTTCAAATACAACTTTCATTTTTAGAAAAGAGAAAAGGGAAAAGAATAGTTATAAAGTAAATGGAATGCATTTAGTTAACTCTACTGGATATTTTAATTTTTTATAAAATGAATTCACCTATGTCTAACTCTACTTAATACAGTTGTTATTGACTAGAAATGCATAATTTTCTTACTTTCCATTTTTATTCATTCATTCACTTAATAAATATTTTTAAAACCTACACTAAAACTTGGTTTTTGTTGTGAACTGCACAGACTGTTTAATAGTAAAACATCTGTTTGACAATAGAATATCTCCATATACTGATAAAAAATGTCTATGCTGAAATCGCTTTTTTGGTATTTGTAATTTATTATGACCTTCCAAAAGGCAGACATTCGAGAATGAAGGTTAAAGTATTTGTATCTATGACACAAAATAGTGTGAGACCAGACTGTAAAGAATTTAACTTGAAGTGGATGTTCTTACAGTATACAAAACATGCCTTGTCTCATTTTACTTGGCCAAGGGTAATTAAGAGGATAAGCAACAGTATTGTCCAGAGGCCAAAAGAGCCTAGAGGCAAAAAAATTATAGATGGCTTCATAACACAGCTCAAGTTACTGGAATCTAGTAAAGGATGAATTTAGAAATACAGTAAACTTTTGTTTATCTTGGAATTCAAACAACCAGCATATGCAGATAATGAGAAAGCTCTTCCTTTCTATTCTGCACTCCATTTTTAGGAAACGAAACAAGTAGGAAATATGCTCTTGCCAGACTTTTGCAGAATTTTGGTTTAAAAATCAAAACCAGGGTATGCCATAGGGTCAGAACAGGTTAGGTGTAATTTTTCACATCTTCCATATAGCTATATGGTGAAAATTGTTCAGGGTTACATAAATCAGGTTTAACCAGGCCAACATTTCCTGTGCATTTAGACCAATTAGTCATACTTGCAATAAGTATGTATGCCCCCTGCCACATGTCAAGTATACAGGAGGCCCACGGTACAATTCTGTGCAAATTATTCAGAGAATGTACATGAATGAGGACTTTCATTTAAGGAAATAGTGAGAAATTAGTTTGGGAAAGTAGTTTGGAGCCCAACTCTGAAAGATTTTGAAGATCAGGCTAAAGGATCATGGAAGAATTTTTGTGACAAAGAATGATATGACCAAAGGAGGGTTTTATTGCACTCATTTAGAAATGGGTTGCAGGCTAGTGTTCTCCCTCTCTCCTTTCATGGGACCACTGGTGAAATAGGCAGAGGGGTGGGAAGTGAGCTGTTAGTGGCCATAACAGGACCCTTCATCTGAGATGGTCAGTGGCATTTGCTGGGCCAAAAGGAATAAGCTGAGTCACAAATCATAGAAGGGAAGTGAAGTTCAGTGTGCCTGGTGAATGGTCAAGGGGCACCAAATCAGCAAAGGGTAGAAATAGACACTGGGGTATGAACCAAGAATTTAAAACCAGGGAGGTGAAAGTGCATTGTGTTAAGTACATTATCCATATCTGTTACCCTCTAATAATAAACATATCACCTAACAAATAATCTGCTACTGTAGCTGCTATTATATTCATCTTATCTACTTGTGGTTGGTAGATTAATTGAAAATATTTCAATAAGTCTAAACCTTATTTTGTGAATGCAGCAAGGATACACTTAACTTTGCATCTTCTTTTTATGAAGTAATGCAAGCAGAAAAATATATAATAAAATTAAGGTTTTATAGGAAGATGTACATCATCTGTGTACCTGTGGTGCCAACTTTCTGGGTTCACAAAAGGGAATGATCATGGAAAGCAACAAAGGTCAGTAAGTTCTTGTGCTCACAAATATGAATGGAGAGAAGTTCCAAGGATCTGGACAGATCTGATATATCTGCTTTTTAAAAGCAGGACTTGGCTCAGCCCTGCGATGCCTGTGGACTTGCTACAAAAAGCTGTGCCTGAATTACTCATATTTAATTATTTTCTATCTACTTTCTCTCCAAATAAAGGACATGAGTTATCGTGGCATCAGGCATTTATATTTCACGAACTTTTTTTTTTAATTTTTTTTTTTTATTATACTCTGAGTTTTAGGGTACATGTGCACATTGTGCAGGTTAGTTACATATGTATACATGTGCCATGCTGGTGCGCTGCACCCACTAACGTGTCATCTAGCATTAGGTATATCTCCCAATGCTATCCCTCCCCCCTCCCCCGACCCCACCACAGTCCCCAGAGTGTGATATTCCCCTTCCTGTGTCCATGTGATCTCATTGTTCAATTCCCACCTATGAGTGAGAATATGCGGTGTTTGGTTTTTTGTTCTTGCGATAGTTTACTGAGAATGATGGTTTCCAATTTCATCCATGTCCCTACAAAGGACATGAACTCATCATTTTTAATGGCTGCATAGTATTCCATGGTGTATATGTGCCACATTTTCTTAATCCAGTCTATCATTGTTGGACATTTGGGTTGGTTCCAAGTCTTTGCTATTGTGAACATTTTTTTTAAAAAAATGGAGTTCTTGTTTTCCTTGTTCATCCCATGGTCAAGGTACTAGTGAGCAGAGAAATAACCTAAAGGCAAGTTGTACTTAAGAGAGGAATAGGAATCTGAGGTCTCAGAATTAGCCACAGAATTAATACTTAGGCCCAGAATAATTGCAAGTTCAATGAATATAAAGGAAAAGAAAATTAAATAAAAAGTATTTGTTAGAGAATTTTAATACTTTATGAATTCCAAGGAATTTTTATTTTTTAAAAATGGTATTTTAAAAAAATACTTTAAGTTCTAGGGTACATGTGCACAACGTGCCATGTTGGTTTGCTGCACCCATCAACTCGCCATTTACATTAGGTATTTCTCCTAATGCTATCTGGCCCCCAGTCCCCCACCCCATGACAGGCCCTGGTGTGTGATGTTCCCCGCCCTGTGTCCAAGCATTCTCATTGTTCAATTCCCACCTATAGTGAGAACAGGTGGTGTTTAGTTTTCTGTCTTTGTGGTAGCTCAGAATGATGGTTTCCAGCTTCATCCATGTCCCTGCAAAGGACATGAACTCATCCTTTTTTATGGCTGCATAGTATTCCATGGTGTATATGTGCCACATTTTCTTAATCCACTCTATCATTGATGGACATTTGGGTTGGTTCCAAGTCTTTGCTATTGTGAATAGTGCCACAATAAACATATGTGTGCATGTGTCTTTATAGTAGCATGATTTGTAATCCTTTGGGTATATACCCAGTAATGGGATCGCTGAGTCAAATGGTATTTGTAGTTCTAGATCCTTGAGGAATCACTACACTGTCTTCCACAATGGTTGAACTAATTTACACTCCCACCAACAGTATAAAAGCGTTCCTATTTCTCCACATTCTCTCCAGCATCTGTTGTTTCCTGACTTTTTAGTGATCACCATTCCAACTGCTGTGAGATGGTATCTCATTGTGGTTTTGATTTGCATTTCTCTAATGACCAGTGATGATGAGAATTTTTTTTCTTTTTTTTTGAGATGGAGTCTCGCTCTGTCACCCAGGTTGGAGTGCAGTGGCACGATCTCGGCTCACTGCAAGCTCCGCCTCCCGGGTTCGCACCATTCTCCTGCCTCAGCCTCCTGAGTAGCTGGGACTACAGGCGCCCACCACCACGCCTGGCTAATTTTTTGTATTTTTAGTAGAGATGGGGTTTCACCATGTTAGCCAGGATGGTCTCGATCTCCTGACCTCGTGATCCGCCCGCCTCGGCCACCCAAAGTGCTGAGATTACAAGCGTGAGCCACCGTGCCTGGCCGGATGATGAGCATTTTTTCATGTGTCTGTTGGTTGCATAAATGTCTTCTTTTGCGAAGTGTCTGCTCATATCCTTTGCCCACTTTTTGATGTGGTTGTTTTTTCTTATAAATTTGTTTAAGTTCTTTGTAGATTCTGGATATTAGCCCTTTGTCAGATGGGTAGATTGCAAAAATTTTCTTCCATTCTGTAAGTTGCCTGTTCACTCTGATGGTAGTTTCTTTTGCTGTGCAGGAGCTCTTTAGTTTAATTAGATCCCATTTGTCTATTTTGGCTTTTGTTGCCATTGCTTTTGGTGTTTTAGTCATGAAGTCCTTGCCCATGCCTATGTCCTGAATGGCATTACCTAGGTTTTCTTCTAGGGTTTTTATGGTTTTAGGTCTAACATTTAAGTCTTTAATCCATCTTGAATTAATTTTTGTATAAGGTGTAAGGAAGGGATCCAGTTTCAGCTTTCTACATATGGCTAGCCAGTTTTCCCAGCACCATTTAGTAAATAGGGAATCCTTTCCCCATTTCTTGTTTTTGTCAGGTTTGTCAAAAATCAGATGGTTGTAGATGTGTGGTGTTATTTCTGAGGCCTCTGTTCTGTTCCATTGATCTATATCTCTGTTTTGGTACCATTACCATGCTGTTTTGGTTACTGTAGCGTTGTAGTACAGTTTGAAGTCAGGTAGGGTGATGCCTCCAGCTCTGTTCTTTTTGCTTAGGATTGTCTTGGCAATGCGGGCTCTTTTTTAGTTCCGTATGAACTTTAAAGTAGTTTTTTCCAATTCTGTGAAGAAAGTCATTGGTAGCTTGATGGGGTTGGCATTGAATCTATAAATTACCTTGGGCAGTATGGCCATTTTCCTGATATTGATTCTTCCTATCCATGAGCATGGAATGTTCTTCCATTTGTTTGTGTCCTCCTTTATTTCATTGAGCAGTGGTTTGTAGTTCTTATTGAAGAGGGCCTTCACATCCCTTGTAAGTTGGATTCCTAGGTATTTTATTCTTTTTATAGCAATTGTGAATGGGAGTTCACTCGGGATTTTGCTCTCTGTTTGTCTGTTATTGGTGTATGGGAATGCTTGTGATTTTTGCATGTTGATTTTGTATCCTGAGACTTTGCTGAAGTTGCTTATCAGCTTAAGGAGATTTTGGGCTGGGACGATGGGGTTTTCTAAATATACAATCATGTCGTCTGCAAACAGGAACAATTTGACTTCCTCTTTTCCTAATTGAATACCCTTTATTTCTTTCTCCTGCCTGATTGCCCTGGCCAGAACTTCCAACACTATGTTGAATAGGAGTGGTGAGAGAGGGCATCACTGTCTTTTGCCAGTTTTCAAAGGGAATGCTTCCAGTTTTTGCCATTCAGTATGATATTGGCTGTGGGTTTGTCATAGATAGCTCTTATTATTTTGAGATACGTCCCACCAATACCTAATTTATTGAGAGTTTTTAGCATGAAGTGTTGTTGAATTTTGTCAAAGGCCTTTTCTGCATCTATTGAGATAATCATGTGGTTTTTGTCTTTGGTTCTGTTTATATGTTGGATTACATTTATTGATTTTTGTATGTTGAACCAGCCTTGCATCCCAGGGATGAAGCCCACTTGATCATGGTGGACAAGCTTTTTGATGTGCTGCTGGATTCAGTTTGCCAGTATTTTATTGAGGATTTTTGCATCAATGTTCATCAGGGATATTGGTCTAAAATTCTCTTTTTTTGTTGTGTCTCTGCCAGGCTTTGGTATCAGGATGATGCTGGCCTCATGAAATGAGTTAGGGAGGATTCCCTCTTTTTCTATTGATTGGAATAGTTTCAGAAGGAATGGTTCCAGCTCCTCTTTGTACCTCTGGTGGGATTCGGCTGTGAATCCATCTGGTAGTGGACTTTTTTTGTTGGTAGGCTATTGATTATTGCCTCAATTTCAGAGCCTGTTATTGGTCTATTCAGAGATTCAACTTCTTTCTGGTTTAGTCTTGGGAGGGTGAATGTGTCGAGGAATTTATCCATTTCTTCTAGGTTTTCTAGTTTATTTGCATAGAGGTGTTTATAGTATTCTCTGATGGTAGTTTGTATTTCTGTGGGATTGGTGGTGATATCCCCTTTATAATTTTTTATTGCATCTATTTGATTCTTGTCTCTTTTCTTCTTTATTAGTCTTGCTAGTGGTCTATCTATTTTGTTGATCTTTTCAGAAAACCAGCTCCTGGATTCATTGATTTTTTGAAGGGTTTTTTGTGTCTCTCTTTCCTTCAGTTCTGCTCTGATCTTAGTTATTTCTTGCCTTCTGCTAGCTTTTGAATGTGTTTGCTCTTGCTTCTCTACTTCTTTTAATTGTGATGTTAGGGTGTCAATTTTAGATCTTTCCTGCTTTCTCTTGTGGGCATTTAGTGCTACAAATTTCCCTCTACACACTGCTTTAAATGTGTCCCAGAGATTCTGGTACATTGCATCTTTGTTCTCATTGGTTTCAAAGAACATCTTTATTTCCGCCTTCATTTCATTATTTACCCAGTAGTCATTTAGGAGCAGGTTGTTCAGTTTCCATGTAGTTGAGCGGTTTTGAGTGAGTTTCTTAATCCCAAGTTCTAATTTGATTGCACTGTGGTCTGAGAGACAGTTTGTTATAATTTCTGTTCTTTTACATTGGCTGAGGAGTCCTTAACTTCCAACTATGTGGTCAATTTTGGAATAAGTGTGATGTGGTGCTGACAAGAATGTATATTCTGTTGATTTGGGGTTGCGATTCTGTAGATGTCTATTAGGTTTGCTTGGTGCAGAGCTGAGTTCAACTCCTGGATATCCTTGTTAACCTTCTGTCTTGTTGATCTGTCTAATATTGACAGTGGGGTGTTAAAGTTTCCCACTATTATTGTGTGGGAGTCTAAGTCTCTCCGTAAGTCTCTAAGGACTTGCTTTATGAATCTGGGTGCTCCTGTATGGGTGCATATATATTTAGGATAGTTAGCTCTTCTTGTTGAATTGATCCCTTTACCATTATGTAATGGCTTTCTTTGTCTCTTTTGATCTTTGTTGGTTTAAAGTCTGTTATATCAGAAACTAGGATTGCAACCCCTGCTTTTTTTTTTTTTTTTTTTTTTTTTTGCTTTCCATTTGCTTGGTAGATCTTCCTGAATTCCTTTATTTTGAGCCTATATCTGTCTCTGTACGTGAGATGGGTCTCCTGAATACAGCACACTGATGGGTCTTAACTCTTTATCCAATTTGCCAGTCTGTGTCTTTTAATTGGAGCATTTAGCCCATTTACATTTAAGGTTAATATTGTTATGTGTGAATTTGATCCTGTCATTATGATGTTAGCTGGTTATTTAGACCATTAGTTGATGCAGTTTCTTCCTAGCATCGATGGTCTTTACAATTTGGCATGTTTTTGCAGTGGCTGGTACCAGTTGTTCCTTTTCATGTTTATTGCTTCCTTCAGGAGCTCTTGTAAGGCAGGCCTCGTGGTGACAAAAATCTCTCAGCATTTGCTTGTCTGTAAAGTATTTTATTTCTCCTTCACTTATGAAGCTTAGTTTGGCTGTGTATGAAATTCTGGGTTGAAAATTTTTTTCTTTAAGAATGTTGAATATTGGCCCCCACTCTCTTCTGGCTTGTAGAGTTTCTGCCGAGAGATCTGCTGTTAGTCTGATGGGCTTCCTTTTGTGAGTAACCCAACCTTTCTCTCTGGCTGCCCTTAACATTTTTTCCTTCATTTCATCCTTGGTGAATCTGACAATTATGTGTCTTGGGGTTGCTCTTCTAAAGGAGTATCTCTGTGGTGTTCTCTGTATTTCCTCAGTTTAAATGTTGGCCTGCCTAACTAGGTTGGGGAAGTTCTCCTGGATAATATCCTGAAGAGTGTTTTCCAACTTGGCTCCATTCTCCCCATCACTTTCAGGTACACCAGTCAAACATAGATTTGGTCTTTTCACATAGTCCCATATTTCTTGGAGGATTTGTTCATTTCTTTTTAGTCTTTTTTCTCTAAACTTCTCTTCTCGCTTTATTTCATTAATTTGATCTTCAATCACTGATACCCTTTCTTCCACTTGATTGAATCAGCTACTGAAGCTCGTGCATGCGTCATGTAGTTCTCTTGCCATGGTTTTCAGCTCCGTCATGTCATTTCAGGTCTTCTCTACACTGTTTATTCCAGTTAGCCATTCATCCAGTCTTTTTTCAAGGTTTTTAGCTTCCTCACAATGGGTTCAAACATCCTCCTTTAGCTCAGAGAAGTTTGTTATTACCGATCCTCTGAAGCCTACTTCTGTCAACTCGTCAAAGTCATTCTCTGTCCAGCTTTGTTCCATTGCTGATGAGGAGCTGCAATCCTTTGGAGGAGAAGAGGTGCTCAGTTTTTAGAATTTTCAGCTTTTCTGCTCTGGTTTCTCCCCATCTTTGTGGTTTTATCTACCTTTGGTCTTTGATGTTGGCAACCTACAGATGGGGTTTTGGTGTGGATGTCGTTTTTGTTAATGTTGGTACTATCCTTTCTGTTTGTTAGTTTTCCTTCTAACAGTCAGGACCCTCAGCTGCAGGTCTGTTGGAATTTGCTGGAGGTCCACTCGCAACCCTGTTTACTGGGTAGCACCAGCGGAGGCTGCAGGACAGCAAAAATTGCAGAACAGCATATATTGCAGAACAGCAAATACTGCTGCCTGATCCTTCGTCTGGAAGCTTCATCCCAGAGGGGCACCCGCCTGTATGAGGTGTCACTCGGCCCCTACTAGGAGGTTTCTCCCAGTTAGGCTACACGGTGGTCAGGGACCCACCTGAGGAGGCAATCTGTCCATTCTCAGAGCTCAAACACCAGCTGGGAGAACCACTGCTCTCTTCAGAGCTGTCAGACAGGGATGTTTAAGTCTGCAGAAGTTTCTGCTGCCTTTTGTTCAGCTATGCCCTGCTCCCAGAGGTGGAGTGAACAGAGGCAGCAGGCCTTGCTGAGCTGTGGTGGGCTCTGTCCAGTTCAAGCTTCCCTGGCTGCTTTGTTTACCTACTCAAGCCTCAGCAATGGCAGACGCTCCTCCTGCTACCAGGCTGCTGCCTTGCAGGTTGATCTCAGACTGCTGCGCTAGCAGTGAGCCAGGCTCCGTGGGCGTGGGACCCGCCAAGCCAGGTGCAGGATATAATCTCCTGGTGTGCTGTTTGCTAAGACCACTGGAAAAGTGCAGTATTTAGGTGGGAGTGTCCCATTTTTCCAGGTACAGTCTGTCACAGCCTCCCTTGGCTAGGAAAGGGAAATCCCCAACTCCTTGTACTTCCTGGGTGAGGTGATGCCCTGCCCTGCTTTGGCTCACCGTCCATGGGCTGCATCCACTGTCCAACCAGTCCCAATGAGATGAATCAGGTACCTCAGTTGGAAATGCAGAAATCACCCGTCTTCTGTGTCGATCACGCTAGGAGCTGCAGACCAGAGTTGTTCCTATTTGGCCATCTTGGAAAAGACCCCACCTCCACCTTTTTTTTTTTTTTTTTTTTTTTAAACAATGAATCCTCTTCATTTTTTTCTCCTAATTAAACTTTTTTTTTTTTTTTTTTTGAGATTGAGTCTCACTCTGTCCCCCAGACTGGAGTTCAGTGGTGTGATCTCGGCTCACTGCAACCTCTGCCTCCTGGGTTCAAGCAATTCTCCTACCTCAGCCTCCAAAGTAGCTGGGATTACAGGTGCATGCCCCCACCCCCAGCTACTTTTTGTATTTTTAGTAGAGACTGGGTTTCACCATGTTGGCCAGGCTGGTCTTGAACTCCTGACCTCAGGTGATCCACCTGCTTTGGCCTCCCAAAGTGCTGGGACTACAGGCGTAAGCCACCACACCCAGCCATAATGAAACTTTTGAAAGACAATGAATGTCTTTCTAATGATGAAGCTACAAGTATATGGTTTAAAAAGATGTGTGGTAATGGGAATTAGACAGCTTATTCCTAATCACTACCATAGCAAGATAGTCTGAAAAATTTAAAAGGCAATAGTAATAAATAGCATATACCATGTGGGAAAAACATAAAATGGAGAGATATTAACTAAGATATATTAGCAGAAGTGAGAATAATCCTTTCTAAAGAAATCAGGGAAAGCCAATTAAAGCTTATTTGTTATGATTAAAATATTTCAGTTCCATACGCTTACTTGAAATAGTTCTCTTCACTTCTAGGGCAATTAATGCCAGAGTCACCAATTGCTTTCCTTCATTTTTTGAGATGATCAGGCCATCTAGTGGTAAAGAGACCTATCTATCACAATGGGCATTATAAATACCTTGTGGATTACATATGATGCTGTATGAGGGTGGGAGTTACAACAAAGAACTGTCACATAGAGATATCAGGTTAGCCTCAGACAGTATTTTGTAAAAAGTGTATTGTTTTTCTTAATGTAGAGAAAAGAGAAATTCACCACAAATACTGAAAAACAACACAAAGGGAGTAACTAGCTCAGTAATCAAAAAGTTAAAATAATTACTTTTATAATCAAAACTATGATTCATATGGTTGAATTTCTTTGATCAAACTAAGTATTGGAGCATCAATGCTGCTTCCTAATGTCTAAGATTTAGTCTTGAAAGATTTTAAAATTTGAATTATTTACTCATATCAACTGAAAATTGTAATTCCAAATAATTAAGGTTTATTAGTTGGCTAATTTAGGAAATAGGTCTTAGGTACTGGAGACTCTGTGTTGGGTGATAGAAAGATAACCAGTTAATCTGGCAGTTTGAACTCACTGGAGAATAAACATGAATTAGTTTTATGTTTCTCCAGTCACTGCTCTCTCAATAGAATCCTAGGCAGATACATAACTTGCTAGTTACCTTCAGTTATTAAACAATGTCTAGCCATTTATAAGCTCTATTTTCATCTTCCCTCCTTCCTCAGCCCCTGCTTAATTGTAACTCAAGGGACAAGGACAGGGAGACAAGAGCTGTTTGTTCACTGTTCTCACCTTCTTCTTCCTTTCCAAGCTCTCTTGAGTTTGAGGGCATGGAGGAGAGATTAAAAGGAAAGGGCACCAGTCTTTTTAACTAGTTGAGCTCATTACTAAAATTGCTATGCATTACTGCTTCTCTGGCAAATGTTGACTAGATATTTGTACCCTCTCCGTGGCAGGTTTCCTACTGCTGGTTCTGGTGGGAGCACTCGTGAGTTTCTTCAGGGGAACCATTTTCTTGACACCTTCAAGGGGTGGTGTACCCCATTGGCATACCCCCCTTGTCTCTTGCTGCTGGAGTCACTTCAACCAGCAGAATGCCTACTTGCTGGGGCATGAGAAACATGGCTAAAGTCCTCCTACTCTCTTGGTATTTGATACATGAAAACATGCAGTCTTGCTATGCTTATTTCCAACGACTGCTTCTCTCTACCCATCTCCAATTTCCTTTTCCTTGAAATGTAGTTGTGGGACAGGTCAATAAGACTACTGCCTAGGAAGTTGTCCACCTGGGGAATGAGATTCTAGTCTCCCTGTATTGTGAACACCCAAGTCTCTATAAGTTATTTTCTCGGTGCTCTATTTATGGCTTGGGGGTGGGGTCTGTCCAAAGAGAGTTTCTAGGCCACGGCACAGGAAGGGGGAACTAGATGGAGTCTTGAAGAATCCCTGAGTTGAGGCCTTAGAGTCCCGGGAGACCAAAGCAGATACAGTTTAATGGAAAGAATTTCAGAGAGAAGAGAGATGCACAGAGAGAACTCCAGATATCTGCAGAGGATCCCCTCGAATATTCAGCTGTGTACTGATAAGCACAACCATGTAAGGAAAGACTCTTACCATTAGCCAGGAAACATGTACTTTTGGCAAGGAAAGACCCAAATAAATCAGAAGTAATAGGGCCAGAAATAATGCCTATTCCTCACCAGCCAGACAGAAAAACTTCAAGGTTTATGCAGCACTGGTAGAGTATATAAAAGCTTCTGCCTCAATAGTTGGGAATAAGTAGGCTTAGATTGAGCACTGCTCTGCTTCCACCAGACAATCTTAAGAGCAAGATACAAAAGCACCAAACAGCTTCCAAATAACTTAACTGTCTTCTGGAATGAAGCCCAACAATGTTTATAGAATTACAAAAATATCTAGCACCCAACAAGTTAAAGTTCATGATGTCTGGAACCCAGTAAAAATAACCAATAACCAGCTGTACAGGAAGCAGGAAAATATGACCCATAATGAGGAGAAAATTAATCAGCTGAAACTGAATCATAACTGATATAGAGTTAGAATGAGCAAAGACATTAAAATGATTGTGATAGTTGTATTCCATACCATCAAAAAGCAAAATAGAGACCCAAATCTAATTTTAGAGATGAAACAATAATATGTGAGATAAAAATATACTTATACTGGAGAGAAGTAACAGCATATATGATGTTACAGAAGAAAAACTTAGTGAACTTGAAGATAATAATAGAAACAATCTAAAATGAGACAAAAGAAGGAGAATTAAAAAAACAGCCACAGGGGAACAGTCAGGCAGTCTAATAGACATCTAACTGGAGTCCCTGAAAGAGAGGAGAGGAAGGGAGAAATAGAAAAAAAATCTGAAGACGTAATAGCCAAAAATATTCCAAACTTGATGAAAAGTACAAACCCACAGAACAAAGAAGCTTAATGAACCCAAAGAAAATTGCAGAAAGGAACATCACATTCAAACTGCTCAATCCTATTGATTAAGAAAAAAAAAAAATAAAAGCAGCCAGAGGAGAAAAAAATCACTTTATGTACAAAGGAACAAAAATTAGAATGGCAGCAGATTTGTCACTGAAAGCAATGCAAGTGAGAAGATGGTGAAACAACATCTTTAATATATTGAAAGAAAAAAAATCCTCTGTCAACCTGAAATCTATATCCAGTGAAAATACCTTTCAAAAATGAAAGGAAAAAAAGTGCTTTAGCAGACATAAAAAGGCTGAAAGATATTGAAAGAGATGGGGAGAAAAAAAATCTGAAAGAATTCATCACCAGCAGAACTTTACTGCAAGAAATGCTAAAGGATGTCTTTCAGGCAGAAGGAAAATGATATCAGCTGAGAAACATAGATCTGACATTACAACAAATGATGACATAAGGAGCACAAAGGCTATGAGAAAAGAAATGGAAATATATTATTGTAAGTTTCTTACACTATACATGAAGTGGCAAAATATCACTTGAAGATGGATATCACTTATTATAAACCCTAGAGCAACCTTCACAACAAAAAAGATACAGCTAACAAGTTAACAAAGGAAACACATTATAATGATACCAAATGTTCAATTAATATGAAAGAAAGTAGAAAAGGAGGAAAAAGGGAACAACAAATAAATGAAAAAAACAGAAAACAAATAGCAAGATAATAGGTTTAAACCTAATTATATCAATAATTACATTGTTGTAGTTTCTTACTTTTGTATGAAAAATCTTAAATCTTAAAAAATGGAGTTTATGTAGTCATGTGCCACATAACAAGGTTTCAGTGAGGGACCACATGTACGACTGTGGTCCCACAAGTTTGTAGTATGTATTTTTACTGCACCTTCTCTATATTTAGATATGTTTAGATAACAAAAATACTTACCATTGAAACTACAGTAATATGTAATATTACTGTAATACTGTAAAATACACTAAAATACAGTAAAAATACTGTAAAATACAGTAATATGCTGTATAGGTTTGTAGCCTAGGAGCAATAGACTATAGCCTAGGTACATGGCAGACTATGTCATCTAGGTTTTCGTAAGTACATGGTGATGTTTGCACAATGACAAAATCACCTAACAAAGCATTTCTCAGAACATAGCCTTGTTGTTAAGTGACTTGTGACTATATATGCTGCATATTTTGTAAGGAAAAGACAAAGGGAAGGATTGCATTAAGCCAGCCTATCTAAGTAAGAAAGAAATCTAAGGGAGATTTTAGGGCAATGATGTGCTAGGTTGATATTAGACAAGGAGTTCCAGAGAAAACATGGCAAATGTTGGATGTAAGGTAGAAGCAAACTGGTATAAGAAGAATGGGTAGGGACGAGGATTAAGATTTTTCTAAAAAAGATAACTTGGGATGAGGCAAGTTGAATTACAATAAGAAAGAGTTGAGTCAGTGTATTAAAATCTCTAGATAATATTATAAACTGGAATAGTGCTTACTATTGATATGTATGTCTTAGGAAGACTTTTTTAAACTTGTGTTTTGCTTTACTCTGAGGATTTTTTAACCTTGTTATACTGATTCATTTCATTTAATTATCAAGCTTATAGAATATCATTAAAATAAAAAGTATTAAAAAGTGTGATATGACCTTCATGTTGGCTCTTTCCAGTGGCTAACTTATTACCTCCAGTAACAGTGAGAATGTATTACAGGGAAAAATTTTAAAGCAAGAAAAAAATTAAACTAATGTTATTTAATCTGGAACCCTTAGAAGGACTGAAAAAAGAATTACATAAAGGCCCAGGGTTTTTTGGTTTTTGCTATCCCCTTCCTGCCCCCCAAATAGTTTCCTGGTTCCATATGCATGTAAATAAAAAATAATTTTTGATAATATTGATAAAATCTGATGCTTCTGTATCTTCTCCAGAAAATAACAGTTTTCTCATGTTCTTCATATCACTTGTAGAAAGCGCTAATTTAGTACAGATAGGCACAAAGGACATACCATTATAAATATAT
Organism: Homo sapiens; assembly: GCF_000001405.40. Taxonomy (NCBI): domain Eukaryota; kingdom Metazoa; phylum Chordata; class Mammalia; order Primates; family Hominidae; genus Homo; species Homo sapiens. The sequence goes on along the minus strand of NC_000001.11, from coordinate 91,436,620 downwards.
TAAAACTTACATTCGTTGTTTTTCTCCTGACACATCAAATATTTGATAATAATGGGAATAATAACAATACTCACTTGTTGAACCCTTATAATGTAAGTTACTGTGACAGGCTCTACGTACATCATCTCATTTCTTCACCAACGCCTTTTCAGGTGAGTATTATTTCTCCCTTGTTACAGGTAAGAAAAGTGAGGTACAGAGAAGTTCAGTGACTCATCCCCGCGCACTCGGCTCCAACACGGGCTCCAACTCAGGTCCAGGTAATGCAAAAGCCCATGCTCCTAACCACAACCTATGCTTCTCCCCACAGCCATTCTCCTAATAATAAATGCAATGGGGATTTTCAAAGTCCAATTTTGGAATATAGTAAGAAAAAAATCAGATGCTCATTAAGCATAATTATCCCAAGTGTATGAGAGTTTCAAGGATAACTTTGTCTTAATAATAATTTTGTTCATAGATGAAGGAAGAAACTCCTGATTGACTTGAAAGAAACTAACATGAATTTGTTAAGCACCGACTATATGCAAATCTTGGAAAACACTATTTCGCATCATAATTTTTCCATAATATAACTTGGTCTCCTTAACTTTAATTTGTAAAAAACTGAAATCTATAAACTTTTCAGTCGTGAAGATTACACATTTCAAAAGATCTTCTATTGTACTGCTTAGGTCAAAAAGTAAACTATAATAAGATCTCTTGTTTTCCACCCAATTCCAGTAAGAGAAAAAGGCTGAGGATTTATAAAAATAATTATTTAAAACCCCAGTGTAGAACAAAAAACACACTGAGAGAAAACCTTACTTTTCACATAAATCCAACAGCTTGTCAGAAGTGTGGGGAAAACTCAGTAGGCAAATGTGAAATGTTTTTGCCATGCCCAGTAGACGATACACTGAAACCCTAAGACATAAAGCAACCCATCCAAGCAAGAATCGTCTAGGGAGAAGAAAATAACCAGTATATCACTTAAGGCATTGGGCTTAAAACACTAAAGGTGAGGCAAGACTTTAGAAAGGATTCTGTGGCTGTTGTTAGAATTTGCTCGGGGACTGTGGTTTAGTACTCCAAAGTAGCTAGTTCCCTGAAGCTGCTTTAGTCTAGCCCACTCTTCTCCTACCCTAGGAGCACTATGATTAAAGGGCTAAGAATCACAGGAAACAAGACCCTGTTTATTCCTCTTCACCCTTGAAGTTCTATTTCTAGTAAGCATCATTGTGTACTATGACTAGGCACCCCCCGCAAAAAAAAAAAAGAGAGAAAGAAAAGTAAAGAAACTTTTCCAGCATTAAAGATGCCAATTTTGCTGACTTTTAATTTTGAATTAAATCAACTGGACAAGTAGTATCATAAAGTTCTTAATTTTACCAAATAATAACAGTAATTTATCAACATCATTGTTATGAAACGTTTAGTTGATTTGTAATATTTAGCATGTTTTTCTTTTCCAGTATTTGGTATGGATACTGTGTTTACTCATTTTTCCTCATGAAGATGAAACTTCATATCAATGTTGGGTTATAGGCCAGGTGCGGTAGCTCATGCCTGTAATCCTAGCACTTTCAGAGAGGCTGAGGCAGGAGGATTAATTAAAGCCAGGAGTTTGAGACCAGCCTAGGCAACAAAGCAAGACCTTTTCTCTACAAAAAAATTTAAAAAAATTAGCCAGGCATGGTGGCATGTGCCTGTAGTCCCAGCTACTTGGGAGGCTGAGGCAGGGAGACCACTTGTACCCAGGAGTTTGAGGCTGCAGTGAGCTATGATTGTGACACTGCACTCCACCCTTGGCAACAGAGTGAGACCCTGTCTTAATTTTGTTAATTGATTAAAATTAAAATTATATTATAATTATAAACATTATAAAGAAGGTAATTATATATTATAATTATATTATAATATAAATATTATAAAGAAGGCATGCATACTTCTCATATTAAAGAAGTAATTATCATCCGGGCACAATGGCTCACGCCTGTAATCCTAGCACTTTGGGAGGCTGAGGCAGGCGGATCACTTGAGGTCAGGAGTCTGAAACCAGCCTGGCCAACATGGTGAAACCCCGTCTCTACTAAAAAAAAAATACAAAAAAAATTAGCCAGGCATGGTGGCGGGTGCCTGTAATCCCAGCTACTCGGGAAGCTGAGGCAGGAGAATTGCTTGAACTCGGGAGGCGGAGGTTGCAGTGAGCCGGGTTCCTGCCACTGTACTCCAGCCTGGGCAACAAGAGTGAAACTCTGTCTCAAATAAATAAATTAATTAAATTAAATTAAAAAAAGAAGTAATTATAATCCACCAGGAATTAATAAACACATTTTTAGAAAGGCATTGTATTCTTAGTTTTATTACTAGCAACAAGTCTTGTATCTTAATATACACTGTGGTTTTGAGTCTGACAGAAGTAACAGAGTGTTCATACTCAGTGCTCAGTTTCATCTTCAAAATGGTCCTCGGAGAAAAAAGCCAAAGACATCAGTACTAGCTCAGAGTGGTGGAAGTTGAATACTTTTTTTTTTTTTTTGACGGAGCTTTGCTCTTGTTGCCCAGGCTGGAGTGCAATGGCATGGTCTTGGCTCACCGCAACCTCCGCCTCCCAGGTTCAAGTGATTCTCCTCCCTCAGCCTCCTGAGTAGCTGGGATTATAGGCATGAGCCACCAGGCCTGGCTAATTTTGTATTTTTAGTAGAGACGGGGTTTCTCCATGTTGGTCAGGCTGGTCTCGAACTCCCAGACTCAGGTGATCTGCCTGCCTTGGACTCCCAAAGTGCTGGGATTACAGGTGTGAGCCACCGCACCTGGCCTCAAATTTTATTCTTAAAAATAAAGCGGGGTTAGAGGTCAGAATTCTTCAATAGTAAAAGATTCTTTGAAAGAGAGACTTCAATTGAATATGGCCCATCTAACTATCTTATTTATGTTTGATGATGTAAGGGCGAAAAAGTGTCATCCCAGGAGAAACTTTTGAAAGCTGTCATAATATTACTGTAAACATGTTCATATATACATACATCAGTATCCAAAATGTAAGTAGGGTATGTTTAATAGAATCAGATCCTGTCTTCTAGGAATTTAAATGTTAAAGTTGCTATTATTGACGCAAGCTAACAAGTAAACATAAAAAAGAGTGTGCTATACACAAAAGGATTAAATAGCAAAATATTTGTAGTTTACCTAAGTTCAGTGACCAACTTTGAGTTTTTGTGATGTGGGAATATGCTATAATTTTCTGACTCCCACTGTGGAGTTAAGTCTTCTACAGCACCCCTTTGCAGAGAATTAGCTAGCATTTTAAAGATTGTGATGTCCTGAAAGCGTTGAAAAAATAGCCTCAGCTATAGGCTTTCTAAGTATTTTACCCAATGTTGCATTAGATAAGAAACATCTTTTTTTATTCCTTCCTGAGAACACTCTTGAAAGAAACCTATAAAAGTTGAACAAGGCATACTCGTTGGAAATTGCTCTTGATCTTAGGAAGTAGTGTCTATTATTTGTAAAAATATGACCAACTTGTGAACATATCTGTAATATGAAAATAAATACAAGGCAAATGTTTCTATTTATAAGGAGAAAAACACTCTCATAATCACATTGATTCAGTTTATAAAACTTCTTGCCATCAATCTAATTAAATAAGCTACATAACCATAATCTAATTTTGTTGAAATGAAAGACAGTGTTCTAAAGGAATTGAGGCCAGGTGCGGTGGCTCATGTCTGTAAGCCCAGCATTTTGGGAGGCTGAGGCTGGCGAATCACTTGACGTCAGGAGTTCGAGACCAGCCTGGCCAACTTGGTGAAACCCCATCTCTGCTAAAAATACAAAATAATTAACCAGGCATGGTGGCGCTCACCTGTAATCCCAGCTACTCAGAAGGCTGAGGTGGGAGGATCACTTGAACTGGGGAGGTGGAGGTTACAGTGAGCCGAGATCACGCCACTGCACTCCAAACTACTCAGTAGGCTGAGGCGGGAGAATCTCTTGAGCCCAGGAGTTTGGGGTCAGCCTGGGCAACATAGTGAGACCCAGTCTCTTAAAAAAAGAAAGAAAAAAAAGAAAGTTGAAACTTTACAAATAATATGGCTTTACTTTAGATGTCTCTCAATAGAGTCTATAAAATATAATTTATGATAAAAGAGACTTAATAAGATCATAGGTTTTAAACAGAAATGCGCTTGAAAAGATTAGAAGTAATAAGTACACAAGTACACTGTGGATGACATTAGTTATATTTCAGTTTTTTTTTTTTTTGAGACAGAGTTTTGCTCTTGTTGCTCAGGCTAGAGTGCAGTGGCTCGATCGCGCTCACTGCAACCTCCACCTCTCAGGTTCAAGCGATTCTCCTGCCTCAGCCTCCTGAGTAGCTGAGATTACAGGTGCCCACCACCATGCCTGGCTAATTTTTGTATTTTTAGTAGAGACAGGGTTTCACCATGTTGGCCAGGCTGGTCTTGAACTCCTGACCTCAAGTGATCCTCCTGCCTTGGCCTCCCAGTGTTGGGATTACAGGCGTGAGTCACCGCGCTCAACCATATTTCAGATTTACTAGTAATGGCTTTGATAATGACTTTCTTGTATGTAAATTTTAAGTAATGTTATTTTTTCTGTTTCTGTGAATTATAGTAAAGAATTGATCGATTAAACATTTATTTACTTTTCTTTGTGCCAGGGATTGTACTATAAATATGACACATGCCTTCAAAAAATAGATATGTAAACAAATGGTAACAGTACAACAATATGAGTGCTACAAGCTAGCATAGAATTATGCACACGCTGCTGTGGAAACACAGAGGAAGGAAAGCCTCTCTAATTCTGGGAGGTAGAGTGGAGGTTGGAATACTGAGGCATTGTCAGGGAAGGCTTCCCAGAGCAGGTGAGGAACAGTGAAGAGAACAGAATATTGAAGAGAAATTATTTGCCAATCAGGTAACTGGGGGGAGAGAAAGGCATTTAACCAGAGAGTTCAGTAACTCTAAAAGCTTTGGACTCTAGCTCTCTTGGTAAATATGACAGCAACAAGTGTTTAGTATGGCTGGGGCAGACAGACCTACACTGAGAGGTTGGTAATTGATTTCACTTTGTTTCTCCTTCTCCACATCAACATTTATCAAGTCCCCTTGTTTCTATCTCAGAAATATCTCTGGAATATGGCTACTCTCTCTAATTCCATCTCCACTTCACCCACTCACTCCAAGCCACTATCATCTCTAATGGGGACCATTGCAATAGCTTCCTTAATAGGTGTTTCTGCTGTCACTTTTACTCCCACTAAGAATAATCATTTTAAAAAATCAGAAGCCAGGCACGGTGGCTCACACCTGTAATCCCAGCACTTTGAGAGGCCGAGGCAGGCAGATCATCTGAGATCAGGAGTTTGAGACCAGCCTGGCCAACATGGTGAAACCCCGTCTATACTATAAATACAAAAATCAGCCAGGTGTGGTGGTGCACACCTGTAATTCCAAGTACTTGGGAGGCTCAGGCGGGAGAATTGCTTGAGCCCAGAAGGCAGAGGTTGCAGTGAGCCGGGATCATGCCACTGCCCTCCAGCCTGGATGACAGAGCGAGACTCGGTCTAAAAAAAAAAAAAAAAAAAAAAAAAGTCAGATACAGTTAGTCCTTATTACGGCTCTGTGTAACACGGCTTCAGCCTGTCTGCTGCTCATGTCCTTCATAGCATGTATCTTAACCATATTAATTAATTAACTTTTTCATTTTTAGTTTTACTGACTACTAGACTGTGAACTTTAAGGAAAGCCATGCTTGTTTATATTCCCAGTGTTTAGCACAGAAGAGAAACAAACAAATAAGAAGAGAAGGAAGGGAAAGGGAAAGATAAAAAGAGATATAATGATTAAATGTAATGTGGTATTTTAAATGAGATTCAAGGAAAGAAGACAGATTAAAAACTAGGAAATCTAGATAAAGTATGGACTTTAGTTAATAATAATGTGTCAATATTGGTTTTTTAGCTGTGATAAATGTACCATACTAATGCAAAATGTTAATAATAAGGGAAAACTGCATTCAAAATATAAGGAATCCTCTATAATACCATTGCAACTTTTTTGTAAATGTAGAACTATTATAAAATTACCAGTTTATTTAAAAGAAGGAGGAAAGAAAGAAGAAGTAGGCAGTATACAGCTGAGGAAGTGGGCAGGGGTCAGTTAAGAAGTTTCTCATGTCATGCTAATAAGTTTGACTTTTTCTGAAGTGAGGGAATGAAATGATTAGATTTGCATTTTAGAAAATGTAACTTTAATGCAAAGATTGGCGTACTTTTCTCTTAAAGGACCAGGTAGTCAATATTTTAGAATTATGTGCCGTATTAGTTCCCAAGCCTGATGTAATAAAATGACCATGACTTTAGTGGCTTAAAACAACCAAAATTTATTTTCCCACAGTTCTGGAGACCGAGATACCAAAATCAAGGTGTTGGTAAGGCTGCACTGCCTCCAGAAGCTATAAGGGAAGACAAGGTTCCTTGTGTCTTCCAGGCGTTCCTTGGCTTCTTTGGCTTGTGGCCACATTACTCCAATCTCTGCCTTCATCTTTACATTGCCTTCTACTCCGTATGTGTCTTCTGTGTGTTTCTTTTAAGGACATTTGTTGTTAAATTTAGGGCCTACCTGGGTAATCCAGGATGAGCTCATCTCAAGATTCTAATTTAATTATATCTGAAAAGACTTTTTTCCAAATAAGTTAACATTCTGAGGTCCCAGAAACTAGGAGGTGAACATATCTTTTTGGGGCCATCACTCAACCCACTTCACAGGCCATGTAGTTACTGAGTTGAAACTACTCAGTACAGTAGCACCAAAGCAGCCATAGACAATACATAAATGAAAGAGTGTGACTATGTTCCAAAAAATTTTATGGCCTGGCTTTCATCCAAAAGCTATAGTTTGTTGATTCCTAATGGCAGTATAGAGGAACAATTGGAAGACAGCAAATTAAGGCAGTTAAACAAGTTAGGAGGGAATTATAATGGTAGCCATTAAGGATGAGGAAGATTTGAATAAGACAATGGCAACAGAGGAGAGGGAAAGGAATTGAGAGTTAGTGAATAGAATCAACAGAAGTGGGTGATAGATTGCAGGGGACGGATAATTAAAGTTCATTAGAGAGGTGGGAATTATGAGTCACATAGTAGATCAATACTTTCAGCTTTTCAAAGGAACAACTTGAGACTTTCTACTTCCATTGCTTGAGAAATATTACTTTTATCAAGACAAGTTTGTGTAACCCACACAGATGAGTACTGAAAAATAGAAAGGCTCAAAAAATGTTAAGATATTTTATTGTATAGCCAGAGACACAGTGTAAAGGATATTTTGAGGTCAGAGAAGACGATAGACGATAATTAGCCAGTTGGTTTATTTCTTCTTTTTTTTTTTTTTTTTTTTTTTTTTGAGATGGAGTTTTGCTCTGTTGCCCAGGCTGGAGTGCAGTGGTGCAATGTCAGCTCACTGCAACCTCCACCTCCCAGACTCAGGTGATTCTCCTGCCTCAGCCTCCCAAGTAACTGGAATGACAGGCATGCACCACCACACCCAGCTAATTTTGTATTTTTAGTAGAGATAGGGTTTCACCATGTTGTCCAGGCTGGTCTTAAACTCCTAACCTCAGGTGATCTGCCAGCCTCAGCCTCCCAAAGTGCTGGGATTACAGACATGAGCCATCACATGTGCCTGGTTTATTTCTTAGAAGGAACAAGACAGATCTGGCAAGATGGTCGAATAGGAACAGCTCCAGTCTACAGCTCCCAGTGAGACCAATGCAGAAAGTGGGTGATTTCTGCATTTCCAACTGAGGTACCCGGTTCATCTCACTAGGACTGGTTAGACGGTGGGTGCAGCCCACAGAGGGTGAGCAGAAGCAGGGTGGGGCGTCACCTCACTCGAGAAGTGCAAGGAGCAGGGAGCCTCCCTCCACCAGCCAAGGGAAGCTGTGAGGGACTATGCTATCAGTCCCAGATACTATGCTTTTCCCGCAGTTTTGCAACCTGCAGACCAGGAGATTCCCTAGTGTGCCTACATCACCAGGGCCCTGGGCAGCTGTTTGGGCAGGCACTGAGCTAGCTGCAGTTTTTTTTTTTCCATACCCCAGTGGTGCCGGGAACCCCAGTGAGACAGAACCGTTCACTCCCCTGGAAAGGAGGCTGAAGCCAGGGAGCCAAGTGGTCTCGCTCAGCAGGTCCCACTCCCACAGAGCCCAGCAAGCTAAGAACCACCGGCTTGAAATTCTTGCTGCCAGCACAGTAGTCTGAAGCTGACCTGAGACAATTGAACTTGGTGGGGGGCGGGGCATCCGCCATTACTGAGGCTTGAGTAAGCGGTTTTCCCCTCACAGTGTTAAGGAAGCTGCTGGGAAGTTTGGGGGAACTGACTGCAGCACGGCAAAGTGGCTGTGTCCAGACTGCCTCTCTAGATTCCTCCTCACTGGGCAGGGCATCTCTGAAAGAAAGGCAGCAGCTCTAGTCAGGGGCTTATAGATAAAATTCCCATCTCCCTGGGACAGAGCACCTGGCGGCGGAGGGGTGGGGGCGGTGGTGGGGTGGGGAGTGAGGGGCGGGGGCGGCTGCGGGCACAGCTTCAGCAGACTTAAACGTCCCTGACTGGTGGCTCCGAAGAGAGCAGCGGATCTCCCAGCACCACGCTTGAGCTCTGCTAAGGGACAGACTGCCTCCTCAAGTGGGTTCCTGACGGTCATGCCTCCTGACTGGTTGATACCTCCCAGCAGGGGTCGGCAGACACCTCATACGGGAGAGCTCCAGCTGGCATCAGGCAGGTGCCCTTCTGGGATGAAGCTTCCAGAGGAAGGAATAGGCAGAAATCTTTGCTGTTCTGCAGCCTCCACTGGTGATACCCAGGCAACAGGTTCTGGAGTGGACCTCCAGCAAACTCCAGCAGACCTGCAGCAGAAGGGCCTGACTGTTAGAAGGAAAACTAAAAAACAGAAAGCAATAACATCAACATCAACATCAACAAAAAGGACATCAAAACCCCATCGAAAGGCCATCAACATCAAAGATGAAAGATAGATAAATCCACGAAGATGAAGAAAAACTAGTGCGAAAATACTGAAAATTCCAAAAACCAGAACGCCTCTTTTCCTCCAAATGATTGCAACTCCTCTCCAGCAAGGGCACAAAACTGGATGGAGAATGAGTTTGACAAATTGACAGGAGTAGGCTTCAGAAGGTGGGTAATAACAAACTCCTCTGAGCTAAAGGCACATGTTCTAACCCAATGCATGGAAGCTAAGAACCTTGATAAAAGTCTGCAGGAATTGCTAACTAGAATAACCAGTTTAGAGAAGAACATAAATGACCTGATGGAGCTGAAAAACACAGCATGAGAACTTCATGAAGCATACAGAAGTATCAATAGCCGAATCAATCAAGTGGAAGAAAGGATATCAGAGATTAGAGATCAACTTAATGAAATAAAGCATGAAGACAAGATTAGAGAAGAATGAATAGAAAAGAATGAACAAAGCCTCCAAGAAATGTGGGACTATGTGAAAAGACCAAACCGACGATTGAAAGTGACAGGGAGAATGGAATGAAGTTGGAAAACACACTTCAGGTTATTATCCAGGAGAACTTCTCCAACCTAGCAAGATAGGCCAACATTCAAATTCAGGAAATACAGAGAACACCACTAAAATACTCCTTGAGAAGAGCAACCCCAAGACACATAATCATCAGATTCTTCAAGGTTGAAATGAAGGAAAAAATGTTAAGGGCAACCAGAGAGAAAGGTCAGGTTACCTACAAAGGGAAGCCCATCAGACTAACAGTGGATCTCTTTGCAGAAACCCTGAAAGCCAGAAGAGAGGGGGGGTCAATATTCAACATTCTTAAAGAAAAGAATTTTCAACCCAGAATTTCATATCCAGCCAAACTAAGCTCCATAAGCAACAAATTGACAGAAGTAGGTGAAGGAGAAATAAAATCCTTTACAGACAAGCAAATGCTGAGGGATTTTGTCACTACCAGGCCTGCCTTACAAGAGCTCCTGAAGGAAGCACTAAATATGGAAAGGAAAAACTGGTACCAGCCACTGCAAAAACATACCAAAATATAAAGGCCAATAACACTGTGAAGAAACTGCATCAACTAATGTGCAAAATAACCAGCTAGCATCATGATGGCAGGATCAAATTCACACATAACAATATTAACCTTAAGTGTAAATGGTCTAAATGCCCCAGTTAAAAGACACAGACTGGCAAATTGGATAGAGTCAGGACCCATTGGTATGCTGTATTCAGGAGACCCATTTCATGTGTAAAGACACACATAGGCTCAAAATAAAGGGATGGAGGAATATTTACCAAGCAAATGGAAAGCAAAAAAAAGCAGGGGTTGCAATTCTAGTCTCTGATAAAACAGACTTTAAACCAACAAAGATCAAAAAAGACAAAGAAGGGCATTACATAATGGCAAAGGGATCAATGCAACAAGAAGAGCTAACTATCCTAAATATATATGCACCCAATACAGGAGCACCCAGATTCATGAAGCAAGTTCTTAGAGACCTACAAAGAGACTTAGACTCCCACACAATAATAGTGGGAGACTTTAACACCCCACTGTCAATATTAGATCAACAAGACAGAAAATTAACAAGGATATTCAGGACTTGAAATCAACTCTGGACCAAGTGGACCTAATTGACATAATCCATCACATAAACATAACTCTCAACCCCAAATCAACAGAATATACATTATTCTCAGCACCACATAGCACTTATTCTAAAATAGGCCACATAATTGGAAGTAAAAGACTCCTCAGCAAATGCAAAAGAACAGAAATCATAACAAACAGTCTCATAGACAAACAGTTCAAAGAACAGAAATCATAACGAACAGTCTCTTAGACAACAGTGCAATCAAATTAGAACTCAGGATTAAGAAACTCACTCAAAACTGCACTACATGGAAACTGAACAACCTGCTCCTGAATGACTACTGGGTAAATAATGAAATGAAGGCAGAAGTAAAGATGTTCTTTGAAACCAATGAGAACAAAGATGCAATGTACCAGAATCTCTGGGACACAGCTAACGCAGTGTTAAGAGGGAAATTTATAGCACTAAACACCCACATCAGAAAGCAAGAAAGATCTAAAATTGACACCCTAACATCACAATTAAAAGAACGAGAGAAGCAAGAGCAAACACATTCAAAAGCTAGCAGAAGGCAAGAAATAACTAAGAGCAGAACTCAAGGAGATAGAGACACAAAAAACCCTTCAAAAAAATCAATGAATCCAGGAGCTGGTTTTTTGAAAAGATTAACAAAGTAGATAGATTGCTAGCCAGACTCATAAAGAAGAAAAGAGAGAAGAATCAAATAGATGCAATAAAAAATGATAAAGGGGATATCACCACTGATCCCACAGAAATACAAACTACCATCAGAGAATACTATAAACACCTCTATGCAAATAAACTAGAAAATCTAGAAGAAATAGATAAATTCCTGGACATGTACACCCTCCCAAGGCTAAACCAGGAAGAAGTTGAATCCCTGAATAGACCAATAACAAGTTCTGAAATTGAGGCAGTAATTAATAACCTACCAACCAAAAAAAAGCCCAGCACCAGATGGATTTACAGCCGAATTCTACCAGAGGTACAAAGAGGAGCTGGTGCCATTCCTCCTGAAACTATTCCAAACAATAGAAAAAGAGGGACTCCTCCCTAACCCATTTTATGAGGCCAGCATCATCCTGATACCAATACCTGGCAGAGACACACACACACAAAAAGAAAATTTCAGCCCAATATCCCTGATGAACATCAATGCGAAAATCCTCAATAAAATACTGGCAAACTGAATACAGCAGTACATCAAAAAGCTTATCCACCACAATCAAGTTGGCTTCATCCCTGGGATGCAAGGCTGGTTCAACATATGCAAATCAATAAACGTAATCCATCACATAAACAGAACCAACGACAAAAACCGCATGATTATCTCAATAGATGCAGAAAAAGTTTTCAACAAAATTCAACATCTCTTCACGCTAAAAACACTCAGTAAACTAGGTATTGATGGGACATATCTCAAAATAATAAGAGCTATTTATGACAAACCCACAGCCAATATTATACTGAATGGGCAAAAGCTGGAAGCATTCCCTTTGAAAACTGGTACAAGACAAGGATGCCCTCTCTCACAACTCCAATTCAACATAGTATTGGAAATTCTGGCCAGGGAAATCAGGCAAGAGAAAGAAATAAAGGTATTCAAATAGGAAGAGAGGAAGTCAAATTGTCTCTGTTTGCAGATGAGATGATTGTATATTTAGAAAACCCCATCATTTCAGCCCCAAAACCCCTTAAGCTGATAAACAACTTCAGCAAAGTCTCAGGATGCAAAATCAATGTGCAAAAATCACAAGCATTCCTATACACCAATAATAGACAAACAGAGAGCCAAATCATCAGTGAACTCCCATTCACAATTGCTACAAAGAAAATAAAATACCTAGTAATACAACTTACAAGGGATGTGAAGGACCTCTTCAAGGAGAACTATAAACCACTGCTCAAGGAAATAAGAGAGGACACAAACAAGTGGAAAAACATTCCATGCTCATGGATAGGAAGAATCAATATCGTGAAAATGGCCATACTGCCCAAAGTAATTTATAGATTCAATGCTCTTCCAATCAAGCTACCATTGGCTTTCTTCACAGAATCAAAAAAACTACTTTAAATTTCATATGGAGCCAAAAAAGAGCCTGTATAGCCAAGACAATCCTGAGCAAAAAGAACAAAGCTGGAGGCATCAAGCTACCTGACTTCAAACTATACTACAAGGCTACAGTGACCAAAATAGCATGGTACTGTTACCAAAAGAGATATATGGACCAATAGAACAGAACAGAGGCCACAGAAATAACACCACACATCTAAAACCATGTGATCTTTGACAAACCTGACAAAAACAAGCAATGGGGAATGGATTCCCTATTTAATAAATGGTGCTGGGAAAACTGGCTAGCCATATGCAGAAGACTGAAACTGGACTCCTTCCTTACACCTTATACAAAAATTAACTCAAGATGGATTAAAGACTTACATGTAAAACCTAAAGCCATAAAAACCCTAGAAGAAAACCTAGGTAATACCATTCAGAACATAAACATGGGCAAAGACTTCGTGACTAAAACACCAAAAGCAATGGCAACAAAAGCCAGAATTGACAAATGGGATCTAATTAAACTAAAGAGTTTCTGCACGGCAAAAGAAACTATCACCAGAGTGAACAGGCAACCTAAGGAATGGGAGAAAATTTTTGCAATCTACCCATCTGATAAAGGGCTAATATCCAGGATCTACAAAGAACTTAAACAAATTTATGAGAAAAAAACAAACAACCCCATCAAAAAGTGGGCAAAGAATATGAAGAGAAACTTCTCAAAAGAAGACATTTATGCAAACCACAAACATGAAAAAAAGCTCATCATCACTGATCACTGGGGAAATGCAAATCAAAACCACAATTAGATACCATCTCAGGCAAGTTGGAATGGTGATTGTTAAAAGTCAGGAAACAACAGATGCTGGAGAAAATGTGGAGAAATAGGAATGCTTTTACACTGTTGGTGGGCATGTAAATTAGTTCAACCATTGTGGAAAATAATGGTGATTCCTCAAGGATCTTGAACCAGAAATATCATTTGACCCAGCAATCCCATTACTGGGTATATACCCAGAGGATTATAAATCGTTCTATAAAGACACATGCACACGTATGTTTATTGCAGCACTATTCACAATAGCAAAGACTTGGAACCAACCCAAATACCCATCAATGTTAGACTGGGTAAAGAAAATGTAGCACATATACACCATGGAATACTATGCAGCCATAAAAAAGAATGAATTCGTGTTCTTTGCAGGGACATGGATGAAGCTGGAAACCATCATTCTCAGCAAACCAACACAGGAATAGAAAACCAAGCACCACATATTCTCATTCATAAGTGGGAGTTGAACAATGAGAACGCATAGACACAGGGAGTGGAATATCACACACCAGGACCTGTCATAGGGTGGGGAGCCATGGGAGGGAGAGCATTAGGACAAATACCTAATGCATGTGGGGCTTAAAACCTAGATGATGGGTTGATGGGTGCAGCAAACCAACATAGTACATATATACCTATGTAAAAAACCTGCACGTTCTGCACATGTATCCCAGAACTTGAAGTATAATAAATAAACTTTTTTAAAAAGAAGGAACAAGACAGTGCTAGGAAGAATGTCTTTTCTTATTAAAGGTGTCAGTGTGTAAATAGTTCCCCCCATCATGCGAAGAGTAAGATGGCTGAGGTTATTATTTATAATTACTATGTATATATCCACTTACAGTTTATAAAGTTGTGGCATAATACATCATGTCATTTGATCCTCACATCTCTGAGGTAAGGAGGACAGATATTATTATTATACCTGAAGTGAAGAGAAGTTAAGTAACATTTTCAAGGTCACACAGATAGCAAACAATTGTGTGCAGATGCATTCTGCTTTCCTTATTTCAAATCTTGGGCTATTTCCTTTGCACTGTCTATGAAGTTGGATCAGAGAACTGTGACAATGTGTGGCCCATAAAGCTGGGTTGGTCAGCATGACCAGGAAGATAAAGATGAGATTAATGAGCTTCTTAACTAGGAAGCTGGGGTGGCCTTCCACCTGTCCTTAAAGGGCAGGTGGCCAAAATAAAAAATGCAGCCTTGAGAGCAAAAGCAGAACACAGCATGGGCCAAAATGATGAGAGAAACTGGACCCAGAGCAGGGTTACAAAGATTATGGAGTGCAGAGATAAAGCAGCAATGTCATGAATGTAACCCAAAAGAGTGGGTGCCAAACTCACCAGTGCAGCAGTTACTTGCAGAGCTTGTTAGCAATGTAGCTTCTCCAGCTGTAATTTAGGACTTCGGCTTAGAACCGAGTCTGCTGATTCAGCCAATCTGGGCTGGGGGTGGGGGGACATGAAAAACCCCCTTTCCCACCCTAGAAAATCTGATAGAAAACATCCATTAAATAAGCCAGAGAATAAAAGCAGCAGAAAACATCTAGAGAGATTTTTGATGTTAGGGTAGCAAAATGTTGGCAATATAATAACATAATTTTAAGAAAAAGCAGAGGGGGTCTAGGCCTCTTTTAGAAAATAATTTAATAATATTTGTTGACACCTGCCTTGTACACAGTAATAGGCTAGATACTAGGAGTGCAGAAGTGAGTTAGAAATTAAGACAGACTTGGTCCTCATTCTCAGGGCGCTAACACTGTAGATGGAAGACTGATACTAAATAATTATATAGTTACTGTATAATGTTTTATTATGCAACAGTATGAATGTAAGAATGGAGGATGTCAAAATAGGGACAGGCAACAGGGGAGCCTGACCCTGTCTGGGAGATCAGTCAAGGATCATCCCCTGAGGAAACAGCATATGATTTCAGATCTGAAGAATTAGTAGGACTGGTCAAGAAAAGGGGGTAAGGAGTGCAAAATAGGTACCTCAGTAGAATATTAATTTGCTGCTTCAAAAAATATTTACTGAGAACCCACAATGTGCCGAGTATTCTTCAGTTCTGGAATACAGCATTAAATAAGATGAATAAACATTGAGCTTTACATCCCAGTTTATGAAACAAGACAAAATTTAAAATTTAATAAACAGGAAATCAGCTGATAATAACAATATTGTAAGATTTCAGTTCTCCCCAAATCAATCTGTTGACTCAATGCAATGCCAATAAAAATCCCAGCGGGACTTTTTGTGGAATTTGACAAACCAATTCTCAAATTTATATGGAAACTCATATAAAAAGGAAGTCTTAAAGAATAAGGTTAGAAAACCTCTATTACTGAATACCAAGACTTATTTTAAAGTGGTAATTTAGACAATGTGGTATTGGCATAACGATAGAAAAACAGACAATGGAACACTCTAGAGCTCAAAAACAAACTCACCTTTGGTATATGACAAAGGTGCCCCTGTAGTTTTGTGAGGGAAAAGGTGGTCTTTTCAATAAATAGTGCCAGATTAATTGAATATTCATATGGAAAATTAATACACAAAATCAATACTTGTGCAAATGAAAGCAGTAACACTTCTAGAAGATAACATATAGCTTTATGACCTGGGATAGGCCAAGATTTCTTAAACCAGGAGCTAATCAAAAAGGAAAATATTGATAAATTGAGCATCACTAAAATGAAGAATTTCCATTTATCAAAGGACCTTATTTAGAGGAGGTAAAAATTGGGACAGGCATTTGGTATATGCCCCCCAAAAGTTACATAAATGGACAATAAAATGTGAAAAAGTGCCCAGGCTCCTTGGCAATAAAAGAAATATAAATTAGGCCGGGCGCGGTGGTTCATGCCTGTAATCCCAACAGTTTGGGAGGCTGAGGCGGGTGGATCATCTGAAGCCAGGAGTTCGAGACCAGCTTGGCCAACATGGTGAAACCCCATCTCTACTAAAAATACAAAAAGTTAGCCCGGCGTGGTGGCACATGCCTGTAATCCCAGCTACTCAGGAGACTGAGGTGGGAGAATTGCTTGAACCCGGGAGGCAGAGGTTGCAGTGAGCCGAGATCATGCCATTGCTCTCCAGTGTGGGTGACAGAGGGAGACTCCAGAAAAAAAAAAAAAAAGGCGGGGAGGAAATATAAATTAAAACCACAGTGGGATACTACCTCACACTTTCCAGAATACTACCAAGAATTAGGTAGGGTGCGGTGACTCACATCTGTAATACCAGCACTTTGAGAGGCCGAGGCAGGTGGATCACCTGAGCTCAGGAGTTGAGACCATCCTGAGCAACATGGCGAAACCCCGCCTCTACCAAAAATACAAAAATTAGCTGGGCAAGGTGGTGTGCACCTGTAGTTCCAGCTACTCTGGAGGCTGAGGTAGGAGAATAGCTTGAACCTGGGAGGCGGAGAGCCAAGATTGTGCCACTCCACTCTAGCCTGGGTGACAGAGTGAGACTATCTTAAAAAAAAAAAAGTGGAATTAGCTAGGGTGTGGAGCAATTAGTCAAAGTGTAAATTGGTACAACCATTTTGAAAAATAGCTTGGCAGTATCTGCTAAAACTGAACATGTGCATGTTGTATGACCCAGAGATTCTGCTCCCAGTTATAAACCAGACAGAGATACATTCATAAGTGCACTAAGAAACATGTGTATGAATGTTCACAGCAACATTATTTGTAATAGCTCCCAAACAGGAAAAACCAAAATATCTATCAACAAAAGAATGCATAAACAAATTTGGTTTATTCTTAAATTGGAACACTAGACAGCAATGAAAGTCAACAAATCTACTACATGAAATAATCATAAGCATGAACATAATATTGAGCAAAGGAAGGCAGTAACATAAGAGTACATATTATATGATTCAATTTATGTAAAGTTCAAGTACAGGCAATATTTATTTATGGAAGTTGTATTGGAGGGAGATTTTTTATTTCTTGATTGTGGGATGGGATGGGAATACAAAAGTGTTCACTTTGTAAAAAATCATGAAGCTATATACTTAAGATTTTTGTACTTTTCTGTATGTAGGTGTGCTAGAACTCAATTAAAGCATTTGCTTAAGAATTAAGACGTCCAAACCTCTAAATCTCTCTCCTTAGTGAGAGGGCATTGGTGGCTATAACCTCAATAGCAACTTATTAAGAAAAATTAGTAGCAGAAATTATTAGAGTTAAACATTTCAGAAAAAGTGTTTAAAATTTATCTTTTGTGTGATTTAATTAATTTCATACAATTACTTTTATTCTAACATCCCAATTAGAGGATATTCAGGTATAACTGAAGAAAAATTACATGGTGTATTAGGGTAGGTGAAGCTACAATGTGGTAACAATGTTCTCCCCTCCCCTTCACCTCCCTGCTCCCAAATCTCAATGGCTTAAAACAACAAAAGTTTATTTCTTGCACTTAACAGTCTAATGAGATGTTTGACACGTGGCTTTCCACTTGATTCAGGGACTCAGGCTCTTTCTGTCTCATGACTCTGCTTTCTTCTAGGATCTTGAGTTCCTCCTGGATCCTCTGTCTGGACAGCCAAGGAGCAAATAGAAAGTGGAAAAGACATACTATTTGTTAACCGCCTTGGCCCTGGGATGACACATCCCTTCCAATCACACAGTAAGAATTAGTCTCTTGATCCTGTAAAAGACAGCGGGACTGGGAAATGTAGTAAACACTGTGCAGAAGAAGAACAAACACATTTAGTGAGGCTCCAGATATCTCTGACACATCTGGAACCCAAGACAGACCATGAGGTCACTAGAGAAATGCTCAACAAAGAACTGCCAGGGAATGGGCATTCTAACAGAAAGAGTTACAAAATGGCATCTTAATCAGGAATCCTGTCGCATTCAGAGATTAAAAAAAAAGTAGGAAAAGGAACAGCCTTTCATGATTTCAAAGAAAGAGGTTTTTGTGAGGGAGATAGTAATTAGAAGAAAAATTGAGATGGAGCCTCTATCGTATTAGAGGAAGAAATATATCAAGGTTAAATATTTGAAGCAGACTGTTGGGAAGTTAGTGAATTCTTGAGATACTGTACAGGTCAGTGAGACTTTAAGGAGAGGGAAACAAAACAGAGAGACAAGGCAGGCAGGACTATAAAATATTTTGCATTCTTTTGCCCTCGAGAGTAAGGAAGTCAAGAATATAGTACATATTTCACCAAAAGAGTTAAATTCTCACAGGAAAACCTCAGGTTTTACCCACTTCCCAACATCCCTGACAATGGAAGCTGTACTTAATGGTAATAATTATAATAAAGAAAAACATGTAGGAAACAGTAATTAGACTCTGATGTGAATGCCACCTCTTGGAGTTGTTCAAAATGGTGTTCCTAAACACTTAGCTTCGCTTTGGGAGAAGACTGGGGACAAGAGGGTGGGGTTTATGTCTCAGAAAATAAGGTCGGGAGGTGAAGAATGTGTTATTTTAAGACAGTTAATTTTGGTCTTCTCATGTAAGAGAGCTACTGGGAATTAAGCATATCTGTTATTTCTTCTGTCAACCTTGGTCAAAGTTGCTGTAGACAATAACTTGTATCTACATTGTCTCTCTGCCTAATCAACTCACATAGCTGCCTAGAAGGAATCTTACACTTGGAATGACAGGTGCACATTCTTCTGGTGCCCTGTGTAAAGGACATGGAATTGTAGAATCTGCTGCTTTGACTATTCTCCCTGTCCTTATTACCACCTAGAAGCGCTGAGACTGAACCCAAGGTGTGTTAGGATAAGGCTAGCCTGCTGAAACAAAGACTACATAAATTCAGTTTTTTTAAAAGAAGGTATATTAGTCTGCTCTCACACTGCTATAAAGAAATACCCGAGACTGAGTAATTTATAAAGGAGAGAGGCTTAATTGACCCAGTTCCACATGGCTGAGGAGGATTCAGGAAACTTAATAATCGTGGCAGAAGGCAAAGGAGAAGCAGGCACCTTCTTCACAGGGTGGCAGGATGGAGTGAGTGCAGGCAGAGGAAATGCCAGACTCTTATAAAACCATTGGATCTTTTGAGACTCACTCACTATCATAAGAACAGCATGAGGGAAACTGCACCCGTGATCCAATTACCTCCACCTAGTCCCGCCCTTGACAAGTGGGGGTTTTGGGGATTATAATTCAAGATGAGATTTTGGGTGAGAATACAACCAAACCATATCAGAAGTAAAGGTTTGTTCCACCCAAGTAATAGTCTGCTGTGATTGTCCCAGGCTAGCAGACAACCCTTCTGATGGTGATAATTTAAGGACCCATGTTTCATCCATCGTATTGTACTGTCATCCCTGGGGCATTGCTGCCATCTGCATGGTTAAAAGTGGGTCACTGGTGGGAAAGAGAATGTATCTGAATGTCTGAATCAGAAGTGACACACTTCACTTTCATCACATTTTATTGGCAGGAACTCAGTTGTGTTATTCCACTTAACTGCAAGTTGGGGTCACAAACGCTGTCCCTAGTGAGATAAGCCCAGTTATAAATTCCTTTATACGAAAGATTAGAAAAATGGATGTTGGTGGATATTTGGCAGTATCTATCCAGGAAGAATAGAGAAAGTTAAACAGAATCACTCAAATTATTTTACACCTATTAGTAAAGAAATATATAGTTGAACTTTGTTCATACTACGGTTGCATACACCATTTATTGTAAAATATTCTCAAATTCTGAAAATTATGATTTTTGAAACTACCATTGTACATTACAGTTGCAGAGAATTTTTATCCCCAATTTTGACTTATCTTTAAATGACCAAGATTTCTAAGTCTATATCTTTAAGATTTTCTGTTCCCTCTTTTTCTAAGTCGAATTATTAATGATAAATAAGCAAACACATTGAAAGTTGGGAGCGATGTAGTTACTATAAAGAAATGAAGGCAGAAGTTCCTTTTTGCAGTAAGTTTATAAAGCAATAATCCTCAAAATTTGCTTGAAAGTTCATATTAACACACTGAAAGTATAGCCTTGTTAGTTACAGAATATGAGACTTTGTGATTTAGAGTACATAGAGTAAGATACTGGAAGATAATCTTACTTTCTGGTTTTGGATAAAACTAGAAAGAACATTTTATACAAGTCTTGGTGTATTTAAGGAAATCACATATCTTGGCCCAATATTTTAGTAATATACAAGACTTAAAATAAGTCGTGTTCTGTATTTTTATTAAGGTAGTGATTTCACTGATATATACAACTATCATAATTCATTAAATTGTATCTTTTAAATAGGTGCAGTTTATTGTACATAAACATTGTACATACCAATTTATTGCTTCTGGTATGGAGGAAGAAATGAGAAGCATGAGAAATGCAAAATATGTGGGTAACTATGGAAAACTACTTTTTCTATTAATTTCTTTAAAATATATATAATTTTGAAAAGCAAAAATTAGAACATTGCCTTGAGGGGTTTAAAATATTATGTAGAAGTAATGTATAGAACAACTATAACATAAATTATGGCAGGAATGGGGGTAAATAGACCTAGATTGCTACAAAAAGTACTATATTAACTCTAAGCAGACCGTGAAAAGTTTAAGGATATATACTGCAATACCTAAAGCAACTACTTTAAAAACTGTGAAAAGGTATGATTAAAAAGTGAAGAGAGGCCAGGCACGGTGGCTCAAGCCTGTAATCCCAGCACTTTGGGAGGCCGAGGTGGGTGGATCACGAGGTCAGGACTTCAAGACCAGCCTGGATAAGATGGCAAAACCCTGTCTCTACTAAAAATACAAAAATTAGCCAGGTGTGGTGGCAAGCGCTTGGGAGGCTGAGGCAGAGAATTTCTTGAACCCAGGAGGTGGAGGTTGCAGTGAGCCGAGATCACACCACTGCACTCCAGCCTGGGTGACAGAGCAAAACTCTATCTCAAAAAAAAAAAAAAAAAAAAGCTAAGAGATTCAAATAAAAATATAAGAAATGTTTAATAATCTGAAAGAGGGCAGGAAAGGGAGAATGAAGAAATGAAAACTGAGATGACAAGTAGAAAATTAATAAAATAGTAGACTGAACCCAACCATATCAATAATTACATTAAATATAAATTGACTAAACACTCCAATGAAGAAACAAAGATTATCAGACTAGATTAAAAAGCAGACGTGACCACCTGCTGACTACAAGGAAGTACTCTAAATATGAAGATACACTTTAAGTATAAAAATAAAAATAAGATAAAAATATAGATATTTACATTAATGGAATTATAGTCCAGAAACAGAACCACACATACATGGCTGATTGATTTTTCAGTGAAGTTGCCAAAACAATTCAATGGGAAAATGAAATCAACAAACTGCTGGAAAATCTGGATGTCCATATAGGAACAAAAAGAAAAAAAGAACATCTACTCTTATGTCACATAATATGGAAAATTAACTGAAATGTATGACAGACCTAAAGATAAGCTAAAACTGCAAAACTACTGGAAAATAAGATAGGTGCAAATCTTCACCAACTTGACATAGGCAAACATTTCTTAGAATAAGACACAAAAAAATTAATCATGAAAGAAAAAATTTGTGAATTAGATTTCATCAACATGAAATATTTTCTCTTTGGAAGACACTATTACGAAAATGAAAAGACAGGCCACAGTATGGGGGAAAATACTCTCTGTCATGCATTTGACAAAGGACTGACTGGTATTTAGATAAAGACCTCAACTCAACGATAAGAAGACACCTCAATAACATTTTATAAAAGATACTGAGTACATGAAAAGATGCTCAACTTTTTTAGTCATTAGATACCATTACAACCATTAGAAAGGGTAAAATGGAAAAGACTGACAAAGCAAGTGTTGGCAAAGCAGAATTAACTGGAACTCAAACACAGCTGGCAGGAATGCAAAATGGTACAATTACTTTGAAAAACAATATGGAACTTTCTTAAAAAGGTAAACATTTGCCTATCATATAATCTAGTTATTCTACTCCTAGGTATATACCCAAAATAAATGGAAACATATGACCATATAAAAACTTTTACACGAATGTTCATAGCAATGTTATTCACTATAACTCCAAACTGAAAACAACCCGAATGCCCGTCAGCCCGTGAATGGATTAAAAAGTGTATTATATTCATATATGGAATAGTATTCTCCAATAATACTAAACTATATTGAATAATATTCAGCAAAAGGAATGAATTATTCATACATAAAACAATAGGGATAAATCTGAAAATCATTAGACTAAATGAAAGAAACCAGACACAAAAGAATACATGATATATGATTCTGTTTATATAAAATACAACTACTATATAATAATAAAAAGCAGATCAGTGTTTGCCTGCAGCCAAGGGCAGGTGGAACAATTGACTGTAAAGGAAATGAAGAATTTGGCGGGGGGAGGGGGGTTCCTAGAAATGTTCTGTATTTTTTTTTTGTTAAGGTGGTGATTTCACAGATATATATAACTATTGTAACTCATTAAATTGTGCCTTTTAAATAGATGCAGTTTATTGTGCTTAAATTATTCATCAATAAATTTTATAAGAAAAAAAACAGGAAAACCTTTTTCGTATAATTTTTCATAGTTGAAATCTATTTCTCACCCAATAACAACCCTAATTTAATGGTACTAGTTCAGCCTTCTGAAACCACGCCTATAAAAGCATAAACAAAGAATATTTATTCCACTACGAGTCCCTTAAATATTTGAAAAGAGCCAATTTTTTTTAGCCTTTTCTTCTCTATATTATATACTACACTTCCTCAATCCTCCAGCTTGTTTTTTTTTTTTTTTTACATATTGTTTAAGTCCTAGGCTCTTTAACTTTCCTATTTTCCCACCTTTGAAAACACTTTGTTGTCAATATTCCTTATAAACCAAATGCAAAACTCCAAGTGTTATCTGCTAAGTCTTGTTCAATGGGAAGAGTATGACTTGTGGAAAGAGCAGGAGACTGGGTATATAGAAATTTGAGTTTGCTGGCTCTGCCAATGACAGTCTTTTTTTTTTTATCTTAAGCAAAGCAATAACTATATATTTCTCAGAATAATGAGGGAGTTGGAATTATTTATTTTACCTAAGATTTTATTCATTTTTAGTATCCAGAAATGAAAGTATGGGTAAGAAACTTCTGAGAAACTTTCTCAATGAAGAAATACAAATCAACTGAGACATTCTGATCACAAGTTACTGAGGCCTAAAAATATTTTTTGGTTTAGATGTTAGGGTAATCATAGAAAATTAAAAAAAATTTTTCGGTATGATTTGAAAAGAATCATTTAGCTTTGTATTTAATTTGTATCCATTTTTCTATTTGCATATGTATCATTAGCCCCTAATTTCTGATGTTGGAGATTTTTCCAGTCATGTGCTTTAAACTAATAACAAATACTGCACTTGATCTTAGCCAAAAGGCTGAGAAGTGATGCAGTCATGTGCTTTCAGACCATGCAGGTTTGTGACTTGCTACAAAATCTCTGTGAGTTCAAAACATTCATAACATATGGCAGCTCAGATGTTAGGTTGGGAGAAATAGCTGTTTAGAGGATTCTTTGCTATATATATTTTAATGTGACTTGTGTATATGAATATGTTGGGAAAGATGTCACTTGGGAGTGAAGTTGAAAGAAAAAATCTTTATGCTTTAAGTCCACTGTGGACAGCAGTAGATATTACAAATAAAATGGGAATTTGTTCAAAGCCAGATATTTTAAAAATATACTTCTTCTGATTGTAATCTTTAAGTAACAACAAAAATCAGTGTTAACTGCTATTCAAGGGAAATAGTGTGGTTTGTAGAAAGAGCTGGAGATCACATATAGGGGAATTGAATTCAGGCAAAATCACTGTATTAGATATCAAATATTCATGTCTAGGATACTTCCCAATTTGGGGAAAATATCAGCTAAATCATGTGAATGGTACTTTTGTCCAGAAAAAAAATATGTTTAAACTCCCCAGTATTATACCTTATGGCCTACAAAATAACTTATTTTGTCAAAACTTCCCCCAAATGACTTGTGATACAAAGCATCCTGCTGGAAAAAGAAGCTTCCTACTACTTGAGTGAGCTACTTGCTCATTCCTAATGTGTGGATGGAATAGACAGTCTGAGCACAAATTGCAGGAATTGGCAGGACTCCTTTTCAGAGCTAATGCTGTCATTTTTTTTCTGGGGTAGCAAATTTTATATTTTCTGTTAATTAAGAAACACATAAAATAGGTGAATAAAGATAAAGTTCTTAATGTTCAATGACATCTTACAGTTTGATAGCTCTTTTACTTCACAGGTATCTGAAAGATGTCCAATATACATTAACTCATTTTACTTTTATATTAATTACTCTCTTATCTTACTTGTTGTTTTCTGGGCATATGAAATTTTAATTCCCACTCGGTCTCCATGTCTTCTTAAATCCTCAGACTTCACCTTTGGAGTTGTGTTTCTGGGCAGAACTCTTTCACTGGGACTTGCTTTAACCCACAGTACTCTATTTACTAGCGGAAGGATGATGTTCTAATACATCTAATATATGTATCTAATATGTTCTCCATCTGCTTGGTTTCATGCCATTGTCCTCCCCTCCCCATAACACACACATACAAGGCACCTACCCTCAGCCACTCATTCAGACATGCACACAACACCATTTTTATGAATTCTCAGAAATTTTCCCCATCCATTAAATGAGCAAGTGCTTTTAAACCGTAGAGTGCTACTAAATTTTGTTGTGACACTGATGTTTCATAGGCCACTAATCTGAGTTAGACAAAGCAAAATAACCATGCAGGTAACTCATTTCCTACCAAAAACCATGAAGCATTATTACTCTGAGAACATGTCCCAGTTGTTGGAATCCTAGATTCTCTGACACTCCCTACTCAATAGTCCCTCTGGTTTCCCAGCTGACAACTAGGAGAAGGGGCTTGACAAACTCCTGGTTTTAGCAATCAGTTCAATGAACCATCATAATAGCATATACTTTTCATAAACCAGGCTTACATTCCTGGTTGATTTCACAGCTCCTAGTTCTAGAACTGCCCCTGCAGCCATGGTGACAGTTCTGCTGCCTGCTTCAGCGCCTCTACCCTGGCAACATGTTGTTCTGAGGCTAGCAGATCTCGCCCAAGGCAGGATTCTCAACTCTGGAAGGCTTAGTGGGGCCAGGCCCAGGGAATGGTCTGTGAGTATTGCTTAAGCCGCCTCTCCTCCACAGGCTGGTCCCTGCAGCTTCTCTTGCTGCATCTTGCTCCATCTGCTGCTCCCTGGATGCAAATGTGTCTCCCTTAGGGTGCTGGGCACTGGGCTGAGAGGGTCCTAACTTTACCACTCATTCCCTACCAAAGAGCTGCTCTATTACTTTTGCACTTCAACATCTCCCTCTCCCTCCTGAAAGCTATTTCATGTTCTCAGGACTGGTTGAAGCCAAAAGCAGCCAGAAGTTCTAGAGAAAATGTTCAAATTTATCCCTTTTTCCTTCTCTAGTGGTTATTGGTGGTGGCAGATGTTGTGTAAAACTGATGTGTCTATTTCCTTTTGTGGTGGCTTCAGACTCTGGGTAGACATGTATACAACACTCTCAACTTTGTTCCAAGATGCTTTTTACTCAAGATGCTAAAATATATGCTATTGTATGTACTGTGCTTTCTCAATGCTTTGACAAATTTAAACATGAGATAACCCATGCTTAAATGCATCCTAACTCAACATATATCACAAATGAATAATCATCTGCCAGTTGTGATAGCATCTCTTCCCTCTCCCCATTTCCTGGAAAGGATTCCAGACAAATGCATTATTTCTACTTCTACACAGTGTTTCTTATTTCTTATTCTGTCTACACATCAATTTGTTCAGTATCTTAACTGGTTATTTGTACCGTTGCAATATCTCTTGATTAACTACTAAATTATATCACCTGTAGAAGCTATCTTATTTCTGGACAACATATATATAATATTAATCAATCTTTGATCATATGGCTGCAAGATACTGCCAATTACTTTTTGGCCTGAGACAAAAAACAAAACAAAACATAACAAAAATGCTTTTTTAAAAGTATGTTTTCTACTCTGATTTCTGACATTTAAATATCTTTTAAAGATATCTGTCAGTGGCTTCTAAAATTTCCTTTAAATAATCTTTTTGAAGATATAATATGTTGCATGTTTCATTAATACAATCTTATATAAGATTCTGGATGCCAGAATCTTAATTATAATAGTCAGGTAAAGTCTACTCCAGACACTAACCACCTGAAGGAATATGTTAATTGTTAATTCTTATTTATACGGGGACTTTATAATAATGGCAAAAGAATTTGCTAAGAATGACTAAACCTAGTATACTCAATGTGAAGTATGTATAGTTTGCCTCACAAACCTGAATACAACTAACCATAAAACATGCATACACTGGTTATGAGTCCCCACATACTCTTCCTGAAGAAACTGGCATTAATTTTTACTTAGGAAATAATCTATGCTGTTGTGGAATATTTCCCTTTGTCCTCAAGTTTATATACTGGGATATTTGCTTCCTAGTTCAGGGTTTGTGTTAACACATTTTAGAATCTACTTATACAGTCAAGTACAAAGAACAGCCATTGAATGCTGAATCTTTCTCAACTGATTTCTATGGAAAGCTTATGTTCTTTGTAATATACCTTAGCTGGCTGTCGTTGTATGGTGCATTGCTTCTAGGCCTAATTGGAACACCCTGTCTGGCAGTTCTATTAGGATCAAGATTCTTGACTTTGGAGAGCAGAAAATATTTTAAATTCATTTTGGTAGGAGGAGTCAATTTCTGCCTGAAAAGAAAAAAAAAAACAGATTTCCTGAAATAAGAGTATAGGATCTTATACAACACCATTAAACACTCTCCTTAGCCATTTGGAACTCAAGGAATTGCTTTCTAATCAATTTATGTCATTATGTTCTTGGTTACATACATACTTACTAAATCTTTCCTAAAGAAAAATTATCCTGGCCAGGCATGGTGGCTCACACCAGTAATGTTTATACTGGTACTAATATATTTCTTCAAAGCCACTTGTTTTTCTGTTTGAGCACTTTGGGAGGTCAAGGTGGGCGGATTGCTTGAGGCAACGAGTTTGAGACCAGCCTGGGTAACATAGCAAGACCTCATCTCTACAAAAAATAAAAATAATTTTTAAAAAATTAGCAGGGTGTGGTGTGGTGGTATGTATGTGTGGTCCCAGCTACTTGGGAGGCTAAGGCAGGAGGGTTGCTTGAGCCCAGGAGGTTGAGGTTATGGTGAGCCATGAGGTTACAGTGAGGCATCACATAATTGCCCTCTAGCTTGGGCAACAGAGCAAGACCCTGAAGAAAGAAAGAAAAAGAAAGAAAGAAAGAAAGAAAGAAAGAAAGAAAGAAAGAAAGAAAGAAAGAAGGAAAGAAGGAAGGAAGGAAAGAAAGAAGGAAAAGAAAGAGAAAGAAAGAGGGAAAGAAAGGAAGGAAGGGGAAAAAAGAAGGGAGGGAGGGAGGGAAGGAAGGAAGGGGAGGAAGGGAGGAAGAGAGAAAAGAGAAAGAAAGAAAGAAAAGAGAAACAAAGAAAAAGAAAGAAAGAACAGAAAGATTTTTTTTTTTTGGTTTGTGCTTAATTCAGTCTTCCTTTTGTTATTTAAGTATCTACTGAATTGGCCCTAACTCCCTAAACTTTTCTTTCCTCCTGAGAATCCCATCATATCAAACTACCTTTATTTCCTTTTTTTCTGTTTTTTTCTCAGAAATTAATTTTGTAATTCTCAGATTCTTCCCAAATGATCTCTTCACTGTTTCTTGTCCAAATCTGACAATAAAAAACACAACACATTTCTGGCTGTCATCTGCAGAAAAATAGTCTTGAAACCTCAACATTTCTTGGTTCCTGCTTCTCTAGAGCCATCAACACTAATTTTTCTTTTTTCTTTCTTGCTTTTTTAGATACAGGATCTTGCTCTATTGCCCAGGTTGGAGTGCAGTAGTGGGATCACAGCTCACTGCAGCCTGGAATTCCTTGGTTCAAGCCATTCTCCTGCCTCAGCCTGCCAAGCAGCTAGGACTACAGGCACACACCACCACACCTGGTTAGTTTTTAAAATTTTGGTAGAGATGAAGTCTCGCTGTGTTGCCCAGCCTGAGACTAATTTTTCAATATCAATTTCTACTGACTAATCAGGGTGTAAAAGATGTGGATGTTACAAAGTGAAGAAAATTTTGGTTATGTTGGATACATCAGCTAGAACTCATGGCATTGGCTGTAATAGCATTACCATATGTCCCAGCAATTCCACTCCTAGGTACATATCCAAAGGAATTGAAAGCAGGGACTTGAACGGAGATATTTACACACGAATGTTCATAGAAGCATTATTCACAATAGCCAAAAGGTGGAAATGTGGAAACAACTCAAATGTCCCTTAGCCAGGATTACAAATGGATAAACAAAATGTGGTATATAAATACAATAGAATATTATTGAGCCTTAAAAAGGAGTAAAATTCTGATCCATGCTACAACATGGATGAACATTGAAAACATTATGCTAAGTGAATAATCCAGAAATAGAAGAACAAATATTGTATGATCCCACTTATATGAAGTACTTAGGATAGGTAAACTCATAGAAATAGAAAGTAGAATAGAGGTTACCAGGAATTAGGGAAAGGGGAAAAGAAGGAGTTCCTGTTTAATGGGCAGAAATTTCTTTTTTTTTTTCTTATACTTTAAGTTTTGGGGTACATGTGCACAACGTGCAGGTTTGTTACATAGATATACATGTGCCATGTCGGTTTGCTGCACCCATCAACTCGTCATTTACATTAAGTATTTCTCCCAATGCTATCCTTCCCCCAGCCCCTCACCCCCCAACGGGCCCCAGTGTGTGAAGTTCCCCTCCCTGAATGGGCACAAATTTCTTGTTGGGGATAATGAAAAAGTTTTGGGTATGGATAAGAGTGATGGTTATACAACACTATGAGTGTATTTAATGTCCCTGAATTATACACTTATATATGGTTAAAATTATAAATATTACGCATGTTTTACCACAATGAAAGAAAGAAAGCGCGCCTTCTAGTGGGAGCTGGGTGCAGAGAGAGCTCTGTATTCTTGGCTGCAGCTGTCTAGAATGGAGCCTGTCTTGCTAAGCTGGAACTTGGGAGTCTTGGATAAAATACCACAGAGCCTTGCCTTTCTTACCAAATTTTTGTATCTCTTTCTTGAAAAGATGTTTCTTCTTTTGCTGTTTGCCCTTAGGATCATTTCCAGAGGGTCTGAGTCATTTTTCTAGAATTTTCACCAGTTTCACTGAGAAGTGAGGTAGCAAAGCTCTTTATGCAGTCATGCCAGAAGTTGACCGGGAAGACTATATTTCAAATGTTAGTTATGTTATTCAATTTGGAGGATTGCTTATGACATTGTTGCACTGGTTGTAAAATTAAATCTTTAGGATTAAAATGTTTTCTTGAGAAATGTGGCAACATTACTAAAAACCATGGTAATCCCTCCCCCCAAAATGGGATTTTTAGTAACTTTATCACTGTCCTGAGGCTTCCTTTTAAAAACTGCAGCTTTGACATTTTTATTACATTATTTTAAGAGAAAGTAAGGCTCTATAGATTCCACATGCATTCTTGAATAAATGAGTGAGTGAATGAATGAATGTTTTTGTTTATGAACATGGTGGCCATTTGCTACTGTGTGCTTTGACAGTAAGACTCCCCTGTACCTGCCTGTTGCTGAATTCTACAATTCTATCACTCAAACCCTATCTTAGTTCAAGCTGCTATAACAAATTACCATAGGCTGGGTGGCTTAAACAACAAACATTTGTCACAATTTTGGTGCCTGAGAAGTCCAAGATCACAGTGCAGGCAGATCCGGTATTTGGCGAGGGCCTCCTTCCTGGCTTGCAGATACCGTCCTCCTGTATCCTCACATGGTAGGAAAAGAGCGAGCTAACTCTCTGGCCTCTTAAAAGGGCACAATCCTACTCATGAAGGCTCTACCCTTTTGAGTTAATTACCTCACAAAAGTCCCACGTTCAAATATCATCACATCGGGGGTTAGAATTCAATGTATGAATTTCAACACATTGAGGGGTTCACTATAACAAATGCACTGTTTCGTTATTTTCCTCTATGCAGTCTATGGAAAGTAACTTTCCTCTCCAGTATTTTTGAGAGGAATGATAATTCAACCTTTCTATTAAGAATAGTTTATGCAGTCAAAATGTTATTTTCTCCAAGAGACAAAGACTTGTTATTTTATCAGTATCCAAATAACTGGCTCACCCAATTACTGGAATAATTTTACATTTCAGAGAAGGTGAAAGAAATTAATATTCATGAGCATTTACTGTGTGGTAGGACTACTGCAAATATTATTTTATTTAACCCTTGCAGCAGTATCTAGGAGTTAGAGCTTATGAGTATCACTGAGGATGCAGAATTAAGACTTAAAGGTTGGGTCTTTTCCAAGGTCATATAGCTAATGAACAGTAGAACTGCAAGAAAAAAGAGAACAGGAATAGGGCAGTCAGACAGCAGTAGGTTGGCCCTAGATGTCACAGGTGGGGGTTTCCAAAGGAAAGATAAATGTCTCTGTAAGAAAAGCATCATTGATTCGTTGCTATTTTATCATCTACAAAACATTCCCTGCCAAATCTTCAGAGGACAATTCTAAAGAAACTTAAAAGGATAATTTATAGTTTGTTCATGTTTACAGCCTAAGAACACATTATTGCCCTGTTTTTATAAATTCATGTTGGCTAAACACATTTAAATATCATTGTGTTTTAGAATATTTATTTCTGAAATTTAACTTTATTTCTGAATCAAGTTCCCCAGTAATACCGACCTCATGAGTGCCACTGTGATATTTTATAAATAATATAGGTAAAACACTTTTTAGGTACGAAGAGACCGGAAGTCCCAGAGCTGAGGCCTGGCTAACTTTGATGAGAAAGGCAGGTTGGGGTATGTTTGTGGAGTGGTGGTTGTGGGGGTAGAGAAGCAGGTTAGCTTAGGGAAAGGGTACCATTTAGTAGACCCTTAGAACCCAGGATTAGGAGCTGTATTTAAAGAGAATAGACACAGTAAACTGCAAGAGATATATTCAAAACCAGTTATAAACTTTCGGAGAAAAAAAGGTAGGAAGGGAGAGGTTGGGGGCTTGGGCGATCCATTGCTTGGAGCTCGGCTTAGCCAGGCTTGGCGGTCCTCAGAGGGGCTGATAAATCGGCGCTCGACTGGCCTAGGAGCTGTCCGCAGGGAGGTGAGGAGAGGGGCCCGGACGCCCGCGGGGAAGGTGGGGACGGGGGCCCGACGCCCGCGGGGAAGTGGGGACCCAGCCGAGCCGTCCGGGCAGCGGTCGATCTCTAGAGCCGTCTGCCGGGCAGGCAGCGGACGGGCGCGGCGAGTTGTTGGTCACCAGGCGTCTCCAGGCCGCCGGCCCGCGCCAGCGCCTCAGCCGCATTTCCAGTCAGAAAGCGGTGAGGCCTGCGGCGCGCTCGGGCGCAGGGCGGGCCCAGCTCCCCGCGAGGTGGGACCGGCTGGGCGTCCGGCCCGCCCCTAAAGTCGGCTGATTGGTGTTCGGTTCCTGTGTCTTGTGTTCCGGTGTGTGGCGCCCCCTGAGCGAGCGCTGGGGGGGACGTACCCATCTGTCTGAGCCGCGGGTTTCACAGCGGTGGGAGGAAACGGGACCCGGGGGGTGGAGTGACGCGCCCCAGCGCCCCGTTCTTGTGCCACTCTCGGGGCCCTAAGGCCTCTGCCTTGGATTTAGGATATTCTCCTTAGGAAATCCACAGAGCTGTTATTTTGCTTTAGGTGCTGATTCGGTCCCCAGCCGGACCCTTCCAGCCAGCCCTGTTGGTGCCTGGGGAGAGGGGGTGAGATCTGGGGCTCCGACAATTGTATGGTCCTTTCCCAGGCCGAGCCTCGGAGTAATTTGTTCCCGTTGATTTTTCCTTCTTTGTCAGATTCTCTGCAGTTATTTGTGACGGTCGGTTATTCCCGTAAATGTTGGTCCCTACTTCTTCCTTAACTCACAAAAATTTCTAGCAAATCAATAATTTTTATCTGAGTTTCTGTACTTTTAAAATAAGGAGTATGTTTCTGAGTAAAAATTGTAAGAAGTAATAGGCCTGCAATTTTATACAATAAGTTTATACAATAATTGTATACAATAATTTTATACAATAAGTAAAGATTACAGAAGACAAAATGGTGAATTGTCATTAATATAACTAAAGATTAATTGTATCTAGTTGTATTAATATTTAACTAGAGATTGTCATTAATATAACTAGAGAAGGTCGGCACCGCAAATTATGTAGACTCAAAAATAGCTTAAGTATTTTAACAGTGATTATAGCAGAGCAGACACTTAAAACTACCTGGGATGATATTGTTTATTGTGTTTGGCAATCTAATTTTGTGCCACGTGCTGAAACTAAAACTTTAATAATAAATAATAGGAACTTAAAAAATCTGAATCTAAACCTAGAACTTTAATTAATTTAAAATAGCATCCCCTCACATCACAAACTCATACTGAACTGTAGCAAGGTCCCTTTTAGGACCTGTGTTTCTTTTTTAAAAAAAGATTTACATAATGAAAGTGCCAAATTCATCATCTTTTAGAACCTTCATGATTTTATTTACATAAATCCTGAACTAGAAAAAAATTTCACATTTTTTAACTGAACGTTGAAGATTGGGGCTCAAATTTTAAGTTTCTAAATTAACAGAAAATTATTTTTATTTGACACTATTTTTATAAACTGGTTCTTGCTAATGCATTTATTCCACAATGCATTCTTATGGACCATTTACTGTGTGCCAGGCACTATTCTGGGTTATTGGAACACATTAATGAGCAAAAAGTCCCTGCTTGCTCTAAAGGGAGAAACATAATAAACAACTAAGCATATACTATAATGTTAGTTATCAGTTCATGCTATGAAGAAAAATAATGCGGAATGAGAGGATGCAGTTTTAGATAAGGGGTGTTTTTTCACAGGAGTATATAAGAACTAAAATATGTACATGATATTTTTATTCTGAACCCAAACAAGTTATATTCTTGTATGCTAGAACTAGAAATCAAAAATTCTTTTGAAAATATTTGCTGTTTGTATAGGAGGTTTTTGTCAGTTTATGCAACGCTTTTCTTCCCAAATGTTTTAAATTTGTAGTTTTGTTGTCTATTTGTAGTTGCTTTAGGAAGAAAGTATTCAAGTGTATAAATGTTAGCCTTAAGATTTTTGACTTAAATTCTGAGGTAGCAAAGCCATATGAAACTGGTCTGGTGAGGTTTATTTTAGGAAAAGTTTCTTTTGTTTGAACATAGTTTTCCTAAAACTAGAAAGGGAACATTTTATTTGTTACTTTTTGGGCAATATAAAAACATGATTAACATTTTCATTTATACTTTTTCAGATAATTGTTTTCAAGTTCTGAAATTGTTTACTTAAAGCTGTTAAAGACTTCGCATATTTCTGAATGACTCCCTCTACCTCCTGCCCTATTATCCTAGGCTTCTATTTTTCGTATAGTCAAATTGTTTTAGACATTTATAGAACCACACTAGTTTGTTTCATTTTTACTACTTGTTTTTGTTGGTAACTGATTAATAGATAGAGAAAAATGAAGAGGGCAATTATATTAAACAGATGGAAGGGGGAAGAACCCAATAACGAAAACAGTGAAAAACCCCACAATATTCTATATCAGTAAGAACAGCCCTGAAGTATATATACAGGTTTAGTTCTCATACAGTAGCATTTGTCAAGTGTTGTATGTGGAAACATTCTCCCTTCCCCATATCACTCCCACTTGTATCTCATCCCCACATCAAGGAGGATTCAAAATTGGAGAGACATAATCTGACTTGGTAATGCGTATTTCTCCACTAGATGGCATTAATAGAATTTCTTTGATTGTAGTTTCTATCTTGAGGACAAATTTACAATGTATTAACTAAAACAGAAGAAACAGAAATGTGATTTATGTTTTACAGTTTGTTCGTCTGATTTTATGGTTTGTCATATAGAATGTTCTATGATGTTTAAGAATTTAGAAAAAAATAGGATATGCAGGGAAAAATAATTCTAATGGGAGCAATGTATGTATCTAGAGACTAGTTTTTTTTTTTAATCACATTTGCATCTTTGTTCAGCCCCAGATTTTTGTTATGTTCAAAGGTGGCCAATGCTGAATGTTTTTATCCTTTATGTTTAGATAATATCTCTGAGTGCAAAAATTATCTTTTAAAAAAGAATGTAAACGTGTGTAGTATATGCATTAACTCATATAAATAAATATGCATATGTATGTTAAACTTGTAATTTTTTTATTTTGAAAAAGTTCAAACCTATGAAAAAATATTATAATGAACCCCATGTACCTATTACATAGCTTTAGCTTTGATCAACTCATTGTCAATATTATTTCAATACTCCTTCATCTCTCCCCTTTATTTTGAAGCAAATCCCTGCATATGTACATAGTATATTGTTAGAGGTGCACACATTCACAATAAAATGTGCTGTCCTAACTTGAAAATAATGGTGTGAACAAAGTATTAAGAGCCCAAGAAGACTGATTAATTCTGCCTTGAGGAAGAAGACAAATTCAGAAAAGCCTTTGAAGAAGAAATGACATTTGACCTATAACTTGAAGGATGGTTAGGAATTTGCCAGTTGGAGAATGGCAGAAAACACATTCCAAGCATTGGAGCACTATGAAGAGAAGGGAGCAAGTGTGAATCCATGAATGAATGGAAAACAGAGAATAATGTATGTGAATATTGAGGTGCTTTGAAGGAAGTTGCAGACGATGAAGCTGGAAGGATAGTCTGTGGTTATATTTTACAGGAGACTGTGGAAAATTAGTGATTATACAGAAATATTTTTTTACATCTTTATAAATAAAATATAAACTACTTTTTCCATATTTTGTAGATTTATGACAAAGTCCAGTTTTCAACAATGCTGAAATCAAATGATTGCCTGTTTTCTTTGGAAAATTTGTTTTTTGAAAAACCAGATGAAGTTGAAAAGTAAGTCTCCCTTAAAGATTGATAGCATAGTATATTACTTTAGGGTTTTTTGAATTTGGGTGAGTTTTAGCTTTCTCTCTGGTAAATATACAAATAAAAATGAGGAATCAACAGAACGATATTTCAGTTACATATTTGGTAAACATGGAATTCTCTTACCAGTAGTATAGGGGAGTAACTGAAGTTTAACATCTTAAATGTTATAATTTTAAAAATAGAATAGATTTGGGCCAGGCGCAGTGGCTCACGCCTGTAATCCCAGCACTTTGGAAGGCTGAGGCGGGTGAATCACCTGAAATCAGGAGTTCAAGACCAGCCTAGCCAACATGGTGAAACCCTGTCTCTACTAAAAGCACAAAAAAATTAGCCAGGCCTGGTGGCGCATGCCTCTAATCCCAGCTACTTGGGAGGCTGAGGCATGAGAATTGCTTGAAGCCCGGAGGCGGAGGTTGCAGTGAGCTAAGGTGGCGCCACTGCACTCCAGCCAGAGCAACAGAGTGAAACTCTATCAAAAGAAAAAAAAAAAAAAAAGATTCTTGCCTATTTGGCTTGCATTTATTTGTATTTCTGGTTTGTTCAGATTATTTTTGGCCAAGCTAAAGATGGGAAATAATGCTCAAAGAGTAGCTCAGGACAAGGAATGACGTCACCATCTGGAAACAGAATGGACAGTATGCCAAAGGCAAAGTATGATAGGCACATTAAATGCTGGCAGGAAGTAGGGGCGGGAATAAAGATGTGAGACCAAAGAAAACAAGACTAGAGAGTAGGTAGTATGTTAAATACTGGCTTTTATGGATTTTCATGTGCATTGTTCAATTTTGAATTTTCTGTGTATTTTTAGTGTATTGTATTATCCTATTTTAATGAGGTGTATTAATTGCCTCATTATTTTACTTGTTCATTCAAATATTGATTGAAAGTTGAAAGGGTTATAAAAAGGATGAAACAGACTTTTACTTACAAAGTACTTAAAATCTAGTTGAAGAGATTAAACACACAAATGGAAAGACATTAATAAGTAATAGGACCATGTAAATAATCATCTATACTGTGACACTTTTGAGAGTGAAAGAGCACATCCAACTGGGGCAACATGTGTTAATCAGGTCTGGCCAATGCAAATTTTGTAATATACGGTTGTTTTTCTGAAAATATGGTCAAAAATATGTGCAAAGCAAATGACAAGCATATGTTCATGCAATGAAATTTCAGACTTGGAAGGAAGGTCGTCTTGGAGTACACAGTCAGGTCAGGCTTTTTGGGTAGTAGGGGGAGACTTCAGGAGGCTTTGAAGGATTTGATAATTCCTATAGAAAGAGAAGAAGTGGGCATTTGAAGGCAGAGTGTTAGAGCAAGAGAAAAAGAATGGAGATAGGACATTCATGGTACTTTTAAGGGATAACATGTAGAGAAGTTTCCTGGAATAGACAATTCATGAAGGAGGAACTTTGGGACATAAAGTTAGAAATTCTAAGTTGAGGTTAGATGGTGATGTGCGTTGAATGCTGGAATAAGGATTTTGGATATAATTCACTGTGGGTTAAAAGCCATTGAATTAAATCAACAATTATTTATTGAAATTATGTAAAGGACTTTGCTAAGTACTGCTGATGTAAATGGACGTAAAAATAAAACTGTAGGTATAATCTAGAGGGAGTATCAAATATCTATCTGTCAAAGCTATCCATTTGCTTATCTGTTTCTCTCTATTATCTATCTGTACATTCACACAGCTCAAGGCAGACTATAATACATATTATAGGTTCCCTCTATAAGAAGAAGGGAGGAGAAAATCTTTGGGAACCTAGGGAGATTTCTTGGAAAAGGTAGGATTTGAGCCAGCCTTTGAATATAAGCTCTAGTGCCTAGAACAATACCTGGCACATAGTACTCAGTAAGTAATTACTGAATGGATTAATGAATGAATAAAATAGTAGAACTTCTGCATGTAGATATCGGAGTGGGGCAGGGCACAGGGGCAAGCTGAGTAAATATCTTTGAATGAGGGTGAGGAGTGACGAGGCACGGTGGCTCACACCTGTAATCCCAGCACTTTGGGAGGTTGAGGTGGGCGAATCACTTGAGTCCCGGAGTTTGAGACTAGCCTGGCCAACATGGTGAAACGCCATCTCTACTAAAAATACAAAAATTAGCCAGACATGGTGGTATATGCCTGTAATCCCAGCTACTGGGGAGGCTGAGGCATGAGAATCACTTGAACCCAGGAGGTGGAGGTTGTGGTGATCTGAGATCTGGCCACTGCACTCCAACCTGGGTGGCAGAGTGAGACTCTTGTCTCAGGAGGGAAAAAAAAAAAAAGATGAGGAGAGACAATGCATTATCTATTTGTTATACAACAGGGAGTTCAGTTTAGTTTGGACTGTAAGGTATGTGTAGGAGAGTTAAAACTATAAGGTGGTCTAAGGCCACTAGGAAGTTTGGCAATCTTTGAAAGCCATTGAAGAATTTTGAATGGAGTAATGTAATGAAAACAATTCCAAATGAATGTGGTAGGAACTTGTAAAATAGAGAGAAAGCCTGGAGGCAGTGAGGGCAGTTAAAACAAGTTAGTAAGAGCCTTGATTATGATAATGACCGTGGAAACACAAAGGAAATGATAAATTTAAGAAGCATTACAAGGAATATACAGTAAGACCTAATATGTATCTAGATATAGTTAGTAAAAAAGATACTATGGTTTGGATTCTGGGTGACTGGGATGATGATGTCACCTCTGGAAAAAAATTGGGAAATTATAAGGAAGATTTGATTTTATTAAGAGGCAGAATAGTACAGCTATTATTCCTCTTTCTTAGGTTTTCTGAAATAGTCCTTGTGTAGAAAAGAGTTAATATAGCAGACCTAAACTGCTGTTCTTGAAAAGGCCTGTTTGCGAGGGCGGCTTTGGCTAGAGTCTGAGAACTTAGATTTCAGGAAGATCCCTTCCATTAACTGACAACAGTGGCTTACTATGTGTAAACTGTTTATACAAATAGTGTGGTTTATGTTGAACACCTGCTTTTTTTCTGAGATTCTGGAATTTAGGTGTGTGCCAGACAGGGGATGCTTATGTTAATGTTAGCCCCCAATAAAAACCTGGGCATTGGGTCCCTGAAGAGCTTCCCTTCTTTGGCAACATTTCATGGGTATTGTCCTAAGTCATTACTCAGATAATTAAGTGCCTCCCGCAGAGTCTGCTGGGAGAAGACTCTTGAAAGCTCATGCCTGGTTTTCCTTGGACTTCGTCCTGGTAGCCGTGAGTAGGACTACATGCTGAGTCTTATGAGTCATTTTAGGATATTATTGAACTGGGGGTGATCTTGGGGACCCTCTGACACAGTCCTAAATTTTAAAAGATCTGGCTTGTTATTAAACAGTCTGTTAGACGTTGCCAGATAATGTGTTGTAGATTTTTTACTTGGAAAATATGGTCAGAGTAGCTATGTGCTAGGTGCTCGGAGAGACAGAAAAGTAAAAGACTGAGTTTCTCACTTTAGAGAGCGTAACATCCTAAATGACTAGATCATAAAATCTTTGGGACTTGGTATAGACAAAATATATGATGCTCTTCTCAACTTTATTTCCTGTCACCTAACACTTATCTTTTTGTCCTAATGAAGAACAAGTCAACTTTGATGGGAAAGGAACCATTAAAGCAGTATCAGTTAACACGATCACAGTTGAAAGATGAGGAGGGGTAGTTAATGATGCCAACAGGGTGGCAAAAATATCAATTACTATAGGTTATAAAGAGGTCATCAGTTTCAAATGATTTCTTGGATTTTTCTGTAGTTTGTAGATGGTTTGGACTAAGAATATTTCGGTTAGGACATTAATTTGTAATAATGTTATAGGAATACTCTAGAACAACGGTCCCCAACCTTCTTGGCACCAGACACTGAATTTGTGGACAGTTTTTCCACAGATGGTTTCGGGATGAAACTGTTCCACCTCAGATCATCAGACATTAGTTAGATTCTCATAAGGAGCATGCAACCTAGAGCCCTCTCATGTACAGTTCATGATAGGGCTCGCACTCCTGTGAGAATCTAATGTCGTTGCTGATCTGACAGAAGTCAGAGCTCAGGCAGTAATGCTCACTTGCTCACTGCTCACCTCTTGCTGTGCAGCCGGGTTCCTAACAGGCCAGCATCAGTCTGCGGCCCAGGGGTTGGGGATCCCAGCTCTGGAATACCAGTAATGGTATCGTTTACACATTGATGACCCGTGATTAGTTGTGAGATATGTCAAGTAATTTGTTACTTGTAATAGTTAAAATGCTAAAGTTTGAGAATGATTTACTACTTTGTTTTTATATTGGAGCAGATTTAAGATTCCTGTTACTGGCATTTGAATTGGAGAAAAGGAGATAGAGTTATTGCCATTATTTAGGTAGCATATCTCACACAGCGGTATCATTAATCCTATGATATATAAGGGTAAAAGGTTGAGAACACTGCTGTATAGGGATAAATCAAAGTGCTGACAGAAAGTTAATTTATAGAATGTTTAAGAGTCCAATTGAGTAATGTTTAATAAACACATAGCTTCTCATGTTATATCTTTATTAACATATATACTCACATTTTTATATTTTATATAGCCATCCAGACAATGAAAAGTCATTGGATTGGTTTCTCCCTCCTGCTCCATTGATTTCAGAAATTCCAGATACTCAGGAGTTAGAGGAAGAATTAGAAAGTCATAAACTGTTAGGTAAATTATCACATATTTGTTTTGAAGCCAAACCCATACAGTTCATGGCAATATTTTTTTAAAAAACCCTGATTTGATTGTTACACGTTGTGTATACATGTATCAAAATAATGCATATGCCCCCAAAATATGTATACTCATATTGGGTATTGATTTCAGAAATTTCAGATACTCAGGAGTTAAAGGAAGAATTAGAAAGTCTGGGAGGCCGAGGTGGGCAGATCACCCAGCCTGGCCAATATGATGAAACCCCATCTCTACTAAAAATACAAAAAAACTAGCTAGGCGTGGTGGTGTACACCTGTAGTCCCAGCTACTCGGGAGGCTGAGGCAGGAGAATGGCTTGAACCCAGGAGGCAGAGGTTGCAGTTAGCTGAGATTGCACCACTGCACTCTATCCTGGGCAATAGAGGGAGACTCTGTCTCAAAAAAAAAAAAAAAGTAATAAACTGTTAGGCAAATTATCACATATTTGTTGTGAAGCCAAACCCATACAGTTCATGGCAATATTTTTTTAAAAACTCTGATTTGATCATTACACATTGTATATGCATGTATCAAAATATCAGATACCCCCCCAAAATATGTATACTCGTTATGTAAACAATTAAAATTTCTTTATTTTAATGAAATAAAATGAAAGTCAGATCCTTCTTTTATTAAAAAGAGTGCTCACCAAGCTGGATGCAGTTGACACCTGTAGTCCCAGCTACTTGGGAGTCTGTGAATAGCCACTGCACTCCAGCCTGGGCAACATAGTGGGACCCTATCTCTAAATAAATAAATAAATATATAAACAAACAAACAGATCCTCCTCATCTCTAAATACATACATACCCCCAAAAACAAAATAGTGCCCACCAAATCTTAAAATTTAAAATATTTTTCTTCTCTATACATATAATACACATACATACGTGTACATAAATGCACATAATACACTACTACATGTTTTGATTTTTGTTTTATGAATATTTTTTCTGTGACTATTAAACTCCTATCACTGCTGTTCAGTTTTTGCCTTGCCATTTCCTAAAGGTAAGATCGCCTGGTAACCAGATCCCAGAAATATTGAGTGAAAAAAGCTAGATGCAGAAGATTAAATATAGGGTGATACCATTTTTAAAAAGCTCAAAAACAAGCACACTCAAACAATGTATGTGACCTAATGTAATATTAGTAAAATTTTAATTTTTAAATTGGGTCATAGGTTCATGCACATTCATTTTATTATTAAGCTTTGTAATTTACATATATGTTATATATATACTTATATCAAATAATATATAGCATAGTGTATAATGTAGATACATAGATGCTAAAGCAAATTTAAGTTCTAGTAAGACGTCCAAATTCCCCCTAAACTTCCCTAAAAATTCTTGCAAAGCCTCTAAAGAAACCTTTAAACTTCTGTCACTCTGATGAAAACATTCCTTTATTTTGATTTTAGAAGCAAGATTGCAAACTTAAAAGCATTAGATATGTTAATAATGAATTGTGTTTGGTAACATTTTATATAATTGGTCATTGTATTTCTGTGTGTAAATCATTTATATAAATTTTAAATCTTCATAATTGTATAATTATATCATTTGTTATGGGTCAGAAAGAAATTAAATCTATTTTATAATGCAGTGCCATATAAACTTCAAATTTAATTCAATACTTCCACATTAATTTCTGAGTGTCTGTTAATGATGTAATATACCATAAGTGTAACAATCACCTATATTTTAAAACCGTATATGGTATTACAGATGAGCTTATTACTAGTGCTTTGCTTTTGGCTTTCATACTTAACTTGGAATTTTTATTAAAGTTTTTCATCATCATTTTGAAAATTTCCTTTAATGGAGAACATGTAATAATTAAGATATTCCTTTTTTGTAGGTCAGGAAAAGAGGCCAAAAATGTTAACATCAAATTTAAAGATAACTAATGAAGATACAAATTATATTTCACTAACACAAAAATTCCAGTTTGCCTTTCCTTCTGATAAATATGAACAGGATGATCTAAATTTAGAAGGGGTAGGTAATAATGACTTATCACATATTGCTGGCAAGCTGACATATGCTTCTCAGAAATATAAAAATCACATTGGCACTGAGATAGCACCTGAGAAGAGTGTTCCTGATGATACAAAATTAGTTAATTTTGCAGAAGATAAAGGAGAGAGCACATCAGTATTCCGGAAAAGGTAATTATTATAATTAAACTAAATAATATTCTGTGAATAAAGTTGAATATTTGTACATATAAAAGTATTAAATATGGTACAATGTGAATGAGAAAAACAGCAAAATTCTATCTCCTAAATAATTCCTTACTTTCTCCATTCCTGGTGTCATAGTCCTGGTCCTACACATAAAAATAACCATAATTGTAATATATAACTATCTACTATAAATGGTACCACAACAGTCCAGGTGGGACACAGGAATCTTCATTTTTAACAAATTTTCTAGGTGATTATTATGCACACAAAAGTTTGAGACCCATTTTCCTAATGCCTTGGGTTTGAACAGAGGAGTGAAATTAGACTTTCTTTTCTTTAAGAGTTCATTTTGGCCCCAGTATGGAGGATAAATTATAATAGAAGGGAGTTAAAATATGAAGGTCCACTTGAAAGGTTATCTTATTAGTCTAGATGGGAGAAAATGGTAGCCTGACCTAGGACAGTGGTATCAGGAATGGAAACAATCCAGAATTATTTAGGAGATAAAATCCCACAGGACTTAAGTGATTATTGGATATGAGATCTGACTCCTAGGTTTTTGGTTTGAGCCAGAATGATGAAGGTTGGTAGTGCCCTTTTTTGATTTAAAGAACTATAAAGTAAGAACAGGTTCGGGGGAAGGTGATGAGTACAGATATGGACATGTTGATTTTAGATATTTATAAATAGTTCAGATATTCAGTTGGGTATGTGGATTCAAGATTCAGAAGAAGTTTAGTTGATTGTTTTTGTTTTCTGTGACATAGGAGATGTGGTTATCTGTGGAGTTTGAGAGAGAAAGTGAGAGTATTGAGCAAGAATGAGAAGAATGGAATAAATTATGGAGAATGGGAAAGCAGTCTAATTAGAATAATGGTAGGACTGATGGACACTGTAAAGGGTCCAGCTGAGGTTGATTTCTATAATGTTTGTAATAACAGCTTTATTAAGATATAATTCACATACCATAAAATTCACCTTTTTAAAGTGTAGAATTATTTTATTTTCTTATTTTTTTCATTCTTATGTATTTACCCACGTTGGTTTTTATAATGCATACTTTTGCAACCATCATTATTAACTAATTTTAAAACATTTTCACCTCCTGCAAAATAAATTCCTTACTAATTAACAGTTACTCTTCATTTCTCCCTTTCCACAGCACCTGGTGGCCACTAATCTACTTTCTGTCTCTATCATCTCTATGGATTTATCTATTCTAAACATTTCATATAAGTGCAATTATACAAAATATGGCTATTTGTGCCTGGCTTCTTTCACTTAACGTAACATTTTTTTTTGGAGGTGAATATTTTTCTTTTCTTTTTAAATTATACTTCAAGTTATAGAGTACCTGTGCACAACATGCAGGTTTGTTACATATGTATACATGTGCCATGTTGGTGTGCTGCACCCATTAACTCGTCATTTACATTAGGTATTTCTTCTAATGCTATCCCTTCCCCACCCCCAACCCCATGACAGGCCCCGGTGTGTGATGTTCCCCACCCTGTATGCAAGTGTTCTCATTGTTCAATTCCCATCTATGAGTGAGAACACGTGGTGTTTGGTTTTCTTTCCTTACGACAGTTTGCTCAGAATGATGGTTTCCAGATTCATCCATGTCCCTGCAAAGGACATGAACTCATCCTTTTTTATGGCTGCATAGTATTCCATGATGTATATGTGCCACATTTTCTTAATCCAGTCTATCATTGATGGACATTTGGTTGGTTCCAAGTCTTTGCTATTGCGAATAGTGCCGCAATAAACATACGTGTGCACGTGTCTTTATAGTAGCATGATTTA
Organism: Homo sapiens; assembly: GCF_000001405.40. Classification (NCBI taxonomy): domain Eukaryota; kingdom Metazoa; phylum Chordata; class Mammalia; order Primates; family Hominidae; genus Homo; species Homo sapiens. The sequence continues at coordinate 91,392,265 of NC_000001.11, read as the reverse complement.
TAATCCTTTGGGTATATACCCAGTAATGGGATGGCTGGGTCAAATGGTATTTCTAGTTCTAGATCCTTGAGGAATTGCCATATTGTCTTCCACAATGGTTGAACTAGTTTACAGTCCCACCAACAGTGTAAAAGTGTTCCTATTTCTCCACATCCTCTCCAGCACCTGTTGTTTCCTGACTTTTTAATGATCACCATTCTAACTGGTGTGAGATGGTATCTCATTGTGGTTTTGATTTTCATTTCTCTGATGGCCAGTGATGATGAGCATTTTTTCATGTGTCTGTTGGCTGCATAAATGTCTTCTTTTGAGAATCGTCTGTTCATATCCTTTGCCAACTTTTTAATGGGGTTGTTTGATTTTTTTCTTGTAAATTTGTTTAAGTTCTTTGTAGATTCTGGATATTAGCCCTCTGTCATATGGGTAGATTGCAAAAGTTTTCTCCCATTGGTTGCCTGTTCACTCTGATGGTAGTTTCTTTGCTGTGCAGAAGCTCTTTAGTGTAATTAGATCCCATTTGTTTATTTTGGCTTTTGTTGCCGTTGCTTTTGGTGTTTTAGTCATGAAGTCCTTGCCCATGCCTATGTCCTGAGTGGTATTGCCTAGGTTTTCTTCTAGGGTTTTTATGGTTTTAGTCTAACATTTAAGTCTTTAATCCATCTTGAATTAATTTTCGTATAAGGTGTAAGGAAGGAATCCAGTTTCAGCTTTCTACATATGGCTAGCCAGTTTTCCCAGCACCATTTATTAAATAGGGAATCCTTTCCCCATTTCTTGTTTTTGTCAGGTTTGTCAAAGATCAGATGGTTGTAGATGTGTGATATTATTTCTGAGGGCTCTGTTCTTTTCTGTTGGTCTATATCTCTGTTTTGGTACCAGTATCATGCTGTTTTGGTTACTGTAGCCTTGTAGTATAGTTTGAAGTTAGGTAGCGTGATGCCTCCAGCTTTGTTCTTTTTGCTTAGGATTGCCTTGGCAATGCGGGCTCTGTTTTGGTTCCCTGTGGACTTTAAAGTAGTTTTTTCCAATTCTGTGAAGAAAGTCATTGGTAGCTTGATGGGGATGGCATTGAATCTATCAATTACCTTGGGCAGTATGGCCATTTTCACAATATTGATTCTTCCTATCCATGAGCATGGAATGTTCTTCCATTTGTTTGTGTCCTCTTTTATTTCATTGAGCAGTGGTTTGTAGTTCTCCTTGAAGAGGTCCTTCACATCCCTTGTAAGTTGGATTCCTAGGTATTTTATTCTCTTTGTAGCAATTGTGAATGGGAGTTCACTCATGATTTGGCTCTCTGTCTGTTATTGGTGTACAGGAATACTTGTGATTTTTGCATGTTGATTTTGTATCCTGAGACTTTGCTGAAGTTGCTTATCAGCTTAAGGAGATTTTGGGCTGGGACAATGGGGTTTTCTAAATATACAATCATGTCTTCTGCAAACAGGGACAATTTGACTTCCTCTTTTCCTAATTGAATACCCATTATTTCTTTCTCCTACCTGATTGCCCTGGCCAGAACTTCCAACACTATGTTGAATAGGAGTGGTGAGAGAGGGCATCCCTGTCTTGTGCCAGTTTTCAAAGGGAATGCTTCCAGTTTTTGCCCATTCAGTATGATATTGGCTGTGGGTCTGTCATAAATAGCTCTTATTATTTTGAGGTATATCCCATGAATTCCTAGTTTATTGAGAGTTTTTAGCATGAATGGCTGCACTTAATATTTTTAAGGTTCATGCATGTTGTGTTATGTATCAGTCTTTCATTCTTTCCCTCCCTGCCTCCCTCCTTCCTTCCTTCCTTCCTTTCTTTCTCTCTTTTTTTTTTTTTCTTTGGGAGTCTTACTCTGTCACCCAGGCTTGAGTGCAGTGGTGTGATCTTGGTTCGCTACAGCCTCTGCCTCCCAGGTTCAGGCAATTCTCCTGCCTCAGCCTCCCGAGTAGCTAGAACTACAGGCGTGCGCCACCACACCCGGCTAATTTTTGTATTTTTAGTAGAGACGGAATTTCACCATGTTGACCAGGATGGTCTTCATCTCCTGACTGTGTGATCTGTCTGCCTCGGCCTCCCAGTATTGGGATTACAGGCGTAAGCTACCATGCCTGGCCAGTATTTCATTTTGTTTTAATGGCCAAATAATAATCCATTAAATGGATATATCACATTTTGTTTATTTACTTATCAGTTGATGGATGTTTGGGTTGTTTTCACTTTTTGTCTATTGTGAATAATATTGCTATGAAAATGCATGCAAGTTTTTGTGTGAATGTGTGTTTTCAATTCTTTGGATATAAACCCAGAAGTAGAATTGCTGGGTCATATGGTAACTTTATATTTAACTTTTCTGAGGAACTGCCAAATTGTTTTCCAAAGTGGCTGCGTCACTTTATAGTCCCATCAGCAATATTTGAGAGTTCCAGTTTCTCCACATTCTGTCCAGTACTTGTTATTTTCTGTCTTTTTTATTATAGCCATCCTACTGGGTATGTGAAGAGGTATCTCATTGTGGTGTATCTCATTTTCTTAATGACTAATTGTCTTAGTTATTTTGAGCTGGTATAATGAAATACTGTAGATTGGGTGGTGTAAATAACAAACATTTGTTTACACGATTCTGGAGGCTGGAAGTCAGAAATCAGAGTGCCAGCATTGTTGGGTTCTTGATGACGACCCTCTTCCTAGTTATGTTCTCCCATGGTTTTTCTTTGGTGTGTGTATGAACAGAGAGAGCTCATGTTTCATCCTCTTTTTATAAGGGCATTAATTCCATCATGGGGAGGTACCCTCATGACCTCATCTAAACCCAATTACCTGCCAAAGGCCCCACCTCCAAATACCATAACATTGGGAGGCTGAGGCGGGCAGATCACAAGGTCAGGAGTTCGAGACCAGTCTGACCAACATGGTAAAACCCTGTCTCTACTAAAAATACGAAAATTAGCCAGATGTGGTGGCATGCGCCTGTAATCCTAGCTACTCAGGAGGCTGAGGCAGGAGAATCACTTGAACCCGGGAGGCGGAGCTTGCAGTGAGCCGAGATCACACCACTGCACTCCAGCCTGGGTGACAGAGCGAGACTCCAGCCTGGGTGACAGAGCCAGACTCAATCTCAAAAAAAAAAAAAAAAAAAAAACCCAACAAAAAAACCCACTGGGGATTAGGGCCTCAACATATGAATCTGGAGGGAGGGACATTAATATCCAGTCTGTAGCAATAATGTTAAGAATATTTTCATGTGATTATCAGCCATTCGTATGTCTTCTTTGGAGTAATGTCTTATTCAGATCCTTTGTCCATATTTTAATTGGGCTATTTGTCTTTTAATTGTTGAGTTTTAAGAGTTCTTTATTCCCAATAACAGTCTCTTATCATCTGTATGATTTGCAAGTATTTCCCCCATTCTGTGGGTTTTCACTTTTTTGATGGTGTTCTTCGCAGCGCAAGTTTTAAATTTTGATAGAGTCCAGTTTATCTAATTTTTCTTTTATGCTTATGCTTTTGCTTTGATGTAATACTGATTTGGCGTCACTTTGGTTGCTTATGGTTTTGGTGTCATATCTAAGAAACTATTGCCTAATCCAAGGTCATGAAGATTTACTCTTAAGTTTTCTTCTAAGGGTTTCAGAGTTTTTAGCTCTTATGTTTACATTTGTGATCTATTATTTCATATTTTAAATATTTGTGTGAAGTAGGAGTTCATTCTCATTCTTTTTGCATGTAGATATTCAGATGTTCCAGCCTCATTTGTTGAAAAGACTGTTCTTTCCCTACTGAATGTCATGACACTGTCATTGGAAATCAACTGACCATAAATGTAAAGACTGGGTGTTGACTGACACCGACTGATTCTCTGACACCAACTTGGCATCTAACAATTTAAATCAATTTGAAACTTAACTCCTGGAATTAGCGTCAGACCCCACAGGTTGAAGGCTCAGTTCTGTAAGACTGACCTCACTTTGAATTCCAGCTGAAAATGAGATTCCCAGGCTACCCACATTTCTGTCTGGCCAACTACAAATTTGAGGCTTCCCATGACCCCATCTTAGGTTTAATAATTTGCTAGAATGACTCAGAGACCTAAGGGAAACACTTTACTTACATTTACCAGCTTATTATAAAGGGTACAACTCCAAATGAAAGAGATACATATGGCAAAATATGAGGGAGGGGGTGCAGAGTTCCCATAACTTCTCTGAGCATGACACTCTGTCAGCACCTTGATGTGTTCACCATTCCAGAAGCTCTCAGAACCCTGTTGTTTAGGCATTTTAATGGAGGTTCTATTTCTTTTTTTTGTTTGTTTGTTTTAAAAATCTTTTTTTTTTTTTTTTAATTTTTTTTTTTTAATTATACTCTAAGTTTTAGGGTACATGTGCACATTGTGCAGGTTAGTTACATATGTATACATGTGCCATGCTGGTGCACTGCACCCACTAACGTGTCATCTAGCATTAGGTATATCTCCCAATGCTATCCCTCCCCCCTCCCCCGACCCCACCACAGTCCCCAGAGTGTGATATTCCCCTTCCTGTGTCCATGTGATCTCATTGTTCAATTCCCACCTATGAGTGAGAATATGCGGTGTTTGGTTTTTTGTTCTTGCGATAGTTTACTGAGAATGATGGTTTCCAATTTCATCCATGTCCCTACAAAGGACATGAACTCATCATTTCCGGGGACAGTGCCAGGTGGGGAGTTTGACTGGGGCTGTACACCTGTCAAACGGTAACGCAGGTGTCCTAAGGCGAGCTCAGGGAGGACAGAAACCTCCCGTGGAGCAGAAGGGCAAAAGCTCGCTTGATCTTGATTTTCAGTACGAATACAGACCGTGAAAGCGGGGCCTCACGATCCTTCTGACCTTTTGGGTTTTAAGCAGGAGGTGTCAGAAAAGTTACCACAGGGATAACTGGCTTGTGGCGGCCAAGCGTTCATAGCGACGTCGCTTTTTGATCCTTCGATGTCGGCTCTTCCTATCATTGTGAAGCAGAATTCACCAAGCGTTGGATTGTTCACCCACTAATAGGGAACGTGAGCTGGAGGTTCTATTTCATAGACAAGACTGATGAAATCACTGGCCATTGCTAATTAAACTTGATCTTCAGCCCCTGAATGGATAAGTCATCTCCATTACTTATTCTATAAGATGTGAATGTTTTATTAGGAACCTTAACGGTTACTTCATCCCTTAGGGATATTGTGAACAAGTTACTTCGATAGATTGTCTTTTGATCAAATATAATACAGTACAGTCATAAAGTGTTTCCTTGTTTTTAGAACTTTGCAGAGAAGTAGTTCTTACATTGAAATGGTTATTGGATATAGTGTTTGGGATGATTTAATCTGCTAATATACTTAGTTTATATCTTTTCCTTTTTGGGGGGATACACAATGCTGATTTGATTGGCTAGGAAAACTGTCTTATCTGGTAGCTTCTGTGGCGTGAAATGCAGTTGCTGACAACTTTTAATTCATAACAAGTCTGTTAACTTATTCCTATAAATTGAATATGTTAATATAATTCAGTAACTTGAATCACTTCAGTTAAATTTAAATACTATTAGGTGTTATGAAATTTACTATTTACTGTGACTATATTTAGTGGCTTTTTCTCTCTCTTAAGCACTTTACTGACTTTAAATGGAACATTAGTTATCTGTTGTTGTATAATAAAATTATCCCAAAATGTAGTAGTTTAAAACAACAATGAACATTATTATCTCTCACAGTTTCTCCAGGCTAGGAATTTAGGAACAACTTAGCTAGTAGTTCTGGCTTAGGCTCTCTTGTGAGAATGCGTAAAGGTATTGGGGGCCTCTCACAAGAAGGCCACAATCAAAATGTTAGCCATGCTGCAGTCATCTGAAAGCTTGACAGGAGCTATCAGGTCTCTCTTCAAGGTGGCTTGCTGTCCTTGACTGAAAAGTCAGTGCTGGTTGTTGGCAGGAGACCTCAGTACCTCTCCACCTGGGCCTCTTCATAGGGTTGTTTGAGTGCTTTCTTTATATTGTGACTAGCTCTCCACAGAGTGAGAGATCTAAGAGACCATGGGGAAGGGGCAATGTCTTTTATTACCTAGCCTTGTAAGTCAAACATTTACACTTCTGCAGTACTCTGCTAGTTAGACAGGCCAGTCCTGATTCAGCGATTCAATTTGTAGGAGACTGTAAAGGGGTGAGGAGCAGGCAAGGATCATTGGGCTGTTTTGGAGGATGACTGCCACAAATGGATTTATCTGAGTTTTAGGAAAGTAGAAAGACATACTTCAGTGGTAAACTAGCAAGTTATATTTTAGGAGAATGTTTAGCTTTTTTGTTTGAGTAAACCATAATCTATGAGTGTTTTTAAGGGGGCCAATTTTATGCTAGTTTTTCATATTCCAAGCAAGTGTTACACGTGAGAAAATATGTGGGTCTTTTTTTTGTTTGCAGATTATTTAAAATATCTGACAATATACATGGGAGTGCTTATTCTAATGACAATGAATTGGACTCTCACATTGGCTCAGTGAAAATTGTACAAACAGAAATGAACAAAGGGAAATCAAGGAACTATAGCAATAGTAAGCAAAAATTTCAGTATTCTGCAAATGTGTTTACAGCAAATAATGCTTTTTCTGCTTCTGAAATCGGAGAAGGCATGTTCAAAGCACCATCTTTTTCAGTTGCTTTCCAACCTCATGATATTCAAGGTAATTTCTTGCTTTTTCAGTTCATTTTATGAGTACAGACTAAACCACATTTCTTAGCATGGGGGAAAATGTAAAAATATAGTAAATTTGAGTAAATTATCTCTCTGTGCAATTTCTGCATTTTTTTATTATATTGCATTATTTTCTAAGCTGTGCTGTGTGTTAAAATATTTTATCCTGTGTGCTAAAAATATTTTTAACTTTGCTCTCAATAAAAAGTTGTGTTAGTTTTATTGAAACAGTTTTTATGGAAAGGTTAAAAATATTCATTTCAGGTCCTAGCTTCTGACCATTAATTTTTTTTTGATATTTATATAAATATGTAGCATTTTTTTTTCAGAGGTAACAGAAAATGGTTTAGGTTCCTTGAAGGCTGTCACAGAAATTCGTATCCTTTAAGTTATTTACAATAGCTGCTTTGTATTTATTAAATCATAATTTTAAAACATTTGTTTAATTGTGTTTGTTTATTTTGGTTGATGGAGAAAAAGAGGGAAAAATTAATCTTTTTGGTGTTGTAAGAGGTACATGTGGCCGGGTGCGGTGGTTCACACCTGTAATTCCAGCACTTTGGGAGGCTGAGGCAGGCAGATCACGAGGTCAGGAGTTCGAGACCAGCCTGACTAACATGGTGAAACCTTGTCTCTACTAAAAATGTAAAAAATTAGCTGGGCCTGGTGGTGTGCACCTGTAATCCCAGCTACTCAGGGGGCTGAGGGAGGAGAATCGCTTGAACCTGGGAGGCAGAGGTTGCAGTGAGCTGAGATTGTGCCATTGCATTCTAGCATGGCAAAAGAGTGAGACTCCATCTCAAAAAAAAAAAAAAAGATGTATGTGTGTGATAGTGCTACTCAGGGTGTGATTGCAGACTGGTGCCGATTTGTGACCTGTTTGTTATCAGTTTATGGCAAATTAAGTACAGAAGTCAGATTTGTATTATTGGCAGAACTCTGAGCATATTTACTTACAAATAGGTACAGATAATTTCTCATCCTTTGAGAAAGAGCAGCCAAATTGGGTTGAACTGGGTAGGGGAAATGGATGAGAATGGGATATTGTGTGGATTGGGGACATTTCTACAGATCTAGTATTTTTGAAAATCTAATTTGGAGTTTATACCTAGAATCCAATTTTCATGTCTGGACATTTCCAGTGTAAATATTTTGAGTATGTTTGTGTGTTCTGGAGGTAACATTGTTTTTGCTTCTTTAATACCCTGTGTATGCCTATGATAGTGCACTTATTTTGTTTTAATTCACCAGCAGTTTATGTGACTGTTTCCCCATGATCTATGAACTCTTTGAAGGCAAACATCATGACTTATTTACCTGCCTATTTCCAAATACATTGAAAGGCAGATAAAGTAAGGCAGGTAAAGTAAGGAAATTGTTCTGGCAAAAGTAGAGACATAAGCAAGGGTGGAGGTAAAAAAGTATGAAATACATTTGGAAAGAATAAGCTTTCCAGTTTGGCTAAAGTGACAGATATGATTAAAGAAGTAATAAGAAATATTAGATAGTTATCTTAGAATCATATCATATAATGTCATGAATACCAAGGTCAAAGGTTTTTTTATTTTATTTTTATTTTTTATTTTTTCCCCCAGCTTTGTTGAGGTATAATTGACAAATAAAAATGGTATATTTTTTAAGGAGTACAACATGATATTTTTTAATATGTAAACATTGCAAAAATAATTACCACAATCAGGCTAATTAATGTATCTATCGCCTCTCATAGTTACTTCTTTTTTGTAGTGAAAATGCAATCTCTGTAATGAGGAGAAACCATGCAATATTTTTTAAGCAGTTCAAATATCATTTAAACTATGCTTTAGGAATATATAATTAGTGACTCAATGCTTGGCAATGCTCTAGCATCCACAAAAGTTATGGTCTAGTTGACAAAATGAAAAATGAATTCCAGATATTGCATAGCTGTGCTAGAGAAATCTAGGCAACAATAACTCTAATCCTGGGCACTCGAAGGATCATCTGACATAATTCTGAAGTATGGTTAGAAAATACTTGCCTGACTTCTCATGAAAAGTTGCCTCCAATGCAGATGGCTGATTTGATTAAAAATGAGGGAGAGGGATCAATAAGAGAGTTATACATGTTGATATAGTAACTATAAACATAGCCAGTGTTTAGCACTTTATTCAGCATAGTGTCTCAATGCTGCCACATTTTCTTTTCTGTGGTGATCAAAATAGGATGGAAACATAGGAAATATATTAGCAGTAAGCTGTTAAAGATGTTTAATTATCTGTACGATGGCTGATTCTTCTTATCCCTTACTGGAAAGCCTTTCCATAATATGACACTGGCTTTTAAAGAGCTTTGAGGATTTTTATGCTATATTAGCACAGCTGAAGTGATTCTGTTGTTTAGGGGTCTTTATTAGTTAGGACTACTGCCTACACTTGTGTCCACTGATTTATTGTCCAAAAAGTTCATTTTGTGTAAAACTCATTGTCCTATACCTTATTGTTTCCAAGTATGTATTTTAAAGTGGAAGACTGAATGCTATTTGTGATAATTTGAGAGTTTGTAGATTACTTGGACACACCTTATTTTCTTATTCTCTTTAAATATTTTACTGCATTTGAATCCTCAGGGCAATAGACGTTTTCTCAGATTGGTCCTACCACAGTAGTCTTGTCATTTTCAGTTCTGCAGACATTTCCCCATTATTTCAGTGACACTGCTGAGAGTTTATTGAATGTAAGGAAAAAAATTGATTTCAAGTGTTGATAGTGATGATAAATGATGTTAGCAGTTGAGTTTTCTTATGAGCTGAAATACTGATTCTATACTCTGAATCAAAGATTCATTTTGTGAATGATATGGAACTATCTAATGAGAGAAAAACCAACATGATGGCCCACTCGTGGGCTTGTTACAAATAAATATTTGATAGAAAGAGACATGTTTTGAAGGAAAATTGAGATTCCTTCTAAAGCTGATGGATTTTCAAACTCAAAATTACGTTTTTGTTTTGGCACAGATATGACACTTTGCACATCAGAAAGTAAAATGAGGATTTATAAATTAACTGCTTGATGTAATAATTGCAAACCTATATTAACTGAGTTATGTGTCAGGCACTGTTCTAAGTATTTGGGATATGTCACTTAAGAAAACAGACAATGAATCCTTGCTTTTGAGGAGATGACATTCTTGGGATGAGGGTGGGGAGGAAGCTAGATCTCAACAACTATAATAACATATAAATAAGTCAGAGTTTTTTAGAAAGTGGTGACTATTATGGGAAAAGAAAAAAGTAGAGCAGGGTAAGCGGGTTAAATTGGGACTGCTGGGATTTGTGGCTCAGGGTGTAGAATTAAACAGTACTTAGGGTAGACCTTGAGAAGGTCAGATTTAAGCACTTAATGGAGGGAAAAGAGCCAAGGAAATATGGAAGGAATAACAGTCTAGGCAGAGGGAAGGCCTCATGGCAGGATCGTAGCTGATGTTTTTGAAGAACAGCAGAGTTCAGTATAGCTAGAGGAGATGAGTCAGGGAGAAAGAGTAGTAGGACATGATGTCAGAGAGATAAAGGCAGGGGCTGATGCGGGGAGGGAGTGGCAGTGGGGAGACGATCATGTGGAGCCTTATAGCCATACACTTTGAGAGAAAGGGAGGAATTTGATCAGAGAAGTAATATGATGTAAGTTTAAACAGGATCACTACAGCAATCCATCAGTTCTTGTATATCTTTATAAAAATCCAGTTGTTTAAGTAACTGTGTACTTGTGTTCTCAGATATGTTCTTAACCATCTTATAACTTCTAATAGATTATAACAGTCTCAATTGTAGGAACTCATTTTCTTCTTTATTTATAGCTTCCCACAGCTTTCTAAATCTAGTAATGTATTCTGTATATAGTGTTCAATGACTGTAGTTGATATATTGTAAGAAGAATACCATGTAAATACAGATATCTCCCAATCTGTCAATAGACCCTCACCTTGGAGAGGGGACAGTTTATTCTTCATATCTGTTAATATTTTTGAACTTTCTTACAGGGGAAGGATGATTTAAGTTCTTCCTGTCAAGCCAGTATGTTGATAGTTATAATTAAACCCACCACTTAACACAACCAAATTATCAAAAACAAAGAGATTTGGTATTAGGTAACCAGAAACACATCAGCTAATGAAGTACAATCAATGCTTAATGAAATAGTTGAGTGAAATTCTGTACATTAAAGAAGAGATAAAAATCAAGTGGCCTTGTCAAGGTAAATAAGAAAAAGCACTACTCTGGAAAAGATAAACTAGAAGTGTAGTTCTGATTTACTTGCCATTATGTACTTGCATCTCTTCCATCATATTTAGCACTCAGGTATAACCCTTATATAATCTCTTATTTCCCTATAAGAACTTTGCAAATTCTTTTCAGAATATGGAGTGTGACTGGAGACTAGAATAATTTATGATAATTCTTTTCCTAAGATGCCAGATAGCAAATGTTAAAACCTCATCATTAAATATTGTCAGAATCTATATTAATGTAACTTAGTTTTAAAATAAAAGTAACTAATTTTTTAAATTCTGAAATATTTGACTCCTTAATGTTATTGTAAGCGGCAAAATTTAGAAGTATTTTCAAAGAATTTCCATATTTCAACTATATACAGTCCAAGGCCTTTGATGATGTAAGTATTTTATTTTACTTATTTATTTTTCTACCTTTCACTAGGTTATGATCACTAGATTGGGACAGCTGGGATTTACTAGATCTTTATGTCTGCACTGCCACACTCCATGTCTAGCACATTTAGGAGCTCAGAAAATATTTGGTAAATGAATACATGTGATTTTCATAGGTGGATTTGTTTGTATTTGAGTGCAGTGGTGAAATCTCAGCTCACTGCAACTTCTGCTTCCCAGGTTCAAGCGATTTTCCTGCCTCAGCCACCCAAGTAACTGGGATTACAGGCTTGAGACACCACTCCTGGCTAAGTTTTCTATTTGTAGTGGAGACAGAGTTTTGCTCTGTTGGCCAGGCTGGTCTCGAACTCCTGACCTCAAGTGATCTGCCTTCCTTGGCTTCCCAAAGTGCTGGGATTACAGGTGTAAGCCATCGCACTCAGCCAGGAATGATTTTCTCCTAGGTCTACATTGACAAATAAAACAGCATGATAAAATACTAATAGTGTTATTTTTCGAGAGTGGAGGCTCTGGAGCAAAGTTACAATTTTTATAACTTTAGAGGAAAAATGTTTGAACTATTATTCCTTAGATTCTTACTAAGACTTTTTTTTTAACAAATTGAGAATGTGTGTGAAAAAGTCTATATGTTACATGATTGATTACTTTTTATTTTTTAGCTTCTTTACACAGATAGGAATTTTGTGATTTGTGCTCCAACTGGTTCTGGAAAAACTGTAGTGTTTGAACTAGCTATAACAAGATTGTTAATGGAAGTACCATTGCCATGGTTGAATATTAAAATTGTTTACAGTAAGTATTTATTATAAGAGTGATGACTAATTATAATAATGAAAAACCATTGAAGCAAAATGAAGAAATAAATTCAGTTTCTGGCCTCAGGAATTACTTGATTTTCTATATATTTCTAGTAAAGTCTGGTCTTATTTGTCATTAAATTTAAAACACATTTTCCAAAATTATAAATAAAAAGTAATATTTGAATTGAGAATTTGACTTTTACATGCTTATTTTTTAAAGGACAGGCAAAATGAACAAATAAAATCAAATATTTTGTAATTCTAGAAATTTGCATAGGAACTTTTACTCTCCTTTCTTAGGTATGTATTTAAAAAATTTTTTTTAATCAAAGTAATATATGTATATGGATTAAAAATCAAATATCAGTAAAGGCCTTATAGTGAAAAGCAATAATCTTCTGCCCTACCTTTCTCCACTTTTAGTTACACTTGCCTGAGAAATCATTTCTATTTCTATTTTTAGTTCTTTTTGGCTATTACCTTGATATCTCTAAATCAAGCTTGTCTAACTTGTGGCCTGCAGGCTGCATGTGGCCCAGGATGGCTTTGAATGCGGCCCAGCACAAATTTGTAAACTTACGACAAATTTGTAATGTTTGTAAAACATTATGAGAATTTTTTTTCTTTAGCTTATCAGTCATCGTCAGTGTTAGCATATTTTATGTGTGGCTCAATACAGTTCTTCTTCCAGTGTGGCCCAGGGAAGCCAAAAGACTGGACACCCCTGCTGTAAATAATGTGCCTATATTGTTCATTTTTAATTTATCAATATTAGGAGTATGTAGATGTGTATTTTTTATGCTAACTTTATTAACCAAAGTTTGTGAAAAGAATTTTAAAATTGAACTGATGTTCAAAGTAAATATTTTATATTGTTACAGTGGCACCAATAAAAGCCTTGTGCAGTCAGCGTTTTGATGACTGGAAAGAAAAATTTGGACCAATAGGATTGAATTGTAAAGAACTTACTGGAGATACAGTAATGGATGATCTATTTGAGATTCAGCATGCCCATATTATTATGACAACTCCAGTAGGTATTATTTATACTTTATGATTTCTTTAGTTTGTTAGAAAATACCTATTTTTCTTTACTGAGATAAAAAGTTTAAAAAATATAAACTAGAAACATATATTTACAATGCAAACAAACAAACATTAAAAAAATACTACAATTCAAGGTACAGACAGAATACCTACAAATCAGTAAGTAAAAGACAAATGACCAAATTGGAAAAATTGACAAAGAATAGGCAGTTTGTTATTGTGGATACTTTGTAATCATATTTATTGCTTTTTTCTTTTACCTAAGTAGTATGTTTTATAGAGGGAGGTCCTTGGTAGAATTTAAAAATAGGTAACAAAACTTGGACTTTGAATATTTTGTGGTTCAGTGTAAAAACAATTGAGGGCCCAGTTTTAAAAATACCTTTAAGACTGTAAAAATTCTTTAAGTATTTTTTAATTTTAAAATATTTTTCAGAATACTCTTAAGGGATCAACCAAAATTGCCTATTATTTGTAATACGTCATGTTAAAAATGTTTTTGATATCTTAATATTTATTATAATTCCTTATCACATTAAACTACTTGTATGCTTTTTTTTCTCTCTAGGAAAAATGGGATAGCATGACTAGGAAATGGAGAGACAACTCTTTGGTTCAGCTGGTTCGACTGTTTCTCATTGATGAGGTAATGAATGCATTCGCTTTCAGAGATAAACATAAAAGGATAATTAGAATAAGACAGAAAGAAAAAAGACATTGCAACCAAACTATATGTTTGTTTTATCCCTTCAAGTGGAAAATGCTCATTTTCTCAAGCAAGAATGTTAATATTATTGAATATTTTAATTGATTAAATGTATTTTTAATTCTATAGCTAATGATTTTTTCTTGATTTCCTGCTTAGGTACATATTGTAAAAGATGAAAATCGTGGTCCAACTCTTGAAGTTGTAGTTAGCAGAATGAAAACTGTACAGTCTGTTTCTCAGACTTTAAAAAATACCAGCACTGCTATTCCAATGCGATTTGTAGCTGTATCTGCAACAATTCCAAATGCTGAGGATGTGAGTTACAATTTTAACTGAGCTCTTAGGTTTTTTATGACTTGTGAAATATTTAGTCATCTTGATCATAGAGAAAAGTGAATTTTTTTGTCCTTTCCTTTAATAGGAAAGTATGTTGTAGAAAGTTGTGGCTAGATCTCATAAATATAACAGTATTAAGGCCATAAAATTTGGTTAATCAGGTTTAATAAAACATTTTTTGTGGACATGTGGACATCTCGTTTGCTAGTATCTAACAGTCTTAGTTTCCTGGGTTTCAGGTGCCTCATAGTAACTTCACTAACAATATGTGATGGTTGTTGTAACTAGCTGACTCTAATTGTATAGCAAAGTATGGTGGAGAATAAAAATAATTGCTTAGATGATTACCACTTGCTCCTCAATTCTGTATGCTTGGCATTGTGGTAAGCACTAAATATAGATGCAAAAGTGAAAATATATGGACTCCGTCCTTGAGGAGGATCTCATGGTTAATGGGGTACATGGACATGTAAAGAAATAATCATGTGCACTATTATACTTTCCATAATGAATATATGACTTAATTTTTTCTTCAATTTTTAAGTAAACGTCTTGAAAAATAATAGTCTCACTCTACTTTCTCACTCCTACTTACTTCTCAGCCTACTATAATACTGGTTTTCCCCTACTACTTCTTAGAAATTGTTTTCACAAATAGCCACTATATTGTCTATTCCAATGGAATATTTTGTCTTTATCGTTAATTTGGCACAATTAATCATTTTCTTGTTCTTGAAATGACAACTTGTTTTGTTCATATTTTTCAAGAAT
Organism: Homo sapiens; assembly: GCF_000001405.40. Taxonomy (NCBI): domain Eukaryota; kingdom Metazoa; phylum Chordata; class Mammalia; order Primates; family Hominidae; genus Homo; species Homo sapiens. The sequence continues at coordinate 91,377,232 of NC_000001.11, read as the reverse complement.
AATATAGAAAAATTTAAAGTTTATTACAACAACAAAACTAAATCCTAGCGTTTATCTTTACACATGTAGGAAGCATAATGTACATACTTTTTTTTGTAAGCATGTAGGAATCATAATGTACATACTCTTTTTTTGACCTGCATTTCACCTTTAAACATTTTTATATCATTAAATATTCTTCAATACTATTTTTGTGGTTTTATTGTAATTTATTTATCAAACACTATAACAATGGAAGATTAAGTTATTTCCAATTTTTGCTATTGTAAACAGTGAAATTAATGTATCTGAAACATCCATGATTATTTCCTTAGGATGAACTTCTAGAATGAATTAACTGAATCAAAGGATATATAAAACTCTAAAGAAGTGCTTCTTTCAATAAATGTTATATTCATTTACACTTCTACCAGAGGCTATTTTCCTGTATCCTAACACTGGATAGTATAATAATGGAATTATTATTGCTATTATTATTTTTAAATATTTATAGGATTTATTGTTGAGTGTAGTATCTCATTTAAAAATTTTTTACTTCTTTGATTTCTACTAAGGTAAAATTTTAAATATATTTATCAACTACTTTGAGTTCTTTTTTTAAAACTTGCCAGGTTATGTCATTTGCCTTTTTTTCACATTGGAATACTAAATTTTTCTTAACTTATTTGTAAGCAATTATTATGTACTAGTACTGTCTAATTCTTGAAACTTTTCCCCTTTGTGATAAACACTACTTGTGTGAATGCTGTTTCTGTCTCTTTTGTCAGATCTTCTTCCTCCGTTTTTCCCTAAATTAAGGTTTTTATTCTTGGCCTTCTGCTCCCCTCTGTCTGTAAATTCTTATGTGATCTTATCCCTACTCATGATAACCTTGAGATTATTTTAATGTTTTCTACCTGTCAAAACAACAGTCAATTTCATAGCAGAGCATGGAGCCTGATTATTAACTGGGCTATGTAAAGATAAGGATTGCTTACCACAGTTCCAGAATCTAGCTTGAGTCTGAAGTTTGCTTTTGGCACTGGCATCTCTCAAGTGTTTGTTGTTTGCTTAAAAACTTGTCAACCCTTGCCAACCTAAACCAACTATTAATTTGCTGCTATTTATCTAATATTTAGGACAACACAAAAGAGATGTCAGCCATTTTGAGGCGTAGTTTTCAAAAATAGCAAAGAAGTTAAAATAATAGTGAGAAATTTGGCCTCTATGACAAAATTGATAATTTTTCTTTGGATTCTTATGAAGGAAAATAAAACAAAATAATAATAATTAATTGGAAGTTTACCATGGTGAAAAGTGGGTATAATCTTGAAATACTACTATTGGTAGTGTTGACCACTATATCAACAGAATAATATTAATGGAATATGTAATATTGAAAAAGACAGCATACTTGATTAAATACTTTTATAGCTTGACCTTAAAGTGCTTTGTAATTGGGTTGTTTTTAGCAATAAAACTTTACTAGAAGAAAATTTTAATGCACATATTTTTGTGTTTCAAAGATTGCAGAATGGCTTTCAGATGGTGAAAGACCAGCTGTGTGTCTGAAAATGGATGAGAGCCATAGACCAGTGAAACTTCAGAAAGTGGTCCTTGGATTTCCCTGCAGTAGTAACCAAACTGAGTTTAAGTTTGATTTAACCCTCAACTACAAAATTGCCAGTGTTATACAAATGTACTCTGATCAGAAACCCACACTTGTGGTATGGATTGTTGATAGCTTATTTTTTAGTATATTCAGTTTTTAACATGATTAATACAAACGTTATGAATTTATTTTCAGTTTTGTGCAACAAGGAAGGGTGTGCAACAGGCTGCTTCTGTTCTTGTGAAAGATGCTAAATTTATTATGACTGTGGAACAGAAACAGAGGTATAGTATTTTATTTTTTCATGGAAGTAGAAGGACTTTTAGGGCTCATCTAGATGACATGAGAAAATTAGGCTTGTCCCATAACCTTGGGGTAAACCTCAGTGTCCTCATCTATAAAATAAGGATAATGATAATTTTGAGGATTAAGTGAGATAGTGAATCTTCGTACAGGGGTGATCCAGATTTCTTGAATGATAAAGATTATCCATACTACTATCTATTTTTTTTAACCTAATTTCAATCCAGCATCTTTTATAGTCTTTCACTAAAGCTGATCTTGCGAATTAATCTTTAAGGACTCTCTATCATATTTGGCCACTTCCACCTTACTTAAACACTCTGGACTCTGTGCTTCCATGATCATTTCTACTGATTTTCTTCCTCCTTTGCAGGCTGTTCGTTCTCAGTCCCCTTTTCACCTCTTCTACCCAACTCTTAAATGTTGACATTCGAGTGAGTATACCTGAGGTTCATTCTTTCTAATGCCACACTCTTAGGTGTTTGTAAGTACTCACATGAAGTTCAGATAATATTTATGCATGTCTATGAATTCCCACATTTATGCCTTCGGCCCAGACTTCCTTACTGAGCTCCAGGCCTATAGTCCATCTGTGTAACTGAATCCAGTTGTATGTCTACCAACAGTTATCTCAAACTCACTATGTACCAAATAGAACCTTGGTTCTTGCTCTCAGACCAGCTCCTTCTCCAGTGTTCCCCATCTTAATTATACATTATCTCCTTAGTTACTCATAGCAGAAAACTATGATTGATATCTTCTTCACCTTATACCCCACAATCAATTACGAAGTCCTGTTTATTCTTACTTCTAAATATATCTCAAATATGTCATTTTGTCTCCATCAACACTGCCACTTCCCTAATTCAAGTCACTAGTAATCTCTTGCCTAGGCTGTATCCTTTTCTTTAATCACTACACACACACTCTCTTATCCAGCTTTATTCTCTACATAGCATAGATTGTGTAAGATTGCAAATCTAAATGGCAGTTTCCTGCCTAAAACCCTTTAATAGATTCTTATTGTTCTGGGGATTAAATGCTAAATCCTTAGTGTAGCCTGCAGTAGCCCATGTAATGTGATGCCTAGCCAATTCTCCAGACTTTTCATGACCATTCTCCCCCTTTAATCATCACGGTCAAGCTGTATTAGCCTCTGTGTTCTGTGAATACACCAAACTGTTACTCTGTACAGCATTGTCTTGCATGGTGCTTGCTTTTACTGGAATGGTTTTCACCTAACTCCTATTTATCCTTCATGTCTAAACTTTAATATCAGTTTTCCATAGCCATCAGTTTCCCTGTATTTACTTTTATAAGCAACCTGTACTTGATTTCATAGCACTTACTATAATTATAATATCCTTTTGTTTAATAGTTATTTTAATATCTTTTCTATTAATTAGATTATCAACTTCTTGAGGAAAGGGGGACTCATGTTCATCCTGCTTACCACTCAATCTTAGCAGGTGTATTAGGTCATTCTTGCATTGATATAAAGAAATTTCTGAGCCTGGGTAATTTATAAAGAAGGGAGGTTTAATTGGCTCACAGTTTTGCAGGCTGTACAAGAAACATGGCACCACATCTGCTCGGCTTCTGGTGAGGCCTTGGGCTGCTTACAGTCATGGCAGAAGGCAAAGGATGAGTTGGTGTATCACATGGTGAGAGCAGGAGTAGGGGTCGGGGGGTACCATACACTTTTAAGCAACTAGATGTCACAAAAACTCACTCACTATTGTAAGAATAGCACCAAGCCATGAGGATCTGCCCCCATGATCCATTCACCTCCTACCAGGCCTCACCTTCAATACTGGAGATTACAATTTAGCATGAGATTTAAATGGACAGCATCCAAATTATAGCAGAAGGTCTCAGCAGAGTGCTAGCACATGATTACTATGTAATGAACATTAACTTATTATTATTGTTAATAACTTCTGGAAATCAGTAAATATGTTTAGTGGTAGACCTCAGACTAAAATTGGACATGTGGATATGAGCAGATACTTATTTTTTCTGCCTAATTTTGTATGGTGGGGGAATATACTTCTCTCCGCTTTGGGTCAGATCAGCTTTCCAATTACCAGTCTGTTCCTTTGCCACCACCTCTGGTTGCTTGTCAACCAAAGATATGTAGCAAGCCTAGAGGAGCCAATTTAGTCTTCTTTACATTCTTTGTTTTTTTTTAATCCACTAAAAAGGTAGACTATAAAGATAGTCTATTAAAGAATTACAAACATAGCCACTTATTCACCCTCTAGATACTATTTTGACACTTTTCCTTCCATTTAAAGGATTTAACTTGATCTTCTTAGTTACTACCATATGAAAAAAAATCTCTAGGGTGTGAAGCATGTAGAGTAGTTCTTTTATAATACACGTCAACAAAGCAAGATTAAGCAATAAGAAACAGTAGAGAGCAAGACAGAATGAGAAAAACCAACAAAGAGCTCACAGTCAAAAAGTAGATGAAGTCTGAGAGGTAGAAAGAAAGGGAGAAAGTGAAATTATTGCTAATAAGAATACCATCAAAAAATGATTAATAATTTTCATACCAACTGCATGTAGTTTTATAGCATTCTTATGAATTTTCTTTTTTTTATTATACTTTAAGTTTTAGGGTACATGTGCACAACGTGCAGTTTTGTTACATATGTATACATGTGGTGTTGGTGTGCTGCACCCATTAACTCATCATTTAACATTAGGGATATCTCCTAATGCTATCCCTCCCCATTCACCCCACCCACAACAGGCCCCAGTGTGTGATGTTCCCCTTCCTGTGTCCATGTGTTCTCATTGTTCAATTCCCACCTATGAATGAGAACATGTGGTGTTTGGTTTTTTGTCCTTGCGATAGTTTGCTGCGAATGATAGTTTCCAGGTTCATCCATGTCCCTACAAAGGACATAACTCATCATTTTTTATGGCTGCATAGTATTCCATGGTGTACATGTGCCACATTTTCTTAATCCAGTCTATCATTGTTGGACATTTGGGTTGGTTCCAAGTCTTTGCTATTGTGAATAGTGCCTCAATAAACACACGTGCACATGTGCCTTTATAGCAGCATGATTTGTAATCCTTTGGGTATATACCCAGTAATGGGATGGCTGGATCAAATGGTATTTCTAGTTGTAGATCCCCGAGGAATCGCCACAATGACTTCCACAATGGTTGAACTAGTTTACAGTCCCACCAACAGTGTAAAAGTGTTCCTATTTCTCCACATCCTCTCCAGCACCTGTTGTTTCCTGACTTTTTAATGATCACCATTCTAACTGGTGTGAGATGGTATCTCATTGTGGTTTTGATTTTCATTTCTCTGATGGCCAGTGATGATGAGCATTTTTTCATGTGTCTGTTGGCTGCATAAATGTCTTCTTTTGAGAAGTGTCTGTTCATATCCTTCACCCACTTTTTGTTGGGGTTGTTTGTTTTTTTCTTGTAAATTTGTTTGAGTTCATTGTAGATTCTGGATATTAGCCCTTTGTCAGATGAGTAGATGGCAAAAATTTTCTCCCATTCTGTAGGCTGCCTATTCACTCTGATGGTAGTTTCTTTTGCTGTACAGAAGCTCTTTAATTAGATCCCATTTGTCAAGTTTGGCTTTTGTTGCCATTGCTTTTAATGTTTTAGACATGAAGTCCTTGCCCATGCCTATGTCCTGAATGGTATTGCCTAGGTTTTCTTCTAGGGTTTTTATGGTTTTAGGTCTAACATTTAAGTCTTTAATGCATCTTGAATTAATTTTTGTATAAGGTGTAAGGAAGGGATCCAGTTTCAGCTTTCTATATATGGCTAGCCAGTTTTCCCAGCACCATTTATTAAATAGGGAATCCTTTCCCCATTTCTTGTTTTTCTCAGGTTTGTCAAAGATCAGATGGTTGTAGATATGTGGCATTATTTCTGAGGGCTCTGTTCTGTTCCATTGGTCTATATCTCTGTTTTGGTACCAGTATCATGCTGTTTTGGTTACTGTAGCCTTGTAGTATAGTTTGAAGTCAGGTAGTGTGATGCCTCCAGCTTTGTTCTTTTGGCATAGAATTGACTTGGCAATGCGGGCTCTTTTTCGGTTCCATGTGAACTTTAAAGTAGTTTTTTCCAATTCTGTGAAGAAAGTCATTTGTAGCTTGATGGGGATGGCATTGAATCTATAAATTACCTTGGGCAGTATGGCCATTTTCAGGATATTGATTCTTCCTACCCATGAGCATGGAATGTTCTTCCATTTGTTTGTATCCTCTTTTATTTCCTTGAGCAGTGGTTTGTAGTTCTCCTTGAAGAGGTCCTTCACATCCCTTGTAAGTTGGATTCCTAAGTATTTTATTCTCTTTGAAGCAATTGTGAATGGGAGTTCACTCATGATTTGGCTCTCTGTTTGTCTGTTATTGGTGTATAAGAATGCTTGTGATTTTTGTACATTGATTTTGTATCCTGAGACTTTGCTGAAGTTATCTATCAGCTTAAGGAGATTTTGCGCTGGGAACATGGGGTTTTCTAAATATACAATCATGTCTTCTGCAAACAGGGACAATTTGACTTCCTCTTTTCCTAATTGAATACCCTTTATTTCTTTCTCCTGCCTGATTGCCCTGGCCAGAACTTCCAACACTATGTTGAATAGGAGTGGTGAGAGAGGGCATCCCTATCTTGTGCCAGTTTTCAAAGGGAATGCTTCCAGTTTTTGCCCATTCAGTATGATATTGGCTGTGGGTTTGTCATAGATAGCTCTTATTATTTTGAGATACATCCAATCAATACCTAATTTATTGAGAGTTTTTAGCATGAAGGGTTGTTGAATTTTGTCAAAGGCCTTTTCTGCATCTATTGAGATAATCATGTGGTTTTTGTCTTTGGTTCTGTTTATATGCTGGATTACGTGTATTGATTTTCGTGTGTTGAACCAGGCTTGCATCCCAGGGATGAAGCCCACTTGATCATGGTGGACAAGCTTTTTGATGTGCTGCTGGATTTGGTTTGCCAGTATTTTATTGAGGATTTTTGCATCGATGTTCATCAGGGATATTGGTCTAAAATTCTCTTTTTTTGTTGTGTCTCTGCCAGGCTTTGGTATCAGGATGATGCTGGCCTCATAAAATGCGTTAGGGAGGATTCCCTCTTTTTCTATTGATTGGAATAGTTTCAGAAGGAATGGTAACAACTCCTCCTTGTACCTCTGGTAGAATTCGGCTGTGAATCCATCTGGTCCTGGACTTTTTTTGGTTGGTAAGCTATTAATTATTGCCTCAATTTTAGAGCCTGTTATTGGTCTATTCAGAGATTCAACTTCTCCTGGGTTAGTCTTGGGAGGGTGTATGTGTTGAGGAATTTATCCATTTCTTCTAGATTTTCTAGTTTATTTGCGTAGAGGTGTTTATAGTATTCTCTGATGGTAGTTTGTATTTCTGTGGGATCGGTGGCTATATCCCCTTTATCATTTTTTATTGCGTCTATTTGATTCTTCTCTCTTTTCTTCTTTATTAGTCTTGCTAGTGGTTTATCAATTTTGTTGATCTTCTCAAAAAACCAGTTCCTGGATTCATTGATTTTTGGAAGGGTTTTTTGTGTCTCTATTTCCTTCAGTTCTGCTCTGATCTTAGTTATTTCTTGCCTTCTGCTAGCTTTTGAATGTGTTTGCTCTTGCTTCCCTAGTTCTTTTAATTGTGATGTTAGGGTGTCAATTTTTATCTTTCCTGCTTTCTCTTGTGGGCATTTAGTGCTATAAATTTCCCTCTACACACTGTTTTGAATGTGTCCCAGAGATTGTTACATTGTGTCTTTGTTCTCATTGGTTTCAAAGAACATCTTTATTTCTGCCTTCATTTCATTATGTACCCAGTAGTCATTCAGGTTGTTCAGTTTCCATGTAGTTGAGCGGTTTTGAGTGAGTTTCTTAATCCTGAGTTCTAGTGTGATTGCACTGTGGTCTGAGAGACAGTTTGTTATAATTTCTGTTCTTTTACATTTGCTGAGGAGTGCTTTACTTCCAACTATGTGGTCAATTTTGGAATAGGTGTGGTGTGGTGCTGAAAAGAATGTATATTCTGTTTATTTGGGGTGGAGAGTTCTGTAGATGTCTATTAGGTCTGGTTGGTGCAGTGCTGAGTTCAGTTCCTGGATATCCTTGTTAATGTTCTGTCTCGTTGATCTGTCTAATGTTGACAGTGGGGTGTGAAAGTCTCCCATTATTATTGTGTGGGAGTCTAAGTCTCTTTGTAGGTCTCTAAGGACTTGCTTTATGAATCTGGGTGCTCCTGTATTGGGTGCATATATATTTAGGATAGTTAGCTCTTCTTGTTGAATTGATCCGTTTACCATTATGTAATAGTCTTCTTTGCCTCTTTTGATCTTTGTTGGCTTAAAGTCTGTTTTATCAGAGACTAGGATTGCAACCCCTGCCTTTTTTTGTTTTCCATTTGCTTGGTAGATCTTCCTCCATCCCTTTATTTTGAGCATATATGTGTCTCTGCACGTGAGATGGGTTTCCTGAATACAGCACACTGATGGGTCTTAACTCTTTCTCCAGTTTGCCAGTCTGTGTCTTTTAATTGGAGCATTTAGCCCATTTACAGTTAAGGTTAATATTGTTATGTGTGAATTTGATCCTGTCATTATGATGTTAGCTGGTTATTTTGCTCGTTAGTGGATGCAGTTTCTTCCTAGCCTTGATGGTCTTTACAATTTGGCATGTTTTTGCAGTGGCTGGTACCAGTTGTTCCTTTCCATGTTTATTGCTTCCTTCAGGAGCTCTTTTAGGGCAGGGCTGGTGGTGACAAAAATCTCTCAGCATTTGCTTGTCTGTAAAGGATTTTATTTCTCCTTCACTTATGAAGCTTAGTTTGGCTGGATATGAAATTCTGGGTTGAAAATTCGTTTCTTTAAGAATGTTGAATATTTGCCCCCACTCTCTTCTGGTTTGTAGAGTTTCTGCCGAGAGATCAGCTGTTAGTCTGTTGGGTTTCCCTTTGTTGGTAACCCAACCTTTCTCTCTGGCTACTCTTAACATTTTTTCCTTCATTTCAACTTTGGTGAATCTGACAATTATGTGTCTTGGAGTTGCTCTTCTTGAGGAGTATCTTTGTGGCGTTCTCTGTATTTCCTAAATTTGAATGTTGGCCTGCCTTGCTAGATTGGAGAAGTTCTCCTGGATAATATCCTGCAGAGAGTTTTCCAACTTGGTTCCATTCTCCCCGTCACTTTCAGGTACACCAATGAGATGTAGTTTTGGTCTTTTCACATAGTCCCATATTTCTTGGAGGCTTTGTTTGTTTCTTTTTATTCTTTTTTCTCTAAACTTCTCACTTCATTTCATTTATTTGATCTTCCATCCCTGATACCCTTTCTTCCAGTTGATCACATCGGCTACTGAGGCTTGTGCATTCGTCACATAGTTCTCGTGCTGTGGTTTTCAGCTCCATCAGGTCCTTTAAGGACTTCTCTGCGTTGGTTATTCTAGTTAGCCATTCGTCTAATTTTTTTTCAAGGTTTTTAACTTCTTTGCCATGGGTTCAAACTTCCTCCTTTAGCTTGGAGTAGTTTGATCTTCTGAAGCCTTCCTCTCTCAACTCGTCAGTCATTCTCCGTCCAGCTGTGTTCCATTGCTGGTGAGGAGCTGTGTTCCTTTGGAGGAGGATAGGCACTCTGATTTTTAGAGTTTCCGGTTTTTCTGCTCTGTTTTTTCCCCATCTTTATGGTTTTATCTACCTTTGGTCTTTGATGATGGTGACGTACAGGTGGGTTTTTGGTGTGGATGTCCTTTCTGTTTGTTAGTTTTCCTTCTAACAGTCAGGACCCTCAGCTGCAGGTCTGTTGGAGTTTACTGGAGGTCCACTCCAGACCCTGTTTGCCTGGGTATCAGCAGCGGTGGCTGCAGAACAGCGGATATTGGTGAACCGCAAATGCTGCTGCCTGATTGTTCCTCTGGAAGTTTTGTCTCAGAGGAGTACCCAGCTGTGTGAGGTGTCAGTCCGCCCCTACTGGTCGGTGCCTCTCAGTTAGGCTTGGGGGTCAGGGACCCACTTGTGGAGGTAGTCTGTCCGTTCTCAGATCTCAAGCTGCGTGCTGGGAGAACCACTACTGTCTTCCAATGTGTCAGACAGGGACATTTAAGTCTGCAGAGGTTTCTGCTGCCTTTTGTTTGGCTATGCCCTGCCCCCAGAGGTGGAGTCTACAGAGGCAGGGAGCCCTCCTTGAGCTGCGGTGCGCTCCACCCAGTTCGAGCTTCCTGGCTGCTTTGTTTACCTACTCAAGCCTCGGCAATGGCGGGTGCCCCTCCCCCAGCCTCACTGCCGCCTTGCAGTTTGATCTCAGACTGCTGTGCTAGCAATGAGCGAGGCTCTGTGGGTGTAGGACCCTCCAAGCCAGGCGCAGGATATAATCTCCTGGTGTGCCGTTTGCTAAGACCATTAGGAAAGTGCAGTTTTAGGGTGGGAGTGACCCGATTTTCCAGGTGCTGTCTGTCACCCCTTTCTTTGACTAGGAAAGGGAATTCCCTGACCCCTTGCATTTCCCGGGTGAGGCGATGCCTCGCCCTGCTTCAGCTCAAGCTCGGTGCACTGCACCCGCTATCTGACACTCCCCAGTGAGATGAACCCAGTACCTCAGTTGGAAATGCAGAAATCACCTGTCTTCTGCATTGCTCACGCTGGGAGGTGTAGACTGGAGCTGTTCCTATTTGTCCATCTTGGCTCCACCCACCTCTTATTAATTTTCTAAGTTTTTAAAACAAAGATGGGGTTTCAAAAACATTGACCAGTTCATTATAAAACTAGTAATAGAATAAAGGTAAACTGGGATTTTTTTAAAACGTGTAGGTATAGGGTAGAGAGGCTGTAAGTAGGTCTAAACAATTTGAAGCTTTCTACTTGTTGGGTGAATAAACTAGATGATCAAGTTGGTTCATATCACTTTTTGTCAGAAACAAGATGTGGGGATCAAGTAATGAGGCTTGTTTGCTTGCTCATAAACTTAACTCTGAAGGCAGTTTTGAGAGACTTACGGAATTCTTTGTGCAATGGCAGCATGATTCACATAGAAATATCTGGTGTCCTAAGGTGAATACATAATAAACATTTTTGAGCTGAACTTATCTATATGAGTAGGGAATTGAAATACACTACAAGTTCCTTTAAAACTAATTTACAATTTATCCTCTCCCTTTTTTCTGTTGTGAACAAATTAGCTAATTTTGTTTCAGATAATCATTTTTTTGCAAACATATATCTTAATTCCTTTTCTCATTTCCCACTCTTACCTAGTTACTAATGGAAAGTTTCTCTCTCCTTTAACTCTCCTCTCTTCTTTCTTCAGTCTTTGCCCCTTATTTTTTCTTTATCTCTTTTTATTCCTGTTTTTTTTTTTTTTTCAGGAACATACCGGAGTTAGAGACTCAGATTTGAATTACAGTGCTGCTACTTTTACTAGCTGTGTACTATTGGACATATTACTTAACTTCTTTCAACTTCAATTTCTTAATCAATATTGTATATGTGAGAATCAATCATCTCACCATGTTTCTATGATAATTAAATAAGCGACATTTCTAAGATACCTAACAGTGGGTAGCAGAGTTTGTACTTAATAGTAACATGCCTTTCCTCTTGCCTTATCTTCATTCCATTGTGAATCCTTAAAAAAAGTCATGAGTGTTATCATAAAAATAATTCATCCTAGTGTCATATCTGCAACAAGGAAGTAGAAAAATACTAGATGTTTTTATATACTTAAGAACCAAGCCTACCAACTTCCAAAATCTTTTAATGTACCCAGAATTCATTTTCAAATTATCAACACACTTTCTTAACTTCCTCTTGTCTTTTCACCTAGTTTTCTTTTTTAAAAAATAAATTTTATATGGCATATTTGAGGTTTACAACATGATGTTATGTGATTCATATAGCTAGTAAAATGGTTACTGTAGTGATGCAAATTAATATATCTCTCATCTCACATAGTTTTTTTTTTGACAAGAGCAGCTAAATCTACTTACTTAACAAGAATCCCTAATCCAAAATAATTTTTATTAACTATAGTCTTTATGTTGTACATTAGGTCTCTAGATTTGTTCACACTATGTATCTGCTTTTCTGTATATCCTTTGACCTACATCTCCCCATTTCTTCCCCCGTTCCCACCCTTCCTGCCTCTGATAACTACTATTTTATTCTCTATCTCTGTATAGTTGACTTTTTAAAAACACGTTTCACATGTGAGTGAGAACATACAATATTTTTCTTTCTGTGACTGGCTTATTTCAGTTAGTGTCTTAGCAATGTACTCCAGGTCCAGCCATGTTGTGGCAAGTCGCAGAATCTCATTCTTTTATAAGGCTGAATAATATTCCATTGTGTGTGTGCATGTGTGTGTGTATGTGTGTGTATACTATGTTATATATATATACACACCAGGCGCGGTGGCTCACGCCTGTAGTCCCAGCACTTTGGGAGGCCGAGGCAGGCGAATCATGAGGTCAGGAGATCAAGACCACCCTGGCTAACATGGTGAAACCCCATCTCTACTAAAAATACAAAAAATTAGCCGGGCGTGGTGGCTGGTGCCTGTAGTCCCAGCTACCCTGGAGGCTGAGGCAGGAGAATGGCGTGAACCCCGGGGGGCAGAGCTTGCAGTAAGCTGAGATCGTGCCACTGCACACTCCAGCCTGGGCGACAGAGCAAGACTCTGTCTCAAAAAAAAAAAAAAAATATATATATATATATATATATATATGTATATGTATATGTATATATACACACACAGATACCACATTTTTCTTATGCATTAGTTCATCAACAGACCTTTAGGCTGTTTCCATATCTTAACTACTATGAACAATCTGCAAGGAACATGGGAGTGCAGATATCTTTATGAGGTAATGATCTCTTCTTTGGGTATATACCCAGAGAAGAGGTTGCTTGGTAATATGGTAATTCCATTTTTAATATCTTTAGAAATCTCAATACTATTTCCATAATGGCTGTACCAATCTGCATTCCCACCAACAGTGTACTAGGATTCCCTTTTTTCCACACCATCACCTGTATTTGTTGTCTATAATATAGTGGTTTTAATTTACATTTCCTGATAATTAGTGATGTTCAACACCTTTTCATATACCTGTTGGCCATTCTTATGTTTTTTTTTTCCTTCCACTTTTAAGTTTAAGGGTACATGTGCAGGATGTATGGGTTTGTTATATAGGTAAACATGTGACATGGTGGATTGCTGTACAAATCATCGCATAACCTAGGTATTAAGCTCAGCATCCATTAGCTATTATTCTTAATGCTCTCCCTCCCCAACCTCCCCAACAGGTCCCAATGTGTTCCCCTCCATATGTCCATGTGTTATCATCATTCAGCTCCCACTTATAAGTGAGAACATGTGGTGTTTGCTTTTCTGTTCCTGTGTTAGTTTGCTGAGGATAATGGCTTCCATCTCCATCCATGTCTCTGCAAAGGACATGATATCATTCCTTTTTACGGCTGTGTAGTATTCCAGAGTATATATGTGCCACATTTTCTTTATCCAGTCTATCACTGATGGGCATTTAGGTTGATTCCATGTCTTTGCTATTGTGAATAATGCTGCAATGAACATATGTGTTCATGTATCCTTATAAAATAATAATTTATATTCCTTTGGGTATATACCCAGTAATGGGATTGCTAGGTCAAATGGTATTTCTGGTTGTAGGTCTTTGAGGAATTGCCACAACGTCTTCCACAATGGTTGAACTAATTTACACTACAAACAGTGTAAAAGCGTTCCTTTTTCTCTGCAACCTCGCCAGCATCTGTTTTTTTTTTTTTTGACTTTTTAGTAATTGCCATTTTGACTGACATGAGATGGTATCTCATTGTGGTTTTGATTTACATTTCTCTAATGATCAGTGATGTTGAGCTTTTTTTCATAATATTGGTTGGCCACGTGTGTCATCTTTTGAAAAGTGTCTGTTCATGTCCATTGCCCGCTTTTTAATGGGGTTGTTTGTTTTTTTTCTTGTAATTTTGTTCAAGTTCCTTGTAGACTCTGGATATGAGACCTTTGTCAGATAGATAGATTGCAGAAATTTTCTCCTATTCTGTGGGTTGTCTATTTACTCTCATGATATTTCTTTTGCTGAATGGAAGCTCCTTATTTTGATTTTAATTTGATGCCATTTGTCAATTTTTGCTTTTGTTGTAATTGCTTTTGGTGTTTTCTTCATGAAATCTTTGCCCGTGCCTATGACTTGAAGGGTATTGCCTAGATTTTCTTCTGGGGTTTTTATAGTTTTCGGTTTTACATTTAAGTCTGTAATCCATCTTGAGTTAATTCTTGTGTAGGGTGTAAGGAAGGGGTCCAGTTTCAATTTTCTGCATATGGCTAGCCAGCTCTCCCAGCACCATTTATTAAATAGGGTGTCCTTTCCCCATTGCTTGCTTTTGTCACATTTGTTGAAGATCAGATGTTTGTAGGTGTGTCGTCTTATTTCTGGGTTCTCTATTCTTTTCCTTTGGTCTATGTGTCTGTTCTTGTACCAGCCCCATGCTGTTTTGGTTACTATAATAGTATAGTTTGAAGATGGGTAGAATGATACCTCCAGCTTTGTTCTTTTGCTTAGGATCATCTCAGCTATTTGGTTCCATATAAATTTTACAATAGTTTTTTTCTGATTCTGTGAATAATGTCAATGGTAGTTTAGTGGGAACAGCATTGAATCTATAAATTACTTTGGGCAGTATGGCCATTTTCACAATATTGATTCTTCCTATCCATGAGCATGGAATGTTTCTCTATTTGCTTGTATCCACTTTGATTTCTTTGAGCAGTGGTTTGTAGTTTTCCTTGAAAAGTTTCTTTACCTCCCTAGTTAGCTGTATTCCTAGGTATTTTATTCTTTTTGTAGCAATTGTGAATGGGAGTTCATTCACTGTTTGGCTCTCTGACTGCCTGTTGTTGGTGTATAGGAATGCTAGAGATTTTTGCACATTGATTTTGTATCCTGAGACTTTGCTGAAATTGCTTAATAGCTTAAGAAGCTTTTGTGCTGAGAAGATGACGTTTTCTAAATATAGGATCATGTCATCTGCAAACAAAGATAATTTGACTTCCTCTCTTCCTATTTAAATACCTGTATTTCTTTCTCTTTCCTGATTGCCCTTGCCAGAACTTCCAAAACTGTGTTGAATAGGAGTGGTGAGAGAAGGGATCCTTTTCTTGTGCCAGTTTTCAAGGGGAATGATTCCAGTTTTTGCCCATTCAATATGGTATTGGCTATGGGTTTGTCATATATAGCTCTTATTATTTTGAGGTATGTTCCTTCAATACCTAGTTTGTTGAGAGTTTTTAACATGAAGGAGTGTTGAATTGTATCGAAGTCCTTTTCTGTGTCTATTGGGATAATAATGTCTTTCATTCTGTTTATGTGATGCATCACATTTATTGGTTTGTGTACATTGAACCAACCTTGCATCCTGGGGATGAAGCCAACTTGATCATGGTGGGTAAGCTTTTTGATGTGCTGCTGGATTCAGTTTGCCAGTATTTTATTGAAGCTTTTTGCATCAGTGTTCATTAAGGATATTGGCCTGACGTTTTCCTTTTTTGTTGTATCTCCACCAGGTTTTGGTATCAGGATGATGCTGGCCTCATAAATGGGTTAGGGAGGAGTCCCTCCTTTTCAGTCTTTTGGAATAGTTTCAGTAGAAATGGTGACAGCTTTTCTTTGTACCCATGGTAGAATTTAGCTGTGGATCTTTCTGGTCCTGGGCTTTTTTTGGTTGGTAAGCTAGTTATTACTGTCTCAATTCCAGAACTCATTATTGGTCTGCTCAGGGATTCAATTTCTTCCTGGTTCAGTCTTGGAAGAGAGTGTGTGTCCAGGATTTCATCCATTTCTTCTAGATTTTCTAGTTTATGTGCATAGAGGTCTTTACAGTATTCTCTGATGGTTGTTTGTATTTCTATGGGGTCAGTGGTGATATCCCCCATATCATTTCTGATTGTGTTTATTTGATCCTTCTCTCCTTTCTTCTTTATTAGTCTAGCTAGCAGTCTATATATTGTGTTAATTTTTTCAAAAAACTAGCTCCTGGATTTGGTGATTTTTTTTTTTTGAAGGGTTTTTTCATGTCTCTATCTCCTTCGGTTCAGCTCTGATCTTCGTTATTTCTTGTCTTCTGCTAGCTTTGGGGTTTGTTTGCTCTTGGTTCTCTAGTTCTTTTAGTTGAGATGTTAGGTTGTTAACTTGGGATATTTCTAGCTTTTTGATGGGGGAATTTGGTGCTATATGTTTCTCTCTTAA
Organism: Homo sapiens; assembly: GCF_000001405.40. Lineage (NCBI taxonomy): Eukaryota > Metazoa > Chordata > Mammalia > Primates > Hominidae > Homo > Homo sapiens. The sequence goes on along the minus strand of NC_000001.11, from coordinate 91,361,048 downwards.
CACTGCTTTAACTGTGTCCCAGAGATTCAGGTACATTGTCTCTTTGTTCTCATTAGTTTCAAAGAACTTCTTGATTTCTGCCTTAATTTCATTATTTACCCAAGAGTCATTCAGGAGCAGGTTGTTCAGTTTTCATGTAGTTGTGTGGTTTTGAGTGTATTTCTTAATCTTGAGTTCTAATTTGATTGTGCTCTGGTCTGAGAGACTGTTTGTTATGATTTCCATTCTTTTACATTTGCTGAGAAGTGTTTTACTTCCAATTATGTGATCAGTTTTAGAGTACATGCCATGTAGCTATCAGAAAAATGTATATTCTGTTGAATTTGAGTGGAGAGTTCTGTAGCTATCTGTCAGGTCCACTTGATCCAGAGCTGAGTTCAGGTCCTGAATATCTTTGTTAATTTTCTGTCTCAGTGATCTGTCTAATATTGTCAATGGGTTGTTAAAGTCTCCAGTATTATTGTCTGGGAGTCTGAGTCTCTTTGTAGATCTCTAAGAACTTGCTTTATGAATCTGGGTGCTCCTGTATTGGGTGCATATATATTTAGGATAGTTAGCTCTTCTTGTTGCATTGATCCCTTTACCATTATGTAATGCCCTTCTTTGTCTTTTTTGATCTTTGTTGGTTTAAAGTCTATTTTGTCAGAAACTAGGATTGCAACCCTTGCTTTTTTCTGTTTTCCATTTGCTTGGTAAGTTTTCCTTCATCCCTTTATTTTGAGCCTGTGTGTCTTTGCATCTGAGATGGGTCTCTTGAAGACTGCATACCAGTGGGTCTTGGCTCTTTATCCAGCTTGCCATTCTGTGCCTTTTAATTGGGGCATTTAGCCCATTTACAATTTAAGATTGGTATTGTTATGTGTGAATTTGATCCTGTCATCATGATGCTAGCTGGTTATTTTTCAGACTTGTTTATCCTTTCCATATTTAGTGCTTCCTTCAGGAACTCTTGCAAGGCAGGCCTGGCGACTTCCCTCAGCATTTGCTGTCTCTGAAAAGAACCTTATTTCTCCTTTGCTTATGAAGCTTTGTTTGGCCAGATAGGAAATTCTGGGTCAGAAATTTTTTTCTTTAAGAATGTTGAATATTGGCTCCCAGTCTCTTCTGGCTTGTAGGTTTTCTGCTGAGAGATCCACTGTTAGTTTGATGAGTTTCCCTTTGTAGGTGACCTGACTTTCTCTCTGGCTGCCCTTAACATTTCTCTTTCATTTCAACGTTGGAGAATCTGATGATTATGTCTTTTCAGGTTGATGTTCGTGTGGAGTATCTTCCTGGGGTTCTCTGCATTTCCTGAATTTGAATGCTGGGCTGTCTTGCTAGGTTGGGGAAGTTCTCCTGGAAGTTCTCTTGAAGTATGTTTTCCAGTGTGGTTTTGTTCTCCCTGTTTCTTTCAGGTACCAGTCAGTTGTAAGTTTGGTTTCTTTACTTAATCCCATATTTCTTGGAGGTTTTGTTCATTCCTTTTCATTCTTCTTCTTCCTTTTTTTTTTTTTTTGTATTCTTGTCTGCCTGTCTTATTTCAGAAAGATAATCTTCTAGCTCAGAGATTCTTTCCTCCATTTGGTCTATTCTGTTATTGATACTTGCGATTGCATTGTGAAGTTCTCGTGTTGTGTTTCTCACCTCCATCAGATCAGTTATGTTCCTCTCTAAACTGGCTGTTCTGGCTATCAGCTCCTGTACTGTTTTACCATGGTTCTTACCTTTTTTTGCATTAGGTTATAACATGCTCCTTTAGCTCAGTGAAGTTTGTTATTACCCACCTTCTGTAGCCTACTTCTGTCGATTCAGCCATCTCAGCCTCCAGCCCAGTTCTTAGCTGGAGAAATGTTACAGTCATTAGGAGAAGAGACACTATGGCTTTTTCAGTTTTCAGTGTTTTTACGTTGACTCTTTCTCATCTTTGTGGGCTTATCTACCTTTGATCTTTGATGTTGCTGACCTTTGAATGAGGTTTTTATGGGATCTTTTTTGTTGTTGGTGGTGGTGTTTTCTGTTTGTTTTGCTTTTAACAGGCCACTCTACTGTAGAGCTGCCGCAGTTTGCTGGGGATCTGCTCCAAACCCTAGTTGCCTCAGTTTCTCCCGTACCTGGAAATATCACCAGTGAAGACTGTGAAACAGCAAAGATGACAGCCAGCTACTTCCTCTAGAAGCTCCATCCCCAGGGAGTACTGACCTGTTGCCAGTCTGCATGTACCTTTAGGAGGTGGCTGGAAACCCCAGTTGGGATGTCTCACCCAGTCAGTGGAACAGGATCAGGGACCCCCCCAAAGAAACAGTCTGACTGTTTTTTTGGTAGAGCAGGTGTGCTGCATTGCCAAGGCCAATATCAAGGTGCTTTGCCCTATGTTCTCTTCTGGGAGTTTTATGATTTCAGGTCTTACATTTAGATCTTTTGTCAATTTTTGAGTTGATTTTTGTGTATGGTATAAGGGTGCAATTTTATTCTTTTGGATATGGAAATTGTTTTTCCAGCCTCATTTATAGAAGAAACTATTGTTTCCCCATTTTTTTTGGTGCCCTAATGGAAAATTAGTTGACTGTGTATGTTTGGACTTATTTCTGGGCTCTCTGTTCTGTTCCATTGGTCTGTGTTTCTGTTTTTATGCAAGTACTATATTGTTTTGGTTAGTCCAGCTTTGTAGTATAATTTTAAATCAGAAAGTGTGTAGCTCCAACTTTCTTTTCCTTCTCAGTTTTGCTGTCACTATCCAGGGTTTATTGTGGTTCCATACTAATTTTATGAAAAAAAATTTTTTTTTTGAGATGGAGTCTTGCTCTGTTGCCCAGGCTGGAGTGCAGTGGCGCGATCTCGGCTCACTGCAAGGTCCGCCTCCCAGGTTCACACCATTTGTATTTTTAGTAGAGATGGGGTTTCACCATGTTAGCCAGGATAGTCTTGATCTCCTGACCTTGTGATCCACCCATCTCGGCATCCCAAAGTTAATTTTATGATTTTTTCTTCTATTTCTGTGAAGGATGCCATTGGAATTTTGATAGGGATTGTATTGAATCTGTACTTCTTTGGGTAGTATGGACATTTTAACAATATTAATTCTTTCAATCCATCAACACAGGATATCTTTCCATTTATTTTTGTCTTGGATTTCTGTCACCATTGTTTGATAGCTTTCAGTGTACAGATCTTTTACCTCCTTAATTAAACTTATTCCTAAGCATTTTATTTTTTTATGCTGTCATAACTGGGATTGTTTTCTAGATTTCTTTTTCAGTTAAATTATTATTTTTGTTTAAAAATGCTACTAATCTCTGTATATGGATTTTGAATCCTGCAACTTTACTGAATTATTAGTTCTAACAGTTTTTTAATGAATCTTTGAGGTTTTTTTACATGTAAGATAATGTTGTCTGCAAATAAAGATAGTTTTACTTCTTCCTTTCAAATTTGAATTCCTTTTATTTTTTTCTTATCTGATTGCTCTTGGTAGTACTTCCAGTACTGTGTTGAATAGAAGCAGTGAGAGTGGGCATCCCTGCCTTGTACTGTATCTTGGTGGAAAAGCTTTCAGTTGTTCCCCATTGATTATGATGTTGGCTGTGGGCTTTTCATAAATGGCCTTTGTTACATTAGTTGAGAAGTTTTCCTTATATGCCTGCGTGTTAAGAGATTTTATCAAGAAAGGATGTTGAACTTGCTGTCAAATGCTTTTTCTGCACCAATTGAGATGGTCTTGTGTTTTTTATCTTTCATTCTGTTAATGTGATATATCACAGTGGTTGATTGGCATATATTAAACCAGCCTTGCTTGCCAGGAATAAATCCACTTGGCCATGGTGTATAATCCTTTTTGATGTGTTGTTGAATTCAGTTTGCATATATTTTATTGAGGATTTTTGCATCAATATTCATCAGAGATACTAGCCTATAGTTTTCTTGTAGTGTCTTTATGTGGCCTAGGTATCAACGTGATAGTAGCCTCACAAAATATGTTTGGAAGTATTCCCTGTAGCTGTATTTTTTGGAATAGTTTATGAAGTATTGGTGGTAATTCTTCTTTGAATGTTTGGTAGAATTCAGTTGTGATGCTGTCTGGTTCTGGGCTTTTCCTTGTTGGAAGATTCTTCATTACTACTTCAATCTCATTATGTGTTATTGGTCTGTTTAAGCTTTCTATTTCTTCCTGATTCAAACTTAGCAGGTTGTATTTTTCTAGGAGTTTGTCCATTTCCTGTAGGTTATCCAATTTGTTAGTATTAATATATAATTGTTCATAATAGCCCCTTATGATCTCTTTGATTTCTGAGGCATCTGTTGGTGATTTCTCCAGTTTCATTTTTTATTTTATTTGTTTCTTCTTTTTTTTTCCTTAGTCTAGCTAGATATTTGTTTATTTTATTTTTTCAAAGAACCAAGTCTTGGTTTTATTGATCATTTTCTATGTTTTTTTGGTGGATCTCTATTTGATTTATTTCTGTTCTGATCTTTATTATTTCCTTTCTTCTGCTAACTTTGCATTTAGTTTGTTCTTTTGCTAGCTCCTGTAGGTATAATGTTAGGCTGTCTATTTAGTATCTTCTTTTTTTAATATAGGCACTTATTGCATAAAATTTCCTCTTGAGTTCAAGACCAGCCTGACCAACATGGGGAAACCATGTCTCTACTAAAAATACAAAATTAGCCAGGCGTGGTGGTACATGCCTGTAATCCCAGCTACTCAGGAGGCTGAGGCAGGAGAATCGCTTGAACCTGGGAGGCATAGGTTGCAGTGAGCCGAGATCATGCCATTGCACTCCAGCCTAGGCAACAAGAGTGAAACTCTGTCTCAAAAAAAAAAAAAAAATTCCTCTTAGAACCACTTTTGCTGCATCTCATAGGTTTTGGTGTGTTGTCTTTCCATTGTTACTTGTCTCAAGATATTTTTTAATTTCCCTTTTGGTTTCTTTGACCATTGATTGTTTAGGAGCATGTTGTTTAGTTTCCACATACTTGTGATTTTTTTCAAGATTTTTCCTGTTATTGATTTCTAGTTTCATATTGTTGTGGTCAGAAATGATACTACATATGATTTCAATCGTCTTGAATTTAGATTAATTAAAAATAGTTAAATCTAGTTTTGTGGCTTAATGTATGATCTGTCCTGTAGAATGTTTCGTATGCTCTAGAGAAGCGTATACATTCTGCTGCTATTGAATGCAAAGTTCTATATTTGTCTGTTAGGTCCATTTGACTCAAAGTACAATTCAAGTCCAGTATTTCTTTGTTAACTTTCGGTCTGGTTAATCTATCATTATTGAAAGTGGGATATTGAAGACCCCTCCTATTATTGTATTGTTGTCTATTTCTCTCTTCATGTCCTTTAATAATGTTTTATATATATGTTATGCTTCAGTGTTGGGTGCTTATATATTTACAATTCTTATGTGCTCTTGATGAATTGACCCCTTTGTCGTTAAATTATGACCTTCTTTGCCTCTTGTAACAGTTTTTGACTTAAAGTCATTTTAACTGATGTAAGAATAGCCACCCTGCTCTCTTTTGGTTACTATTTATGTAGAATATTTTCTTTTACCCCTTAACTTTCAGCCGGTGTCCTTATAGCTAAGATGGATCTCTGGTAGGCAGCATGTAGTTGGATCTTGGTTTTTTTTTTTTCTTCTATCAATTTAGACACTATATGTCTTGATTGGAGAATTTAATTCATTTGCCTTCAGGGTTATTATTGATAGATAAGGACTTACTCCTGCCATTTTAATTGTTTTCTGGTTGCTTGGTAGATCAGTTGTTCCTTTCTTCCTCTTGTTGTATAAGTTTGTGATTTGTTGTTTTTCTGTAGCGCTAAGCTTTGATTCCTTTCTCTTTCTCATCTGTATCTTCTGTAGCTTCTTGCTTTGCAGTTACCACAAGGCTTACGTAAAATATCTTAGAGTTATAATAGACTATTTTAAACTGAACTTCAGTCACATACAACTACTCTAGATTTTTGCCCTCCCCCCACAATTTATGTTTGTTGACACAGTTTACATCTTTTTATATTCAGTATTCCTTAACAACTCATTGTAGCTGTATTTTTGACTATTTTGATTTTTCACCTTCATAATAGAGATTTGAAAGATTTGCACACCACCATTACAGTGGTGGCACATTCTGAATTTGACTGTGTATTTACCTCTACCAGTGTGTTTTATGCTTTCATATGTTTTCATGATACTAATTATCATTCTTTTGTATCTGGTAGAAGAACTGCTTTAATCATTTCTTATAAGGCAGGTCTAGTGGTGAATTTCTTCAGCTTTTATTTATCTGGCTGAGACTTTATTTCTCCTCATTTCTGATGAACAGCTTTGCTTTGTATAGTATTGTTTACTGGCAATATTGTCTTCTTTCAGGACTTTGAATGTATCATCTCATGCTCTCCTGGCCTGCAAGGTTTCTGCTGAGAAACACTGATAGTCTAATGGAGATTCCCCTATAAATCACTTGACACTTTTCTCTTGCTACTTTTAAAATTCTCTCTTTGTCTTTGACTTTCCACATTTTGGTTATAATGTGCCTCAGTGAGGACCTTTTTGGGTTTGAACGTGTTTGGTGATTTTGAGATTCATGGAACTGGATGTCCATGTCTCTCCCAAGACTTGGGAAGTTTTCAGCAATTATTTTATTAAATAAACTTTCTATGCCTTTTCCTCATTCTTCTCCTTCTGGAACCTCCATAATATGAATACTTGTTTGCTTAATGGTGTCCCATAAGTCCTATAGGCTTTGTTCACTCTTTTTTGTTCTTTTCTCTTTCTTTTTTTTCCCTCTGACTAGGCTATTTCAGAAACCTAACTTCATTTCACAGATTCTTTCTTCTGCTTGTTTTGGTTTGCTGTTGAAGCTCTCTATTTTTGATTTCATTCATTTAATTCTTTAGCTCCAAGATTTCTGTTTGGTTCTTTTTGAATAACTTTCTTGTGCAGATAATGAATTGTTTTCCTGATTTCATTGACCTGTCTATCTGTATTCTCTTGTATCTCAGTGAGTTTTCTTAGGATCATTACTTTGAACTCCTTTTCAGACAGTTTACAAATTTCTGTTTTTTGGAATCAGTTACTGGAGAATTATTGCGTTCCTTTGTTGGTGGTGTATTTCCTGGTTTTTTGGTTGGTTTTTTTTTTTTTTCATGTTTCCTGTGTCCCTCTATTGATGTCTGCACAACTAGTGGAATAATCACCTCTTTCAAATTTATAGAGAGGCACTTTCCTTTAGTCATTCTGTTCAAAATGTAGTTAGTTGTTTATTCATTGTTTTGCTCTTTTTTGTGGGGAAGATGAGCATTAGGCATCTCTAGTTGACCATCTTGCTTCCTCCTAACCTAGTTTTTTTAAATGCCATGTCTCAGAGCACTGGAAACACTATGGTTTATTTCCATGTTTTTTTTTTTTTTTTTTTTGCTTATTTACTAGTAATATAGTAGTTTTAGAAATGGTTACTTCTTATAATTTTTTTTAGGCAAATTATGAGAGTAGACTTTTATACTGACTTGTTAATCACCAATTATGTTGTTTTCTTGGGGAAAGTGAGTTTTCCAAATTCTTGGTTTAAAAGTGAGCTTTAATATTGTAGCTCATAAGTTTAGGGACTTTTGAATATGAAAGTTGGATATTTTCTACTTCTTAAAATAGTTTTCAGATAATGATATTGTGAAAATTTTTTGATATCTCTAAGTTTTAAAATAATAAACTGTTTCAGAGTTCTCTAATGTTACTGGGAGTAACTCAATAATTTTATGGTATTTTTAAATAGGTTACAGAAGTATGCATATTCCGTAAGAGATTCAAAACTGAGAGGTAGGTTTAGAGATAATTTTTGAATAGCATTTTCACATATAGATGAAAGGTGCCAATTATTGATGAAATATTAATAGTAACAGCTGATATATTTCTATTACAGATATCTTAAAAGATGGTGCTGCTTATCATCATGCTGGTATGGAGCTGTCAGATAGAAAAGTAGTTGAGGGAGCTTTTACTGTTGGAGATTTACCAGTTCTTTGTAAGTAAAACATATTTCTCGTGGATACTATAAAATATTTTGGAAAATTATTTTTAAGAGGAAAAAAGGAAAAAGCGCAAGTGTTCTGCTTGTTTCTGCTTTTCTTCTGAGAATATAAAATTAAGTGGTTACCTATGCATGTAGATGCTACAGTAAATTCTTTGGTAGTGTTTAGTTCTTTATCATATTGTTGAACATGGTGTAATTTGAAAAACAAGAATTTAATAGGTTTTTGGATTTAAGGTGTGTTACTATTTTAGATTGTAATGCTCTTTTTTCTTTTCTAAATTTCTTATGTATGAGTTTTTATTACATTTATAAGAATGTCTTTTATTAAAAAATGTTCCTGAAGCAACAAAGTTAAATGGCTCAAAATTACTATGTCTTAATCTGATGCAGTTACTACCAGTACTTTAGCTATGGGAGTAAATTTGCCTGCTCACCTAGTAGTTATAAAATCTACAATGCATTATGCTGGAGGACTGTTTGAAGAGTACAGTGAAACAGATATTCTACAGATGATTGGTAGAGCTGGTCGACCTCAAGTAAGTGACAATAACTTTGCTTTTTATACTTAAAAACATGATAAAAACAAAAAAATTGTGTATTTTTTGATTAGCATGTCATAATTGTATCAGGCTTAAAAGTAATATAGCAGAGAAAATTTACCTTTAGTGGAGGAATAAAAGTAAGACAAGCCTCACCAACTGGGACATACTTCCTTCATTCTGTCTAAGCTTGTCTTGGCTGATGAGGGGATGGGTTTATGAATGGGTATGCTGTTAAAGGTCTTTTTGATTTTGACTGTTTTTTTTTTTTTTTAAATTCTGAATGGGGGTACTCTTAGCATTTTGGATGGAACAGGTTTTCCTTGCTTAGGGCTGTCACATTACAGAACATGAAACATCCCTAGGTCCTAGCACTAAATGCTAATTGTGTTCCCAGGAATTATGACAAAAGTCCAAATACATTTCAAAACATACCCTACTCTGACAAATACATGAATAAGTCATTTTTATAGGTATTATGGGAACATCAGGAAGATTATATTTTCAAAACATTTGTAAATATTATGTTGTACAGTTCTACAATTTCATAGAGTAAATCAGATTATATGTAAATTATACCAAATCTTACAACTTTTATACAGTTACCAAAGTTTGTTTTGATTTTAACATTGCCAAAATTATGTTACATTGAAACCAAAGTGATATTTACAGCTATACTCTTGGAAGGCTTTTAAATTAAATTTTAGGTTAAAAAAATGAGAGCATTTTTAAGGCCTTTTTGAAGTATTATTTCAGACAAGGAGACTGTTTAATATAAAATGGAAGTCTTCAGTTATTGAAGAGGACTGCTACCAAGATGTGCTCTTCTTCACTAAATTTCTGTTTGTTTTCTCCCCAGTTTGACACTACAGCTACTGCAGTTATCATGACTCGATTAAGCACAAGGGACAAGTACATTCAGATGTTAGCTTGTAGAGACACTGTAGAAAGCAGGTAGTATAAAAAAAAGTTCCAAAAAGATACTAATGCTAATATAGCTTATTTTATTTCCTTTTAAAATATCAAAGGGAAATTTGGTTTGGAGATTTTTTTAAGGCAATTTTCTGTAAAGTTTTCAACTATTTAACTAGAAAGTTTGTGTCATTTTAGGGAATTTAATAATTTTTTTAAAAGGTACTAGTTTTATTCAGTGGTATTTCTTGGCAAGCATGTATTCTTGTTTATAACAAACCCTAATTTGTAATAAAGCCTTAGTAATTATGATTATGTTATAATTTATATATGAAATTATGTAAATTTATAATTACTAATTTGTAATAAAGGAGAAATATCATTTTCACTTCTTATTTTAACTTAATAATAGAGGAAATCTGGAACCTATTAGTAAAGTATTTAATGTATTCTCTTTTGGAGAAAGTAGGATATAATTTACGCTTCAACTTTTGTTAAAGCAATAACCTGTCTTCTACAGCCATAGAGTAGAGAGGTATATCTGAAGCCTTTTAGAAGTTGAACTGACTTTTTAAGGTTTTCTTTTATGTTTTTGGAAATTAAGTTATATTTCATGAATTAGTAAAGTAGCAATGGGTATATTCTATATTATTAAAGTTAAAAAGTAAGAGTTATGGCATTGAACTGCATATTCATAATGCAAAGTTTTTTTTCATTAGTTTGCACAGACATCTTATTGAACATTTAAATGCAGAGATAGTACTGCATACCATCACGGATGTGAATATTGCTGTGGAATGGATACGATCAACTCTGCTTTATATCAGAGCCTTGAAAAATCCATCTCATTATGGTTTGTTACTTTGACTTGGAAAAGTAGTAATTTTTTCAAGCCAGCTAGGCCTGTATTTATACTAATAAGTTACAGGATAGATAGATTACAGAAACTAATAGGTAACAAAACAAAAGGTAACAACAGTCCCAAATACATTTAGAGACAAGAGTAGACAAGCTGAGAAATTTTTATCTGTTTTACTTCTAGTGTTTCAACAAGGTTTGAAATCAACACCATTAAAAATAGATCTAGTAGAAAAAAATTCAGCTCCAATAAAAATAACAGAAATGTCTAAATCATTGAAAATAAGTTAGTTACAAAAAGTTTTGAATTTTTTCTGTACTTAGTGTTCAGCTACTCACTTTTTCTGAGTTTATGACTGTTTATTTTTCAGTTTATAAGAAATGAAAGTATATAGTACTACTGTTGCTGCCACAATTTTCATCTTGCTTCTAAAGCTAACCCACATCTGGTTATGTGGCTTCCAGAGGGTTTTTTCACTCATTCATTCAACTTGGGGTTGTTGAAATACCAAATTAAAGCCTGACTTGTTGAAGTATCATTCTAATGTACAGAGGTTCAAAACTTTCAGATCTCAAAGAGTAATTAATATAAGCCTATATTAAAAGAATATCTATATAAATACTCATATCACTTAAAAACTTATATTTCAACTAGGTAATACATTTACTTAGTTCAAAAATCATAAAGTGAAGGAATATATACAACTAAAATTCTTCCATGTATATCCCCACCCACACAGTTGTTCAATTCCTATCTCTTGCCTTTCCTTCCCCTAGTTCTGTAATCATTGGTATATCTTTTTTGTATAATTCTTGCATATAAAAGTAAATAAGAAAATGTAATTTTAGTTTCGCACCTTTTAAACACAAATCGTGGCATATTGTATTAGTTTTCCATTCCTTTTAACAAATTACCCTGAAACAAATCATCTAGAAACAACCAGAATTTATTATCTCACACAGCTTATGTGGGTTAGGAATCTGGGAGTGTCTTAGCTAGGTGGCTGTGGGTCAGATGCTCTCTTCAGATTGCAACATATGTCAGCTAGGGCTGCAGTCATCTGAAGGCTTTCCTGGGTCTTGAAGATTCACTTGTAAATTGTCTCACTCACAGAGCTATAAGTTAGAGGCCTCAGTTTCTCACAGTTGTTGGCAGGCCTCAGTCTTTTGCCAGGTGGATCTTTCCTCATAGCATGGCAGCTGACTTTTCTCAGGATGAATGATCTGAGAGAGAAAGAGAGAGAGAGACAGAGACAGAGACAGACTAAATCAGAAGCAGCAGTACTTTTTTATAACTTTGTCTCTGAAGTCACACATCATTACTTCTGCTTTATTCTGTTTTTTAGAAGCAAGTCACTGAGTCCTGGTCACATGAAGGCGAGAGGGATTAAGTTCATCTCTCAGAGGGCAGAATATCAAAGAATTTCTGGGCATTTTTTTTTTTTTTGAGATAGCCTCTCTTGATTGCCCAGACTGGAGTGCAGTGGCACAATCTTGGCTCACTGCAATCTCCACCTCACAGGTTCAAGCAATTCTCTGCCTTACCCTTCTGAGTAGCTCAGACTACAGGCACGCACCACCACACCTGGCTAATTTTTTCTATTTTTAGCAGAGACGGCGCTTCACCATGTTGACCAGGCTGGTCTCAAACTCCTGATCTCAGGTGATCCACCTGCCTTGGCCTCCCAAAGTGCTGGTATTACAGGTGTGAGCCACCATGCCTGGCCTTGTGGCATATTTTTTTAAACCTCCATTATTTTAGTCTTCTGCACATTCCTTTTTTTCTTAGTATGTCTTGGAAGCTTTTTTGAGACAGGCTGTCACTCTGTTGCCCAGGCTGAAGTCCAATGGTGTGATCACAGCTTACTGCAGCTTCAACCTTCTGGGCTCAAGTGATCTTCTCACCTCAGCCACCAGAGTAGCTGGTACTACAGGCACATGCCAGCACACCTGGCTAACTTTTGAAAAAAAAAATTGTAGAGGCAGAGCTTCCCTATGCTGCCTAGGCTGGTCTAGAACTTGTGGGCTCAAGCAATCCTCTGATTTCACCCTCCCAAAGTGCTGTGATTATAGCTGTGAGCCACCATGCCTGGCTGGAAGCTTTTTTTTGTAATAGCTAAATAATATTCCATTTACTTATGTATCACTTATTTAAATGATCCCCAATTGATGGACATTTATACTTTGTCTAATTGTTTGCTCTTACGAACAATGCAGCAAAAAAACCCTTCATTTTTTACATGTATGAATCTATCCGTATGATAAATCTCTAGAAATGAAATTCCTGTGTCAAAGGATATATGCATTTATAAATTTGATACCTGTGGCTAAATTGGTACCTTAGTAGCTCATATATCTACCAGCAGTGTTCAAAAGTGCCATATTTTGTTTCTCCAGCCTTTCCTTCAGGGTGTATGCTTGTGTATTTTTATCAATATTATGTATGAATATTGGTATCTTTTCATGTTTTAATTTTCATTTCTTCCTTTTCATAGTTACTTTATTTTCTGTAGTTACTTTTTTGTATTGAGATATCACTTATAGTAAACTGCACAAATATGAGGTGTAGAGGTCAATGAAGTTTTATATATGTGTTTATACACACATATACACACATGTAACCACAGCCCAGATTAAGATATAGAACATTTTCTAGATGTTCCCTCATGCTCCTTTTCTGTCAGTATTTGCCCCCAGAAGTCAATGCTATTCTGACTTACATACCATAGGCTAGCTTTATCTATTCTTGAAAAGATTCCGTTTATATGAATATAAATCTTTTGATGAAAGGAAATTATTAATTTTAAATAATGCTGCTGTGAACATTGTTATATGTATATCTTTTGATACACATGTATATGTATATCTGTGGGTATGTGCCTAGGAGTGAAATTATTGTGTTAAAGGGTATGTGTAGTTTCAGCTTTAGTGAATAGCACAAAATGGTTGTTATTACCAAACATATTTTCCTAGGAACATTCATGTTATAATGAAAGTTCATTAGAAGATATTAATCACTTGATAGATACTTGCTATGTATAAAACATTTGGAAATTTATTCCATACCATTCTTGTTAAAATATGATATTCCTGTTCATTGTTTCTGTGGATATTTAAGCCTTGTTTGAACTCAATCAGCTGAGATTTTTTTTTCTTATATAAGATTTCATTAGACTGCTCTTCACTAGTTAACTGGGGTATAAACTGAGCCTGTAAAGATGAGCTAAATTCTATTTTACTTTTTCATGACATGCAGGTTTTGCATCTGGATTGAACAAAGATGGAATTGAAGCAAAATTACAAGGTTAGATGCATTTCATTCTAAAAATTAGATTCTATATATTTTAGTGAAAAAGTTCAGTTATTGTGAAAGTAAGAATATGCTTTTGTAAATCATTTTTTAAAAAGGAAACTTGTCTGCAGAAAAATAATGTGAACTATTTCTTTTTCACACAAAAAGCTTGGCATATATACTTTTTTGCTGAATTAATCAATTTATTCTATCAGAATATCTTTCTTTGTATAATATGTTAACTTGGTTTATTTGGTTTTTATTTCTAACATCACCCTGGTCTTTGAAAATATGCCTACAGATACACACTCTGTATTTTTTCTTTTTTTTAAAAGAGACAGTCTTACTCTGTCACCCAGGATGGAATGCAGTGGCGTGATCATAGCTCATTGTAACCTTGAACTCCTGAGCTCAAATGATCCTCCTGAGTAGCTGGGACTATAGGCGTGAGCCACCACAACTGGTTAATTTTGTATTTTTTTTAGAAAGGGGTTCTCACTGTATTTTCCAGCCTGGTCTCAAACTCCTGGCCTCAAGTTATCCTACTACCTCTGCCTTCCAAAACACTGAGAATGTAGCTGTGAGCGACCATGCCCAACATGTATTTTTCTTTTCTACTTAATTTTAATTGAAAAATATAAGCCTAGATTGATTATGGGCTTTGTATCCCAACCTGTGCCAAAGATGTATTCCTATCCAACCTCAGCTTTGTTATTTAGTTAATCAACTAGTGTTTCTTACTTGTTTTTTAAAATATAAAATATTGTTAGGCATTTATTCAGATTAGAAATTGCTACCTTTTCATTGTGTTGAAACTGTCTCCTTAGTAAAAGAAAATATGTTAGGTCCTCTAAAAATATTTAGCCAATTTAAATTTATTCTCTACTTGGATATACATGTGTGGCAAATAAAAATGCAGAGATAAAGATAAAGCAGTAAAATTGTCTTGCTTAAAGAATAAATATGTTCTTAAAACATGGTCATAACCAATAGCATATATTCATAATGCTGCTGTATTCACGTTGAAATACAGATTATAAGTTGTGTTATCTTCAAGGTATTGATAAATTTTGTAATGGAATTTTTAATTAAACATATATTTTGAAAATAATGATCAAATACACTCAAGAAATTAGACAAAGAGATATATTGCTATATTCAGATAACTTTAATGTTTTATCTCTTGTTAAATTAGCAGAATCACAGCTCATACTTGCCTTGTCTTCAGTCAGTATAGGGTTAGCAAAGTTTTGCCTTATAAACAAGAATAGCTAAATATAACTGAATATTAAGGTTTTGGAATTGTAGGAGAGAAAAAAAGTAACATCTTTTCCTCATTCATTGCAATGTTCACAGCTGACACTCCTGTAACAAGACAGATTAACAAGAGAAAAGCATAACAAATTTATTTAATCAAAGTTGTGTATGATATGGGAGCCTTCAGAAATTAAGACCCAAAGACCCAGGGAAAACTGAATTTCTCTGGCAATTCTAATGAAAAAAATGGATAGTTGTTGAGAAACATGACTGGACAAAAAGGGTATTATCTAATGTTAATAAACTGGGAGGAACTTAACAAGGCCTGTTTGTTCAGATTCTTCTTGGCCTCTCTATGTAGCATTCTTTCTTCTCGGGCATGAGATAGGACCATTCCGTGGGTATGAGACAGGACCATTCCACCCTGGAATGAGGGTCTTAGACTTTTAGACAAGGTAGGTCAGAGAATTCCTTTATGACCATGCTTCACACAGAAAGGCAGGGAAAGATCAGAGTGACTTTCTTGTTTCTGAAGTCCTCTTAGTCTTATTGAGTTCGAAATGCCTTGAGTCAGCATTTTCTGAGCCCTGCTATTATCCTTGGAGCTCTGCCTTAAATCTGTCAGGAAGGATCCTTAGCATAGTATATGCTGTTTCCTAAACTTGATTATACTTTCTTGCTTAGTATACTCTTAATAGCTTCCCCGTCACTCTTAGAATAAAATACAAACTTTCACCACAGCCCACAAAATCCTGCTTGATATCTCCCTGCCTATTTCTCTAACTACATCTCTTATCACTTTCTGTCTCTTTTATTCTACTCTCACCAAATTGGCCTTCTTGCTATTCCTTAAACACACCAAGCTTGTTCCCACATCAAGTCCTTTGCACACTTTGTTCCTTATTTTTGGAACACTCCTTGCATATTTTACACCTTCATTTTATTCAGGTCTCTGTTCAAATATTAACTTTTAGAGAGGTCTTCCTGTGGTATCTTACTGAGAGGAAGACAAAATGATTCTATGATGTTGTTGTTTTCCTTGTTTTTAGAAAAGGTAATGTGTTTATTTTGACAATTAGGGTGAGGATAGCCTTACTCTATATCAAAATATGTAGCGTTTATGAGAAATACATATAGGTTGGGCATGGTGGTTCATGCCTGTAATACCTTTGGGATTCCAAGGTGGGCAGATTGCCTTGAGCTCAGGAGTTTGAGACCAGCCTGGACAACATAGGGAGATCCCACCTTTACAAAGTTTTTAAAAAAAATGAGCTGGTGTTGTGGTGGTACATGCCTGTAGTTCCAGCTACTCGGGAGACTGAGGTGGGAAGATTGCTTGGGCCTGGGAGGTTGAGGCTGCAGTGAGCTGTGATCATGCTACTGTATTTTAGCCTGGGCAACAGAGTGAGACCAAGTCTCAAAAAAAAAAACAAGAAAAGAAAAGAAATGAAAATAAAAAGAAAGAAAAAGAAAGGAAAGGAAATAAAGATAAGGTTTAGTAAAAAGATTTAAAATTACACAGTCATTCTATATAGGTTCTTAGCCTTATGTTTCTTTATAGTATATGTGAAACCTTATTATTTATTTGTATGTTAATTGCTTTCTTCTGTAAAATATAAGTTCTAAAGAGAAGAACCTTATCTTGTTAACTGCTGTAAACATAGAGCTTAGAATCATGCTCAGCTTATGGTAAAGTAAGCATTTTTCATTGACTTATCGAGTAGTGAGTGGGTAATGAACTGATTTAATAGTGGGTAATTAAGAAAATTAGAAAAGACTTCAAAATCTTTACTTAACCAAACGCTTAACACTATCAAGCTGTCTAAAGAGTGTTGCTTAAACTAAAATATTTCCCAAAGAACTCCAAGGGTGTTTTTTTGAGTGGCTGCTCTATTTAGGATTGAACTATTACAGTATTCCCACTGTCTGCTCTGAACTATCTTATATCTCCTGGACTATAGCATGAGGCAGAGAAGGAACTGTCAGCAGCAGATTACTACAATTGCTCTGATCCCCATCAATAGTGAGCATGAACTAGCATTGCTTCCTGTCAGAGAAACAAAAGTAAACACCTAAAAGCATCAGTTAAAACAGTTTTAAGTTTTTGCTTCAAGAAAGTGGCAAACAGGGAGGAGGGGAAGAACTGGTGGTTTTTGGAATAATCTTTGCAGAACTATTTGACTTCTTATAATTTGTGCATACATTAATATATCTTTGATAGAAGTTTAAAGAAAAAAGAAAAAGAAAACTATTGCCTTAATGGAGGGCAGATAGCAAAGTGGTTACTTAGACCTGGAGCAAGTTACTTAGCCTCTATTCTTTAGTTTCCTAACCTATATATGAAAATATCGGTGTCTACCTTATTGTGATGTTTTGAAGATTAAATGAGGTAATACATGTGTATCATTTAAATACTCCAAGTTTTAAGTGTTATTTCTACTTACTGAATGTTATTTTTATTACTTGTATTCTTGTTACTTTTAGAAAATGTTTTTAGCATATTAGTTAGCTTTTTTATTTAAATGAGCTTTCTCTTACTGCTTAAGTAGGGACTATGGTTCTTCTAGAACAGTTACACAGTAATAGCACAACTTTAGCATATTTAATAATAAATTATTTTTCCCTACTTCCCTATTTTACTAAAATTAAAATGTGTTTTCTATAATTAAACAGAATTATGTTTGAAGAATCTGAATGATTTATCATCCCTGGACTTAATAAAGATGGATGAAGGTGTTAATTTCAAACCAACTGGTAATTTCTTATCATTGTCAGTAAATTTAGCAATTGTTTACTTAAGACTAAATTAAAATTTTGTTTTACTAAAATTTAGATGGTGATAAAACTAAATTGTGATCTCAGTTCTCAACAGGGTATCATCATTATTAGCCATAGGCATGATAAATTTAAACAAGTCCTATTTGTAATAGTTTTTTTTTTTTTTTTTTTTTTTGAGACAGAGTCTCACTCTTTTGCCCAGGCTGGAGTGCAGTGGCGAGATCTCAGCTCAATGCAAGCTCCGCCTCCCGGGTTCATGCCATTCTCCTGCCTCAGCCTCCCGAGTAGCTGGGACTACAGGCGCCTGCCACCATGCCCGGCCAATTTTTTTTTTGTATTTTTAGTAGAGACGGGGTTTCACCATGTTAGCTAGGATGGTCTCGATCTCCTGACCTTGTGATCTGCCCACCTCGGGCTCCCAAAGTGCTGGGATTACAGGCTTGAGCCACCGTGCCTGGGCACAGGTGCACAGAATTTGTCTTCACTGATTCTGGTGACTTTTGGCAGAGGAATGAAATGCTTGAATCTTTGGGTTGCTTTAAACCTGTTATAACTATTATAGATATACTTTTATTGGTATGCTTTTAATATGCTTTTTATATTCTTAAATATTCAACCATTGATAATCTGGTGGTTAGACTTCTGTAAGGTTAGTAAAAATATCTTTTCCTTCTACTCATCTTAGGTTCATTAACTGGGACTCATATAACAAAATGTATTAACAAGAGAAAAGCATACAACTTTATTTAATATGTTTTATGTGACATGGGGGCCTTTATAAGGAAATGAAGACCCAAAGAAATGGTTAAACCTGAATGTTTTTATGCCAGGTGTGATGAAGATTGAAAAGTCATGGAGAAATATGATAGGACAAAGGGGATATGAACTAAGTGTAATAAATTGGGGGAAATTTAGCAAAGCCTGTTCATTCAAATTCCACTCTGTGTCTATGGAGATAAAGATGCTCCATTCTTTAGGTATAGGGAGGGCACCTCTCACATGATGGTGTTATTACTTGCTTCAGGGAAAGGCCAGAAGAATTCTTCCTGTACATGTTGTTTCTCAAATTCCTACAGCTTAAAATATTCAATAAGCCAAGATGCTCCATTTTGGGATAGCGTGTCCTGAATCCTATCTCTCTCTCTTTCTCTCTCTCTCACGGTGGATTAGCTTTTTGATGTGCTTCTGGATTTGGTTTGCTAGTATTTTGTTGAGGATTTTTGCATCTATGTTCATCAGGAATATTCGCCTGAATTTTTTTTTTTTTTTTTTCATTGTGTCTCTGCCAAGTTTTGGTATCAGAATGATGCTGGCCTCATAGAATGAGTTAGGGAGGAGTCCCTCCTCAAATTTTTGGAATAGTTTCAGTAGGATTGGTGCCAGCTCTTCTTTATATATTTGGTAGAATTTGGCTGTGAATCAGTCTGGTCCAGGGCTTTTTCTTGTTGATAGTCTTTTTATTTCTGATTCAATTTTGAAACTTGTTATTGGTCTGTTCAGGGTTTCAGTTTCTTCCTGGATCAACCTTGGGAGGTTGTGTTTCCAGCAGTCTATCTCCCCATTTCTTCTAGGTTTTCTAGTTTGTGTGTATAAAGGTGTTCATAACAGTTTCTGGGTTTTTTTTTTGTATTTCTGTGAGATTGGTGGTCGTATCTTCTTTGTCATTTCTGATTGTGTTTATTTGTCTGGTTTCTGTTTTTTTGTTTGTTATTCTAGCTAGCAGTCTATCAATCTTATTTATTCTTTCAAAGAACCAATATCTGGTTTTGTTGATCATTTGTGTGGTTCTGTGTCTCTCAATTTTGTTCACTTCAGCTCTGATTTTGGTTATTTCTATTCCTCTGCCAGCTTTGGGGTTGATTTGCTCTTGCTTTTCTAGTTCCTCTAGGTGTGATATTAGTGAGGTTGCTAATGTGATACTTCTAGCTTTTTGATGTGAGCATTTAGTGCCATAAACTTTTCTCTGAACATTGTTTTACCTGTATATCAGAGATTCTGCTATGTTCTGCCTTTGTTTTCATCAGTTACAAAGAGTATCTTGATTTCTGCCTTAAGTTCATTATTTTCAGAAAAGTCTTTCAGAAGCATGTTGTTTAATTTCCATGTAATTGTATGGCTTTGAAAGATCTTAGTATTGATTTCTGTTTTTACTGCATTGTGGTCTAAGAATGTGCCTGGTATGATTTTTTTTGAATTTGTTGAGAATTGCTTTATAGCTGAATGTGTGGTTGATTTTAGAGTATGTTACATGTGCAGATGACAAGAATGTATATTTTGTTGTTGTTGGATAGAGTGTTCTGTAGATGTCTGTTAGGTCCATTTGGTCAAGTGTCAAGTTTAGGTCCTGAACATTTTTATTTGTTTTCTGCCCTGATGATCTGTCTAATACTGTCAGTGGGGTGTTGAAGCCTCCCAACATTGTGTAGGTATCTAAGTCTCTTTGTAGGTCTATAAAAACTTGTTTTATGAATCTGTGTGCTCTAGTATTAGATGCATATATATTTAGGATAGTTAAATCTTTTTGTTGTGTTGAACTTTTTCATCATTATCAGTGTCCTTCTTTGTCCTTTTTGATAGTTAAGGTGTAAAGTCTGTCTTGTCTGAAATTAGAATAGCAACCCCTGCTTTTTTTGTTTTCCATTTGCTTGGTAGATTTTTCTCCATCCCTTTAAGCCTATGGGTGTTATTGCATATGAGATGGGTCTCTTGAAGACAACATACAGTTGGGTTTTGCTTCTTTATCCAACTTGTCACTCTGCGCCTTTTAAGTGGGGTATTATAGTCTGTTTATATTCAAGGTTGATATTGGTATGTGTAGATTTGTCATTGTGTTGTTATGTAGACTTGTTATGTTATGTTATGTAGTTGCTTTATAGTGTCAATGGTCTAGATACTAAAGTGTGTCTTTGTGGTGGCCAGTAATGGTCTTTCATTTCTATGTTTAGTACTGTCTTAAGGACCTCTCATAAGACAGGTCTGATGCAAACAATTCCCTTAGCTTATCTGAAAAGGATTTTGTTTCTCCTTCATTGATGAAGCTTATTTTGGCTGGATATGAAACTTATGGTTGGAGTTTCTTTTCTTTAAGAATGCCAAGGCTGGGCACAGTGGCTTGTGCCTGTAATCCCAGCACTTTGGGAGGCTGAGGCAGGAAGATTATTTGAGCCCAGGAGTTTGAGACCAGTCTGAGCAATATAGTGACACCTTGTCTCTACAAAAAATTTTTCTAAAAATTAGCTGAGCATGATGGCATGTGTCTATAGTCCCGGCTACTTAGGATGCTGAGGTGGCAGGATCACTTGAGCCTGGGAGGAGGAGGTTGCAGTGAGCCAAGATTGCACCACTGCCATCCATCCTGGGTGACAGAGTAAGACCCTGTCAAAAAAAATGCTTAATATAGGCCCCCAAACTCTTCTGGCGTGTAGGATTTTTGCTGAAAGAGCTGCTGAAAGATCTGCTGTTAGCTTTATATGTTTCCCTTTGTAGGTAACATATACCTTTCTGTCTAGTTGCCCTGAATATTTTTTCTTTCCCATTGATCTTGGAGAATGTAATGACTATGTGTCTTGGGGGATGGCTGTTCTATATAGTATCTCACTGGGGCTCTCTGAATTTTCTGAATTTGAATGTTGACCCCTCTAGCAAGGTCAGGGAAATGTTTTGAACTGTATTCTCAATTATATTTTCCAAGTTTCTTGCTCTCTCTCTCTCTCCCTCTCTTTCAGGGCTACCAATGAGTTTTAAATTTTGGTCTCTACATAATCCCATATTTCTTGGAAGTTTTGTTCATTCTTTTTTATTCTTTTTTCTGTATTTTTCTCTGACTGAGTAGACTTGAAAACCTGGTTTTTGAGCTCTGAGATTGTTTCCTCAGCTTGGTTTATTCTGCTGTTAATACTTCCAATTGTATTATGAAATTCTTGCAGTGAGTTTTTCAGCTCTATCAGATCAGTTTGGTTCTTTGTTAAAATGGCGATTTTGTCCTTCACCTGTTAATCATTTTACTGGGTTCCTTAGATTTCTTGGATTGGACTTCAACTTTCTGATGAATCTTGATGATCTTCATTGCCATCCAGATTCTGAATTCTAGGTCTGACATTTCAGCCATTTCAGCCTGGTTAAGAACCATTGCTGGGGAGCTGTGTGGTTGTTTGGAAGTAAGAAAACACTCTGGTATTTTGAGTTGCCAGGGTTCTTGCTTTCTGGCAAGAACATCAGCCCAGACAGACTAATTGTTTTTCGTCTGTCTGGGCTGATGTTCCTTTAATATTTGAAGTTGCTGTCCTTCAGATGGGGCTTTTTCTTTTATATTCCTTGATGTCATTGAGATTTACTGTGGCATAAGTTGGGTTTAGTTGACTGGCTTTGTTTCTGGATGATTTCAGAGGGCTTGGG
The DNA here is from genome assembly GCF_000001405.40 of Homo sapiens. NCBI lineage: Eukaryota > Metazoa > Chordata > Mammalia > Primates > Hominidae > Homo > Homo sapiens. The sequence goes on along the minus strand of NC_000001.11, from coordinate 91,339,010 downwards.
CTCAGCTCAGTGCTCCTGGGCTGCATGCTCATGGCTTTGTTTGCTGGCCCCTCGAGGTTAAGTACCTGCTGCACTGGAGGGTTAGAGGTGTTCCTGGTTCACTGGCAATCACACTTAAATGGGGCAGTGGCAGAAGGTTACGCACTCATGTGTAATGCCAACAGTGGCTGTATAGTAGCATGGTGAGGTCTGGGTATGTGCACCAGTGGTGGTGGCACAGCAGGGTCCATGTTTGCAGTGTATCAGCAGTGGCAAGACAGCAGCATAGTGGGATCCGCATGTACCGGTGGTGCACTGGTGGGGCCACGGCCGTGGTGACAAGGTCCGTGCACCATGTGCATGCTAGCAAAGTGATGTGGGGAGGCCATGGTTGAGTGCATGCCAGCAGAGTGGTTGGGGGAGGCTGCAGACAGGTGTGTGTTGGCAAAGCAGTGTGAGGAGGCTGTTGGTGGGTGCACATCGGCAGGGTCCATCTAATGGTTCAGTGGCATCTGCTGGCTAAGGAGCTATGGTGGTGGCCACTAGGCGGTGCCCCAGTTGGGCAACTGAGGCCACACTGCAAGTGAGCTTGGCCATGGAGGGACCCCAGAAGAGGCTGGCAGTCAGGGGGCACTCAGATAAGACTGGCCCCATCACATGGACAAGACTGCCCTGCTCTGTCTAGGTCCAACAGTCAACAAAGGCCAAAACCACTTAGAGGAGCATGGCAGGCCTTGGGGGATTGGCATTCCTGACTGTACTCCACTGTAGCCATTCCTGTGCCAAACCCTTTGGGCTCCACACAGGGTGGAGTCCTGTCCCTGCCATTTCTCCAGGCAGTTCTCTCTGCCAATTTAAATGTCTGTGGGGGTCATGAGGTCTTCTGCAGCTAAGATTCCAGAGGTCCGTGACAAGAGTGGGCCACTCCTCACCTGTTTAACTCACCCTTCCCCAGGAGCCACCAGGGGCTGGGAATGAGTCCTGGTGCTTTGAAGCCCACTGCAGTGTTCCCAGCTTCTACCTAGGGTCTGTGTCTTCCCTCCAACCACCCTCAATGACTTCCTTCTGAAGATCTGCTTCGAGTGTGCTGGTCTTCCTGATGGTCTGGTCTTTTGGTGGGAGATGCTCTTCCTGGCTGTGTCCAGTTGGCCCTCTTGGTTCTCCTCCTCCTTTCTCAGTTCCTGAAGGATGGAAGCCTGAGTTAAGTGTGCTGACATGGTCAGATTCTGTTGAGGGTTCTCTTCCTTTGCACACAGTCATCTTCATGCTGTGTGCTCACATGATTTCTTATTTGTACATGTAATTTCTTGGCTTTTCTGGTGTTCCAGAGTTCTCCCTATGGATCTCCCAGTATCTGCAGGTCACAGGGTGACAGAGGCTGCAGCCAAGTTACCTGAGGCCTCCCGGAAAAAAGGGGATGCAGTACTGGAGACGGGACTCTGAGCTTCCCCATCAAATTGTGGAAGATGCTGCACCATGCTGGGTTTGTAATTTCTTAGCCTGTTATTAATGTAGATGTAATTTTCTTACATAGTATTTCTAATTAATTCATTTTTATGACTTCTTATTCCTTCATATTACTAATACTTTATTTTGTCTCTTTGAGTTTATTTTTTGTATATCAGTTTTTAGTTTGTATGTTCCTATAATTCTGCTTCATATAGTTTTTGCTTTTTAGGTTGTAATCATAATACTCAAGTATCTAGGTATTTTCATCTGTATGTTTGCATTGAGGTTTTTACCTGTTTGCCAGATAATGTGTACTGAGAGAAGGGCTCAAAAGGCCAATTTTTTCCCGCTTCAACTGTTCTGGTATATGAGCAGATGTGCAGGTTCGTTACAGGTAAACATGTGGCATGGTGGTTTGCTGCACAGATCATACCATCACCTGTGTATCAAGCCCAGCATCCATTAGCTATTCTTCCTGATGCTCTCCTTCCCCTCGCCCTCCCCAACAGACCCCAACGTGTGTTGTTCCCCACAACGCGTCCACGTGTTCTCATTGTTCAGCTCCCATTTATAAATGAGAACATGCGGTGCTTGGTTTTCCGTTCCTGTGTTGGTTTGCTGAGGATAACGGCTTCCAGCTCCATCCATTTTCCTGCAGAGGACATATCTCATTCCTTTTCATGGCTGCATAGTATCCCATGGTGTATGTGTACCACGTTTTCTTTATCCAGTCTTTCATTGATGGGGATTTAGGTTGATTCCATGTCTTTGATATTGTGAATAGTGCTGCAGTGAACATACGTGTGCATGTATCTTTACAAAAGAATGATTTGTATTCCTTTGGGTATATACCCAGTAATGGGATTGCTGGGTCAAATGGTATTTCTGGTTCTAGGTCTTATAGGAATTGCCACACTGTCTTCCGCAGTGGTTGAACTTATTTACACTCCCACCAACAGTGTAGAAGCATTCCTTTTAATCTGCAATCTTGCCGGCTTCTGTTGTTTAATTTCTACTGTGAATTTAAGAAAGATTAACCTTCTGAAGATAGGTGGTAACTGCAATAGTCTGGAAGAGTCACTAAACTGGGATGCAGATCTTACCTCTTTGAAGGATAGGGATAGAGGGAAAGAAGAAAGGACAGGATGGAGGGAAGTAGGAAAAGAAGGGATGGAGGTAAGGAGGGAAAGGGGAGGAGGGTAGGAAGGAATGCAGGGGGAGGGAACATGGTGGGGCAGAGAGGGAGAAAGTATGAGAGGAAGGAAGGATGGGATGGAGGAAGGGATGTTTTTAGACAACTTATAATTGAATCCCATAACTCTGGAAGGAAGGGAGGAAGGAAGGGAGGGAGGGAGGGAGAGAGAGATAGAGATAGATCTTAGCCTGCAAGGAGGGAGGCAGGGATCTTAGCTTGCAAGAAGGGAAGGAGGAGGGGAGGGTAGGAGGGATTTTAGCCTCCAAGGAGGATGGGACAGAGAAAGCCCTTGGAGGATCTTAGCTTGCAAGAAGGGAGGGAGGAGGGGAGGGCAGGAGGGATTTTAGCCTCCAAGGAGGATGGGAGAGAGAAAGCCCTTGGAGGATCTTAGCTTACAAGGAGGGAAGGAGAGAGGGAGAGAGGGAGGGAGAGAGGGGTCTTAGCCTGCAGTGCAATCCTAAGAACATTTGGCAAAGTTGATAGGAACTCTTATAGATGTACCTTAGCATCCCTGCCATGCTCAGTCATTGACTGGGGCCATCTCATGAAAGTATGATCTCGGTGTAAACATGATGATGATTCAGAGCACAGCAGCTGGGGCCATCAGTCACTGACACGTCTTGCAGTAGGAGGTCTGAAAGGTACATTCTCATGTCCTCCATGCTCCCTACCACTGTATTTTATGAAATATCCTGAATTTCCTGTTAGAATATTAATCTTTGAAATATCCTGAATTTCCTGTTAGAATATTAATCTTTGAAATATCCTGAATTTCCTGTAAGAATATTAATCATTCAGTAGCTATATTAATAGCAAGTTGTTTCTTTATTTCCTTGCTTTACTTGCAAATCTTTAAAAATTACTTTTCATTCCCTCTGCTTTGACTCATTTTCCTTATGCTTTCCTTTCTAGGTTATGTTTTTCTGTCTTACCTAGGAAAGCTTCATCTCTATTAATAAGCCAACAAGTATTAAGTCTTTTCTTAAAACCTTTCATTTTCTCTATCAGGAAGAGACCTTATATTAACTTATAAATATTTAGGGTAAGAGGACCATCTTTAAATATACTGCAATGGTTAACTAGTTCTCGTGGTAATTATAATCTTGATATTTCACACCCTTCTCTCAGAAGCTCCTTTTTATAAACTAATCCATTATTCACATGTTGGCTGAACATATTCACCAGGATCCTAATTGAGAGCCTGGCTACTTCTCTATTCCTGATTGTTAGTTTTATCTATTGTACCATGTCCTTGGTGCTTGTAACTCTGTTGGAATGCCAAAAATCTTTTCTTCTTCAGCAAAACATTTAGCACATACGTAAATGTTAGCCCTTTCCTTGAGAAGCAGGATGCTACTTTCTTCTTCCCAGCTGTTTTCTATGTGTTCATAAGGCTTGAAATTCTTTGGAATGTTTTTAGACAACTTATCGAATCCAGTAACTTTTTTTTTTTTTTTGAGACAGAGAGTCTTGCTCTGTCACCCAGGCTAGAGTACAGTGGCACGATCTCGGCTCACTGCAACCTCCACCTCCCGGGTTCAAGCGATTCTCCTGCCTCAGCCTCCTGAGTAGCTGGGACTACAGGTGCCCGCCACCACGCCCAGCTAATTTTTGTATTTTTAGTAGAGACAGGGTTTCACCATCTTGACCAGGCTGGTCTCGAACTCCTGACCTCATGATCCACCTGCCTCGGCCTCCCAAAGTGCTGGGATTACAGGTGTGAGCCAATGCGCCCGGCCGAATCCAGTAACCTCTTAAGTGAATTCCATTTCATCAGTTAGTTACCCCCATTTCTCCCATACTCCTACCCACAACCAATCTGCTGTTCTATTTCCGGAATAACTTATTTTCAGACTCCAGTTTAATTAAAATATTGCTCAAGAATTTTAAGTGGTCACCTGTTATTTTATAAATCAAATCCAAAATATAACCTCTTTTAATATCATTTGAGGGCTCTTTCAGGGCCTCTCTATCATTTGTCATGTTTTAATAATAAAAATAGGTAACACATTAAATATTAGGCACCATGCTAAGTACTATATATCCATTTTTAATTGCACTTAATCTTCTCCACAACAAACTTCTGAGGTGTGGGTAGTTTTATTATTCCCACATTACATTAAGAAACTGGTCACGTAACTTGTGCATGATCACTTGCATACCCAATAAGAGGAGGAGCAGCGATTCTAATCAACTCAGTCTGATCAGGACTCATAATCACTGTCAAGCCATATGTTTTTCCAGCCATCATTACAGTATTCTAAAGATAGTCTTTTTAACTTTACTCTTTGGATAAACAGGATTTTCCCCAACGTCATAATGGCATTATTTCCTCTCTACTAAAGCATATTAGTCACTTTAAAAACCCTTCTCAAGATCCATTATTTGTAGTAGGCCACTCTACACTGACCATTCCTCTTAGGTTTGATTTCCTCCATACTCAAGTTTGTATGTAAATACTAACATTAGCTGATTTTTTGTCGTCTAGGTACTTAGCATGTAGTTATCTTCCTAGCCAACCTATAAATTCTAGAGATTGTGTCTTCTACATTTTTTGGTATGTCTTTTGTGCCTGGTGGCATTACAGGCACAAAGTACATGTTAAGAAAATGTTTTAAATTATTTTTAAATTTTTGTCGGTAAATGGTAAGTATATATATTTATAGAGTTCATGAGATATTTTGGTGCAGGTATGCAATGTGTATAATGATATCATGGAAAATCCATCCCCTCAAGTATTTATCCTTTGTGTTACAGACAGTCCAATTATACTGTTTAAGTTATTTTTAAAATGTACAGTCAAATTATTATTGACTATCGTCACCCTGTTATGCTATCAAATACTAGGTCTTATTCATTCTTTCTGTTTTTTTTTTATTTTTGTACCCATTAACCATCCCCACCAAACTCCCCTCCACCCTCCCACTACCCTTCCCAGCCTCTGGTAACCATCTTTCTACTCTCTATGTCCATGAGTTCAATTATTTTGATTTTCAGATTCCACAAATAAGTAAGAACATGCAATGTTGGTCTTTCTGTGCCTGTCTTATTTCACTCAGCATAATGACCTGGGGTTCCATCCATGTTGTTGCAAATGATAGGATCTCATTCTTTCTGTGGCTGATTAATACTCCATTGTGCATATGTACCACATTTTCTTTATCCATTCATCTGTTGATGGACACTAAGTTGCTTCCAAATCTTGGCTATTGTGAACACTGCTGCAATAAACACTGAGAGTGTAGATACCTCTTTGATATACTGATTTCCTTTCTTTTGGGTATATACCCAGCAGTGGGATTGCTGGATCATATAGTAGCTCTCTTTTTAGTTTTTTGAGGAACCTCCAAACTATTCTCCATAGTGGTTGTACTAATTTACATTCCCACCCACAGTGTACAGGGGTTCCCTTTTCTTCACATCTTCACCAGCATTTATTATTGCCTGTTATTTGGATAAAAGCCATTGTAACTGCGGTGAGATGATATCTCATTGTACTTTTGATTTGCATTTCTCTGATGATCAGTGATGTTGAGCACCTTTTCATATGCCTGTTTGCTGTTTGTATGTCTTCTTTTGAGAAATGTTGATTCAAATCTTTTGCCCATTTTTCAACTGGATTATTAGATTTTTTCCTGTAGAGTTGTTTGAGCTCCTTATATATTCTAATTATTAATCTTTTGTCAGATGGGTAGTTTGCAAATATTTTCTCCCATTCTGTGGGTTTTCTTTTCACTTTGTTGATTGTTTCCTTTGCTGTGTAGAAAGTTCTTAACTTGATATGTTCCCATTTGTCCATTTTTTGTTGCCTGTGCTTGTAGGGTATTACTCAAGAAATTTTTGCCCAGACCAATGACCTGGAGAGTTTCCCTAATATTTTCTTGTAGTAGTTTTGTAGTTTGAGTTGTTAGATTTAAGTCTTTAATCCATTTTGATTTGATTTTTATATATATCAAGAGATAGGGGGTCTAGTTTCATTTTTCTGCATGTGGATATCCAGTTTTCTCAGCACCATTTATTGAAGAGACTGTCTTCCCTAATGTATGTTCTTGGCACCTTTGTCAAAAATGAGTTCACTGGATGTGTGTGGATTTCTTTCTGGGTTCCTTATTCTGTTCCATTGATTGATGTGTCTGTTTTTATGCCAGTACCATATTGTTTTGGTTACTATAGCTCTGTAGTATAGTTTGAAATCAGGTAATGTAATTCCTCCAGTTTTGTTCTTTTTGCTTAGACTAGCTTTGGCTATTCTGGATCTTTTGTAGTTCCATATAAATTTTAGGATTTTTTTTTCCCTTTCTGTGAAGAATGTCATTGGTATTTTGATAGGGATTGCACTGAATCTCTAGATTACTTTGGGTAATATGGAAATTTTAATAATATTGATTTTTCCAATCCATGAACATGGAATATTTTTTCATTTTTTGGTGTCCTCTTCAATTTCTTTCATCAGTGTTTTATAGTTTTTGTGTTTCTTTGTTTGTTTGTTTTTGAGATGGAGTCTCCCTCTGTCGCCCAGGCTAGAGTGCAGTGGTGCGATCTTGGCTCACTGCAACCTCTGCCTCTCGGGTTCAAGTGATTCTCCTGCCTCAGCCTCCTGAGTAGCTGGGATTACAGGCGCCTGCCATCACACCCAGCTAATTTTTGTATTTTTACTAGAGACAGGGTTTCGCCATGTTGGCCAGGCTAGTCTCAAACTCCTGACCTGAAGTGATCTGCCTGCCTTTGCCTTCCAAAATGCTGGGATTACAGGCATGAGCCACTGCACCCAACCAGTGTTTTATAGTTTTAATTACAAAGATCTTTCACTTCTTTCATTAATTCCTAGATATTTAATTTTAATTGTGGCTATTATAAATGGGATTACTTTTTTATTTCTTTTTCAGGTTTTTCATGGAATATTTTTTCATTTTTTGGTGTCCTCTTCAATTTATTTCATCAGTGTTTTATAGTTTTAATTACAAAGATCTTTTACTTCTTTTATTACTTTCTAGATATTTAATTTTAGTTGTGGCTATTATAAATGGATTACTTTTTATTTCTTTTTCAGAGTTTTCACTGTTGGCATATAGGAATGCTACTGATTTTTGCATGTTGATGTTGTATCCTGCAACATTACTGAATTTATTATTTCTGACAGTTTTCTTGTGGATTCTTTATGTTTTTCCAAATATAAGATTATTTCATCTGCAAACAAGGATAATTTGACTTCTTCCTTTCCAAGCGAATGTCCTTTATTAATTTCTCCTATCTGATTGCTCTAGCTAGGACTTCCAATACTATGGTGAATAACAGTGGTGAAAGTGGGCATCCTTGTCATATTCCATATCTTAGAGGAAAGCTTTTCCGTTTATCCCCATTCAGTATGATACTAGCTGTGGGTCATGATATATGGCTTTATTATTCCTTCTATACCCAGCTTTTTGAGGGTATTTATCATGAATGGATGTTGAATTTTATCGAATGCTTTTTAAGCATCAATTGTGATTTTTGTTCTTCATTGTCTTGATATGATGTATCACATTGGTTGATTTGTATACGTTGAACTATCCTTGCATCCCTGGGATAAACCCCACTTGGTCATGTTGAATAATCTTTTTAGTGTGTTGTTGAATTTGGTTTGCTAGTATTTTGTTGAGGGTTTTGCATCAATATTCATCAAAGATATTGGCCTGTAGTTTCCCTTTTTTGATATGTCTTTGTCTGGTTGTGGTATCAGGGTAATAACGTCCTAGTAGAGTAAGTTTGGAAGTATTCCCTCCTCCTCTATTTTTTGAAACAGTTTTTGAGCAGGATTTGTGGTAGTTCTTCTTTAAATGTTTGGTAGAATTCAGCAGTGAAGCCATTGGGTCCCAGGCTTCTCTTTACAGGGAGACTTTATTATGGTTTCAATCTCATTACTTATTATTTTTCTGTTCAGGTTTTGGGTTTCTTCATGGTTCAATCTTAGTAGGTTGTATGTGTCTAGGAATTTGTTCATTTCTTCTAGATTTTCCAATATATTGGCATGTAGTTGCTGCTAGTAGCCACTAATGATCCTTTGAATTTGTATGGTATCAGTTGTAATGCCTCCTTTTTCATCTCTGATTTTATTTATTTGGATATTTTCTTTTTCTTCTTCTTCTTTTTTTTTACTTTTATAATTTTATTGACTTTTTTCTTTATAACTTTAAAACAAAAACAGCACATGAAAACCAGTGTCTTATCCCAAAGTCTCAACTCAGCTGATTGCCAGATGAACATCACCGTCTTACTCCTCTGAATAACTAGACACAAATTACATAGCAAGTTCGAGTGTCTGCCCACCCAAGACACAGCCAGCAATCAGTCACAGACATAGACACAGTCAACTCCAGGGGCTCCAGCTCTCTGCCTATCTTCTCTCAGCAGTTCCTCCCATCTGCTAAGATGCGCCTTCCTGATGGCTGTCTCTCAAGGTGGGTCAAGGCTGAACAAGACAGAAAAGCAGTCTAGGTCCACCATCACCTCCCACTGGCCACCAGTTGGCCAGCCAGGAAATCATTTTTGTACATCTTTTGTCTCCCCCTTTTATCTCCCTCTCTCTTCTCCAAAACTTGTTGCTATCTATCACTTTCATGTAACAATGGACTTATTGTCCATCCACTAAACTGCCTGAGAAGTGGTTTGAGCCTGACATATTTTCCTGAGCTAAAAAAGGAAAAGTACCTCTGTGGCCTTCTTGCCATTAAGATCAAGTAAAAAAGGGACTAGCACTACTGAAAAGGGTCACGCTAGAAAAACCTTAGAATGCTCTCTCCACCCCTGTGAAGGTTTCTCTAGCTGTAGCTCTTAAGGGTACAAGAGGGCAAATATTCTGGTGTCAAGGAGGTATAATGGGGAAACACATTTATTTTCCCCTTTTAAACTTCCTTGCTGCCCCAGTCTTTGCCTTCTTCTTAGTGGATCCCTTTGATTCTGGCTCCTTGCACTTAGCTGAAGAGAGTGAGCCAGTCACCTTGAAGAAATCATCCAGGCGGCCCTGGGTGCTGCCTTAATGACTCTTACTCAGCCTCTTGACCCCACTGTGGATTCGCTCCTCAGAGAACTGCTTTTCACCACACACGAACTTGACCAGCTCTTCTTCATTTGGCTCGCTCCACTTCAGCTCCACAGACTCTGGGCCCAGCACCTCAGGTTCCAAGAAGAGCTGGTAAGCCTCCTTGTGGAGCCGATTTTCTGGCAAAGGGTACTTGTTGGGGTCAAGTCGCTGCACGATCTCCTCGATGCTCTTGTGCTTCTGGATTAGATCCACAGCCCGCTTGGGCCCAATACTCCAGATACTCTTACAGTAGTCACTGCCTAGCAGGATGCACAGATCCACAAACTGTTCCTGGTTCTAGCTCCTGCAGAATCCAGCTCAGGTGGAATTCCTGGATTGGCAGCTTTTTGGCTTCACTGGCAGTCAGGTGTTGCATTAGCACAGGGCTGCCGAAGGTGAAGCAGTCCATGTCCTCGGTAGCCACAGGATAGACTTTGCCAGCCTTCACCAGGGCAGCACAGCTGGCCTCTGCCTCGATGGGTGCATCAAGGTAAGGGATGCCCATGAGGCTCAGCAGATGTTTGCACTTATCGTTGTGCTGCTTAGTGACCTTCACCAGCCACTTAGTGAATTTTTCCACCACCTGCTCGGCCCCAGCAGCCTGAGCCTGCTGTAGCTGCTTCTCTGCCTCAGCCCCGCAGTTCACTGCATTTGGCCAGCTCGCCTGACTTGTGCTGTGGTGGCGTGCCCTCAAAGACATACATGGGCTTGATGCCGTTCTCCATCACGCGAATAGTGCGGTAGAACATGCCTATCAGGTGGCTGGTGGTCTCACCCTCCTCGTTCTGCAGCACATCCCCACCCTGGCGAACAGCAATCAGGAACTGATAAGTGCTCATAGAGGCATCAATGGCCACCTTACGGCCAAAGTAGCTCTTGATGTCATTCTCCCGGGTGGCACTGGGGGCCACATCAGCAATTAGTTTGGCCAGGCCTTGAATACCCATGGCAACACAGAGGAGGGATGACTGGCCTTTGGGACACGAGGCCTCGGCGGCTAAAGCTTGATTCAGGGTTGCCCTGGGCAGGCGGTCCTAAGCCCACTTTCCCCCCTCAGCTTAGCTGCGGGTCGCCTGACACTCAGCCCTTCTTTTTCTTCTTAGTCTGGCTAAAGGTTTGTCAATTTTGTTAACCTTTTCTAGAAACCAACATTTTTGTTTCATTGGTCTTTTGTATTGTTTTCTTCATTTCAATTTTATTTCTGCTCTGACATTTATTATTTCTTTTCTTCTACTAATTTTGTGTTTGGTTAGCACTTGCTTTTCTAGTTCTTTAAGATGCATCATTAGGTTTTTTATTTGACATTTTTCTTCTTTTTTGATGTAGGCACTTGTAGCTATAAACTTTCCTCTTCATACTACTTTTGCTGTATCCCATTGGTTTTGGTATGTTGTGTTTCCATTATCATTTGTTTCAAAAAATTTTTCACTTTTCATCTGAATTTATTCATTGACGCGCTGGTCATTTAGGAGCCTGTTGTTTAATTTCCATGTATTTGTATAGTTTCCAAAATTCCTTTTGCTATTTATTTCTAGTTTTATTTCAGAAGATGCTTGATATTATTTCAATTTTTAAAACTGTTTTAAGACCTGTTTTGTGACCTAACATATGGTCTCTCCTTGAATGATCCATGTGCTGATGAGAAAGATGTGTATTCTGCAGCTGTTGGATGAAATGTTTTGTAAATATCTATCAGGTCCATTTGGTCTATAGTGCAGATTAAGTTTGATGTTTCTTTGTCGATTTTCTGTCTGGATGATCTGTTCAGTGCTGAAAGTGGGGTGAAGTCTCCAGCTATCATCATATTGGGGCCTATCTCTCTCTTTATCTCTAATAATATTTGCTTTATATATCTGGGTGCTCCTCACTATAACCTCCACGTCCCAGGCTCAAGTGACCCTCCTACCTCAGCCCCCCAAGTAGCTGGGATCACAGGCACATGCCACCATTCCTGGCTAACTTTTTTGTATTTTTGGTAGAGATGGGGTTTTGCCGTGTTGCTCACGCTTGTCTCAAAGTGCTGAGCTCAGGCAATCCTCCTGCCTTGGCCTTGCAAATTGCTGGGATTATAGGCATGACCCATTGTGCCCAGCCTCAGTCTATGTATTTTTATTGGAGACTTTAGCCCATTTACATTCAATGTTATTATTGATAAGTAGGAACTTACTCCTGCCATTTTGTTATTTGTTTTCTGGTTGTTTTACAGTCTTCTCTTCCTTCTTTCTGTCTTCCTGTCTTCTGTTCAGTGAAGGTGATTTTCTCTGGTGGCATGCTTTAATTTCTTGCTTTTTATTTTTTGTGTATCTGTTGTATGTCTTTCAATTTGAGGTTACCATGGGGTTTGCAAATACTGTCTCGTAACCCATTATTTCACACTGATGATAACCTAACACTGATTGCCTAAACAAGCAAACAAAAATGTAAAAAGAAAACTAATAGACACTCTACACTTTAACTTCATCCCCATGCTTTTTACCTTTTTCTTGTTTCCCTTTACATCTTATTATTCTGTGTCTTGAAAAGCTGTTGTAGCTATTATTTTTGATTGCTTCATTTAGTCTATTTAAGTCAAGAGAAGTTTACACACCACAATTACAGTGTTATAATATTCTGTGTTTTTCTGTGTGCTTACTATAACCAGTGAGTTTTGTACTTTCAAATGATTTTCTTCTTGCTTATTAACATCCTTTTCTTTCAGATTGAAGAGCTTCCTTGAACATTTCTTAGAGGACACGTCTGGTGTTGATGAAATCCCTCAGCTTTTGTTTGTCTAGGAAGCTCTTTATTTCTCCTTCATTGTTAAAGGATATTTTCAGCAGATATACTATTCTAGAGTAAAAGGGTTTTTTTTTTCTTTAGCACTTTAAATATGTCCTGCCACTCTCTCATGGCCTGTAAGGTTTCCACTGAAAAGTCTGCTGCCAGACACATTGGAGCTCCATTCTATGCTGTTTGTTTTTTGCTGCTCTTAGGATCCTTTCTTTATCCTTGACCTTTGGGAGTTTGATTATTAAATACCGTGAGGTAGCCTTCTTTGGGTTAAATCTGCTTGGTATTCTATAACCTTCTTTTACTTGAATGTTGATATCTTTCTCTGTGTTTGGGATGTTCTGTGATACTATGCTTTTGAATAAACTTTACTGCCATCTCTTTTTGTACTGCTTCTTTAAGGTCAATAACTCTTAGATTTGCCCTTTTGAGGCTATTTTCCAGATCTTATAGGTGTACTTCATTTTTTTAAAATTATTTTTTCTTTTGTCTCCTCTGACTATGTATTTTCAAATATCCTGTCTTCAAGCTCACTTACTGTTTCTTCTGCTTGATCAGTGTTGCTGTTAAGATACTCTGATGCATTGTTCGGCATGTCATTGCATTTTTCCAACTCTAGGATTTCTGCTTTATTCTTTTTAATTATTTCAATCTCTTTGTTAAATTTATCTGATAGAATTCTGAATCCTTTCTCTGTGTTATCTTGAATTTCTTTGAGTTTCTTCAAAACAGCTATTTTGAATTCTCTGTCTGAAAGGTCACATATCTCTCTTTTTCTAGGATTCATTCCTGCTGCCTTGTTTAGTTCACTTGGTGAGGTCATGTTTTCCTGGAGGTGTTCTTTGGTGTCTGAGCATTCAGCAGCTAGGTATTTATTCTAGTCTTCACAGTCTGGGCTTGTTTTTGCCTGTCCTTCTTGAGAAGGCTTTCTAGGTATTCAAAGGGACTTTGGCCATAAGCCCGATTATGCTGTGGTTTTTGCAGATTCGTAGACCTACCACCTTGGTGTTCATGGATAAGATGGAGAAGAATTCTCTGGACTATCAGGCAAAGACTCTTGTTCTTTTCCCTTACTTTCTCTCAAAAATACAGATTCTCTCTCTCTGTGCTGAGCCACTTGGAATTGGGGCTATGCTGATGTAAGCACTCCTGTGGGCTGGGACTGTGCTGGGTCAGACCTGAAGCCAGCACAGCACTGGGCCTTCCCAAGGCCTTTCACTTCGGGATGGTGAGTTCCCCCAGGTCCTGGGTGTGTCCAGAGATACTGTCTGAGAGACTGTCTGAGAGCCAGGGATTGGAAGAGTCTCTGCCTGTGGCCACGACCTTCACTGGTCCTCAGGGGGTTGTGCCAAGTCATCACTGATGTTCACTTAAAGCCCAAGGGCTCTTCTGTCAGCTTATAGTGAATGCTGCCAGGCCTGGGACTATGCATCCTTCAGGGCAGTAGGCTCCCCCTCTGGCCCAGGGCAGGTCCAGAAATGCTGTCTTAAGAGCCTAGGCCTGGACTCAGAGACCCCAAGAGCCTCCTTGTTGCTCTACCCAGCCATGGCCAAGCTGGTACCTGATTTTTGATTCTTGTGACAGTACTTTTCTGTGTGCAGAAAAGCAATTAGAGTGCTTTTGTGTGTGCAGATTGTTGTTAAAATTTGGTGTTCCTGCAGTGAGGACCAATGGTCTAGGCTTCTGTTCTACCATCTTGCTTCTCCTCCCCTCAGGAAATGTTTGTTAAACATAAAAAAACAGTTGGTTCAGCTGATGAGGGGACCGTTCATTTTTCTGTCTTTTCTTACAGAAGCAGGAAGATTGATGGCTTGGTATTATATTACATTTGAGACAGTGAAGAAATTTTATACAATCAGTGGAAAAGAAACCTTATCAGATCTGGTAAATTAATTTTCACTAGAAAAAAAATACATAGTGGTATAGTATAAAATAATATTTGAGAAACAACTAATTTGTGTATCTCATATAATTTAAGAATGAATGAGCAGAAAAGAAAGCATTTCTAAGATATATCCTCTGGTATAATTCTGATCATGAGATATGGAATAGTCTTTCTTAGAATATATTATATTTTCTGTTTTAACTCTTATCAGAGCTAAGAAAACTTATATACAAAACTAAAATAGGTATGGCAACTACTTTACAACTTAGGTGATAATGCTAATTACCTTGGTAGTGGCTACACAATGTAATAATATGTAAGAAAGATTCCAAGATGATGTGGTGTGATATATTAGGAAAGTCTACCATGAGTGAAGGACAGTGAGTTGCATGCAGCATGTGTGCCACGTACTTGCAACCCTTCCCTAAATATTTTGGGTGAGAACAGTGAGAACAATGGAAATAGAATAGTATTGGTGATGACCTAGATAAAAGAACTGATTGTAGAAAAAATGGGAATAATAACAGGTTATGCTAAAATATCAACAATGGGGCAACTTTGCAGCTGCAGCAGTGAATAGAACCATAGGCATGTCATTGGTATATGGCGACTGCATTGGTCCTTTCTCCCTTTACTCAGGACATGAATATGAAACAATATTCATAAAAGAAAATATTTACTCTCAAATTTAAGCCGTTCATTTTTATTTAAAATATCTAATTTGATTACTGTGGTAAGATTATTGTAGTAAAAATTGCACAGTAGAATTCCAGTTATGATTGAGGAGTCACATAAACAACAATTGATGAAAAATAGAAGGTTTGTATTTTTGTGTAAACATTATTCTTAACTAAGGAGAAATCAAGAGTCGAAAACACCCACTATTAACATTAACTCATCTGATCTTGAGTTTAGCAAGTGTGTAAGAAAATTAAAACAAGTGTTAGTTCCATTTTAGATATGTGGGAAACCAAAGCACAGAGACTGCTTTGTTTGTCATCTGGTGGAAGTAGGCTCTAGAATCCAAATTTCCTAATATCTAAAACATTCTATGACTAAATTATCCTCAATTGAGATAATGATTTGCAAACTATAGAACAGTAGAATAGCAGTAGTAGTAGTATTAGGAGTAGGAGTAACAAAAACAGTGTTTATTGAGGACTTATTTATTACTATGTGATAGGCACTGGGCTAGATATTTTAAATTCTATCTTGTTAATCTTTAAAGTTTTATTGGTATAGTCCTGGTGTCTAATGCAGTGTCTGGTATATAATAGGAGTTTGTAAGCATTTGTTAGTGAATGAATGAATCCTTAAAGAAGCAAAATGTATAAAGCAGGTTTTTAACTCTGTTATGTTCATTGATAAAACTGTGATGGTTTAAGGCAGTATGAAAAATAAATAAATTTGGAGAAAGGATGAGAGGAAATAAAAAATAGACTTCATTAAATGGACAACTACTGAAATGTTATAGGTTACATTGATAGCTGGCTGCAAGGAATTTCTAGATATACAGTTAAGGATAAATGAAAAGAAAACACTGAATACTTTGAACAAAGATCCAAATCGGATAACTATCAGGTACAGAAATTACATATGTTTTAAATAATTTTAAGAGGTTTTATTTAATTAAAATAAATAATAATAAATGTTTTGCCATGTGGTTTTATTTACAGATTTCCAATGGAAGGAAGAATTAAAACAAGAGAAATGAAAGTAAATTGGTAAAGATGATTCATACTTATGAAAGTTTTCTTTTTTTGGTTTTAAAACATTTTTAATTTGTTTTTCTTAATACAGAAAAGATTACATAAAAATGAGTCAGAATGTGGATGTGAAATTAATTTCTTACAACTCTCAGACTTTAAAATTGATGATTTGTGAATGCTTTTTCTTAGCAAACATTTGTTCAGAGTGTATTCTGTTGAGGCAAGGTGGACGGTTGAATGAAGACATGCTTCTTATGCTTCTCATTGTCAGGAGCTTTCAAGTTAGCTTGAGTGAGAGTAGTACATTTAAAAATAATGGACAGTATGAAAACCTGTGTAATAAATGTCTACTGAATGGTAGTGGCATTCTGGGAGAGACAAAGAGTAAAAGCAAAATCATGAGTAAAGGCGTGTATATGTGACAGTGGATGACTGTTCTGCCAAAAATGGGGAGTTTGTACAGAGACTAGTAATTGAAAGAGTAAATTAAGGTTACACTGTAACTTGTGACTTTTAGCAGTTTGCAGTCACAAATGCAATGATACTGTTTTCTGCTATACTGAGTGCTTGGCTTTCTGAGTATGTAGGTCTTAGTGTTATGTAATTTAAGGTGAAATGATCTTTTTCAATGTGGCTCAATAAAACCAATTAGCCAAAGAATTTCTTTTTCCTCCATAGCTAGAGGAGGCCATTCTTTCTTTGGGATTCTTCCTGACATCTCATTAAATTTTATCTTCCAAATACCTTTACGTCTATAAGACAGTCTTCTCATTGTTGTTTACAACTCATCAGGCAGATTTGTAGCTTGTACCACAGAAGTTAATGTTTATTTTCTTAGCTGTACTTCTATATTCAAATATTTATTTCTATAAATTCATATATCCTTAGAGATCATAGTAAACTTAAGAGATCATATAGCCCAATCCTCTCATTTTACAAACGATGTAAGTGATGCCCAGATAAGTTATGACTTCGCCAAGGTTATGTTGCTATCTAGAACTCTTGATTTTCTCATTTTTTCCCCCAGTATACTG
The DNA here is from genome assembly GCF_000001405.40 of Homo sapiens. NCBI lineage: Eukaryota > Metazoa > Chordata > Mammalia > Primates > Hominidae > Homo > Homo sapiens. The sequence continues at coordinate 91,321,930 of NC_000001.11, read as the reverse complement.
TGTTGCATAAATTATTGAGTCAAATTAAATCAAGTATTTTTCCACATTCATTTTCTTGGGAACACTTTATTTGCACTTTCAGTGCTTCCATTAACTTTGCCTTAAATTGGGTAGTATATTCTTTTGATTGAAGCTGTCAAATTTTAAAGTTAATTATTATACTTTATAATTGTTTTTATACATATCATAATTTAGATTCCCATTATCATTTCCCGCCTTTGTGCATCTTATTTAAGCATAACCAAGAAGAGAGAATGTGTGTACGTGTGGGATGGAGGGGTCTTAATCCAAAATTTATAGTCTTTTGGTAGGTGATGATGGCTAATAGTTACCTTTTTCATGGCTTTGTCATATCCCTGTTACTTTGCTGAACTTCAAATCTGTTCTTCTCCAAGTAGATGTTAATCCTCTTAGTTTTAGGATTTTATCCTTCAAGTTTCTGGTTTCTTCCCTTTTTATTATTTTTATTTATTTATTTATTTATTTTGAGACAGAGTGTCACACTGTGGCCCAGGCTCAAGTGCAAGGGCATGATCTCCGCTCACTGCAACCTCTGCCTCCCGGGCTCAAGCGATTCTCCTGCCTCAGCCTCTGGAGTAGCTGTGATTACAGGAGCACACTATCACACCTGGCTAATTTTTGTATTTTTAGTAGAGATGGGGTTTCACCATGTTGGCCAGTCTTGTCCCAAACTCCTGACCTCAAAGGTGATCCACCTGCCTCGGCCTCCCAAAGTGCTGGGATTACAGGCGTGAGCCAGCGTGCCTGGCTCTGCCCTTTTAATTTAAGGCTATTTTTAAATTCTTCCTAGCTTTAATTCCTAGGTCTTCCCTCTTCAGCACTAGCTCTGTTTTCTTTAACTGGTATTTTTCAGTGAACTGACAGGGTATGATGTGGAGCCACCATACGAAGCCCTGGACTTCCCAACTCTGGATTCCCCTTTTACACACAAGAATAAACTGTTTGTGTGTAAACTGATATGGTCTGGTCATGAACGTAATTCTAACCGAATCAATACTTTATCTCATTTAATTCTTTTACTAACCCTGGGTTAGTCATAACTACCATGTAACTCTGCCCCTGTTAGTTGAGGTGGTAGAGCTGCCACCTCACCTGAGGCTGTGGCACTTCTGTTTTTACTGAGGACAAGCTCAGGGGTAAGATCATAGGACATCACTGCTTGCCTTATCTGGTGCAGAGAAACAGAGAGCCCTGCCATGGTTCTGTACCTACTAGCTTAAATCCCTGTCCTTCCTCCTATCCCTGTTTTATTACTGCTTCTTGAAATAAGATTTCTGACAGGGAAGTATGATGTTGAAAAGTGTCCTATTTATTATTAGAAGTATTGCTTTTTAATATAAATAAATATTACTTCAAAAGTCTTATTTTTACTCCAGCAATTTCTTACTCCACATTTGTGCATCTCTAGGTAGCTTAACAAGGAGTTTTATTTACCCAGCATTTAAAAGCACCCCATTTACATTTTTCCATCAGTTCCTTCTTTGATAGTATACTGTGTATCTTTGTAACTATTTCTTAATAGATGATATAAAATAATTTTCAGAAGCATATACCATAGCCAAAAAAAGTGAATAGTTTAAATTTCAGCTGTATACATCCATTCCAGGAAGTGAGTTGATTACTTCTTTCAATTTTCATGTATCTTGTGCTAAACGAAATCATGAAATATAACTATTCTGCCGTTTTTCTTTGTATAGCTGACTGTTTCGGTCTTATTGAGAGACCTCCTTCTACTGAGGAGTTTAGGAAGAAATTTGTTTTTTAAAAGAGATCCCCTTAAGAGAGTAATAATAAGTACAGTAATTTTAGTTAGAACCATCAGTGATTTGCATATCAATGCCTGATTAGGTAAGTTTATGGGCAAAACAGGTAGCAAAGAACCCGGGATATACTAGGCACATAGGCACTAGTGTCTTTTTTCCCCTTGAACAACTAACACCTCAAATTTAGTAGCCCAGCAGCTGCTGGTTTTGAATAACCAGCTAATATGCTACTGACCTTCATACACTGAATAGAATTATCAGCACCTAATACTATGCCTGGCACTTAATAAGCATTTAATAAAAATGTGTTGATTAAACAAATTGTATTATTTTTCTCTAATTCTTTGAAAAGAAATAGTAGAGCCAAAAGATAGATCTGTATTGGAGGAGAATATGAAAATAATTTGAGATAGTTGAGGTTAAAGTAACAGTCTAAGTGAAAGTCTCCTGTAATTTGTATCAATCTAGAGATTATAATGAAAGTCTGAGAAGAAATGAGATCTTTTAGAGAGAGATTGAGTGAATAAAGAAGAGCAATAAATAAATAAATAAATAAAGACAACTTTGAGGATTTGGGGAAAAAGGAATGAACTTTTATTATTGACCTGCAATAATAATTATGCAAGATAATCATGTAGTATTGCAGAAATTAAGGCAGAGAAAAGTTTTAAGAAGGAATACTTCAGTGAGTGATATCAAATACTGGGAGATAGATAACCCTTAAAAGGGAGTAACAATTTTTTTTCTTTCCCCCAGTCTTATTCAGGCTCAACTAGGATGCATTCCCATACAAGATTTTGCTTTGACACAAGATACCGCAAAGATTTTCAGACATGGCTCCCGAATTACAAGATGTATGTTACAGGATTAGTGGATTTTAAATATTTTTTCCAATAAACTGGTATATTAGATTTAATACTGGAAACTTTTTTTTTAGGGTTGTCAGATTTTGTAGCTGCTCAAGAAAAGAAGTTTGCTGTACTATTGAATAGTTTGATTTTAGCTAAATGTTTTAGGTGTAAACTTTGGGAAAACTCTCTGCATGTATCCAAACAACTGGAAAAAATTGGTAGGTACTGAATACAGGCAGGCAGTTTGGCCATGTCTGCAATTTATTTTGTATTCACTGTTAGTAAAATTATTCTGTGATGATTACAGACCTTCAAGGAAGGTATGTGTTTGTAGGCTTAAATAAGTGCTGTACTTTCGAAAATCTGATTTTCCTTTGCTCCTGCTTAAAGGATTCCATTTGAAATCAACTGAATGATACATGAGTACATGAGAAACCTAATAAAAATTAATGCTGTCATTTGAAAATTTTTTCTCATACCAAGAGGGAAATTTGGTTACAGTAATTAGGCAACTATGTGATGCCCTCTCTTCCACTTTTTTGATGAATATTTTGTTTTGATCTCAATTACAAGGTGGAGTTAGCAGTCCCAGCCATTCCTAATTCATTACAGAAAATTATGTCACCTCTTTATGTCTTAATTTTTTTTTTGTTTTCAATAACAGTAGGGTATTAATACTGATTTTCATAGAGATTCTGTAGACAAAAGATTGTGCCTGATTATTTTGTCTATAGGGACCTTGTGTAGTGTGTGCTATGAGACTGTAGGGAGTACCATTTACAAAGGATTTTCCTGTTTGGTACCTGTGACCTTGTGACCCTATTCTTTCTTAGATAGCTAGAATTCTAAAAAGAGAGTTACTATCTCATCACTGACAGCCTTGTTAATTTTACAATTTTGTATGCATCTTGGGGGTATCAACAAATTAAATAATGGATTTTTAGGGATGTTTTGTTATTTATTTGAACAAAGATTACCAACTGTTTATGAAGAAGACCTACCTTTTGTATCTGGAAATTTGAAATCAGTGGGGTGGCAGAGGGCTGACTAGGAAGTCATGGGAGCTGGGGTGAAGTGGGGATTGGCTGGTGAAAGTAAGGGGAGAGATTCCTGATGGAAAGGCTCACCTTCTTACAGAAGTCCTGGCAACCAAATACCACATCCATCCCACAAAGGCAAGAGTTCTCAATTGGAAAGGTGGTTCCATACAACATTTAGAAAATTTTGAAATTCGGCTAAGTGATTACTAGTAAATTTCATTATACTTGAAAAAGCCAATCTTTCTGGCTTTCTAGAGTATTGTCAATATGGGCATCCATTGCATTCTGTCCCTTCCAGATTGTTGAAACTAACCTGTTTTCACACACACTCATTACAGCTGAACAGAAAAAAGCAAATATTGCCCAGAAAAAAAAAATCATATAAAAGTGAGAGAATCTAAACAAAAAGTCAAATCCAAGTTGTTATTGGGCATCTTGAAAAAAATAATGCATACAAATTAATTTTAATGTTGGCTATAAATGAAAAAGTTAAAAGTCAATAAACATTTTGAGGGGAAATGGAAATGAACATTAAGGAATTATGAATACTAGAAGCTGAGTCTTAAGAAGAACTAAGAGAAATTCCCAAGAACAAGTAAATATATGAGTAAGGAAATAGGGTCATACCTTCACCAGTAATACATGTAATATATGTGCCTTAGACAAAGTAGTAATATTTTGGAATTTTATACTGTTCCGTGTCTTCTATTTGGGGATTTGGATAAATTCATTCATAAGCATATAAGAATTGTAAATTCTGCCTTCTGAAAGTATAAGGAAATAGGAAAGATCCAAAGAAGAAAATGAACTTGATTTTTTTTGTTGTTTGTTTGTTTGTTTTTGAGATGGAGTTTTGCTTTGTTGCCCAGGCTAGAGTACAATGGCACGATCTTGGCTCACCGCAACCTCCGCCTCTCGGGTTCAAGCGATTCTCCTGCCTCAGCCTCCTGAGTAGCTGGGATTACAGGCATGTGCCACCATGCCCGGCTAATTTTGTATTTTTAGTAGAGACGGGGTTTCTCCATGTTGGTCAGGTTGGTCTCGAACTCCCGACCTCAGGTGATCCGCCCGCCTTGGCCTCCTAAAGTGCTGGGATTACAGGTGTGAGCCACTGGGCCCAACCGAATTTGATGTATTTAAGGAATAGAATGAAAGCAAGTGTGACTGGAGAGTAGTCAGCAAGAGGAGAGTTAGAGGAAATTAGATTTGAGACAAAGGCTGTAGTCAGATTATATAGGTAAGGAAATTTGGCTCCAGTAAGGAAATTGCCACTTCATTCTAAATACAATGGAAAAGCATTGGAAGTTTTAGGCAGTAGATTAAAATAGTCTGGTTTAGTTACAGAAACATAGAACTGTATTTCTAAGACAGAAATGGTCAGAGAGCCATAGCTTCATAAAGCAGTATTCCCTCGCTTCATTCAAGCATGATCCTTGAATCATGTTGCCTTTCTTTCAAGCATGAGTACAAAAATACATATCTCTTGGTGATTGGACTATGGATGACGTATAGTAGAACTAAACATCCATCATGTGGACCAGAGTTTCTCTTTCTTTTATAAAGCAAATGCATATTTTATTTGTCTGAATAAATATGAATAATTGAATAATGTCACAAACCCAATAATCCAACTGAAAACTTTTTACAAAAACTTTAAGTTAGTTATTTGACTGGATCTTAAAATTTTTTTTTTTTACTAATTTAGTTGTTAAATATTTAAATATATGTTTTATTTAAAGTGCATTATTTTTAAGTTGTTGTTTGATTAATTTTCCACAGGTATAACATTGTCAAATGCAATCGTAAATGCTGGTTTGACTTCCTTTAAAAAAATAGAAGAGACAGATGCAAGGGAACTTGAATTGGTAGTTATATTCACTTATTCCTAATTCCATCTAAATTCTGAGGCCTACCTTTATTTCTATTAAAAGTTATTTTCCTTCTCATAGTTATAAGTATTTCAACTTACTTTTGGGTGATAAGCATTATTAAAGCTATTTATTCTAAAAAATATTTTACTAAAAGAATTTCAAGTGTTGTGGTAAGAATATAATGATGTAAATATTTTTAGATTTTAAACAGACATCCCCCCTTTGGAACCCAGATAAAAGAAACTGTGATGTATCTACCAAAATATGAACTTAAAGTGGAACAGGTAAATATTTTCTGTTTCTTAGATATTTTATTGTCTTTTCAGAAATAAAGCTACCTATAAATAGGCTTCAGCTGAGTATGAGAAGTAAGGTTATTTTTAACACTTTTTATACTTGTCCTTTTTTAAAGATTACAAGATATAGTGATACGACGGCAGAAATATTAGTGACTGTTATATTAAGAAATTTTGAACAGCTACAAACTAAAAGAACAGCATCGGATTCTCACTATGTTACCTTAATCATAGGTGACGCAGATAATCAAGTAGTTTATCTGCACAAGATTACGTAAGTGTGAAATTTCTGATGTTTGATCTTATTTCTAAGCATATACTGTAAAAGAAAAATTCTACTGAAAAAAAAATAACAAGATCATTGTGGGATCAACTAAATTACATTTTCCTGACACAATAATGGGATGGTTTCTCTATTTTTCTATTAAAGAAGATATTAACATTGGGTCTGTTGTTTTAAATTGTTATATTTAGTACTCAGATGAACAAAGTATAAAATCTATCACCATGATCTGAAACAAGTGAGTAGATTACCTCTAGGAGGTCTTTCTTATTTCACTGCTTTTCTCCAGTCATCCATGACCCTACTACTGTTTGGATGCAGTCTTTCTCCTACTGACCTCAAAATATACCTTCTACTTCCAAATTAAAATCTAACAAATTACTATAGCTCCATTGTAGGATCCAAGCAAACAAAGCAAATGTATAGAGGAGGTACCCTCCCTTATATCTAGTTCTGTAGCATGCCATTCTATAATTTTTACTTCAGCATTTTTCCAGGTACTATTATTTTCTCCCAGGATGTCATAAGCAATCTCTAAGGATATCAGTTGCAGCTATAACTAATATTATTTAGCACTTAGTAGGTTCCAAATATTGAATTATTTAATATTTGTATGAGACAGGTGCTGTCCGTATTCTGTAGAGGAGGAAATTGAGACAAAAAGAGTTTAATGAGTTTGATTTATGATTAACCAAACCTTAATCATGGTCATATAGCTAGTTAATAGCAAAGTCTAGATTTGAACCCAATCCAGAGCCTAGACTCCCAACCATATTACTGTACTTGTAAGTTCAGGAATGGCAGTGATTCTGAAATGGGAATCTCCTAATTGTGCCAGTATACTGGAAGATACCTTCCCAAAAAGTCGCATGCAAGGTTTCTGAAGGGACTGCAGTGACCAGGATATCCCTTTCACTGGTAACTGCTCTCCTGCAGCTAACCATGACCCACTTATAGAGAATATGCTGTTGTACAAATCTTTGTTCTCTGTGACTAATAAGTCTATGACTACATGAGACTAAAATAAGTTTAGTCATAAAAATGGTTGCTGGCTTGTGATGTTATTAGATACAAACCATTTTATATAAATTTAAAAATACTATTGAAGTTGTTCTCATAACGTATAGCCAGTTTAAAATGGTAGTGATTTAGGGGCAAGCTCATGTGTTATTGATACAAAGTATATATTCTTATTGGGACTAAAATGGTAAATGCAACTTGGAAACAGCTGTAATTAAAAAAATTAGGGATTGGATGGAGTGGCTCACACCTGTAATCTCAGCACTTTGAGAGGCTGAGGCAGGAGGATCACTTAAAGCCCAGAGTTTCAGACCAGCCTGGGCAACAAAGTGAGACCCTATTTCTACAAAAATAAATAAATAAATAATCTGAGCATAGTGCCAATGTGCCTGTGGTCCCAGCTACTCGGGAGACCGAGGCAGGAAGACTGCCTGAGCCTAGGAGTTTGTGGCTGCAGTGAGGTATGATTGTACCACTGCACTCCAGCCCAGGCAACAGAGTAAGATTCTGTCTCAAAGAAAATTAATTAATTTTTTAAAAATCATGGTCAAGAGAGTTCCATTGATACTTTATTCTCCCTCCTTAAAAGTTGGGGAAAGCAGTTTTCAGTAATTGATTTCAGTTTACTACTAGAGAGTATCTTTCTTAAGAACAATCAGCCCTTCAAGATTAATATGTATTTCATTCAGTGTTTGGATCACTATTTAAACTATACTATTTTTCAGGGATTCTGTTTTGCTAAAAGCTGGAAGTTGGGCTAAAAAGATTGCTGTGAAAAGAGCTCTTAAATCTGAAGATCTTAGCATAAATCTAATAAGTTCTGAATTTGGTAAGTTAATTGAAGTAATGAAGACATGAATATAAATAATATAATTGCATTTAAAAATTACATCCTTTATGCTGGTACAGAAAAACAGTATAAATGGTATTATGCAAAAATAATATATTTAGATAATATGAATAAACTTCAAAGGAAGTTTCATGTATTTAGATATGTAAAACATAACATGGACCAGATGACATAATTAAAAGTTTATCTTTTCATTTATAGATATTTTATTTTCCTAGATAGTTAAGTTGCAGTTATTGTTGGAAGATTTTTATTTTTATAATGATAAATATATAATTTTTTAGTTGTCATATTTTTTAACCTTTCAACATATTTTAACTTTCTGGACTTCTTAGCTCTAGAAGTTATAAAAATGTAAGAGAGATAAAAAGAAATAAGTGTTCTCATATGTGGATTTATATGACAAATAAACATTTGTGTACTTTTTTTTCATTTTCCAGTTGGGCTTGATATTCAGCAGAAACTTACAGTCTTTTACTTAGAACCCAAGAGGTTTGGAAATCAAATCACTATGCAAAGAAAATCTGAAACACAGATTTCCCATTCTAAACATTCAGACATATCTACAATAGCAGGACCTAATAAAGGTAAATAGCTGTATTAATTCCTATTTTATATTAAAGCAAAGATATGGCTAGGAAGGAGTATCAGTGTTATAGTACTGCAACACTCAGATTGAGGATACTCTGGAATAAGATATTTAAGCTTCATAGTAATTTCATTAATAGTATATAGTAGAGATTCTTCAAGTTAGTATTTGTCAAATTGGGGTAATGGTTGGGGGACAAATTTTTTTATTCATCTTTTGGTATATGTATTAGTCCATTTTCATGCTGCTGATAAAGACATACCTGAGACTGGGAAGAAAAAGAGGTTTAATTGGACTTACAGTTGCACATGGCTGGGGAGGCCTCAGAATCATGGCAGGAGGTGAAGGGCACATCTTGCATGGTGGTGGCGAGAGAAAAATGAGGAAGAAGCAAAAGCAGAAACCCCGATAAGCCCATCAGATCTCATGAGACTTACTCACTATCACAAGAACAGCGCAAAAAAGACCAGCCCCCATGATTTGGTTACCTCCCCCTGGGTCCCTCCCACAACACATGGGAATTCTGGGAGATACAATTCAAGTTGGGATTTTGGTGGGGACACAGCCAAACCATATCATTCCACCCCTAGCCCCTCCAAATCTCATGTCCTCACATTTCAAAACCAATCACACCTTCCCAACAGTCCCCCAAAGCCTTAACTCATTTCAGCATTAACCCAAAAGTCCACAGTTCAAAGTCTCATCTGAGACAAGGCAAGTCCCTTCTGCCTATGAGCCTGTAAAATCAAAAGCAAGCTAGTTACTTCCTAGATATAATGGGGGTACAGATATTGGGTAAATACAGTCATTCCAAATGGGAGAAATTGGCCAAAACAAAGGGCTTACAGGCCCCATGCATGTCTGAAATCCAGTGGAGCAGTCAAACTTTAAAGCTCCAAAATGATCTCCTTTGACTCCAGGTCTCACATCTAGGTCACATGGATGCAAGAGGTGAGTTCCCATGGTCTTGGGAAGATCCACCCCTGTGGCTTTGCAGGGCACAGCCTCCCTACTGGCTGCTTTCATGGGTTGGTGTTGAGTGTCTGCAGCTTTTCCAAGTGCACAGTTCAAGCTGTCGGTGGATCTACCATTCGGGGGTCTGGAGGATGGTGGCCCTCTTCTCACAGCTCCACTAGGCAGCACCCCACTAGAGACTCTGTGTGGGGGCTCTGACCCCACATTTCTCTTCTACATTGCCTTACCAGAGGTTCTCCATGAGGGCTTTGCTCCTGCAGCAAACTTTTGCCTGGGCATCCAGGCATTTCCATACATCTTCTGAAATCCAGGTGGAGGTTCCCAAACCTCGATTCTTGACTTCTGTGTACCCACAGGCTCAATACCATGTGGAAGCTGCCAAGGCTTGGGGCTTCCACAAGCCTTGAAGCCACAGCTGGAGCTGTATGTTGACCCCTTTCAGCCATGGCTGGAGCAGCTGGGACATAGGACACCAAATCCCTAGGCTGCACACAGCACAGGGACCTGGGCCCAGCCCATGAAAGCACTTTTTCCTCCTGGGCCTCCAGGCCTGTGATAGAAGGGGCTGCCGTAAACATCTGTGACATGGCCTGGAGACATTTTCCCCATGGTCTTGAGGTTTAACATTAGGCTTCTTGCTACTTATGCAAATTTCTGCAGCCAGCATGAATTTCTCCCCAGCAAATGGGTTTTTCTTTTCTATTGCATAGTCAGGCTGCAAATTTTCTGAACTTTTTTTTTTTTTTGAGATGGAGTCTCACTCTGTCACCCAGGCTGGAGTGCAGTGGCACGATCTCGGCTTGCTGCAACCTCTGCCTCCTGGGTTCAAGCAATTCTCCTGTCTCTGCCTCCTGAGTAGCTGGGACTACAGGCACCCACCAGCATGCCCGGCTAATTTTTGTATTTTTAGTAGAGACAGGGTTTCACCATATTGGTCAGGCTGGTCTCAAACTCCTGGTCTCAGGTGATCCACCTGCCTCGGCCTCCCGAAGTGCTGGGATAAATTTTCTGAACTTTTATGCCCTGTTCCCCTTTTACAACTGAATGCCTTTAAGAGTACCATATCACCTCTTGAATGCTTTGCTGCTTAGAAATTTTTTCCACCAGATGCCCTAAATCATCTCTCTCAAGTTAAAAGTTCCACAAATCTCTTGGGCAGGGGCAAAATGCCACCAGTCTCTTTGCTAAAACGTAACAAGAGTCACCTTTGCTCCAGTTCCCAACAAGTTCCTCATCTTCATCTGAGACCACCTCAACCTGGACCTTATTGTCCATATTGCTATCAGCATTTTGGGCAAAGCCATTCCACAATTCTCTAGGAAGTTCCAAACTTTCCTACATTTTCCTGTCTTCCTCTGAGCTCTCCAAACTGTTCCAACCTTTGCCTGTTACCCAGTTTCAAAGTCGCTTCCACATATTTGGGTATCTTTTCAGCAATGTCCCCACTCTACTGGTACCAATTTACTATATTAATCTGTTTTCACACTGCTGATAAAGACATAGCTGATACTGGGAAGGAAAAGAGGTTTAATTGTACTTAACAGTTTCACATGGCTGGGGAGGCCTCAGAATCACATGGTGGGAGTTAAAAGGCACTTCTTACATGGCGGCGGCAAGAGAAAAATGAGGAAGAAGCAAAAGCAGAAACCCTTGATAAACCCATCAGATCTCTTGAGACTTATTCACTATCAGGAGAATAGCAAGGGAAAGACCAGCCTCCATGATTCAATTACCTCCCCCTCAGTCCCTTCCACAACACGTGGGAATTCTGGGAGATACAATTCAAGTTGAGATTTTGGTGGGGACACAGCCAAACCATGTCAGTATACGTTTTTCCTTTTCCATACTTATGCCATTGTTATAGCCATTGTCAGGGGAGATCAAGTGATGTACAAGAATCAACAGATTTGTTAAGGCAAATCAGAGTGAAAATGAATTATTATTTTTTATTATGGGAATTTTTCAAACATATACAAAAGTAGATAGAAGTGTAAGATGAATTTTCATTTACTCATTATCCACTTTAAACAGTGATCAATTCATGGCTGCTACTGTTTCATCTATACCTCTCTAGTTTTTTTTTCCATCCATATTTTGAAGAAAATTTTAGATATCGTATTATTTCCTCTGTAAATGTTTCAATATATCTCTATCTAAATGGTAAAGATTTTTTTAAACTACATTACTTTTACACATAAAAACTAATATTATCCAATATTAAGTCAGGGTTCAAATTGTCTCATAAATATTGTAGATGTATTATCATCTTCATACCATCTAGATATACCAGATTAACTCCTGAGTCCTTTTGAGTATTTCTAGTAGATTTGACAGCTTCTTTGCTATGCAGAGTAATATGCTGTTCTAGGCTTATCTCGTATATCTCCAGCTTCAGTCCCAAACATAATAAACCCTTTGTCCAAGAAGCCTTTTTTTTTAAATGATAGTAGTTTTCAGAGATCACAATCTGTGTCCTAGAGGAGCTCGTTGCCATTGAGTGATTATGGTCTCTTAGATTTTTTTCATGCATGGAGGTAAGTATTATGTGATTATTTTTTGTCTTAAAAGACATCATGAATTCATACTTATCAAATTCAGAGATGCAGAATTTATCCTTAAACTCAATTATCTATATATGCCTTCTATCATGCTGAGAAACTTGGTTCTCAATGGCTCAAAAATAATAGAGTATCACTAATTTTCTATCCTTTATATACATTACACACACAATAAACAGTCTGAGAATAGCAGCATCAGACTATCACTCTTAATATGATCATAAAATTTGAGAATTATTTTGCAGATATTTTTGTTCTTAGGCTGTATCTTACTATCTTAGACTGTATCTCAATAGTAAAATTAATGTGTTTAAAAATCACTTGGAATAGATCCTCTGTATGTGGCCATGCCACTCTGGATACATATACTTTCATTTGTTTCATTTTATTTTATATTTTTAGGACTAGCTTTCAAAAATTAATTTTGTTTTATAATAATGTAAAACATTTACATGGCTCTGTAACTAAATCTACAAAACAAGCACTAAATATATAAACACTTGCAGCATAGGCAGTCTACCTTACAGCTCTTTCTTATTCAGTTGGTCCTGTTTTCACCCTTTTGACCCCATAAGGGGAGCAGTTAACAGACACTGGGGAATTTGAGAGCAGCAGCATGATTAGACATGCTCTCTGAATAGTATTGGCAATTATGATAAATAGTAACTGCAGTGAGTAGTGACAGGAAGAACGCATTTAGAACTATTCTGTGAGCTCATGAGCCTTCATCTTCTTCCTTTTGAAGAACACAAAAGAGCTTCCATTTCTGGGTAGGATATAGTTTTGTGGTAGGCCAGTGCTTCCACAGCTACAACTATGAAAACCTTCATACCTTATAAAATTATAATTTTTAGGGCATCAGAGATTTGTGGAAGCACTAAGGACTAAAGGAACTAAATTCTTAATAAAAAGGCTAGGTAGACCATGCCCTGTAAAGGGGTTTACATGATCAGCCACTCACCATGTTTGCCTGACAGAGGGAAAGGGAAACTTCTTCTGGTGAAATGTAATCTGGAAACCACAGACACAGTGTCTGTCATATGATAAAAAAATTGTGAGGCCCACAAAGAGATAAGACCATATGACTGATAATCAACTGTGTCAAGAAACAAGCCAGACATGGTGACACACACTGGTAGTCCTAGATATTCAGGAGGCTAAGGCAGGAGGATTTCTTGAGCCCAGGAGTTTGAGGCTGTAGTGCACTATGATCATGTCTGTGAATTTACCACTGCACTCCAGCCTGGACCACATAGCAAGACCACATCTCTTTAAAAAAAGTATAAAATAATTATGAATATTTTAAAGAAAATATAGAAAAAATAGGTAAATGCATGAAAAGATGGAAAGTTTTACCAGATAATTAAAATCTATAAAGAGATTTAAATGGACTTTCTAGAATTAAAAATGCGATATCTGAAATGAAGAGCTAGTTGGGTAGGCTTAACATTAGATTCAATATAACCAAATATAGGATTTGTGGGCTTTGAGACATATCAGTAGAAAATATCTAAATTGAAGCCCAGAGATAAGAGAATGGAAAGAACACAAAGGAATATAATACTCAAAAAAAGGTCTAACATATGCATAATTAAAGTCCCAGAAGCAGAGTAGAGAGAGAATGGGACAAAATTAACATTCAAAGAGACAATGGCAGAGTCCATTTCAAAATAATAAAAGACACCAACCAACAGATTTAGAATTTTGGTAAACCCCAAACAGAGGCAAATACAGGGAAAACCACACCTGGACATATTGTAGCAAAACTGCTGAAAATGTTAAAATTAGACACATCATTTATGCATTACCTTCAAAATAACAACAGTGAAACTGACAGCTAACTTCTCAACAATAATGATGGAAAACAGAAGACAATGGAATGTCATATTCAAAATGCTACCAACCTAGGTTTCTGCCCAGTGGAAAATATCCTTCATGATGAAAGTGAAAAAAGAAAGAAGAGAAAGAAGAGAAAGAAAGAGGAAGAAAGAGAAAGAAAATAACTAAATGACTTTATCACTACTAGTATATTTATCAGCCTGAATTAAAATGAATACTAAGGCCAGGCTTAGTGGCTCATGCCTATAATCCCAGCACTTTGGGAGGCCAAGATGGGCAGATCGCTTGAGCCCAGGAGTTCAAGACCAGCCTAGGCAATGTGGTGAAACCCTGTCTCTACAAAAAGTTAAAAAAAATTAGTGAGTGTGGTGATGTGCACCAGTGGTCCCAGCTACTTGGGAGGCTGAGGTGGGAGGATCATTTGACCCTGGGAAGTTGAGGCTGCAGTGAGCTGAGATCACACTACTGCACTCCAGCCTGGGTAACAGAGCGAGACCCTGTCTCAAAATAAAAAATAAAATAAAATAAATACTAAAGGGATTTCCTTAGAGGAAAATGATCACAGATGAAAACATGGACATGCTGGGGGGAATGAAGAAGAGTAGAAAGGATAACTATATGACTAAATATAAGTAGACTATGTAAAACAGTAATTGAAATGACTTACAGAGTTTAAAATATATGTGGAAATAAAATGCAAAGCAAAAAAATACAAGCTTGCATCTCAAGAGTATACCATATCAAACATAATAATGTAACAAGAGAAAAACAGAAATCAGCGATACATAGGATGTAAATATACAACAGAGAAAAATCAACAAAGCTGAGATTTGGTTCTTAGAAAAGATAAATAAAATTAAGAACCCTCTATGAATGAAGACTGATCAAGAGAAAGAAAGAAAACACAAGTAACAATATCAAGAATGAAGAAGAGGATATTACATTGTATATCAAAAAGTTACTGAAGATATTCAAAAGCACAAAAACAAGACATTAACAATTTTATAATGATAAATTTGACATAGTTTGGGTTAAAATGAGAATATTTATTGAGAAGCAAAGCTTACCAAAACTGACAGAAGAAAATAAAATCTGAGTAGTCTGATACTAGTAATGAAATTGAAGCAATTGTTAGTAAAAATTTTTCCACAAAGAAAACTTGAGGCATGGATGACTTCACTGTTAATTTTTCTTAATTAAGAAGAAATAATATCAAACTTACCTAAACTTTTCCAGAGAATAGAAAAAAAGAGAATATTTTCTAATGTTTTGTTTTTTTAATGAGGCCAGTGTGTCAAAACCTGACAAGGACATTAAAAAGAAAGGGAAATTATTTAGCAACATATCTCATGAACATAGATCCAAAAGTCTTTAATGAAATATTCACAAGCTGAATTTGGCCATATTTTTTAAAAGCACAATTAAGTATGGTTTATTGCATGTATGCAGGAGAGGCTTACCATTCAAAAGTAGATCAATATAATTCACTATGTTAACAGAGAAAAAGGAGAAAATGATTTGATCCTCTTGATAGGTGTCAAAAAAGTTTGACAAAATTCAGTACTCATTTATGATTTAAAAAAACTCTTAGCAAACTAGAAATAGAAGGGAACTTCTTTTGTTTTGTTTTGTTTTTGTTTTTGAGACAGAGTTTCACCCTTGTTGCCCAGGCTAGAGTGCAATGGTGCAATCTCGGCTCACCATAATCTCCACCTCCCAGGTTCAAGCTATTCTCCTGTCTCAGCCTCCCGAGTGCTGGGATTACAGGCATGCACCACCACGCCCAGCTAATTTTGTATTTTTAGTAGAGATGGGATTTCTCCGTGTTGGTCAGGCTGGTCTTGAACTCCCAACCTCAGGTAATCTGCCTGCCTTGGCCTCCCAAAGTGCTGGGATTACAGGGTGAGCCACCACGCCTGGCCTGGAACTTCTTAAATATAAAGAATATCTACAAAAACTATAGCAAATGTCATACTCGATAGTAAAATATTAAACACTTTCCTATTGAGTTGGAGAATGTTACAAGAATGCTCTGTGTTATTATTTCTATTCGACATTGTGCTGGAAGTCTTAGTAATATAATAATACTTTAAAAAAGCAAAAAGGGGGCTGGGTGCAGTGGCTCATACCTATAATCCCAGAACTTTGGGAGGCCGAGGTAGGAGGATCACTTGAGTCCAGGAGTTCAAGACAAGCCTGGGCAACAGTGTGAAACTCCATCTTTACAAAAATAGAAAAAAGTAGCCAGGTGTGGTGGTGCTTGCCTGTAGACCCAGCTCCTCTGGAGGCTGAAATGGGAAGATCACTTGAGTCCAGGTGTTCGAAGTTACAGTGAGCTATGATTACACCACTCCACTCCAGCCTGGGCAACAGAGTGAGACCTTGTCTCAAAAAAAAGAAAAAAAAAGAAATAAATAAATTGTCATTATTTCTAAGCAACATGATTATTTATAGAGAAAATCCAAAAGACTCTATAGACATGCTGTTGGAATTAATATGTTTAGAAATATCACTGAATGCAGTCAATATAAAAAACAATTGTACAATAGCATCAAAAAGAATAAAATACTTAGGAATAAATTGAACAAAAAAGTGTAAGAAGTGAACACTGAAAACTACAAAACACCATTGAAATAAATTAAAGAAGTTCTAAATAAATTGAAAAATATTTTATGTTCGTGGATTGAAAGTCAATATTGTTAAGATGGCAGCACTTCTCATATTAATTCATAAATTCAACAAAGTCTGTATCAAAATCCTAGCTGTAGTTTTTGCAGAAATTCACAGGCTGATCCTAAAATTCACGTGGAAATACAAGGGACCCAGAATAGCTAAGCCAACCTTGAAAAGAAAAAGAAGGAAGGTAGAGGACTCACAATTCTTGGTTTCAAAACTTGTTACAAAGCTGCAGTGATTAAGACAAGGTGGTGCTGTCATAATAATAGACATAAAGATCAATGGAATACAACTGAGAGTGTAGAAATAAACCTTTACCTCTCTGCCAGTTTATTTTTGACAAGGATGCCAAAACAATTTGATGGTAAAAGAATTTGAAAATAATTTTTCAAGTAATAGGGCTGGGCAACTGCATAGACACATGCAAAAGGATGAATTTGGACTCCTACCTCATACCATATACAAAAATTAACTCAAAATGAATCAAAGACCTAAAGGTAAAACTTAAAACTATAAAACTCGCCAGGTGCAGTGGCTAACACCAGTAATCCCAGCACTTTGGGAGGCTGAGGTGGGTGGATCACCTGAGGTCAAGAGTTCAAGACCAGCTTGGCCAACATAGTGAAACTCTGTCTCTACTAAAAATACAAAAAAAAAAAAAAAAATTAGCCGGCTGTGGTGATGGGCCCCTGTAATCCCAGCTACTCAGGAGGGTGAGGCAAGAGAATCGCTTGAACCCAGGAGGCGGAGGTTGCAGTGAGCCAAGATCGCTCCATTGCACTCCAGCCTGGGCAACAAGAGCGAAACTCTGTCTCAAAAACAAACAAACAAACAAAAACCTATAAAACTCTTAAAAGAAAACATAGGTGTATATCTTCATTCATTACCTTGTACAAGGCAACAGTTTCTTAGGTATGACATATAAAGCTCAAGTAACCAAAGAAAAAATAGATGAATTGGACTTAAGATGAAAACTTTTGTGCTTCAGAGGACACTATTCAGAAAGTGAAAAGACAACCCACGGAATGGGAGAAAATACTTGCAAATCATATATATCTGATAACTAACTTGTATTGAGTATATATAAAGAAATCTTACACTTCAACAGTAAAAAGACAAATAGCCCAATTAAAACTAGTCAAGGGGCCGGGCACAGTGGCTCACATCTGTAATCCCAACACTTTGGGAGGCCGAGGCGGGTAGATCACTTGAGGTCAGGAGTTCAAGACCACCCTGGCCAATATGGTGAAACCCCATCTCTACTAAAAATACAAAAATTAGCCAGGCGTGTTGGTGCACGCCTGTAATCCCACCTACTCAGGATTGAGTGGAAGGTGAGGTGGAAGAATTGCTTGAACTCAGGAGGTAGAGGTTGCAGTGAGCCAAGATCATGCCACTGCACTCCAACCTGGGTGACAGAGTGAGACTTTGTCTCAAAAATAAAATAAAAATAAAACTAGTCAAGGGATCTGCATAGACATTTTCCAAAGAAGTGATACAAATGGTCAACACACATATGAAAAGATGCTCTACATTGTTAGTCAATGCAGAAATGCAAACCAAAACCACAGTAAGATACCACTTCCCACTCAGTAGGGTGGCTTTAGTCAAAATGATGGACAATAACATGTGTTGATAAGGATATGGAGAAACTGGAACCCTCATACACTGCTAGTGGGAATGTAAAATTGTGCACTGCTTTGAAAAACAGTTGGTATTTCCTCAAGAAATTTAACATAGAATTAACATATGATACAGCAATTGTACTCCTAGGTGTATATCCAAAAGAATTGAAAACATATTCATACAAAAACTTAGACATGAATGTATATAGCTGCATTATTTATAATAGCCCAAACTGGAAACAACCCAAATATCTATCAACTGATGAATAGATAAGCAAAATGTGGTATATCCATACAATGGAATATTATTCAGCCAAAAAGAAAAACTACTGATGCATGCTACAGCACGGATGAGCCTTGAAAACATGCTAGATAGAAGCTAGTCACAGAAGACCAGATATTGTATGGTTCAATTTATATGAAGTGTCTAGAACAGGTAAATCTATAGAGACATAAAGTAGATTAGTGGTTGTCAGGGGTTGAGGGCAGGAATAAATGAGGAATGACTAATAATAGTTATATGGTGGGTTTTTTGTATGTATGGTGATGACAGTGTTCTGGAATTATATGATGACTGTTGCACAACCTTGGGAATATACTAAAAACCCACTGAATTGTACAGTTTAAAAATGTGAATGGTATGGTATGAATTATAATTTAATTAAGAAATTTAAAAGTCCATTGTATTCCTGTATACCAGCAAAAAGGATAAATTATAATTTTATTTTATTTTATTTTAATTTTAAATTATACTTTTAGGGTACATGTGCACAACGTGCGGGTTTGTTACATATGTATACATGTGCCATGTTGGTGTGCTGCACCCATTAACTCATCATTTAACATTAGGTATATCTCCTAATGCTATCCCTTCCCCCTCCCCCCCACCCCACAACAGGCCCCAGAGTGTGATGTTCCACTTCCTGTGTCTATGTGTTCTCATTGTTCAATTCCACCTATGAGTAAGAACATGCAGTGTTTGGTTTTTTGTCCTTGCGATAGTTTGCTGAGAATGATGGTTTCCAGCGTCATCCATGTCCCTACAAAGGACATGAACTCATCATTTTTTATAGCTGCATAGTATTCCCTGGTGTATATGTGCCACATTGTCTTAATCCAGTCTATCATTGTTGGACATTTGGGTTGGTTCCAAGTCTTTGCTATTGTGAATAGGGCCACAATAAACATACGTGTGCATGTGTCTTTATAGCAGCATGTTTTATAATCCTTTGGATATATACCCAATAATGGGATTGTTGGGTCAAATGGTATTTCTAGTTCTAGATCCCTGAGGAATCGCCACACTGACTTCCACAATGGTTGAACTAGTTTACAGTCCCACCAACAGCGTAAAAGTGTTCCTATTTCTCCACATCCTCTCCAGCACCTGTTGTTTCCTGACTTTTTAATGATCACCATTCTAACTGGTGTGAGATGGTATCTCATTGTGGTTTTGATTTGCATTTCTCTGATGGCCAATCATGATGAGCATTTTCTCATGTGTCTTTTGGCTGCATAAATGTCTTCTTTTGAGAAGTGTCTGTTCATATCCTTCACGAACCACTTTTTGATGGGGTTGTTTGATATTTTCTTGTAAATTTGTTTGAGTTCATTGTAGATTCTGGATATTAGCCCTTTGTCAGATGAGTAGATTGCAAAAATTTTCTCCCATTCTGTAGGCTGCCTATTCACTCTGATGGTAGTTTCTTTTGCTGTACAGAAGCTCTTTAATTAGATCCCATTTGTCAAGTTTGGCTTTTGTTGCCATTGCTTTTAATGTTTTAGACATGAAGTCCTTGCCCATGCCTATGTCCTGAATGGTATTGCCTAGGTTTTCTTCTAGGGTTTTTATGGTTTTAGGTCTAACATTTAAGTCTTTAATGCATCTTGAATTAATTTTTGTATAAGGTGTAAGGAAGGGATCCAGTTTCAGCTTTCTATATATGGCTAGCCAGTTTTCCCAGCACCATTTATTAAATAGGGAATCCTTTCCCCATTTCTTGTTTTTCTCAGGTTTGTCAAAGATCAGATGGTTGTAGATATGTGGCATTATTTCTGAGGGCTCTGTTCTGTTCCATTGGTCTATATCTCTGTTTTGGTACCAGTATCATGCTGTTTTGGTTACTGTAGCCTTGTAGTATAGTTTGAAGTCAGGTAGTGTGATGCCTCCAGCTTTGTTCTTTTGGCATAGAATTGACTTGGCAATGCGGGCTCTTTTTCGGTTCCATGTGAACTTTAAAGTAGTTTTTTCCAATTCTGTGAAGAAAGTCATTTGTAGCTTGATGGGGATGGCATTGTATCTATAAATTACCTTGGGCAGTATGGCCATTTTCATGATATTGATTCTTCCTACCCATGAGCATGGAATGTTCTTCCATTTGTTTGTATCTTCTTTTATTTCATTGAGCAGTGGTTTGTAGTTCTCCTTGAAGAGGTCCTTCACATCCCTTGTAAGTTGGATTCCTAGGTATTTTATTCTCTTTGAAGCAATTGTGAATGGGAGTTCACTCATGATTTGGCTCTGTTTGTCTGTTATTGGTGTATAAGAATGCTTGTGATTTTTGCACATTGATTTTGTATCCTGAGACTTTGCTGAGGTTGCCTATCAGCTTAAAGAGATTTTGGGCTGAGATGATGGGGTTTTCTAGATATACAATCATGTCATCTGCAAACAGGGACAATTTGACTTCCTCTTTTCCTAATCGAATACTCTTTATTTCCTTCTCCTGCCTGATTGCCCTGGCCAGAACTTCCAACACTGTGTTGAATAGGAGTGGTGAGAGAGGGCATCCTTGTCTTGTGCCAGTTTTCAAAGGGAATGCTTCCAGTTTTTGTCCATTCAGTATGATATTGGCTGTGGGTTTGTCATAGATAGCTCTTATTACTTTGAGATACGTCCCATCAATAACTAATTTATTGAGAGTTTTTAGCATGAAGGGTTGTTGAATTTTGTCAAAGGCCTTTTCTGCATCTATTGAGATAATCGTGTGGTTTTTGTTGTTGATTCTGTTTATATGCTGGATTAAGTTTATTGATTTGCATATGTTGAACTAGCCTTGCATCCCAGGGATGAAGCCCACTTGATCATGGTGGATAAGCTTTTTGATGTGCTGCTAGATTTAGTTTGCCAATATTTTATTGAGGATTTTTGCATTGGTGTTCATCAGGGATATTGGTCTAAAATTCTCTTTTTTTGTTGTGTCTCTGCCAGGCTTTGGTATCAGGATGATGCTGGCCTCATAAAATGAGTTAGGGAGGATTCCCTCTTTTTCTATTGATTGGAATAGTTTCAGAAGGAATGGTACCAGCTCCTCCTTGTACCTCTGCTAGAATTCAGTTGTGAATCCATCTGGTCCTGGACTTTTTTTGGTTGGTAAGCTATTAATTATTGCCTCAATTTCTGAGCCTGTTATTGGTCTATTCAGAGATTCAGCTTCTTCCTGGTTTAGTCTTGGGAGGGTGTATGTGTCCAGAAATTTATCCATTTCTTCTAGATTTTCTAGTTTATTTGCATAGAGGTGTTTATAGTATTCTCTGATGGTAGTTTGTATTTCTGTGGGATCGGTGGTGATATCCCCTTTATCATTTTTTATTGTGTCTATTTGATTCTTCTCTCTTTTCTTCTTTATTAGTCTTGCTAGCGGTCTATCAATTTTGTTATCTTTCAAAAAACCAGCTCCTGGATTCATTGATTTTTTTGAAGGGTTTTTTGTGTCTCTATTTCCTTCAGTTCTGCTCTGATCTTAGTTATTTCTTGACTTCTGCTAGCTTTTGAATGTGTTTGCTCTTACTTCTCTAGTTCTTTTAATTCTGATGTTAGGGTGTCAATTTTAGATCTTTCCTGCTTTTTCTTGTGGGCATTTAGTGCTATAAATTTCCCTCTACACACTGCTTTGAATGTGTCCCAGAGATTCTGGTATGTTGTGTCTTTGTTCTCATTGGTTTCAAAGAACATCTTTATTTCTGCCTTCATTTCGTTATGTACCCAGTAGTCATTCAGGAGCAGGATGTTCAGTTTCCATGTAGTTGAGCGGTTTTGAGTGAATTTCTTAATCCTGAGTTCTAGTTTGATTGCACTGTGGTCTGAGAGACAGTTTGTTATAATTTCTGTTCTTTTACATTTGCTGAGGAGAGCTTTACTTCCAACTATGTGGTCAATTTTGGAATAGGTGTGGTGTGGTGCTGACAAGAATGTATATTCTGTTGATTTGGGGTGGAGAGTTCTGTAGATGTCTATTAGGTCCGGTTGGTGCAGAGCTGAGTTCAGTTCCTGGATATCCTTTTTAACGTTCTGTCTTGTTGATCTGTCTAATGTTGACAGTGGGGTGTGAAAGTCTCCCATTATTATTGTGTGGGAGTCTAAGTCTCTTTGTAGGTCTCTAAGGACTTGCTTTATGAATCTGGGTGCTCCTGTATTGGGTGCATATATATTTAGGATAGTTAGCTCTTCTTGTTGAATTGATCCCTTTACCATTATAATGGCCTTTGTGTCTTTTGATCTTTGTTGGTTTAAAGTCTGTTTTATCAGAGACTAGGATTGCAACCCCTGCCTTTTTTTGTTTTCCATTTGCTTGGTAGATCTTCCTCCATCCCTTTATTTTGAGCCTATATGTGTCTCTGCACGTGAGATGGGTTTCCTGAATACAGCACACTGATGGGTCTTAACTCTTTCTCCAGTTTGCCAGTCTGTGTCTTTTAATTGGAGCATTTAGCCCATTTACAGTTAAGGTTAATATTGTTATGTGTGAATTTGATCCTGTCATTATGATGTTAGCTGGTTATTTTGCTCATTAGTGGATGCAGTTTCTTCCTAGCCTCGATGGTCTTTACAATTTGGCATGTTTTTGCAGTGGCTGGTACCAGTTGTTCCTTTCCATGTTTATTGCTTCCTTCAGGAGCTCTTTTAGGGCAGGCCTGGTGGTGACAAAAATCTCTCAGCATTTGCTTGTCTGTAAAGGATTTTACTTCTCCTTCACTTATGAAGCTTAGTTTGGCTGGATATGAAATTCTGGGTTGAAAATTCTTTTCTTTAAGAATGTTGAATATTTGCCCCCACTCTCTTCTGGTTTGTAGAGTTTCTGCCAAGAGATCAGCTGTTAGTCTGATGGATTTCCCTTTGTGGGTAACCCAACCTTTCTCTCTGGCTGCTCTTAACATTTTTTCCTTCATTTCAACTTTGGTGAATTTGACAACTTTGTGTCTTGGAGTTGCTCTTCTTGAGGAGTATCTTTGTGGCATTCTTTGTATTTCCTGAATTTGAATGTGGCCTGCCTTGCTAGATTGGGGAAGTTCTCCTGGATAATATCCTGCAGAGCGTTTTCCAACTTGGTTCCATTCTCCCTGTGACTTTCAGGTACACCAATCAGATGTAGACTTGGTCTTTTCACATAGTCCCATATTTCTTGGAGGCTTTGTTTGTTTCTTTTTATTCTTTTTTCTCTAAACTTCTCTTCTCGCTTCATTTCATGAATTTGATCTTCCATCCCTGATACCCTTTCTTCCAGTTCATCGGATCAGCTACTGAGGCTTGTGCATTCGTCAGGTACTTCTTGTGCTGTGGTTTTCAGCTCCATCAGGTCCTTTAAGGACTTCTCTGCATTGGTTATTCTAGTTAGCTGTTCATCTAATTTTTTTTCAAGGTTTTTAACTTCTTTGCCATGGGTTCAAACTTCCTCCTTTAGCTTGGAGTAGTTGGATCATCTGAAGCCTTCTCTCAACTCATCAAAGTCATTCTCCGTCCAGCTTTGTTCCGTTGCTGGTGAGGAGCTGCGTTCCTTTGGAGGAGGAGAGGCGCTCTGAATTTTAGAGTTTCCAGTTTTTCTGCTCTGTTTTTTCCCCATCTTTGTGGTCTTATCTACCTTTGGTCTTTGATGATGGTGACGAACAGATGGGGTTTTGGTGTGGATGTCCTTTCTGTTTGTTAGTTTTCCTTCTAACAGTCAGGACCCTCAGCTGCAGGTCTGTTGGAGTTTGCTGGAGGTCCACTCCAGACCCTGTTTTCCTGGGTATCAGCAGCGGAGGCTGCAGAACAGCAGATATTGGTGAACAGCAAATGTTGCTGCCTGATCGTTCCTCTGGAAGTTTTGTCTCAGAGGGGTACCCGGCTGTGTGAGTTGTCAGTCTGCCCCTACTGGGGGACGCCTCCCAGTTAGCCTACTTGGGGGTAAGGGACCCACTTGAGGAGGCAGTCTGCCTGTTCTCAGATCTCCAGCTGCATGCTGGGAGAACCACTACTCTCTTCAAAGCTGTCAGACAGGGACATTTAAGTCTGCAGATGTTTCTGCTGCCTTTTGTTTGGCTATGCCCTGCCCGTAGAGGTGGAGTCTGCAGAGGCAGGCAGGCCTCCTTGAGCTGTGGTGGGCTCCACCCAGTTCAAGCTTCCCGGCTGCTTTGTTTACCTACTCAAGCGTCGGCAATGGCGGGTGCCCCTCCCCCGGACTCGCTGCCACCTTGCAGTTTGATCTCAGACTGCTGTGCTAGCAATGAGCGAGGCTCTGTGGCTGTAGGACCCTCCGAGCCAGGCGCGTGATATAATCTCCTGGTGTGCCGTTTGCTAAGACCATTAGAAAAGTGCAGTATTAGGGTGGGAGTGACCCGATTTTCCAGGTGCCGTCTGTCACCCCTTTCTTTGACTAGGAAAGGGAATTCCCTGACCCCTTGTGCTTCCCGGGTGAGGCGATGCCTCGCCCTGCTTTGGCTCACACTTGGTGCACTGCACCCACTGTCCTGCACCCACTGTCTGACATTCCCCAGTGAGATGAACCCGGTACCTCAGTTAGAAATGCAGAAATCACCTGTCTTCTGCATCGCTCACGCTGGGAGCTGTAGACTGGGGCTGTTCCTATTTGGCCATCTTGGCTCCTCCCCTCAAAATTATAATTCTAAAACAGCATTTACAGTAGTATAAAATATCAACCTTGTAATAGAATAACAAAAGATGCTCAAGACCACTACATGAAAACTAAAAATCATTGTTTAAGGGAAATTAGGGAAAACATACTTAATTAAGATACCGTTTCAAGAACTGAAAAGTTTAATATTATAAAGATGTCAGTTCTCCCCAAATTAATCTTTATATTCAGTGTCATCCCAATTTCAGCAGGGTTTTGTTGTTGTTGTC
This sequence comes from Homo sapiens, assembly GCF_000001405.40. Taxonomy (NCBI): domain Eukaryota; kingdom Metazoa; phylum Chordata; class Mammalia; order Primates; family Hominidae; genus Homo; species Homo sapiens. The sequence continues at coordinate 91,296,553 of NC_000001.11, read as the reverse complement.
ATTTTTTTTTCTGAAATAACCAGCTAATTATAAAATTCATATGAAAATTCAAAAGGACAGGGTAGTCAGGGCAAACTTGAAGAAAAACATATTGGGCAACCTACTTTACTAGATATCAAGACCTGTTATTAAACAGTAGATAATAAGAATGTGATGTAGGCATAAGGATAGACACATTAACCAGTGGAATGGACTAGAGTCCAGAAATACACCTACAAATAATACAGTCATTGATTTCTGACAAAGGTGAAGTGCCATGCAGTTGGAAAACGGACAGTCTTTCAATAAATGCTGCTAGATCAACTGGATGTCCATATGGAAAAAATTGTATGTCAGTCTGGGCGCGGTGGCTCACGCCTGCAATCCCAGCATTTTGGGAGGCCAAGGTGGGCGGATCATGAGGTCAGGAGATTGAGTCCATCCTGGCTAACATGGTGAAACCCCATCTCTACTAAAAAATACAAAAAATTAGCCGGGCATGGTAGCAGGTGCCTGTAGTCCCAGCTACTCGGGAGGTGAATGGCATGAACCTGGGAGGCAGAGCTTGCAGTGAGCCGAGATTGCCACTGCACTCCAGCCTGGGTGACAGAGTGAGACTCCGTCTCAAAAAAAAAGAAAGAAAAAATTGTATGTCAACTCTGACCTCACACTGTACACAAAACTTATTTGCAAATAGATGACTGATTTAAATGTGAAAGAAAAACAATAAAACTTTTAGAGGAGAAAAAATAGGTCTTCGAGACCTTGGGATAGGTTGACTTTTTTAAAAAAACAGGGCACAAAACTTTCTAACCATAAAAACATAATGAATTTGACTATGTTAAAATTAAGAACTCTGTTCATCAAAAAGATACCATTAAGAGTGAAGGGTGCAACTCACAGAATGTGAGGAAAAAAATGGAATACATATACCTGGCTGTTATGGGCTGAATTGTGTTTACCCCCAAATAAATATGCTGAATTCCTCAGAATGCGACTATATTTGGAGATAGGGTCTGTAAAAGATAATTGAATTAAAATAGGGTTCCTTAGTGTGAACCCCAATCCAATATGCCTGGTGTTCTTATAAGAAGAGGAAATTAGGATACAGGCACACATGGAGGGAAGATCATGTGAAGACACAATGAGAGAGAGCCATTCACAAGCCAAGGAGAGGAACCTCAGGAGATACCAACCCTACCAACACCTTGATCTTGGACTTGTAGCCTCTAGAATTGTGAAACAATAAATTTCAGTTGTTTAAGCCACTCAATCTGCCACTTTGTTATGGCAGCCTTAACAAATTAATACACTGGAAAGAACGATTTTACATAATATATAAAGAACTCCTATATGTATAAGTAAACATTTTAAAAATGGGTACTCAATTAAACAGACACTTCAAAATAGAGGATATCCAAAAAGTCAGGAACCTATGAAAGAGTATTTAAGTTCATTAGACAAAGTGAGAATGAAAATCTACAATGAGATATTGCTGTATCATTGTGCAACCATCAAAAGGACTTAAGTGAAAAAGAAAATACCAAGTATTGATAAGGATATATAACAACTACTACTCTTAATCACTAATGTGATTATAGATTGATACAACTACTTCCGAAAACTAGCAGTATTTATTAAAGTTTAGCATATGCATTCTATGATAGAGTAATTCCCCTTGCATATTATGTGATAGAGCAATTCTGCTTCTAGGTATATACCAGATAAAAGTGTGCATATATGTTCACCAAAAGATGTATTTTGGAATGTTCATAGCAGTACTATCATATTAGCCCTAAAATGGAAACCAGCCAAAAGCTCATCAGCAGTTAGATGGACAAATAAATTGTGGTATATTGACCCAATACAATTCTACAGGGGTCAGAAAACTTTCCTAAAAGGCCAGATAGTAAATGTTTTTGGTTTGCAGACTATAGATCTTCTTTATATCTATGCAACTCTGTCTTTGTAGGTGTTTGCAACCCAAAAGCAGCCATAGACAATATGTAAATGAATAGACATGGGTGTATTCCAATAAAACTTTATTTACAAAAATAGATGGTTGGCCCATGAACTATAGTTTCCAACCCCTGCTATAGAGCAAGGAGATTGAATTACCTATGACTACACACAACAATATGAATGAATATCACTAACATAAAGTTAAGCAAAAGAAGCCAGACACAAAAAGGTAATACTGTATGAGTCCATGTATATAAATTGCAAAAATAAGCACTACTAACTCTCATGGTTTGAATTGTGTTTCACAAAAACATACATTGATGGTCTAATCCCTGGTACCTGTGAATGTGATCTTTTTTTTTTCCTTCTTTGGCATTATTTTATTTTGATTATTTTTTATTTTATTTATTATTATTATACTTTAAGTTTTAGGGTACATGTGCAAAATGTGCAGGTTAGTTACATATGTATACATGTGCCATGCTGGTGCACTGCACCCACTAACTCGTCATCTAGCATTAGGTATATCTCCCAATGCTATCCCTTCCCCCTCCCCCCACCCCACCACAGTCCCCAGAGTGTGATGTTCCCCTTCCTGTGTCCATGTGTTCTCATTGTTCATTTCCCACCTATGAGTGAGAATATGCGGTGTTTGGTTTTTTGTTCTTGCGATAGTTTGCTGAGAATGATGATTTCCAGTTTCATCCATGTCCCTACAAAGGACATGAACTCATCATTTTTTATGGCTGCATAGTATTCCATGGTGTATATGTGCCACATTTTCTTAATCCAGTCTATCATTGTTGGACATTTGGGTTGGTTCCAAGTCTTTGCTATTGTGAATAATGCCGCAATAAACATACGTGTGCATGTGTCTTTATAGCAGCATGATTTATAGTCCTTTGGGTATATACCTAGTAAGGGGATGGCTGGGTCAAATGGTATTTCTAGTTCTAGATCCCTGAGGAATCGCCACACTGACTTCCACAATGGTTGAACTAGTTTACAGTCCCACCAACAGCGTAAAAGTGTTCCTATTTCTCCACATCCTCTCCAGCACCTGTTGTTTCCTGACTTTTTAATGATTGCCATTCTAACTGGTGTGAGATGGTATCTCATTGTGGTTTTGATTTGCATTTCTCTGATGGCCAGTGATGGTGAGCCTTTTTTCATGTGTTTTTTGGCTGCATAAATGTCTTCTTTTGAGAAGTGTCTGTTCATGTCCTTTGCCCACTTTTTGATGGGGTTGTTTTTTTCTTATAAATTTGTTTGAGTTCTTTGTAGATTCTGGATATTAGCCCTTTGTCAGATGAGTAGGTTGCGAAAATTTTCTCCCATTCTGTAGGTTGCCTGTTCACTCTGATGGTAGTTTTCTTGCTGTGCAGAAGCTCTTTAGTTTAATTAGATCCCATTTGTCAATTTTGGCTTTTGTTGCCATTGCTTTTGGTGTTTTAGACATGAAGCCCTTGCCCATGCCTACGTCCTGAATGGTAATGCCTAGGTTTTCTTCTAGGGTTTTTATGGTTTTAGGTCTAACGTTCAAGTCTTTAATCCATCTTGAATTAATTTTTGTATAAGGTGTAAGGAAGGGATCCAGTTTCAGCTTTCTACATATGGCTAGCCAGTTTTCCCAGCACCATTTATTAAATAGGGAATCCTTTCCCCATTTCCTGTTTTTGTCGGGTTTGTCAAAGATCAGATAGTTGTAGATATGTGGCGTTATTTCTGAGGGCTCTATTCTGTTCCATTGATCTATATCTCTGTTTTGGTACCAGTACCATGCTGTTTTGGTTACTGTAGCCTTGTAGTATAGTTTGAAGTCAGGTAGTGTGATGCCTCCAGCTTTCTTCTTTTGGCTTAGGATTGACTTGGTGATACGAGCTCTTTTTTTGTTCCATATGAACTTTAAAGTAGTTTTTTCCATTTCTGTGAAGAAAGTCATTGGTAGCTTGATGGGGATGGCATTGAATCTGTAAATTACCTTGGGCAGTATGGCCATTTTCATGATATTGATTCTTCCTACCCGTGAGCATGGAATGTTCTTCCATTTGTTTGTATGCTCTTTTATTTTCTTGAGCAGTGGTTTGTAGTTCTCCTTGAAGAGGTCCTTCACATCCCTTGTAAGTTGGATTCCTAGGTATTTTATTCTCTTTGAAGCAATTGTGAATGGGAGTTCACTCATGATTTGGCTCTCTGTTTGTCTGTTATTGGTGTATAAGAATGCTTGTGATTTTTGCACATTGATTTTGTATCCTGAGACGTTGCTGAAGTTGCTTAACAACTTAAGGAGATTTTGGGCTGAGACAATGGGGTTTTCTAGATATACAATCATGTCATCTGCAAACAGGGACAATTTGACTTCCTCTTTTCCTAATCGAATACTCTTTATTTCCTTCTCCTGCCTAATTGCCCTGGCCAGAACTTCCAACACTATGTTGAATAGGAGTGGTGAGAGAGGGCATCCCTGTCTTGTGCCAGTTTTCAAAGGGAATGCTTCCAGTTTTTGTCCATTCAGTATGATTTTGGCTGTGGGTTTGTCATAGATAGCTGTTATTATTTTGAGATACGTCCCATCAATACCTAATTTATTGAGAGTTTTTAGCATGAAGTGTTGTTGAATTTTGTCAAAGACCTTTTCTGCATCTATTGAGATAATCATGTGGTTTTTGTCTTGGTTCTGTTTATATGCTGGATTACATTTATTGATTTGCGTATATTGAACCAGCCTTGCATCCCAGGGATGAAGCCCACTTGATCATGGTGGGTAAGCTTTTTGATGTGCTGCTGGATTCGGTTTGCCAGTATTTTATTGAGGATTTTTGCATCAATGTTCATCAAGGATATTGGTCTAAAATTCTCTTTTTTGGTTGTGTCTCTGCCCGTCTTTGGTATCAGGATGATGCTGGCCTCATAAAATGAGTTAGGGAGGATTCCCTCTTTTTCTATTGATTGGAATAGTTTCAGAAGGAATGGTACCAGTTCCTACTTGTACCTCTGGTAGAATTCGGCTATGAATCCATCTGGTCCTGGACTCTTTTTCGTTGGTAAGCTATTGATTATTGCCACAATTTCAGCTCCTGTTATTGGTCTATTCAGAGATTCAACTTCTTCCTGGTTTAGTCTTGGGAGAGTGTATGTGTCGAGGAATGTATCCATTTCTTCCAGATTTTCTAGTTTATTTGCGTAGAGGTGTTTGTAGTATTATCTGATGGTAGTTTGTATTTCTGTGGGATCGGTGGTGATATCCCCTTTATCATTTTTTATTGTGTCTATTTGATTCTTCTCTCTTTTCTTCTTTATTAGTCTTGCTAGCGGTCTATCAATTTTGTTGATCCTTTCAAAAAACCAGCTCCTGAATTCATTAATTTTTTGAAGGGTGTTTTGTGTCTCTATTTCCTTCAGTTCTGCTCTGATTTTAGTTATTTCTTGACTTCTGCTAGCTTTTGAATGTGTTTGCTCTTGCTTTTCTAGTTCTTTTAATTGTGATGTTAGGGTGTCAATTTTGGATCTTTTCTGCTTTCTATTGTGGGCATTTAGTGCTATAAATTTCCCTCTACACACTGCTTTGAATGTGTCCCAGAGATTCTGGTATGTTGTGTCTTCGTTCTCGTTGGTTTCAAAGAACATCTTTATTTCTGCCTTCATTTCGTTATGTACCCAGTAGTCATTTAGGAGCAGGTTGTTCAATTTCCATGTAGTTGAGCGGTTCTGAATGAGATTCTTAATCCTGAGTTCTAGTTTGATTGCACTGTGGTCTGAGAGATAGTTTGTTATAATTTCTGTTCTTTTACATTTGCTGAGGAGAGCTTTACTTCCAAGTATGTGGTCAATTTTGGAATAGGTGTGGTGTGGTGCTGAAAAAAATGTATATTCTGTTGATTTGGGGTGGAGAGTTCTGTAGATGTCTATTAGGTCCGGTTGGTGCAGAGCTGAGTTCAATTCCTGGGTATCCTTGTTGACTTTCTGTCTCGTTGATCTGTGTAATGTTGACAGTGGGGTGTTAAAGTCTCCTATTATTAATGTGTGGGAGTCTAAGTCTCTTTGTAGGTCACTCAGGACTTGCTTTATGAATCTGGGTGCTCCTGTGTTGGGTGCATATATATTTAGGATAGTTAGCTCTTCTTGTTGAATTGGTCCCTTTACCATTGATTAATGGCCTTCTTTGTCTCTTTTGATCTTTGTTGGTTTAAAGTCTGTTTTATCAGAGACTAGGATTGCAACCCCTGCCTTTTTTTGTTTTCCATTTGCTTGGTAGATCTTCCTCCATCCTTTTATTTTAAGCCTATGTGTGTCTCTGCCTGTGAGATGGGTTTCCTGAATACAGCACACTGATGGGTCTTGACTCTTTATCCAATTTGCCAGTCTGTGTCTTTTAATTGGAGCATTTAGTCCATGTACATTTAAAGTTAATATTGTTGTGTTTGAATTTGATCCTGTCATTATGATGTTAGCTGGTTATTTTGCTTGTTAGTTGATGCAGTTTTCTTCCTAGTCTCGATGGTCTTTACATTTTGGCATGATTTTGCAGCGGCTGGTACCGATTGTTCCTTTCCATGTTTAGCACTTCCTTCAGGAGCTCTTTTAGGGCAGGCCTGGTGGTGACAAAATCTCTCAGCATTTGCTTGTCTGTAAAGGATTTTATTTCTCCTTCACTTATGAAGCTTAGTTTGGCTGGATATGAAATTCTGGGCTGAAAATTATTTTCTTTAAGAATGTTGACCCTCTCCCTCTCCCTCTCCCTCTCGTCTCCCTCTCCCTCTTTGCACGGTCTCCCTCTGATGCTGAGCTGAGGCTGGACTGTGCTGCCGCCATCTCGGCTCACTGCAACCTCCCTGCCTGATTCTCCTGCCTCAGCCTGCCGAGTGCCTGGGATGCAGGCGCGCGCCGCCACGCCTGACTGGTTTTTGTATTTTTTGGTAGAGACGGGGTTTCGCTGTGTTGGCCGGGCTGGTCTCTAGCTCCTGACTGCGAGTGTTCTGCCAGCCTCAGCCTCCCAAGGTGCCAGGATTGCAGACGGAGTCTCGCTCACTCAGTGCTCAATGTTGCCCAGGCTGGAGTGCAGTGGCGTGTTCTTGGCTCGCTACAACCTCCACCTCCCAGCCGCCTGCCTTGGCTTCCCAAAGTGCCGAGATTGCAGCCTCTGCCCAGGTGCCACTCTGTCTAGGAAGTGAGGAGCATCTCTGCCTGGCCGCCCATCGTCTGGGATGTGAGGAGCCCTTCTGCCCGGCCGCCCAGTCTGGGAAGTGAGGAGCGTCTCTTCCTGGCCGTCATCCCGTCTAGGAAGTGAGGAGCATCTCTGCCCGGCCGCCCATCGTCTGGGATGTGGGGAGCGCCTCTGCCCCGCCGCCCCGTCTGAGATGTGAAGAGCGCCTCTGTCCGGCCGCGACCCCGTCTTGGAACTGAGGAGTGTCTCTGCCCCGCCACCACCCCGTCTGGGAGGTGAGGAGCGTCTCTGACTGGCTGCCCCATCTGAGAAATGAGGAGCCCCTCCGCCTGGCAGCCGCCCCATCTGGGAAGTGAGGAGTGTCTCCGCCCGGCAGCCGCCCCATCCGGGAGGTGGGGGGCAGCCCCCGCCCGGCCAGCTGCCCCATCCGGGAGGTGGGGGGTAGCCCCCACCTGACCAGCCGCCCCGTCCGGGAGGTGGGGGGCGCCTCTGCCCGGCCGGCCCGTCTGGGAAGTGAGGAGCCCCTCTGCCCGGCCGCCACCCCGTCTGGGAGGTGTACCCAACAGCTCATTGAGAAAGGGCCATGATGACGATGGCGGTTTTGTTGAATAGAAAAGGGGGAAATGTGGGGAAAAGAAAGAGAGATCAGATTGTTACTGTGTCTGTGTAGAAAGAAGTAGACATAGGAGACTCCATTTTATTCTGTACTAAGAAAAATTCATCTGCCTTGGGATGCTGTTAATCTATAACCTTACCCCCAACCCTGTGCTCTCAAACGTGTGCTGTGTCCACTGAGGGTTAAATGGATTAAGGGCGGTGCAAGATGTGCTTTGTTAAACAGATGCTTGAAGGCAGCATACTCCTTAAGAGTCATCACCACTCCCTAATCTCAAGTACCCAGGGACACAAACACTAGGGAAGGCAGCAGGGCCCTCTGCCTAGGAAAACCAGAGACCTTTGTTCACATGTTTATCTGCTGACCTTCCCTCCACTATTGTCCTATGACCCTGCCAAATCCCCCTCCCCGAGAAACACCCAAGAATGATCAATAAATACTAAAAAAAAAAAAAAAAAAAAAAAAAGAATGTTGAATATTGGCCCCCACTCTCTTCTGGCTTGTAGAGTTTCTGCCGGGAGATCTGCTGTTAGTCTGATGGGCTTCCCTTTGAGGGTAACCCGACCTTTCTCTCTGGCTGCCCTTAACATTTTTTCCTTCATTTCAACTTTGGTGAATCTGACAATTATGTGTCTTGGTGTTGCTCTTCTTGAGGAGTATCTCTGTGGCGTTCTCTGTATTTCCTGAATCTGAATGTTGGCCTGCCTTGCTAGATTGGGGAACTTCTCCTGGATAATATCCTGCAGAGTGTTTTCCAACTTGGTTCCATTCTCCCCGTCACTTTAAGGTACACCAATCAGACGTAGATTTGGTCTTTTCACATAGTCCCATATTTCTTGGAGGCTTTGCTCGTTTCTTTTTATTCTTTTTTCTCTAAACTTCCCTTCTCGCTTCATTTCATTCATTTCATCTTCCATCGCTGATACCCTTTCTTCCAATTCATCGCATCGGCTCCTGAGGCTTCTGCATTCTTCACGTAGTTCTCGAGCCTTGGTTTTCAGCTCCATCAGCTCCTTTAAGCACTTCTCTGTATTGGTTATTCTAGTTATACATTCTTCTAAATTTTTTTCAAAGTTTTCAACTTCTTTGCCTTTGGTTTGAATGTCCTCCCGTAGCTCGGAGTAATTTGATCGTCTGAAGACTTCTTCTCTCAGCTCGTCAAAGTCATTCTCCGTCCAGCTTTGTTCTGTTGCTGGTGAGGAACTGCGTTCCTTTAGAGGAGGAGAGGTGCTCTGCTTTTTAGTTTCCAGTTTTTCTGCTCTGTTTTTTCCCTATCTTTGTGGTTTTATCTACTTTTGGTCTTTGCTGATGGTGATGTACAGATGGGTTTTTGGTGTGGATGTCCTTTCTGTTTGTTAGTTAGTTTTCCTTCTAACAGACAGGACCCTCAGCTGCAGGTCTGTTGGAGTACCCGGACGTGTGAGGTGTCAGTCTGCCCCTGCTAGGGGGTGCCTCCCAGTTAGGCTGCTTGGGGGTCAGGGGTCAGGGACTCACTTGAGGAGGCAGTCTGCCCCTTCTCAGATCTCCAGCTGCATGCTGGGAGAACCACTGCTCTCTTCAAAGCTGTCAGACAGGGACATTTAAGTCTGCAGAGGTTACTGCTGTCTTTTTGTTTGCCTGTGCGCTGCCCCCAGAGGTGGAGCCTACAGAGGCAGGCAGGCCTCCATGAGCTGTGGTGGGCTCCACCCAGTTCGAGCTTCCCGGCTGCTTTGTTTACCTAAGCAATCCTGGGCAGTGGCGGGCACCCCTCCCCCAGCCTCGCTGCCGCCTTGCAGTTTGATCTCAGACTGCTGTGCTAGCAATCAGCGAGACTCCGTGGGCGTAGGACCCTCTGAGCCAGGTGCGGGATATAATCTCGTGGTGCGCCGTTTTTTAAGCCCGTCGGAAAAGCGCAGTATTCGGGTGGGAGTGACCCAATTTTCCAGGTGCCGTCTGTCACCCCTTTCTTTGACTAGGAAAGGGAACTCCCTGACCCCTTGCGCTTCCCGAGTGAGGCAACGCCTCGCCTTGCTTCGGCTGGCGCACGGTGCACTGCACCCACTGACCTGTGCCCACTGTCTGGCACTCCCTAGTGAGATGAACCCGGTACCTCAGATGGAAATGCAGAAATCACCCGTCTTCTGCGTCGCTCACACTGGGAGCTGTAGACTGGAGATGTTCCTATTCGGCCATCTTGGCTCCTCGGTCGTGAATGTGATCTTATCTGGAATAGAGTTTACAGATATAATCAAGTTAAGGTGGACCCTAATCCAATATGACTGCATCCTAATCCAATATGACTGGTGTCCTTATATGAAAAGGCAAAAAGACACAGACACCAAGAAAACTCCATAAGAATACCAATACAGAGGAAAGACAGCCATGCAAAGACAGAGGCAGAGATTATAGTTATGCTCCCACAAGCCAAGAAATGTCTAGAGCTATCAGAAACTGGAAGAGTTGAGGAAGGATCCTCTCCTAGAGAATTCAGAGGGAGTATGGCTCTGCCAGCAACTTATTTCAGACTTTTAATCTTCAGAACTGTGAAAGAATAAATTTCTGTTGTTTTAAGCCATCCAGTGTGTGGTACTTTGTTATAGCCACCCTAGAAAACTAATATACTAATCTGTGCTGTTAAAAGTCAAGATAAAGATTACTCTTGACAAAGTTGACTAGAATAGGACAGAAAGATAGTTTCTAGGGGTGCTGATATTTCTCTGTTGTGGGTAGTACTGAACTCTATATATATAATTTCCTTATTAAGTCAAGAACTTTCACCTTTTCACTTAAAGGAAACTACAGCTTCTCTTTGGCACATCCAAATTGCCAGCATTGCTACTCTTGTGCTTTGGGGCCATTACTAAGTAAAACAAGGGTTACTTGAACACAAGTACTGTGATACCATGACCGTCGATTTGATCATTGAGACACCTACCAAGTGACTAAGGGGTGGGTAGCATATACAGCCTGGATATGCTGGGCAAAGGAATGATTCACATCCAGGACAGAGTGAAGTGGGACAGCCTGAGATTCTATCATGCTACTCAGAATGATGTACAATTTAAAACTTATGAAATATTTATTTCTGAAAATTTTCATGTAATATTTTCGGACCAGAGTTGACCTTGGGTAACTGAAACTGTGGAAAGCAAAATCATGGATGAAGGGGGCTACTGTATGTAATCATCCAAATCTTAGGAACTTATGCACATCCGTATTGTACAATTCAATTTTTATATGCAAATTTATATATCCCTGGATAAAGATACACAATTATACCTCTAAACCTAACATACATACACTCTTTCTTAGTAACTGACACAATTAAGGGGCAATAGATTACCCTACTAAGGCTGTGACACCAAATTTGGGCCTTTTCAAAACAATCCAAATTTCAGTTGTTCTAATCCCTTGTCAAATGGTGTTATTAAATGATACAAACTGATATTTAGTTCAGAGAATATAATTGCTAAATGGCTATTTCCAAATATGCTTTCAAGTTGAACAAATGTTTCAATTTTGTATATCATCAAATTATAGGACTATATATAAAAACAAAAACATGCACCTTAGGGAATATAAAATAATGAAAAATTCTTTTCATGCTTTCTACAACTTATATTAGTCCGTTTTCATGCTGCTGATAAAGACATAACTGAGACTGGGTAATTTATAAAGAAAATGAGGTTCGATGGGCTCACAGTTCCACGTGGCTGGGGAGGCCTCACAATCATGGCAGAAAGTGAAAGGCACGTCTTACATGGTGGCAGACAAGAGAGAATGAGAGCCAGCCGAAAGGAGAGACCCCTTATAAAATCATCAAATCTTGTGAGACTTATTCACTACCACAAGAACAGTATGGGGGAAACTGCCCCCATGATTCAATTATCTCCCCCAGGTCTCTCCCACAACATGTGGAAATTATGGGAGCTGCAAATCAAGATGAGATTTGGGTGAGGACACAGCCAAACCATATCAAACTTTTTGAAAACATTCTTTTAGCTGCAGTTTCTCACATATGGTTATAGTTCCAAGAGATAAAATTCTTGTATAATTTGAGGAAGAACATTTTTGTTATTTTTAATATATGGCAATGTGAGACATATTTTTAAGTTGTAAAAACAAAAATTAAAAAATTTTCAGGCCTGCTCTCAGTATATGAAGATTAGGCATTTAAACTTCTTATCCTTTAAATGCATTCTAAATAAGAATTACAGGCTTTGCTTAATTTGAAGAAAATCTATTTGACATTAATACATTTATCTTCATTTGCAGTATTATTCTGAATATGAATGTCTTGGAGCTAGGTACAGTGGCTCACACCTGTAATCTCAACAATTTGGGAGGCCGAAGGCAGGCAGATCACCTGAGGTCAGGAATTCCAGACTAGCCTGGCCAATGTGGTGAAACCCCATCTCTACTAAAAATACAAAAATTAGCTGGGCATGGTGGCAGGCACCTGTAATCCCATGTAATACGAGCTACTCGGGAGGCTGAGGCAGGTGAATCACTTGAGCCTTGGGCGGAGGTTGCAGTGAGTTGAGATTGCACCACTGCACTCCAGCCTGGGCAACAAAGGCAAAACTCTATCTCAAAAAAAAAATAATAATAATATAATAATAATAATAATTAATGTAGTTGAATGAATACAAGGATAAAGCCAGTCCTCAGGCACATTGTGTGTACATTTAAATACTAGTTAAAAGGCAGTCTACTTTTCTTTATATTCTTTGGTGTGTATGTGCATTAAGTTGCAAAATCAAGGACTCCAGTTCAGTGTATTCCTTTTCTGCATAAATAAATAACAAAATGATAGTAAAATATTTGACAGAAAAATGAAAAGGAGACTCTCTCATCATTAAAAAAAGTAAAACCATGAATTGCATAAATCTATGATTAGCATAAATGGAGAACTGCAAAAGTGAAAGTAATACTAAAAAAATACTCCAGTAGCTTCTGCACAGACCAAATTATTTGAATTTATAATTAGAAAGTTATGCTAAGTGTGACAGAGATTCTTGCTATTTTTTATTTATTGTCTGGACTTCTTTTTTTAAAGAAGTGACCCTTGCCCCGCCACCTGTTAATGACTCTGTTAAAGTAATTTTAAGTATTTTCTTTCAATACATTTCTATTTGATATTATTAATAAATTTACTTTAAATGCTTGGAACTAGAGACTTTATAACATGTAAATTAATACAATATGTGGCAAAACTATGAAAATATTTGCACCTCAGATTATGACAGTGATGGAATATGGAATCTGCTATCTTTAGAGTATACTTAAGAGTGCAGCTTAGGCTGGGCACAGTGACTCACACCTGTAGTCTCAGCACTTTGGGAGGCCGAAGTGGGTGGATTGCTTGAACTTACAGGTTCGAGACCAGCCTGGGCAACATGGCTGGTCTTTACAAACCCTGTCTCTACAAAAAATACAAAAATTAGCTGGGTGTGGTGGTGCATGCCTGTAGTCCCAGCTACTGAGGGGGCTGAGTTGGGAGGATCACTTGAGCCTGGGAGGCTGAAGTTTCAGTGAGCCGTGATGGTGCCACTGCACTCCTGCCTAGGTGATAGAGCCAGACTTTTTCTCAGAAGAGTACAGCTTAGATTATTTTTTTTCTGAGAACCTTATCTTTCTAATTACCAATATCTGTAAGCTTATATTTGCTAATAAGATAAATTCAGACAATTCTCAGGAGGTAGGGAGGGCGGCAGGGTAAAGGGAGCACTTTTATTTTCAAAGTACCATTCGTAACAAAAATACAGCAAAAAGATTTCGTCAGGTAGTATCCATGTGCTAGTGTTCTATAAACAAACAAACAAAACTTGCATACAGTCCTCATTCCTGACAAGACTTGCCAACTTTGCCTTGAAATTTTTGGGAGCCCTCGGAATCTCTCTAATTAGAGTCCCAGATCCTAGTTGCTGCCACTGGGAGCAAATGTGCTTAGTCATTGTGCACCACCTTGTGGCAGCGTTTAGACATGCATCTTTTTTAGAAGTTCTTTAGTATTTAAGACCCAAAGGCAACTCTTTATTCTTCATTTTAAAACAGCAACTTGCAAAGCTTTTCTTCCAAGTCTTCCCACCTCAAAACAAAGGTTCCTTCTCTAAATAACTTAAATGAATCCTCTGGGAGAGCTAAAGCAACTGGTACAACTAGAGAGAGAATTGTTGATAGATCAGTCTCTGGAATTAGACTACCTTGAATTAGAATCTCAAATTTGCTACTTACTAACAGCATAGTCTTGAGCATCTTACTTAACCTCTGTAAGAATTAATTTTCTCATAGGTGAAATGGAGATATAATAGGAACCTTATAGGCAGACAACCAAGGGTGATGAGACATTTTAGGAAAATGTAGAATGTGTGAAAGTCCAAAATAAGGAAATAGAAAATGGATGAAAGAGCAACAGGATAATTCAGGAATGTAATAAAACCTAATATAAAACTTTAGTAACGTCCGAGAAATTAAAGATTAAATTGCAACCACAAAACTGAATAGGATGCCATTTTAAAATAAAAAGAACCAGAGCAAGCACAGAGAAGCAAAAATTATGTTTGGAAGGAAAACCGGAGGTCTCGAACATAAAGTCAATACCTTCTCAATGAAAGCAAAAAGTCAAGGAGACAGAAAATATAAGAGAAAAGGGGGGCAATTTAAGAACCCAGTATCTAACTTATAAGTGTTCAAGAAAGAACAAACAAATCAGAAGAAATAATTTGAGAAACGTTTTCAGAACTGAAGTGAGACAGAAATCTTCACATTAAAAAGTCTTACTTAATGCTAGTTAGGATGAATGAAAGGTCTACAAATAAAGCTAATTGCAATATTTCAGAACATTGTGGATAAAGACAAAATTGTAAATGCTTACGAGGCACAAAAATTTAAAAATGTAATAGTCTTTTAGTGAGCAATGTTGGATGCTAAAAGTCAATTGATTTAAAATTCCAGGGGGAAGCCAGGCACAGTGGTTTGTGCCTGTAATCTCAGCTACTTGGAAGAATGAGAAGGCAGGAGTGCGTGCGCCCAAGAGTTCGAGGCTGCGGTGAGCTGTGGTCTCACACCTGCACTCCAGCCTGGGTGACAGAGCGAGACCCTGTCTCCAAAACTGTAATAATAAAAAATAAAATTCCAAGGGAAAAATGATTTTCAACCTTATGTTCTATGCCCAGCCAAACTACTAAGTATGAAAGTAATATAAAGATGCCTTAATACATTCAAAGATTCAGAAAATTTTATTCTTATACATCCTTTCTTAGGCAGTTGCTCAAAATTGAGCACCAGTAAAACAAGAAAGAAAAAGCCCAAGAATCCATTTGTAGTAGATTCAGCCCAGGAACTTAATGAAAGGAAGTTCAAAGGTGACAGTTACAGGACAGGTCTAGATTGCATTAGGAGGCAGATAGAGGGTTCAAGGAAGGAGGCATTGATGAGGGGGGAATAAATGGGTGAGGTATTCCCATGTATTTGCTTTTACCCTTCAACTATTGAGTGAACTTAAAGAAACAAGATGGATATTGCTAGACAAAAAGGAAGGCTGCAAAACTTCAGGGGAAGCAATATGCTGCTCAAGAAAGAAAACCACTCCACTTGATTCTGCATTAAAAATATTTTTACCTTCTGTATATCTCTCAAATCAGTCTATTCTCTGTAACTCTACTACCACCACCACTCTGGAGTTACCATGATTTCTGCTTAGACTTGTACTGGTTTTCTTGCATCCTTTCTGTCTTATCTCAAATCTGTTCTCCATATTACACTCTATATGGTGACGTTTTTCACAATGCAGATCTGATTGTGCCCCCTCTTCGGTTAAAACATTTCAGTGGCTTCCCATAGCTCTTAGAATCTAAATCATTAGCATCCCCTAGAAGGTTCTATATGGTCACATGGTCAACCAGTCCCTAAGCAGCAATGTAGTGGTAGCTGCTATGTGGTCTTGCCTCACTTCTGTAGATTTGGCTGGTAAGGACACCCTAATGGATTTAAACAGTTTATTACTTACACAGATGGCAAAGCAAGATCAGCATGGTATTAGCTGCTTACATCCCCAATTCCACAGGATGATACCAAACTAGGGGGGTCAGATGACAGACAACATGAGTGGTGGGTTGCTTTGTTTTTGAGAAGTGAACTCTAGGCTTCAGCTAAGCAGTTTTATCTGAAAGGGGCAAAATGGAAAGTTCCATACCTTAGTGGAATCAGGGAGGCAGATGAGAAACTGCCGCATGGCAAGTCTTCTGCAAGATCGAGGGTCTTCTGCAAGGTATGGAGCAAATGTGAAATGGCCTTTGATAGCTCCTCACAAGACTACCTATCTTGCCATTTTTAAGGATGATCATGGGGCATTCTGCCAACAGTTGAGTCTTACCTACATGGCCTATATGGAGATATGCAATTGCCATGGTGCCATGGTGGAACTGTTCCCCTACAAACATAGGCTGCCTTTACTACCACTATAGTCTCATCTTACATACTTTCTCATATTTGCTAGCATCAGTCATATTGACCTTTCAGTTTCCCCAATGTGCCATGCTTTTCCTTGTCATAGAGCTTTAGCATATGCTATCCCCTCTGCCTGAACTCTAATTTCTCCTCCTTCTTTGCCTTCTTAACTTCCCTTCTTTCTTCAGTGCTCAGCCCAACGTTCCTGACCAGAACAGCTTCACCTGTTACCACATAGCATGATGTACCACTCCTTCACAGCATTCAGAACAATTTTAGTTTAAAATTTATTTGTTTAATCTTGGATTGATGTAATAGTAGAGATAGCGGATATAATATATACATTAATATATTTGTTTATCACTTAATTGTCAATTGTTTTTACATACTTAAATTACATTTTATTTTTACGTCTCTGTGAGGTAAACAGAACAGATATTAAATCTTTTTTCCCAAATAAGAGCCTATATTAGAGCTCATTTTTTTTCTATTTTAGTGTTCCCTGTACTTCACCACTATGTTTTTTCTGTAAATACATTCAATATAAGGCAGCATACAGTAAGCAAGAGGCACAGAGAAAATGCCACAGGGGCCCAAAGGAGAGGGAAATCAGATCAGGTGATCACCATAGACCTCCAACCCAGAGGTGCCATTTGAGTCAGACTTGAAGGTTGGTAGGCATCTGTTGGGCAAGGAAATGAGGGTCTTCTAAGACAAGAGATAGTATCAAAGCTACAGTTATAAAAAGGCATGGAACTATTTGAAGAATGGCAATTGAATGTGTTTTGATGGATGTAGGGCTAATATGGGTCCCAGGAAGGGAAGCTGGAATTGGATCATGCAGGACCTTGAAGATGGAATTGATTTTGCTGGCAGTAGGAAGTAACTCATGTTTCTAAGTGGGCAAATTGGTCTGATCAGCATTGGACTTTAAAAGTATTAAATAAGCAACAATGTGTAGAATAAATTGTATCATGGAGGACTGGATTCAAAGAAACCAGTTCTGATCTAAGTGAGAGGTAACAGGACCATGACTTGGGACAAAACACCTGAAACAATAAGTCGTGACACACTTTACAAAGTTTAAAGTCAAAGCCTTTCAGTCAGTGCCTAATAGGAACACACTTGGGTCTGAGGAACGTTAGGTTTATTTAACATACTGCAGCAAAGGAGAGCACCATAGCCACAGAACTGTGGGTCATCTCAAGGAGCCAGGAGGATTTTCTTATAGGATTTCAGAATCTTATTATAGGATTTCAGAATCTTATTATAGGATTTCAGCTTGTGCTGGGTGACTCTTAGGAAGGTTTAGGGAAAGCAGAGATCAGTTCTAGATTGGATGCTCTCAGGAAGTAAGATGTTGGATATTTTGGTACATTTTTTTTTTGGAAGTGAGAGGATTTAAAAAATAGTAGTCATCTGTGTTAGCCAGAAGAGGGGGATGTTTCATTATTTTTTATGTTTCTTGAGAGTTCTTTTCTCTAGTTTCAGAAACATTTACATGGTAGTCTTATCTCTGTCTTCTTCTACTATGGTCACAGAGTGGCCTTATCTGGGTATTTATATTCTCAAAATTGTTTGCTCAATTGGGAATACTGTGGTTAGCTGTCAGCTTCCAGCCGCCCAGGTGTTTTCTTTTTACCTTATCAGTACCCAATACATTGATCTGTTCAGCTCTAAGGACCAGCCGTTGCCTCATATGTTGAGCAGCCTCATCCATTTACCCTAGGCTGCAATATGTATATTATCACTGTCTAGACGTGCCATGACTTGGAAAGCTTGACTGAACAATGGTACCGAAAATGAAGAGTAAAGTACCAAGAAATGTTGTAAAGTTTTCAAGCTCTCCACTATCTCCAACATTTCTGGTTCACTTAAAATCTATGCTGCAGCAAAAATAAGCTGATTTCAGCTCTTACAATCGGTGATTTGCTGCTTTTGGGTATTTGCCCTCCACCTGGAATATCTTCCCTTTGTCTCATTCTCATGTTCGTATTTCCATCTGTCCTTCAAGGACCAGTTCAAACATCTCTCTCCTTCCCCGTGCTACTAGTGAGAGCTAAGATCAAGAAAAAGCTGATTTAAAATATAATAAATTAAGAGTAAATCATATATTTAGATATATTAATTCTAACTTAGAGGAGTCAGGATGGAAACAATCTCTCTTTCCTGTAAATTCATATAGCTAATTTCTTAGATCCCTAAAGCATTTATTTCTAATATGTATTAAATATGTATTACATCTTGTTTACTAACTTCTGTCAGCAGTACCATCAAAATGCCATAATGTTTACTTCTTTACAGGTTTTTCAGGCTTGAGTACAAAGCAACAGAAGTGTTTTTAAACTCCACCCTCATTCTTACCTCATTTAGTAAAAAAGTTACTGATATGTGGCCATATTTGGCCCTATTTTATATATATATAATATAATGTATATAAAGTATATATAAAATATAATATATAAAGTATATATATTATATATTAGTGTATATATTATATATAAGCATATATAATATATAAGTATATATTATATATATAAAGTATATATAATATATATTAGTATATATTATATATAAAGTATATATATTATATATTAGTATATATTATATATAAAGTATATACATTATATATATTAGTATATATTATATATAAAGTATATATATTATATATATTAGTATATATTATATAAAGTATATATAATATATATTAGTATATATTATATATAGTGTATAT
This sequence comes from Homo sapiens, assembly GCF_000001405.40. Lineage (NCBI taxonomy): Eukaryota > Metazoa > Chordata > Mammalia > Primates > Hominidae > Homo > Homo sapiens. The sequence goes on along the minus strand of NC_000001.11, from coordinate 91,277,668 downwards.
ATTATATATATTAGTATATATTATATATAGTATATATTATATATATTAGTATATAGTATATATATAAAGTATATATATTATATATAAAGTATATATATTATACATATTTAAAGTATATATATTATATATATATAAAGTATACACACACACACACACACACACCCACCAGGGAGATTATACACACACACCAGGGAGGTTGAGAGAAGCTTGTAGGTGGCTAGATGTTTCTTGTTGGGAGTAATAGTGGGGCAGGGAGTAACTTATCAAAAATATGTTTTAAAAATTACCAGGCATGGTGGTAAGTGCCTGTAGTCCCAGCTACTTGGAAGGCTGAAACAGGAGGATCTCTTGAGCCCAGGAGATTGAGGCTGTAATACTAATTATCATGCCTGTGAATAGCCATAGCACTCCAGCCTAGGCAAGATAGCAAGACCCTATCTCTTTATTAAAAAAAAAATTACGTGGATTACAAAACACTTGAGAAAGTATAAAAATCAATATTTTTGTATTGTCTGAAAGGAAGGAAACTGGATAAAAATTAATTATATTAAATTAACAATAATAAATGTAGTGACAAATGGATTTGTTTTTCTTATATTAATTTAGGAACGACTGCCAGCAAAAAACCTGGGAACCGAGAATGCAATCATCTTTGTAAAAGTAAACATACATGTGGACATGACTGCTGTGAGTTCCTTAAAACAAGTTTATTTAAAGTGTTCAAAATTGAAAGGTCTTTGGTGGATAGTAATGACATCCTAATTATGTATGATATTTATATTATGCAACTTAATAATGCAAATAATTTTCTCTCTGTGGGCAACATGAAAAAAGTAAATACTAGATTTGAAATTTTAAAGAAATTTGACTTTATAAGAATAAGATCTGAAGTTTAACCTAAAGAATCTGAAGTTTCTTTTCATAGGTAAAATTGGAGTTGCACAGAAGTCAGAAATTAAAGAGTCAACAATTTCTTCATATTTATCTGATTTAAGAAACAGGAATGCTGTTTCATCTGTTCCTCCAGTTAAACGTCTGAAGGTTAGTTTTAATAACATTTTTCCCATTGTTCTGTAGTTAAACGTATATAAATATTCTTTGTTCTGTCTGTCAATTAGGTATCCACAGTGTACTATAGAATTACTTGTGGGCTTGACTAAGAATATTACCATTATTCATAATCCATCTTCCCTTCTTTCTTCTTTCCTTTTTTCTTCTAAATCTTTCTTCTTTCCTTCCATCTTCTTTGAGCACCAAGAATATGCCAAAGTGCTAAGATACAGTGACGATTAAGACAGTCTTATTCCCAATCATAGAATTTGTAGTAGAGTGAGAGATACAAGTAAGTAAACATGCTTTTTTAATATAGTGTGATGAGTGATTCTGTGACAGAAGTACAACACAGTTAAGTTTAGACAGAAAAGGTACTCAATCCACATTTGATGGACCAAGAAAGGATTCCTAATAGATGTGATTGGGACCTGAAGGATAAGCCAAGGATGGAGGGGCAGGCACCAGAATGATCGTAGGAAGGGATAGCTAAATATTCCAAGCATAGAGATTATACAAAGGTCCAGAGGTATAAAGAAAGAGAGAGAGAGAGGGATCTTTAAAGAAACTCTTTCTCAGTAATACAGTACGTCTAGAGTTTGATTACAAGTAAAGGAGTAGAGAGAGATGAGGCTGAAGAGGCAAGTAGGAGCTAGATCATGCAGACCTTTTTGCTATTTTAAGGGATTAGACTTTATCATGAAAGTACTGAGAAGCCAATGAAAGATTTTAACCAGTGACATGATCAAAATTGTATTTTGTAAAAGTCACTCTGACTGCAATGTAGAAAAGGGATTAGAGGATGATAGAATAGGAACAAAGGGACTCATTAGGTGGTTTTTACAATAATCTAAGCAAAATAATGGCCTAGTTTAGGGTAGTGGCAATAGCAATGGAGGGAAGTGACTGGGTTAAAATATTTTTCAGAGGTAGAATCGCTACCTTGCTACTTCATTGGTTATAAGAGACAAAATAGAAGGAACAGTCAAAAATGATGCCCAGGTTTCTGGCATTAGCAACTGGGAGAAAAGTGGGGTCTCATTCAGGTAGATATTCTGAAGGAAAAGCAAGTTTGCTGAAATAGAGAACAGGATAAGTTCAACTTGGGAAACACTGAATTTAGAGGGCCTGCAAGATGTCTAGCTAAGGATGTCCTACAGACAGCTGGATATAACTGTTTGAAAATCAGGAGACAGAGCTGAGCGAGAAGTAGAAATTTGAGAGTCATTCACATGTAGATGACAATTGAAGCCACAGGAATAAATGAGATCTTTGATTGAGAAGGTGTAGTGTAAGAAGAGACCTAGTAAAGAACCATGAAGAATGCCAACATTTAGGCCAGATGTGGTGGCTCACGCCTGTAATCCCAGCACTTTGGGAGGCCGAGGCGGGTGGATCACAAGGTCAGGAGTTCGAGACCAGCCTGGCCAACATAGTGAAACCCCTGTCTCTACTAAAAATACAAAAATTAGCCAGGCATGGTGGTGGGCACCTGTAATCCCAGCTAGTCAGGAGGCTGAGGCAGAGAATTGCTTAAACCTGGGAGGCAGAGGTTGCAGTGAGCTGAGATTATACCACTGCACTCCAGCCTGGGTGAAAGAACAAAACTCCATCTCAAAAAAAAAAAAAAAAATGCCAACATTTAAGAAGGGCCTGAGTGAAATATTCGAGTCAAGAACTAACCTGAGTTTCTCCTAATTCATTGATTTGGGGACTTTATGTACCAGCAGGAATTTTGTTGTTTGGCTCATGTGTTACAAGTTATTGATGTGAAACTGATAGTTGAACTTATTTTTGTTTCATTAATAGATACAGATGAATAAATCTCAAAGTGTGGACCTTAAAGAGTTTGGTTTTACTCCAAAACCTTCCCTTCCTAGTATATCAAGGTACAAATATAATGTTAATATCTAAGGTAAAATATTTATCGTAAACTCTGTTCCTGCAGGTAACCACTTATTCAGGGAAAGATAGTCACTGGCTACCATCAAGTCACAGTTATCGTTTAGTTCCATAGTGAAGCAATAACATCATAATGGTTTCATTATCTTTGATACCCTAAATTTATTTAGAACTCTGCAGTTATGAAATAACATTCATTAGATCATCTCTTCCCTAGGAAACTACCTATCCTCTGTCATTCCCTTAGGTTCTCTCTTTATAGGGAATATAAACTAAGTGACAAGAGTATACTTTAAAATGGAAATCATGTTGGTGTACAGTCTAACCTTTCCATTTAGAAGCTCAGTCCATATTAATAATATCTCAGATTTATAATACGAAAATTACACATTTGTGCATTATATTTTCTGACTTAAACAACAACATGGCCCATAAAATGAGGTATTTTTTCGTCCCATTGTATAGATGGAAAAACTGAAGTTCATATTCCTAGTTAGCAAGCAGAAGGCCTTAGGTGGTAACTCATTGTTCTTTTCCTGTATCCTGATGCCTACAGGACAATCATATATGTAATTTCCCTGCTAGATAAGGGCATTCTATATGCAGGAATGACATTCAATGTATTTAACAACTAGTACAGAACAGGAACTGACTCATCAGAATAGATGCCAGCAGTACTTCTAGAGATCCTGGCTTTTGTTATCTAACTAAGGGCATGTAAAGGAAAGTATTGGTCACTTCCATGAAACACCTATTTATTTGCTACCCAGCCTGGGTCCAGTGTATCATAGAAGTGTTAAATGGATAAATCATTATTTTTGTTTATATGAATAAATAGTTTTCAGGCTTAGATTAATTTCCATATTTTCTTTAACATTTTCATGGTTTTATCTTTATAAAGGTCAGAATATTTAAACATATCTGAATTGCCTATAATGGAGCAGTGGGATCAGCCTGAAATCTATGGAAAAGTTAGACAAGAACCATCTGAATATCAAGACAAAGGTAAATTACCATTGATACTTACTTGAGAGAGTAAATGGCTTATTATTACTTTGAATTGACGAGTAGTGTTATTGAAACACCGGCATCTGAAATTGTTATGATTATTAACTTGGCAACATTTTTCTCTTAGATTACTGAATCATTTTCAAATTCTTGGGTCTGTTATTGAGATGGTCTTACTCTGTTTGTTGTACTTTTTAAAAAAAAATCTCTTTCCTACATAATGCTATTTTAATTTAAAGATACTATGAGGAAAACCTGAGCAAATAAGGGATCCTTGGGTATATAGAGTATTAACATACTGAATGATTACATTCATATATCATTAGAATTATTTAAAATAATTTTATGTTTATAAAACTAGTCCAGTTTTACAAAATATCAATGTGACCTTGGGCAAGTTATTTAATCTCTTTGGGCTTTAGTCTTATCTTTAAGATGAAGGTATTGAACTGGGTGACCTTTAATATCTCTCCAATTCTTAAACCTATGATTCTTACAATTCTATGTTAGTATGAGAAAATAACTTAGGTTGTGGGATATAGCTAGTTTGTAATCTAGATTTGCTTTTTTATCTGTGTCCGTCATTAAATTAATGAGATAATGCATATAAATTCAACACTGCCTGGTTCATCATTACTCTGGTTCCTGCAATTAATAGAGCATAATTTCCCTGAATAATGCTATTAATAGCCAGTCTGTTAAAACATGAGACAATCCTATCCATTGAGTTATTTCTTCAAGTGGCTGTATGTAGAAATGGTAAGCTTGGGGTTTTCTGAAAATCATTTCATGTGTTTGGCATTGGCTTCTGTTGACATTCTTTTCTTCATGCTGTCATTTTTTTTTCTTCATGTTGTAACTTTTTTTTCCTCTAGTCATAATTTAAGATTTTACAGAGTCAAGGGCTGGAGTATTCACTACCTCTTGTGATACCATGGCAGCTATTAGGCCCAATAATGAGATCAAGAAAAGTTCCCTAATCTCACCTGGAGAACCAGAGCATTTATCCAACTTATTCAAAGCCTGGATGTCATTACAAAGCGGATAGGAAGTATAAAATTGTCAACCTTCTTATATTTATCTTTGTTCAACATGTAGCCCTCTAACTTACTCCTTCCTTATATTACTACATTATTACCTGTCCTTCTGCATACAAGAGCTTGTCTATCCTTCCCTCTGCTTACTTTTGTGTTATATTTACATGGTTTTCCTACTTTTCTTTCCCACTCACTATTCCAAATCCAATTTATATTATGATATTAAAGTCTCATCTAGATACTTTAACCCCCAATAATAACTCTATCCCTGTTTTACTGAGTGGGCCATTTTTTTTTTAAGAAGTTGCTGCATGGTATAGTAGTTAAGTTCGCAGGATCTGAAAACCATCTGTCCAAGTCCTAGCTCTGATATTTAGTATAACCTTTCATAATCTACTTAACCACTTTGTCTAAGTTGCTCATCTGGTTATATTTTAGGGGTTTTAGGATTAAATGAGATAATGCATGTAAAGCTGTTAGGGTTTCTGGTACTGTTAGTAATAACTAATTATGTTTATTATATTTTTCACATATTAGTCTTTGGTGGCAAAACATACTTTAAATGTATTCAAATACTGCTTTTGAGAATGTTTTTTAAAAAGCATGGCAGTTTTTATCTTCTGTATTCCAATTTCAAAAAGGGAAGAAGAAAAAATGTCACAAATTATATGAGAAAGCATGTTGAATCATAAGATTTAAATTGGAAGGGACCTTTATGCAATTTCTCATTTTATAGTGAAAGAAGCCAAGACTCCAAGAGATTAAATGACTTGCCCAAAAATTTCATATCTAATTAATGGCAAGGCCAGAAAAAGATTCCATATCTTTTGATTCCCAGCCCAATGCCATTTCTATAAAATGAAATTGACTTTTAGTGATCAGTGGAGAACTGAAAATTGAACCAGTAGTATATGAACTCTTTCAGCTTTTTGCCCCACCCCTCAACTATATATTTCCCTGTCTCTGCATCCATCTGTAACCATCTATTTGTCTTAAAAGAAAACTTATCTTTTCTTCCACTCGAGGCATATCTCTCCTCCTGTAATCTTAATTCTATCCAATCCTGCTTTCCCTGGGACTTTAGAAGATCATTATCCATCTCCTCTTTCCCATATTTTCATTGTTTCCTCTCCACTGTGTCTTTCCCTTTAGCATATAAATATGCTGAAGTCTCTTCCTTCTTCAGCTTCTGGTCATGACTTTTTTATTATAAATGATAAAAATTCTACTCAAAATGACTTAAGCACAAGAAAAGGAACCAATTGTCTCAAGTAAACTGAAAAGTATCTGGCTTAATTCTGGCTAAATCAAGGCACTCATGCCTCTGGCTTTCTCTCAATCTTTTAGCTATGCCTGTTGCTACTTGGCTTTACTTTTTAATAGGGTTTCTCACACAGCAGGTAGCCCCTAACTTACATCTTACCAGTTTAGCGCCTCAGTGGAAAAAGGTAGACTTCCCTGTTAGTTTTGGCAGACCAGAGCTCATTCTAACTGGCCTCATTTGAGTCATGTGTTTATCCCTTGATCAATCCCAGTAACCTGACGATTGGGTCGTTGTATACCTGTGGCCCCAGAGAAGGCAGGGCACCATGAATAACGGCCTTACTAGGATCCAGTAGAATTGTAGAAGCAGTTTCCTCAAAGGAAAGGGAGGGTACTCCCACTAAAAGAAGGGAAAGCATACCAGGCAGACAAAAAACAGAATTCTAGAGTCCCCATACCCTCTATCTCTTGCTTTCTCATCAAAACAAAAATTAATTGAAAGAGCAATTGACACTCAGTATGCTCATCGCTTCCTTATACCCTAGTTACTCTTTATTCATTAAAATTTAGGTTTTCTGTGTATCAGTCCTTTGAAGCTGTTTTTGTTCAGGCCATTTAGTGACTTTCTAAGTTCTGAATTCAGTGAACTGTTTTCAACTGTTAATCTCTTTGACCTCTATAGTATTTGATACTACTGGTCTTTCCTTTCTTTTGGAAATCTCTCCTTTGATTTCAGTAAAACCATTATGTTGGTCTCCTGTTACTTCTTAGACTGCATGGGCTTTTCTTCCTGTTGATGTTGCAAAAGGATTCTTTTTTCTTTTTTTTTTTTTTATTCTTCTCACTTCAAAAACTTTTCCTATACAGTATCACCCAAGCCCGTGTCTTTAATCACTGACTATGTTTTGATAATTTCTAAAGCTGTATCTCCCATCTAGACCTTTCTTTCTAACTCCAAATCCATCTGTATAATCACCTTCCTGGACATATCCACCTAACAGTTAACATATCAGACATGTCAGCATCTGAACTCTGTCTTCTTCTTACCTCACTCTACACCTTTTCTTTTTGCCTTAGCTCAATGAATGAACTCTTTACTTTGTTAAGCTGCTAAAGTGTCCTTCTAAATAGCTCACCCCACATGTAAATAATCACCAAATCTTAATTATTTTGCCTCCTGCACATCTCTCATATTTGTTATTTCCACTCTATCCTTTCTGCTGATACTCTAGCTTAAGCATTCATTCTCTCTTGTTTACTGCAATAACTTACTTTTCTCTCTGCTTTCAGTCTCATTATCCTTCAATCCATAATATTCAAAGTGATCTGACAGACATATCTGGTTGTGTAAACCTTCTGCTGAAACATCTTCAATAGTTATCCTTTACCTATAAGAAAAACAAAAAACAAAAAAATCTCCTTAATATGGCAAATAAGCTTCAACGTGATCTAGCACTTAACTACCTGTGCAGACACAATGGACCCTGCCTTCTCCAACTTTGTGCTCCAGAAATCCTGAAAACTTACAGTTCTCCCCAAATTCTCTGTTCTCTCATATTGCTGTGTCTTTTACATGGTGTTCTCCCTTCATAGCATAGGTTCCCTTTGCTCTTGCCCTGCTTCACAACTACAGCTCTATCAAGCTGAAATTCCGACTACTCTTCCTTCATATGTTATCACCTCAGGAGTCTGTCTGTCATGTGGTATCACCTTAGAAGAGTATGTCTTACTTCCATTGCAGGTTTAGATCCTCCTTCCTCTGCATTCCCATTGCACTCTGTACAAACTTCCATTTTTAGTACATATATACATTGTGTGTCTCAGTGTGTGCACATCAACATACAAAAGTAGAGTAATGTGAACTGTAGTTATAGGTACAGTTGAAGAATAAGGAAGGGTTTGGACAGGTGAAGAAATTCATAGAAGATATTTAAAGTGGAGGAAACTCAGTGATATGCTGGAGCAAGTTTATACTAACTTATGAGAGATGATTATTAAATTTTCAAGAATCTTTCAGCCATTATTGAAAATTTAATTACATAAACTTTCAATTAAATTATGTTAAAAACAAAGGCAAAAATACTCAAAACTCATCACTTCCTAATTGTTCTACTGCATTTTACTCTTATCTGTGTTCTCGAGATTATTTATCCATATGGTAGAAATACTATATTATAGGGTTCTGTCGTGCATTTTTTCCCAACTTCTTATTCAATTATGTCACATTAATAGCTTGAAATCAGTTATGGTGGGAACATTTATACCATAGGAATCAGCAAATACTACCAATCTGGGTTTGATTTATTGTTTTGCTTATTTTTTAGACTTAAGAAAGTGAAGGATAAAATTTTAATATTGTAGATTAAACAAATGTGTGTTGTTATTGTAGCCATTACATTGTGAATAACACAAAAAATTGAGAGAATATTCTTCTAGTATTTGAAAATTACTATCTAATTCAGGAAAGAAGTTGCTTAAGTCAATGGTGAATGAGTGAAATCCCAACAGATGTCTTTGTTGTTTTATTAATATTTTCATCTTACTTGTTAGAGTCAACAAAAATATCAAACAACATTCACATGAGAGCTACATTCGTCACTTGCAGCCATAGGTTGACTACAGATAAAACAGTGGCAAAACTTAATGAAAACATTCAATGAGAATCAATTAGATATATGGAATTTACATTTAAGTATACCATATATGTTGTTATTTGTAAAACGTGTGCTGTATAGCCTTTACATCAGCAAAGATTATAATAAACTTATATGTGTATACATAAGCATACGCTTTTTGTAGAGGTAGCTATTAAACATTTATTAGCACAATACTGTGTAAAACTGTACAACTAAAGGCATTTAGCGCCTCATAACAATCTTTTGAGGTAGGTACTGTTGTTGCCTTATTTTGCAGAATCAGGAAGTTTGAATTACTGTCTAAGACCATACAACTAATAAATGAGAGAAGTGGAATTTTCACTTATGTAATTTGGCTCTAAATCCAGGCTGTAAACAATGAATAACACTGAGGATTTTTTAGCAGGAGAAAAATAAATATTATTTATTTTGGACAAATACCTTTTATAACAATACTGAAAATTAACTTTAGGGAGAAGATCTGGAGGAGGAAGACCATTTTAGAAACTATTATAATCCAATCTTGGAGTAGAGTTATTCTAATATGGGAATTAAGAGGAAAAATTAATTGCCTAAAAAATGTATTGAAAATTAAATTTAGTGCAACTTTATACAGTTAATAGAATTGGCTGAATACAGTATTCAACAATGCTTGACACAATGCCTTTGAAAACTATTACTCAAGAACTCTGTTTAGTAGTTGAAAGATGTGTTTGATATATCAATAGACTACGATGCTTGTGGTTTAAAAAGTACCTATAGTCTTTTATACATACACATAACAGATTTTTCTAGATGTAACTGTTCTACAACTTCAAATGAGAAAGTCTCTCAAACAGTGTTCTTCAACAGAAATCTTAATATATCTGGAAACCAACATTTGACAGATGCAGATAAAAGCAATTCTCTATTTTCAGAAGTTTTGAATGTGAACTTTGAATTGGGAAATGAAGTTTGGGATGATTTTGATGATGAAAACTTAGAAGTTACTAGCTTTTCAACTGATACTGAGAAGACAAAAATATCAGGTAAAATCATACTTAGCATGCAATCATTTCATTAGGAATTCTTTGAATATTTTTCATTTCAGCTCCTGGAACTAAGTTTCTTTGCCTTTGTTGTGTGTGCTTGTTTAGTTAGATTTGGTTTGTTAAGATTATAATTTTTAGCAAAACTGAAAATGTGACTCTTCTACAAAGAACATTTCCCCCCTAAGAACAGAGATCAAGGTTATTCCATGATGATAATGTAGCAAATGAGCACTTTCTATTCTATTGCTCCTATCTCTTGTAAAAGTCAAATTCAAATTGTTTATTCAATTTTCTCTCATGAAACAGACTATTTTGTTCTCCATTCTAAGATCACAAATGGTCTGCTAATATTTGTGAAGAACAAAAAAATACATTTTTAAAACTATTCATCTGCTTGCAAAGAAAATAACTTTTATTTCTAGTTGAAATATGGACTTTCAGCTTGAAGTAAATAAATAAGTTAATACATAAATAAGTAAATAAGAAAGAAAGATTAGTTTCTCCTGTACTAGAAATTCTATTTAAATCATATACAACCCCAAAATAATGAGGCTTATTAGCTCTTTGAGTGAAAGGCAAATTTACTCTATTTCACTAAAACAGAGAATTGAAAACCTTGGCCAGTATGTGACAAGATAGCAATGGAGATACTGTCTCCCATTAGGGCTGACAGAAATAAATCAGTCCCTCAGCCTTCTCAGTGCAGACTGGTATTTCCACAATTATAGATACCACTTACCATACCCCACCTCATGTTTTTAAAAGAGTATTTCAAAGGGAAGCAGTTAGAAGTTGAAATGTTATTGTTTTGGGGGCCCTTAGAATTACCTAGAGAACTAATACTGCTTCTGAAAAGAACAGGATTTGACCACCTTCACAGAATAGGCCAGGAGAATCTCCATGATGTGGGGTCATTAGGCACAATTTTGTTTATCACCAGACAACTACTGTTCCCTACCTCAAACTTAAGTGTCATTGGGTACTGCAAGTTAATAGGCAATGTGTACTGATCCTTTGAGGTAGCCTAGTCCTAAGACGGCACAGCTTTGTCACTGGGAAAATCAGTCTCAATAAGTGCCATTTTCCCCCATGTATAGAGCACTTTAAATGATTATGAGCAGACCACTGAAAATATTGAGTGAACTTCAACTTGATCATTTATGTGAATGAAAATGTAAGTACATAAATAACGAGAGTGAGTGCAAAAACACAAACTGTTTTTCCTCACTCTCACACCATGATCAGCCCAGAAGACATCTATGACCAAATGGGTGTGGGTTTTTTCCCACACGCCAAGCAAGCAATCAGTTCCACAGTGAATACCAGCTGGGTGTCTTCCAACCCAGTAGAGTTAGAAACAGGAGTCAAAGACCAAATACGTATTTTACCACAACACAGGTGGCTTGAAGACCTTTTAATATAGTTACTAATAAGCTAATCTATATGTTTTAGAGTTTTACTCCCTTAGCCTTGTGCCCCTAATTTTTCTATGCAAATTAAATTAGGTTACTGAGAATTATTCATTCCTTCCTTAATCAGATCATATCTGTTGGAGAGAACGTTGTAGAACTTGTGAAAAGCTTCATTCAGCTGTTTCTTGGCATTTTGTTTCAAAATGTTATCTCTTCACATAGGATTTGGAAACACTTTGAGTTCAAGTACCAGGGGAAGTAAGCTACCCCTTCAAGAGTCAAAGAGCAAATTCCAAAGAGAAATGTCAAACAGGCAAGTTTTAGAACTTAGGTTTGTAATATTTGCAACTTTATATCCCCTTGACACATAGTTGGAGATGGGGATCAAGTTATTAGATGTCACAGATGCTAAAAGGTATTAGCCAACCTAAACCCTCTTAATCTTAGAGGTGTATTTCTCAAAGTGCTGTTGTGAAACCACCTGCATCAAAATCACTTTGAGGTGCATATTAAAAATGCACATTCTTAAGCCCCACATTAGATCTACCGAATTTTTGTCTCTGGGACTGGAGCCCAGGAACCTTCACTTTTAACAAGACTTGAAAACTGAATAGGAGTTTGACAACTAGAACAGAGGCAGATAGGCATTCCAGGTATAAGAAAGCATCTCTAAAGGGATAAGGCTTGAAAAGGTATCCCGTGCTCAAAGATCAGTAAAGTGTGGTATGTGTGGCCACAGCACAAAGTCTGTTGCTGAAGTCTTATTGTAAGGGCTTTGAGTGCTGTGCTTAGACACCTGTCCTGTACCCAGTCGGGTCGCAAACCCAAATACCTTCAAGATTTGGTGGGCCAAGGCCAACTGTAGAGTGTCCCATCTAAAGGGAGCAGCCACTACTCAGCTCCAAGCAGTTGTTACTGTGCAGGCAATGTGAGTCTAGTGTTATAAAATATTCTGACTTTTCAAGAAAAGCTAGGAATCTGAAATTTTATGTGATATCTTATTATTTTTAAATTTTGACAACTAATTCAAAAAAATGTGATATACTCTGTGGCACCCTCCTCCAAATAATAATAATATCTGTAGGCCAGATGTGTCCTAGGGCCCTCTAGTTTTTACCTGTATGGTAGGCAGTGAGAAACCATCCAAAATATTTAAGCACAGAAAAAACAATTTGATTTAAAAAATCATCCTAGCAGCAGTATGCAGAGTGAATCGTAGGGAGTGGGACTGCCAGAGGCATGGTGGCCAATGAGAAAGACAGACTATAATGAGGCCTAAACTACAGCAGAAGTGATGGGAACAGAGAGGTAGGGTTGGATTTTTAAAACATTTCAGAAATAGAGCAGATTCAGTGTGGCAATTGATAGGATATGATAGTTGAGGAAGAGGGAAGAATAAATGGCACCTAGGTAGATGTTATTTAAGGATATAGGAAACATAAGAGATTTAGAATGGAAAACATAATTTTATAAATCTTCAATTTGAAGTATCTTTACAAAAAATGCAAAATGCATTGGGAAATACTGGACTTGATTAGAAGTCAAGGGAGAGAAATGATGGCCAAAGCCAAAATTTTCAAAACAGAAGAAATACCAACAACTTTTTATTCAGGGTCTGATTTTCTACTTAAGGATTATTTATTTCTCTGCTTTAAAAAAATACTCGCGGTGGCTCACGCTTGTAATCCCAGCACTTTGGGAGGCCGAGGCGGGCGGATCACGAGGTCAGGAGATCGAGACCATCCTGGCTAACACGGTGAAACCCCGTCTCTACTAAAAATACAAAAAAATTAGCCGGGCGTGATGGCGGGCGCCTGTAGTCCCAGCTACTCGGGAGGCTGAGGCAGGAGAATGGCGTGAACCCGGGAGGCGGAGCTTGCAGTGAGCCGAGATTGCGCCACTGCACTTCCACCTGGGCCACAGAGCGAGACTCCGTCTCAAAAAAAAAAAAAAAAAAAAAAAAAAAAATACTAAATTTGTGGTATCCCTTGGAATTTTTGCTGTTATTTGGCCATTACTGATTATTAGTATCAGCATCACAGACTCATAGTTTTAATAGAATTCCAGAGCTAGGGGCGACTTTGGTATTGTTTAGTCTCCCTCTCACTGGATCTTTGAATCATCATTCAACATCACTGGCAAGTAATCATGCCACCTCTACCAAGACAGTTCCAGTGACCAGGAGCTCATTCACCCTTGTTCCATGTTAGGATTTCTTAAATCACTGAATAGCTTTTTAAAACATTTGCTTAAAATGAGTCTTTTTATCACTTTGTTTCTTTGGTTGTAACTCTTGAGTGACATAGAATAAACGGATATAACCATCCAAGTGAGACAAAGCTGTAGGTGTAGAGAAGCAAAAAGTAGGTAAATCATAAGGAGGAAGGTAACAAGGCATATGAACAGTTTTGTGCACCACACCTTTAAAAAACAACAAATACTTTTGGAAGAGTTTAGAAGGGACCAACAGAAGATGTGTGGGCTTAAAAATGGATTCTAACAAGAAGCCTCTGAGAACCTGGTGTAGAAGTTGCTGCTGGGGAAAAGGCCTGTGGGACCTGAGGATTTGGGGTGGAAAGGAGATTTGCTTTTTTACTTATTTAAGGTAGAGTACAGTGGCATAATTAGGGCTTACTGCAGCCTCAAGCTCTTGGGCTAAAGAGATCCTCCCACCTCGGCCTCCCAAGTAGCTGGGACTACAGGTACATACACACCACTATGCCTGGGTAATTAAAAAAAATTTTTTTTTTCTAGAGATGGGGGTCTTGCTATGTTGACTAAGCTGGCCTCAAACTCCTGGACTCAAGCTGTCCTCCCACCTCAACCTCCCAAAATGCTGGGATTATAGGTGTGAGCCACTGTGCCTGGCCTGCTTTTTCTTTTATACACTTTTTACTATTTTAATTCCTTGCCATGTATATATATTTATTAGTCAGAGACAAAACGATCCAATTCTATCAGTATATGTGATTCTTCCCTGTCTCCACCCACACTGCCCATTGCTCCTTACATGGCTGTTACATTTTAGCCTTCAGGTGTCAACTTAAATGGTTACCTCATCAGAGATGCATTGATGATCATCTTTTAAAAATGGGCTTATGGCTCCACACTATTATTTCTTATGCTATTACCCAGTTCATTTTCTTTTTATAATTTCAGGATTTATAATTATTTATATATTTGTTTTTATTCATTGTCTGCTTGATGGTAACTCCCTGACGTTTTCTTTATCACTTCATACACAGCTTCTAGTACAATATCTGGCATATAATAGTGAATAATAAATGTGTTTTAGTGAATGAGTTAATACAGAAGGTTCAGAGTAAATTCTTCTATACAGTTATATCTAATAAGATAACTAGAGATGTCTAACTACAATGAGACCAGAATAGAGAAAGGAGATTAAAAGTTAAGCAAGTGGAATTTAGAAAATGTTTATAGGGTTCTATGTAATAGACAATTAAGCATAAGACTCAATTTTAAAGAAAATTGTTGAATAATTATTTCTATAGTCCCTTAAAAATAGTACTTTTTCCTAATTTGGGATATGTAAATTATGGTTTGGTCTAAAGGAAAGGAAATATACCAAGCTCTCCATGAATATTAGAAACAATGCATTACATTTTTGTGATAAATGTGATAAACTTTGATCATATTCCCCAAAAATCATTATGATCCAAATTAAAATGGTTTTTCTTGTTTGCCGTATTTTACAAATAATTAATTTTAATTTTTAGTTTTGTTTCATCACATGAGATGTCGGATATTTCTTTATCAAATTCTGCTATGCCCAAGTTCAGTGCATCCTCCATGACAAAATTACCTCAACAAGCCGGAAATGCAGTTATTGTAAGAAGAAGCACTTCTTTGTTTTTCTTTTAAATTTTGCCCGAGTGCTTAAACTTTCAATGATTGTTATTTTTTATCTCAAATGTAGGTCCATTTTCAAGAAAGAAAACCACAAAATCTGTCACCAGAGATTGAGAAGCAATGCTTTACTTTCTCTGAAAAAAACCCAAATTCTTCAAATTATAAAAAAGTGGATTTTTTTATTAGAAACAGTGAATGTAAAAAGGAAGTTGATTTCAGGTAAGAACTCTTTAAAGACACTTTAAGATTATATCAATAAAAAACTTTTCACAAAGAAATTCAGCCTTCCGTTTTCCTTTTCATTTTAAAGATCACAGCCTGAACATTTCATTTATTAAAGACATTAAAATTTTCAAACCTCAGTGAGCTAAGCTCTTTAAGATGTTTCAAACATCATATACCTCAGTTTTTGAAAACCCGTATGTTTGATGCTGTTTATTCAAACATTATATTGAGTTGATAAACTTACTTTTACTGATTTGAATACAGTATGTTAATTTTGTAAAGGGTAAAGTCACTTGAGAAATCCAGATGAGATCAGCTAATTTTTCAAAAGTTGAAGTTGTATTTTAGTTAACCAGTTATTTCACAATCAACACGTTCAATGAAAATGTCAGATTAAATCTCATGGGTTCCCCCACTGCTGGCCATTTTAGAAAAGGAAACTGTGTTGCAGTTTCTCTCTCCTTGAAGAGTCAAAAGATTTGAGACCTGTTCACACTGTTTTGCTTTTGTTTAAGACTAGTCAAGTGAAGCAGTGGGGATGCAGAAGAAACAGAAATCTGTAACTGGTTGTGATCAATTAGTTGTAAACAACACTTCCCTTGGACCAGGCCATTCACACCTTTATTAAATGACATAACTTTTCAATATATTTAAAGAAATAACCTTTACAGTTCCTACCATTTGCATTTTATGAAGTCTAATTTTCCCCAACAGACTTCCTACAAAGTTATGCATACTGAAGTTTATTTGATACATTAACTTCATAGCAATCTTCAAGTTTATTTTATTGTGTTTAGTATTACATTATTTATTGTGTATTTTAAAATAAATTGTGTTAAAAAATAGTTATTTTTACTTTTTCTTCTTTCTCCCAGTATGTATCATCCTGATGATGAAGCTGATGAAATGAAGTCTTTATTGGGAATATTTGATGGTATTTTCTAAAACAAACAAATACTTTTTATATTGATAAGAGAAAGAATAAAGACACCTAATCACAAAGCATGCTTTTTATTTTTAAAAAGTAGTTCATAATTGTTCGGATTTTTTTCTCCTGTATTTGATTAGCTTTGTTCACTTTTTGCAACAAAATGTATGGGCCGATTTATTTTCCCATTATATTGTAACTTCTTGAAAAGCTCTTTTACAGTGGCTTTGTTTCAATAAGCCCTTAAGTTAAGGGCTGATTGCACTTAGAAATAAGTTGCACTTAGAAATAATTATTTGGCTATTAATTGGATTTTGACAAGAACCAATGTAAAATTTCATTTTTATATTTTCTTAACAAGAAGAAAAATATTCTATGAAAGCAAAGTAATGCTAACTTAATGAATCTGCTTATTGTATGGATTAATCACTAATATTATTCCCATGTATTTTGTTTTACTAAAGATTTTTAAGAATCCAGTGGCTATTTGAACCTACTGTTATCTAACTTTGAGCAACAATAAATGAAACATTAATCAGTATAGATTGTTGTTTTCATTTAGCTTGTTTTTCAATGTTGTCAATTCTAAAACTTTGTTGACTTTTACTGTAGTAAAAAGATATTTTATATTTTTTCCAATGAATTACATTTCAAATTCATTTATTGATAAGTATTATATAGGTACCCTAAGCAATATTTATTATCAAATTTATTAATAGGTACCATGAGAAGTTGAAGCCCACTTAAGAACTTTTAGAAAATTTTTTTTCTTTTTTTAAAAACTTTTATTTTAGATTCAGTGTTACCTGTGCAGGAGTGTTACATAGATAAACTCATTTCATGGGGATTTGTTGTACAGATTATTTCATGACCCAGGTACTAGGCCTAGTACTGAATAGTTATTTTTCCTGATCCTCTCCCTCCTCCCACTGTCCACCCTCAGGTAGGCCCCAGTGTCTGTTGTTCCCTTCTCTGTGTCCATGAGTTCTCATATTTAGCTCCTACTTATAAGTGAGAACATGCAGTATTTGGTTTTCTGTTCCTTTGTTAGTTTACTAAGGTTCCAGCTCCATCCATGTTCCCACAAAAGACATGGTCTTGTTCTTTATTATGGCTGTATATGTAAAACATTTTCTTTATCCAGTCTACCATTGATGGGCATTTAGGTGGATTCCATGTCTTTGTTATTGTGAATAGTGCTGTGATGAGCATAAGTGTGCATGTGTCTTTATGGTAGAATGATTTTTATTCCTTTGGCTATATACCCTGCGATGGGATTGCTGAGTCAAATGGTGATTCTGTTTTTAGCTCTTTGAGGAATCACCACACTGCTTTCCACAATACTTGAACTAATTTACACTCCCACTAACAGTGTATGTGTTCCCTTTTCTCTGCAACCTTGCCAGCATCTATTATTTTTTAACTTTTTAATAAGAGCCATTCTGACTGGTGTGAGATGGTATCTCATTGTAGTTTTGATTTGCATTTCTCTAATGATCAGTGATATTGGGCTTTTTATATATATATATGCTTGTTGGCCTCATGTATGTCTCCTTTTGAAACATGTTTGTTCATGTTCTTTGCCCACATTTTAATGAGATTGTTTTGGTTTTTTTTTTTCCTTGTAAATCTAAGTTCCTTAAGATTCTGGATATTAGATCTTTGTACAGATGCATAGTTTGCAATTTTTTCCCTTTCTGTAGGTTGTTTCTTTACTCTGCTGATAATTTCTTTTGCTGTGCAGAAGTTCTTAAGTTTAATTAGATCCCATTTGTCAGTTTTTCCTTTTGTTGACATTGCTTTTGGCATCATTGTCATGAAACCTTTGCCCATTCCTATGTCCCAAATGGTTTTTTTATATTTTTGCATTTTACAGTTAAGTCTTTAATCCATCTTGAATTGGTTTTTGTATATGGTGTAAGAGAAGGGTCCAGTTCAGTCTTCTGCATACAGCTTGCCAGTTATCCTAGCACGATTTATTGAATAGGGAGGGAGTCCTTTCCCCATTGTTTGTTTTTGACAGCTTTGTCAAAGATCAGATGGTTGTAGGTGTGCAGCCTTAATTCTGGGCTCTCTATTCATAGACATTGGTCTATGTGTCTGTTTTTGTACCAATACCATGATGTTTTGGTTATTGTTGCCCTTAGTACAGTTTGAAGTTGGGTAACGTGATACTTGCAGCTTTGCTCTTTTTGCTTAGGATTGCCTTGGCTATTTGGGCTCTTTTTTGGGTTCCATATGAATTTTAAAATAGTTTTTTCTAGTTCTGTGAAGAATGTCATTTGTAGTTTGATAGGAGTAGCATTGGATGCTACTTTGGGCAGTATGGCCATTTTAATGATGTTGATTATTCTTATCCATGAGGATGGAATGTTTTTCCATTTGTTTGTGTCATTTCTGATTTCTTTGAGCAGTGTTTTGTAATTCTCTTTGTAGATCTCTTTCACCTACTTGGTTAGCTGTATTCCTAGGTATTTTATTCTTTTTGTAGCAATTGTGAATGGGATTGTGTTCCTGATTTGGCCCTTGGCTTGGCTGTCATTGTTGTATAAGAATGCTAGTTATTTTTGTAGATTGATTTCGTATCCTGAAACTTGGCTGAAGTTGTTTATCAGCTGAAGGGGCTTTTGGGCCAAGACTATGGGGTTTTCTAGATATAGGATCTGGTCATCTGCAAACAAGGATAGTTTGTGTTTCTCTCTTCCTATTTGGATACTCTTTATTTCTTTCTCTTGCCTGATTGCTCTGGCCAGGACTTCCAATACTATGTTGAATAGGAGTAGTGAGAGAAGGCATCCTTGTCTTGCACTAGTTTTCAAAGGAAATGCTTCCAGCTTCTCCCCATTCATTGATGTTGGTTGTGGGTCTATTATAGATGGCTCTTATTATTTTGAGGTATATTCCTTCAGTACCTAGTTTATTGAGAGTTTTTTTTAACATGAATGAATGTTGAATTTTATCAAAAGCCTTTTCTTCATCTATTGAGAAAATTATGTGGTTTTTGTCCTTAGTTCTGTTTATGTGATGAATCACATTTATTGATTTGCGTATATTGAAACAGCCTTGCATCCAGGGATGAAGCCTACTTGATCATAGTGTATTAACTTTTTGATGTGCTGCTGGATTTGGTTGGCAAGTATTTTGTTGAGGATTTTTGCATCAATGTTCATCAAAGATATTGGCCTGAAGTTTCCTTTTTGTTGTCTCTTCCAGGTTTTGCAATCAGGAAGATACGGGCCTCATAGAATGAGTTGAGGAGGAGTCCCTCTTCCTCGATTTTTTTGGAATAGTTTCAGTAGGAATTGTACCTGCTCTTCTTTGTACATCTGGTAGAATTTGTCTGTGAATCTGTGTGTGGTCCTGGGCTTTTTTTGGTTGATAGGCTTTTTTTTTTTGAGACGGAGTCTTGGTCTTGTTGCCTAGGCTGGAGTGCAGTGGCGCGATCTTGGCTCACTGCAACCGCCGCCTCCGGGGTTCAGGTGATTCTCCTGCCTCAGCATCCCAAGTAGCTGGGACTACAGATGCACGCCACCACACCCAGCTAATTTTTGTATTTTTTAGTAGAGACGGGGTTTCACCATGTTGGCCAGGATGGTCTCGATCTCTTGGCCTCATGATCTGCCCGCCTCAGCCTCCCAAAGTACTGGGATTACAGGCATGAGCCACTGCGCCTGGCTGCTTGGCAGCCTTTTTATTACTGATTCAATTTTGGAGGTCATTACTGGTCTGCTCAGGGTATCAATTTCTTCCTGGTTCAGTCTTGAGAGGGCGTATGTGTCTAGGAATTTATCCATCTCTTCAAGGTTTTCTAGTTTGTGTGCATAGAGGTGTTCATAGTAGTTTCTGATGCTTATTTTTTTATTTT
Source organism: Homo sapiens (assembly GCF_000001405.40). Taxonomy (NCBI): domain Eukaryota; kingdom Metazoa; phylum Chordata; class Mammalia; order Primates; family Hominidae; genus Homo; species Homo sapiens. Next base: position 91,257,441 of record NC_000001.11, on the reverse strand, counting down.
TTTGAGATGGAGTCTCACTCTGTTGCCCAGGCTGGGGTGCAGTGGGATTCGGCTCACTGCAAGCTCCGCCTCCTGAGTTCATGCCATTCTCCTGCCTCAGCCTTCCGAGTAGCTGGGACTGCAGGTACCTGCCACAATGCCCAGCTAATTTTTTGTATTTTTAGTACAAACGGGGTTTCACTGTGTTAACCAGGATGGTCTCGATCTCCTGACCTCGTGATCTGCCCACCTTGGCCTCCCAAAGTGCTGGGATTACAGGCATGAGCCACCGCGCCCAGCCTCTGATGCTTATTTTTATTTCTGTCGGGTCAGTGGTAACATCCCCTTTGTCATTTCTAATTGTGTTTATTTGAAATGTCTCCCTTTTTTCTTTATTAGTCTAGTAGCAGGCTATCTTATTAATTTTTTTAAATAACCAACTCCTAGATTCATTGATCTTTTGAATGGTTTTTGGTTTGCTCTTGCTTCTCTAATTTTTTTCAGTTATGACGTTAAGTTGTTAATTTGAGATCTAACTTACTAATGTAGGCATTTAGTGCTATGTATATCCCTCTCAACCACAGCCTTAGCTGTGTCCCAGAGATTCTTCTGTTTTTATCTTTGTTCTCATTAGTTTCAAAGAACTTCGTGACTTCTGCCTTAATTTCATTATTTACCCAAAAGTCATTCAGGAGGAGGTGGTTTAATTTCCATGTAATTGCATGGTTTTGAGTGATTATTTTAGTCTTGATTTCTATTTTTATTGCACTATGGTCCAAGAGTGTGTTTTGTATGATTTTAGTTCTTTTGCATTTGCTGAGGGTCATTTTATGTCCGATTTTGTGGTCAATTTTAGAGTAGGTGCCATGTGACAAGGAGAAGAATATGTTGTCTGTTGTTTTGGGGTGGAGAGTTCTATAGAGGTCTGTGAGATCCATTTGGTCCAATGTTGAGTTCAGGTCCTGAATATCTTTGTTAATTTTCTGCCTCACTGATCTGTCTAATACTGTCAGTGGAGTGTTGAAGTTTCCAACTGTTATTGTGTGGGAGTCTAAGTCTCTTTATAGGTCTCTAAGAACATGCCTTATGAATTTGGGTGCTCCTGTGTTGAGTGCATATATATTTAGGATAGTTAGGTCTTCTTGTTGGATTGAACCCTTTACCATTATGTAATGCCCTTCTTTGTCTTTTTAAATCTTTGTTGGTTTAAAGTCTGTTTTGTCTGAAATTAGGGTTGTAACCTCTATTTTCTTATTTCCATTTGCATGGTGATTTTTCTCCATCCCTTTATTTTGAGCCTGTGGGTGTCATTGTGTGTGAGATGGGTCTCTTGAAGAGAGCATACCATCATTAGGTCTTGCTTTTTTATCCAGCTTGCCACTTTGCCTTTTTTTTTTAAGACAGATTCTCACTCTGTTGCTCAGGCTGGCTGGAGTACAGTGGTACAATCTCGGATCACTGAAACCTCCACATCCCAGTTTTAAGCAATTCTCATGTCTCAAGCTCCTGAGTAGCTGGGATTACAGGCATGTGCCACCATGCCCAGCTAATTGTTGGTTGTTTTTTTTTTTTTTTTTTGAGATGGAGTCTCGCTCTGTCGCCCAGGCTGGAGTGCAGTGGTGCGATCTCGGCTCACTGCAAGCTCCACCTCCCAGGTTCACGCCATTCTCCTGCCGCGGTATTTTTAGTAGAGATGGGCTTCACTATGTTGGCCCGGCTGTTCTCAAACTCCCGGCCTTAGTGATCTGCCCACCTCAGCCTCCCAAAATGCTGGGATTACAGTGCCCAGCCCCTTTGCCTTTTAAATGGGGGCATTTAGCCTATTTACATGCAAGGTTAGTATTGATATGTGTGGATTTGATCCTGTAATTGTGTTGTTAGCTGGTTATTATGCCAGCTTGTTTGTGTGGTTGCTTTATAGTGTCACAGTAGTCTGTGTCCTTAAGTGTGTTTTTGTATTGGCTGGTAATGGTTTTTCCTTTCCATATTTAGTGCTTCTTTCAAGATATCTTGTAAGGTGGGTCTTTTGATAATGAACTCCTTCAGCATTTGCTTATCTGAAAAGGATTTTATTTCTCCTTTGCTTAGGAAGCTTAGTTTGGCTGGATATGAAATCCTTAGTTGAAGTTTTTTTCTTTAAGAATGTTCAATATAGGCCCCCAATCTCTTCTGGCTTATGGGGTTTCAGCTGAGTAGTCTGCTGTTAGCTTGATGGGGTTCCCTTTGTAGGTGGCTTGCCTTTTCTCTCTAGCTGCCTTTAACGTTCTCTCTTTCATTTTGACCTTGAGAAGTCTGATGATTATGTGTCTTGGGGATTATTTTCTTGTGTAGACTCTTGCAGGGATTCTCTGTATTTCCTGAATTTGACTGTTGGCTTCTCTAGCAAGGTTGGGGAATTTTCATGGATGATATCCTGAAATATATTTTCCAGGTCATTTGCTTTCTCCCTGTCCCTTTGAGGGATGCCAATGATCTGTAGATTTGGCCTCTTTTCATAGTCCCACATTTCTTGGAGGTCTTGTTCATTCCTTTTCATTCTTTTTTCTTTATTTTTGTCTGACTTATTTCAGAAAGCCAGTCTTCAAGTTCTGAGATTCTTTCCTCAGCTTGGTCTTTTCTGCTGTTATTACTTGTGATTGCATTGTGAAATTCTTGTAGGGTGAGTTCCATCAATCAGTTAGGTCCTTTTTTATACCAGCTGTTTCATCTGTCAGCTCCTGTATCCTTTTATTGTGTTTCTTAGTTTCCTTGGATTGGGTTTTGCCATTCTCCTGAATCTCAATAATCTTTGTTCCTATCTATATTCTGAATTCTGTTTCTGTCATTTCAGCCAACACAGCCTGGTTAAGAATCCTTGTTGGAGGACGTGGACACTGACCATTTGAGTTGCTGGAGTTCTTGCATTGGTTCTTTCTCACCTCTGTGTGTGGGTGTTTCTTTAACTGCTGTGTAGATTGAGTACAGTCAGTAGATCTGTTTTCTAGATGTTTTCACAAGGCCAAGGCTTTTTGCATGGTCTTTATTTGTAGTTGACTTCTTGTCTTTGGCTTCACAGTGGGTATGTTAGCAAGGTATTTTTGGTGTTGAAGCTTTGGGGTGTGATCCAGTAGGTGGTGCTTAGGGGTAGTGGTCAGTTGGTAGGTAGGCCCTTGCTCAGTTGTGTGGCTCCCCTATATTTCTGCAGTTGCAGCTGTGCTCCCTCGCAATGCTCTGAAAGTGTGGGCTCCTCTCCTACTTGAATACTGGCTGTAGATCATGGCTTGGCCCTCTCCCAGGCTGCCCACCACAGCTCTGGGGTGATCTCAGGGTTTATGTTTCCTCCTCAACTTGGAAGCAGCAGAGGAAGGGATCTTCATAGTAGTTGTGACCAAGGATCTTTTGCCTGTTTCCTGTAGGCACCACCCCCAGAGAGATGAAGGTCAGCAATTGCTCAGTGCAATCAGCCCAGGATAGGGGGGTTCTGTGTGTGGGCCCAAGTCAGGGGTTCCCTGCCTGGTGATGAGCAGAGGATGTGGGTGAGATCCATAGGAGACAGACTGGCCTCCTCTCCTTCAGTTGACTGCAGCTTGTTGGAGGTGTGGATAAATCACTTAGGGTCTTCATTAGTCTGAGGATAGCAGGGGTAGTACCACTGCAGAGGCAATGGCAGAGAGGCTTTGGGTTGCAAAACACCAGTGGGGGTGACTAGAGACCCCAGCTGGGAGATTCTGCCCAGTGAAGAGAAATGTGGTCTGGGATCCATGTGAATAAGCAGTTTGACTGCCTCTCTGTATAGCTTCTGGGCTATGCCAAGGGACCACTGCAGTCCCTAGTCAACTCGGACTCCCTAGAGCCCAAAGGCAACAATGGCTAAGGCTGTGAAATAACAGAGATGGTGGCCTCTCTCTCCCCTTGGGAGCTCCATCTCAGGGAGGTGTAATGCTGCCACCAGTGGCTGGCTTGTTTCCCAAGCCAGTGGGTCTTACCCTGCAAGATGCCATGGAAACAAGGCCTGCAGACTGTCACTGCTCGGCCCCCAGGATTCAGCCCATTTCCTAGGGACATGTATAGGGGTCTAACCTCCTGCTTTGCCAGAGTTGCAGCTGCTTTTGCTAGGAAGCCTGGGTATCTAAGGCTGCTGGGGCTGTGTGTGTGTGTGTCTGAGTGGCTGCTCTGCCACGACTCCATGTAGCTCAGCGTGTCAGACTGAAGGCCCTGATGGGGTGGATCCATGAGAGGATCTCCTGACCTGAGAGTTGCAAAGATTCATGGGAGAAGTGTGGGTCTCAGGGGTTGTTCACTCACTCACCACTTCCCTGGGCCGAGGAGGTGCTCCTGGCTCCATGTCACTCCTGGGTGGGCAGCCATCCTGCCTTGCTTTTCTCCATTCTCCATGGGTCAGCTTATTTCCTTGATGCGTTTCCAATGTGTGTACTTGGATGTTTCCATTGAAGGTGCTGTATTTATACTCACCCATTACATTTCTCTTCATGAGAGTGGCATACACTAGCTACTTCTGTTCAGTCATGTTGTCCAACTCCGTATCAATATTTTTTTCTTTAAGCATAAAAACCTTGGAGATAAGAGAAGTAAAGAAGAGAGACTCCCACATGAAATTGTTATTGTTATTATTGGTAAACATCTATGAGGCATCATATGAATTAAACTTAGATAAAAAGCTTAAAACAAAACTAAGACTTTGTCCCTGTGTTGAAAAATAAGGATAATCGTCCCTTTATTTTAGTCCTTTTTACAACTGGTGTGTTTCTGCATCTGAATCAATCAGGCTACAACCTTTAAAGGTTCTTAAACACCATTAAAATGAAAAATTGGTGCACTACAGTCTGCTCATCTCACATACATAGATGTTGACACTAAAGAAACAGCAGTTTAATTCAGCATGACTTATTGTGATCTGCTAAGTGAAGATGTACTTGGTACTGTAAAGGATGAAAACACTGTTTCTTTTCTTGTGGAGCTTAGTTTACATTCTGGTAGAGAAGTTAAGATACATAATAAAGTAATAATAAAATATAGAATACATCACAGCAATACCCAGAAACTGTTTGCTAAAGAGATTAATATGGCTAGAAGGGAATCTGGTACTAATCATCAGGACAATGGGAGAAAGACCCTGAAGGCATTTCAGAGATCTTTGAGGCTGCTCCCCCGATCACAGTCTGAGAATGTTAGGATCTTCAGGGCAGCAAGGGCTTGCTGCCTTGAGCCTAGGTAGGGTAGGCTAGGGTCTCTCTGCTCTCTGCATTCAGGAACAGGACTCCTCAGCCAGTTGTGGCTCAACTGGCCTCAGGTACAGCTCAACTTGTTGCTCCAAACGGTACAAACTGTAAACCTTGGCAGCACCACACCTTCATTCAAACAGGCCCAGATGTGGCGCTTGCTCAAACTACAGAAGGTGCAAGCTGTAAGCCTTGGTAGTTCCATGTGCAGAATGCAAGAACTATGGATGTGTGGCTTCCCCCACTTAAATATCTGAGGGTGATTGAAAAGCCTAGGGGCCCAGGTAGTGATTTGTCATAGGGGTGCAACCACTGCTGAGTTCCATTACTAGGGTAATGCTTAGTAGAGCCACAGGGGCTGGGCCACCCTTGAGACCCCAGAATTGTAGAGTCACTGGCAGGGGGTAATGCCTGCCCGGGAAAGTTACAGGCACCAGATTCCAACCCATGAAAGCAGCCACATGGGCTGCACCAACAAAGCCATAGGGGCAGGGCTGCCTGATGCCTTCAGGGCTCCACCTCCAACCCTAGTGTGCATGGAGTTTAGGGAAATTATTCTCCAACTTTAAAATTTAATGTCTAACCTGCTGGGTTTTGAACTTGCTTTGGGCCTGTTACTCCCTTCTTCTTGCCTGTTTCTCCCTTTTGGAATAGGAATGTATACCCTATGCCTGTCCCACCATTGTATCTGGAAAATAGATAACTTGTTTTGATTTCATAGTTTCCTAGATGAGACTCTGGGCTTTGGACTTTTAAGTTGGTGCAGGACGAGTTACGATTTTGGCGATTTTGGGGATGGGATGATTTTGCATTGTAAGAAGGACATGAGTTTGGGGAGTGAGGAGCAGAATGCTGTGGTTTCTTCTGACCAGAACTCATGCTGAGGCTTCGTCCCCAGTGTGGCGGTATTGAGGAGGAAGTAAAAGCATGGAAAAGTAAGGTGATTAGGTTGTTAAGAGGAATTAATGCCATTCTCAAAGGAGTAGTTCTAACTCTGCAGGACTGGTTAGTTACTGCGAGGCCAAGTGGTTATATACAGTGAGGCTACCTCTCATGTTTGGTCTCCTTGCACTTGCCTGCCTCCCCTTCTGCTTCTTTGGCATATTATGATGAAGCATGAGGCCCTTACCAGAAGCCAGCCGGATGTGGTTAACTGATCTTGGACTTCCCAGCCTCCAGAATCATGAGCTAAAATAGACCTCTTTCCTTTATAAATTACTCAGCCACAGGTATTCTATTATAGCAACAGGAAACAGACTAAGACAATCTCCTAAGTAATCAAAATGAATAGAAAATTAACAGCGTTATTGTAGACATGCCAAACTTTTTGCAAGTGTTTACCTGGAAAATTATATGTACATTAAATATATGTAACTCAAAAAATCCCTGTTACGTATACTAGCCACTTAACTCCAATCACTGGCTATTCTTTTCATGAAATGAATAATAACCCTAAGTTTTCCTATCCTTAAGTTTTAAATATATTGGATATATTTATTCATATAGGATAAACCATACAATGGAGCTTTTCACAAAACTCACAGTTGGGTTAAATTTTTTCAAAAGGTTTCCCAATTAAAAATTTCCTCGAGAAGAAACTGCATCAACTAACAAGCAAAATAACCAGCTAACATCATAATGACAGGATCAAATTCACACATAACAATATTAACCTTAAATGTAAGTGGGCTAAGTGCTCCAATTAAAAGACACAGACTGGTAAATTCGATAAAGAGTTAAGACCCATCAGTGTGCTGTATTCAGGAGACCCATCTCACATGCAGAGACACACATAGCCTCAAAATAAAGGGATGGAGGAAGATCTACCAAGCAAATGGAAAACAAAAAAAAGCAGAGGTTGCAATCCTAGTCTCTGATAAAACAGACTTTAAACCAACAAAGATCAAAAGAGGCAAAGAAGGCCATTACATAATGGTAAAGGGATCAATTCAACAAGAAGAGCTAACTGTCCTAATTATATATGCACCCAATACAGGAGCACCCAGATTCATAAAGCAAGTCCTTAGAGACCTACAAAGAGACTTAGACTCCCACACAATAATAATGGGAGACTTTAACACCCCACTGTCAACAATAGACAGATCAACGAGACAGAAAGTTAACAAGAATATCCAGGAATTGAACTCAGCTCTGCACCATGTGGACCTAATAGACATCTACAGAACTCTCCACCCCAAATCAACAGGATATACATTCTTCTCAGCACCACATCACACTTATTCCAAAATTGACCACATAGTTGGAAGTAAAGCACTCCTCAGCAAATGTAAAAGAACAGAAATTATAACAAACTGTCTCTCAGACCACAGTGCAATCAAACTAGAACTCAGGATTAAGAAATTCACTCAAAACTGCATAACTACATGGAAACTGAACAACCTGCTCCTGAATGACTACTGGGTACATAATGAAATGAAGGCAGAAATAAAGATGTTCTTTGAAACCAATGAGAACAAAGACACAACATACCAGAATCTCTGGGACACATTCAAAGCAGTGTGTAGAGGGAAATTTATAGCACTAAATGCCACAAGAGAAAGCAGGAAAGATCTAAAATTGACACCCTAACATCACAATTAAAAGAACTAGAGAAGCAAGAGCAAACACATTCAAAAGCTAGCAGAAAGCAAGAAATAACTAAGATCAGAGCAGAACTGAAGGAGATAGAGACACAAAAAACCCTTCAAAACATCAATGAATCCAGGAGCTGGTTTTTTGAAAAGATCAACAAAATAGATAGACTGCTAGCAAGACTAATAAAGAAGAGAGAAGAATCAAATAGATGCAATAAAAAATGATAAAGGGGATATCACCACTGATCCCACAGAAATACAAATTACCATCAGAGAATACTATAAACACCTCTACGCAAATAAACTAGAAAATCTAGAAGAAATGGATAAATTCCTTGACACATACACCCTCCCAAGACTAAACCAGAAAGAAGTTGAATCCCTGAATAAAACAATAACAGGCTCTGAAATTGAGGCAATAATTAATAGCCTACCAACGAAAAAAAGTTCAGGACCAGACAGATTCACAGCCAAATTCTAGCAGAGGTACAAGGAGGAGCTGGTACCATTCCTTCTGAAACTATTCCAATCGATAGAAAAAGAGGGAATCCTCCCTAAATCATTTTATGAGGCCAGGATCATCCTGATACCAAAGCCTGGCAGAGACATAACAAAAAAAGAGAATTTTAGACCAATATCCCTGATGAACATCAATGCAAAATCCTCAATAAAATACTGGCAAACGGAATCCAGCAGCACATCAAAAAGCTTATCCACCATGATCAAGTGGGCTTCATCCTGGGGATGCAAGGCTGGTTCAACACACGAAAATCAATAAACGTAATCCAGCATATAAACAGAACCAAAGACAAAAACCACATGATCTCAAGAGATGCAGAAAAGGCCTTCAACAAAATTCAACAGCCCTTCATGTTAAAAACTCTCAATAAATTAGGTATTGATGGGACGTATCTCAAAATAATAAGAGCTATTTATGACAAACCCACAGCCAATATCATACTGAATGGACAAAAACTGGAAGCATTCCCTTTGAAAACTGGTACAAGACAGGGATGCCCTCTCTCACCACTCCTATTCAACATAGTGTTGGAAGTTCTGGCCAGGACAATCAGGCAGGAGGAAGAAATAAGGGGTATTCAATTAGGAAAAGAGGAAGTCAAATTGTCCCTGTTTGCAGATGACATGATTGTATATCTAGAAAACCCCATCGTCTCAGCCCCAAATCTCCTTAAGCTGATAAGCAACTTCAGCAAAGTCTCAGGATACAAAATCAATGTGCAAAAATCACAAGCATTCTTATACACCAGTAACAGACAAACAGCCAAATCATGAGTGAACTCCCATTCACAATTGCTTCAAAGAGAATAAAATACTTAGGAATCCAGCTTACAAAGGATGTGAAGGACCTCTTCAAGGAGAACTACAAACCACTGCTCAACAAAATGAAAGAGGACACAAACAAATGGAAGAAAGTTCCATGCTCATGGATAGGAAGAACCAATATCGTGAAAATGGCCATACTGCCCAAGGTAATTTATAGATTCAGTGCCATCCCCGACAAGCTACCAATGAGTTTCTTCACAGAACTGGAAAAAACTAAAGTTCATATGGAACCAAAAAAGAGCCTGCATTGCCAAGTCAATCCTAAGCCAAAAGAACAAAGCTGGAGGGATCACGCTACCTGACTTCAAACTATACTACAAGGCTACAGTAACCAAAACAGCATGATACTGGTACCAAAACAGAGATATAGACCAATGGAACAGAACAGAGCCCTTAGAAATAATACCACACATCTACAACCATCTGATCTTTGACAAACCTGAGAAAAACAAGCAATGGGGAAAGGATTCCCTATTTAATAAATGGTGCTGGGAAAACTGGCTAGCCATATGTAGAATGCTGAAACTGGATCCCTTCCTTACACCTTATACAAAAATTAATTCAAGATGGATTAAAGACTTACATGTTAGACCTAAAACCATAAAAACCCTAGAAGAAATCCTAGGCAATACCATTCAGGACATAGGCATGGGCAAGGACTTCATGTCTAAAACACCAAAAGCAACAGCAACAAAAGCCAAAATTGACAAATGGGATCTAATTAAACTAAAGAGCTTCTGCACAGCAAAAGAAACTACTATCAGAGTGAACAGGCAACCTACAGAATGGGAGAAAATTTTTGCAACCTACTCATCTGACAAAGGGCTAATATCCAGAATCTACAAAGAATGCAAACAAACTTACAAGAATAAAACAACCCCATCAAAAAGTGAGTGAAGGATATGAACAGACACTTCTCAAAAGAAGACATTTATGCAACCAAAAGACACATGAAAAAATGCTCATCATCACTGGCCATCAGAGATATGCAAATCAAAACCACAATGAGATACCATCTCACACCAGTTAGAATGGCGATCATTAAAAAGTCAGGAAAAACAGGTGCTGGAGAGGATGTGGAGAAATAGGAACACTTTTACACTGTTGGTGGGACTGTAAACTAGTTCAACCATTGTGGAAGTCAGTGTGGCGATTCCTCAGGGATCTAGAACTAGAAATACCATTTGACCCAGCCATCCCCTTACTAGGTATATACCCAAAGGACTATAAATCATGCTGCTATAAAGACACATGCACACGTATGTTTATTGCGGCATTATTCACAATAGCAAAGACTTGGAACCAACCCAAATGTCCATCAATGATAGACTGAATTAAGAAAATGTGGCACATATACACCATGGAATACTATGCAGCCATAAAAAAGGATGAGTTCATGTCCTTTGTAGGGACATGGATGAAGCTGGAAACCATCATTCTCAGCAAACTATCACAAGGACAAAAAACCAAACACTGCCTGTTCTCACTCATAGGTGGGAATTGAACAATGAGAACACTTGGACACAGGAAGGGGAACATCACACACTGGGGCTTGTCGTGGGGTGGGGGGAGGGGGGAAGGATAGCATTAGGAGATATACCTAATGTAAATGATGAGTTAATGGGTGCAGCACACCAACATGGCACATGTATACATATGTAACAAACCTGCACATTGTGCACATGTACCCTAGAACTTAAAGTATAATAAAAAATAAAGAGAAAATTTCCTCGATAGGCTATATTTTCCTATCTTATTGGCATAATGGCACCTACCACGTAGATACATAGTGAGAACTTACTAAGCCACTGCATAGAGATGTCTTAGTTTAGATGTGGATACATAGTATGGGTTCAACATATGGTAGATATTTGTACCCCCAAAACATTCTTAACAGCACTTTAAATAATCCATTGAGAAGGGGGAAAATAATACAATGTCCATTTGTATTATTTTGGTTGCATTAGAACTTGACAGATGAAATCTTGACTTTCCACAGGTGTATTATTCATAAAAGAATTTATCCCAGACTACCCTCCTACATATACTTCCTCGTGCTTTCAGGCAGATCCTCCTCTCTTCATCTCCTCCTCTCCAACACTGTTAGTTGGTGTATGGTCAGGGCATACAAATATATTTTATTACCTTAAGTAAAATGTAATTAATAAATAAATCTCCTGCAAATTCTATTATAATAAATTCTAAAGCCAAATTGAAATGATTGCAGAATTATTCACTGTTTTAAGTTTTGGCACAATTTACCCCTTAGTAGAGTCATTCAGAGTCTTTTTACCATGACCCTATTTCTAGAAAACATTCTCGTCAAGCACAGTAGGGAACCATTCTTTGAGGACCCTTAGCCTATGGGTCACATGGATAGTATTACCTATGGCATGCTAGATAATAACAGGTATGTATATTTAAGAACTTTTCTTTTGTGGGAATAGAGTAGGTACCAGTGAGAAGGAAGTAAAAGCATGGAAAAGTAACTAAGCTAAGAATTACGCTAAGTAAATAAGCTAAGAATTTCAGTCTGGGTTTTGAATAGGTCGTAGAACAAAACAAAAAGGAAAACCCTGGCACTTCTTATCTTTTGTCATTTCAACTCCTGGCTGCCCATAGTTAAGGGCCTTGCCACTCAATCTGAAGACTAGTAACACGGGAAACCCCTGGGAGCTGGTTAGAAGCTCAGCATCTCAGGCCACACCCCAGGCTTTCTGAGTAAGAATCTGCATTTTAACAAGATCCCCAGGTGATGATGTACACACCAAAGTGTAAGAAGCACTTGTTTAAGGTGGAAAGGAAAGGAAAGTAGGCACTATCAGAATTTTAAGAGAATCCATTCCAGGAGACAAATATAAGAGTAATGATGATTACTTGGTTTTCTGCACATACATTTCCTATTTTAAATATAATGTAATATAGCTCTTGTTTAATTGCCTTTCAGTATAGGCTGTTTCCTTTACCAACTGTGTAAATTATCTTTATAATTCCAATGCATCAACTGGGTATTCTTTTTATGTAGCTTGAGAGGCACTTAGATGCTCTATAAAGTTTTGTTTTAATTAACATAATAAAAGCAGATAATTCAAAAGAACAATCTTTGTTTCAGTCTGGAAACCTTTCCATAAACTAACATACACCTTAAAAATTCCTACGTACTTTAGCAAAACAAAATGGAAACAAACCAAAAAAAAAAAAAAACCTGGTAATATTCTATTCTGAAAGATTTAGAAAAATGTGCATAAACCTGCACTTGCGTATTGTGTGTTGTAGCTATAACATTTTTACTTTAAAAAGGAATTAAAATTAAGCTGACAGTATTTTGCCTGAAGTACCTCCTTATGACAGTAGATGGCTTCAATTATTTAGAAATTATATACATAATAAAGTATTTTTTTTAAGTTTCTATATTGATCAGTTTGGAAACGTAAACCTTTTACCATTTAGAAACTAGAAAAGCAATTTTAAAGTTAAAATGGTTTTACCACAATTTTTTACATGACTGATTTACTCTGCATTTTTTAAAATTTCTGTAATTTTATTCTTTCTGTTATCTGACATGTTTTTAAACAAGGGAAATAATTGAATGGTACAATGAAAGAACCTTAGAGATTCTAGTTCAAAATTTCAGCTTATAGAAGGGAAAACAGCCCCCTAGAATATTAAATGCCTTGCCTGTAGTTTCTCTGCAAGTAATTTGTAGAACGAGAACTGGAACCCAGGTTGGTTTATTGCTTTTCCTACTTCAATTCCTAATGTTGAGGGTTATATCTCAATGCTCACTTTTTTTAAAGTTTTTATCTTTTGTTCAGAAATGTAAAATGTACTTTACTGTCTTCTTCCTTAAATGTGTTAAGGAACTCTTTTCTGCTATGGACTTATAATAATCCAATTCTAAACACATTGTTACCCATAATTGTTGCTACACTTACACTTACACTTTTGAAATATAGTGGACATACAGTATATGGTATGTGACAGAGTAGAACAGTCTCGCTATGCATTATTGTTTGAAAACAGCCAACTATCTTATTGTTCTTTCATTTAATGGTGATTGAAGAGTTGCTATCTGTTACCCATTGTATCATGAAGAAGTCCTAGAGAGATAAATATGGCTGTATTGTATTTCAAGGGGGCTCATTGATGACCTAGGTAACAGTGATCAAAATGCAATACAAATATATGGATCTTTGAAATTATCAAGAGCTTTAAAAATTAATATCACCACCATCAAATTATATTACCAAATGTCTCTGTTTTCAAGTTTTCTCTGGACTCCACAGAAGATGTATTGTGTCTAAAATTCTTAAGGAGATAACATGCAGACATGGTCAAATTTTACAAAAAGAAAAGCTACACATTCTTTTGGATAGTAGATTTTAGAAAGAGGATGCAGTAAATTTGGAGAGTAACAAGAAGTCACTGAGGAACAGATTGACCAGCAGATTGTAGAAGGAGATGAAGAGGCAAGGATAGGAACTGAAAACACTAAGAAATCCTCGCTGGCAAGCTGATGTTAGAACCATCTGCATGCATGTAATGGGTATAGTTGATATTTGCAATTTGGGCTGAAAGGAATTATAAAATCCAGCACTTCTCAATAATACATGATGAAATTCATGTTTTTAACTAGCAGAAAATATTTTACTTGGAAGACTATTTATTTTTGAAAATCAAAGTATTTTACTTATATGTATTTAAAATGTAGTTTTAGATAAAAAGAAAAAACAGATATGCCTTCTTATTTTCATGTATTTTGAGATATTAATCAGTATTTTTGGTTGTTTTGTTTGTTTATTTTTTTCCCTGTGACTTTACTCATTGAGGCAGCTAGACTATGAACTAGACATTCCTTTTGGAAGAGTTTTCAAATCTTTGATTTTTAAAAATTTTAAAAGCCAAGATTCAGCCTTGAGACAAAACAATTAGAAAAATGCCTGACAGGTCAAAGCCAGTTTTTCCTGTTCCCAAGACTGAAGACTCTCTAGACTTGTGGAAAAGGAGAGAAGTCAGAGGAAAAGAAAAGAGCCTAGATGCTGGGTACCTGAAAAAGGACCTGTGCCCAGCTTTCTCCTGGATTGATTCTGAGGGTGGGGTGGGGTACAAGTTTAAGGGATAGTAGAACATCTCCCTTTGCATAATTTTGGGGAATTCAAGAACAGAAGGACCATCATTTTTTCTATTTAATCTGGAGTTCACCCTATGTTCACCCTATGCTAGAGCTCACCCCCAGAGTTCACCCTATGCTAGCCCAGGAACAATATAGTAGAGATGGCAATATGGTATGTTAGACTTACAAAGGGAGACTGAAATAGCTTCGCAGAGCACCTTTGTGCCCCAGCATAATGGTCGGAGGAGCAGCAGATCATTCCCCATAAGCCAGAGGCTAGTAGAGGGATGGGGTAGGGACTTTTAGTGTCTCACTAATTTTATCACTCTCCCAAAAGTTACAGTAAGGGAGACCACCCCTCATACTGTCTTATGCCCAATTTCTGCCTCCAAAGAAAGAAGTAAAAACTAAAAGGCAGAAATGAAATCCAGAAGCAGACAGCCCAGCGCCACACCCTGGGCCTGGTAGTTAAAGATCGACCCCTGACCTAATCAGTTATGTTATCTATAGATTACAGACATTGTATAGAAAAGCACTGTGAAAATCCCTGTCCTGTTCTGTTCCATTCTAATTACCAGTGCATTCAGCCCGCAGTCATGTACCCCCTGCTTGCTCAATTGATCACGACCCTCTCACACAGACCCCCTTAGAGTTGGGAGCCCTTAAAAGGGACAAGAATTGCTCACTCAGGGAGCTTGGTTGTTGGAGACGTGAGTCTTGCCGAAGCTCCTGGCTGAATAAAGCCCTTCTTTCTTTTTTTTTTTTTTTTAATTATACTTAAGTTTTAGGGTACATGTGCACATTGTGCTGGTTAGTTACATATGTATACATTATACATGTGCCATGCTGGTGTGCTGCACCCACTAACTCGTCATCTAGCATTAGGTATATCTCCCAATGCTATCCCTCCCCCTTCCCCCCACCCCACCACAGTCCCCAGAGTGTGATATTCCCCTTCCTGTGTCCATGTGATCTCATTGTTCAATTCCCACCTATGAGTGAGAATATGCGGTGTTTGGTTTTTTGTTCTTGCGATAGTTTACTGAGAATGATGATTTCCAATTTCATCCATGTCCCTACAAAGGACATGAACTCATCATTTTTTATGGCTGCATAGTATTCCATGGTGTATATGTGCCACATTTTCTTGGGATCTAGAACTAGAAATACCATTTGACCCAGCTATCCCATTACTGGGTATATACCCAAAGGACTATAAATCATGCTGCTATAAAGACACATGCACACGTATGTTTATTGCGGCATTATTCACAATAGCCCATCTTTCTTTAACTCAGTGTCTGAGGGGTTTTGTCTGTGGCTTGTCCTGCTACAACAGAAACTGGTGTCCAATACAAGGAGGACAAAACTGTCAGCTTTGTGGACTGGCAGCTAGAACATAAGTCTCAACAGATAGTAGCATGGTCAGATGTTGACAACTAACAACAGATGATAGCCCCCAGAACATATATGCAATCCCAATGCAACTGGGTTTGGGAGTGGGAACCTCGAGTTGACTGAGATTATTTTTCTAGCATCGGGTGTAATGGGGGCTTGAAATAGAAATTAAAACATTTCTTGTATACTTGAGTTTGTGGACTAAGATTTGTACCCTCTATTATCAATAGTGATAGATCTGTGCAAGTTTCATATCTTAATATTAGTAAATAAAGTCTTCTTTAGATTTAATATGATATATCAAAACATTACAACATAACAATTTTAATTGGTATATAAATTCAGATATCAGTCTCAGGCAGATAGATGCTCAAATGGTAATTCTACCAGCACTAGCTAACATTTACTGAATACATGCTATGTGCCAGAACTTGTCCTAAGCTGTTTAGAAGGCCTATTTTGTTTAATCCTTTTAGTAATGCTATAAGGTGAATTCTCTTACTATGTATATATTCTGTAGATGAGGAAGCTAAATAAACTGCCAAAGGTTACAAAGTTTGAACTTTGTGAGATTCAAGATTCTTCAGCACAACCATTATGCCATTCTGCCTAAAAATAAATAAAATGCTGACTGCATCTTTAAAGTTACATCAACTCATAAGTAAATTCAAGAGAGCTCTTACTCAAGGCACATCCTACAGTCTTGGTTTCTGGTTTAACTCGAGTTTCCAGAGAAAGCAAGACTGCTGTGACCTTCTCCCTAGATAATCTGGTCATTGTGTGGGTCCTTTCCCCTCAGTCCTTCTTCCCATTTGGCCCTGGACTCCCAAATCACTATTTTGTGGGGTTTTTGTTTGTTTTCACACTTAAGCTTCTGTACTTTAATTTGTTTTTCTGACCTGGCTCTGGGTCCCTGAAGACTATTTGTTTATTTTTCCTAGGTCAATGACTCCATTCTGAAACCCAATATTCAGGAGAGGGGTAGAAAAAGGAGGCCCTGTTTTCAACAAAATACTCTTTAGTAAGGGCAAGTTGGTATTGTCTTCCAATGCTGTGTTATAAACCTTCTCCACTGTTATCAGTAAAAACTAGCCTAAATAAGAAAGAGAAGAAAGCTTTTTGTGACCTTTACTTGACTTGCAATACTTCAGTAACATCTGCTTTGAAATATGACTCTCATCTTGCCATTTCCTCTCACAGTATATAGTGAAATGTGATTTTCTTTCATACCTCTCACCTAGGAATATGATATTGTTTTGAAGAAAAGTTTGAAAGTTAAACACAAATCTTTACTGAGAGTATTTGATATCTATGTTATAAAAATATGACTGAATAAAGTTACTCTTGAAGTTCTATTTTTATCCTTAAATTAAAGTTTAAAGAAAGGAAAGGGATTAGCAGTTATTATTAGATTTTTATGTTAAAAATTATGAACTTTCAATATATAAATTTCAGTTTTTCCCAATAGGCTTTATTGCTTCCTCTGTCTTTTCATATTCCTGTGCTGTCCATCAACTGTTTCCTATCCTTTTGGGATTTTCCTTAATTTCTGTTTGCATTACAATATCATATTTCTTTTATTTTAAATGATTTTAATTTCATTTTTAATATATAGTGAGCACACCCTGTAATAATTTCTTTCACTTCTTTTAACTTTCAAAATAACTTTGTCTTTTGAAATTTTTGCCTTCTAAAATAAGTCAAGCATTTTAGTCTACATAGAAATAAATATTCTCTTTTCTCTGAATTTTATGTATTTATAGAAAAGAGTTCCATATATCTAAATACTTTTTAAATGTAGAGATGCTTGGTAAAACAGAATCTCCACTGTAATAAATATTTCTTCATTTGGATAATTCCATTGACAAAATTATGTGCAATAATTTGCAACTTTATGTATGCTTTTAGGTTTAAAGAAGGGTAGTTTTCTTTCTTTTTTCCACAATAAAAATAGCTTTATTGGCCAGGTGCGGTGGCTAACACCTGTAATCCCAGCACTTTGGGAGGCCAAGGTGGGCGGATCACCTGAGGTAGGGGTTTGAGACCAGCCTGAACAACATGGAGAAACCCTGTCTCTACTAAAAATACAAAATTAGCTGGGCGTGGTGGCACAAACCTGTAATCCCAGCTACATGGGAGGCTGAGGCAGGAGAATTGCTTCATCCCAGGAGGCGGAGGTTTCGGTGAGCCAAGATCATGCCATTGCACTCCAGCCTGGGCAATAAGAGTGAAACTCCATCTGAAAAAAAAAAAAAATCTTTATTGTATATTTATCTAATTATGAAGGTAGCACATGCTTACAGTTCATAATGCCTTTATTATAAAACAATTCAGCAGTTCTATGCAGTAGACTAGGTATACACATAGCAACATAGATCTAAAAATCATAGTACTATGTAAAAATGTAAGGAACAGGATGTCATACTATCTAAGTAAATCTAAATACCTACATACAAATACCTACATACAAATACCTAAATTACAAAAATGCGTTTTGTAGAAATACATACAAGCTGAAAGATTTACATAAACTGCATTAGAATAATGTGCGTATGTTTTGGGGGAGGAGGTATTGGGTGATCTTCATGGGAAATAGAGATAAAAGAGAATAAAAGAAGAAATTTCAGATAATAAAGAAATGTACAAAGAAGTTAAAATCATCATCAATCCCACTACTTGGTGATGATCACAGTTAACATATTTTGGCATACGGCCATCCAGATAACATAAACACACTTTAAAGTAGAATTATAATTTGTTTATTAATCTTCAATTTTTTTTTTGAGATGGAGTCTCACTCTGTCACCCAGGCTGGAGTGCAGTGGCATGATCTTAGCTCATCGCAACCTCTGCCTCCCTGTTTCAATTATTGAAAGTGATTCTCCTGCTTCCGCCTCCTGAGTAGCTGGGATTATAGTGCACACCACCAGGCCCGGCTAATTTTTGTATTTTTAGTAGAGACGGGGTTTCACCATGTTGATCAGGCTGGTCTCGAACTCCTGACCTTGTGATCCGCCCGCCTCGGCCTCCCAAAGTGTTGGGATTACAGGCGTGAGCCACCGCGCCTGGCTAATCTTTAATTTTAACAATACAATATAAATGTATTGATATACATAATCGTTTTTCATGTAATACATTCATGGATGTGCCCACTTATTTAATGACTACCTTATTGATACATATTTAGATTATTTGCAGTTTTTGGTTATAACCAATGTTGTAATAAGCATGCTTATACCTACAGCTTTATTTGCTTTTTGTTAGAAATTCACATTTAAATTATTGAAACAAGCTGGGCATGGTGGCTCACACCTGTAATCCTGCACTTTGGGAGGCTGAGGCAGGCAGATCTCTTGAGCCTAGGAGTTCAAGACCCGCCTAGGCAACATGTTGCAACCCCATCTCTACAAAAAATACCAAAATTGGCAGGGCGTGGTGGTGCTTGCCTGTATTCCTAGCTGCCTGGGAGGCTGAGGTGGGATGATCACCTGAGTCTGGGAGATTGAGACTGTGGTGAGCCATGATCGCTCCACTGCACTCCAGCCTGGGTGACATGGTGAGACACTCTCAAAAAAAAAAAAATTATTGAAACAAATTATCAAATTGCTCTCCAGAAATGTACCATTTTTATATTTCCAATATGAAGCTTTCTGATCCCTGCACTCTGAAGCTTTCAACCTTGAAAAAAACAAAAACAAACAAAAACAAACAAAAACAAAATTATCTCCATATTCCAGACCATCCAAATGTCCAGCTCTCATCCATAGCCTAAATTTACTCACAGCCTTTTCTGTTCAGTGTTAGGTGAAATGAAAGACTTTGAAACACATTAATGAGAGTGCACAACTGACAATTTAGCATTGCCTTTGTCTGATCTAAGCATCAGGGACTAAGAGAAAGCAGAAGGGATGCACCTAGAACTACCTCTGATTTCATTTATGTGTATTCACTTCAGTAGTACATCAACTTTCTTGTGCTAAGTTTTCTATGTGCATCAGAATCCTGAAGTTAAAAAAAAGAAAATTAAAGCTTTTTGCCAGGTGTGGTGGCTCACGCCCGTAATCCCAGCACTTTGAGAGGCCAAGGCAGGCGGATCACTTGAGGTCAGGAGTTTGAGACCAGCCTGCCCAACATGGTGAAACCCCATCACTACTAAAAATATGAAAATTAGCTGGGCATGGTGGCATGCCTGTAATCCCAGCTACTCTGGAGACTGAGGCTTGAACCTGGGAGGTGCAGGTTGCAGTGAGCCAAGATCGTGCCACTGCACTCTAACCCGGGCGACAGAGTGAGACTCCATCTCAAAAAAATTAAAATTAAAATTAAAATTAAAGCCTTTAATTACTAATAGTAGAACCTGTGTTCTAAGAAATTTTGAGTTTTCTATTTCTCCTTGACCTCATTTCTAAAGAAAAATTCCTAATTTTTCTTGATAGTTCTGACATCAGTGATAATCCTATGCCCTAAATAGTTGAATGGGTTTTCAAACATTGCAACAAAATCAGACAGCAGTTCCGGTGCCCCAACTGGAGCAGCCTGGTGGGGTGGGCTGAGCCATGCTGTTGAGCCTGGCAGACTCTGAGCTTTGCCTGTACCCATGCACTACAGGGCCTTGGGCTAGTCACTTAACTCCTCTAAGTCTCACTTTCTTTAACTGTTACATGAAGATAAGGATTTTCACTTGGCTCTCTCTCTAGTATATGGAGAAAATAGCTCAACAAATATTTGTTAGTAAGTTAACTATTAGGAATAATAAGGTAACAATTAGGAGTAATGAATGAGAAATGCCTAGAACCTAGCAAATATCATTAAGTGGTAGCTATTGTCATTATTAAGATAACATATAGGGATGTTGTTGGAGAGAAGCAGACGGCGAAAAACTTCAAATAGTCCTGATGGCTGGTAGGAGTCCACGGTTAGGTACTGGGACCAGAATGAATCTAAAATGTGGGAATTGATATTGACAGGTTAGAGGAAGAAAGGTAGTTACTCTCAGTTAGGCCTGGCATTCTGGGTTACCAACAGCCTCTCCAAATGGAAAATACCCATGTAGCTTTTAACAACATGTAAATGTGAATAATCAACTAATCAACGCAAAGTCCTTAAGCTTTATCTACCCAATATCATTGCTATACCCAAAACCACATTGCAGAAAGAATTGCGAGGTGCATGTTTTCTTAATGCTATTATGTGGCAGGAATTTAAATTGGAAACCTCTTTTCAAAGAACGTGTGCATTAAAAGGATATTATTCAAAGCTATCTGAGTGGTAATTACTATGTAAAGGCTAATTGACCTAATTAATCTAATGTGGGTCAGTGGCTCTATTGTACCCAGAGAAGAGCATTTTCAAATGACATTTAAAAAAAAGAAACTCCAAAAGGAATTTCTTTAAGTGAACATCCTTAAATTTAGTGACTCTGGTTTATTTCTTGCACACAGATATTATATTGCTGGATATTATATTGCTGGAGTGCCTGAGCGGGGATAAAAAGAGATAGAGAGACTAATTCTCTGAGGATACTAAGGAATATTCTGTTCATCACTCAGGGGAAGGCACTATATAAATTACATTATAACAGTACTGCCTCTTTCTGATAACATAACACTGAAAGAAGAATTCAACACGACAAGAAGTCAAATTTACTATCATACTGTTTTGATTCTCTTGGTGATGTGATAAAGTGCATGCTGATACCTGCTTTTTATTTTATTAACTTCAGCTTCTCTGAATGCCAACTTGTCCCATTAGAAGTCTTGACTGCAAAATATAAACTGGGTCTGATAATATCTGTGCCCTATGACTATGGAAAGAACATATAATCCACACCTGTGGTAGACAAAATAATGGCTCCTGAAGATGTCCACATTCTAATCCCAGAAATTTCATAAATATGGTACCTTACAATGGCAAAAGGGACTTTGCACATGTGAAATTAAGTATCTTGAGATGAGATTATCCTGGTTATCTGGACGGGCTCAATGTAATCACAAGGGTCCTTATAAGTGAAGGAGGGAGGCAGGAGAGTCAGAGTCGGAGAAGGAGACGTGACCATGGAGCAGAGGTCAGAGAGAGAATGAGAGAAGGAGCTAGAATTGAAGATGCTACATTGCTGGCCTTGAAAATGGAAGAAGGGCCACAAATTACAGAAAGAATGCAGTTCTGGATTTTGAAATCAAGCAACAGCCTTCATTTTTCACTCAGGGACACTGATTTTTGGACTTCTGGCCACCAGAACATAAATTTGTGTTGTAATCAATGCGTGCTGTTTAAAGCTGCTAAATTTGTGGTAATTAACTTGTTACAGCAGTAACAGAAACTAATACAATGTTTTTGGATTCATGGCACAGAGCTATATTCATATCATTTTCATTGGATTGAACTGACTTTCCCAAACTGTGTGATAATCCCAAACAGAACTATGACCACAACCCAGGGAGACCCTACAGCAGAAGATCTGGCTTTGCCTTTTTATTTGCAGCACAAGCTCACTTCACTTCTTTGTTCCCATATAGTTTCAGGCTTTTTTAAAAATGGAGTGCTAGTGGAAGTTTGTAAGTGTGGGAAGAAACCAGTCCTTTCGTGAGTTAATTCCTCTCTCCCAGGTTTTAAAACCCAAAGACACTGTCTCAAAAGATATTTACAACTATAAACAATGTCTTTTAATCACTTGGCTTCTGTTTTGTGCTCAAAAGTAAACAAGAGTGAACCACTTGGAGGATGAGGAGAAAGTTCACAAAGCCTTTAGAAGGTGGGTAAGTGTCTTCACCAAGAGTCACAAGCTGTGGATATGACGTTGGGCAGCTGATCAAAATTTCACATGGGTCTAAGGAGTTGAATAATATTAACATCTACTGTGCTAAGGAGCACTTGAATTACAGTAAGGAACATATGCATTATCCCATTGTCCCACACTTATACCAGTTTTCATTTGAGGAAATTAAAACTTAAGAAATGGCACTATTTGCACCGTTACCTATGGTGGACTCACTGTACATCTGACTCACTCTATACTTGAGTTGTTTACCACTATTGTATGTCCTTTCCCTTCTCCACATCAGAACCATAACAACTTGGAAAGTTTTCTATGTGACGTAGTCATGGCAGGTTCATTTTCTTGAGTTTCTAAGTGTGCTGCCTACCCAGGAAAATTCCTGAGAATGCAGGAGGAGTTTACTAGAGGAAACACATTATCACCAAGCAAAGTCCTACTGCCAAATGCAGGTAGCAGAGAATGGCTAGACAATGCAGGACAAGCTTGGCTTTTTCTGAAGTGCACTAGTTCTTATTGGCTCAATGGAAAAGCTTGATAACTGATGCCATGATGGTGACTTCATTAGAAGTAAGGCAGACAATGAAAATGAATATTTTGCACATTTTGATTCCAATCATTGCAATCGTCCCACTGAGGAAGAAAAGCTGAAGGAATTCATTGAGACAAATTAGGATAAACAACAAGCTTTCTGATAAGCATGGATAAAAAGTAGACAGGATGACAACATACCCAAGGTATTGGAGTAACTCAGCAAAACACACTGGGAATGAAGACTAATGCTCAGAACAAGATAAACATGCTAAAGAATGGCTGGGCATGGTGGTTCATGCCAGTAATCCCAGGAGCTTTGGGAAGCCAAGATGGAAAGACTGTTTGAGGCAGGAGTTTGAGATCAGCCTGGGCAACATAACAAGACGATATCTCTACAAAAAACAAACAAACAAACAAAAAAATTAAAAATTAGTCAGGCATGGTGGTAGGTACCTATGGTCCTAGCTGCTTGGGAGGCTTAGGTGGGAGGATTACCTAAGCCTAGGAGGTCAAAGCTGCAGTGAGCTACAATTGAGCCACTGCACTCCAGCTTAGGCAACAGAATGAGACTATCTCTTTAAAAAAATGCTAAAGAAAACATTAAATTCAGATCAGAAAGAGTTCTGGGGAGAGGAAGGCCCCACCTTGAAAATAATGATGGTAGGTTAACTTATAGCAACAATGAGGAAGTAGAACTTCTGTACTCCTATTTTACTACCTTTTTTCCCCCTTGGGGAAAGAAATGGCCCATCAGAGTTGAGTGGAAAGGGTAGAAATAATAAGGAATTGGAGGCCCAACTTGTTTAAGATTCCACATCTAAATCACTGTATCCCAAGGCATGGTAACATCATATTGATTGAGGAAACAGGTTTTGGAATCAGATAAATCGACTGTGTTCTCCTGGCAAATGGTTTAACAGCAATAAATTTCAGTTGTAAATACCTCGTAGGGCTAGGGTGATAATTCAGCTAAAGCAGTTTAACATAGCATCTGGGACATAATAAATACATGCTAGCTACTCATTTTATCATTTGGTATTTTCATTGACTAGCTGCAATGACATCAGTAATCTTTTAAAAATGGTGCCAAAAGAATAAATATCGTGAATAGTCAGTAAGACTAGAACTAATAATTTTAAAGATAGTTTTTTTAGTTTACAAAGTAAGTAATGATGCTAGGAATAGTATGAGTTCAGTAAGAAGAGGCCATACCAATGTAAGTAAATTTTCCTTTTTCTAAAGGGCTACTTAATGGAAATCAATAGAATTTTATGTACAGAGAGTATTCAGATTTCAGCATGACCAAGAATCTCATGAAAGAGTCTTGTGAAAGAACTGTGGGCTGCTTGTCACACAGAGAGGGATTTTTAACTTGCTGAATAACCCAAATGGTGCTAGTTAAGAAATATTCCAAATCAAGAAAAAATTTATTAGGAGGAATAACTTAGAGGGTGGTCCCTCAGCCCTAAATTTTTCAGCAGTTTCACCAGTGACTGTTATGCTGACATCTGTAGCATGCTGATCAATGAAATTATTGAGACAAAATTCAAATTCAAAATATTCTGAAATGGCTGAAACAATAGATCAAGTCTAACACTATGAAGTTTGTCCACAAAAAAGTCTAGTCTTTTACTTCGTTCCAGCATCAAACTGTATAAGCAGAGGATGGGGTACATGTCTTAGAAGCTTGTATTCTTTAAAAGTTTTACTCAAGAGCAAGGCCATGTCAACCTAAAATAATAAAAAAAAGGTCAGAATACAGTTTAAAGAGGATTTATTCAAACACAAAGGTTGAGAGATACATCCTGGGACACACTTCCAAGTTCCTTGGGACATACTCTGGAGAACAAAAGAGTGGTTCAAGGTTTCAAAGAAAAAAAAAAGAACAAATCAGGAGAAGGGGTGATTACAAAAAGTTATTTGTCAGTAATTGTCATTGGTTTACAAAAATAACATTGAGCGGTGATTGATTATACATTGATAAATTATAGCTGTATGTTATTTTATAGCTATTTGACATCAAGATGATCTAGGGCCCACATAACAAGTGTCTTCAAGACATAATTATTTAGCTCAAGGGGGAGTGAGACAGGACTGGTGTTACATTTTAAATGCCTTTCTGGGCCTGATAATGTAAAGGGGCTCATATTCCTCAGATAAAAGGGTTTTTTTCTTTTTATTTCCCCCCTTTTGATGAAAATCTTTCTTCTTGAAAGCACTTATGATCAAAATCTGACTGTCAAAGTGTCCCTTGTCACTGGGAAGGCTCATTTCCAGATAGTCCTGTCCCATGTCAAAGGGGGAAAGGGAGACAGTCTCAGTGAGGATTTTTTTTAAGAGTCCCTCAAAGCTCATTTAGGATGGCATCACAGAGTGGCAAAAGTGAGAACTCTGTCAAGCCATTGATTTATGTAGCTGCTGTTGCCTGTTGAAACATAAACACCATGATTTTAGTTTTCTCAGGAGTAACACATATGGATTATAACCAAAAAGAAAATTGGTATGCCAGAATGGAAAAACAAAAACACCCAAATCTGTTCCTTTAGGGAGCCAATTAAAAACATTATGAAGATAATTAAACCCAGGTTCTTCTTTAGAAACTTGTTGTAGCCATGAAGTAATTCAGGATTTAGTCCAAATGGTAGGAAAATAAAAAAACTCAAAAACAATGATAAGGGCTAGAATCCAATAACAGGTGTGCTATAGTTCTTATCTGAAACTTAATTTCTCTCTCCAGTTTCCCATTTCTACCAAAGACAAATCTTAGTAGGACCAATTTACTTGTAAAATAAGTTTTAGTATTATGTTTGGCCTGATTATTTGCACAAAGTATAACAAGAATAGTGATTGGCCATATAGGCTTCTTTTTTCATTTTTTATTTTTATTTTTTTTCTGTCCTTACAGTCTATTCACAAGGCTCCTTTTTAAGTTGGCTTTGCTGGAACTCTTTCATAAGTAATTTCAGATTAGACTTTTAAAAGCCTCTTGAAGTTATAAAGCCAAGCCAAGGATTCACCATCAGACTGTGCCTTTAATACCTGTATGAATTGGGTGAATTCCTTTCTTTTTGAGGTCCCCAAATATCTTGAGGTTCCTGGCCCTATCAAAAAACAACATTTTTCACTTACCACAAGGTCAGGAACCTTGTAAGAGAACCATGTAGACAAGGTATCAGGCCAGTTCTTTAAGTCAACTTTAATTCCTCAAACCCGTCTGGTCATATCTGAAAAGATGTCATTCCAGTCAAAGCCTTGGGAAAATTACCAGTGTCTCCAATATGTCCTGTTACAAAAGAAAACAGATTTTTATTGAACTTATGTAAATTCCCATATTGTTATGAAATAAGAATACTCGCAAATAGTTTCTGAATTCTGGAGGAATCAGGTAGAGAGAAAGGCAAATATTTCCATTTTTGTTCACAAAAGTATACTTTGCTGGGCATTGTGGCTCATGCCCATAAACCCAGCACTTTGGTAGGCTGAAGCAGATGGATCACTTGAAGCCAGGAGTTTGAAATTAGCCTGGCCAACATGGCAAAACCCCATCTCTACTAAAAATATAAAATTAGCTGGGTGTGGTGGCACACACATGTAATCCCAGCTACTACGGAGGGTGAGGCATGAGAATCACTTGAACCCAGGAGCCAGGAGGTGGAGATTGCAGTGAGCTGAGATCGCACCACTGCACTCTAGCCTGAGTGACAGTGTGAGACCCTGTCTTAAAAAAAAAAAAAAGTGTACTTTGCCCAAATTGCTATAAGCTATAAATAGCTCAAACGAAAAAAAGTTTGTGGAAAACAAAACACATTACTACTTCAGGTGGAGCCCTTTAATGATAGGGCAAAGAAAATATTTGCAGTTTCCAGGGCCAAATATTTTAATATGTAAAAAGCAGGCACAATTGGAGGGCAACACATCTAAATCTTTAAAAATCAAGGATCCTTTTATATTGAATCCTGGCTCCCCAAAAAAGAAGGAAACACCATGACACCAGGCCATGACACAGGCTTCCACAGTGTACCTCACTACAAAGACATTCTCCTGGCTGGCAGGTAACCCAATGTCAATCAGCCCACTCTGTGAACAGCCCATCCCCCATAAGAGTTTTATCCCTCAGTGGTGAGTTCATACCTGCACTTTTATTTAAATGCACAAGGACTTTTTTTTTTTTTTTTTTTTTTTGAGATGGAGTCTTGCTCTGTCACCCAGGCTGGAGTGCACTGCGTGATCTCAGCTCACTACAACCTCTGCCTCCGAGGTTCAACTGATTTTCCTGCCTCAGCCTACTGAGTAGCTGGGACTACAGGCATGCACCACCATGCCTGGCTAATTTTTTTGTATTTTTAGTAGAGACAGGGTTTCACCATGTTGGTCAGACTGGTCTTGAACTCCTGACCTCGAATGATCCACCTGCCTCAGCCTCCCAAAGTGCTGGGATTACAAGTGTGAGCCATTGCACCTGGGCTCCAAGGATTTTTATAGGTTTCAGTTTTACATTGAAGTCTTTAATCCATCTTGAGTTAATTTTTATATAAGGTGTAAGGAAGGGGTCTGGTTTCCATTTTCTGCATATGGCTAACCAGTTTTCCCATCACCATTTATTAAATAGGGAATCCTTTCCCCATTGCTTGTTTTTGTCAGGTTTGATAAGGATCAGATGGTTGCAGAGGTGTGGTCTTATTTCTGAGATCTCTATTCTGTTCCACTGGTCTGTGTGTCTGTTTTTGTACCAGTACCATGCGGTGTTTTGGTTATTGTAGACTTGTAGTATAGTTTGAAGTCAGGCAGCATTATACCTCCAGCTTTGTTCTTTTTGCTTAGAATTGTCTTGGCTATATGGTCTCTTTTTTGGTTCCATATGAATTTTAAATTAGTTTTTTCTAAATCTGCGAACAATGTCAATAGTTGTTTAATGGAAATAGCATTGAATCTATAAGGGCAGACATAGTGGCTCACACCTGTAATCCCAGCACTTTGGGAGGCTGAGGTGGGCGGATCACCTGAGGTCGGGAGTTCAAAACCAGCCTGACCAACATGGTGAAACCCTGTCTCTACTAAAAATACAAAATTAGCTGGGCATGGTGGCACATGCCTGTAATTCCAGCTACTCGGGAGGCTGAGGCAGGAGAATTGCTTGAACCTGGGAGGCAGAGATTGCAGTGAGCCAAGATTGCACCATTACACTCCAGCCTGGGCAACAACAGTGAAATTCCGTCTCAAAAAAAAAAAAACAAAAAAAAAGCATTGAATCTATACATTATTTTGGGCAGTATGGCCATCTAGGCAATACCATTTAGGACATAGGCACTGGCAAAGATTTCATGATGAAAACATCAAAAGCAATTGTAACAAAAGCAAAAATTGACAAATGGAATTGAATTAAACTAAAGAACTCTGCACAGCAAAAGATACTATCATCAGAGTGAAC
Source organism: Homo sapiens (assembly GCF_000001405.40). NCBI lineage: Eukaryota > Metazoa > Chordata > Mammalia > Primates > Hominidae > Homo > Homo sapiens. The sequence goes on along the minus strand of NC_000001.11, from coordinate 91,229,060 downwards.
AGACAACCTAGAGAATGGGAGAAAATTTTTGCAATCTATCCATCTGACAAAGATCTAATATCCAGAATCTACCAGGAACTGAAACAAATTTACAAGAAAAATAAAAACCTGATTAAAAAGTGGGCAAAGGACATGAACAGACACTTCTCAAAAGAAGACATACATGTGGCCAACAAACATAAAAAAAGCTCAACATCACTGATCATTAGAGAAATACAAATCAAAACCACAATGAGATACTATCTCATGCCAGTCAGAATGGTGGTTATTAAAAAATCAAGAAGCAACAGATGCTGGTGAGGTTGTGGAGAAATAGGAACGCTTTTACACTGTTGGTGGGAATGTAAATTAGTTCAACCATTGTGGAAGACTGTGGTGATTCCTCAAAGACCTAGAGGCAGAAATACCATTTGACTCAGCAACCCCATTACTGGGTATATACCCAAAGGAATATAAATCATTCTATTATAAAGATACCTGCACACATATGTTCATTGCATCACTATTCACAACAGCAAAGACATGGAATCAACCCAGAGACCTATCAGTGACAGACTGGATAAAGATAATGTGGTAATGTGGTACATATACACCAGGAAATACTATGCCACCATAAAAGGGAATGAGATAATGTCCCTTGCAGGGACATGGATGGAGCTGGAAGCCATTATCCTCAGCAAATTAACACACGAACAGAAAACCAAACACCGCATGTTCTCGTTGATAATTGGGGCTGAACAATGAGAGCACATGGACACACTGTGGTCTGTTGGGAGTGGGTGAAGGGAGGGAGAGCATCAGGATAAATACCTAATGCACACGGGGCTTAATATGTAGGTGATTGCTTGATGGGTGCAGCAAACTAAAACCGCCTTTGCAAAAGTATAACTGAGGAAATCATGACAGTGAAAGAAATCAGACCTAACTAACTCCATCTTGCTTCTAACCTTTAAGCTGTCCTTGTTCATTCCTTGGCATAGGCCAAACTAACTTTGAGAAGGAATTCAGCTCATGGTTTGACTCTGAAACAAAATTAATAACAGCTCTTTCCTGAAAAACACCCCTTCTTGCCTAGAAACCAGTCTGCCTTTGCAGAACTAGCAAATTAGCTACAAGATTAGAAATTACAGTTTAGGGGTCGTGCAGCCTCTGGCTCCAAGAGTCTGAACCTCCCCAAATTGCTCCTGGGGATAACATCACTATTGCAAAACCTAAACTCAGTGCTTGAGATATTTTACAGACCCTGTACTTGATGGATCAGCTGATACCACACAGACTGGTGATCTGGCTCAACCAGTTATGCCATCTCACCCAGGAACAGAAGACAGCAAGAAAAACTCACTTGGAACCCTTATGATTCCATCTCCAACCTGACCAATCAGCACTCCCCACTTCCCAAGCCCCTACCCACCAAATCTCTGATCCCTGAATGCTCAGGTAGAGTGATTTGATTAATAATAAAACTGTGGGGCCAGGCGCGTGGCTCACGTCTGTAATCCCAGCATTTTGGGGGGCCAAGAAGGGTGAATCACCTGAGATCAGAAGTTCGAGACCAGCCTGGCCAACATGATGAAACCTCATCTCTACTAAAAATATAAAAAATGTTAGCCAGGAGTGGTGGTGCACGCCTGTAATCCCAGCTACTCTTGGGAGGCTGAGGCAGGAGAATTGCTTGAACCCGGGAGGCGGAGGTTGCAGTGAGCCGAGATCGCCCCATTGCACTCCAGCCTGGGCTACAAGAGTGAAACTCCGTCTCAAAAAAACAAAAACAAAAAACAAAAATCAAACCAAGCCAAAAAAATACTCCAGTCTCCCGCTCAGCGAGCTCTGCGTGAATTACTCTTTCTCCATTGCAATTCCCCTGTCTTGGTAAATTGGTTCAGTCTAGGCAGAGGGCAAGGTGAACCACTTGGGCGGTTACATAACCACTATGGCACACATTTACCTTTGTAACAAACCTGCACATCCTGCACATATATCCCGGAATTTAAAATTAAAATTTAAAAAAGACTAAATAATAAATGCACAAGGAAATGAGTATTCCCTTGTGGTAACTACCATTCATTGCAACTGTAACTGCCTAATGGGTTCACATTGGGCTGGCTGCCTAGAAAGAACCAGTTTATTAAGTCTGGGGAATTGTAATGGTGAAAGAGTAATTGACACAGAGCCGGGTGTGCGGGGTGACCGGAGTCTTATTATTACTCAAATCAGTCCCCTGGAACATTCGGAGATCAGAGTTTTTAAGGGTAATTTGGAGGGTATGAGCTTAGAAAGTGGGGAGTGCTGATTGGTCGGTTGAAGATAAAATCACGGGGGGTAGAAGTGAGTCCTTGATGACTTCCATTCCCGGGTGGGATCACAAAATTGGTTGAGCCAGATAATCAGTCTGGATGATGTCATCTGCTGCATCAGAATGTAGGGCCTGCAAAATATCTCAAGCACTGATCTTAGGTTTTACAACAGTGATGTTATTCCCAGGAGCAATTTGGGGAGGTTCAGACTCTTGCAGCCAGAGGCTGCATGGCCCCTAAACTGTGATATCTAATTTTGTAGCAAATTTGTTAGTCTTACAAAGACAGACTGGTCCCCAGGCAAGAAGGGTTTTTTTGGGAAAGAGCTATTAATCCATTTTGTTTCAGAGTTTAAACTATAAACTAAATTCCTTCGCAAGGCTAGTTCGGCCTACACCCAGGAATGAACAAAGGCAGTTTAGAGGTTAGAAGGAAGATGGGGTCAGTCAGGTCTGATCTCTTTCATGAAATAATTTCCTCAATTATGATTTTTGCAAAGACGATTTCACATCCATAGTCAGCCACCTCCCAGACTGTAGCTCTCACCAGTGATCCACCAGTCATCATACATACCAAAGCGTATTGTCTCATAGTCTCACCAGTAATCCCTGGTACCCCTAAAAATGAAAGAGATCGGGTAATTGATGTAAAAGACAGTAGAGTTTAGACTTGAGAGGAACGTGTCCATGACTCTTCAGATTCCACAGGAAGGCAGAATACCTTAAAAAGGGGATGAGTGGTGACTCTTTCTGTGTCCCTTAAGGGGTCTGAGTCATTAGAGGTTCGCTCAGATTTGTTTTCTTTTCTTTTTTTTTTTTTAGATGGAGTTTTGCTCTTGTTGCTCAGGCTGGAGTGCAATGGCTCAATCTCAGCTCACTGCAACCTCTGCCTCCTGAGTTCAAGTGATTCTCCTGCCTCAGCCTTTCGAGTAGCCGGGATTACAAGTGCACGCCACCATGCCCAGCTAATTTTTGTATTTTTAGTAGAGATGGGGTTTCATCATGTTGGTCAGGCTGGTCTTGAACTTCTGACCTCAAGTGATCCACCCGCCTCAGCCTCCCAAAGTGCTGGGATTACAGGTGTGAGCCACCATGCCAGGCCTAGATTTCTTCATGTAGCACTGAAGACAGCAAAGAGGAAGGAGGATCTTGAATATCAGCTTTTAACTAAGCTGACCTCTGACCATAGAATAGCTTTTTAAAAATCCTTTTAAATATCTTATTATCAGATTTTAGCCAGGATAAACAGCTGAAATTCCTGGGTTTTGAACTTTTTTTTTTTTTTAACCGAAGGTACCCTCCCAAGTGACTCACTAAACCAATAAGCCTTAAATAAGGTTATACCTTCACCAAGGACACATGAGGCATCTCCAAAGAGGTGCAAAGCAGTCTTTATAAAATCCAGAACCACCCCAGAAATGGTTCAAAGAAAGGAAGGTTTTGCTAGCCACAAAAGGGGGACAGCCCACATTGATCTGGCCATATCTTTCAGGGTCTCAGCTTCTCAGTTGACCATTGATACACAAGGCCCAAAACCTCTGTTTGACCCCACAGATGGAAGAAGACAGGAAATCAAAAGTTGTTCATAGAAGGCGAAGGGATCGATAACAAATGGGTGTTCCAAAAGGTCAAAAGTCACATAAATATCAAACCAAAGGAACTGATTTCCTGACTGGGAATTGAACCAGGCCATGGCAGTGAAAGCACAGAATTTTAACTACCAGACTACACGGTGGAACAGCTCCAAAGCAGGCTGTTTGAAATTATGAAGGGCTTTAGCTTTGTTTTAGGTCAGATTCTGGCTCTTCAATTTTGCCGAATTTCTGAGGCTGGCCACAACACTATTATTTATCTTTAAAAAAAAACATTTTTTGATCTCCCATAAATACAAATAAGGCAATTGCTTGGAATGAGAGATATCTTTTTAAAATTTAGGAGTCATTCTAATTTAAAGGATCCATCTTTTGGCCACCAATGATTAGACTTTCCAGTGGTGTACTCAATCCAATAGCAACTCAGTCCAATTATCATAGCAAAAATTATACCAGAGTCCCTACAACCAAGACTAGTCACACAAATCCTTTTCTCTCATTAATCAACATTTTGCAGAGGAAACAGAAGCAAACAGTGATTTTGGATGGTAACGTCCACTCAATCTATTAACAATGGAGGGTGTCCAGTTTCTTGGTGTCTTGAACAAAGAATTGGACAAAATGCACAAACAAAGCAAGGTGGGAATGAAAGGATTTATTGAAAATGAAAGTATACTCCACAGTGTGGGAGCAGGCCTGAGCATAGGGGCTCAAAGACCCCATTACAGAGATTTGGGGGATGTAAATACCCCCTAGAGGATTCCATTGGTTACTTGGGGTATGGCTTATGTAAATGGAGAGGATGAAGTAAAGTTATAAAGTCATTTACTTGGCCTACGTCCTATGGAGAGGATATTTCCTGTCATAGCTAAAGTGTGAATCGGCCTTATGTTCCCGGCCTCCAGACCCCATTTTTCTTGCCTCATCTTCCCCCTGAGAGATATGATCCCTGTAAATATTTATGGGAGGCAGAGGGACCAACGGTCTTTTTTTCTGTAACTGCTTCATGCTGGCTTGGGGCATAGTCCCTAAGTATTGTGGATCATGGATCTCTTGCCTTGCTCAGTCTGGTGGAGGCAGGGTAGGTGCTCCCTGACAGTCAGGGGTGGTGTCTTCACCTTGAACTGGCTGGAACCTTTGTTGCATGATCATCTGAAGCTTGATGGTCTCTAGGTGAGAAGAAATGAATTTGGTTAAAAAATTTAATGGGAACTTCACGGAGTGGATACCTATGCTGTCAGAAATGTTTGTTATAGAGATTTGCAGGAGAAAAAACAAAGCTTCATCTGTTCTAGAATCTATGTGTTTCTTTAACGTCTTAGCATGAGCAACTCCATTTTGGTTTGGCTTGGTTTGTTGGGGCCTAGTGCATGAGCTTAGCCCAAAACAATAGACTCCCATAATTTTGTTTAAAAAAATTTCCCCTTTTTTGTCATGCTCTCACTTAGGTGAGAGTGTAATCAAAACTTAGGGCCTTAGCACCACTCTCAGTTACCAACATTTTGAGTTTCCGGTCTCAGCACGTCATTTATAGGTGTCCTCATGGTTGCACATTTCTTTCAGCTCCTGTTATTCCAGTTGAAGAGAGACCATATGACATTCTAGAGATGGCTGCATGCAAGCATTTAAAACCTTTGAGAGAATACAGTGCACCAGGAAGACTATTATTATGACTATTGGGAGGATAATACCAAGAGTTTGGGATATGCTCCTTACCCAAGGTCCCCATAAATTGAACCTCCTAAAATCAAATTGATCAAAGAATGAGCTAGATAAAGTTTACTCACTTAACTAAGTAATTTCTTTGTCTATCCCTTACCACTGAATTTCTATAATCTTCATTTGATGTATTTCTGAATAGGCCACAAGTGCCAGCAGCTACACAGGTACTTTTCTGTTTAGCTAATTCTATTGTTTAGCATAACTTTCACAAGACAATTTAAAGTCTGTTGTGTAACTGTACCCTTTACAGTAGAATTTGCTGTACAGCGTATCATGCAGGATACATTTCTAATAATTGCTTCTTTTACTTTAAACCATGGAAAAAGGACCTAAAAAATGATCCCCTTTTAGAAGAGTGAAGGCCTTCTGGCATTGTTCTCTTTAAGCCATGATGTGGGTTAAGAGGACTGAACCAATGTTTTGTTTTTGACTGATTATGACGGAACATATGTACCATTAAAGTTTCTTACTTACATTGGGCCTTCATTATTCTATCAAAGTATAAAGTAATCCATGTATAAGGCTGGCTGCAAACTCCTTCACAAATAAAAGTACACCCCATTAGTGCCCATAACAGACCCCTTTTCCACTTCCACTGTTCATAGAGGCATAAGCAAGAAAAAACATTCAAAGATAAGAGTTTCATGACAGTAGAAGTCTTAATCTGTGAACTTGAGAAAAGCTGTTCACATCAAGGACGCCATCTTCTTCTTGGGAAAAATTTCCCTGGTTAGCTTTACCTCAAGGGTTCCAATGAGTGCATAGTTCCAAAATTGTGGAGGTACCCTTCTTGGTTGCGAGACCATGAACCTAAAGCCCAAAGTCCCGAAGTTTGGTTGTAGTGTGGATGGCAAGGAGAGTCTTTCCCTGATGTTTCCGGAAGATTCAAACTGTAAAAAGCTAGTTTTTACCTGGTGAAAAATACACTGTAGCATAATAATCTACTGTTATAACATCAGCCCTCTTGTATGGGAAAGCTTTTATACAACCAGAAAAATTGCATTAAAAATAACAATTGAATGAAATCCATTCATAAAATGTTGAAATGGCCCACCAGGTGACCAAATGTACCTGAAGCTTTAATTGTTTTCCCAGGAATATGGGATCAAACGTTAGTTATAAACTATTTTAAACAATTTCAGTATTAGCTGGTTTAACATGAAAGTATTTTCTTGATAATTAATTTTTTGTTTTACTTGGGTTAGTAGCTTTATTCAAGGAAATTTGGTTATTTCTGTGGTTTATAATAACTATAATTGTGATTAGTAGCATATACTTAGACATTAAAATTTTAGAAATCCCATCTAATTTTGGAATATATATTAGTATTATTCACAAAAATATAACCTAAAGAAGATTGAACATCATTTTGGCAATCCCATGTACCTAAACACATCAGATAATCCTTTTTACCTCTTTTCTGGATGTTTTCAGGAGACTTTTGATCCATCCAGAAAACCAGGCATTAGGAAAGACAATTTTGAAACTGAAGTTTGATTTTGGAATTCCAGATTACGGTTAATTATTTAAAATTTCTGTCATCATTTTAGTAAAATAAAGAAGCAAAAACCTTTTATAAGCTTTTTAAAAGACATACACACACACACACGCATTCTACTGTTTACAAACCTTGCATGTAAAACTATTTCTAATGGTATTAATTGCATGTTACAATGGCGACTCTTAGAAATTTCAACTTGAATGTAATAAAACTGGTAAGTTACGTTCTGATAAAGTTTGACTGTTTCCAGCATAGCTAGGGCATGGCCAACTCCACATGCGCGTCCCCAGGTCTTACCTAGCTGGAAAGCAGTCAAGTTAAACTATTTTCAAAAGCCACAAAAGCAGTTTATGACCTTAAAGCATTTAGCAAACCTAATGTTTGAACGTAATTTAGAACACATGTTTACATTTTGAAGGCAATTGTATTTTACCGATAATCTTTAAAATCGTCTTTATTTCCCAAAGATTGCTAAAGTCAAGTGAACTAAAAAGCATTACACTTTCTACTTTTCTGACAAAATATTAAGTTCTTATTAAACCAATTAATTTAAAACCTCACAGAGGAGATTAACCAGTTTACACAGAACAAAAAAGGCCAGAGACTGACTGGTAAGATATTCTTACCCTGCCGGGCCTATCCCACAGACCCTGGCCAACAGATGAAATGAGTAGTCAGACACAGGTATGCAGTGTAAGAGCAGCTAGGTGACTGCCTCACTCTAGTGGCCAGAGAGCGGCTCTGGAGCTGCTTGCTTTTATTCAGTGTAGGCACAATGCCGAAAACCTGGAGCCAACACAACCTGCAGGTAATTAACATTTGTTGTTCCCTTTTCAGGGAACGCATGGATGATCAAAGATCAGTTCCTGGTCAACATAAGTAAACAAGCCTGTTTAAGATAAATTCCTCCACACTCCCTTGTACCTACTCCTTGCCCTCTGCCTCAGGGTTATAGAGCAGCTGCCTTCAGCTATTCTCCCCCAGGGCTCTACAGAAACTTCCAACCGTTCAGAGGTTTGTGTCCTTTCCCTATAGTTTTTCTACCACTGTAACCGATCTCCTACATCTCTCCCTTTTCTGTTTTTTTGCATCAGGTTTTGTTGACTGAGGCATACAGATATGCACAGTGACAACCTTGACAGGCGCAGCAGTTACAGCTTGTGTTCCAGCTTTGCATCTTAGAACCAGTAAATAACATAAGACAAACATCGGTATAATCAGTATTATTCTTTTCCAATCAAGGAGTGATATGTAGTGTTACTTGGCACCTCAGTCCAATGTGTGCCATTACTGAGGGACCCCACTGGGGGTATGTCAATCCTTCCCAGCCAATCAGTCACATTGTTAGAGGCTGGGAAGAGGGTGACTGCCCAAGTAACAGGGTGGAAAAAAGGCGGATCTAGAAGATGGGCCCAATAGGATATAGCAGGTACAGGTAGCAGGCAAAGTGAGATAATAAAAAAGGTTAATACCCTATGAGAGTTGCAATGTGCAACAGAAAGCATAGCAAGGAACAAATTATCTGGAGTGAATGGTGTCTGTGTCTGGCACAGGATTTGCTTGGCCTCCTGAGTTGTCTTCTTCAGCATCCCCCAGGTAATATCTGGGGCCTATGGCATCCAAGGAAGCCGCATCATCCAGGGTTGTGCATCCTGCAGGGTCATTTTATTCATTTCTGGTACCAGGTTGGGTGCCAGTCATGCCATGGTAAGGTTTGATGCATCGTGCTGGAATCTAAAGAGGACCTCAGGGGGTGTGAACACAAGCATATCCTCTTCCCCACGTTAGCAAATCATTTGGACCACACCATACATTTCATTTACATTTCACCACTATTTACATTTCCATAAAACTGAAGGTTTTATATCTTGAATGTTTTTTGCAAAGTGCTTTTCTATAGCTGATTGAAATGTATCATCTAAATTTAACAAATTAAGGGTAAATAAGGCTTGTGCCAATCGTGTTGCAGGATCCTTATTCATATTCCCCCTTTTTTGTTTTCTGAGCATGTTTTTAAGGGTAGAATGGGCATGTTCCACTATGGCCTGTCCTTGGGGGTTATATGGGATACCTGTGGAATGTTGGACCTTCCATGCGTGACAAAATTGTTGAAACTGTGAGCTGGTGTAAGCCAGACCACTATCAGTTTTAATCTTTGTGGGCCTCCCCATAAACACAAAGGTTAAGAGAAGATGTTTAATGACATATCAGGCTGACTCTCTAGGAAGAGCGTGAGCACTTATTAGGTGGGAATAGATATCAATGGATACATGTACAGATCTTAGTTTTCCAAATTCAGGGATGTGTGTAACATCATTTACCATAACTGATTAGGTTCTAGTCCTCTAGGGTTAACACCTGTTGAAGGAGGGGACATGCCTGTGAGCTGGCAATCTGGGCACTGTAAAATAATTTGTTTTGCTAGTCTTTGGCTAAGTTGAAATTGTTTAGATAAATTTCTCCAATTCTGATGAAGAAACAGATATGATTGTGTGGCTTGGTCAAGTAGTGATGTCATGACCTGCAAATCTGCTTGATCATTGCCATGAGCCAGTGGGCCAGGCAGTGAGCTGTGGGCCTGAATGTGTGTGGTAAAAACAAGATGTATTCATTGAATCAGCAATTGCTAAAGTCAAAGACAAAGGGGACACAGGGTGGGCTCAAGAGTGGACTTAATGAGGGCTGTTTCAAGGTTTTGCAATAAATAAATGGGGTAAGCAGAGTCACTAACAATATTGATGGGCTGAGTGGAAAAGGTTTCCAGGGCTGATATTAGGGCTCCAACCTCAGCTCTCTGAGTGCTAGTAAATCCAGGTTGAGTAAGGGAGTTTTGCGGTTCCCACCAGATAGCTGCTTTTCCATTTTTACCAGAGCCATCAGTGAAAAGCATTTAAGGGTTAGGTATGGGGGAGTGAACTACCTTTGTAGGCATAACTACAGGAGTATGAGATAAGAACTGGAGTAGTTCATCAGCAGGAAGAGCATGTTCTATATGGCCCGCATAATCAGAGAGTACGATCTGAAGGTCTAGAGATAGGGACAGAACTGCTTCGAATTGTTTTTTACTTAAGGGTATTCTTATGACATCAGGGTCATAATCTTGCAATTGATTGAAAATTATCTGCTATGGACTCAATTAATCCTTTCATAAATGGGCTAGTGGCTCTGGTTTCTCTAATGCTGTTTCTTTTTTCTTTATAAGTGTTGAAAGTAATGGATTCATGTACCTGATTGCCTTGTTGATCTTGCATCACCAGGCAGTCCAAGAGCTCCCCTTCTAATGCCTCTTGCTTAAGACAGGATCCCATAACTGTAGTGTATCCCTTGTCTTTTTTCCAATTTATTGGGGAAGGGGGTTCAGGGAAAATCTCTGTCTCCTCTGTGGCACCTTTACCCGGTAATGGTGGGGCTGAGGGAGAAGGAGGAGGTGGTAAGGTATATGATGGTTCCTCTTCCCTTCTGTTTTTAGGCTGTTCTGTGTAGAGTGGGGCCAAAGCAGCCCTAATTAAGGCCCATAGCATTAAAGATGTTACTGGGACCCATTGCCCTTGTACATGATGTCATTTAAGATTTCTTCCCACTTGTTCCCAGAGCTCTAGGTCTAGCATGTCTTCTTCTAGGAACCATGGGTGATGGGAAACAACAGTTAGCATTAGGTCCCTTAATTGGGCCTCCGAGACCGAGGCTCTGCTAGCTTTAAGCAGCTGTTTCAATACTTTTATATACTTTTGCTGTTGAGCTGATAACTGTTGTCCCATGATGAAACCCTAGCTTGCAAATCCCCTCAAACTTGGAAATCCCCGACGGCCACCAATTACTCACTGCGTAGTGACTTCACTTTCATTTTTGAGGGTTCCATTGCGATCCGTTGCAGCGTTCCTCACATGGGGTACCACCTGCCAGGCCTGTGCTGCAGACCCTGGCTGACAGATGAAATGAGTACTCAGACACAGGTATGGAGTGTAAGAGCAGCTAGATGGCTGCCTGGCTCTAGTGGCCAGAGAGCAGCCCAGAGAAGCTGGAGCTACATGCTTTTATTCAGTGCAGGCACAATGCCGAAAACCTCAAGCCAACACAACCTGCAGGTAATTAACATTTATTGTTCCCCTTTCAGGCAACATCACGTGCATGGATAATCAAAGATCAGATCCTGGTCAACATATGTAAGCAAGCCTGTTTAAAATAAATTCCCCCACATTCCCTTGTACCTACTCCTTGCCCTCTGCTTCAGGGTTATAGAACAGCTGCCTCCAGCTATTTTCCCCTGAAGCCATGCAGAACCATCCAACCTTTCAGAAGGTTTGCATCCTTTCCCTATAGTTTTTCCACCACTCTGACTGATCTCCTACATTACCCTTTTGCTGGCATGCCAGTTTTCTGGGTTCTTTCTCCCTGAGTGGTCCTGGCGACCCTGTCTGACTGTATGCAAACAAATACATTGCCATGAATTAAGAATATTCATAGATAGTTTACAAATTTTGGAGAAACTAGGCAGAGAGAGAAATATGACTCAAATTCTATTTGTAAGGGTATACTCAACACAGTTAAAGTATCAGGAAGCCTAAAATCTGAAAAGTTAGTTTAAGGATAAAAAACTGGCATGCTCCATTAATTCTGCAACCCGACAAAGGTAGCTCAGGAATTCCAGACAAAAGGAATGAATGACGACTTGCTAGAAATGCATAGGAAACAACTATTCACAGAACCAAATAAAAGCCTTCCACTAGCATGGTTTTATATATATGGATAGGATACATAAGCAAAGCCAGAGGAGAATAAACAGCCAACAAATGAACACTAGAAGCAAAAATAAATAAACAAAAACTGAACCTAAATTTTCTTTTTTTTTTTTTTGTATTATTTATATTTTATTGGGTTTCAACTGGCAGACAGGTTGACCTAACAACATAGAACAAAACAGAATGTGTGGTTTTGCTTCCTAAATTTACATTAGTGATATCCAGAGCTCAGATTCCATGTAAGGTACTATGTATATTATTATTTTTTTCTTTTTTTTTATTGTACTTTAAGTTTTAGGGTACATGTGCACATTGTGCAGGTTAGTTACATATGTATACATGTGCCATGCTGGTGCGCTGCACCCACTAACTCATCATCTAGCCTTAGGTATATCTCCCAATGCTATCCCTCCCCGCTCCCCCCACCCCACCACAGTCCCCAGAGTGTGATATTCCCCTTCCTGTGTCCATGTGATCTCATTGTTCAATTCCCACCTATGAGTGAGAATATGCGGTGTTTGGTTTTTTGTTCTTGCGATAGTTTACTGAGAATGATGATTTCCAATTTCATCCATGTCCCTACAAAGGACATGAACTCATCATTTTTTATGGCTGCATAGTATTCCATGGTGTATATGTGCCACATTTTCTTAATCCAGTCTATCATTGTTGGACATTTGGGTTGGTTCCAAGTCTTTGCTATTGTGAATAATGCTGCAATAAACATACGTGTGCATGTGTCTTTATAGCAGCATGATTTATAGTCATTTGGGTATATACCCAGTAATGGGATGGCTGGGTCAAATGGTATTTCTAGTTCTAGATCCCTGAGGAATCACCACACTGACTTCCACAATGGTTGAACTAGTTTACAGTCCCACCAACAGTGTAAAAGTGTTCCTATTTCTCCACATCCTCTCCAGCACCTGTTGTTTTCTGACTTTTTAATGATTGCCATTCTAACTGGTGTGAGATGATATCTCATAGTGGTTTTGATTTGCATTTCTCTGATGGCCAGTGATGATGAGCATTTTTTCATGTGTTTTTTGGCTGCATAAATGTCTTCTTTTGAGAAGTGTCTGTTCATGTCCTTCGCCCACTTTTTGATGGGGTTGTTTGTTTTTTTCTTGTAAATTTGCTTGAGTTCATTGTAGATTCTGGATATTAGCCCTTTGTCAGATGAGTAGGTTGCGAAAATTTTCTCCCATTCTGTAGGTTGCCTGTTCACTCTGATGGTAGTTTCTTTTGCTGTGCAGAAGCTCTTTAGTTTAATTAGATCCCATTTGTCAATTTTGGCTTTTGTTGCCATTGCTTTTGGTGTTTTGGACATGAAGTCCTTGCCCACGCCTATGTCCTGAATGGTAATGCCTAGGTTTTCTTCTAGGGTTTTTATGGTTTTAGGTCTAACGTTTAAATCTTTAATCCATCTTGAATTGATTTTTGTATAAGGTGTAAGGAAGGGATCCAGTTTCAGCTTTCTACATATGGCTAGCCAGTTTTCCCAGCACCATTTATTAAATAGGGAATCCTTTCCCCATTGCTTGTTTTTCTCAGGTTTGTCAAAGATCAGATAGTTGTAGGTATGCGGCGTTATTTCTGAGGGCTCTGTTCTGTTCCATTGATCTATATCTCTGTTTTGGTACCAGTACCATGCTGTTTTGGTTACTGTAGCCTTGTAGTATAGTTTGAAGTCAGGTAGTGTGATGCCTCCAGCTTTGTTCTTTTGGCTTAGGATTGACTTGGTGATGCGGGCTCTTTTTTGGTTCCATATGAACTTTAAAGTAGTTTTTTCCAATTCTGTGAAGAAAGTCATTGGTAGCTTGATGGGGATGGCATTGAATCTGTAAATTATCTTGGGCAGTATGGCCATTTTCACGATATTGATTCTTCCTACCCATGAGCATGGAATGTTCTTCCATTTGTTTGTATCCTCTTTTATTTCCTTGAGCAGTGGTTTGTAGTTCTCCTTGAAGAGGTCCTTCACATCCCTTGTAAGTTGGATTCCTAGGTATTTTATTCTCTTTGAAGCAATTGTGAATGGGAGTTCACTCATGATTTGGCTCTCTGTTTGTCTGTTGTTGGTGTATAAGAATGCTTGTGATTTTTGTACATTGATTTTGTATCCTGAGACTTTGCTGAAGTTGCTTATCAGCTTAAGGAGATTTTGGGCTGAGATGATGGGGTTTTCTAGATAAACAATCATGTCATCTGCAAACAGGGACAATTTGACTTCCGCTTTTCCTAATTGAATACCCTTTATTTCCTTCTCCTGCCTGATTGCCCTGGCCAGAACTTCCAACACTATGTTGAATAGGAGTGGTGAGAGAGGGCATCCCTGTCTTGTGCCAGTTTTCAAAGGGAATGCTTCCAGTTTTTGCCCATTCAGTATGATGTTGGCTGTGGGTTTGTCATAGATAGCTCTTATTATTTTGAAATACGTCCCATCAATACCTAATTTATTGAGAGTTTTTAGCATGAAGGGTTGTTGAATTTTGTCAAAGGCTTTTTCTGCATCTATTGAGATAATCATGTGGTTTTTGTCTTTGGCTCTGTTTATATGCTGGATTACATTTATTGATTTGCGTATATTGAACCAGCCTTGCATCCCAGGGATGAAGCCCACTTGATCATGGTGGATAAGCTTTTTGATGTGCTGCTGGATTCGGTTTGCCAGTATTTTATTGAGGATTTTTGCATCAATGTTCATCAAGGATATTGGTCTAAAATTCTCTTTTTTGGTTGTGTCTCTGCCCGGCTTTGGTATCAGAATGATGCTGGCCTCATAAAATGAGTTAGGGAGGATTCCCTCTTTTTCTATCGATTGGAATAGTTTCAGAAGGAATGGTACCAGTTCCTCCTTGTACCTCTGGTAGAATTCGGCTGTGAATCCATCTGGTCCTGGACTCTTTTTGGTTGGTAAACTATTGATTATTGCCCCAATTTCAGCTCCTGTTATTGGTCTATTCAGAGATTCAACTTCTTCCTGGTTTAGTCTTGGGAGAGTGTATGTGTCGAGGAATGTATCCATTTCTTCTAGATTTTCTAGTTTATTTGCGTAGAGGTGTTTGTAGTATTCTCTGATGGTAGTTTGTATTTCTGTGGGATCAGTGGTGATATCCCCTTTATCATTTTTTATTGTGTCTATTTGATTCTTCTCTCTTTTTTTCTTTATTAGTCTTGCTAGCGGTCTATCAATTTTGTTGATCCTTTCAAAAAACCAGCTCCTGGATTCATTGATTTTTTGAAGGGTTTTTTGTGTCTCTATTTCCTTCAGTTCTGCTCTGATTTTAGTTATTTCTTGCCTTCTGCTAGCTTTTGAATGTGTTTGCTCTTGCTTTTCTAGTTCTTCTAATTGTGATGTTAGGGTGTCAATTTTGGATCTTTCCTGCTTTCTCTTGTGGGCATTTAGTGCTATAAATTTCCCTCTACACACTGCTTTGAATGCATCCCAGAGATTCTGGTATGTTGTGTCTTTGTTCTCGTTGGTTTCAAAGAACATCTTTATTTCTGCCTTCATTTCGTTATGTACCCAGTAGTCATTCAGGAGCAGGTTGTTCAGTTTCCATGTAGTTGAGCGGCTTTGAGTGAGATTCTTAATCCTGAGTTCTAGTTTGATTGCATGGTGGTCTGAGAGACAGTTTGTTATAATTTCTGTTCTTTTACATTTGCTGAGGAGAGCTTTACTTCCAAGTATGTGGTCAATTTTGGAATAGGTGTGGTGTGGTG
The DNA here is from genome assembly GCF_000001405.40 of Homo sapiens. NCBI lineage: Eukaryota > Metazoa > Chordata > Mammalia > Primates > Hominidae > Homo > Homo sapiens. Next base: position 91,213,487 of record NC_000001.11, on the reverse strand, counting down.
CTGAAAAAAATGTATATTCTGTTGATTTGGGGTGGAGAGTTCTGTAGATGTCTATTAGGTCTGCTTGGTACAGAGCTGAGTTCAATTCCTGGGTATCCTTGTTGACTTTCTGTCTCGTTGATCTGTCTAATGTTGACAGTGGGGTGTTAAAGTCTCCCATTATTAATGTGTGGGAGTCTAAGTCTCTTTGTAGGTCACTCAGGACTTGCTTTATGAATCTGGGTGCTCCTGTATTGGGTGCATATATATTTAGGATAGTTGGCTCCTCTTGTTGAATTGATCCCTTTACCATTATGTAATGGCCTTCTTTGTCTCTTTTGATCTTTGTTGGTTTAAAGTCTGTTTTATCAGAGACTAGGATTGCAATCCCTGCCTTTTTTTGTTTTCCATTTGTTTGGTAGATCTTCCTCCATCCTTTTATTTTGAGCCTATGTGTATCTCTGCACGTGAGATGGGTTTCCTGAATACAGCACACTGATGGGTCTTGACTCTTTATCCAACTTGCCAGTCTGTGTCTTTTAATTGGAGCATTTAGTCCATTTACATTTAAAGTTAATATTGTTATGTGTGAATTTGATCCTGTCATTATGATGTTAGCTGGTGATTTTGCTCGTTAGTTGATGCAGTTTCTTCCTAGTCTCGATGGTCTTTACATTTTGGCATGATTTTGCAGCGGCTGGTACCGGTTGTTCCTTTCCATGTTTAGCGCTTCCTTCAGGAGCTCTTTTAGGGCAGGCCTGGTGGTGACAAAATCTCTCAGCATTTGCTTGTCTGTAAAGTATTTTATTTCTCCTTCACTTATGAAGCTTAGTTTGGCTGGATATGAAATTCTGGATTGAAAATTCTTTTCTTTAAGAATGTTGAATATTGGCCCCCACTCTCTTCTGGCTTGTAGGGTTTCTGCTGAGAGATCCGCTGTTAGTCTGATGGGCTTCCCTTTGAGGGTAAACCGACCTTTCTCTCTGGCTGCCCTTAACATTTTTTCCTTCATTTCAACTTTGGTGAATCTGACAATTATGTGTCTTGGAGTTGCTCTTCTCGAGGAGTATCTTTGTGGCGTTCTCTGTATTTCCTGAATCTGAACGTTAGCCTGCCTTGCTAGATTGGGGAAGTTCTCCTGGATAATATCCTGTAGAGTGTTTTCCAACTTGGTTCCATTCTCCCCATCACTTTCAGGTACACCAATCAGACGTAGATTTGGTCTTTTCACATAGTCCCATATTTCTTGGAGGCTTTGCTCATTTCTTTTTATTCTTTTTTCTCTAACCTTCCCTTCTCGCTTCATTTCATTCATTTCATCTTCCATTGCTGATACCCTTTCTTCCAGTTGATCGCATCGGCTCCTGAGGCTTCTGCATTCTTCACGTAGTTCTCGAACCTTGGTTTTCAGCTCCATCAGCTCCTTTAAGCACTTCTCTGTATTGGTTATTCTAGTTATACATTCTTCTAAATTTTTTTCAAAGTTTTCAACTTCTTTGCCTTTGGTTTGAATGTCCTCCCGTAGCTCAGAGTAATTTGATCGTCTGAAGGCTTCTTCTCTCAGCTCGTCAAAGTCATTCTCCAACCAGCTTTGTTCCGTTGCTGGTGAGGAACTGCGTTCCTTTGGAGGAGGAGAGGCGCTCTGCGTTTTAGAGTTTCCAGTTTTTCTGTTCTGTTTTTTCCCCATCTTTGTGGTTTTATCTACTTTTGGTCTTTGATGATGGTGATGTACAGATGGGTTTTCGGTGTGGATGTCCTTTCTGTTTGTTAGTTTTCCTTCTAACAGACAGGACCCTCAGCTGCAGGTCTGTTGGAATACCCTGCCGTGTGAGGTGTCAGTGTGCCCCTGCTGGGGGGTGCCTCCCAGTTAGGCTGCTTGGGGGTCAGGGGTCAGGGACCCACTTGAGGAGGCAGTCTGCCCTGAACCTAAATTTTCATACTCAATTTACCCTGAAGGCTACAGTGTTACCTAGGGCCCCCAAAACCCCACATATTGAATATTTTATATTCAAATTCTGGAGGGCTAAATGTGTGTGTGTGTGTGTGTGTGTGTGTGTGTGTGTGTGTGAATGATCACAAACAACCCTGCTTGTGGTGTTGTTCGTGTGGATGGTGACAAGTCCTACTGCTGGACAGAGTGAGTGGGTCTTCTCTGCGGTTCCGTAGCTACCTCATATGGCTTAGGGCAGGTCCTGCCATGGGATTTATACCAGCATGCCAACACTAAGAAGGGCCTAATTCTCACTTGGGGGAGCAGCCAGAGAGGACAGCACAAGTGGGAAGTGTATCAAAGAACCTTCAGTGGGGGAAAGGGGGGAAACAGATCAACCTCCCAGGACAAATAAGGTAAGACACCCCCTGGTTTGAGGGGTTGAGCCTTCCAGGGCAGGCAAGGCAAGACATCCCCTGGTTTAAGGGGTTGAGCCTTCCAGGACAGGCAAGACACCCCCTGGCTTGAGAGATTGAGCCTTCCAGGACAGGCAAGACACTCCCTGGTTTGAGGGGTTGAGCCTTTCAGGACAGGCAAGACACTCCGTGGTGTGAGGGGTTGAGCCTTCCAGGGAAGGCAAGGCGAGACATCCCTGGTGTGAGGGGTTGAGCCTTCTGCTAATTTCAAGGGTTGAACCTCACACAAACCACTTCTTTCCTTTCTTCTCAGGGGAAGAAAGAGCAGTTTCACTCCTGCCAGTCCCTCCCCTAGGGGAAGGGGAAGGAGAGAGAGAGGGAGAGAGGGAGAGAGAGAGACAGAGACAAGAGAAAGAGAGAGAGGGGAAAGAGAGGCAGAGAGACAAAGAGGGAGTCAAAGAGAGAGAAGGAGAGAGACACAAAGTCAGAGAGAGAGATAGAAGTAGTAAAGAAAAAACAGTGTACCCTAGTTCTTTAAAAGCCAGGGTAAATTTAAAACCTATAATTGATAATTAAAGGTCTTCTCCGTGACCCTGTAACACTCCAATACCATCTTGTTGTCAGTGTAAACAAGGGCGTAGCCCGAAAGCACCAAGGCCACTAACAACCCATACCCTTCCTATCAAAAATCCTTAACCCAGTAACCTGCGGATGCCCCAAATACATTCATCTGTGGCAACAACTGCTTTGCTAACAGAAGAAAGTATGAGGCTATTCTGTTAAAAAAAAAAAAAAAAAGATTCAACATTAACCACTAAAAATTCCCTTAACCCAGCAGGTTTCCTAACAGGGGATCTAAATCTTAATTAATGACTATACAAAGGTTGGACCAGACCTAGGCAGAACTCTCTAGGTCAGGATGATAGACTGTTCCTCGCGGGTGATTGAGAGAAAAAGACACAATTGGTATCCAGTAAGTGATAAGGAAACTCTTGTAGAAGCAGAGTTAGGAAAATTGCCTAATAATTGGTCTGTTCAAATGTGCCTGCTATTTGCACTCAGCCAAGCCTTAAAGTACTTACAGAACCAAGAAGGAACCATCTATACCAATCCTAAGTTAATTTGGACTAAACAAGGTTTTATTAATAGCAAATAATTGAAATCCCCAACTTACAAGGTTTTCAACAAAAGTAAAGTTTGCTAAAAGTTAACAGTGTAACCTGTATTATCCTAACTTCTAATCTTGTGGCCTTAGGTAGTCTAGTCCACGGACATGAAGGAAGTTCGTTTTGGAGAAGAATGGTTATCATCTTTAGAAAAAAAAAAGGTGGGGGGAAGAATGTATATAAAAAATGTTATATGGTAAATTCTTGTCCTAAAATAAATTAACTGGTTGTTTAAAGAAAGGGATGTTTGCAACAAGTCAGAAGGTTGAGGCATGTTGAAGATTGTGAAAACTTTGAAAAAAAAAGTTATAAAAGGGAATTTATGCAAGAAATATTGTATAATTTAGAAGTAATTAGGCCTCCTAAATGTAAAACTATTGATGAAACAGTTTGTGTGCAAGGTGTATAAGGAAGGCAAAATATACTTTTGGTAAAAGGATTATAAAGAGGCATAAGAATGTGGACTTTTACCTACATTAAAAGGTTAAAAAAATTTTGTTTTGAAGGTTTAAGCAAGTTTTAAAACGTTAATTGTAAAGGAAATTCTGTGTGTAAACATATTGGCTAAAGTTAAAAAGGTATCCAGTTTTTCTGTGAACTGGACATTAAAATAAAAGCACAGTGGGTTTTTCTTAAAGCACTAACCTGCTCATTAACAAAAATTATAAAAGGTTAAAAAGAGTCTATAAAAATCTTATGGTCAGACATTAAAAATTGGATAAATATGTCTATAAGGTTTTATTAAACTTAAGTTTAACATTAATAACACACTAATATAAAGGTGAAATTTAGCTTATCTGGTATAAAATCACACAGGTTTATATATATTGTTAAATATAAAATGGTGTTTGACTTTCTTTGGTCTAAAAATAATAAAAATTGATGCTAAAAGAAATTTCTCAGTAAAAAGGCGCCAAGGACTATAAAGTCCACAGCTGATGTCCCCACACTTAAAACACAAGATCAGTTTCTTAGAAATTATATACTTGGTTTATCTTCCACTTTCCTTTCCCTCAAAACTAGAAGTCTTTTAGCACAGGTACCACCCCTAGAATTTCCAGTAAACCAGCACCAGCCTGATGATCACGTTCTCATCAAAAGTTGGGAAAAAGGAATACTCGAGATGGCCTGGGAAGGACCCTACCTTGTTCCGTTAACCACCGAGACTGCTGTTCATACAGCGGAAAGGGGATGGACTCACACCCGAGTCAAGAAAGTGCCATCCCCTCCAGAGTCGAAGGCCATAGTCCCGGGGGAAAACCCTACCAAACTAAAGCTAAGAAAAATTTAACTCTCTTTCATCTATTCTATTACTTTCTTCTTTCCTCGCTCTACTGCTGACCATCTAGTTATGACATAACCAAGTCAATTTCACCTCAAACTATTGCATTTAATGCTTGCCTTGTTATACCCTGTGGGGACTTGCCAAGCCAAAGACAGCTTTCTACTTCAGAAAAGTACCTCTGTCCCTCCTGACTCTCCTCAGACTGGGCACTAGTAAATTAGGACCATTTAATCTGGGGAGATTTCGATAAACACCCCAGTGCCAACCAGGAGTCCTGCCCTCTGATGGAGAGCTTTCATGCCGTAGTTGGTCCAACGTTCTGTGGACCACTAAAGAGCAAGGATGGACTTTCCCAACCAGTTTTTGTAATTTCCTAAAACCATACATTCATTTTACTAGAGGATCATAGAAGTTAAAGACTTAAAACAAACTTTGGCAATTAAGACAGGATACCAACATGCAAATGCCTGGTTAGAATGGATCAAATATTCTGTCCACACGTTTAACAAAAGCTATTATTATGCTTGCACACATGGCAGGCCAGAGGCCCAGATTGTCCCCTTTCCACTAAGGTGGTCCTCCAGTCGACTAGGCATGGGCTGCATGGTAGCTCTTTTCTAGGATTCTACAGCCTGGAGTAATAAGTCGTGCCAAGCTCTCTCTCTGTTATATCCTGAAGTCAGGCACCCCGCGAGTCAGCCCCCGAGGGCCATCTAGCTTCTGTCTCCCAACACTAAGTTCACTTTGTGTCTCTCATGACAGGGAGGAAACTTAGCATTCCTTGGAGACCTGAAGGGATGCAGTGAGCTTAAGTATTTTCAAGAGCTTATCAATCAGCCTTTGTTCATCCCCGAGTGGATGTGAGGTGGTATTGTGGTGGACCTTTACTGGACATTCTGCCAAATAACTAGAGTGGCACTTGTGCTTTAATCCAATTGGCTATCCCTTTCATCCTGGCATTTCATCAACCAGAGGGAAGGAAAAATAAGACATCGTAAAGCGAGAGAAGCCCCTTATAGGTCTTTCAACTCTCATGTCTATTTAGACACAATTAGAGTCCCACGGGGAATACCAGATCAATTTAAAGCCCAAAATCAAATAGCTGCAGGATTTGAGTCTATATTTTTGTGGGTGAAAATTAATAAAAATATAGATTAGATAAACTACATCTATTACAACCAGCAGCAATTTATTAACTACACTAGAGATGCTGTTAAAGGAATAGCTGAACAATTAAGGGCTACTAGCCAGATAGCTTGGGAAAATAGGATAGCCTTAGACATGACATTAGCAGAAAGAGGAGGCGTTTGCGTTATGATTAAAACTCAATGTTCCACCTTCATCCCAAACAACACCGCCCTTAATGGAAGTATAACAAAGGCATTGCAAGATCTGACTGCTCTATCCAATGAGTTAGCCAGCAACTCAGGGGTAAATGACCCCTTTACAGGATGGCTGGAAAAGTAGTTCAGTAAATGGAAGAATAATAGCCTCAATTCTTACTTCCCTCGCAGCCGTAATAGGTATACTTATTATTGTCAGGTGCTGTGTCATACCATGCATCTGTAAGTTGATGCAGAGGCTCATAAAATCAGCACTTACTAAAACCTCCCTTAACTATCCTCCACCTTATCCATGGAAGCTTCTTCTTTTGGAAATCAAGCAAAACAACTAAGTCAAGACATGTTAAAAAAAAAAAAGTTTGAAAAGAAAGCTGTAAGGAAATACAAGGGGAGAGGTTGCTAACAACCTGAGTTCTAAGTGTCTTTTAAAAAAATTAATATGTCAGTATGTTCAATTCTTTGCCTTCTACTTTTCAACTTCCTCGTAAAGCAAGCTTTTTCGATTACCTACTCTACCCTGACTCATTCCGATTGCCTGCTACCTGCTCTGCCCTGACTCCTGCCAAAGCACTCACCCCGTCATTCTCTTTAAATTAGCCAACCAGAATTAGCTTAGCCTGTGCGGTCTAACCCTAGCCAATAGGGGAATGACGCAGCAGGGGCCACGTGTGTCAGCGATAAGAACCCCTTCCCCTCCCTTGTCCAAGTGTGCCCTTACCATTGCTCCATCTGTAAAGGCACACACCCTTCTGTAGAAGTACCTTGCCTTGTTGAGAATTAAGAAAATTTTATATTCGAGTGCTATTTCTTTTGCGGCACCGAAACTTTATATATAACACTATGTAAATGGGGAGGATGAAGTAAAGTTACAAGGTCATTTACTTGGCGTACGCCCTATGAAGAGGTTATTTCCTGTCATAGCTGAAGTGTGAATCCGTCTTATGTTCCCTGCCTCCAGACCCTATTTTCTTGCCTCAAATCAGACTTCACAGAAAGAGAGACTGTGAGCCTGTCTGGTTAAAAAATCTTACCTCTTTGCTGGTTCCCTTCACTGTGGCTTCTAGCAGAGAAGCTTTGGTATCCTGCTCATGGCACCAAAGCTGTATAGGCCAAGGGAAAGCTTCCCCTTCACCCTCTGAAGTTTCACTGAAAAATGAACTCACAAAAGGAGATTAATAGGAGAAATGGCATGCACATTTTTCAATGTACACATGGAGGGTGAACCACAGAGTGATTACCCCTCTTTTAAGAGAAAGAAATGTGGGTATTGTATAATTCTAAAAAGTATCTGCCTATCAGATGGATGCAGGATGAAGGAACCAACAGGAAAACCTGTGTTCCTCATAGGAAACCTAACTGAAAATCAATGCTGGCAGTATTTTTCAATTTAGAAATTGTTTCAGACAATCTTGTTTTCCTCTTGTAAATATGTGATTTTATCAAAAACTTTTTTAGAAGCTTCTAAGTATGTTGGAAATAGATCTCCCTGGCCAGGTGTGGTGGCTCACACCTGTAATCCTAGCACTTTGGGAGGCCAAGGCAGGTAGTATGCTTAAACTCAGGGGATTGAGACCAGCTTGGGCAACATGGCGAAATCCTGTCTCTACAAAAAATACAAAAATTGGCTGAGCGCAGTGGCCCATTCCTGTAATCTTAGCACTTTGGGAGGCCAAGGTGGGTGGATCACCTGAGGTTAGGAGTTCAAAACCAGTCTGGCCAACATGGTGAAACCCTGTCTCTACTAAACATACAAAAAAATTAGTCAGGTGTGGTGGTGGGCACCTGTAATCTCAGCTACTCGGGAGGCTGAGGCAGGAGAATCGCTTGAACTGGGGAGGCAGAGGTTGCAGTGAGCCAAGATCATGCCACTGCACTCCAGCCTGGGCAACAGAGTGAGACTTCATCTCAAAAAGAAACAAACAACAACAACAACAAACAAACAAAACAAAACAAAATTAGCTGGGCATGGTGGTGCATGCCTGTAGTCAAAGCTACTCGGGAGGCTGAGATGGGAGGATCGCTTGAGCCTGGGAGGTTGAGGTTGCAGTGAGCTGAGATTGTACCACTGCACTCCCGCCTGGATGACAGAACAGGACCCTATCTCAAAGAAAAAAAGAAAAAAGAAAAAGAAAAAAAGAAAGAAAGAAAGAAAAAGAATAGATCTCCCAGTTATTTTGTTTTATTCTCCGGCTGGCTTTTTTCAGCTGAGTGTATAGATAATTAGAGAATTAGAATGTTATTTAAAGAGAGTTTATTCAAGCGCAAAGATTGAGGACTCCAGCCCAGGACACACTTCCAAGTTGCCTTGGGGAGTGTTCCAGAGAACAAAAGAGATACTCAAGATTTTAAAGGAAAAAAGGACAAATTAGGAGAGGGGGTGATTACAAAAGTTGTTCATCAGGAATTCTCCTTAGTTTACAGAAATAACATTGGTAGTTACTGGCTATATATTATTAAACTACAGGGTGTGATATAGTTTGGATGTTCATACTCTCCAAATTTCATGTTGAAATGTGATCCCCAGGGTTGGAGGTGGGGTCTGATGGGAGGTGTTTGCATCATATGGGCAAATCCTGCATGAATGGCTTGGTGCCCTCCTGGTGGTAATGAAGGAGTTCTTGCTCTGAGTTCATACGAGATCTGGTTGTTTAAAAAGAGTCTGGCACCTCCCTCCCGCTTGATCCTTCTCTTGCCATGTGACATGCCTGTTCCCACTTTACCTTCACTACAATTGGAAGCTTCCTGAGGCCTGACCAGGAGCAGATGCTGGCACCATGCTTTCTGTACAGTCTGCACAACCGTTAGCCAAAATAAACTGCTTTTCTTTATCAATTACCCAGTCTCAGGTATTCCTTGACAGCAATGAATATGGACTAAGACAGGGTGGATGGCATTTTTATGGTTACTTGGCATCAGTTATTCTAGAGCTCACATAGCAAGGGGCTTCAAGAGGTAATTATTTAGCTCAAGGACAAGTGAGATGTGACTGGCATTACATTTTATTATTTATTTATTTATTTATTTATTTATTTATTTATTTATTTTTGAGATGGAGTCTTGCTCTGTCACCCAGGCTGGAGTACAGTGGCGCAATGTCGGCTCACTGCAACCTCGGCCTCCCGAGTTCAGGCAATTCTCCCGCCTCAGCCTCCCTAGTAGCTGGGACTACAGGTGTGTGCCGCACGCCCGGCTAATTTTTAAATTTTTAGTAGAGACGGGTTTTCACCATGTTGGCCGGGATGGTCTTGATCTGCTGACCTTGTGATCCACCCACCTTGGCCTCCCAAAGTGCTGGGATTACAGGTGTGAGCCACCACGCCCAGCCTTGGCGTTACATTTTGAATGCCTTTCTGGGCCTGATCATTTAAAGGGGCTCACATTCCTCAGATAAAAGGGCTTTTTTCTCTCTCGTCCAGTATAAGTCATTGCTTTCATCCCTAGAGATGTTCAAGCACAGAGAAAACCACCACCTGACAGGACTTTGTGGAGAGGATTCCACTCTGCAGACAGAAGCCTGGACTAGATCAACATTAAGATCCTAGGATCAGTCATTCATTAGATCCTGTGTGTTCTTTGTCCTACAACTGAAACATGGCCCAAAGATCTAAGAGGTGGTTCAGCAGAATCCCACTGTGATGAAGGTGAGGAACACCATGCATTTTTGAGAGGCCTAAAGGTCAGAAGTGGAACTTTCCATGTTGCTGATTATGGCTGGTGAGGAGACAGGGCTGAGTGTTGTAAGCAGCCCAGCCATAATGCACACTGTCACTGTTCTGCGGCATGGGGGTGTTGGGCTGGTGGACCCACCTGTGCCCAATTTGGAGGCCAATGTTCGATGGATTGGGCAGGAACTGGCCACAGTACTGCCAGCAATGGTGACCACAGGGAAAGTGCAGTCATGGCTACTGAGCTCAGCTGCCATTCCCTGTGGGACAGAACTGATTTGACTTGAGCTGCTGTCCGTTCACATGAGGGCTGAGATTCACTTTCTCTTCCTTGACTATTTCAAAGGGAGCCTGGTTCACATTATTGAGTATTGTGCAGACATTTGAAAAGGAATACTGTGTGGTGACCAATTTCTCTGTCTCTACTGTTAAGCCCTTCTCAAACTTTAATGCTCAGATGGATTACCTGGGGACCTCTTTAAAATGCAGATTCTGGCCTGGTGTGGTGGCTCACGTCTGTAATCCCAGCACTTTGGGAGGCCGTGGTGGGTGGATCACCTGAGGTCAGGAGTTCAAGACCAGCCTGGACAACATGGTGAAACGCCATCTGTACTAAAAATACAAAAATTAGACAGGCATGGAGGTGCATGCCTGTACTCTCAGCTATCCGGGAGGTTGAGGAGGGAGAATCGTTTGAACCTGAGAGGCGGAGGTTGCAGTGAGCCGAGATCACACCACTGCACTCCAGCCTGGGAGACAGAGTGAAAAGCTGTCTCTAAATAAATAAATAAATAAATAAATAAATAAATAAATAAATGCAGATTCTGATTTGGTAGGTCTGCTGTGAAGCCTGATATTCTGAATTTCTAACCTCTCAGGTGATTATGATAATCATGACCCCAAAGCCACAGTTTGATAAGCAAGAGACTAAAAGATTTTAAATAGTTAATGGATGGATAAAGTTAGGAGGAGCTCACCACACTAGAAGAACCAGAATCACCTGGGGACACTTAAGAATAATGACATCTATGCCTGATTAAGACAAAATGAATTAGAATCTCTGGGGATGAGGGTGGAGCACCTACATGTTTTTAAGCTTTCCAGTGATTCTTATCCTCTAGATTAGGACTGATTCAGCCAGGTATGATGGCTCATGCCTGTAATCCCAGCACTTTGGGAGGCTAGCACAGGAGGCTCCCTTGAGCCCAGGAGTTGGAGGCTGCAGTGAGCTATGATCACAGCACTGCAATCCAGTGTGGGTGACAGAGTAAGACCCTGTATCTAAAAAAAAAAAAAAAAAGAAAAGAAAGGGACTGATTGATGTATCTAAGATGTTTTGTAACTATATATATGTTTGTAATGTATATATAATCTATAAATTATAAAACTTATGTATCACTGTACATGTATGTATGAAATATATATATATAATTAGGCATATAAATAACTTAGGGGACAGAAATGATTTTTTAAATTAAGGAAACTGAGGCTCAGAGAAATGAGACTAGAGCCCAAGATTCCTGACCTATAGGGCCAGATTTCATTCCCCTCCAAATCATCCCTGGCAGCACTTTGCTTCCAGTGTCTGAATTTTGAGGTGGATGTGTGTATGTGTGTATGTCTTCAGTTTTCTACATTAATATTGTGCTTGGAGGTTTTTGCAGTTATTAACATCTCTGATAGGTTGCCATGGCAGAGATGTTTGTCTCTTTACCAAGCTGGTGACAATTTAATGATAGTATTGTCAACCAGTGTCTTCAATGATTATGCACATTTATCAAACAGTATAATCATCTCTACTATGCCAGTTGCTCACACACCAGAAATGAAGCTCCAGAAACAGTCTATCACTCTGACAAGGATAATAGGTCATTATTACCAAATCAGCAGTCAGTGAGCCAGTGCTTTAAAAATAAACGATCCTGCTTTCCATCATTATTTATTTTTCATAAGTGCCCAGGTTTGTCTTGCATCTGACAGCAGGAGACAATTATGCTATAATATTTTTCTGCTTTTAAAAAACATGTCTTAAATGGTAAATGGAATATTTCTATTGACCCCACAGTAGATGCATGAGTGATTTTTATAGGTGCATTATAAGATAATGGGTAGAATTCATGATATATGCACACCAAGTACATATAATCTTTTCCTTTTCCATCCAGTTCTCTTGAAAAAGAATGACCAGCTACGAAAATAGGGGTGGGATGAGGGTGGGGATGGGGTCAGAAGGAGAAGTACTATGTGATTATCACATGACTTAACGGTGAGTTCTCAATGCTCTCTTATTGCTGTTTGATTGCGCAATCAGAGTGTACAAATAGTCTCCATACACTGTCCCTTCCCTATATAGAGTGTTTTCAAAGAGAATCTTATAACTTGTAAAAGGAAAAATTCTTCTCCACCTGCCAGGAGTTACCCCTCCTCCTCCCCAGACAGGACAGCCTGATGGGAGCTTGGGAGGTCTTTCCCAGTTGAACACCTGCCCTTACCACCTGGCAAGAGACTGTGCTCAGAGGACACCTCTCCTTGTAATGAAGTCTGGATTAAATTCCAACTCAGACTGGAGATTGTACCATACCTACAGCTGCAATGGGAAAGAAGGTACCATCAAGGAAAAGGGCATTTTTTTTCTAAGGAGGGAAAGGGGAGAGCAGCTGAATGAGGAACTGCGTTTCTCTAACAACTGAGAACCATTCTGTTAGAGGTGGCTGCTCTCACTTTCAAAACAAAAAGAAGCTTGTAACTGTAAAAGGCTGCAGTGGGTTTCCTGCTACCCCACCCATTTAGAGGAAAAACCTATTTATGAGGCTTTATTAAGTGCAAATAAGTCCCTGGGCTTCAACGGAGAAGGAGCAGCTGCTGAAGATGTGGTCATTTGCATATAAATGACATGATTTCAGCTCAGAGAAGAATATTGAAAAATATACATGTCGACAATGGAATCCTGATAGATTCGCACATATTAAGGTCAGATACTGTAATTTTTAAGGCTGCTGCATGCTGATGACGGCATCATATCACACATTCGATTCTGTTTGGGTTATATCATATTATCTTCTATGAAATGGAGGATTTTTATTGTGAATTAATTAAACTATTTTTTCCCCTAAAGATGAGAACATTCAGGTCAATAAGCTAAATGATCTACAAATGTATAGGCTCTGTGACAAGCAAAGTTACCAACTACAAACTTGGTTTCCTTCACAGTTAATAAGGAAGGTTGTGTGCTCAGGTGTCTCCTGGGGAAGACACTACAGAGCTTTCTCTCATTTCTCTCTCTCTATGGCAGGGTCAACCTTTTTTTGAAGAGCCAAGGAAGTTTCAGTTTCCATATTCTAAGAAGTTTTCCAAAACTTTGGCTTGAAGATTAGGGGGAAATTATTGTAGCTCAGAAATTTCCACAAGTTTGCCATGAACCCACCATTGTTTCCTTCCCCCGGGGCCTGTGCTTTGAGGTTCACAGCTGGCAAAAGACAGCTTCTGGAATCTCCACACTGATTCCAAGCACGAGTCCTCTATGCTGATTGGAGGAAGTAAGTGGGCTCGCCTGAAATCTGCCTGGGATTCTGGCCCTGCGTCAGACAGGGTGCTTATTGGCTCCTTCCCCACCTGCAATGTAATTTTTTTTTTTTTTTTGAGGCAGGGTCTCACTCTGTCACCCAGGCTGAAGTGGAGTGACATGATCGTGGCTCACTGCAGCTGACATGATCGTGGCTCACTGCAGCCTCAGCCTTCCGCTGGGCTTAAGTGATCCTCCCACCTCAGCCTCCCAAGTCGCTGGGAGCACTGGCATGCACCAACATGCCCAGCTAATTTTTGCTTTTTTGTTGTAGAGATGGTTTCGCCATGCTGGCCAGGCTAGTCTTGAACTCCTGGGCTCAAGCGACCTGCCTCGCTTGGGTCCCAAAGTGCTGGGATTATAGACATGAACTGCCATGTCCGGCCAGAGGATGGCTGGCTGGCTTGCTTTCTTGCTTTCTTTCTTTCTTTCTTTCTTTCTTTCTTTCTTTCTTTCTTTCTTTCTTTCTTTCTTTCTTTCTTTCTTTCTTTCTCTCTCTCTCTCTCTCTCTCTCTTTCTTTCTTTCTTTCTTTCTTTTTTTCAAACTGCTTGTTGTCTATTAGCTGCTAGGAAGGCATGATAATATATTGTGGAATACTATCTTAACTTTGCCAGTCAGTCCACAACTCCCTCAGGGAGAAGGTTTCCCCATCAATGATGATTATTTATGAGATAACTTTAGATTTTCACTTTGAAAATCCGCATCTTGTGCTCCTTGAAGTAATGGATTCTATTCATATCAATTCAACATTTATCATTGAATTATTTATTAACTAAGTCAGAGGTCATTAATTTTCAACACATTTTTAAACCCTATGTATTAACATTTACTGGATGAATACAGTCCTTAGTATACACACACTCTTTATAAAAGATAATTAAAGATGGCCAATAAATCATTACATAGCTAGCAGGGAAAAAGGAAAATTTAGAAAGTCACCATAAATATGTGTTTTATAGAAAGCTTTAGAGGCATTTGAGAACTCTATGATGCCAACTTGGAAAAAGATCTGAATGTCAATTTGCTGATGTGTTCAACATATTCTCTTAAAATGACTTATAGTGATTTAGGTTTAGCAAAGATTTTGAAACTATAAATTCTAAAAAGATTACTCTTAGTTATTGATCAAATTATACACATAGAAAATGATTACATTATCCAGCATTCAACATCCCAGGATAAGAGAAGGGTGATTTAGGCCACCCAGGAGTAGATCTAGGTATTGTAAGGCCTAAAGCTTATAAAATTTGGAGAGCTCTCTTTAAGAAAAAGAAGACAAAATTACTGACACAGTATTGGGTACCAAATTAAATATTTATTTAGAATCAGAAAAACAACAAATTATAAATTTCAAAAAATAAATTCCAACAAATTATAAATCTCTGCCAGGCACGGTGGCTCATGCCTGTACTCCCAACACTTTGGGAGGCTGAGGAGGGCAGATCACAAGGTCAGGAGTTCAAGACCAGCCTGGCCAAGATGGTGAAACACTGTCTCTACTAAAAATACAAAAATTAATCGGGCATGGTGGTGGGCACCTGTAATCCCAGCTACTCAGGAGACTGAGCCAGAGAATTGCTTAAACCCGGGAGGCAGAGATTGCAGTGAGCTGAGATTGCACCACTGCACTCCAGCCTGGGTGACAGGGTGAGACTCCATGTCAAATATATATGTATATTATATATCTCACAGAAATCATTAACTGGCTGACATGCCTCTATAATACTTCTCCCCTTACAACTGATTGTCTCTTCAGTCTGTCTTCTAGTACGGTTGATAAAAATTTGGTTTTTAGTATTGGGAGTTTAGAAAAACTTTTTTCACCTCCACAACTTGCAATATATTATTTCACGTAAATTTTAAAAATGTAAGATTTGGTAAAACCTTTCTTTCTTTCACATGTGAGCTGTAAAATTTGTGGGAATTTTAGATTTTCTTACTTTATGCCTAATCCTAAATAGTGCCACATTTTCCTAGTACCTGGGGCCTTGGGCATATTGTTTTCTATTACAACATGCTCTCATGTACTTTTGTGTTCCTGGATGCAGGAGGTAGTGTGTTTCTGGAAGCTGTCCCTATATCAGGATGGCTACCTTTACTATACACAGATGGGACTGTGAAACACAAAATTAAATATATTCCCCAATTAATGTATTCCCAACTCAACTCTGCCAAGGGGGCAGGGGGAAAGACTCTAAGAGTGAGCCCTGCTGAAAGATTTCCAGCCCTTTCTGCCTTTGGATAGTCTGAAGGTTCTTTATGTTTGATCATTGCTGGCTTTCAAGGCACCAGATCTGTGATGAGGGAAGAGAGGTTGTGAAAAGCAGTAAAAGGTAGTTGAACACAGTTCCCCTCTGGCAGCACACAAGCTTCTTAAAGATTTTTTTTTAAGCTCTTCTCTAACTTCATGAAAACAATGCCCTCCAGACTTCCTCCTACCCGCATTCTCTGTACAACAGCTCAGTTTGGCCAGAGTAGAATTAAAACTAGAAAAGCCATAAGAAATAGAAAGATAAGTGCCTCAAGTTGATGCCAGTCTCTCTGGGGTGTGACTGACTGCACACAACCAGTTCTCTAGTGGATCAATACCTATCATCCCTGGGAAGAGCTTGGCTAAAAGCAGCACATCCCAGAGCTGCCAGAGATGAAATGGACACTCGGTTCTGTCCTAGAAAGAAGATGAAGCCGGCAGTTTAGATTGCTGAAAAACAGTTTGAGATAAGCTTGTGGTTCCATAGAAATTAATCCGTGCCTCTAGACAGCACGTAAGCCTATTGGAAAGCTTCTTCAATTCAAGCAGTTAATAATATATCAAGTCTTGTAGCTTAAGGGATACAATTTTCAAAATTATTGTACTGAGGGAATCATAAATTCCACCAAGAGGAAGGTTGTAGTCCAGATATTTTATTTTAGATTTCCATCTAGGGTGCATTATGACACTCCACATGAAAGTCAAATCGTCCATGTAAAATGGTTTCCAGGTGATAAGTTTACCCCAAGGGGTCCAGTAAAGTAATACATTCGGAGTTATATCTGACTTTCACAATCTATAAAGACTAGTTATCAATTTTTTGAAAGATTTGATAAGCAGGAACAAAAAAATAGCTTATGGATGCTGACATTTGTCTCATTAATGGGAGCAGCATAAGAAGTACAAGCTCCTTCTGGATTTGGCTGTAAATACACCACTGACATACATTTTGGAAGGTTGCTGTTTTGTGCTGGTGGGAATGTATTTGTCTAACCTTGCACCGACTACAATAGATGTGAGGAAGAAGGGATACTACTGTCAGCCACGTTCAGCTTTTTAAAACAGGGGCACCCACTCTGCCAATATCTGTCAGATTCCAGGACACAGCATATTAAAAATTATGTTCCATTAACACTGTCTGGCCTAGTAGAAGTTTTATAAGGAAATAATTCTGTTATGTTTGGGGAAGGGAAGAAAAAAAAACACATTACACAATAGAATTCAAAGGAATAATTAATGTTTCTTCCTGCCTCAGAATAGGAATGCTGCTGACTTCTCTAGGGTTTCATATGGAACACCTCAGCCCACTTTGCCGGGGCAAAACTAATAAACATGTTCCAAATAGCAAGAGACCAAATACTAATTAATTACCAGTTTGAATGTTGCCTATCACTACATCATTCTGTGTATTATAGAGCAATATTTTCCATAAGTTGTTCCTTTATTACCAGGGAAAAAATTGTATCCTTTTTTCAGGAAGATAAGATTGGTAAATTTGCTGAAGATGTTTTTAACACAGTAATAGTAAATAACACGGTGCTTACATTTGCTTGGCCCTGGATAAACTTCCTAGTTTAAAGTGCGTTCCTGGGAGGATGCTGACTGCTCAAATTGCAGAAGAAATGCTTTGAGCTGCCTCGTCCTCTCTTGGGTTCATGGGGTGGAATACAAGAATGGCTACACTATTCAGCTGTCCAGAATTTAACACAAAACCCAATCTTCAAAAAACTCACCACGCACTTCAGTAAAAGTGTATTGCAATAATACCTCATTTATCTAACACCATCAGTTAATGAGTTGTTTTCCATAAAAGTGAATCTTCCAAATAACTGTATTTTTCTTTTAAAGCATTCTGTGTGACCATGTTACATTTTAGCCTTTCTAAAACAATTGCATACTTCCGTATCTTTTGATGTTAAGTAAACATAACTTTTTCTTTGTGAAAATGAATTATTGTTACCAGTTACCGCCTAGGCTTCCAGGGCTACTGAGGTGCCTAAGATGCTTTGATGGTGGTGTTCAGGCCCCTTCTTTGCCTTAGCATCTTCCCCTGCTTCTCGTGTGCTTATCTGTAAATCCTACTTACCTCTTCTCTATCAGAGAGAGGTGGAGTATAACAGGCTAGAGCAGGAGTTTGGGACTTTGACACACCTGGAGTGAATTCCAGCTCTGCCACTAACTACCTGTATAAACTTAATTAACATCTACTGGGCGCGGTGGCTCACGCCTGTAATCCCAGTGCTTCGGAAGGCAGGGGTGGGAGGATCACTTAAGGCCAGGAGTTCGAGACCAGCCTGGGCAACATAGTGAGACCCTGTCTCTACAAAAAAATTTTAAAATGAGCTGGGCATGGTGGTGCATGCCTGTAGTTCCAGCTACTCAGGAGGCTGAGGCAGGAGGATTGCTTGAGCCTAGGAGTTCAAGGTTACAGTGAACTATAATCATGCTATTGCACTCCAGCCTAGGTGATAGAGTGAAACCCTGTCCCTAAAAAAATAAAAATATAGCCAGGTGTGGTGGCTCATGCCTATAATCCCAGCACTCTGGGAGGCCAAAGTGGGCAGATCACCAGAGTTCAGGAGTTTGAGACCAGCCTGGCCAACATGGTGAAACCTTGCCTCCACTAAAAATACAAAAATTAGCCAGGCGTGGTGGCACGCGCCTGTAATCCCAGCTACTTAGGAGGCTGAGGCAGGAGAATTGCTTGAACCCAGCAGGCAGAGGTTGCAGTGAGTTGAGATTGTCCCACTGCACTCCAGCCTGGGTGACAGAGCAAGACTCCGTCTCAAAAAAAAAAAAAAAAAAAAAAAAATATATATATATATATATATATATATAAATATAAAATTTAGTATTGTCAGTTTTCTCACTTATAAAATGGAGAAGAAATACCTGCACCTACCCATAGGGTTGTGAGACAAAGTGATATTAGCATAGAATCAGGCAGAGAGACTTCTGGGGTCTGAGGCATCAACTCCTCAGCTTCTATAAAGTACAACTAAAAGTAAATAGATTCTAAGAAAAAACCCTGGAGCTTTGCAAAAGCTCATTTTATGTTCAGGGCCCTTATTTATTTACTTGCATGTCCTTTGCTGGGTGTTAGAGGGCTAACCTTGCCAACACCTCACCCTTGAAGGCATGGACAGACCATTGCCGCAATGGTCCAGCGCCTAGGGGTTTAAAGCAGTACCATCCAGCATCTTCTCAGTGCCTTTCTGTTCGTCTTTGTATATAAGCACAATTACGTTTTTGAATTGTTCTTCCATCATGTGAAAATGATTGAACAGATTTCACCATACAGTATATGCAGGCCTGACTTTGTATATAAGCTATACAGGATGCCCAACAGATCCTCAGTTCTGTGGTTCTCAAATTTGAGCATGCATCAGCATCCCTGTAGGGCTTCTTCAAGCACAGATTCCGAGCCCCATTCCTAGAGTTTCTGATTCAGTAGGTCTAGGGTAGGATTTGAGAATTTACATATCTAACAAGTTCCCAGGTGCTGCTGATGCCAACCTTGTTGGTCTAGGGACCACACTCTGAGAACCACTGCCTTAGGTGTTCTAGTGGAGAATGGCTGTTGATGTGCAAGCAACAGCCTCATGCACAGGCTATTTCCTGGGCTAGGGATTCCCTGGAGGCAGGCTGACGAGCCCACTAGTTCTAGCTAGTTCTACTAACCTAAGCCTGATCTTAGGGGCAATGGGTATGTGCAACTTGATTCCTAGAAAGAGCATGACGGAGGTGAGGTGTGAGGCAGATTTTCTTGTGGCCTTAATTTCTTCCCGCACCCCATTGCCTAGTAAGTGCAAATAGCCGGAGCCCCCAGTCCAGTGCCCAGCCAGCTCTTATTTTCTCTCCTAAATCTGCAGTGGCAGATTGAGCTGGGGATGAGTGAGGCTTGTGGTCTGGATTATTACCTGATGGGTAAGGTGAGGCCCATTTTGGTTGTTCTTCTCAGTTTCCCACCACACATCTGGGTTGAGAAGGAAGCAATTTTCTAATGACTTAGACTGGAAATTGTGTTCATAAAACGTTTAATTGAGATAATCCTAAACCATGTTGTCACAATTCAAATCACACTTGGTTAATTGAAATAAAAAAAACAGCTTTCCGAGACCTGGACATTAAGACCAGGTCTCCAAAAGCTGTTTTTTTATTTCATCTCCTTTAATTCAATGTCTTTACTTAATGACACTGCAGGTAAAGGCATCCCAGGGAACTTCTCACCAGACCCAAAGAGGAGAGCTATAGCTGTGGGCCAGGCCTCTGTCTATGTGTGGCCTGAGGAGAGAAGTGGGCAGTGCAAAATCCTGGGGGGTAGAGGAGGGGTGGCCAAGGGACTTTTAGGAAGAAGGATACCGAATTTTCCACTTAAATGTGTTGACGTCTTGTACTGTGATGAAACCCCTAACTTCAGGATGAGCCTGCTGTGCATGCCACTCTGTACTGATAGGGTACAGTGGTCTCCGCAGGATGAGAACAGCACCAAGACCATTCCAACATGTGTCAGGCACAGAGTTAGCAGGCCTGAGAACTTAGTGAGAGAGGTAGCTCAGAGAACTTAGGCCTCAGGTATTTACTGAGGTTTGGGAGTGGTTGAGCTGGAACTCCCTGCAGCCTCAAACTCCTGGGTTCAAGCCACCCTTCAGCCGCAGCCTCCTGAGTAGCTGGAACTACAGTCATGCACCCCCAGGGGCAACTCATTTTTAAATTTTTTGTAGAGATGGGAGGGTCTCACTATATTTCCCAGGCTGGTCTCGAACTCCTGGCCTCAAGTGATCCTCCTGCCTCCGTCTTCCAAAGTGCTAGGATTACAAGCATGAGCCACTGTGCCCAGCAGACATGAATTAAGTTTATACAGGAGTAAATAGTAAATAATAAGGTGACATAGCAAGGGGACACCCAGGTGATAAACTTCTGTGTAACCTCAGGTTATAGGAGGGTTATGAAATCAACAGCAGTGATTAATTTTGCCTTCATCCTTGTTCAGGTATCTCCAATCTGAAGAAAACACATTCATCTATTCAATAGTTATTTCCAAGTGACTGCTGGGGGCCCGGTTGTGTGCCAAGTGCTGGGGATATAATGATAACCAGAAAGTTGGTCCTGGTCTCAAACAGCCAGGTTTCCTGGCTCTCCTCCGTGTCCCCACTCCCTCTGAAGCCCAGTCCTGTCACATTTACATGACCCCTCCACCATCCTCTTCTGCACTTTCACCAATGACCCTCCCAGAGCCTCAGGTATCCATTCATTTATTCAACAACTGTGTGCCAGGCACTATTCAGGGCAATGGGGACTCAGCAGTAAACAGAATAGATTAAAATCCCCGCCTTCTTAGAGTGGAAGGAGAAACAATAACTAGGATAAAATGCAGCCAAGATACAGTGTGTGGCAGACACAGTATGTTGAGCAGTGATAAAGAGAAACAATAGAGCAGGGGAGAAGAGAGGTAGTCTGGGGTGGGGTTTGGGTGGTCCAGCCAAAGGTTTAAGGTTCAGAAGGTTTAAGACAGGAAGGACTGGAGACAGGATCCCAGCAGTAGGAAAAGTAAGTGGAAAGCCAGAGGTGGCGGTCCACTCCTGACCTCACCAGCAAGAGCAGGGGGCAGCATGGCTGCAGCGGAGTGCAGGGGAAAAGAGCTGGAGGTGAGCCCAGAGCGGGGTGGGGCTGGAAATCAGACCAGGTAGGTCCTTGCAGGAAGAGGAAGAACCTGGCTTTTCCTCTGAGTGATGTGGGAAGTCATGGGTGTGTTTTGAGCTGTGGGGAAACATGGCATGTCTTAGTTTAGTGGGTGGCTGGCTGCTGTGGGAATAGCATAAAAGAGCAGGAGGCTACTATGGAATCCAGGCAAGAGATTTTGGTAGCCTGGACCAATGTGTGACAGTGGAGTAGGAGATGTGGTCAAATCCAAGATATATTTTAAGGTGGAGCTAATGGGATTTGTTGACAGATTGTGAGATATAAAAGACCTAAAGATGACATCAAGTGTCTTGACCTGAGCAATTACTAAAACCAGGGAGACTGCAGGAAGAGCCGACGGGAAAGATCATGAGCTTGACTTTGGACATGCTGAAGTCTGAAGAGCCTATCAGATGTCCAAGTGGAGATGTCAAGTAGGCAATTGGATACCTGGTTCTAGCTCAGGAGACAATTCCAAGCTTGAGATGTAGATTGGGGAGTAATTATGACTGACCATGGACTTTAGGCTGGGAAAGGAGAAGATGAGGGGCTTAAGGAACAGCAAAAGGAGAAAGGGATTATTAGATTTGGGGATGGAGAGTGAAGACAGTCACTAGCATACTGAGCCACTGAACAAGCCATTGCTTTTCCTCAGCAGAGCAAGTTTCAGCAAGGGAAAGGGAACATTCAGGGAAGCAGTGGCAGAGATGGGGATTTTGCTGATGACTGGCAGTGAGTTCCAGAGAGCACAGAAGTTTCAAGAGAAGCGGGGGAGCAGAGGAGATGGGGCTGGAAAATGTGACATTCTGAATAGAATGTGCATAAGGGGACAGAAGATGAGGAATGGTCTCTAAGTTTGGGGCCTGTCATGGGGACAGAGGTAAAGAGGGATAAAGGCATAAGGAGGCTGGACCTCTGGGGACCAAGACCATGGAGGTAAAGAGGGCGTGAATGTGTGGGTGCATGGGGCGAGGGTGGGCCTGGGGCAGGGAGTGCTCCCACTGGACTTCAGAGGCCACCCTCGCATAGTAACCTTTCCAGCCTTGGCCCTGGGCTACACTGGTTTTCTCCATTCCATCTTAGCCTTCACTCAGGTGCTTTTCCTTCTGACCTGTTGACTGCAGGCTCCCAGGCCTCTATCTTGAGCCAGGCTCTTCTTTCTTTTGCACTGCTCTGAAAACACCAACGCTTACAAAGATTCCTTCTGTTTCATGCAGGTGCTGCACTTGCCTTCTTCAAGGTCCCGAAGGTAAAAATGTGTTTGGGACTCATGGGATTGCCCAATGTGTGCCCCAACTGAGCTCATCCTTCGTAAGCCATCACATTTTCTCAACATCTTAACGTCTATTTTCTTTTCCTCACAGCTACTTCTTTAACCAGCCATAAATGAAACCAGACTTTTTAAAGCCAATATTTTGCATTCTTTGTTTTTAATTTTTAAAACAAATAAAAGTCAACTGTCTTCCTCCTTCTGGGGTCTCCCTCAACTTTTTTTTTTTTCTTTTCATATATTAATTAATGAATTTTGAGACAGGGTCTCCTGTTGCCCAGGCTGGAGTGCAGTGGTGTGATCACAGCTCACTGCATTCTTGACCTCCTGGGCTCAAGGGATCCTTCTACCTCAGCCTCTGGAGTAGCCAGGACTACAGGCACACACCACCACACCCGGCTAATTTTTTTATTTTTTGTAGAAATGGGGTTTTGCCATGTTGCTCAGGCAGGTCTCAAATTCCTGCCCTCAAGCAATCCACCCACTCTGGCCTCCCAAAGTGCTGGGATTACAGATGTGAGCCACCACACCTGGCCTTTTTTAAAAAAAAATCTATAAGATTGATAGCCTTCTGTGATGAAAGGATTCCCTTGTGCTCCTCTAGCCCTTTGAAGCATTGGATTTCCAACAGAATTTTTCTGAGGGCCTTCTCCTGTTTGGGCACAGTGTCACCCACAGCCTTTCTCCAGGCCGGGGCTTCTACCCTTTGGCCCACATTCTCTGGGCCCCGTTTCCTGACCACCAGCTGGGCACTGGCTCTCCAGGAACCCCATCTGTCTTCAAGCAATACTAAAGGCAAAAACATCACCTGGCAGAAGAAACAAATGGGAAGACGGTATTTGATTTACTACCTGTCTGATATGGTTTGGCTCTTGTGTCCCCACCCAAATCTCATGTCAAATTGTCATCTCCAGTGCTGGTGGAGGGGCCTGGCAGGAGGTGATTGGATCGTGGCGGTAGATTTCCCCCTTGCTGTTCTCATGATAGTGAGTGAGTTCTCAGGAGAGCTGATGGCTTAAAAGTGTGTGGCAGTTCCCCCTTCTCTCTCACCTGTCATGCTGTGAAGAAGGTGCTTTATTCCCCTTCGCCCTTCCACCATGATTGTAAGTTTCCTGAGGTCTCCCCAACCATAGTTCCTGTACAGCCTGTGGAATTGTGAATCAATTAAACCTCTTTTCTTCATAAGTTACCCAGTCTCAGGTAGTTCTTTATAGCAGTGTGAAAACAGACTAACACACTGTCCAAGAATGAGCAGGAACAGAAAAGGCACATTGTATCCAACACTGTCAGATGGAAAATACAGGGGTAATCAGAAGGACAGAGAGAAGAAACCCCTTCAGTGGCCAGGCTGTTCTCTCTAGAGGTGTAGTCTTTTTTAGCTATTGTTTGTAGCTCTGCCAACAGTTTTCCTATCAGAGGTTGCAGGCAGAAAAAACTAATCACCATTAAATGTTCATGAGCAGCTACCACAGAGTTGGACCACAGCAAGTGATGGCTGGGTTCTTGGGTTTGCTTTATTTCTTCCAATGCAAGCACATGGCATTGGTTGCCCTGACTTGCGGGCAGCTGGGCCTGCCCCCTGCTCCTGCTGGGCTCGTTGGAACAGATTTTTAAAAACAGGTCAGGGAGGAATCCGTCTTGCATGACACACTGCACATGAATGGCTCCTGTGTGCTTCCTCACCCTGAACATGTCCTCTTCTTAATTATGATGACAATCCCAAGTTTGGGTGCTTTAGAAAGTCGTCCATCTGCATGTGTGTGTGTGTATGTTCTTTGTGCTCTGTGTACATGTGTGTTCTCTTAGACAAGAAAAAACATACTCTTGCTGTTTAAAATATCTTGTCAAGGTGCAGGTGGCTGGCAAGAAGGCCAAACAGGAAGAGCTCCAGTCTGCAGCTCCCAGCGAGATCAACACAGAAGCTGGGTGATTTCTGCATTTCCAACTGAGGTACCCAGCTCATCAGATTGGGACTGGTTCGGAGGGCAAGACGAAGCAGGGTGGGGCGTCACTTCACCCAGGAAGCGCAAGGTGTCAGGGAACTCCCTCCCCTATCCAAGGGAAGCTGTGAGAGACTGTGCCCTGAGGAACGGTGCACTCCAGCCCAGATACTGTGTTTTTCCCATGATCTTCGCAACCCGCAGACCAGGAGATTCCCTCAGGTGACTACACCACGAGGGCCCTGGGTTTCAAGCACAAAACTGGGCAGCCATTTGGGCAGACACCAAGCTAGCTGCAGGAGTTTTTTTTCATACTCCAGTGGTGCCTGGAGTGCCAGTGAGACAGAACCGTTTCCTCCCCTAGAAAGGGGGCTGAAGCCAGGGAGCCAAGTGGTCTAGCTCAGTGGATCCCACACTCATGGAGTCCAGCAAGCTAAGATCCACTGGCTTGAAATTGTCACTGCCAGCACAGCAGTCTGAAGTCGACTTGGGTGCTCAAGCTTGGTGGGGGGAGGGGCGTCCACCATTACTAAGGCTTGAGCAAGCGGTTTTCCCTCACAGTGTAAGCAAAGCTGCTGGGAAGTTTGAACTGGGTGGAGCCCACCGTAGCTCAGCAAAACCATGTAGCCAGACTCCCTGTCTAGATTCTTCCTCACTGGGCAGGGCATCTCTGAAAGAAAGGCAGCAGCCCCAGTCATGGGATTATAGACAAAACTCCCATCTCCCTGGGACAGAGCACCTAGGAGAAAGGGCAGCTGTGGGTGCAGCTTCAGCAGACTTAAACGTTCCTGCCTGCTGGCTTGGAAGAGAGAAGTGGATCTCTCAGCACAGCACTCAAGCTCTGCTAAGGGACAGACTGCCTCCTCAAGTGAGTCCCTGGTCCCCATGCCTCCTGATGGGGAGACACCTCCCAGCAGGGTTCAACAGACACTTCATACAGGAGAGCTCTGGCTGGCATCAGGCATGTGTCCCTCTGGGATGAAAATTCTAGAGGAAGGAACAGGCAGCAATCTTTGCTGTTCTGCAGCCTCCACTGGTGATACCCAGGCAAACAGGGTCTGGAGTGGACCTCCAGCAGACCCCAACAGACCTGCAGCAGAGAGGCCTGACTGTTAGAAGGAAAACTAACAAACAGAAAGGAATAGCATCAACATCAACAAAAAGGACATCCACACCAAAACCCCATTAGAAGGTCACCAACATCAAAGACCAAAGGTAGATAACTCCATGAAGATAAGGAAAAACCAGCGCAAAAAGACTGAAAATTCCAAAAACCAGAATGCCTCTTCTCCTCCAAAGGATCACAACTCCTCACCAGCAAGGGAACAAAACTGGATGGAGAATGAGTTTGACGAATTGACAAAAATAGGCTTCAGAAGGTGGGTAATAACTAAGAAAGCTAAGAACCTTGAAAAAACGTTAGAAGAATTACTAACTAGAATAACCTCTTTAGAGAAGAATATAAATGACCTGATGGAGATGAAAAACAGCATGAGAACTTCGTGAAGCATACACAAGGATCAATAGCCAAATCGATCAAGCAGAAGAAAGGATATCAGAGATTGAAGATCAACTTAATGAAATAAAGTGTGAAGACAAGATTAGAGAAAAAAGAATGACACAGCTTCCAAGAAATATGGGACTGTGTGAAAAGAACAAACCTATGTTTGATTGGTGTACCTGAAAGTGATGGGGAGAATGGAACCAAGTTGGAAAACACACTTCAGGATATTATCCAGGAGAACTTCCCCAACCTAGCAAGGCAGGCCACATTTAAATTCAGGAAATACAGAGAACACCACAAAGATACTCCTTGAGAAGAGCAACCCCAAGACACATAATGGTCAGATTCACCAAGGTTGAAATGAGGAAAAAAATGTTAAGTCAGCCAGAGAGAAAGGTTGGGTTACCCACAAAGGGAAGCCCATCAGACTAATAGCAGATCTCTCTGCAGAAACTCTTCAAGCCAGAAAAGAGTGGGGGCCAATATTCAACATTCTTAAAGAAAAGAATTTTCAACACAGAATATCATATCCAGCCAAACTAAGCTTCATAAGTGAAGGAAAAATAAAATCCTATACAGACAAGCAAATGCTGAGAGATTTTGCCACCACCAGGCCTGCCTTACAAGAACTCCTGAAGGAAGCACTAGATATGGAAAGGAAAATCTGGTCCCAGCCACTGCAAAAACATACCAAATTGTAAAGACCATTGACACTGTGAAGAAACTGCATCAACTAATGGGCAAAATAACCAGATAGCATCCTAATGACAGGATCAAATTCACACATAATATTATTAACCTTAAATGTAAATGGGCTAAATGCCCCAATTAAAAGACACAGAATGGCAAATTGAATAAAGGGTCAAAACCCATTGGTGTGCTGTATTCAGGAGATCCATCTCACGTGCAAAGACAAACATAGGCTCAAAATAAAGGGATGGAGGAATATTTACCAAGCAAATGGAAAGCAAAAAAAAAAAAAAAAAAAAAAAAAGCAGAGATTGTAATCCTAGTCTCTGATAAAAACAGACTTTGAACCAACAAAGATCAAAGGAGACAAAGAAGGGCATTACATAATGGTAAAGGGATCAATGCACCAAGAAGAGATAAATATCCTAAATATATATGCACCCAATACAGGAGCACCCAGATTCATAAAGCAAGTCCTTAGAGACCTACCAAGAGACTTAGACTCCCACACAATAATAATGGGATACTTTAACATCCCACTGTCAATATTAGACAGATCAACAAGACAGAAAATTAACAAGGACAGTCAGGACTTGAACTCAGCTCTGGACCAAGGAGACCTAATAGACATCTACAGAACTCTCCACCCCAAATCAACAGAATATACATTCTTCTCAGCACCACATTGCATTTATTCTAAAATTGACCACATAATTGGAAGTAAAACACTCCTCAGCAAATGCAAAAGAATGGAAATCATAACGAACAGTCTCTCAGACCACAGTGCAATCAAATTAGAACTCAGGATTAAAAAACTCACTCAAAACCACACAACTACATGGAAACTGAACAACCTGCTCCTGAATGACTAGTGGGTAAATAACAAAATGAAGGCAGAAATAAATAAGTTCTTTGAAACGAATGAGAACAAGGACACAACATACCAGAATTTCTGGGACACAGCTAAAGCAGTGTTTAGAGGGAAATTTATAGCACTAAATACCTAAAGGAGAAAGCAGGAAAGATCTAAAATTGACACCCTAACATCATAGTAAAAAGAATTAGAGAAGCAAGAGCAAACAAATTCAAACGAATTCAAAAGAAGACAAGAAATGACTAAGATCAGTGCAGAACTGAAGGAGATAGAGACATAAAAAACACTACAAAAAATCAATAAATCCAGGAGCTGGTTTTTTGAAAAGATTAACAAAATAAATAGACTGCTAGCCAGACTCATAAAGAAGAGAGAAGAATCAAATAGACACAATAAAAAATGATAAAGGGGATATCACCGCTGATCCCACAGAAATACGATCTACCACCAGAGAACACTTAAACACTTCTATGCAAATAAACTAGAAAAACTAGAAAAAATTGATAAATTCCTGGACACAGACACCCTCCCAAGACTAAACCAAGGAGAAGTCAAATCCTTGAATAGACCAATAACAAGTTCTGACATTAAGGCAGTAATTAATAGCCTACCAACCAAAAAACAGCCCAGGACCAGAGAGATTCACAGCCAAATTCTACCAGAGGTACAAAGAGGAGCTGGTGCCATTCCTCCTGAAACTATTCCAAACAATAGAAAAAGAGGGACTCCTCCCTAACTCATTTTATGAGGCCAGCATCATTCTGCTACCAAAAACTGGCAGAGACACAACAGAAAAAAAATTTCAGGCCAATAACCCTGATGAACATCGATGTGAAAATCCTCAATAAAATACTGGCAAACCAAATCCAGCAGCACATCAAAAACTTATCCACCATGATTGAGTTGGCTTCATCCCTGGGATGCAAGGCTGGTTCAACATATGCAAATCAATAAATGTAATCCATCACATAAACAGAACCAATGACAAAAAGCACATGATTATTTCAATAGATGCAGAAAAGGCCTGTGATCAAATTCAACACCTCTTCATGCTAAAAACTCTCAATAAACCAGGTATTGATGGAACATATCTCAAAATAAGAAGAGCTATTTATGACAAAGCCATAGCCAATATCATACCGAATGGACAAAAGCTGGAAGCATTCCCTTTGAAAACCGGCACAAGACAAGGATGCCCTCTCTCACCACTCCTATTCAACATAGTACTGGAAGTTCTGGCCAGGGCAATCAGTCAAGAGAAAGCAATAAAGGGTATTCAAATAGGAACAGAGGAAGTCAAATTGTTTGCAGATGACATGATTGTATATTTAGAAAACTCTATCATCTCAGCTCAAAATCTCCTTAAGCTGATAAGCAACTTCAGCAAAGTCTCAGGATACAAAATCAATGTGCAAAAATCACAAGCATTCCTATACACCAATAATAGACAAACCAAGAGTGAACTCCCATTCACAATTGCTACCAAGAGAATAAAATACCTAGGAATACAACTTACAAGGGATGTGAAGGACCTCTTCAAGGAGAACTACAAACCACTGCTCAGCAAAATAAGAGAGAGCACAAAAAAATGGAAAAACATTCCATGCTCATAAATAAGAAGAATCAGTGTCATGAAAATGGCCATACTGCCCAAAGTAATTTATAGATTCAATGCTATCCCCATCAAGCTACCATTGACTTGCTTCACAGAATTAGAAAAAACTACTTTAAATTTCATATGGAACCAAAAAAGATCCTATATAGCTAAGACAATCCTAAGCAAAAAGAACAAAACTGGAGGCATCATGCTACCTGACTTCAAACTATACTACAAGGCTACAGTAACCAAAACAGCATGGTACTGGTACCAAAACAGATATATGGACCAATGGAACATAACAGAGGCCTCAGAAATAATGCCACACATCTACAGCCATCTGATCTTTGACAAACCTGACAAAAACAAGCAATGGGAAAAGGATTCCTTATTTAATAAATGGTGTTGGGAAAACTGGCTAACCATATGCAGAAAACTGAAACTGGACCCCTTCCTTACACCTTATACAAAAATTAACTCAAGATGGATTAAAGACTTAAAAGTAACACCTAAAAACCATAAAAACCCTAGAAGAAAAACTACGCAATACCATTCATGACATAGGCATGGGCAAAGACTTCATGACTAAAACACCAAAAGCAATGGTATCAAAAGCCAAAATTGACACAGGTGAACTAATTAAACTAAAGAGTTTCTGCACAGCAAATAACCTACCATCAGAGTGAACAGGCAACCTACATACAGAATGGGAGAAAATTTTTGCAATCTATCCATCTGACAAATGGCTAATATCCAGAATCTACAATGAACTTAAACACATTTACAAGAAAAAAAACAACCCCATTAAAAAGTGAGTGAAGGATATGAACAGACACTTCTCAAAAGAGGACAATTATGCAGCCAACAAAAATATGAGAAAAGGCTCATAATCACTGGTCATTAGGGAAATGCAAATCAAAACCACAATAAGATACCATCTCACACCAGTTAGAATGGCAATCATTAAAAAGTCAGGAAACAACAGATGCTATTGTTTCCTATTGTGGAGAAATAGGAATGCTTTCGGTCAGTGGGAGTGTAAATTAGTTTAACCATTGTGGAAGACAGTGTGGCTATCCCTCAAGGATCTAGAACCAGAAATACCATTTGACCCACAATCCCATTACTGGGTATATACCCAAAGGATTATAAATCATTCTACTTTGAAGATACATGCACATGTATGTTTATTGTAGCACTGTTCACAATAGCAAAGACTTGGAACCAACCCAAATGCCTATCAATGATAGACTGGATAAAGAAAATGTGGCACATGTACACCATGGAATACTATGCAGCCATAAAAAAGGATGAATTCATGCTTTTTGCAGGGACATGGATGAAGCTGGAAACCATCATTCTCAGCAAACTAACATAGGAACAGAAAACTAAACACCACATGTTCTCACTCATAAATGAGAGTTGAACAATGAGAACATATGGACACAGGGAGGGGAATATTACACACCAGGGCATGTGGAAGGGTGGGGGGCTAGAGAAGGGATAGCATTAGGAGAAATGCCTAACGTAGATGACAGGTTGATGGGTGCAGCATACTACCATGGCACATGTATACCTATGCAACAAACCTGCACATTCTGCACATGTATCCCAGACCTTAAAGCATAATTTAAAAAATATATATATATATATCTTGTCATGCTGTTCTTTTAAGGAAACAGCCTGAGGCAGTGGGCATGGAAGGAGATTATACTTGATGGATTTTTTAATAAAAAATGATAAATGAATATAAAAATAAAGTTAACAGAATTGACAAAACTGCATTTTAAATAGTTTTACTAGATATTTATTTGGTATGTTTACTAGATATTCTAGGCATACAAGAACTTGGTTAAGCTCTCTAATAGCCCCAATTGAGTAGGCATTATTAATCCTACTTTATATATAAGGCAAAGTAACTTTTTTTAAAATATGCCATTAATAAGAGATAAAACAGAGGTTTTTAAGCAACTCTGTCTTACTCTAACACCCATGCTTAGCCAGCTACACCTTGATGACTTTAAAAGCAACCAAAAGACCCATCTATAAGGTGAAAATGTGTTTTGCCTGGCTATTATGGTTTGAATGATGATGTCTCCACAAAAATTCATGTTAAGACTTAGTCCTCAATGCAACAGTATTAGGAAGTGTGGCCTTTGGGAGGTGATTAAGTCATGAGGGCTCTACTCTCATGAATGAGATTAGTGACCTTATAAAAGGGCTTACAATTGAAGGAAGCTCTCTTGCCCTTCTGCCCCTTCTGCCAAGTGAGAACACAGTGTTCCTCCCCTCTGGAAGATGCAGCAATGAGGGACTATCTTGGAAGCAAAGAGGAGCCCTCAGCAGACACCAATCCTGCTGGCACCTTGAGCTTAGACCTCCTGGCCTCCAGAGCCATGAGAATAAATTTCTATTGTTTATAAGTTACCCAGTCGATGATATTTTGTTATAGCAGCACAAATGGACTAAGATACTCACAAACAACCAAGAAGTGTTTATCAACTATTGACTAGATGGGCAGCATCAAGATTGGGGCTAAGAACTCTTCCCACATTCAGATGAGACAGAAACTAATTCTCGTGAGTTGTAGTTGGGTAACAACTGGGAGGGTGGCATGTATTTTTACTATGTCAAGCATTGCTTCCCAGGTAGCAAAGGGTGAAACTGCTGATGTCTGAAGGAGGCAGCAAAGGACTAGGCATATTCTACACAGTCTTCTGTTGTGCCTCAACTCTGACGTAGGTCATAGTATTACCTGGGACTGCATCTCAGGCTTGGCTCAGAGGGCAAGCCCAGCCTATATTCCAGCTGGAACACACACACACTCCTCCCCACAATTTACCTGCCCCCAGCTGATGCAAGTCCATTTTTTTTTAAGATGGAATTTCACTCTTGTTGCTCAGGCTGGAGTGCAATAGTGCAATCTCGGCTCACTGCAACCTCTGCCTCCCAGGTTCAAGCAATTCTCCTGCCTCCGCCTACCAAGTAGCTGGGATTACAGGCATGAGCCACCACGCCTGGTAGTCTTTTGTATTTAGTAGAAATGGGGTTTCACCACGTTGGTCAGGCTGGTCTCCTGACCTCAGGTGATCCTCCCACCTCAGCCTCCCAAAGTGCTGGGATTACAGGTGTGAGCCACTGTGCCCAGCTCCTCAGGGAATATTTCTTTTTCTTTTTTTTTTTTTTTTTTTTGCATTTGCAAGATTTAATAGAGTGAAAACAGAGCTCCCATACAAAGGGAGGGGACCCAAAGAGGGTAGCAGTTGCCGGCCTGAATGCCTGGGTTTATGTCCCGATCATTCTCCCTCCCGCTGTGCTCTCAGGTGATAAATGATTGGCTATTTCTTTACCTCCTGTTTTTGCCTAATTAGCATTTTAGTGAGCTCTCTTTACTACCTGATTGGTCAGGTGTGAGCTAAGTTGCAAGCCCTGTGTTTAAAGGTGGATGCGGTCACCTTCCCAGCTAGGCTTAGGGATTCTTAGTCGGCCTAGGAAATCCAGCTAGTCCTGTCTCTCAGTCCCCCCCTCAACAGGAAAACCCAAGTGCTGTTGGGGAGGTTGGCCAACGACCGCTCTAACTGCTTCCTGCTGAATTGGGGCGTAGTAGGGGTCGTGCAGTTGAGATTTCCTTGGGAGGGGTGGCTTTGATGTCATTAACATCAGAGCATGGGCTAGCATGCCGGTCCAGGGGGCCATGGTAGATTTTAGTCATGGATTGCATCTGGGGCTCCATTTGAAGAACCATTTGCAGCTTTTCAGCTTTGATTCTGGAAGAGACAAACTTAACAAGGAGGTTAAAGATACAGGAATAGAAATGTATGGACTGAAGTGCAGGGGATTTTTTTTTTTTGGCACACTTCACAGGCCCTGACTATCTGCTTGATAGTCTTGAAAAGGCCTGGTCCAGTAAATAATGATTTGGCCATCTGATGGGTGCTATCAATGCCTAAGTGAAAGGTTTGGTGAAGGATTTTAAGTAATTTTCATTGGTTAGCTGCTGGTGAAAGTACTTTTCCTTCTTCGGTGGCTAGCCATGCTGAGGGGAGGAAACTATGTCCTCATGAGGTTCCCCATTCTATTTCTTCTGCTGAGCACTGGGGCTTGGTTTCCCGGAGGGGATTACCCCATACTAGGGGTCCTTCTATAAGCATTTCTAATGGAGCGTCCTGTCTTGCGGCTCTTTTGGCTTTAATATCTGCTTGGCGGTTCCCTTCTATTTCCCTTTCCTTTCCTTTCTGATGACCCCAGCAGTGTTAAGACTGCCACCTTTTTAGGTTTCTGTACCGCCAATAATAATCTCCTAATGGCTTCCTGATGTTTGATAGGTGTTCCCTCGGAAGTTAGGAATTCCCTTTCTCTCCATATTGCTGCATGGGCATGGAGGACTAGGTAAGCATATTAGAATCTGTATATATATTTACCCTTTTTCCTTCTCCTAATTCTAGTGCCCGAGTGAGGGCTATTAGTTCTGCCAGCTGATCGCTAGTTCCTAGAGTGAGGGTATTACTTGCAAGTATTCCATTATCAGTGACCACTGCATACCCTGCTTTTCGAAGTCCTTTTTCTACAAAGGGACTTCCATCAGTATACAAGTTGAGTCGGGATCAGTCAAGGGAACCTCTAGGTCCCCTCGAGTGGTGCAGGTTTGAGCAATTACTTGTTGAGACTTATGTTCTATTTTTTCTTCATTGTCTGGAAGAAATGTGGCTGGGTTAAGAGTTGCGTAAGTGCACAGTCACAGCACTGGTCCTTCAAGTAATAGAGCCTGATATTTAAGCAAACGGTTGTCTGACAGCCACAAGTCTCCTTTAGCAGTGAGTATGCCATTCACATCATGAGACATCCACACAGTAAGATCTCTTCCCTGTATCATTTTAACTGCTTCAGATACTAAGACTGCTGCCGCCGCCACTATCCATAAATAATGAGGCCAACCCTTTG
Organism: Homo sapiens; assembly: GCF_000001405.40. NCBI lineage: Eukaryota > Metazoa > Chordata > Mammalia > Primates > Hominidae > Homo > Homo sapiens. Next base: position 91,179,391 of record NC_000001.11, on the reverse strand, counting down.
CCACTACATCAATTTCCTTACTCACGTAAGCCACGGGTTGCAAGCTCGTCCCTCGGACCTGTGTAAGGACTCCTAGAGCTATTCCTGTTTCTTCTGTGACATATAAAGAAAAGTCTTGCCCCATTGGCAAGCTTAACACTGGGGCTTGGGTTCAGGCCTTCTTTAGGGCCTGGAAAGCTGCTTCTTTCTGCTTCAGGTGTCCATCTTACTAAATGGGTATTGGCTTTCTGAGTTTCCTTAATTAGTGTATATAATGGCCTCCTCAGGGAATATTTCTTAGAATTTTTTTTTTCTCGTAGAGCCTACTAGACCTAAAATAGCCTGCAAATACACACATGCATGTATGTCAGCAGCCTCCTATGGGCCTCACTGACAAACTCTTCCTTCATACACTGACCACATGAAAGAGAATACCTGGTCCCCATTGTTCTTGACAAGGCTGTGGGGACCCCACACTATTTGGTTGTTCTAAGTGTGTTGCCAAGGCCACTACCATGAACAACTTTGGGCAGCAACTCCAAGTCTTGTCCCGGTCTTGTCCAAAATAACCTGGAGCCAGGAAAATGTATGCCAGGATTTGGGGATTTGTCCCGCTATTGGCCATCTTGCCCTGAAAGAAGCTGCCGGAGCAATTAAAAATCAAACAAAAGAGAAGCCATGCACACGCACCTCCCTACCTCAAGAAAAAGGAACCCCATGGGGAAAATAAAATTTAGGAGGTTTATTGAACCCACTGTAGAGCTGATCCAGAATTTAAATTGATTCCATAATTTATTGCATTTTAATTAGCAATCACAGGAGACCAAGTATGGTTTACTTTCTTGTTAGGAGCTCTAGCTGGAAACAAATACCAGTGAGTCTTAATAAGGATGAGTTATATTTACTGTTTTCCATTTTACAGTCTTGTTATAATCATCACAAGAACAGATTCATTTAGTGCTCATCTGTTCTTGGTATGACATTTGTTAACCACTAGGGTGACATAAAGTCAGAACATACCCCAGAAGCCAGGCAAGAGCCCCTCCAGCCCTATCCCACCCCATGGTTGCTCCTGCATTGTTTCCAATCGTATAATTTAATGTGGAAATATTTCTAGCTTAGGTTAGATAACAGAGTTCGCATGTGCCATTGTCACCCAAAATGCATCCATATGACTGTTGTTGGTTATTTATTTAGAAAAGAAAAATGCTACAAACAGACAGCTGTATTTATATGCACCACTCCAACTTAGAAGCACCAGCCCCGTCAGGCAGCCAAGACGCTGCCTCTCGGCCACAGCGCACACCCATCGCTTAGCAGCCATCCATCCGATGTGTGATCCCACTTGCTTGTTTTCATTCTGTATTTTTGTTTTGGGGGTTTATATAATGTTAATTCTTTTTAATGACAGGGCCAGAGCTTTTGGGACTTCTAAACAGCTCTTGTTATTATTACTCAAGCAGAAAGAATCCTGCACTTCTACTTGCGGGTTGGGACTCTCTGGAGCAATGCGCTTCCTTGGGAGTATTCTGGGTTCCTATTTCTTGCTAGGAACATTATCAAGTACTTTTTAAGTACCACTGCATACTGTTCCAGTGATTCCCATCAGTCATCCCAGTTCTCCCTCTTGGATTGGGCTCCCAGCAGGTAAGGGAACTCATTATCTAAAGTCCAAAGGATTTTTCATTGAATGAGGAAGGAGGACTTGATTCCAAAAGGCCATCCTCACAAAAGGGATGTTTTGGGTAACCTGGATACACATTATCTTCTGAGACTTTTCATTGAAACAGGACTTTTACCCCCGAAAAGCAGGTGAAGTAGGTGCCACTGTTTATTTACTCCTCTTTTTCTTTTTTAACCTAGTTTTTCTGCTTAGCCACAGAGGTACCAATCCTATGCTGGAGTTTTAATTAAACCTTGCTCTCTGTTAAAAAGCTCCTATTGTCCTTTTCATTTAAATAGGATTCTTCTTAGATCTTTAACAAGACCACGGAGGAGTAATAAATCTAAGTAATTGTCCTTATTAAGAGGAGATTATTCTCTCAAGACTATAACAGTCACCAAAGTAACTAAAGCCATTTCCAGGTAGCACTTAGAGTATTCTCCTCCTACCCAAATACAGAAATGCCTCGTTAGTCACTTTCTTTGGTGCTCAAATTAAATTAGATGGCATTCTGTTTATTTTTCATATCTTTTGCTAACAGAAGGGGATTTGCCTTTTGATGACATTAATCAGGAAACCTCAAGTCCAACTACATTGAGTCCATGGGATGGAAACGACCCCTCCCTCCCTTCCTTCTTTCCTTCCTTCCTTGCTTTTACAAGTGATGCCTGAGTTCCTGCCAGGCATTCTGCTAGGTATTAGTGGCTCCAAGATAAAAAACCTAGTCCCTTGGATGGTATATTACATGTTCATCTAATCTTTACTAAACATCTTCCATGTGCAAGGCACTGTAGTAGGTGCTGAGTTTTCAGAGGGGGGAAAGCCCACCTTCTTGGAACCTAAAATGTAGCAGGAATTTAGACATTAACTCAATAATTACATAATCGACTACAACCATGGTGAAAAGTTATGAGAGGACAGGGTACCACGTGAGTGTGTTCCATGGAGTTAGAAGAAGTCTACCAGAATTATCCACTTAGTTTATTCCATTACAGGTGTAGACCTCTGCTTTCCTGCCTTGCAAAACTTCCAGGGAAGCTTTCCCATTTCCCAAGTTCTTATGTAGTCAGTGGCTCCTGATGTTTTCAGTTTTTGTTTAAAATCCATGTTCTAAACGAGCCTCCCTTAGAGAAAGCCAACCTAACATTTCTAGAATAGAGTTGTCAAACAACAACAACAACAACAAAAAACTGGTAGCAAACTCAAGCATCCCTCAAAGCTTAGGAAGTGCCTTACAGAAGTGCCTTCCAAGAAATGGACTCCCTAAGGAGCTTGGGGAGGGAGGCTTAAGCCAAAATGAGAAAGTATTGTTTGTCAATCTTCTTGGCTTCAGACTTTGTCTTCAGATCTTGAGGGCATAGTTGGCATCAGCTTAGCTCTTATACACACTTCATGTTGAGTGTTCTGTGATGTTTGGGAATTGCTAGTAAGAACTGACACATTTGTTGCTCCCCAAATTGCCAGTAACATAGAACTTGTGGGTATTACTTGCAAAATTCATTTTCAGGGCACAAAAGAGAAGCAACTTGAAGCTGTGCAGAGATGAAAATTGGAATCTTGCCATTTGAGATGGAAAATTTCTGATTATATGACAATAGAAAAAAATTAGCTCTCTTTTCATGCATCCAACAAGTCAGAAAGTTTTCTTGAAGAACAAGATCAGCAGTCCACCTGCTGGGAAGCCTTGACTGGTGGACTTCATTGCCTTTGTCAATTGTCCATGAGCTAGGTTGGACTTCAGCCTTGCAGATTCAGAACTTAGAAAACATACCAAGAGTAGATCCATTTTTCTGAGAGAGACCCATTAGCTAAGGAGTGAGATTGAAGGATAAAAGGACTATGCCAGGGTACTAATTACCAACGAGAAGTAACTGTCAAAGGGGCTGAAATGCTCCAAAGTCTACATGACCAGCACATTCTTTTCCTGAAGCCCACTCCAAGTCATGATCAGAAGACTCCTGGGGAAGTGTATCATCAGAAAAAGAAAAGTTAGATGACTTGAACATTTAGTGAAATAAAACTAATACTGCTCAGTCCTTCCACTGAGCAATAGAACTAACTGGGGCTAGAAGACTGGAACTCAATTGGCCTTACCCCGCACATTCATTCATCTTCACATTAAGGATACTTTTGCCAATGAGAGGGAGTGACTCAGTTTGTTGAGTTTGACCTCCTTTAACTTCCTTTAAGTGAATCTTCCCCAAATGGCACTCTGCTATTCACAATAATCAAGAAAGCATTCTCAGGAAAACGTTTTTGCAGTCTTAAAAGTAAGGCTACTACCTCTTTACCAAGGGATACTTAAAAACAAAATCCTCATCTTATATTTGAGCATATATGATAACCATTTATAGTCAAGAATCAGTAATTAAGTAGGAACCTCTATAGGGTGGGATTCTCTTCCCTGATTTCCCACGGCCTCTGGGATCCAGCCGCAATTCCTTTGCACTGGGATTCAAGGCCCTTTTGCTTGTGCCACTAGCACATGCCCTGGCACCTCTCCTTCCTCTAAGCTGCCAAAGCTGACTAGCTTTTCTTCTAATGGGCATATTCTTCCTTTATCTATGTTACCTCTTCCCTGGATTGCTAGTGGAGTTTTAGAGGCCCTGGAGCCATTTTGCCTTCATCAAGAAACTTCGATTCTTTCTGATATTGATCTTGTTGTTTGGCTCTCAAAGGGCAGTCTTATTTCTGGTTCTCAGGGAAGCAGGGTGAGGTGAGAGAGTACCTTACTAACGCCCCAAGTACACAAATAAGGGCACCATCATCATAACATACTTGAGACTACAAAAGGAGTTGGACTTTGACAGTTACCTGTATACAGCACAAGTGTGAAAACACATGCACACACACTTCCTCTTTGTAGCCTTTGCTTCGAGATCTCTAGTGACAAAATTCTTTTGAATGAAAATGTAATGACCCAAAGTAACAAAGAGAAATATCTGTATTTTCCCTTAAGCTTAACAGAGTTCATTATTATAACTTTCTCTCTCTCTTCTTTTTTTGAGACAGAGTCTTGCTCTGTTGCTCAGGCTGGGGGACAGTGGCACGACCACAGCTCACTGCAGCCTCAACTTTCCCCACCTCAGGCAATCCTCCCACTTCAAGCCTCCCGAGTAGCTGGGACTACAGGTGCGTGCCACCATGCCCTGCTAATTTTTGTAGTTTTTGTGTAAACAGGGTTTCATCATGTTCTCCAGGTTGGTCTTGAACTCCTGGGCTCAAGAGATCAGCCAGTCTTGGCCTCCCAAACTGTTGGGATTACAGGTGTGAGCCACCGCACTTAGCTATTATAACTTTTTCTAAAATGACTTAGTACAACAGAACTTTAGTGACAAATAATTGTAAATAATGATCAGAAAATTTAAGTTTAACACACAACTCAAGTTATGCCATTTCCTCTGGGTTTATTTGTGGGTCCCCACAATAATAGGGTGGTTTTGACTTCCTTACTAGTTAGTTCCCTTTACAGAATTCTTGCTGCATATGTTGTTGCATTTCTTGCATTATTAGTATCCATTTCTTGACAAATGAAGAGGCTGTCCCCCGTGCACTCCTACCCTACTGTACAGGGCTGTCCTGTGGTTCTGGGCAGGAGGTGAATCATTCAGGACACCTGTGCTGAAGGGGCTTTGATTTAATGATGCTGGACATAGAAAACAAAAGACCTGATAAATGGAAGAGAAACTCCCTGGAAAGTATGAAAATCGATCTTTGAGCTTTAAAATTGTCCCCAGCAGAAGTGGCTCCCTACTATGTGTAGCAGAGACTGCTCGTGTTCACTGAGACCACAGGTTCCTCTGTTCCCAGCCTCCTTGCAGTTAGGAGGGGCGGTATGACTGGGTTCTATCCAATGTGGGCACAACGTGTATACCACTTCAAGGCTTGGCCCCTAAAATGCCCCGCAAGCTCTTTTGCGGTCCCTCTCTTTGCTAGCTATGTTCCTGGAGCAAAGGACTCTGAGAAGTCAGAACCACATGCCATGTCAGGAGCTGAACCCCTGAACTCATGACTTAAAGTTGCCTGACCTGTGATATTCACAGGGGACCTTGTGTGAATGAAGAATAGCTTTTATTGTGTTAAGCCACTAAGCTTTTGCAGTTGTTTCTTGCCACGCTTAGCCCAGCCTCGCCTGACTGAGGGAGGTGGGCAAGCCCAGCGAGTCAGCATGCTGCCAACACTCCATGGAGTCCATCCCCAGATTCCTCTGTCTCTTTGTTCTGATGCACGAACACAGGATGCACGCACCACCCAGGACGTTTTCACTCTGGGAATCCAGCCAGCTCCATACTTTCCAGCACATTTGTGAATGATTTTCTTATTGAATAAATATTCCAGATGGAAAAGCCCATCAGACCTACTATTGTGCCCAAACTTACCTGGGACCTACTCAAAGTGGACTGTTTTAAGGCTGAATCTAAGCTAAGGTCCTTGAAGCGTAGCCAGATCAAAGCTTGAATCCAAATGTAAGCCAGTGCCTGCCACATATCAGAATCTCCACAAACATGGGTTGAAGGAAGGAAGGACAACATCCTTCATCCTGATCCAGAGACAAGCAGGAAGCAAAATCAAGGGGTAGGAGCTTGCAGAAACTGCAGTAGAGCAGGAAGAAGGGATCGTTCTGAAAATGCAGTGCCGGCGGCGCCATGGCTGCCTGCATTGGCAGGGAAGGCTTGCATGGTGTATATATTTTTTAAGAGCAGTTTTAGGTTCACAGCAAAATTGAGCAGAAAGTACAGAGAGTTCCCATATACCCCTTGCCCCAACCCATGTGCATAATTAGCCTCCCCCATTATCAACATTCCTCACCAGAATGATTCGTTTGTTACAATTTGTGTCCACTGTTAGTGGACACAAATAAACAACTTTGTCCACAGCTTTCTCCTAAAAGGCATTTTTCCACAGCCCAAAGACCCCAAGAATTCTTTAGATATCCATGTAGAAAAGGAAAGCCCATCTAGGATCCTGCTAGACATGAACAGAGTCTGTGGCTCCATTCCCAGCATTCTCTGGAGTTTAGCTTGAGAAAATAATAAGAATCCTATAGGATCAGTGATCTCACTCATTTGGACTACAGTAAATCTCTTCTATATTACTGCTCAGCCTCTGAGAATATTATATTGGGTCTCATTTTATTAAAGAATGTCATGCATACCCAGAAGTCGCTATTTAATTTTTAGCTGCAAGATACAATTTTGAAAAACCATTATCTAGAAAGTGCAATAATCAAACAATGTAATCATGAATGTTAAACCTCCTTGGAATATTATTTTAAATGCTTGCCAGCTGGAAGCAAAAGTTGACAAGGAAGTATCTGACTTGGTTGGCTTTGTAATTTGTCAAAGCATCTACACTTTCCAACATGATATATTTGTTAAGATATGTTTTTTTTCTCTGCATGATTGTTTTGAAACTATCAAAGAATACAAAATCCTTAAACAAGGAAGACAGATTTGCATTTTCTATTTGTTCCAGCCTAAGATTTAGGATTAAATCACTTTAAGAGACAGAATTGAATCCTTTCTCAGAGGAGCCAGACGGTCCACATACATCATCAACTGCCTCTGAGCTTTCTGGCTGCTCTGTGAGATCAGACTCGTAAATTCTGTGACATAGGGAAAACATCAGAAAGCCACGGCATGCATTTTAAGAGCCCAGCAAGCTGGATTTACACTGTCATGAAAGATTCCTGGCAATTTCCCCATTTTTCCCGTCACTCAACATTGAATCTCCACAGAAAGGGTCGATTGGATATTTGGCCCGTGACTGTGAGTCTGGGGGGGTGATCCAGCTATCTGGCAAATGTGCCACCCTCCCTGCCTAAGGGGGCCCAGCAAGTCTATGCATCATCGAGCAGTTCCCCAGGAAGGACATCTTTTTGCGGGGTGGCTCTGAACTTTGTTTCAAGCAACTCCTGCCATCTGAAATACGCTTCTTGATCAGTGAACTCCTCATTTCGTTCTCACACACTTCCCACCTACCTCTCTCTCAGCACTATACTATAACTTACATATTTGTCTTCACTATTGGGCATTGAACTTATGGAGTGTGCTTCTCTTAGCACTTTGAATGACTAAATATCAATGTCTGCTCCTTACAATACCATTTCTAAGGAGTCCTCGATGGACCCCAGAAGGGGTGGTGATGTCTGGCCCAGGCCTTATTGTCTTTGTATGACCTGAATTTGGCACTTACCAGGCATACAGCAGGCACTTGAGATGAATGGGTGAATGTGTCCACCTGCTTGGGGAGCCTGGGGATGGATCAGGGATTGATTTTAGCCTCTGGCTTCTCTTATTCACCCTACCTTCTACCTTCAAAACCTTAGGCAAGATAGTGAACCTTTCTTTAAGTTTTTTTTTTTTTTTGTCTATGAAATGGGAATGATAGTGTTGCCTACTTCATAGGATGTTATGAATAGTGAATGGTGTATATATCTATTATATAAACTAAAAGCTAAAATGATAGCTTGCGCTAGTAAGAGCTCAATAAGTCTTAGCTAACAAAGTGAGTTCTCAAAAAATATGAGCTGTTCTTACTAGACATAATAATGCCTTTCCAAATAGCCTACTCCATTGAACTTCCTTCTACAGCCTAAGTCTCTGTGTAAAAAAGTGATGGTTATTGGGTTTACTTAGAGGAGCTATTTGCTGGGGCCTCAGGGATTCTGGTAAAGTAAATAGGGCTTTTTTTTTTTCCTGGGAGTGTGCTTCCCTTAGCACTTTGAATGACTGTATCAATGTCTGCTCCTTAAAAGGAAGACTGGAAGCAGGACCTTCATGCTTCTTTCCACCCCAATGCCATCTCTAAGGAGTCCTTGATGGACCCTGGAAAAGGTGGTGATGTCTGGATCTGGCTTTGGACAGCGCTTCAGGTTATAATGTCACTGAAAGCCCACAGACCCAGGAAGGACTCTGAAGGGTACAGGGAGCCCTTGAAAGCAACAAGTCCTGCCCTGTGCAGATGATGGGGAAAAAACTTGGCCACCAGCCAAGGGCCTCTACTGACTTCGCAGGCATAAACTATCGAGTTTTAAACATTCTAGGCAAAAGGGTAAGGGTCTGTTTGAGAGAATGGACATGGGCATGGGTTGGGGGGCGGATAGCTGTGCAAAGCTGCCCCAGTCCTGAGGGCAGGTATCTCCATCCTCAGACCTGCCTTGCCCTCTGAGCAGGGGGCTGTGAATTGGGGAAGCAACTATCTGAGTGTTGTCTGGGGGAGATGGGGAATGGAAGAGTAAGTAAGAATGAGACACCCTAGACCCATTTCCCTGGAGACTTCCGAAATCCAGAGGCCCTCACCCGCAAAGGAAGAGATTGTGTGATGTTGGCCCTGAGTCCATAGGCAGGTGACATAGGAGCAAGTTCTAGCTCTCTGTCTATCTGTTTGGGGCCTTGGGTGGTCACTTAGCCTTGCCTTGGCCTCTCCTCCTCTAAAATGAGGCTAATACAACTATGTCACAGAGCCATTGTCAGTCTCTAATGAAGTAAGGCTTGGGATGTGTTCTGAGATCTATAATGTGGTAAATTAATAGCAAGCATTTTACACATAATAATTGTACTTATGATTTAAAGACTCCTGGGATAGAACTGAACTAGGTTTGGTCTTGTGGGCTAGAAGCTGTGGCAGCGATGGTAGAATGAGTCCCATGAGGTTGGATGCCCCTTTCCAAACTGGCCTCTCTCCCTCATCCTTCCTCCACAGCCTGGATAAGATTGGCAGTAAAGGAGAGTGGTTGAGGGTACGGAAGCCAGAAGGCCTGCATTTGAATCCTGTCTCTGTCACTGACTAGCTTCATGGCCTCAGGTAAGAAATTTAAATTTTCTGTATCCATTTCCTTGTTTGTAAAATGGGGATGATATTGGTGCCTACCTTGTAGGATGTTGTAAACACTGAATGATTTAATGCATGTATTATTGTTAAAAATGATAGCTAACAAAGTGAGCACTCAGAAACTGTGAGCTGTGTTTATTAATCATGGTAATGTCATTCCAAATGGCCCAACTCCATTGACCTCTCTGCTCACTCAAAGTATACTGGGTCTGCTGGGTTTGGTGGTGCCTGCCTGTAATCCCAGCTGCTCAGGAGACTGATGTGGGAGGATCACTTGAGGCCAGGAGTTCAAGACCAGCCTGGGCAACAGAGAACCCTGTCTCTTGAAAAAAAAAAAAATACACAACACACACACACGCACGTGTACACACACTATATATATAGTACATATATGTCTATGTAGACATATATACATATGTATATATGTATATATGTATGTATGTATATATATGTATATATACATACATATATACATATATACATATATACATATGTGTATATGTATATATGCGTATAAATGCATATACATATATGTGTATATACGTATATATACATATATGTGTATACACGTATATACACATGTATATACGTGTATACACGTATATACGTGTGTATATGTACCTATATGTCTATGTAGACGTATATACATATGTATATATGTACCTATATGTCTAGACGTATATACATATGTATATTCGTACATATATGTCTCTGTAGACGTATATACATATGTATATTCGTACATATATGTCTATGTAGACGTATATACATATGTATATTCGTACATATATGTCTATGTAGACGTATATACATATGTATATTCGTACATATATGTCTATGTAGACGTATATACATATGTATATTCGTACATATATGTCTCTGTAGACGTATATACATATGTATATATGTATATATGTCTATGTATATATGTATATATGTGTATATATGTATATGTGTATGTACATATACACATACATACGTATATATGTATATATACATATACACATACATACGTATATATGTATACATATATGTATACACATACATGCATATACATAGATGTATACACATGTATACACATACATGTATGTATATGTGTATATGTATATATGTATATGTGTATATGTGTATATATGTATATATGTATGTGTATATATGTATATGTATATATGTATATGTGTATATAGACATATGTGTACACGTGTAGACATAGACATGTGTACACGTGTAGACATGTAGACATATGTGTACACGTGTAGACATGTAGACATATGTGTACACGTGTAGACATGTAGACATATGTGTACACGTGTAGACATGTAGATATATGTCTACACGTGTAGACATGTAGACATGTCTATATATGTCTACATAGACATATATGTATACACACACACACACACACACACACACACACACACACACACACACAAAGAACACTGGGTCCTTTCCACCCTGGCAGGTCAACCAGGAAGCCAGAAGAAAAAAAAATTAGAAATCTCTGAAAAATGAAAATGTCTTTTGAGGGGAAAGGTTATACACCACGGGTGTTTATATGATTCACTAGGAATCCAGTAGATCCAAAAATTGGGGCTGTTCCCTGATGGTCCAATTTGACTTCCTATAGAGGAAGGCCCTCAGGGAGGCATCACCTTAGATCAGCAGGACGTCCTCTCTTCTTCAGCTTCTCCAATGCTACTGCCAGTGAGAATCATACACTTTAAGACAGGGAAGGACCCTACAACATCACTCAGGCCAATGAATCGTGCGGTCCAGGGGAAAGACAGTTGACTGAGGGAGTTCTGTTCTTGAGAGGCAAAATCCACTACCTGCCTCCCAGAGCCAAATGCAGACAATGCAGTCCTGTGCTGCATAAGTGAGGACTGAGGATGTATTCCAGCAGTTCCATGACACTCCTGGAGCATCTACCAACCTACCACAGTCCTGTGCCACTAAGAACCTCATGGTTTAGTAGAGGGAGGCACACAGTGAACATCTTCTCAACACAGTGTGGTTAGAGCCATGCTTTGGGTATTCACGGGGTTGTGGGGAAGCCAAGGACAAGGGCACCAAGCCAGGCCCAGGGCATGTGTGGAAGGTGCTCTCCAGGAGTTACTGACACTTGAGCTAAGTTTGAAAGGAGGAAGAGAAGTAAATCTAGGAGGAAAAAATGAAAAGACCCTCCAAGTAAGAGTGGAGAGAATGAACGAGCGGATCAGTGTGGCTGGAGGCTAAGGTGCCAGAGGGAGGGGAGGGTGACGAGGCCAGAGAGACCAGGAGCCACGGTATAGGACTCATGTTCCTGAATGGAACAGGACTTTAGCTTGGATAATGGGAGCCACCAGTAGGGTTTTCAGCAGAGGAACTGTGCAAATGTGCAGTCACTTGGGGGCTGACTGGTAGAGGATGGATCGGAGCGGACAGACCTGGAAGATGTTCAGCTGGCTTCCCTGAGTGATGCTTGGGTTCACCACTTCCTTAGTGAACAACAGGGCTTCCTAGAGACCGATGGCAACAGGCTCACGATGACGTTCCACATGTGCCACCAAATATCTATCCCTCACTCTGTGGTAACTATCCTTAATTATCCAGGTATTCCGTCACCACAACACAGCTCATGTACCCACGGGGGACACTTTACTGCACCCAATGGGCATGAGGCTTAGGCTCAAGTGAATAAGCACAACTGTATCCCTCTGGTCATAGTATTTGCTTTAAAAATGGTCAAGTGGCCAGGTGCAGTGGCTCACGCCTGTAATCTCAGCACTTTGGGAGGCCTAGGCAGGTGGATCACCTGAGGTCAGGAGCTCCAGATCAGCCTGGCCAACATGGCGAAATCCCATCTCTACTTAAAATACAAAAATTAGCTGGGCATGATAGTGCGTGCCTGTAATCCCAGCTACTCAGGAGGCTGAGGCAGGAGAATCTCTTGAACCCGGGAGGCAGAGGTTGCAGCGAGCTGAGATCGTGCCACTGCACTCCAACTCCAGCCTGAGTGACAGAGTAAGACTCCGTCTCAAAAAAACAAAAACAAAAACAAAAACAAAACAAGAATGGTCAAGTGATTCCATTCAGGCCACTGAGGCTCATGGCAACATTTTTCTGGGGGCTTTGGAAGGTGAAATGTGCAGATGTGAGGCCGGGAACTGCTGCAGCTATTTTCCATCATGAGGGAGGCACGCCTACAACAAAGCTGGCCTGTGGAAAGCAGAAAACATCAGAAAAATGGTTTAAGGCCCTGATGATGGGGTGAATCAAATGGGATCAAAATGAATCAAAATGGGATCTTCCTCCCTACAGAGCAGACCTCTGGACTTTTCAGTCACAGGACCCAATATAGCCCCTTTGTTTTCTAAACCTTTCTTTCTTGCTTGCAAAAGCTCAGAGCTCAGGGACAATAATGTCTCACCTAGAGCACAGTAGTTGGAACTGGCCAGTTCTAAACAGGTAAAAAACAAAATCACAGGGTTTTCCTGATTTTTTTTAGAAAACTTAAAAATTGTTTTTAAGGAAAACGATTTTTCAAAGCTCTCTGCTCTATGGGACTTGCCTCCCAAATCCACTTATTTTCTGGGTCCCCGTAAAGCAGTGGAGCGCTGCCACCTGCTGGCTGCAAAGCACAATGTGCTCTAGAAAGTAGATGGAGAGCATTAATGCTGGAAAAGGCCCTAAAGGTCAGCGTGGGGAATACAATTAAGGGGAAATTCGTTCTCTGCTAATGTATATTGTTGAGCTGTTTGAATTTTGATTGGGAGTTTTATTTCTAAAAAAATAAAATAGGGACAGTCACTTACACAAATATTTCGTATCTTGTGGCATTTGTTTATTATACTTGGTTAATTCATCAATACCTGACATTTCCTTGAAAAGCAACAACTACAATCACCATCACGAAAAACCCCCTCCTTTCTCTCTCTGCACAAGCACATCTGGAAGCACGCATGCACATGCTTTGCCTCTACTAACTCTGCCTGAAGCAGCAACCAACTCCCCTTAATTCGGTTTCTGGTGCAGCCGGCCAGCCCATTTCTTACCTGTCTGATTTTCTAGGCAGAAGTCTGACCTTAGTCCAGTGCCTTTTTATTCAGGAAAAACTTAACAAGCTTTCCAAGTATTCTTCTTAGAGTCTCTCTCCAGACTTCATGCAGGGCGCAGCCACAGATCCCCTCCCACCAACCCTGGGAGAGAAGGGATTTAACAGCTTCTCACTTTAAAAATTCTCTTTGCAAATCCTCTTTGCCTTTTCCTAATGGCTCAGGAATTTAAAAGGTGTTTACCCTGTTCTTAATACTACTTTGAAGTTTCTGCACAGTAGCCCCTTTGGAATTTAGCATTTATTGTATTCATGCCTCAACCAAAACTAAAATAGTAAAAATCCCATCATGAGTGCTGTTACAAATTCCCTCCTGGCCTCCATCTGAGGTGGACCTGCCCAGGGCCAGAGTAACAGTAGCCGCAGCCTACCAGCAGGTGGCGCCCAAACAAGCCTTATCGCCATTGCTCCATCTGGGACTGAGCTTGGTGCTAGACGGTCACCCTTCCGCACAAAAGCCTCCCTCCACTACAACCCCCCTTCAGCCTGCTAAGGTGTGACTTAGATGTTTCCTGGACTTTGGCTTCTGTTACCGGTAAGCCCTGACATACCTGCCCAGTCCAGCGGGCCCCCTCCTCCAGGGATCTTTCCCTGTGTTGCCCGAAACTCAACCCACCAGCTGGGGCTGACCTGGCTGCCCTCTTCCCTCCTGGATGTCCACAGCCACGTTCTGCTCTGCATGACCGTGCTCTCTCGAACCAGGCTTGAATTTTCCAAGTCTCTCTAGACACAGCGTTGTGGACTGACAGCCCACCTCACGGAGTTCACCACATAGCCAGGCCGGCTTTCCCTGGCCCCTTTCTACCTTGTCCAGGAGCCTCTTACCCCCTGAGGCAGCGTTGAGGCTGCTCCCCCACGTCCACAGTACATGTGCATTTGTAGCCTGGAGCTGACAAGGCCCAATATGATCTGGTCCTGTTCTAACGTCATCTTGTCTGCCCGTCTCAGCCTTCATCTCCACTGTGCATGTTGGGAGAACCTCCAGTCTCTCATAAAAGCCCACTCTCTCACTATTTCAATATTCTTCTGTTTTAGCCCATTCAGCTGCCATGTGGTACCTGGCAGTTTCCTCCAGTCCAGTTCCCAGTGGAGTGTCTGTGCTAAAGTTTCTGAGGCCCGCCAAGCCCATGAAGGCCCGCCACAGCTGCCATCTCCCTCAGAGTTCACCTACATCGTGTGATGTCACCTTCACTGAGCCACAGTGGGCACCAAGGGCTCAATGACATCGGTGGGCCCCTCTTCCCTGTTCCGTGTGGCCAGAATGTTGTTCCCATTTTGTCCCTCTATCATCCTTTAGGAATCAGCATTGACGGCCTTCTCTGTGAACCTGCTCCTGCATTTGTAACAGGAGACTCACCTGGATTGAAGGTGTGGTGCCTTCACCTGGGTCCTGCAGCTCCTCTGGCCCAGCCTCCTCAAGAGCTCCTGTCTCTCAAGCCCACACTGATCCCCTCTGAGCTGGCTACACCAGGCCTCTTTGCATCCCTCTGCCCATGGGGTTTAGAGTAACTTTACTCTAAACTGGGTTCAAAACCTGGCTTCTCTACCTATTAACTCTGTGTGACTTTGGGGAAGTTACTAAACCTCTCTGAGCTTCTGCCCCCTTTGTAAAATGGGGTTGGTATTAGCATCTGCCCCATAGGTTTGCTGTGAGGCTCCAGTGAGATTGACGGTGCACATAAAACACTTACTAAAGACCTGGCAGAGATTTTGCATTCCGTAAAGGGCAGCTCTTGTTAACCGCAAAAACCAAGGCTGCTCCCGACATTGCTCTCATCAGGGTAGGAAGTGACTTTCAAGACAGGAACTAACTTCCTTAACTTTGTGTGCACACCTAAGATGGTGCTTGATACACAATGGGGACTCAAATGTCTATTGAACTGAAATATTTGATAGCACTATGTTCTCTCTTCTCATTTAGGTTTTATCTTTCTTGTGGATAAAAATTACATGTGTCTTCTGTAGACTGACTTTTTAATTTTGGTAAAATATACATAATGTAAAGGTTAACCATTTTCACTGTTTTTAACTGCACAATTCAGTGGCATTAAGTCCGCGCACACTGTTGTACAACCATGTGGTATTTTTTAAAACATCCACAGCAGCCAGCCCAGGAGCAGGAATAGAAGCTGAATTGATATAGACTGAGTGGACGTGGATAGAGAAGCCCTGCACCAGCAGGCAGGCTTCATTCAAACAGGGGCTGTGCCTGTCCCCCAGCACTCGGCACAGTTCCTGGACATGGCAGGTGCTCAATAAACGTGAAATGTGCCACAGCAGGAGTTGCATACTGGCAGGGAAGCGGGACGGGGCAGTGAGGCATGTTGTTTGGGGCCACACAAAGTTTTTCTTTTTTAAAGTTTTAAAAAATAAATTGTTTTGAATAAATTGCGCTCTCACACAAAAATCTATATTGTAGTTTCTCTTGAAGAACAGAAGGTTCTAGCAGCTTTGGGCCTGCATTTTTGGATGGCAGCACTCTGCTAGCACTGAGCGTGGGCTGCCCCTTTAGACGGTGTGAATGGTCTCCAGGCCGCTGCTCTCACTGAAATGACTCCACTGCTCCCCTGAGCACTCGAGTTTCAGACCCTTGCCATAGAGTCAGATGAACAGGACTTGAGACTTACTTCCTCAGCTGAACAGCTCAGAGCTTTTAAGGAGGTCAGCCAGCCTCTGAGCCTCCACATCCTCATTTGTAGAATGGGAAAATTGGCAGCTTCCTTTCCGGGTTTCTTTGCAGAGTGTTATGAGATCTTGTATATCAAAGTATGTGAGAGGCTGGGCGCTGTGGCTCATGCCTGTAATCTTAGCACTTTGGGAGGTTGAGGCAGGAGGATCACTTGAGTCCAGGCGTTTGAGACCAGCTTGTGCAACACAAAAAATTGTCTCTACAAAAAATTAAAAAAAAATAGCCGAGTGTGGTGGCATAAGCCTGCTGTCCCAACTCCTTGGGAGGCTGAGGCAGGAAGATCGCTTGAGTCCAGGAAGTGGAGGCTACAGTGAGCCCCAGTGCACTGCAGACAGGGCAACACAGTGAGACCCTGTCTCAAAAACAAAACAACAACAACAATAGCAACACCAAGTATGTGAGAAAATGTCAGGACCATGATACAAATGCTGGCCCTTCACCACAGGCCTGCTACCTGCAGTCTTTGTGCCTGCACTGAGGATGTATGGATTCCCCTGCCAAATGGAATCTCCAGGTTTTTTTTATGTTGCATCCTCATCTGGGAAGACACCAGCACCTGGAAAAGCCAGGGTGCTGGGGCACTATCTGGTCAACACAGACAGCTACCAGGTACCTCCATCACCTGTCAGTCACCCCAGGGCTTTCACAAAGTCCCTGCCTGGGTGTGGCACAGTTGAGAGTAAGTTCCTTGGGCACAGGCCTACTCTCCAGTGCCCTTTCATCTGAGGGCCCCACACACCGCACAGCAGCCCCACAGACATCGGATTCCACGGCGCACATCAGTGCATAACGCATTGCGTATTTGCCACTCCTTAAGCCAACACCTAAGAGAGGGGTTTTTGGCATCAGAACACCACCAGTTCCCTCCTCTGCCTCCTTCTGTCACTCTCCCTGCCCTTCCATTCCCTTCCCAGGCTAAGTTTCCATGGTACCTTTTCAGCCTCTGCTGTTAACACCATCCTTTCAAAATCTAAAGGAAATGAGGGCTCTTTCCCTTTAAGTCCTTTTTACAAACCCCTTTCTCTCGATTCACCTGGAAAATTCGGGTCCACTGTGTTTCATTAGTAGCATCTTGATATCAAAAAAGAATTCAAGACAAGAAATAAATAGAAAAGTAAGTCAGGTGATTCTGTTTTGAAATAAAACAAGTTTGTTTAGTAACTGGTTCCAGATTGCCTTACAGTCTTGCTTGGCAGGAAGAGATTTATTCCTGATAGCGTACCACATATCACACTTGCTCTTCTAAGACATTTGCTTTTATCTCCAGCAGTTCCTGATGGAATAGATACAAAGAAAAGACTAGAGCCTTGTTTAAGCAGGGACTAGCGTGTTTGCATCCTGACACCAGAGAAGATCTGATCATCTGAGAGCTTCCAATCTTGGGCTTAACAGCTTTAAAAAAATCAAACATGTTAAAACAAAACAAAACCATAGAAAACAAAAGCACAGACAGGCATTGCACATATTGCAATCTTTTGTGTAAAAAGCGGTAACATGCCCATGATACCAGAACCAGCCACCACCTAAAATGAGATGTGCAGTTTGCCTCTTCTAGAAGAAAACTAGGCCTCCAGAAATTGAATATTAGTTTCCGAGGAAAAGCAGAGGGTCCTTTGACAGCATTTCATTGTCAATGAACCCAGAAACTCTTCTGAGACTCATTTTTGCCAGGAGCGGCAGCCTTCTCCCAAGCCAGGCCCTTCGGTAGCAGCGCCTGCCCTGGGCCTTTCCTTGCCTTCCTGTCTCCTTCAGTCCACTGCCACACGGTCCGGGGGGTACTCCCTGGCTTAGCAAATCTAAGTGCTGGAGGCTCTTTAGCCAAGTTGCACAAACCCGCTACAAACTGGCTTAAACAAAACAGAACAGCCCTCAGAAACTTAACAGCGCTGATGTACAGACCTTCGCTCCAGACCTGTCATTAATAGGAATCAGCTCCCATCTCCTGATCTCAGTGTCTCTCAGCTCCACATCCCAGGAGAGAGATTCTGTGTGCTCCAGCTTGGATCACATGTCCCTCCTGCTGCAGTCAGCTAAGTCCAGGTAGGAGGGTCTCATAGACATGTGGCTCTTGAAACTCATCTTGGACTTCGGGAGGTGACCAAAGGAGCAGGTCATGGCTGGCCAGACACCCTAGGAGAAATCTGCCACTTCATACAACTTGGTTTTGATGAGTGGCTGTGGCAGTGTTACAGTAGGTAGCGAATCAGACATGAACAGGGCAAGAGAGGGCCTCACTACCCCACCAGGAATTCCAGGCGACCATCAGGTGGTGGTCAGGCAGTTGTTACGCTGTCTCTCTAAAATAACAGTTGGTGGCAGCCGGCGCCAGGGCAAGGCAGTCTCCCTATAGAGAGAAAAAAACCTGAAAATAATCAGCAGCTTCCTGATAAGATCTCAGGAGTTGCGTGAGTGAACGCAAGTGTGCGCATTAAGAGGCAAAATGGTGGAGTTTAACTGGTATATGATCTTAGGGACATTCAGCTGGTAAGGGAAAAAAAAAAACAAAAACACCTCAAGTTGAGCATACGCACAACTCCAGTAAACACACTGCGCATGATCCCCTCCCAGGCTTTGGCAGACAACTGCGCATGCGGACATCCCACCCCAAAGGAAGTCAGGGGAGAAGGAAGGCAAGACTCCAGAAGCATGCCAGCATATAAAATCCCAAGTCAAAAGGTCAAATTGAGCACTTGTCTTTCAAGTTGCCCGGTTGGCCCTCTTCCAAGTATACTTTTCTTCCTTTCCTTCCTGTTCTAAAGCTTTTTGTTTTGTTTTGTTTTGAGACAGAGTTTCGCTCTTGTTGCCAGGCTGGAGTGCGATGGCACGATCTTGGCTCACCGCAACCTCCGCCTCCTGGGTTCAAGAGATTCTCCTGCCTCAGCCTCCTGAGTAGCTGGAATTAGAGGCCTGTGCCACCAGGCCTGTCTAATTTTGTATTTTTAGTAGAGATGGGTTTTCTCCATGTTGTTCAGGCTGGTCTTGACCTCCCGACCTCAGGTGATGCACCACCCGCCTTGGCCTCCCAACGTGCTGGGACTACAGGTGTGAGCTACTAGTAGCGCCCAGCCTCTAAAGCTTTTTAATAAGCTTTCACTCCTGCTCTAATACTTTCCTCGGTCTCACCTTCTGCCTCATGCCCCTTGGTCCAATTCTTTCTCCTGTGGAGGCAAGAATTGAGGTTGTTGCAGACCCATAAGGATTCACCGCCAGTAACAGCAGGGGTGGGACTTCTGTAGTGACTTACTCCCAGCATAGAAGCATTATTTATCGGGGGATGAGAGATCACATGGCAAACTTAGGAGCTGTGGTTGGGGGAGGTTGTATTAGTAGTTTTCTATGGCTGTTATAACAAATTACTACAAACGTAGTGGCTTAAAATAACACAAATGTATGATCTTACAACTGTAGTTCAGACATCCAACACAGGCCACTGAACTAGGAACACGGCGTCTGATTCCTTTCTGGAGGCTTCAGGGGAGAACCTGCTTCCTTGCCTTTTCTAGCCTCTGAGGCGACCATCATTTCTTGGCTCATGGCACCTTCCTCCATCTTCAAAGCTGGCAATGTTGCATTTCTCTGACCCTTCCATCGTCACCAATCTCTCCCTGACTGCAGATGGGAAAGATTCTCCACTTTTTTTTTTTTTTTTTTTTTTTTTTGAGACGGAGTCTCGCTCTGTCGCCCAGGCTGGAGTGCAGTGGCGGGATCTCGGCTCACTGCAAGCTCCGCCTCCCGGGTTCACGCCATTCTCCTGCCTCAGCCTCCCAAGTAGCTGGGACTACAGGCGCCCGCCACTACGCCCGGCTAATTTTTCGTATTTTTAGTAGAGACGGGGTTTCACCGTTTTAGCCGGGATGGTCTCGATCTCCTGACCTCGTGATCCGCCCGCCTCGGCCTCCCAAAGAAGATTCTCCACTTTTAAGGACTCAAGTAACTAAATTGGGCCCCCCAGGATAATTCAGAATAATTTTCCCATCTCAAAGCTATAACTTTAATCTTCTGCAAAGTCCCTTGTTAGGAGTTGAATCATGTCCCCCAACAATTCATATATCGGTGTCCTAACCCCCAGAATGGGACCGTACTTGGAAATAGGGTTGCTGCCATTGTAATTAGTTATGTTGAGATCTTACGGTAAGCCCTAATCCAAAATAAGGCATCCTTATAAAAAGGGGAAACTTTGGCTGGGCACAGTGGCTTGCGCCTGTAATCCCAGCACTTTGGGAGGCCGAGGTGGGCGGATCACGAAGTCAGGAGATCGAGACCATCCTGGCTAACACGGTGAAACCCCATCTCTACTAAAAATACAAAAAATTAGCCGGGCGTGGTGGCGGGCACCTGTAGTCCCAGCTACTCTGGAGGCTGAGGCAGGAGAATGGCGTGAACTGGGAGGCAGAGCTTTCAGTAAGCCAAGATGGCGCCACTGCACTCCAGCCTGGGCGACAGAGCGAGACCCCAACTCAAAAAAAAAAGGGGGGGAAACTTGGACCCGCACCCATGCAAAGAGGAAGGATGAGATGAAGAGATAAAGGTTGAAGACGGCCATCTCCAAGGCAAGGAAAGAGGCCTGGAACAGATCTTTTATTCACAGCCCTCAGGAGGAACCAATCCTGGGGATGCCTTGATTTCTTACTTCTAGCCTCTAGAATGGTGCCACAGTAAATTTCTGTCATTTAAGCCACCTAGTTTGTGGTAGTTTGCTACAGTATCCATAGCAAACTAATACATCTCTTTTGCCACTTAAGGTAACATATTCACAGATTCTGAGGATTCAGACATCGGAATCTTTGGGGGGACAGGGCCATTATTCTGCCTACCACAGGATTAGACAGCAGATCCTGGCCAAATGACTTTCACTTGACCTTGTCGTGGGACTGTGGTCGGTAGCCCCCTACCATAAATGAAATAATGTCCTAGACCACAGGCCTGTTGCTTACAAACACCCTACCAGCATGAGAGGAGACTCAAAACAATTGGTCTTTGCATGGGACACCGTCCGGCTCCAGGCTCACTGATTTTTATATACGACAGTGAAAGGTGTTGGTATTTTCTGCTGTTTTTGAGAGGAAAGGTTGTGTTCCCAGAATCCACTGAACTGGACATCATTGGCTACTTTTGTACAACAAACAAATACATATATTCTGTGTTATCCTCTGTGATGGTTAATACTGTCAACTTGATTGAAGGATACAAAGTATTGATCCTGGGTGTGTCTGTGAGGGTGTTGCCAAAAGAGATTAACATTTGAGTCAGTGGGCTGGGAAAGGCAGACCCACCCTTAATCTGGTGGGCACAATCTAATCAGCTTCCAGTACAAAGCAGGCAGAAAAATGTGAAAAGAGAGACTAGCGTAGCCCCCCCACCTATATTTTTCTCCCATGCTGGATGCGTCCTGCCCTCGAACATCAGACTACAAGTTCTTCAGTTTTGGGACTCAAACTTGCAGACAGCCTATAATGGGACCTTGTGATCATGTAAGTTAACACTTAATAAACTCCCCTTTATATATATACATCCTATTAGTTCTGTCCCTCTAAGAGATCCCCGACTAATACACCCTCCAATGTGAGTTCACTGTAAGTTGCTTCCCTTACACTGTAGTGAGCAAGCATCACTCCCAGACCTTCCACCCAGCTCCATCACCCGCACAGGGACCAGGCCAGCTTGGCATGGACCATCTCCCCTGCCAGTTGGAGTAGCCCAGATGCCAGATAGCAGAAACTGAAGTAGAGTCCCAGCTGGTGAGACATGAACAACAATATTGGAAAGTAAATCTGTGACTGATAATAAAATAACAGGTTCATGCTCACTACAAAAAAGTGTTCACCTTGCTCCATGTCCCCCACCACTGTCCTAATCACGTCCTTATTCTCTTTGATTTGGACCACGCAACACTCTTCTAGGTGGTTCCATATCCTCAATCTCTTTCCTTCCATTTTTCATCCTCGATCTGTTCTTGTAATCAGGAAAAAGAAGAGTAAAAAACACACAGAAATCTGATAGTGTCATTCACCTGCTCAGGCTTAAAAGCATCCAGTGGCTCCCCCTGACATAAAGTGCAAGTTTCTCACCATGGCATTTGAAGTCCATCCCACATGGGCCCAGCCTGCTTTTCCAACCTCGGTGTTCATTGCTCCACACATCCAGGAATCTATGACAGTTTTCCCCGAAGTTTCTTGAGCACCAGAATTAGCATCACCTGGGGTGCTTGTAAAAAATGCCAGTCCCTCTGAATCAGAATCAGCAAGTGCAGGAAACCATTTCTGTGCTCACTCCAGCTGGGGTCACTCACCTAGAGCCACCAAGTTCTTTCTCCCGAGCCATTCCCCCTTCTTGGCTGCCTCCTTTTGAAGCATTGTTCATGTAGCCTCTTTTCTTTCTCATAAGCCAAATAAGTTGTTCCTGTACCCCTATTTCCTTAGCACTTTATGCAGATCCTCATAATACGTTTTGTTTTACAGATGTTTGCTACAGATCTGTCTTTCCTGTTGAGTTCTGAATTCCTTGTCATTAGGAACCAGGTCTTATTCATACTTTTTCCTGTAAGTAACTCTATAATTTCTCTGTTTCTACAGTGGGAATGTGTATTGACCATGTTTTCCTTTTCTCTGGCCCCCTAATGTGCTTAGGGTAAAATATCCAACTCAGGTATAACAATTAGGAAGGCCTGCATGTGCTGTGTATCTGTGTCCTCTTTTCTCTCTGGACTTGACCTATTTTAATTCATATTTCCCTTGCTCTGAGTTTTAAAAACCTGCATTTGAATGTTTTATTTTATATGTTTCTGCTACAAGCTGCCTCACATCCTTTCTGGAACAAGGTGGGAGAGAAATAAATTATTCATCTCAGTATTTCTACCAACCTGGACAGCATCTGGCAGATAGAAAATACTCAATAACTGTTTGTTAAATGTAATCAAAGGAATAAAGTTATGTAGATTCTGTGACAGCTATTTGAATTGTCGCTTAGAACATTTTCTGCTGATTTTTATCATAGTGTTCAAGAGCTAAAAATGCTGGAAGGATACCTGGTGGATAAGTGCCTGTTTCTGTATTAGGTTGGTGCAAAATTTATTTGATCGCAGCAATTCAATTATTGCGATTTTCCACCTTGATCCAAATGTAAACCATTTGAGAACTCAGACTGCTCATCAACTCTGTACTGTGCGATTAATCTTAAAAGATGGTGACTAGGTAGCCAGGAAATGAGAAAGGGGACCAGGACAGTGCAGCTCCATGAACAGGGAAGAGAGGTGTTCACATGGGATTGCATGAGGACAGAGCTGAGGATGGGACACAGGATGTTGAGGACAGGACCTCAGAGATGGGGAGGCGCACCAGAAATGGCAATAGACCAAGGGTGAGGAGCCCATGGGCAGAGGCGAGCCTTCTGTTTCCTAAAGACAAACCATCCCTATGCCCCCGTGTGCTGCTGGAAAGATGAGTGTGTTTAAGCACGCAGTTAAAGATGTCAGTATCAAATCTCTGCATAATAAAACTATGAAGAGATAAGAGGAAAATCTTCAGAACAAAAAACAGTCTCACTTTTTATACTCATTTTTCTTCAATTTACAACTAATGTTTCCATAAGAAAAGCCATCTTTTCCATCCCTATGTATTATATCTGAAGAAATAACAGCAGTACCCACATCTCTTTAAATTGGAGATTTTTTTCCCCTTGCAAACACATGAGCATGTGTAGTCTTGACTTTCAGTTGTCACCTCAACTTTCTAAACAAGTCCCTCACGCTTCCAGTTAGCTATTTTCAAAGCATCATTCAATTGGAATTTTTTTTTCTTTGAAGAAAATAAAGGTATGCTAACCTATTGATTGCTACTCCTAACCAACTACATGTAAAACCACATGTTTAATTTAAATTTGCTCCAGACGTATTTGTTTCAATCAAAAACATCAATTCAATGTGTTGATTTTAATCATATTCTTCTTCACAAAAACCTAGAGAATCTGAGTGAATTCTTTGAACAACATAAAAGAAAGGTGTTAATATTAAAAATATTAAAATGGAGAGTTTGTAGGAATGAATTTGGTTACATTTTTACCATGTGAACACATACATATGTGAGATTAAAGGACTGGCCCATCATAATAAAGTATGGCTCTTCCCCCCAAAATGATTTGAACAGCGAAACTGTGGGTTAAGGTTTGGGATACATGGTTTTTTATGTTGTCTTGGCCCAGTGAGCTACTTGTTCTGCCTGAGAGTTTGGTCTGGCCCTCAAAGGATTAAGTGTTAATGACAAGGCAGTCACCTCATCAGCCCAGACAAGGAGGCCTAGTTAACCTATGATCTGAGGGTCCAGTGCCTGGATATGTCAGACCAGGGCTGGGGTCAGGGGTCATGTGCCAGTCGCTCTATGGCAGGGGCCTCCTGCTCAGCTGAAGCTAAGCTGAGAGTCAGGCAAGTCTGTCATTTGTCACCCCCAACCCTAACTGATGGCACCAATACCCTCAACTTGTAGGCTTAGCCCTCCCGCATTCTGAGCCTAGGAATCACAACATGTATACGGCTGAAACAGTAAACTCAAAGGGACTCGATGCTTGGCATGAGGTTAGTCAGGCTGCTGTAAGCCTGGGAATGGGCTTAGGGACAGCCTGGAAGCATCTCTGCACCCATCAGGCTGTCTGGGCACTTCCTTGAACCCTTCTGCCGTCCCCCAATTCCTAGAATATGTAACTGCTCATAACTGCTGCTGTTTCCTCTGTAGCATTCCAGTTTCCCTTCTGAGACCTCAGCACCCTTAATGGAAGTCTTGATACCTCATCAAACTCTCTGCACCCATCAGGCTCCCTGGGCACTTCCTTGAACCCTTCTGCAGTCCTCTAATTCCCAGAATATGTAACTGCTCATAGCTGCTGCTATTTCCTCTGTAGCATCCCAGTTTCCCTTCTGAGACCTCAGCACCCTTAATGCAAGCCTTGATACTTCATCAAACTTTGGCCAGTTCCATCCCAGAAGCTGTATCCTGACTTGTTAAACAGAGGCACAATCCCCACCTCACATTCCTATTGGGAGTCTACCTGGTTCATCCTCCCTCCAGTCCTAGTCCCTAATAGCCCCCTTTCTATGCTCCTTTATGCCCCATGACTACTGCTGTTGTGATGTCAAATCACAATAATACAAGCTGACATGACTTCAGCCCTTGCCATGCACCAGGCTAGGTGCTAAGAACTTAACATACAGTATCTCAGGTCATTCTCACTACAACAGGATGAGATAGATATACTGTCTTAATTTTACAAGGTAAACTAAGGCTCAAAGAAGTTAAGTCGCTTACTTATGAGAACAACACTCATAAATGATAGAGCCAGGATTCAAACCTAGGACTGAAGAAGGCCAAAGTCACCCTATTTCTCCCTTACAATGAATGAGAGACGAAGAGATCATAGGAGTCATCTAGAATCTTAAGAATATTTCATTGCAATTGGTTGGTTTATTGACATGTCGTTAGTACCACTCCAAATCCCTTCAGCCCTACCTCTTCCTCCAGTCATGGAAAACTCAGCCAGTTCTGTGCAGGCTTCAGTTTGCCTCATGCACAAGTAAGCAGGCAGTGCCTTGCCTCATCCTGTGTCTCCCATCCTCTCACTTCCTGCTTTGTGACTTCTCTGATGTCACACCATGGGACACCATGGCACAACATTTCTACAGGACAACTCAAAACATAGGGAGTTAACCTCCTGGGGCCACTGTTGACCAGTGGCAGATGAGAGCTGATAAATAGATGTTTTACTCTTCCATTTCCACAATGGATATTCTGAAACACATCTCATCTGGCTCTGCAGAAAGTTCCACTGAGTTGAGCTCTAGTTGCCTATGGCTGTGGCCAACTCGACAATACATCCTTATATTGGCTTTCATTGCTCATCCCTGACCCCCTGGAACCACATCTCAAGTTACCTATCTGTACATAATCCTTTGTCTCAGGCTCTGCTTTTGGGGGAGCCCAGGCAGGTGAACAGAGAAATGCCCATTTCTCAAGAAAACTGGTCCATTCACTTACATATTGATTTCTACTAGTGACCACAGAGATTTTTCTCTCTGTTTCTGTTCAGTATTTTTCATCATGGGATCCCAGTCCCCCTTTCTCTTTCTAAAGTCACTACTGATTAAAATGTCCTGAAGAAGAGCTGACTGTGGCAGAGAGGACAGCCAACATCTCCAAGTCAAAGGCTTAGTGAGGGCAGGGCTTCCATAACACAGATGAAGATATGAATTTAAACAGAAGATAAAAGGTTTTCCTGCTACAAATATAGAGTAATTATTTTTGGAAAGAAGCTTCTCTCAGGACTGACAAAACACACAAAGAATATTGCTCATCACCTAAATGCAGGCATCTGGGCTGGGGCTGCAAGCCTGTTTCTAACCTGCTCCCACCAGGCTTCCCAGCATTTCTTTCCCTGTGGCAGGCAGAGTTCCAGCCTCTTTGTTTCCTTAAACCATTGCTACTTTTAATCAATGTAGTTGCTTCTTCTTTCCACATATATTCTCAATGGGGAGGTCAGTGTCATCACTCTCAGCCTGAAGATGGGCCTAGGGAAATCAGGAAGATGAAACGGATGAAGAGAATCCCCATTGCAGCCATACTTTCCATCTTATCTCAGCAGCTGAGGTGCGCACTGAACATTCCTGAGTGCCCTACTTGAATTCCTCCATCTACTTGAGCACAGGCAAAACCAAGGAGTGTGTCAGCCTCTTTTCCAGCCCTGAAATGAACTTTATTCGTTTTTTTCCAGATATTTATTTATTCTTATTTATTTTGAGACAGAGTCTCGCTCCGTCACCCAGGCTGGAGTGCGGTGGCACGATCTCGGCTCACTGCAACCTCTGCCCACCGGATTCGAGCAATTTTCCTGCCTCAGCCTCCCGAGTAGCTGGGATTACAGGTACCCACCACCATGCCCAGCTAATTTTTATATTTTTAGTAGAGACAGAGTTTCACCATGTTGGCCAGGATGGTCTCAAACTCCTGACCTCAGGTGATCCACCCACCTTGGCCTCCCAAAGTACTGGGATTACAGGCAGATATTTATTTAGAGTCAATTTTACATGGAGCCTTTCTGCTAAAATAGGCCTTGTACCCTTTTAGTTGTTTTCATCCAAAAATGGTGACCCATTTTTTGCTTTTGGATGCAACAGTTTCTTTTCTAAGAAACCTAGAATTTAATAAAATCATAGCACCCATGTCACATAATACATTACACTAAGAAATGGCAGTTCCTCTTTTTGTGACTCTAGCAATGATCAAATGATTGCCTACAAGTACCCTAAACCATTGTAGCAACAGTCATCTCAATGGCCACTACATTGCAAGGCTGTGTCCCACGGCTTCAGACCTCTGAATTTGGAGCTATTATGACAGAACTCAAATCCAAGCATAATTTGTAGTCTTAAATACCTAATACCTATTGTATGCATATGTATGACTATTTAAAAGTGTTTGTAGAAGCTGTTGTGAACAATACAATGCAAACCCATGGATTTATGTTTTAGCTCACTAGAAACTACTGTCATGGTAGGAGGTAGTATAAGCATATTTTAACTATTAAAATGAGGTCCTAGTGCTCCCAGAAGATTAGGGTAATTGGCGTCATGGAAAGCTTACTCAAGACAAGAGTCAGAAGACTTAGGCCCATATTCTAAACTCAGTTGTTGATGGGCTCTGAAACCTTAGGCAAGACATTGGTCTTGGTAAACCTCAGTTTCTTCTTCCACAAGAAGATAATCAAACCCACATCACAGAACTTTTATAAGAAATATAATCTGGGCCAGGTACAGTGGCTCATGCCTGTAATCCCAGCACTTTGAGAGGCCAAGGCAGGAGGATCGTTTGAGGCCAGGAGTTTGAGGCCAGTGTGGACAACATAGTAAGACCACACCTCTACACAAAGTTTCTAAAAGTTAGCCAGATATGGTGGAACTGAAGGGAAAAACAGACAGAAATACAATAAGAGAGGACTTCAACATCCCACTTTCCACAATGGATAGATCATCCAGATAGAAAATCAATAAGGAAACAGTGGACATCAAATGGACCTAAGACATATGGAACATTCTATCAAACAGCAGCACAATACACATTGTTAACAAATACACAAACATTCTCCAGGATACATCATATGTTAGGCCACAAAACAAGTTTTATCAAGTTTAAGAGGACTGAAATCATGTCAAGCATCTTTGCTGATCGCAATGGTATGAAATAAGAAAATATGAGAAGAAAAACTGGAAAATTCACAAATATATGGAAATTAAACAAACGCTCCTTAACAATTAAGTCAAACAAAAACTTAAAAGGAAAATAAAAAATAATCTTGAAGCAAATGGAAATGGAAACACAAAATACCAAAATGTATGGAATGCAGCAAAAGTAATTCTAAGAGGGAAGTTTATAGTGATAAACACCCACACTGTAAAACAAGAAAAAACTCAAATAAACAACATAACATTATACCTCAAGGAAACAGAAAAAGAAGAACAAACTAGGCCCAAAGTTAGCAGAAGGAATGAAATAATAAAGGTCAGAAGAGAAGTAAGTGAAATAGATTAGAAATACAATTTTAAAAACCAATGAAAGTAAACATTTTTAGGAAAGATAAACAAAATAGACAAACCTTAAACTAGACTAAATAAATACAAAAATCAAATAAAATTACAAACAAAAGAGGAGACATAAAACTGATACCAAAGAAATATAAAGATTTATGGGAGACTATTATGAAAATTTAATATGCCAACAAATTGGAAAACCTAGAAGAAATAGATAAACTCCTAGAAACGTATAGGCATACCTCATTATACTTTGCTTGAAGGTTTGTGGCAATTCTATGTTGAGGAAGTCTATTGTTGCCATTTTTTCAATAACTTGTGCTCACTATGTATCTCTGTGTCACCTGTTGGTAATAATCACAGTTATTTCAAACTTTTCATTAATGTTATATTTATTATGGTGATCTGTGATCAGTGATCTCTGATGTTACTATTATCACTGTTTTGGGTTGCCACAGACTGTACCTATATTTAATTTGATTAAGATGGCAAATTTAATCAATCAAAAGTTGTGTATATCTGACTGCTCCACAGACCAGTTGTTCCTTCATCTGTCTCTCTCTGTCTCTTCGGGCCTCTCTATTCCCTGAGACACAATTATATTGGAATTAGGCCAATTTAAAAACCTACAATGGCCTCTAAGTGTTCAAGTGAAAAAGTCATATGTCTCTCATTTTATATCAAAAGCCAGAAATAATTAAACTCAATGAGAAGGCATGCCAAAAGCCAAGATAGGCTGAAAGATAAATCTCTTGCACAGAACAGTTAGCCAAGTTGTGAATGCAAAGGGAAACTTATTAAAGGAAATTAGAACAATGATCTTGTTCTGATCTTAGAGGAAAAGCTTTCAGTGTTCATCATTGAGTATCATGATGGCTGTGGGTTTCTCATATATGAATAGGAGGGGGTTGGAGCAAGACGGCTAAATAGAAGCCTTTATCAATCATCCCACACACAGGAACACCAAATTTAACAACAGTCTATACGAAAAAACCACCTTCATAAGAACCAAAAATCAAGTGAGCAATTACAGTACCTGGTTTTAACCTTCTTTCATATCTCTGAAAGAAGCTCTGAAGAGAGTGGGAAAGACAGTCTTGTCCAGGCACGGTGACTTACACCTGTAATCCTAGTACTTTGGGAGGCTGAGGCAAGTGGATCACTTGAGGTCTGGAGTTCGAAACCAGCCTGGCCAACATGGTGAAACCCCGTCTCTACTAAAAATACAAAAAAAAAAAAAAATCAGCTGGGCGTGGTGGTGGGCACCTGTAATCCCAGCTACTTGGGAGGCTCAGGCAGGAGAATTGCTTGAACTTGGGAGGCGGAGGTTGCAGTAAGCCGAGATTGCACCACTGCACTCCAGCCTGGACGACAGAGTGAAACTCTGTCTCAAAATAAAAACAATAAAAAGACAGTCTTTAATTGCCATACCTGCCCCACCTCCCTGGTAGTGGCTGGGTGACATGGAGAATCTCTGAGTTTGGGAAAGGGGGAGCACAGTGATTGTGGGACACTGCACTGAACTCAGTTCTGCCCTGTCAGAGTGAAAACCAAAACCAGGCTTAACACAGCTGACACCCATGCACAGAGGGAGCATTTAGAACAGCCCTAACCAGAGGGAAATCGCCCATCCCAGCAGTCAGAACTGGAGTTTTGGCAAGCCTCACCACCATGGGCTAAACAAACTTGTATACATTTCACGATCCTAAATAAACTTGAAAAGCTGTCTAGGCGACAACTGCAATTTCTAGGCAATTCCTAGTGCTGTACTGGGCTTAAAGCCAGTAGATTGAGGGGCACATGACCTAGTGAGACACCAGCTGGGGCAACTAAGGAAGTGCTTGTGCCACCCCTCTCCCAACCACAGGGAGCACAGCTTGCAACAACAAAAATGATTCCTTCCTTCTGCTTGAGGAGAGAGGGGAGGTGAGAAAACCAAGAGAAATTCAAGATAATGCAGAGAAGGAATTCAGAATTTTATCAAATAAATTTAACAAACAGATTGAAATAATTAAAAGAATCAAGCAGAAATTCTGAAGCTGAAAAATGATGCATACTGAAGAATGCATCAGAGTCTGTTAATAGCAGAATTGATCAAGCAGAAGAAAGAATTAGTGAGCTTTCAAACAAGCTATTTGAAAATACACAGTCACAGCAGACAAAAGAAAAAATAATAAAAAAGAATGAATCATGATCTAGAAAATAGCCTTAAAAGGGCAAATCTAAGAGTTACTGGCCTTAAAGAGGAGGTAGAGAAAGAGATACAGGTAAAAAGTGTGTTCAAATGGATAATAAGAGAGAACTTCGCAAACCAGGAGAAAGATACCAAATTCAAGTAAAAGAAGGTTATAAAACACCAAGAAAATTTAACCAAAAGAAAACTACTTCAAGGCTTTAAATAATCAAACTCCCAAAGGTAAGGGATAAAGAAAAGATCCTAAAGCCACAAGAAAAAAGAAACAACAATACAATGGCGCTCCAAAACATCTGGCGGCAGACTTTTCAGTGGAAACTGTACAGGCCAGGAGAGAGTGACATGATAAAGTGTTGAAGAAAAAGAACTTTGACCCTAGAATATTAGGTGAAAATATCCTTCAAACATGAAGGAGAAAAAAAAGACTTTCCCAGACAAACAAAAGCTGAGGGATTTCATCAACACCAGACCTGTCCTACAAGAAATGCTAAAGGGAGTTCTTCAATCAGAAAGAAAAAAAATGTTAATGAGCAATAAGAAGTCATCTGAAGGTATAAAACTCACTGGTAATATTAAGTACACATGAAAACATGAATATTTTAACACTATACTTTTGGTGTGTAAACTACTCTTAAGTAGAAAGACTAAAAGATAAACCAATCAAAATAATAATTACAACAACTTTTCAAGACATAGTACAATAAGATATAAATAGAAACCACAAAAAGTTAATAAGCAAGAGGACAAAGTTAAAGTGTAAAGTTTTTATTTGCTTGCTTGTTTATGTAATCTATGTTGTCAGCAGATTAAAATAATGGGTTATACCGTATTTGGAAGCCTCATAGTAACCTCAAATCAAAAAATATATGACAAGCCAGGTGTGGTGGCTCATGCCTGTAATCCCAGCACTTTGGGAGGCCAAGGCAGGCAGATCATTTGAGGTCAGCAGCCTGGCAAACGTGGTGAAACCCCGTCTCTACTAAAAATACAAAAATTAGCCAGGCATGGTGGTGGGCACCTGTAATCCCATCTACTCAGAATGCTGAGGCAGGAGAATTGCTTGAACCTGGGAGGCAAAGGGTGCAGTGAGCTGAGATTGTGCCACTGCACTCCAGGCTGGGTAAAACAGTAAGACTTCATCTCAAAAAAAAAAAAAAAAGTGACAGATACACAAAAAATAAAAAGCAAAAATTAAATCATACAACCTGAGAAAATCACCTTCAACTAAAGGAAGACAGAAAGGAAGAGAAAAAGGAAGAGAAGACCAGAAAACAACAAAATGGCAGGAATAAGTCCTTATTTACCAATAATAATATTGCTGTAAATGGACTTTTATCCTTACAGAGTAGCTGAATGGATAACAACAAAAGAAGGCCCAAAGATCTCCTGCCTACAAGAAACACACTTCACCTATAAAGACACACACAGACTGAAAATAAAGGGCTGGAGAAAGGTATTTCATGCAAATGGAAACCAAAAAAAAAAAAAAAAAAAGGCAGCAGAATTAGTTATACTTATGTCAGACAAAATTGATTTCAAGACAACTATAAAAAGAAACAAAGAAGGTTATTACATAATTATAAAAGGGTTAATCCAGCAAAAGGATATAACAATTTAAAATATATATCCACCCAGTACTGGAGCACCCAGATATATAAGCTAAATGTTATTAGAGCTAAAGAGAGAGATAGACCCCAATATAATAATAGCTGGAGAATTTAACACCCCACTTTGAACATTGAACAAATCTTCCAGACAGAAAATCATCAAATAAACATTGGGCTTAACCTGCACTGTAGACCGAATGGACCTAATAGATATTTACAGAACATTTCATCCAATGGCTGCAGAATATACATTCTTCTCCTCAGCACATGGATCATTCTTAAGGATAGGTCATGTGGTAGGTCACAAAACAAATCTTAAAACATTCAAAAAATTTTAAATAATATCAAACATCTTCTCGACCACAATGGAATAAAACTAGAAATCAATAGCAAGAGGAATTTTGGAAACCATACAAACATGTGGAAATTAAACAATATGCTCATGAATGACCAGTGGGTCAATGAAGAAATCAGAAGGAAATTAAAAATTTTATTGTAACAAATGATAATGGAAACATGACATATCAAACCTATGGGATATAGCAAAAGGAGTACTAAAGGGAAAGTTTATAGCAATAAGCACCTACATCAAAAAAAGAAGAACATCTTCAAATAAATAAACTAACAATACATCTTAAATAAGTAGAAAAGCAAGAGCAAACCAAATTCAAAATTAGTAGAAGAAAAGAAATAATAAAGATCACGGCAGAAATAAATTAAATGAAGAAAACAGGCTGGGTGCCATGGCTCACGCTTATAATCCCAGCACTTGGGAGGCCAAGGCGGGTGGATAATGAGGTCAGGAGTTCGAGACCAGCCTGGCCAATATGGTGAAACCTCATCCCTACTAAAAATACAAAAATTAGCCGGGTGTGGTGGCGCATGCCTGTAGTTCCAGCAACTAGGGTGGCTGAGGCAGAAGAATTGCTTGAACCCGGGAGGTGGAGGTTGCAGTGAGCTGAGATTGCACCACTGCACTCCAGCCAGGGTGACAGAGTGAGACTCCATCTCAAAAAACAAAAAAACAAAAAGCAAAATCAAAAAACAAAAAAAAAACAATAAAAACACTTAATGGTCTTAGGTTTAAAAAATATTTCTTAAGTATGACTCAAACAGCATAACATATAAAGAAAAATTGGCCGGGCACGGTGGCTCATGCTGGTAATCCTGGCACTTTGGGAGGCCGAAGCGGGCAGATCATGAGGTCAAGAGATCGAGACCATCCAGGCCAACATTATGAAACCCCAACTCTACTAAAAATACAAAAATTAGCTGGACGTGGTGGTGAGTGCCTGTAGTCCCAGCTACTCGGGAGGCTGAGGCAGGAGAATCGCTTGAACCCGGGAGGCAGAGGTTGCAGCGAGCTGAGATCACGCCACTGCACTCCAGCCTGGCAACAGAGTGAGATTCCATTTCAAAAAAAGAAAAAGAAAAATTTAAAAATTGGACTTCACCGAAATTAAACACATTAGCTCTTTTAAGGCACTATTAAGAAAATAAAAAGGCAAGTCATAGACTGGGAGAAAATATTTTGAAACATACATCCAACAAAAGATATCTATTAGGTGAGTGCAAAAGTAATTGCGGTTTTTGCATTGTTGGAATTTGCCATTTGATCTTGGAATACATTCTTAAATAAATGTGGTTATGTTATACATCATTTTAATGTGCATTTTTCACTTTATGTTTTTTGCTAATAACTTATTACTTGCTGTTTATTTTATGTTTATTTTAGACTATGGAAATGATATTATTCGAGTTCAAAATGGGTCGTAAAGCAGCAGAGATAATTTGCAACATCAACAATGCATTTGGCCCAGGAGCTGCTAACCAACATACAGTGCAGTGGTGGCTCGAGAAGTTTTGCAAAGGAGAGGAGAGCCTTGAAGATGAGGAGCACAGTGGCCGGCTATGGGAAGCTGACAACGACCAACTGAGAGCAATCATCTAAGCTGATCCCCTTACAACTACACAAGAAGTTGCTCAAGAACTCAGTGTTGATCATTCTATGGTCATTCAGCATTTGAAGCAAACTGAAAAGGTGAAAAAGCTCCATAAGTGGGTGCCTCATGAGCTGAGTGAAAATAAAAAAAATTGTCGTTTTGAAGTATCGTCTTCTCTTATTCTGTGCAACAACAATGAACCATTTCTTGATCAGATTGTGATGTGTGACAAAAAGTGGATTTTATATGACAACTGGTGATGACCAGATCAATGACTGGACTGCGAATAAGCTCCAATGCACTTCCCAAAGCCAAACTTGCACAAAAAAAGGTCATGGTCACTGTGGTCTGCTGCCGGTCTGATCCACTACAGCTCTCTGAATCCCAACAAAACCATTATATCTGAGAAGTATGCTCAGCAAATCAATGAGATGCACCGAAAACTGCAACAATCACACGGGCATTGCTCAACAGAAAGGGCCCAATTCTTCTCCACAACAACCCCTGACCACAACGCTTCAAAAGTTGAGTGAATTGGGCTACAAAGTTTTGCCTCATCTGCCATATTCACTTGACCTCTCGCCAACTGACTGCCACTTCTTCAAGCATCTTGACAACTTTTCACAGGGAAAACACTTCCACAACCAGCAGGATGCAGAAAATGCTTTCCAAGAGTTCATCAAATTCCGAAGCATGGATTTTTACGCTACAGGAAAAAACAAACTTATTTCTCGTTGGCAAAAATGTGTTGATTGGAATTGTTCCTATTTTGATTAATAAAGATGTGTTTGATCCTACTTACAATGATTTAAAATTCACGGCCCAAAACTGCAATTACTTTTGCACCAACCTAATATGATACATAAAGAATTTCTATAACTCAAACAACACAATTAAAAAATGGGGTCTGAACAGTGACTCCACCAAAGAAGATATACAGATGGCAAACAGGCACATGAAAAGCTGCTGTACATCATTAGACATTAGGAAATGCATATTGAAATTAAAATAAGACACCACCACATAGCCACTAAAATGGCTGTTATAAAAAAGAGTGAAAATACCAAGTTCTGGGGAAAATGTGGAGAAATTAGAGCCATCATAAGCCACTGGCGGGAATGTAAAATAGTATAGCCAATCTGGAAAACAAATTGGAAATTTCTTTAAAATTAATCAACTTACCATACAGTTCAGCAATTCCACTCTTAGATATTTACCAAAAAGAAAGGTGACCAGGAGCAGTGGTGCACACCTGTAATCTCAGCACTTTGGGAAGCCAAGGCAGAAGGATCACTTAAGGTCAGCAGTTCAAGACCAGTCTGGCCAACATGGTGAAACCCTGTGTCTACTAAGAATGCAAAAATTAGCTGGGCATGATGGTGTATGCCTGTTGTCCCAGCTACTTGGTGGCTAAGTCAGGAGAATCACTTGAACCCAGGAGGCAGAGGTTGCAGTGAGCTGAGATCATGCCACTGCACTCCAGCCTGGGCAACAGAGTGAGACTCTGTCTCAAAAAAAAAGAAAAAAGAAAAGAAATGAAATCATTTTTTCACCCAAAAACTTGTACACAGATGTTCATAGAAGCTTTATTTGCAATAGCAAAAAACTAGAAAAAATGCAAATGTACATGAACTTGTGAATGAATAAACGAATGTTGGCATATTCATATAAGGTAGTACCACTAAAAATTAGAAAGGAACAAACTGATAAATGCAAAAAGAGAAATGAATCTGAAAGCATTATGTTAAGTGAAAGAAACCAGACACAACAGGCAACATACTGACTCTAATTACATGAAAGAAGGTAGACGCTAGGGCCTAGAAGGTGATAACAGGGCATCAATTGCAAAGAAGCACAAGGAAAGTTTTCGGAGTTTTGAAACTGTTCTATACCATGACTGTGATGATTATGAGACTTTATTATTTATAAGCACTTGTCAAATTTCACACTTAAAATTGATGAATTTTATTATATGTAAATTATACATCAATAAATCTAATAGAAGAAGGTGAAGAAGGAAGAAGAAAAAGAAAAGGAGAAGGAGAGCAGGAACAACAACATCTAGAAGAGTTTCTCTACCTGAGTTTGGTAAAACTACTGTAATCAAGATGGTGTGATATAGGTGGGAAAAAAGATCAGTGGAACAGATTGCCTGGATTCCAGGAATTCACTTTTATCAGACGTGCCAAGGATAGTGGTCCATGTTATGGACCACTACGTGTTCATTTCTTTTATTTTTTTTTAAATTGGGGCAAGGGAGCAGGTGACCTAACTTAGTCATACCATCAACAAAAATAAAAGCCAACCAAATCTTCCTTACAAGAAGAATACACAGATGATAGTGACTATTCAGTTCCCCATTCAGGGATCCTGCACATCTAGAGCTGTTCTGGTATAGGTGTATGGTGCTGAGAACCCATCTGAGAATGAAGTCAGTTCATAGGGAGGCAGAGCTAACAAATGGTAGGAAGAACAGAACCTCTTCTGTTAATATTGGGCTCATGGAGCTAGTTATATCTGACCCAGATTGTCCTTGAACTGCCTAGTTATTTGAACTAATAAATTCCTTTTTCTGTCTAAGCAAATTTGAGTTGGGTTTCTGTTTCTTACAACAAAAGGAGTTCTGAATAATATATATGTGTACTATGAGGTAGTATTAGAAAAGCACTGGCTTATGCACATACTAAATGGGTGCCCTGGGGAGGTTCTTTTAAAGCTCTGGGCCCAGGTTTCTCATCTCTAAGTAGAAGTGATTGGAGTGGGACAATAGTTTCCCAGAAGAGTTGCACAAAACAAAGGCACCACAGTGACCTCAATAGGAAACGAGGGAGAAGCACAGTCTCTACCTAAGCTAGACTGGAAGTAAATCCTCCTTTAAAAAAGTTTTAGACGTTGGAATTACACAGTATGATGTGAAAAAAATTTCTTTGCTTAAAACAATGGCCGGGTGCAGTGCCTCACACCTGTAATCCCAGCACTTTGGGAGGCCAAGGAAGGTGGATCACCTGAGGTCAGGAGTTCGAGACCAGCCTGGCCAACATGGCAAAACCCTGTCTCTACTAAAAATACAAAAAATTAGCCAGGTGTGGTGTTGGATTCCTGTAATCCCAGCTACCCAGGAGGCTGAGGCAGGAGAATTGCTCGAACCCAGGAGGTGGAGGTTGCAGTGAGCCGAGATCACGCCATTGCACTCCAGCCTGGGCGGCAGAGAGAGACTCTGTCTCAAAAAAACCCCCAAAAAACCAAAACTTTTGTGGTCTTCTCTAATTCCAAAATTCCAATATTCTATGTTGCTTTCTCAGAGGCATGTAGCACTGAGCATTGTATTCTAACAAGTGAGGTTGCCTGGGGTCTGAATCCAGCTCCACCCCTTACTAACTGTGTGATCTTGAACAAGTTTCTCTATTCCTTGGCTTCTTCATCAGTAAAACAGGAAAAATAATACTATCTATTTCAAAGGTCTGTTATGAGGGTTGATTGGCAATATATCCAAAACCTTTCCAACCATGCCCGGCACCTGGTACAAGCTTGTTAATTGTTAGCAATGATGATGACAAAGAGAAGGCATTGAAGATTTCAGTGGAACTGACTTTGGGTTTGCCTTTGTCACCTCTCCCAAGGAGTAAGCTGGAAAAAGAACAGAAATGCAAATCAGGTCACCTGCTTGTTCCCTGTAATTGTGTCAATAGGTTGAGAGTAGGGAAAACCTCTGTCTCTGTTCTTTGTTTTCTGAATATAATTATCCTTTCAACTAAAGACTAACCTAAATAATATTTTTTGTAGGCCGGGCACGGTGGCTCACGCCTGTAATCTCCAACACTTGAGGAGGCCAAAGCAGGCAGATCACTTGAGGTCATGAGTTCAAGACTAGCCTGGCCAACATGGTGAAACCCCGTCTCTACTAAAAATACAAAAATTAGCTGGGCGTGGTGGCAAGTGCCTATAATTCCAGCTATACAGGAGGCTGAGGTAGGAGTGAGCCGAGATCGTGCCACTGCACTCCAGCCTGGGCGATAGCGCGAGACTCCATCTAAAAAAAAATATATATATGTATATATATATATATATATATATACACACGTGTGTGTGTGTTTTTATATATATGTGTGTGTATTTATATATATATATGTATGTGGCTTAAATAGCTTTTTTTCTGATTATTAATAGCATATAATACATTGATAAGTATTTGGAAATTTAAAAAGAAAATATTAAAACACATAATCCTACTGTGAACAGATAAATGCTCTTAACATTTTGATTATTTCCTATTTCAACTTGGTGTTATTTTCTTCCAGATTTTCTTTTAAAGCATTTTTTAAAATATATAAATGCATATTAAAAACTTTATTATGTATGTATATATATGCATATGCATTGTTTTATGTCCTTCTTTTCTCAAAGTTGTGTTGTAATTTTCCATGACATTAAATATTCTTTGAAACAACATTTTTATGACTTCTTAACATTCACCGTATCACTCTGTCATCATTTATTTGACAAGTTCCCTATATTTCGACCTTTTTGTTGCTTTAAGTTGGCTCTAGCATAAATAATGCTGTTATAAACATCCTTGGATAACAATCTTGAAACTTCTCTGATTAGGATCCCTAGGATACTATTCCTACAGGTAGAATGTCTAAGTTAAAGTATGTGATCATTTATAAGGTCTCTGGTACACATCATCAAATGGTCCTCCAGAAAGTGTGCACCAATTTACAACACTGACCAGCACTGTGGGAGTGTTTGCAAACAGCGATTTTTTATAAGTTATAAACAATTTTCATTATAGAAACTACAGTGGGAAAGCAACCTGCTGTATGTATTGCCCTTGTTTGAGACATTAGATCGAATTATTTTTTAAGAGTGTTTTCCTTTAAAGCTTATGAAACGAAGCTTTTAGGGCCCAATACAGATCACATATTTTTTTCTCTAGCCCTTAAAGTTTACTATGTTTTTAAAATTGTTCCTGTAGGATCATAAAAATGAGAAGCCCATCACATCACAGTGATTCAGTCTTTATAAGCCATGGTGCTTACTAACTAGAAAATGAAGAAAACATTTTTATGATTATTTTAATTACCACATATTACCCAGGCCTTTCTTGCCATGCTTCATGAAGGACAAACATCCTGTAATTTAAATAGTGTGGTCAAATGAATTCCCTGCCTCACACTAATGCTGACTTCACACTGGCCCTAGAACAATTAATGCTCTCTGGTTTAGATCAGTGGTCTGTGGTTCATTAAGCATGAACATTTGAATTTAAGTGTGAAAGACAATTTGAAAATATTCCTTACACGTCTTTTATTCAAGCCCTGGAAACTTCAAGTAGGAAAACGGTGCAAGAGGGCAATTCTG
The DNA here is from genome assembly GCF_000001405.40 of Homo sapiens. Lineage (NCBI taxonomy): Eukaryota > Metazoa > Chordata > Mammalia > Primates > Hominidae > Homo > Homo sapiens. The sequence continues at coordinate 91,139,464 of NC_000001.11, read as the reverse complement.
TGATTGGAATGCCAAGTTGTGAAAAGCAAAATGGCATCGTTTAGAATTTAAAATACTGTTTTTAAAGCCCCAATTTAAATTCCCTAGAGCTATAACTGTGCCCTGACTGACATTCTGTTTCTCCATGAGACCTGAATATGCAGCTGATGTGATACATTCTTGGCCTTCTTCTCAGTGTGTATCTTTACCAACATTAACTGCTCTTTGTAACCTGAAGGGAACGAGCAGAGGTGAATCTGATCATGTACCCATCCTCCCTGCTGCTTAAGCATCTTGTCCAAGCATCAGCATGACAAGCAGACCCCCGACAATCTGGATCCTGCTATTCCACCCTCACAGTCTGTCATCCTCCTTCATCCTTCCCTCTGGTCACACTGATTTTCCCACCACTCTCTGGACTCTCCTTGGCCTTCTGTGTCTTTATTCCCGCATCAGCTGTGTCCCCTGGAAGAGACTTTCTCCTCTGTGTGGTTTGGTAAATTACATTTTCCCACATGGTCCCAGTTCATATGCACTAAGACCAAGATTGACATTTGTTATGTTCTTTTGGTTGCAAGGGATAGAAATTCCTTCAAACCACTTAAGTAATGGAGTTTGTTATTAACATAACTATGGGGGTAAGAGACAGGTGAAGAATCTCATAGAAACCAAGGGCAGCCTGCCCCCTCCCCTTCAAGATCCAAGACAGGTCTCAGATCTGAGTAGTTTTGTCACCCTCCTCAGTTACAAGATGTCAAGATCTCCATTCTCGTGCTCTCTTGCTAGGGTGCCTCCTACTCTGGCCCTGTGTATCTTTGTGTGCGACATCACTTTCTTCTCCCTACTGACAGCTGGCTCTTCCTCTGGCTCCTCATTCAAACTTGCTTGAAGTAGTCTCCCGGGCAGAGCTCCTCAGATAGGACCATCTCATACATGTGTCCAATCCCAGGATTAGCTGCCTTTGCTGGCTGCCCCAAACTAGTCTGGTCCAGTGGCCACCCTTGTTTCAATCCCAGCCTAAGACCCTGCTTTCTACAACAGAATTGTGTGGAAGGGCAGATACCCTTCATAAGGGGATAAAGGGCCGGGGGGAATCTTGCCAGGTATCTCTGATGCACCAAGTTTCTAAGTTTGGCCCTGTGAGTATTACTTTTGTGGATAGAAGATGGAAGACCATAGTTATGTGCTTCATATGTTGTAAGGGAGAGGATTCATAGTGAACTTGCTCTTTTTTTCTTTTGTTTTTTTTCTGTTTTTGAGACAGAGTTTTGCTGTTGTTGCCCAGGTTGGAGTGCAATGGTGCGATCTCAGCTTACTGCAACCTCTGCCTCGCGGGTTCAAGAGATTCTCCTGCCTCAGCCTCCCGAGTAGCTGGGATTACAGGCATGCACACCACCAGCATGCGGGCGAATTTTGTATTTTTAGTAGAGATGGGGTTTCGCCATGTTGGTCAGGCTGGTCTTGAACTCCTGACCTCAGGTGATTCACCTCCCTCGGCCTTCCAAAGTGCTGGGATTACAGGCGTGAGCCACCGCACCCGGCCTTATAGTGATCTTTCAAGCACTATCCTGGAATGATATCAGAGATTTTTAGAAACTTGTTTTACCTATTCCTACATCAACAAGCTGCTGCCCAGTGTCCACTCCATCCCTAGCCCTTTAAATGGGGTAGGCCTACTTACATAGGAAGTACCTAAAAAGCAGCTTTGGTCCACAGCTCCAATAACAGCTCTCCACCTACACTGACTTCCAGCTGGCCTTCCATAATCCCTTGGCTTCATTCTCTAGTTCCCATCACTTGCCCCAGGCCATCTTCCCCTTTCCCATGACCCACTCTGCTGTGGCTCAGCAGCTGCTGCTCAGACAAAGAGGTGCCTTCTCTGCTGGCTGTAATCACCAGCACCCCTTACTCTACCCACTGAATACTCCATCCCTTACCTCAACCCTCAAGAGAGGAGATTCATGATGCAGGGCAAAGTGGAGGATTGCCTGTAATGAGCTTTTGGTTTGGACTATGGCTAAGGAACCAATATATTCTACTTATCTGAGAGATTTGTTGTGAGGACTAAATAATATATGTAAAGTGCTCTGAATAGCTTATTTATTTATTTATTTATTTATTTATTTATTTATTTATTTGAGATGGGGTCTTGCTCTGTCATGCAGGCTAGAGTGCAGTGGCATGATCACAGCTCACTGTAGCCTCCAACTCCTCGGCTCAAGAGATTCTCCCTCCTCAGCTTTCTGAGTAGCTAGGACTACAGGCATGTGCCACTATACCCAGCCAATGTTTTTACTTTTTGTAGAGATGGGATCTTACTAGTTGCCCAGGCTGGTCTTGAACTCCTGGCCCCAAGGGATCCTCCTGCCTCAGCCTCCCAAAGCACTGGGATTACAGGCATGAGCCACTGTGTCCAGTCTAAAAATTAATGTATATATTATTATATTTCGCCATTTGAAATCCTCTTGGCAATCTCCTGAGCTGCTTATCCTTTTAGAGCAGGATCTGCTGTGTGCTGTAGTCCAATTTATGCAGAACAATTATATTACCAAGCAATGAGCACAAAACATTACATTTCGAAAAAGCATAGATGTTACTAATAATAGCTAGCATTTATTGAGAGTTTTAAAAATATCAGACCCTATGCTAAGTGCTTTGTAAATTTTATCTAATTTAGCCCTCATGAAGCATGTTTCCCCATTATCCCCACTTAATTAATGAAGAAACTAAGGCACAGAGAGATTAAGTAATTTACCCAAGGTCCCTTGGTCAGAAAGTATCAAAGTCAGTATTCAAACCAGGGTGTCTCTTCTACAGCCTCAAATTTCTGCCATTAACACTAATTAGACTAACCGCTAACCAATGGTCTTGAAGATTAACTTGCCCCCACTGGCTCGTTTTACAGATGGAGAAACTGAAGCCCAGGCAAGTGAAATGATTTTACCTAGATTGCAAATACTGTTAAAGCACAACAAGGACTAGAACCAGGACACTGCTTTCATTTCAGGGGTTTTCTATTATACTTTATAAGTGTATTAGGGTTCTCCAGAGAGACAGACCAATAGAAGATAGGTGATAGATAGATAGATAGATAGATAGATAGATAGATAGATAGATATGGATGCAGATTGATATAGATATGAGTTTATTAGGAAGAACTGGCTCACACAATTACAAGGTGAAGTCCCAGGATAGCCGTCTGCAAGCTGAGGAAACGAGAAGCCTCAAAACCAGGAAGCCAACAGTGTGGTCTGCAGTTAGTGGTGAAGGCCTACGAACCTCGGCAAGCCACAGGTGCAGTCCCAGAGTCTAAAGGCCGAAGAACCTGGAGTCTAGATGTCCACGGGCAGGAGGAGAGCAAGCAAGCGTCCAGCTCGGGAAGACAGCAATCCAGAAGATGCAGCAAGCAGGTTGATCCCCCTTCTTCCCCGGCTTTGTTCCAACCGCGCTTGCAGCCGATTGGATAGCGCCCACCCACATTGAGGGTGGGTCTTCCTCTCCCAGTGCACCATTCAAATGTCAATCTTCTCTGGAAATTCCCGCCCAGACACACCCAGATACAAGACTTTACCAGCTATCTAGGCATCCCTCAATCCAGTCAAGTTGACACCTAATGTTAACCATCACAATACGTTTATATGTTTCTATCTTTTAGGCCACTTTTATTAGCATCTGCAGAAATGCTATCTTCAGATAACAATGAAAACCAGGTTCATTTTGCTTGAGGGAGTTGTTTCTTCTTTTCATTTGTCAAAGCCAGCTTCCATATTCAGATATATGCTCAAAACTTGGAGAAATTACGTACTTTTCAGGAATTAATTTCTTTCTTTCTTTCTTTTTTTTTTTTTTTTTGAGATGGAGTCTGTCTGCCACCCAGGCTGGAGTGTGATGGCACGATCTCGGCTCAATTGCAACCTCTGCCTCCCGGATTCAAGTGATTCTCCTGCCTCGGCCTCCTGAGTAGCTGGGATTACAGGTGCCCGCCACCACGCCTGACTAATTTTTGTATTTTTAGTAGAGACGGGGTTTCACTACGTTGGCCAGGCTGGTCTCGAACTCCTGACCTCGTGATCCACCCGCCTCGGCCTCCCAAAGTGCTGGGATTACAGGCGTGAGCCACCGCGCCCGGGCTTAGGAATTAATTTCTTAACCTTTTCCCGCTTAGGAAAAAGAAAGTGCAGCTCGCTGCCAGCGCTCATTTAATTTTACATAAACACACTCTTTGAGGCTGAAGCAAGTTCGACTAATTTTCAACGTGAAAATAAAATATAATAACTTTTATTGGAGTTCTTTCTAAACAGAACTAACATCAAAATCGTCTATTTTGGAAAAATCAGATTCACAAAATGAATCTTCCATCAACAACCGTTCAAGAACAATGTTAACATCAAGTGTAGAAATGCTATGTTTTCTAGGATTTGACATTTTTAGCGATTGAGAATCACTATATTTTGCAAATGGAAATACTACTGCTAAAAACAGAATGCTATAAATAGAACGATGTCTTTTGTTTCCAAAGTCATATACTAGAGCGATAGTAAAATAATATTAAAACCTAGATATTTCGTGGCAAAGTTATCTCAGGGTAAATGGAGCAGCCTCAAGTGTCACGGCAAGAATTTTCAGGGAAGACGAGATAAGGGTTAGTATATTATACGTGGTGGTTGAGTTTGATGAGTCGTTTCTAGATTATGAATTTCAGCAAACAATAAAATTTCAAAAAACTTGGAGATGACACAGAATTGCCAACTTTTTGTTTTTAAAGGTAGAGATTTTTAAAAATCCACGTACAAAAAATAAAAACTAAAAACAAACTACCATCTAGATACTATCTTCATTCTGTAATACAAGGAATATTTCAGCACCAAAAAACTAGGATGACCATAATATTAGAATAAAAGATAAATCATTTAAAATGAATAAAATGTATTGCACGGAAAGACAAAAAATTGTTAATTGTTTTCATCATGGACCAGTGGAAATTTCGTCATGGATTGGCATTTGAGAATCTGCGTTAGATGACCGTCGAGGGTCTCTCCAGCTCTTAAACTCTGTGATTTTGAGTATCATTTCTTCCTTTACAATGATTTTAGAGGTTTCCAGTTGTTGAGTCTTTGTAAATTAATCCTTCTTAGGCTTGTCCTTAAAGGCTTTGCTGTGTTGTGTGTGGAATGACTACTGGAGATTTTACAATTAGAATAACAACACATGTGTGGACATATAATTAATTATCTGTGCCCCTTCTTAACACTTTGTAAGACTTCAGCTTCCCTCATCTCCACTCCAGAGAAGCAGAGCAATGAATCTGAACTCTGACCTCTCCCGTCTCCCCAGACTCCTTCAGACCATGGGAGTCAGGCAGAAGCTGCAACTAAAGATTCGCTTCTCTCCTGAGAGACCTCTGAGATTTGACTTCTCCTGTCCAGGGTCTAACTAGAGAATTTTGCCAACCCTTGGACTTAGAGGGAGAAATTCCTTAAGGAAGGACTACCTGATCCCATGTAACAACCTAGAGGAAGAGAAGAAATCTGGCCCCAGGCCCCTTTTGCATTTGTCCCTTCCAAAATTCACTTCTTTGTTTTCCACTTCATATTGCCATGTCGTGCCTATGTGTGTATTTGGGGCGAGAGGTGGGGATGGCAAGAGGAGGTCAGAGGATGCCAGGACTAGAGCCTAAATGCATTGAGGGCAGAGGTTTGTCCACTCTGCCTGTGTAACTCGAGCAATTTGCCTGGCCATAGCAAGAGCTTCGCAAATGTTTGCGAAATAAATCAAGTATTAAGCACATAAATTGAATAGCAACAACCCTTATTGTGTGACTACTAGTGCCAGGCACTGTGATCGACGCTTTACAGAAACTATTTCTACTTCTCACTAGAACTCTATTTGGTAGGTGCATCATTGTTCCTCTTATGTGGACAAGGAAACCGACGCACAAAGTGGTTAAGGAACTTTGGCCAAAGTAATAAAACTAGTTTAAAAGACAACCAAATCATATAACATTTTCAGTGTGCTGAGCTGCAGAGCCTGCACATAAGTTCCAGGAGAAAAAGGAGGGGAAAGGTGGCCGGCATGTTCCTCCAAGGGCTTAGCAAATCTCCTTTCTTGGCCAAGTCTCTGCATAGGCAGAGAGGCAATTGTGTCATCATCAGAGAGGACGGAATCATTGACTTTCTTTTTTTTCTTTTCTTTCTTTCTTTTTTTTTTTTAATTATACTCTAAGTTCTGGGATACATGTGCAGACTGTGCAGGTTTGTTACATAGGCATACATGTGCCATGGTGGTTTGCTGCACCCATCAACCTGTCATCTACATTAGGTATTTCTCCTAATGCTATCCCTCCCCTAACCCCCCAGCCCCCAACAGGCCCCGGTGTCTGATGTTCCCCTCCCTGTGTCCATGTGTTCTCATTGTTCAACTCCCACATATGAGTGAGCACATGCAGTGTTTGGTTTTCTGTTCTTCTGTTAGTTTGTTGAGCATGATGGTTTCCAACCCGACCTATCTCTCTGGCTGCCCTTAACATTTTTTCCTTCATTTCAACCTTGGTGAATCTGATGATTATGTGTCTTGGGGTTGCTCTTCTCAAGGAGTATCTTTGTGGTGTTCTCTGTATTTCCTGAATTTAAATGCTGGCCTCTCTTGCTAGTTTGGGGAAGTTCTCCTGGATAATATCCTGAAGAGTGTTTTCTAACTTGGTTCAATTCTCCCTGTTACTTTCGGGTACACCAATCAAACGTAGGTTTGGTCTTTTCTTATAGTCCCATATTTCTTGGAGGTTTCATTCGTTCCTTTTCATTCTATTTCCTCTAGTCTTGTCTTCATGCTTTATTTCGTTAAGTTGATCTTCAATCTCTGACATCCTTTCTGCTGCTTGATCGATTCGGCTACTGATACTTGTGTATGCTTCATGAAATTCTCATGCTGTGTTTTTCAGCTCCATCAGGTCATTTATATTCTTCTCTAAAGTGGTTATTCTAGTTAGCAATTCCTCTAACCATTTTTCAAGGTTTTTAGCTTCCTTGCATTGGGTTAGAATATGCTCCTTTCGCTCGGAGGAGTTTGTTATTACCCACCTTCTGAAGCCTACTTCTGTCACTTTGTCAAACTCATTCTCTGTTCAGTTTTGTTCCCTTGCTGGCGAGGAGTTGTGATCCTTTGCAGGAGAAGCAGCATTCTGGTTTTTGGAATTTTCAGCCTTTTTGCACTGGTTTTTCCTCATCTTTGTGGATTTCTCTACCTTTAGTCTTAGATGTTGGTGACCTTCTGATGAGGTTTTTGTGTGGACGTCCTTTTTGTTGATGTTGATGCTATTCCTTTCTGCTTGTTAGTTTTCCTTCTAACACTCAGGCCCCTCTGCTGCAGGTCTGCTGGAGTTTGCTGGAGGTCCACTCCAGTCCCTGTTTGCCTGGGTATCACCAGTGGAGGCTGCAGAACAGCAAAGATTTCTGCCTATTCCTTCCTCTGGAAGCTTTGTCCCAGAGGGTCACCTGCCAGATGCCAGCTGGGGCCCTCCTGTATGAGGTGTTTGTCAACCCCTGCTGGGAGATGTCTCCCAATCAGGAGGCATAGCGGCCAGGGACCCACTTGAGGAGGCAGTCTGCCCCTTAGCAGAGCTCGAGCGCTGTGCTGGGAGATCCACTGATTTCTTCAGAGCTGGCAGGCAGGAACATTTAAGTTTGCTGAAGCTGCACCCACAGCTGCCCCTTCCCCCAGGTACTCTGCCCCATGAGATGGGAGTTTATCTATAAGCCCCTGATTGGGGCCATTGCCTTTCTTTCAGAGATGCCCTGCCCAGAGAGGAGGAATCTAGAGAGGCAGTCTGGCTACAGTCTGGCTACAGGTCGAATTTCCCGGGCTTTGTTTACACAAAAGGGAAAAACCGCCTACTCAAGCCTCAGTAATGGCAGATGCCCCTCCCTGCACCAAGCTCAAGCATCCCAGGTTGACTTCAGACTGCTGTGCTGGCAGCAAGAATTTCAAGCCAGTGGATCTTAGTTTGCTGGTCTTCATGGGAGTGGGATCTGCTGAGCTAGACCACTTGGCTCCCTGGCTTCAGCCGCCTTTCCAGGGGAGTGAACGGTTCTGTCTCGCTGGTCTTCCAGGCTCCACTGGAGTATGAGAACAAACTCCTGCAGCTAGCTTGGTGTCTGCCCAAATGGCCGCCCATTTTTGTGCTTGAAACCCAGGGCCCTGGTGGTGTAGGCACCCAAGGGAATCTCCTGGTCTGCGGGTTGCAAAGACCATGAGAAAAGCATAGTATCTGGGCCAGAGTGCACCATTCCTCATGGCACACTCCCTCATGGCTAGGGGAGGGAGTTCCCTGACCCCTTGCACTTCCCAGGTGAGGTGACACCCCACCCTGCTTTGGCTCGCCCTCCATGGGCTGCACCCGCTATCTAACCAGTCCCAGTGAGATGAGCCGGGTACCTCACTTGGAAATGCAGAAATCACCCGCCTTCTGTGTTGATCTTGCTGGGAGCTGCAGACCCGAGCTGTTCCTATTTGGTCATCTTGCCAGCCACCCTTTTTTTAATTTTCTATTTTTGTAGAGACAGGGTCTTGCTGTTTTGCCCAGGCGGGTCTTGACTCTTGGCCTCAAGCAATCCTCTTGCCTTGGCCTCCTAAAGTCCTGAAATTACAGGTGTGAGTCACTCAGCATGACTTTCTTAGACTGTCTGAATGCTCTTCATTTTTCTAAGCGCATTTAGAGCTATCAGAAAGAGACAGGTAGAGCCCAAACTATGACCAGCTTTCCTGACAGCCTATCTGGTGCTTTAATCAACCTTCAGAGACCAGCAAAACCTGGAAAAGCTCATTGTACCTATTAGAATAGGCAAGCTGCTACCACCACTACCACAACTATTTAATTAAAATATCAGTAGCTTAATACAATACGAATTTATTTCTCATTTACATCACAGTCTTATGTAGGGAAGAGGGAAAGAGGGGAACCTCTTCTCTTCCCTCTGGGCTGGCCCTCTCTTAGGCTGTTAGTGTCCTTGGTATTCTATTTCACCAGGAAATGAAAAAGAGAGAGCCAGGATTATACCGGGAGGGTTTTACAGGCCAGGACTGAAAGTGGCACACCTCACTCCCACCCAAGTTCCATTGTCCAGAACTCATTCTGGTGGCTCCATCTAATTGCACGGGAGGTTGAGAGAAGTTGTCATACTGTGTGCTCAGGAAGAAGAGCCCTCATAGACATTTGTCAGTTCTAGAAGTCTATTCCGGGACAAGTTCTAGAAGTCTATTCCAAGACAAGTTCTAGAAGTCTATTCTGGGACCAGTTCCCAGATTGCAATTTTGTCCTGAGCATACTATGAGCACTTGAACTTTAAGTCGCTATAACATATTTATTTAAATATAACTTTCTTTGACGTTCACTGTAATTAGCATGCTTGCAGACAAGGGAGAAAAGGAAGGGGGCAGTGGCAGTGTCAAGCAGCTAAACAACTTTACGTGGCTCTTCAGGGCTTCTTGTCCTGCTTTTGTTGTTTTGTTTCATTTTTGTTTTGCTAATATTTATTGTATGCTTACTACTTGCCAAGTACTATACTAAGCATTTGGCACGTGTTATCTGTGCTAATTCTCATAGCAACTCTGAGAGGCAGGTACTATTATCATCTCCATTTCCCAGATATGAAAACGGTAGCTTAAAGGCATTAAGAGACTGACCTAGGTCACAAAACCAGGAAATGTGAGATCTGAGATTTTAACCTGGGTCTCTCCCATACCAGATCCTATGCTGTCCACTCCATTATCCTCTGACTGGCAAAATTCTGGCCAGAGCTGAAACCCAATTACAGCGTGGGACAGTTCTCTGAAGTTTACACACCTCTGAAGTTTAACCTCCATTTGTTGACATGTTGAGGCAAAGGTCACAAAGTGTGCTCCTCTACTAATAGAAGCTGCGGGGGATACTGACTCCCACCAGCATTCTGACCAAGTGAAGACATCAGCATTGCTTCAACTCTTCCTTGAGTGTAGAACAAGTTATTTTATGTACATACATCTTTGGTCTAAGTTTAGAGACTAATTTCACCCAAAATGAAATAATTTATGTTCAGTCAAATATCTTCTAAATAATTTTTAATTCACTGGGATATTTCAAAAGGAATACTGTAGCAGTTCTCTTAACCACCATGGTTACAGGCTAGTCAGATCTTACATTACACACTTTTAAATACTTAGAATGCTCTGAGATTGAAGCATGGGATCAATTAGGGAAAACTGACTAAAGGTTAATTTCACAGAGCCCTGAACTGATGCTCTGCTGTCCTGGCAGCTCGATGGTCTAACAAGCTGAACTGCTTTGACTGTCTAAACACCATTAAAGTATAACTGGTTGTGTACCCACCCCACCATTAGAGAGTAGCTTAAAAAACCTTATTAGAGGAAGCCATTGGGTAGGAGGCTGGGGAGCAGAAGGGGGACATAGGGGTCTGTAAGCTATTGAACTCTGATTGAACTATAAACAAGGGCTTATTATAAGCACCACTCCCAGTACTGTCAGCATGTGATCTCCTTTGGGAGTTTCACCGTAAGCAGAATGTAATCGCACATCTGTCTTTCTAGGGCATCATGCCACTCCACTTGCCTCTTATTCAAGTAACCGAAAGGTGTGAACAACTGATTTTGAGATCCTGGTGCTTTAAAAGTAGATTGTGCAAAGAGCCCCCAAGCAGCACAAGGCTGAGACCACTCTGGGATGGTCCCATGGCTCAGGACGCAGACTGGGAGCTGGTTCCAATCCCATGCACTCTTCTCTAGCAGTGACAGCCATCATGGCCATGGGCTGCCATATGTTAATTTTCTAGGGACTCATCACCTAGTTTTTAACTTGTCCCCATAGAGGAAGGGGGAGCCCCATGAATACCTGAGTGTCCCGCTCCTTGTCTAGCCCAGTAGTTCTGTTTCCTGGCTGCATTTCAGAATAACCTAGGGAACTCTTAAAATACTGATTCTTGGGCCCCTCCCTCAAGAGACGGTACTTTTTACAAGCTCCTTGGGAGGACCTAATGTGCAGCCCATGTTGAGAACCATCGGTGTGGCCCCCCTCCTTTTCTGTTTGGGTGATTCTGTAGCAGATGGAGTGATTTGGTCCTGCTGGACATCTTGGATATGGAAAATGGAACAGAAGGAGGTGAGTCTGAGAACTGCTAACTGTGACCAAGAGCAACCATTGGGTAGTCCAACATGCCCAATTTTATTAATGAACGGGGAACATGGTGGTGGTGATAATCCTGGGTTTTCAGCTCCCAACACAAGGCCTTTGCTTTTCCTTCTTCCTGTCACATTGCCTTACTTCTTGCCACATGACAATTTAATGAACATTTATTGAATGTCTTCTATATGCCAGGCACTGGGCTGGGCACCGTTAGGAAAAAGAAAGGAAGAGAAAGACATGATCCTTATCCTCAAAGAACTTACTAACCTTCGCTAGGGAAAGCAAATGCAGTGGTATGGAAATCAGTTTCCTACTTATTTACAGCTCCTATTAAAGGTTCCATAGGGTGAGATAAAAATGTCAAATTTTACAACATTTTGAAGGATTATTGGTGCTTTGCCCCATTATAGAAGTAATAAAGAGTTATCAATATCCCTTCTCCAGATCCATTCACATATGTGGCACACATACACACACACCTTCCAAAACAGGAAAGAGCCAAACATATATATTTTACACACCAGTCACAGGCCTGCTATCTTTTTTTATACAGACCTGTTTGTAGAAACACCTGGGTGAGCTAAGTTTAAGCAAGGCCCCAGAGTCCCTCTAGTTAGTCCCAAATTAACAAGAGCTTCCCACTGAGCTCATTAGGCCTTTTCAGAGGACCATTCCAGACCCCTACATTTATTCAAGATTTGAGTCCTATTATGCACCAGACACCATCCTAGACACTGGAAATGGAATAGTAAGCCAAAAAACCATCTCTACTCTAGTGGTGCTTAAAATCTAGCAAGGAAAATAGATATCAATTTAAAATTACTGTTGCAGTAAGATGTACATAAGGCATGTGAGAATGTTAAAGGGGGAACATAGGAAGTCATGGAAGGACCCCTGAGAAGTTGATCATGAACCCAGGCTCTAGGGCACAGAGCGTGATGGCCTGGTGAAGAGGGTGGGAGTGGGGCACATTCTAGTCAGAAGGAACGGTGTGAGTGAATTAGTGAGAATGGGTTGGATTGGTGATTCTCAAAGTGATCTCAGACCACTGGGAGTTCCAGAGATGCCTTCAGAGGTTTTGTATGGTCAAAATTGTTTTTTATAATGACACTAAGATGTTACTACCCTTTTCATTTGATTACATTTGCACTGATGATATAAAAGCACTGGTGGGTAAAACTTCTGATGCCTGAGCACTAATCAAACTGTACTAATTGTCATTGTATTTGTATTCTTTACTCCATGCACTTCAGGAGAAAAACAAAAAAACAAAACCTGTTTTACTTTAAAACGCCTTTGACTAAGTGTAAAAGTTATATCTTTTATTAAATCACTACCCAGGAGTGTAAAAGTTATTTCTCTTATTAAATCACTATCCAGGAGTACACATCTGTTTAATATTCTGTGTGACAAATGAGAAGTATGCATAAAACCCTCCTACTGCATACCGAACTATGATGGTTGTCTTGAGGAAAAGCACTTGTTTGATTTTTTCAGTTGCAAACAGAACTAGCTGCTTTTATCATGGAATGACATTTTTACTTGAAAAAACTGACAAACTATAGTTATTCAAACTTGGGTAGCTGGCAGACATTTTCTTGAAAATGAATAAAGTGAGCCTGTCACTTCAAGAAAAATGACTGACAGTGTTTGTTGCTAAAGATAAAATGCAAGCTTTCAAACAAAAATTGGAATGTTAGAAAACTTGTAGCCACCACTATCAGCTAGACAGCTTCCAGTACTTAAAGACTCCAATAAGATTGATGGTGATATTAATTAATGTGATTTTTTTAAATATTGTATAAAGAAATATGTTAACATTTGGAAGATCTGTGTAACTCAGTGAACTAGTCTTCTCCAAATAACCCATCATAAGGTTATAAGACCATGTATGGGTAAAGGATCCTTTCAAAGTGCAAGAGAGCCTAACAGATTTTAATGTAGCAGAGTATCAAAAGTTCATTGACATGATTTCAGATTCTACACTGTAACTAACTTTTAAGAAACTACCACTTGGGCCAGGCATGGTGGCTCACACTTGTAATCCCAGTACTTTGGGAGGCCGAGGCCGGAGGATCACCTGAGGACAGGAGTTTGAGAACAGCCTGGCCAACATGGCAAAACCTGTCTCTACTAAAAATACAAAAAAATTAGCTGGGCATGGTGGTGGGCGCCTGTAATCCCAGCTACTCAGGAGGTGAGGCATGAGAATCGATGGTACCCGAGCAGCACAGGTTGCAGAGAGCCAAGATTCCAGCCTGGGCAACAGAGAGAGACTCTGTCTCAATAAAAAATAAAAATAAATTTAAAAAAAAGGACAAAAAAAAAAGAAAAGAAAAGAAAAAAGAAATAAAAAGAAACTACCACTTAAAGAGTTTTGATGTAGTGTCTAAAAAGAATATCCACGATTATCAGAAGAGGATACTAAAATACACTTCTTTTCAACTATGTTATCTGTGTGAGGCCAGATTTTCTTCACATATCTCAACAACAAAAACAACAACAAAACAGACTGCAACTGATTAAATGCAGAAGCAGATATCAGAATTCAGCTGTCTTCAATTAATCCAGAGATTTGCAAAAATATAAAACACTGCCATGAGTTTGTTTTGGCAGCTAGCTGTTTTTCATAAAAATATTTAGGTTAAACTGTAATTGTTTTATTATTGTTATTTTAAAATTAATATATACACATCTTAAAATTTTCTCAGTTTTGATTTCTGATATGGAAATATTGATGGATGTAACCCACATAAACCAAAGCTCTTTGGGATCATCAATAAATTTTAAGAGTTTAAAGGGATCCTGAGACCAAAATGTTTGAGAACTACTGGGATAAATTATTTTGCAGTAACAAAGTTGTCTTGAATTTCAGTGGCTTAACACCACAAATGTTTATTTCCCACTCATGCACCATCAAGCAAGTTTCTAAAGACAGCTGTCCTCCATGTGCTGACTCAGCAATCCAGGTTACTCCATTGTGCGGTTCTGCTGTCTCAACACATGGCCTCTAGGATTGCAGCTGCAGAAGAGAAAGCTGGAAGACGGCACACCACTCTTCAATATTCTTCTGTGTGTCACTGCCACTCACTGCTCACTTGGCAGAACTGGTCACATGGCCCCACCCAACTGCAAGTGGGCTAGAAAATGTGAGACAGTTTGTGAATATTTGGTGAGCCACAAATGGCTGGAAACACTATGTGCAAAGAACTTGTGGTGAGAAACTGTAGTTCGATTGAATGAACTAATAGAGCACATACAGTGAGATAAGATGTAATGCAGAAAAAGGCTGAGGAGACCTCTAGGGCCAGATCATGTAGGCTGGTCTCATAAGCTGTGGTAAAGATTGTGGGCTTTTTCAGAGCAATGGGAAGACAATGAATGGTTTAAACAATTGGTGACAATGATCAGCTTTATCTTTGGATAGATCACGGCAGCTGTGGAGTAAAATGTAGGGGGATGGGAGTGCACATGGTGAAGTACTGTGCTGACAAATCAGATCTTCAGGGAAAACCCAAACGCCTTGACTCATGGTGCTTGCCAATTTCTGTAGTGTAAATATTTCCACCATGGCTAATTTCAAGCTTGCAAATTTGATGTCACTGAACACTATGAAGAGGCATGCACAATTAGCTGTTATGAGCCATTAAAGCAGGCTTCAGTGCCCCGGAGGCAAGAAAACTATTTGGGAGGCTACTCCGGACATAAGACATTTGTAGCTTAAACTTTCCTCTCCTTTGAGCATACAGCTGGAGCTAACTCCAGCATTTAGTCACAAACTTCATTACAGTGACTAAAACCCCTTGCCTACACCACAAATACAACCACCACCAACACTGCATATCATCAGGATTTTTCCTGCTATTGCTATAATATATGAAGGTGAGAGGTGTGGCTCTCTCCCCACTTGCATCCACAGTCTTGCTTCCAGTCCAAAAGACATGGGCCTATTTCCGGTAAGGATAGGCAAAGAGATTCTCTTCCACAATTAGCTCATCTTCCTAGCGTCACATTTGCAAACACCTCAGATATTCTGGCATAATATTTCTCCTCAACTCTTCCAAGAAGCGGGCAGCCCAGAAAGCTGCTAGAAAGGCCTTGTTTGGGTTTTCAACCACTCCTGATTTACATGAAAAGATTCACAAGAATCAAAATGGTTACAGGCTCTACAACTACAGGTTATACTAAAGACTTTGCAAACTTATGAAGGGGTGAAACCTTGGCTTTTGCTAGCTGGCTCAAAATGGAACCAGATGACTGTCTGGCAGGGATGAGAGATTGAGCTAGAGTGCCTACTCAGGGCGCTTTTGCTGAAGTTACCAGGTATCCGAGGCTTGCAGCAGCAGACAGCCATGACCTTTGTCTACTCGACCTCAGATTTAGCTAGTTTACCCAGGCTCTTTTTCCTTCTTCCTCCCCGTGGCTCAAGTTTCCAGTGCAAAATAACAGCTTATATATACCTGAAGTGGTGCCTGGGGTGCTGCTATTTAAATAATTCTGCCTCTAAATACAACAGGTGTCCCTCACAATGTAGCTCCCAAATTTTAACTGTTTTGTATTTTTCTCCAGAGAGCCATAGGGATTTTTTTAAAATGGCTTGTCTGGCTCAGATAATAATCCCTTCTTTTTTCTCTCCCTCCCTCCTTTCCCTCCCTTCCTTCCTTCCCTCCTCCCTTCCTTCCTCTCACTTTCTCTTTTCCTTTTGCTTTTCTCTTTATATAAAGCCACAGGCTGTAGTCTTTCTCAGCTGCCTCACCTGTCCCTCCTGCTGATTCTGGAAGTCACTGACCCTTGGGCAGAGTGGGACATTGGTGTGCTGGCTCCAAAGTTCCCTTCTCCTGGCTCTGCCTGTTGGACAAACCTCTAAACAGAAAAACGGGACTCTAACCAGGTTCAGTTGTTGTATCTGCATCCTCAATCAAAGACCTCCCATAACCCATGTCACCAGACACCCAAGTAATCAAAGGGCAACAAAGGCAGATGCGGTAGGCAGATGAGGAAGAAAATCCACAAAAACCTGGATGCCATCAAATGCTAATGTTCTCTCTTGAAACAAATTACAAAAACGAGATTGAATAGCATGGACTTTAATATTCTGTTTTACACATTTCAGTTCTTATTCCTAAATTAACTGAAACCACAAACCAAATAAAAGACCTGAAAACCAAAGAGAATACACCTCTTATTTTGCTGCAGTCACCTAATCCAAATATTCCTGGCTATGCTGGCAGAAATCCCGAGTGAATGGATTAAGATGCCAACTTCTTATATTGCAAGGTAAAGATACTTTTTAAAAACTATATTTTTATAGTTTTTTATAATGAAATAAAGGATATTTAAACATCAAATATTTTAATGAACTTGCATGATGAAAACGCTCTACATTGTCCTTTTTCACCTGGCAAAGGAATGGTGAAAATTATGGTCCATTTAGCAGCATTTGAGAATCCAAATCTCAGTGCATTCAACCACATCTAAGGAAGAGACACTATATTTGGCAGGTATTCTCATTACATCTATGGAGAAATAAAGTATCAGAGGGATTAAACAACTTGCCCAACATCACACAGCTAATAATGTCAGAGTTAGAATTCAACCCAAGATGCAACTCTTTCCATGGGGAAATAAAAATGGTAGCAGATTTTCCCAGCCTCAATATTGAGTATATTTTACTAGGCCTATTCTTCCTGTTGTATAATTCTCTGCCCATCAGGTAATCTTCCAATCATGTTTTTGATTTCACAAGGACACCTACTACCAGGTAAAGAGATTCCAAAATAGACTGCATCTGGTTGTAAATTATTAGCTTTGCTGTTTACAAATCAATCTCAACAGAGTTCAGGTGTCAGAAGCCTATTTCCTGAGGCAGGGCTGGGGAAATGAAGAATAGATTGTGGGATTTTTAGTCTTGAGAAACCTGACTTTCCAGCCCTAGAATTCAAAGGCAACAAACATGCTGATAAGCAGTGACAGGGCTGTAAAGAATATTCTGTCAGGCTGTGACCAAGGATGGACCCTCCACCTGCCAAGCAAATGGTTCTCCAGCAGGTATTCTCTGCAGGTGACGCCAGTAGCTGACTGTGAGCTTGGGTACGTCACTACACTCTCCACCCAAGTTACAGTTTCTTCATCCATGCTTGGGAAGAATCTGGATAAAATAGTCTCTAGGACTTCTCCTAGATTGACAAGCAAAAGTAATAATAATGACCAGTGAAATCCTAAGGACGTTTTCTGCTGCTAAATGTAGAAATCAGGCATTTTTCTTTTCTTTATTTTTTTTTTAAATTCTAATTTGGTTTATATGGCATTTCTTGTTTTTTAGCTACGCACAATCTGGAAACCAAGCAATACTCATTTCCTTCATTTTCTTCCCCCAGTGTCATCCACTTCCACCAGCTCCCAGCAAAACACACACTGTGCCAGCCAAAGCTACTTGCTTTTGAGGAGTGAAATGAGAAAATGGCTGTAATTCATGTAGGGCATGGTACCCTACAGCAAGCAGTCACTAAATGGTAATTATAATTATCATAGGTCTACATCTACTGCTTGATTGCCTCAATTTTTTTAATAGTATGACCTAAGTCCACACCCCCAAGTGTCCCCAGAGGGGACACATTTTATGCCCAGTTGGTCAGCTGCTGTCATCACAATGCCTGCTCTACTGTGGCTCCTGCTGCCATGTGTCTGGCCCCGCAGGCCCATGGGCTTTGGCCTTCAGGTGACTCAGAGACGAGCCAATGTCAAAGTTCACCAAAGGAGTGAACCCTGGACACTCCCAAAGCTCCCAGACACAGCATCAGAACAAAGCTGGGTGAGCTCTTAGGCAACAGAGAGGAGGAAGGAGAAAAATGTGTTGAAAGTCAGTAAAGGTTGCCTCTTATCAGTCATCCCTACCCTGCCTGCTTTGGCACCTATTGGGGTCCCAGTCCAACCACAAGCTACAGAGATATTAACTGACCATGCCATTGTTCATTGATAGAGGTTGAACACATTTGCTCCCCTGGCTCAGCCCATTTGCTTTGATAGGCTTCCTCTACCTCTGCCCCACCTTCCAATGAATCAAGTAATACTAGCCTAAAAGGTCATCCCTACAGGCTAATCCTTACTTAGCCAGACCCAGAAGTGACTTCATAGTTCTCTAGCTGGACTCCCTTAACCCTTTGTTCAGAACTTGCTGCCAGCAATGATCTCTGCAGCACATTCGTTTGCTTCTCTGTCTCACCCACTAGATGGTGAGCATTTTTTAAATTCCCCTCCCAACCCCAGTGCTGAGCTCAGCCCTGGAAACAGAGGAGTACTCAGTAAATGTTTACAAAATGAATAAATAATGAAAAAAATAGAGCATGAGTGCAGTTATTTTGAGAGCTAATAAGCAAAAGTAGCTGAAACTCTTACAGCAAATGAAAAGGGTAGGGTCAAAAATTTTTTCACAGAGGGAAAAGTGGAATGTTCATTCAACATTATTGAATAGATAAGTCATTTGGTGAGCATGCTCAGGGAAAACTGGGTTTTCCAAACCCCAACCCAATGTTTTCTCATAATGCCTTTATTACCTCTGTCACATTACTTTTGTTTGTGATTTGCAGCCTTTTGAGAATTACAACATCATCCTTCATTGTTTACTGGGTTTCACAATTCTCCCTTCCACAAAGCATATACAGTAACTGCTTTTTACATATCTAAGAATTTAAATTGTATTTTGTTTTGCAAACTTCATGACACCCCTTTGAGATAACTGGAAACACCTGGGGATGTTGCGAAAGCAGGCCTAGGAATGGCCTCTTCACAATGTGCTCAGCCGGGCTCCACAGTGGAGAAAGAACATGCAGTTCCTTGTTTGTAGTTTTCTTCTTTATATGTGTATCTGCGCCTATGCTCAGAACTCTCCATGCTCAACTCAGCTGGAACCCAGGAGAAAGTGGCAGGATAGTCCAAATTATTGAGGAACCAAAAATCTAAGCAGCAATAAGCACTTTCCTCCAAAATAGGCTATTAATTTAGGCACGGATTTTTATTTTTATTTTATTTTTTTAGAGATGTGGTCTCGCTCTGTCACTTAGGCTGGAGTGTAGGGGCACAATCACAGCTCACTGCAGCCTGGACCTCCTGGGCTCAAGTGATCCTCCCGCCCTAGCCCCCCAAGTAGCTAGAACTACAGGTGTGGCCACCAAACCCAGCTAATTTTTGTATTTGTTGCAGAGATGGAGTTACGCCATGTTGCCCAGGCTCGTCTCCAACTCCTGAGCTCAGGCAATCTACCCACCTTGGCCTCTCAAAGTGCTGGGATTATAGACATGAGCGACCATGCCCCCACTTAGGCATAGATTTTTGACTTGAATTATCATACTGTTTCTATTCTTTTACTTATTTAGTTAGCTATTTTAGAGACAAGATCTCGCTCTGTCACCTAGGCTGGTGTCCAGTGGCAGCATGATCAGAGCTCCCTGCAGCCTACACTCCTGGCCTCAAGCAATCTTCCCACCTTGGCCTCCTGAGTTGCTAGGACTGCAGGTGCACGCCACCATGGCTGGCTAATTTTTACATTTTTTGTAGAGACAGTGGTATCACTATGTTGCCCAGGCTAGTCTCAAACTCCTGGCCTCAAGTGATTGTCCTGCCTCAGCCTCCCAAAGTGCTGGGATTACAGGCGTGAGCCACCATGCCCAGTGTGTTTCTATTCTTTTTTTTCTTTTTTTTTTTTGGCTGGGGGTAGGGGTGTGTGTGGGGGAGGGGGGATGGAGTCTCGCTCTGTCGCCAGGCTGGAGTGCAATGGCACGATCTCAGCTCACTGCAACCTCCGCCTCCTGAGTTCAAGCGATTCTCCTGCCTCAGCCTCCCGAGTAGCTGGGATTACAGGCTACAGGCGCATGCCACCACATCCAGCTTATTTTTATTAGAGTCGGGGTTTCACCGTGTTGGCCAGGATGGTCTCAATCTCTTGACCTCCTGATCCACCTGCCTCGGGCTCCCAAAGTGCTGGGATTACAGGCGTGAGCCACTGCGCCTGGCCTTTTTTTTTTTTTTTTTTTTTCAGACGGAGTCTCACTCTGTTGCCCAGGCTGGAGTGCAGTGGCGCGATCTGGGCTCACTGCAAGCTCAACCTCCCGGGTTCACGCCATTCTCCTGCCTCAGCCTCCTGAGTGGCTGGGACTACAGGTGCCCGCCACCACTCCCAGCTAATTGTTTGTATTTTTAGGAGAGATGGGGTTTCACTATGTTAGCCAGGATGGACCCAATCTCCTGACCTCGTGATCCGCCCGCCTCGGCCTCCCAAAGTGCTGGGATTACAGAAGTGAGCCACCGCGCCCAGCCATGTTTCTATTCTTTACTTGGCTTTATGTAGGTCTGTGTGGTCCAGTATGGTAACCACAGGTCATTTACCACTACTGAGTACTTGAAATGTGGATTGTCTGAATTTTGAAGACTTACTACAAAAACAAAATGTAAAATATCTCAGTAATTTTTAGCATTGATCACATATTAAAATATAATATTTCAGGCCAGGCATGGTGGCTCACGCCTGTAATCCCAGCACTTTGGGAGGCCGAGGCAGGTGGATCACCTGAGGTCAGGAGTTCGAGACCAGCCTGACCAACATGAAGAAACTCCATCTCTACTAAAAATACAAAATTAGCCGGGTGTGGCTGGGCGTGGTGGTGGGCGCCTGTAGTATTTTGTATTTTTTTTAGTAAAAAATACAAAAATTAGCCAGGCGTGGTGGTGGGCGCCTGTAGTCCCAGCTACTCTGGAGGCTGAGGCAGGAGAATCACTTGAACCCAGGAGGCAGAGGTTGCAGTGAGCTGAGATCGTGCCACAGCACTCCAGCCCAGGTGACAGTGTGAGACTGCCTCAAAAAAAAAAAAGCCAGGCATGGTGGTGGCACACTCCTGTAATGCCAGCTACTTGGGAGGCTGAGGCAGGAGAATCTCTTGAACCTGGTAGGTGGAGGTTGCGATGAGCTGCGATTGCACCATTGCACTCCAGCCTGGGCAACAAGAGCAAAACTCCGTCTCAAAAAAAAAAAAAAAAAGATTTCAACATATTGGTTAAACATACTATTAAAATTAATTTCACCTGTTTCTGTTTGTCTTTTTTTAATGGGGCTACTAGGACATTTCTTATTGCATATGTGGGTTTCATTATATTTCTATTAGACAGTACTGGTGCACACAATGCCTATTCATACTCAGTAGACTATTGATGCAAAAAATCATAAAGATTGGGTCACTAACAGAGTGAAGGGAGAAATTATCCCAGGGGGAAAAATAGCTTATTTTAGATGAAGAGGAAAAGAAAATATCTTTTTTACCCGTTTTAAGTTCATGGCTGAGGCATCTCTAACAAAAGACAGATTAACAAGAGAAAAGCATAGGAACACATTTAATATAAGTTTTATGTGACATAGTAGTAGCCTTTGGAAATAAAGACCCAAAGAAATGGGGAAACCTATGTATTTTTATGTTAAGTTTGATGAAGGTGTGGATATTTGTGGAGTATGTATGGTTAGACAAGGGTGGTATGATCTAATGGTAATAAACTGGGGGCGGGGGGAACTTAGCTACACCTGTTCAGATTTTTCTAAATCTCAGTGTGACATTTCTTTTCCCCAGGTATAGAGAAGGTATCTCTGGAAGGTCTTATGATCTATTTCAGAGAAAGGTGAAAGAATTCTTTTTTGGCATGCTCAGGGGAGAAGGATGAGAGGAAGGTAAGAGTGACCCTTCTGCTTCTGCTGTTTTCTCAAATGCCAAGATGTCATATTTTGGTGTAGCATATCCTGAACCCCAATATAGGCTTATTCTAAAGAATAAATGAGCTTGTTGGGGCTCAGAACACAGTACCCCAAAGTATGACACCTTGATGTGCTGAATACTTTGAACTGAAGATTGGAAAGGCCTCAGGAGCAAAGTCTCTCCGACCTTCTCCTGCCCTTCTTTCTCCCCTGAAGGGAGTCATAGAAACCAGAATTTCTCCATCACAAGCCGGGTCATAGAAACTAGAACTCCTCTTCCCCAAAGCGAGCTGTAAAACCTAAAAAGGCCACACTCTTTCCCTTCTCCCTTTGCCCTTAAAGAACCTCAATTCAGAGGGCCCCTGACCCACGGGAGGCGGGGAATGCTTTACAGAGACACCAAAAAGCATCTGAACAGACAGGCCTCACTGGCTTTCCCCATGTCAATTACCATTCGATCACACCCTTTTGTCCAATCACATTTCTACATGGCTGTCTATCCCTAACTATAAAATAGACGGTTTTCCCTGGATCTTTGGGTCTTCATTTCTGCAGGCTCCCATGTCACACAGAATTTTGATTAAATAAATTTGCTACTCTTTTATGTTGTTAATCTGTCTTTTGTTATAGGAATGCCAGTTGTGACCTTTATGATGGGTGAGGAAAGGTCTCACACCTTTCTACCACAATGAGCTGATGTATGCGAAGCACTTCACACATTTGCAGTTCCTGGCACACAGGAAGTGTTAGATGTAAAGTGACAATGATAATTATTTATCCTGTTAGTCAAGGTCAAGGGAGAAAGGTGGTACAAAAAAGAACATGTGGGCCAGGCGTGGTGGCTCACACCTGTAATCCCAGCATTTTGGGAGGCTGAGGCAGGTGGATCACCTGAGGTCAGGAGTTCGAGACCAGCCTGACCAACATAGTGAAATCCTGTCTCTACTAAATAAAAAATAAATAAATAAATAAAAAATTAGCCGGGCATGGTGGCACATGCCTGTAATCCCAGCTACTTAGGAGGCTGAGTGAGTCAGGAGAATCGCTTGAACCCGACAAGCGGAGGTTGCGGTGAGCCGAGATTGCTCCATTGCACTCCAGCCTGGACAACAAGAGCGAAACTCTGTGTCAAAAAAAAAAAAAAAAAGAGAGAACGTGTGCTTTGGTGTCAGATCTGGAAATATGTTGGCTCAAATCTATATATTTGTGGTCTCAGAAAAGTAACTTAATCTTTCTGTGCTTCAGTTTACGCATTGGCAAGGTAGAACTCCACCTTGTAGGCTTGTTATGAAAATCAAAGGGGACATACTAAATACGCACATGGTGGTCAGCTATGATTATTGCTATTAAGATCTCTCCAATTTTAGCCTGAGAGACCCACCAGATTTACTACCTTCCAGCACCCAGTGCACTCCACACACCAAGCTTCCATGGCTAGGTTCCTGCTCTCTCACCTGTAAAAACTGACTATGATACATTAAAATCCCCCTACCATTCAAAATCCTGCTCAAACCTACTTCCTTAAATGTCCTTTCCTCTCCCCAGACAGAGAAGGTAGCTCTCCTTTGCTAATTATTCCCTCATTTAATCAATTCCAATGAGCCAGGTTGTGTTGCCCTTGGATACATTCAGCCTTCTGCACCACTAGTTCTTTAAAAAAGGCAATATAGATGCCGGGTGTGGTGGCTCACGCCTGTAATCCCAGCACTTTGGGAGGCCAAGGAGGGCGGATCATTTGAGGTCGGAGGTTCGAGACCAGCTTGACCTACATAGTGAAACCCTGTCTCTACTAAAATATAAAAATTACAAAAATTAGCTGGGCATGGTGGCGGGCGCCTGTAATCCCAGCTACTCCTGAGGCTGAGGCAGGAGAATCACTTGAACTCAGGAGGTGGAGGTTGCAGTGAGCCAAGATCGCGCCACTGCACTCCAGCCTGGGCGACAGAGCAAGACTCCCTCTCAAAAAAAAAAAAAAAGGCAACATAGAGAAAAATTATAATAACATAGTGAGTTTTATAAACCAATTCACATATCTTTCTCCTTTTTAAAATCAGTGCTAGAATCCTCTTTATTTTATATAATCATGGTAATGATAGATGATAGCTACTTTTTTTTTAGTGGCCTTCATCTTTTCTTTCATTTTTTATTTTTATGGGTACATAGTATTATATAGTTTGGCACTGTATCCCCACCAAATCTCATCTTTTTTTTTTTATTTTTTGAGACGGAGTCTCGCTCTGTCACCCAGGCTGGAGTGCAGTGGCCTGATCTCTGCTCACTGCAAGCTCCGCCTCCCGGGTTCACGCCACATTCCTGCCTCAGCCCCCCAAGTAGCTGGGACTACAGGCGCCCACCACCGCGCCCGGCTAATTTTTTGTATTTTTAGTAGAGACGGGGTTTCACCATGGTTTCTGACCTCGTGATCCACCCGCCTCGGCCTCCCAACCAAATCTCATCTTGAATTGTAATCCCCATGTGTCAAGAGAGGGACCTATAATCCCCACATGTTGAGGGAGGGAGGTGACTGGATCATGGTGGTGGTCCCCCATGCTGTTCTCATGATAGTGAGTGAGTTCTCTTGAGATCTGATGGTTTTATAAGTGTTTGGAAGTTCCTCCACACACTCACACTCTCCTGCACCTTGTGAAGAAGACGCCTGCTTCCTCTTCTGCCATGATTGTGAATTTCCTGAGGCCTCCCTAGCCATGTGGAACTGTGACACAACTACATTTCCTTTGTTTATAAATTACCCTGTCTCTGGTAGTATCTTTTTTTTTTTTTTTTTTTTTTTGAGACGGAGTTTCACTCTTGTTGCCCAGGCTGGAGTCCAATGGCGCCATCTCAGCTCACTGCAACCTCCGCTTCCTGGGTTCAAGCGATTCTCCTGTCTCGAGCCTCCCAAGTAGCTGGGATTACAGGTGCCCACCACCATGCCTGGCTAATTTTTTGTATTTTCAGTAGTGATGGGGTTTCACTATGTTGGGCAGGCTGGTCTCAAACTCCTGACCTCAGGTGATCTGCCTGCCTTGGCCTCCTAAAGTGCTGGGATTACGGGCGTGAGCTGCCGTAATCTTTATAGCAATGTGAGAACAGACTAATATATAGTAGGTGTATATATTTATGAGATACATGAGATACTTTAATACAGGCATATAATGGGTAATAATCACATTGAGGTAAATGGGGTATGCATCACCTCAAACATTTATTATTTCTTTGTATTGCAAATGTTCCAATTAGTCTATTTTAGTTATTTTTAAATGTACTATAAATTATTGTTGACTGTAGTCACATTTGTGCTATCAAATACTAGATCTTATTTGTTCTATCTAACTGTATCTTTGTACCTATTAACCATCTCCACTCCTCCCTGCCAACCCCACTACTCATCTCAGCCTCTATTAACCATCATTCTACTGTCTATCTCTATGAGTTCGATTGTTTTAATTTTCAGCTCCCACAACTGAGTGAGAACAGGTGAAGTTTATCTTTCAGTGCCTGGCTTATTTCACTTAACATAATGTCCTCCAGTTCTGTTCATGCTCTTGCAAATGACTAGATCTCCTTTTTATGGCTGAATAGTACTCCATTGTGCATATGTATCACATTTTCTTTATCCATTCATCTGTTGATGGATGCTTAGGTTAATTCCAAATATTGGCCATCATAAACAGTGCTACAATAAACATGGGAGTGCAGATATCTCTCTGATATACTGATTTCCTTTCTTTTGGGTATATAACCAGCAGTGGGATTGCTAGATCACATGATAGTTTTATTTTGAGTTTTTTGAGGAACCTCCATACTGTTCTCCATAGTGCCTGTAATAATTTACATTCTCACCAACAGTGTATGAGAGTTCCCTTTTCTCTACATCTTCACCAGCATTTGTTATTGCCTGTTGTTTGGATAAAAGCCAATTAACTGGGGTGAGATGACATCTCATTGTAGTTTTGATTTTCATTTCTCTGATGATCAATGACGTTTAGACCTTTTTTTTTTTTTTTTTTTTTGGTTGAGACGTAATCTCGCTCTGTTGCCCAGACTGGAGTGGAGTGGCAAGATCCCAGCTCACTGCAACCTCCATCTCCCTGGCTGAAGCAATTCTCCTGCCTCAGTCTCCCTTGTAGCTGGGATTATAGGCATGTGCCATCACACTTGGCTAATTTTGTATTTTTAGTAGAGATGGGGTTTAGCCATGTTGTCCAGGCTGGTCTTGAACTCCTGATCTCAGGTGATCTGCCCACCTCGGCCTCCCAAAGTGCTGAGATTACAGGTGTGAGCCACTGTTTCCAGCCTTTGGGCACCTTTTTATATGCCTGTTTGCCATTTGTATGTCTTCTTTTGAGAAATGTCTAGCTGGGACTACATGCATATGCCACCACACCCGGCTAATTTTTTTTTTTTTTTTTTTTTTGTAGAGATGGGGTTTCACCATATTGCCCAGGCTGGTCTCAAACTCCTGAGCTCAAGAAATCCACCTACTTCAGCCTCCCAAAGTGCTGGGACTAAAAGCCTGAGCCACCACATCCAATGTATTCTGCCTATTTTGCCCATTTTAAAATCAGATTATTAGATTTTTTTCATATTGAGTTGTTTGAGCTCTAATACTTTACTACTAATAATAATTAATAATCCCCTGTGAGATAGTTTGCAAATATTTTCTCTAATTCTGCCTGTTGTCTCTTTACTGTATTATTTCCTTTGCTGTGCAGATGCTTTTTAACTTGATGTGATCCCATTTGTACATTTTATCTTTGGTTGCCTGTGCTTTTGGGGTATGATGCAAGAAATCTTTGCTCAGACCAATGTCTTGGAGAGTTTCTCCAATATTTTCTTTTAGTAGTTTCATAATTTTTGGCCTTAGATTTTAAGTATTTAATCCATTTTGATTTGATTTTTGTATATGGAGAGAGGGGTCTAGTTTCATTTTCCTCTATATGGATTTACAGTTTTCCCAGTACCGTTTATTGATGAAAGTATTCTTTCCCCAGTGTAAGTTCTTGGCACCTTTGTCGAAAATTAGCTCATTGTACATGTATGGATTTATTTCTGGGCTTTCTATTGTGTTCCATTTGTTTATGTGTCTGTTTTTAAGCCAGTACCATGCTGGCATTATTATAACTCTGTGGTATAATCTGAAGTTAGGTAATGTGATTCTTCCCGTTTTCTTTTTACTCAAGATGACTTTGGCTATTCTGGGGTCTTTTGTGGTTCCATATAAACTTTAGAACTATTTTGTCTATTTCTGTGAAGAATGCCATTGATATTTTGATAGAGATTGCATAAATCTATAGACTGCTCTGAGTACTGTGGACATTTTAACAATATTGATTCTTCTAATCCATGAACATGGAATATATTCCCATTTTTTTGTGTATTCTCTTCAATTTATTGCATCAATGTTTTTTAGTTTTTATTGGAGAGATCTTTTACTTGTAAATGAGATTATTCTCTTGATTTCTTTTTCAGATCGTTGTTGGCATAGAAATGCTACTAGTTTTCATATGTAAATTTTGTATCCTGCAACTTTACTGAATTTGTTTACCAGTTCAAATAATTTTTTTGGTGTAGTCCTTAGGTTTTTCCAAATATAAGGCCATATCATCTGCAAATAAGGATAATTTGAATTCTTACTTGTTTTTCCCTTATCTGATTGCTTTAGCTAGGACTTCAAGTACTATGTTGAATAAAAGTGGTAAAAGTGGACATCTTTGTCATGTTTCAGCTCTTAGAGGAAAGGCTTTTAGTTCTTCCCCATTCAGTACTAGCTGTGGATCTGTCATATATGGCTTTTATTGTGTTGAGATATGTTCCTTCTATACCCTGCTTTCTTTTTAGGGTTTTTATCATAAAGCGATGTTGGATTTTATCAAATGCTTTTTCAGAATCAATTGAAATGGTCATAGGGCTTTTGTCCTTCATTCTGTTGATACAATGTATCATATTGATTTGTTTATGTTATACCATCCTTGCATCCCTGGGATAAACCTCACTTGGTCATGATGAATGACCTTTTAATGTGTTGTTGAATTTGGGTTGTTGGTATTTTGTTGAGAATATTTGCATCAATGTTCAAGAGAGATACTGGCTTATAGTTCTCTTTCTTTTTGCTTTTTTGATGTATCTTTGTGTGGTTTTGGTATCAGAGTAATACTAGTCTTGTAGAATGAGTTTGGAAGTATTCTGTCCTCCTCTTTTTTTTAGACTAGTTTGAGTAGGATTGATATTAGTTCTTTAAATGTTTGGTAAAATTCAGCAGTGAAGCCATTAGGTCTTAGGCTTTTTTTTTTTTTTTTCCTGGGAGACATTTAATTATGGCTTCACTCTCTCTACTCATTATTTGTCTATTCAGGTTTCCAGTGTCTTAATGGTTTGATCTTGGTAGGTTGTATGTGTCTCAGAATTTATTCATTTCTTCTAGGTTTTTCAATTTATTGGCATATGGTTGCTCATAGTAGTCCCCAGTGATCCTTTGAATTTCTGTGGTATAAGTTGTCATGTCTCCTTTCTCATCTCTGATTTTATTTATTTGGGTCTTCTCTCTTTTTTTTCTTAGGCTGGCTAAAAGTTTCTTTCTTTTGCTTATCTTTTTAAAAAACCAACTTTTCATTTTGTTGATTTTTGTGATATATCACATTGATTTTTTTGTTTCAATTTCATTTGTTTCTGCCCTAATCTTTATTTCTTTTCTTCTAATAATTTTGAACTTGTTTTGCTCTTGCTTTTCCAGTTCTTTAAGCTGCATCATTAGGTTGTTTATTTGAAGTTTTCTACTTTTTTAATGTAGGCACTTATTGCTATAAACTTTCCTCTTAGTAGTGCTTTTGCTGTATCCCATAGGTTTTTGTATGTATTTCCATTTTCATTTGTTTTAAGAAATTTTTCAATTTTTTTCTTAATTTCTTCATTGCCTCACTCGTCATTCAGGAGCATATCATTTAATTTCCATGTGCCTGTATAATTTCAAAAGTTTCTCTTGTAATTGATTTCCGGTTTTATTCCATTGTAGTCAGATGAGAGTCTTGATGTGATTTCAACATTTTCAAAATTTTTAGGACTTGTTTTACGGCCTTATGGTCTATCCTTGATAATAATCTATGTGCTGAGGAGAAGAATGTGTATTCTGCAGCCATTGGATGAAATGTTCTGTAGGTGTCTATGAGGTTCATTTGGTCTATAGTGCAAATTAAGTCCAATGTTTCTTTGTTGTTTTTCTGTCTGAAAGACCTGTTGAATGCTGACAGTGGGATGTTCAAGTCTCTATCTATTATTGTATTGGGGTCTATCTATCTCCTTAGTTCTAATAATATTTGCTTTATATATCTGGGTGCTCCAGTGTTGGGTGCATATATATATTTACAATTGTTATATCCTCTTTCTGAATTAACCTTTTTATCACTATATAATGACCTTCTTTGTCTTGAAATCTATTTTATCTGACAGAAGTAAAGCTACTTCTGTTCTTTTTTGGTTTCCATTTGCATGGAATATTTTTTCCCATCTCTTTATTTTCAGTCTGTGTATGTCTTTATAGTTGAAATGTGTTTCTTATAGGCAGCAGATCCTTAGATATAGTTTTTTATCCAATCAGCCACTCTATGCCTTTTTATAGGAGAGTTTAGTGCATTTACTTTTACGGTTATTATTGAAAAGTAAGAACTTACTACTGCCATGGGATAGTTATTATTTTTCAATATTACTTGGAAAAAGAAAAGTAAGTGGCCCTAAGTTGATCACCAAAATGTTTTTGGTTTTTATTTATTTTGCTCTTTTACTGATTTACAAAACAACAAAACAGTCTGGAAACTACTCCTTTACAGTGTATAGTATAGAAAAAGGAGATAAAAGGATGGAGGAGTTGAGATTAATAGGAGCTGGTCAGACAAAATTCAACAGCGCTTCATGCTAAAAACTCTCAATAAATTAGGTATTGATGGGACGTATCTCAAAATAATAAGAGCTATTTATGACAAACCCACAGCCAATATCGTACTGAATGGGCAAAAACTGGAAGCATTCCCTTTGAAAACTGGCACAAGACAGGGATGCCCTCTCTCACCACTCCTATTCAACATAGTGTTGGAAGTTCTGGCCAGGGCAATCAGGCAGGAGAAAGAAATAAAGGGTATTCAATTAGGAAAAGAGGAAGTCAAATTGTCCCTGTTTGCAGATGACATGATTGTATATCTAGAAAACCCCATCGTCTCAGCCCAAAATCTCCTTAAGCTGATAAGCAACTTCAGCAAAGTCTCAGGATACAAAATCAATGTGCAAAAATCACAAGCATTCTTATACACCAATAACAGACTAACAGAGCCAAATTATGAGTGAACTGCCATTCACAATTGCTTCAAAGAGAATAAAATACCTAGGAATCCAACTTACAAGGGATGTGAAGGACCTCTTAGAGGAGAACTACAAACCACTGCTCAACGAAATAAAAGAGGACACAAACAAATGGAAGAACATCCCATGCTCATGGGTAGGAAGAATCAATATCGGGAAAATGGCCATACTGCCCAAGGTAATTGATAGATTCAATGCCATCCCCATCAAGCTACCAATGACTTTCTTCACAGAATTGGAAACAACTACTTCAAAGTTCATATGGAACCAAAAAAGAGCCTGCATTGCCAAGACAATCCTAAGCCAAAAGAACAAAGCTTGAGGCATCATGCTACCTGACTTCAAACTATACTACAAGGCTACAGTAACCAAAACAGCATGGTACTGGTACCAAAACAGAGATATAGACCAATGGAACAGAACAGAGGCCTCAGAAGTAATACCACACATCTACAACCATCTGATCTTTGACAAACCTGACAAAAACAAGAAATGGGGAAAGGATTCCCTATTTAATAAATGGTGCTGAGAAAACTGGCTAGCCAAATATAGAAAGCTGAAACCGGATCCCTTTCTTACACCATATACAAAAATTAATTCAAGATGGATTAAAGACTTACATGTTAGACCTAAAACCATAAAAACCCTAGAAGAAAACCTAGGCAATACCATTCAGGACATAGGCATGGGCAAGGACTTCATGTCTAAAACACCAAAAGCAATGGCAACAAAAGCCAAAATTGACAAATTGGATCTAATTAAACTAAAGAGCTTCTGCACAGCAAAAGAAACTACCATCAGAGTGAACAGGCAACCTACAGAATGGGAGAAAATTTTTGCAATCTACTCATCTGACAAAGGGCTAATATCCAGAATCTACAATGAACTCAAACAAATTTACAAGAAAAAAATCAAACAACCCCATCAAAAAGTGGCCAAAGGATATGAAAAGACACTTCTCAAAAGAAGACATTTATGCAGCTAACAGACACATGAAAAAATGCTCATCATCACTGGCCATCAGAGAAATGCAAATCAAAACCACAATGAGATACCATCTCACACCAGTTAGAATGGCGATCATTGAAAAGTCAGGAAACAACGTGCTGGAGAGGATGTGGAGAAATAGGAACACTTTTACACTGTTGGTGGGACTGTAAACTAGTTCAACCATTGTGGAAGACAGTGTGGCGATTCCTCAAGGATCTAAAACTAGAAATACCATTTGACCCAGCCATCCCATTACTGGGTCTATACCCAAAGGATTATAAATCATGCTGCTATAAAGAGACATGCACACATATGTTTATTGTGGCACTATTCACAATAGCAAAGACTTGGAACCAACCCAAATGTCCATCAATGATAGACTGGATTAAGAAAATGTGGCACATATACACCATGGAATACTATGCAGCCATAAAAAAGGATGAGTTCATGTCCTTTGTAGGGACATGGATGAAGCTGGAAACCATCATTCTGAGCAAACTATCGCAAGGACAAAAAACCAAACACCGCCTGTTCTCACTCATAGGTGGGAATTGAACAATGAGAACACTTGGACACAGGAAGGGGAACATCACACACCGGGGCCTGTTGTGGGGTTGGGGGAGTGGGGAGGGATAGCATTAGGAGATATACCTAATGTAAATGACGAGTTAATGGGTGCAGCACACCAGCATGGCACATGTATACATATGTAACTAACCTGCACGTTGTGCACATGTATCCTAAAACTTAAAGTATCAAGTCTCAGTGTAGTGACTTTCTGCAGGCAGAATGGGGCCCCAAAGGTTCTGTTTAGGTGCTAATCAGGCACCCACATAAAACAGGCCACAATTAAAAGTACATTTATTTTCTAGAAACAATGGATAATCATGTAAACCAAAAATAAAAATTGAAGCCCCCAAATGACTGAATAGACCCTTCTCTTAGCCAAGGAGACCCAAAGAAACCTAAATAAGTGGTTCAGGCCATAATGAGAAGAGAGGGTCAGACATGCCTCATTATACTCTCCTCCTTTTGGAGTTCAGGCATAACTGAGTAGCATTAACATTAAAACAGAGGTCTTAAGACTGAAAACACAGACTTTCTAGCAATAAGATACTAAATTCTAACCTGACTGTAGTGTAGCTTCATATAACAAATAACAGACCCTAAAAGAAATAAAAGTGTTTTACTCCAAAATATATTTCTTTGACATATTTTAGAATGACCCTGCACAGCTGTCTCTTATGGGAGAAAACTGCATTCTGCAGGAAACATTGGCCATCTATTGTCTCTAAGAGTAGCCACTTATGAGACTTCATTTATGTGATAAGAACCTTGGTCTTCACAACTACTTATCTTTTTTTTTTTTTTTTGACAGAGGAGTCTCACTCTGTAGCCTAGGCTGGAGTGCAGATGTGTGATCTCGGCTCACTGCAACCTCCGGCTTCTGGTTTCAAGTGATTCTCCTGCCTCAGCCTCCCAAGTAGCTGGGATTACAGGTGCCCACCACCACGCCCAACAACTTTAGTATTTTTAGTAGAGACAGGGATTCACCATGTTGGTCAGGCAGGTCTTGAACTCCTGACCTCAAGTGATCTGCCTGCCTTGGCCTCCCAAAGTGCTGGGATTACAGGCATGAGCCACCACGCCCAACCCACAACTACTTATCTTAACCCAGACACTCCTTTCTATTGATTCCAGATTTTTAGATAAAACTTAACTCTTTCAACCAATTGTCATCAGAAAATCTTTGAATCTGCCTATGATCTGTATGCCCTCCCTTTGAGTTGTCTTGCCTTTTTGGGCTGAACCAATGTATACCTCACATGTATTGATTGATGTCTTATGTCTCCCTAAAATGTATAAAACCAAGCTGTAACTCAACTGCCTTGGGTCATGTTCTCAAGACCTCTTTAGGCTGTGCCTCAGGCCATGGTCACTCATATTTGGCTCAGAATAAATCTCTTCAAATATTTTACTGAGTTTGGCATTTTTGTCAATGATCATCTCTTTCTAATTCCAAGTTGCAATAGGTAAGCCTGGCTACACCAATTTTAAAACAATGCTTTTTAAACTCCAACATGCAGAATAAGCATCTGAAAAGTTAGTTAAACTCTAGAGTCCAGAGCCCACCCACAGAGACTCTGATTTAATAGATCTGGGGCATCTGCATTTTAAACAATCCTCGTGGGAATTGCTGATGTAGGTGGTCCCCAGGCCAGCCAGACATTGAAAACACTGTGCTGAAAGACAAATACTGACCAATTGGCTCTCTCCTATGTTTCCAAAGGTTCACTCACTCTGAGCCTCCACCCTTACCACCTTCTGTCTGATATTGCATCTGCTTTCACAGATGTGCAACCCTAAGGTGTCCATAAAACTTTTTTGGGGGGGAGGCCTTAGTAATCAAAAGAAGATGGCTAACTTCTCCTGGATCAAAATGAAGTCCATGTCAGTTTTTGGCAGCTAATTTAAAAGTCATAAGTATTGTGAATATCTGGGCGTTCTAAGACAAAGCGGCACACCTTCTACCTCCCCATCACTGCATCCAATCCATCTCTAGCAAGAGGCAAATGTTTTTCTTTTGCATGACTATATTGTGCAAGAAGCAACAGCATTCTGTTTCTTAGAGCAGATGATTAGGTGTTTGTTCGTGATCAACTATCTGAGTTTAGTACTACAGGTTTTCAGATGCCGCAGGAGAAAAAACATAGCTTAAAAAGTTACCTACTCTAAGTTGGCTGGGAGTGGTGGCGGGTGCCTGTAGTCCCAGCTACTCAGGAGGCTGAGGCAGGAGAATTGCTTGAACCTAGGCCAAGTTTGCAGTAGGCCGAGATCGTACCACTGCACTCCAACCTGGGCAACAGAGCAAGACTCCATCTGAAAGAAAGAAAGAAAGACAGAAAGACAGAGAAAGAAAAAAAGAAAGAGAAAGAAGGAAAGCAAGCAAGCAAGCAAGCAAGCAAGCAAGCTATTCTGAATGTGGCTGATTTAGAAAAAGCAAAGATAGACCTTAATGTGGAAATTGGCTCTTTTGTTTTACCAAAATCACTTAATTTCACTGACTTCACCTTCAGTCTATGCTCGTGACATTTGTCCATTTTCTTGTTCTAATCACCACTTAGTGTTGCTGTCATATTTTAATCATTTCTTTGCAAAAATCTTGACCAAGATTCATGCAAATAGCCCAAAAGAAAGGAAAAACAACCTTTCCTGAGACTCCCCCTATTGGAGTTTGCATCCTGGTGTTTATCCAGAATCATAAAGACTTTGAAAAGACTTCACAGGTGGGTAAAGCTCTCAAAGAGATTGATTTACAAAATGCCAGCTAGGGGCCAACCATGCTCCTCAAAGACTTGAGTTTCTGGAGGAGTGAATTTTAGGGGCCTAGGAACAAAGCCTAGATTTGGTAAGCTTAGGAGGATAGCTGAAGCAAGGAATTTCTTTGCTTTACCTACAAAATAATTGAAAAAGGAGGTGTATCAGTGAGAAGTGTGGGGGAAGGGCACACATTCCTGTGTTAAAAGAACAGAAAAGGACCATATTTTGCTTTTTAATTTTTTTATGCAAGGCAGATGGGCTGTTGATCGATACTAAATAAATCCTTGAATAAACGAATCTCTCTAGCACCGGGGAAGGTGGTGATAGAGAGAGTCAGGGGAGGATGGGAAGTGCCTTGTACATATGGAACAGATAACTCTTTAAGAAAAGGGGGATTAAAAGCAAGAACCTCAGGGCATTTAATAACTGTGGTGTTTTATTCTTACTTTATGTGGATTATTGGGGATTACCTGCTAAAAGCAAGAGCCCAGTCTAGTGTTACTTTTTGACTCACCCTTCCTTTTCTCTCATTTAAAATCTTCTGTCTCTTCCATGATTTTCATTTGGCTAATGGCTGACAAACCCAGAATGCAAAAAAAGTTTTCCTGATGAATAGAAGGCGCTACACAATCAACCTTCACTATGGGTTTTACTGTCAAATTCCACCTTTATAAAATCAAAAAGCCCAGTTAAATGCATTAAACAGTAGATCCATAAAAAGCTTTTCAACCAACTGCACTGGCTTAAAGCGTTGAGCTGCTGAAGCTCAGTAAAGCCAGTTAGTGGCAGAACGTGGGCCGAAACCCAGGCATCAGCAGCAAAGTGCTAGCTTTTCATTCCACCATGTGATCTCTGCAGGTTTTAGGTCGCACATGTTTATTAATACACTTTGCCTCTCAAACATCACAAATTACCTGCATTTCAAAAGGAAGAGTCTTTCCTTGGGCTTTGTGGAGACAGAAGAAAAAGAAATTTTAAGTTGAAACCCAGCATAGGTAAGATTTAGCCTCTATAAATTCAGTTTGGGGATTCTAGACATATGGGACAGTCTAGATATATGGTGTAGGGCTTCCCCTTTGCCCTTGGAAGGTTCGCTGAAAAAATCAACTTACAAAAGGCAGACTAATTTGAGAGAAGGCATACAAATTTATAAATGTGTACTCAAAGGAGAATCACAGAGTGATTACCCAATATACCAATGGAGTCAAAATACTTATATAACTTTATTTCACAGAGGGGTAGGGGGAGATAGGAAAATATGGATAATTTCAGGGGAATAGTAAATAATTCTTAAATTTTTTTTTTTTTTTGAGACAGGGCCTCACTCTGTGAGGTGCAACCTCAGCTCATTGCAACCTCCACCTCCTGGGTTCAAGCCATTCTTGTGTCCCAGCCACTCTGAAACCGCCTTTGCAAAATTATGACTGAGACAGTGAAAGAGAACTAACTTAATTGACTCCATCTTGCTTCTAACCTCCAAGCTGTCCTTGTTCATTCCTGGGCCTAGGCTAAATTAACTTTGGGAGAAACTTAGTTTATAGTTTAAACAAAGATGGTAACAGCCCTTTCCCAAAGCAGACTTCCTTCTTGCCTGGGGACTAGATTGCCTTTGTAGGACTAACATTAGTCACAAGATGAGAAATTATGGTTTAGGAGTCATGCAGCCGGAGGATACAAGATTCTGACTTTCTCTACATTGCTCCCAAGATCAGTGCTTGAGATATTTTGCAGACCCTGCACTTGATGGATCAGCTGGCACCACCCAGATCAATAAACTGGCTCAGCTGATCTTGTGGCCCCCACCCAGGAACTGACTGAGCACAAGAGAGCTCTGACTCCCTGTGATTTCATCTCTGACCAATCAGCACTCCTGGCTCACTGGCTTCCCCCCACCCACCAAGTTATCCTCAAAAACACTGCTCCCCGAAAGCTCGGAGAGTAATAATAAAACTCCAGTGTCCCTCACAGCTGGCTCTGCGTGAATTACTCTTTCTCTATTGAAATTCCCCTGTCTTGATGAATAAACTCTGCCTAGGCTTCAGCTAAGGCGAACCCCTTGGGCAGTTACAACCCGAGTAGCTGGGAGTATAGGCAAGTGCCACCATGCCCAGCTCAGCTAATATTTGTATTTTTAGTAGAGACAGGGTTTTGCCATGTTGGCCAGGCTGGTCTCGAACTCCCAGCCTCAGGTGATTGGATAATTTAGTGGGTTTGAGGAACATAAAAATGGCCTGGCATAAGCTGGTTTGGCCTGCAGAGTGAATAGTGGTTTGTGACAAGTCTGTCCAGGTGTGTTGACTGACTTCAGTCATTCTTCCTGAAATATGAGTTCAGTTAATGGAAACTCAGGGAAGGGACCAGAGGTAATTGTTTTCCTTTTGGGGAGTGTGACAGTTAATATTGAATGTCAACTTGATTGGGTTAAAGGATGCAAAGTATTGTTCCTGGGTGTGTCTGTGAGGGTGTTGCCAAAGGAGATTAACATTTCAGTCAGTGGACTGGGAAAGGCAGACCCACCTTCAATCTGGGTGGGCACAATCTAATTAGCTGCCAGCGAGGCCAGAATAAAAGCAGGCAGAAGAACATGGAAAGATTAGACTGGCTTGGCGTCTGAGCCTACATCTTTCTCCCGTGCTGGATGCTTCCTGCCCTCAAACATCAGACTCCAAGTTCTCCAGCTTTGGGACTCGGACTGGCTTCCTTGCTCCTCAGCTTGCAGATGGCCTTTTGTGGGGCCTCACCTTGTGATCACGTGAATCAATACTCCTTAATAAACTCCTCTTTAAATGTACATCTATCCTATTAATTCTGTCCTTCTAGAGAACCCTAATACAGGGAGGTCTGAATTTTGGCAGATGAGGAAATTTCAGAGAACAACATCCTGTCTTTGGGAGAAGTAGAGGATTGAGAGACAGGAAGGGAGGAGAAAAAAACAATTGTTCTCCTTGTTGGATCTGTCAGGTCTTTATGCAGGTAGGAGAAAAGTCTCTTCCAGCATCTGTTGTTCTCTAAGGGCCTTTAATTGAAAATACTCATTATACTAGGGGGCCATATTTTGGGTTCCCTGCATTCCTTTAATGGAATAATCTGAGAAGATCATAGTAGTATCAGGAATTACGGGAAGAGCAATGGGTTTTGCAGCCAACTCCAAAGTGTGGATTCTACTGCCAGTCCTGTTACTTATTTATGTTTTGTCCTGGGACAAAGTTTTTATGTTCTCTAAATCTAAGTATCTTTATTTATGTAATAGAAATAACAACATCTCTCTCACGGGGTTGTTGTGAATATTTATAATGGAATACGCAGAAAGCTCCTTCCTTCAATATGGAAATACTCAGTAAATATTACTTTCATTTCCCTCCTCTCTGTCTTCCTCCCACCTATCCCCACACTCCTTAGTCCAACCGAAACTCCCCAGTGCTGCTGTGCCAACATGCCTCAGTCATGCTTCAACCATCTGGCTCTTTGAGTCTCCTATTTGCAGAACTCGCATGTTTAATAAATTCCACATTAATAAATTCTTACACTTTTTTTCTATTAATCTATCTATTGTCATTTCATTTCAATAGACTTAGACGTGAACATTCACAGGGGAAGAAAAATATCTCCTGATTCCTACATTATCTATGTCACCTCTAAACAGAAGCTATAGAGCAGGATGATATTAACAGGAAGACTAGAGTCAGGCAGAGTAGAGGCCAAATGCTTAAACTCTTCCTCCTATATAATGAGGATAATAATAGTGTCTTTCTCATAGATATTTTTAATTCCTCACTTGACATTGTTGAGAATAAATGTGACGTTATATTTAAAGTACTCTACAAGGGCCCTGTATGTAGTATGCCCAGTATGTTATAAACGAAGTTGTTACTGATAAGGAAGATGATGATAATAACATGATGATGAAAATATACATTTTCCGTGTAATACATTGAAGAGCTCTCAGTAGGCTAAGCACATATGGTTGAGTATTCTCTATAAAATACAATGGCATGTTAGTCCAAAGCCAAATGGTCACTCTCCATAAATAG
The DNA here is from genome assembly GCF_000001405.40 of Homo sapiens. Lineage (NCBI taxonomy): Eukaryota > Metazoa > Chordata > Mammalia > Primates > Hominidae > Homo > Homo sapiens. Next base: position 91,100,892 of record NC_000001.11, on the reverse strand, counting down.
ACATCCACCTTTATGTCCTGTTATGGCTGACGAGGATGTGGCATGGTGCCTCAAAGTGTACCATGAACTTTCACATCCATAACCTTTTTTAATCCTCACAGCTGGCCTTCAAGGTAGAGAATGAGGGCATAGCAATGTAGTATAGACCACTGGACACGAGTCGGGCTGGAGTTCCGCACTCGCCCTGTGACTTTGAACACGTCCTTTCACCATTTTAGTCTCCATTTGCTCACTTGTGAACTGAGATAGAATTCCTGTTTTGTGGAATCCACAGTCTTGTGGGAATCAAAAGGGAGACCATATGTGAAAGTGCTAAACCACCCTGCCCACATACAAAGATCTGATCTGCCCTTATTTTGGAACATAAGGAAACTAAAGTTGACAGAAGTGACCTGACATGTGCAAAACCTCTCAGCTTACAAGAGGGAGAGGCAGAATAGGAAACTGGGTCAGTGTGCCTTCCTTCACACAGCACTGATCCTGAACCGCTGACATTCCCTGCAGGCCCTTCACTGCAGAGGCAAAGTAAGAGAAAGACGCAGGTCACATAGACCCCTGCGGTCAGAGTTTTACAAAGCAGACCTGGCCAGTAGATCACTGCACCATGTCCCCACAGGTCAGGCCACCACCTCTCTGTGGGAAGCTACAGCTTCCTGTATCAGGCTCTGTGCCAAACCAAAGCCCTTTGTGGGTATTTAACTCTTTGCTACGTCCCAATTTATACTATGGTCATGAGAGGCAGAGTGAAAGTGAGGGGGCGCTGGGTTTAAGTTATCTGCTGATGAACTTGGAGCCATTATGAATTTGTCAGAGGGATGTGAACCAGAGCAACTCCATCTCAAATAGGATCTGGGTAAAATGAGGCTGAAACCTACTGGGCTGCATTCCCAGACACTTAAGGCATTCTGAGTCACAGGATGAGATAGGAGGTCAACACAAAATACAGGTCATAAAGACCTTGTTGATAAAACAGGTTGCAGTAAAGGAGCTGGCCAAACCCACCAAAACCAAAATAGCGATGACAGTGACCTCTGGTAGTCCTCACTGCTATACTTTCACCATTGCCATGACAGTTTACAAAAATGCCATGGCAACGTCAGGAAGTTACCCTATATGGTCTAAAAAGGGGAGGCATGAATAATCCACCCCTTGTTTAGCATATCATCAAGAAATAACCATAAAAATGGGCAACCAGCAGCCCATGGGGCTGCTCTATGGATCAGCCATTCTTTTATTCCTTTATTTTCTTAATTAAACTTGCTTTCACTTTGCGCTGTGGACTCGCCCTGAATTCTTTTTTGTGCTAGATCCAAGAACCCTCTCTTGGGGTCTTTCTTGTGCTAGATCCAAGAACCCTCTCTTGGGATCTTTCTTGTGCTAGATCCAAGAACCCTCTCTTGGGGTCTGGATTGGGACCCCTTTCCTGTAACAAATTGATCATTTAACTCGCTCTTTTTTTTTTCCTTGCTCTGTCGCCCAGGCTGGAGTGCAGTGGCACAATTTTGGCTCACTTCAACCTCCGCCTCCTGGGTTCAAGCAATTCTCCTGCCTCACCTCCTGAGTAGCTGGGATTACAGGCACGCGCCACCATGCCTGGCTAATTTTTCTATTTTTAGTAGAGACGGGGTTTCTCCATGTTGGTCAGGCTGGTCTTGAACTCCTGACCTCCTGATCCACCCGCCTCTGCCTCCCAAAGTGCTGGGATTACAGGCGTGAGCCACTGCACTGGCCCAGTGTTTCTCAAGGAATGGCCTGCAGGCTACATATATCAAAATCGCCTGATGCACACTCTCTCCCCTAACCCCACTCTCACCTATGGAATCAGACAAGAGTGGGAGCCCAGAAATCTGCATTTCATAAGGCTACAGTTCAGTCCCACAGACATCCAAGTTTGAGAACCACAGCCACACTCCCCAGCCTCCCAGAAGCATTCAATCAAAAGACAGACAAGGAAGGGAACAGTGTGACCTTCAATACTGAATGCTTCTTTGGCATCACTGTGGACAACAAAAGCCAAGTCCCTTTCCCCTTACTATTTGCTGAATAACCTGCACAGCTCTTCTTTAGCAGGTCTGAGTGGGACAAGGTTGTTTCTGTTGATTGACAGGGATTTTAGCATGAATATTTAATGGGCAGGGCAGCTGGTACACTTGGCTAATGTAATATTTCAAGCTCTGCTTTCACACTGTGGGGATTTGCCCTCCCTTAATGCATGTCTACATCCTGTCCCAGTCCTTCCAACAGCATTTCCCACACAGATAATGCCAGTTCAGGGGGCCTCTATTTTCCCAGTCCTCAGAGTAAGCTAGCACTTACTCTTATTTTGAGATAAGGTCCTTCATGCTGATAGAAAGCTACTGGGCATTCTCTTGATTTTTACCATTTCCTGTCCGGGCCCTCCAAGCCATCTCGGTTACAACCCATTGATAGAATCCACTTGGCTGATGTCATTTAGATGAGTCACTCACGCCTTTACCATTCTCTCTCTGTATCATCTCTATATCTTTCTCTATCTCTATCTCTGTCTCTGTCTCTCTTCTCCTTCCAGCCTCTGATATTTCCCAGCTTGCAAAATATTTGGTTCCAGTATTGTACTTATGATTTATCTGAGCCAATTAGGGGGACAAAGAACACTGTCATCGAGAAGAACAGTCTTACTTGCTGTGTTTCTGAAAATTCTTGGAGAGTAATTTCATGCAACTAACATTATACTTAATAATGAAGAACTAAATGCTTTCCCCTTAAGTCGGGAACAAGGCAAGGATGTTTACTCTTACCCTTCTATAAGGTAAATAAATAAATAAATGCTTTCTGATTGGACAGGAATATGTAAAACTGTCTTTATTCACTAATAACACAATATTGTATGTAGAAAATCCCAAGGAATCCACAAAAAACTAATGGAATTAATGAACAGGTTGTGAGGTTATAAGATACAAGAACAATACACACAAAAAAATTATACTTCTATATATTAACAGCAAGCAATCCAAAAATAAAATTAGGAAAACAATTTCATTTATAGTAGCACCAAAAATATATGTAGCAATAAATTTAATAAAAAGTAGAAAATGTACACTAAAAACTACAAAACATAAATGAGACACATTAAAGAAGATCTAAATAAGTGAAAAGACATTCCATGTTCATATTCAAAGACTCAATATGTCGAGATGGCAATCTTTCCCAAATTGATTTATAAATTTAATGCATCCCTATCAAAATCATAGCAGCTTTTTTTTTGTTAATTCACAAATGAATTTTAAAATTTATATGAAAATGTAAAAGACCTAGAAAAGTCAAAATAATTTTTTAAAAAGAGAACAGAGGTGGGGGATTTATACTGCTAAATATTAAAATTTACTGTAAGGCCACAGTAGTCAAGACAGTGTAGTATTAACGCAAGGACAGGCATATAGATCAATGAAACAGAATTGACAGTCCAGAAATAAACCTTACATTTATGGGGAATTGATTTTTAACAAAGGTGTCAAAACAATTCAATGAGGAAATTGTAGCCTTTCCAACAATGGTGCTGGGACAATTATTAATAGATACCCATATACAGAAAAGTGAACTTCCGTCATAAAATACACAAAGATTATCTCATAGACTTAAATGTAGGATCATAGACTTAAATGTAGGATCATAGACTTAAATGTAACAGCTAAAATGATAAACCTCCTAGAAGAAAATATAGCAGAGGCCAGGTGTGGTGGCTCATGTCTGTAATCCCAGCACTTTGGGAGGATGAGGCGGGCAGATCACCTGAGGTCAGGAGTTCCAGACCAGCCTGACCAACATGGAGAAACCTCCTCTCTACTAAAAATACAAAATTAGCCAGGTGTGGTGGCACATGCCTGTAATCCCAGCTACTTGGGAGGCTGAGGCAGGAGAATCGCTTGAACCCAGGAGGGAGGGGTTGTGGTGAGCCAGGATGGGGCTATTGCACTCGAGCCTGGGCAACAAGAACAAAACTCCATCTCAAAAAAAAAAAAAAAAAAAAGGAGGGCCGGGCGTGGTGGCTCACGCCTGTAATCCCAGCACTTTGGGTGGCCGAGGCAGGCGGATCACTAGGTCAGCAGATCGAGACCATCCTGGCTAACACGGTGAAACCCTGTCTCTACTAAAAATACAAAAAAAAATTACCCAGGCATGGTGGTGGGCACCTGCAGTCCCAGCTGCTCGGGAGGCTGAGGCGGGAGAATGGCATGTACCTGGGAGGCGGAACTTGCAGTGAGCTGAGATCGCACCACTGCACTCTAGCCTGGGTGACAGAGCGAGACTCTGCCTCAAAAAAAAAAAAAAAAAAAAAAGAAAATATAGCAGAAAATATTTGTGACTTCGTATTAGGCAAAGGTTTCTTAGATTTATCAAAAGTAAACCTATTTTTTGAAAACATGATGAATTGCATTTTATCAAAATTTAAAACATTGGTACTTCCAAAAATACCACTAATCGGTTAAGGCACTTGTATCTAGAATATAAAAGAATTCTTATAACTTAACAATTAAAAAATAATGAATTAGAAAATAGGCAAATGATTCAAATGAACTTTTTCCCAAAGATATACAACTGGTGAATATGCACACAAAAATGTACTCAACATCATTTAGTTATTAGGGAAATGTGAATGAAAATCACGATAAGATACCAATTCACATCTACTAGGCTGATTCTCTTACACTGCTGGTGGGAATGTAAAAGATGTAGACACTTTAGAAAACAGTTTGGCAGTTTTTCTTTCTTTCTTTTTTTTTTTTTTTTTTTTTTTTTGAGACGAAGTCTCACTCTGTTGCCCAGGCTGGAGTGCAGTGGTGTGATCTTGGCTCACTGCAACCTCCGCCTCCTGGGTTCAAGCGATTCTCCTGCCTCGGCCTCCCGAGTAGCTGGGACTACATGAGCAAACCACCATGTCCGACTAATTTTTTATTTTTATTTTTTTTGAGGCGGAGTCTAGCTCTGTTGCTCAGGCTGGAGTGCAGTGGCGCGATCTCGGCTCACTGCAAGCTCCGCCTCCCGGGTTCACGTCATTCTCCTGCCTCAGCCCCCCGAGTAGCTGGGACTACAGGCGCCCGCCACCACACCCGGCTAATTTTTTTGTATTTTTAGTAGAGACGGGGTTTCACCGTGTTAGCCAGGATGGTCTCCATCTCCTGACTTCGTGATCTTCGTGATCTGCCCGCCTCGGCCTCCCAAAGCGCTGGGATTACAGGCGTAAGCCACTGTGCCTGGCCATGCCTATGTATTTCATGCTTTCTGGAACAGAGAATTTATATTACTATTCAGCACAAAACAAAAAGAAAGGAAGAAAGAAAAGAAAGAAAGAGAGAGAAAGAAGAAAGAAAAGAAAGAAAGAGAGAGAGAGAAAGAAAGAAGAGAGAGAGAAAGAAGAAAAAGAAGAAAAGAAAGAAAGAAAAGAAAAAGAAAGCAAGAAAGCGAGCAAGCAGGAAAGAAAGAACAAATAAATGATATATTGTTAGAAGACAACTCTCCGGCTGGGCGCGGTGGCTCACACCTGTAACCCCAGCACTTTGGGAGGCTGAGGTGGGCAGATCACCTGAGGTCGGGAGTTCGAGACCAGCCTGACCAACATGGAGAAACCCTGTCTCTACTAAAAATACAAAATTAGCCAGGCGTGGAGGCGCATGCCTGTAATCCCAGCTACTTGGGAGGCTGAGGCAGGAGAATCGCTTGAACCTGGGAGGTGGAGGTTGCGGTGAGCTGAGATCGCGCCATTGCACTCCAGCCTGGGCAACAAGAGCGAAAACTCCGTCTCAAAAAAAAAAAAAAAAAAAAAAAAAAAATTCTCCATGGTCTGAGGCACTGATTGCCTGTTCCAGACCATCCTTTCAAGGATGATTGTATAGCAAACAGCTTCAGCTTTGGAAGATTGAGATAATACCTCTCTCTAAAGCAGAGAGATGGCTTGTGTGATATCCAGTTTAATGAAGACAATGTCCCTCTCCAAGACAAAGGTTGAGTAGGTTTGCTTGAAGGCTCTTATAAAAAATTAGAGCTAGGCATGGTGGCTTATGTCTGTAATTTCAGCACTTTGGGAGGCCAAGGTGGGCACATCACTTGAGCCCAGGAGGTGGAGACCAGCCTGGGCAATATAGTGGGACCTTCTCTCTCCGAAAAAACAAACAAAACCAAAATTATCTGAGTACGTGCCTGTAGTTGCAGCTACTTGGGAGGCTGAGGTAGGAGGATTGCTTAAGCTTAGGAGGTTAAGGCTGCAGTGAGCTGTGATCATGGCACTGCACTCCAGCCTTGGTGACAGTGCAAGACCCTGTCATAAATAAATAAATAAATATAAATAAAGGTTTCCTTAGCCTGTGGTCCCTTCGCTTTGACACGTTTATGTCCACTGCCTGTGCAGCATCCATCTAGGCCCCCTGTACCACTCCCTGGGACCTGAGGGGCATGGAGAAACAGCACAAACACAAAGCTGCCTGCTGAGCCATGAGTAATGAAGTCCTTTGCCCATGATGCAGGAGTCTCATGGTTTCTGTCAGTAGACATGAAACTGTGGCAGGCTACCTGATTAGCCTGCAAGTAGGGTAAAATCTCAGACCTTCCATAGTTCTTGATATATAAGCGAAACATGAATGAGCCTCAAAAATATTATGATAAGTGAAAGAAGCCAGAAGCAAAAGACTACCTATTGTATTATTCTAGTTACATGAAATATCCAGAAAAGGTAAATTTATAGAGAAAGAAAGCAGATGAGTGATTCCCTTGGGCTGAGAGTGGGAGCAGAGACTGATTGCAAATGGACATGAAGAAGCTTTTTGGAGTGATAGAAATTTTCAAAAACTGGCTTGTTGTGATGTTTACACAAATCTCTAGACTTAATAAAAATATCATTCAACTGTACCCTTACAATGGTGAATTTTTATGGTATGTAAACTACACCTCAATAAAGCTGTTTAAAAAACACAGTAAAACACTACTTCATACTCACCAGAATAGCTAAAATGGAAAAGATGCAATAACATGGGTTGGCAAGGGATGGAGAGCAACAAGAATATTCATGCATTGCTGGTGTGAATATGAAATGGGGCAACCCCTCCAGAAAACCATTTGGCAGTTTCTTGAAAAGGTAACATACATCAACCCTATGAGCCAGCAATTCAGCTTCCTAGGTATTTACACACAAGAAGAGAAATGAAAACATCTGTCTGTCCATGAAAGGGCTGTACTTCAATGTTTGTGACAGCTTCATTTATAATTACTCTAATTTGCAAATTACCCAAATGTTCTTCAACAGGTAAAGTGATAACCAAATTGTGATATATTCATACAATGAAATACTCTTGGCCAAAAAAAAGTTACTGATATATGAAGTAACATAGATGAATCTCACAGCTATTATGCTGAGCAAAAGAAACCAGATACAAAGGAGTACATAACATGAGTATTTATATAAAGTTCTAGAGCAGGTAAAATTGATCTAGAGTAATAGAAATCAAATTAATGGTTATTAGGCATGATAAGGGAAGGAAGGGCCACATGGGAATTTTCTGGGGACTGGCAAACACACACACACACACACACACACACACACACACACATATATTTCTTGTCAGAGACAGCGTCTCACTATGTTGCCCAGGCTGGAGTGCAGTGACTATTCACCAGCACAATCATACAAACACACTGTGGCCTTGAACTGCTGGTCTCAAGGGATTCTTCTGCCTCAGCCTTCCAAGTACATGGGACTACAGGCGGATGCCACCATGCCCAGCTAATTGTGTATCTTGATTTTCAGGTGGTGGGTACACAATACATACCTTTGCCAAAAGGCATCAACCTGTTTCATCAATCTGCTTACCCTGTGTAAATGTTATTGTACATAAATTACCTTATTTGAGTTCAAATTAAATAAGTTTATTATCTTCTCTCCAAATCACCACTATCATGGACGATAACACCCTCCACGTTAACCAGGTCAAAAACTTCAAAGGTTTGGCTGATTTTTTTCCTTCTTTATCTTTCAAATCCCATTAGCTATAGGTCCAGTGGATTTTCCCTTTGAAATCTATGCATTCATTCCTACCTTGGCCCCAGTACTGAAGTCTATTGTTTCCATTAGTCTTGCACAGGCAAAAGCAGAGGCAGAGTAGAGAAAAACAGAGAGAGGAGGAAGGGGTGGGGGAGGGAAACTGACAACCGTGAATTCCTTGTTTGTTATTTTTTTTGTGGGGGGCGGGATTTAAGCTTAACCTTTGTGTTTTGTTTCTATTATTGGCAACGAATGCTGAGGCAGAGTGATGTGGTGATTAGAAGCTTGACTGGAGCTAGAATGACTAAGTTTCGATGAATCTTGGCTCTATTAACTGTGTGGCTTTGAGCAATTTACTTATCCCTTTGAGCCTCAGTTTCCCCCCCATTACTGCACTACCACTACAAATGAAATGACCACACACTGTAAACTCTTTTCCACTCCTTGAGCATTTTTTTTTTGCCATTACATAATTAAATATTTAAAAAGCAAACAACGAAAAGCACATGTTAGATGCTGTGATAGAGATGGTGACCAAGTGCTGTGGGAGAGCTGAAGAGGAGCATTACTCCATCAGCCAGACTTCAAAGGCTGAGGGCTAATCCTCAAGACGGCTCTCACCAACTCCATGTTCAGGAGTTTCCCAAACTACCCTCAGATGCTAGGATTCTATAAAGACACAGAACTTACAGAAAGCTATTATTCTCCCAGTGACGGTTTAATTACAGGGAAAGGATACAGATAAAAATCAGCCAAAGGAAGAGGCACACAGAGCAGAATCTGAGAGGTTTTCAATTGTGAAGCGTCCATCGTCCCATCCCCCCGAAGTCAGGAAGTGTTACCCTCTCAGCATTGATGTGAGACAATGTGCATGGAATATTGCCAACCAGGAAGCTCACTTGAGCTTCAGTGTCCAGAGTTTTGTGGTTTCATTTATTTATTTACTTATTTAAGGTGGAGTCTCACTCTGTCACCCAGGCGGGAGTGCAGTGGCACGATGTTGGCTTACTGCAACCCCTGCCTCCCGGGTTCAAGCAATTCTCCTGTCTCAGCCTCCCAAGTAGCTGGGACTACAGGCGTGATCCACCTCCCCCGGCTAAGTTTTTGGATTTTTAGTAGAGATGGGGTTTCGCCATGTTGACTAGGCTAGTCTCGAACTCCTGACCTCAGGTGATCCACCCGCCTTGGCCTCCCAAAGTGCTGGGATTATAGGTGTGAGCCATCTTGCCTGACCTGTGGGGTTTTAAATTTTTTTAAAAAAATTTTATCTCTTAGACAGGGTCTTGGTATGTTGCTCAGGCTGGTCTTGAACGCCTTGGCTCAAGTGATCGCCCTGCCTCAGCCTCCTGAGTAGCGGGGACTTTAGGCACGTGTCACTGCACCCATCTCAGTGTCCAGAATTTTTATTGGGGATTCATTACATGAGCAGGATTAATTTATTGATTGACTGATTGATTGCCATGCGGTTGAATTCAGACTTCAGTTTTTATGATACCGCAAGACCCAAAGCCCTGACCCTAGGTCACATCATTGGCCTTTCTGGTATGGCTCATTCCCACCCTAAGACTGTTAGGTGTGATAAACCCCACGCTGAAATCTGGTGTGGCCATCCGCCATCCTAAACAGAGACTCTCCTGTCAGGTATGACAGAGTACCTCCTAGAGGTCTAGAGTAAAAGCCAGATATATTCTTTGGTGAGGCCAAATTCTTTACTACAAAGAATTTGGGAGCCAAGCTTTATGGTTAGGGTTGAGATAAGTTGAAGTCTAATTGAAGTCAGCAGAAGAATCTGACAAAAGCCATGATGGATTGATTTGTTACTGATATTTTTATGTAAAAAAAGAATCAGGGCTGGGAGCATTGGCTCATTCCTGTAATCCTGTAACCGCCCAAGAAGTTCACCTTGCCTGCTGCGTAGACAGGGCCACTTCATCAAGACAGGGGAATTGCAATAGAGAAAGAGTAATTCATGCAGAGCCAGCTGTGCGGGAGACCAGAGTTTTATTATTACTCAAATCAGTCTCTCCAAGCATTCAGGGAGCAGAGTTTTTAAGGATAACTTGGTGGGTGGGGGGAAGCCAGTGAGCCAGGAGTGCTGACTGGTCAGAGATGAAATCACAGGGAGTCAGAGCTGTCTTCTTGTGCTCAGTCAGTTCCTGGGTGGGGGCCACAAGATCAGCTGAGCCAGTTTATTGATCTGGGTGGTGCCAGCTGATCCATCAAGTGCAGGGTCTGCAAAATATCTCAAGCACTGATCTTAGGAGCGGTTTAAAGGGGGTCAGAATCTTGCATCCTCCAACTGCATGATTCCTAAACCATAATTTCTAATCTTGTGGCTATTATTAGTCCTACAAAGGCAATCTAGTCCCCAGGCAAGAAGGAGGTCTGCTTTGGGAAAGGGCTATTACCATCTTTGTTTAAACTATAAACTATAAACTAAGTTTCTCCCAAAGTTAGTTCAGCCTAGGCCCAGGAACGAACAAGGACAGCTTGGAGGTTAGAAGCAAGATGGAGTAGGTTAAGTTAGATCTCTTTCACTGTCTCTGTCATAATTTTGCAAAGGCGGTTTCAATCCCTCCCTTTGGGTTTTATAACACCTTAACCTTGAGGTGTAGGGTATGAAGATGGGAAAAGACCATTGATCGCTCTGGCTTCTTCTTGCTGATAGGGAACGTAGTGGGAATGGGAGTGAACCCCAAGGTGAGAAGAGTGGAACTGCTTTGCAATTGTCTCAGCAACTCATGCAGGCCTGGCTGGGCTTTCAAGGCTTGCATGGCAAAAACATTAGTACTTTCATCTATAGTTTTAGTACAGTGTTTAAGTGAATAGCCTACTATAAGGTAAATAATGAGTCCTAGGATAAGGAGTACAATTCCCAATTGTTTTTTTTTTTTTTTGAGACTGAGTCTCACTCTGTCGCCCAGCCTGGAGTGCAGTGGTGCAATCTTGGCTCACTGCAAGCTCTGCCTCCTGGGTTCATGCCATTCTCCTGCCTCAGCCTCCGGAGTAGCTGGGACTACAGGCACATGCCATCACACCTGGCTAATTTTTTTGTATCTTTAGTAGAGACCGAGTCTCACCATGTCAGCCAGGATGGTCTTGATCCCCTGACCTTGTGATCCACCTGCCTCAGCTTCCCAAAGTGCTGGGATTAGAGGTGTGAGCCACTGCGCCCAGCTTTTTTTTTTTTTTTTTGAGACCGAGTCTCGCTCTGTCGCCCAAGCTGGAGTGCAGTGGCGTGATCTTGGCTCACTGCAACCTCTGCCTCCTGGGTTCAAGTGATTCTCCTGTCTCGCCCTCCCAAGTAGCTGGGACTACAGGCATGTGCCACCACACCTGGCTGATTTTTTTTATTTTTAGTAGAGACGGGGTTTCACCATGTTAGCCAGGATGGTCTCGATCTCCTGACCTCGTGATCCGCCCACCTTGGCCTCCCAAAGTGCTGAGATTACATGCTTGAGCCACCGTGCCCGACTACAATTCCCAATATTAAAAGCAAAGATTTGAAAGCATTAGTTTGAGGACTTCTAACCCACAAAGAATTTAGAATTTAGTCTAAACTGCAGAAAAAAACCTCAAGAACAGCTATAGTTTTTCTGTGAAAGCATAATTTTTCTCTCTCCAGTCCTCATTTTTATTAAAAACAAATCATGACAGAACTTATTTGTTTACAAAATAAACTTTAGTCTTACTATACGTGGCCTGATTATTTGCATGAAATGCAGCAAGAATAATTATTTTTCACTTAGGCTTTTAAAATTGGCTTTGATAGAGCGTTGTTCTGTGAAGAATCTCAGATAAGACTTTTTTTTTTTTTTTGAGACAGAGTCTCACTCTGCCACCCAGGCTGCAGTGCAATGGCGTGATCTTGGCTCACTGCAGCCTCTGCCTCCCAGGTTCCAGCAATTCTCCTGCCTCAGCCTCCTGGTAGCTGCGATTACAGGTGCATGCCACCACGCCCAGATGATTTTTGTATTTTTAGTAGAGATGGGGTTTCACCATCTTGGCCAGGCTGGTCTTGAACTCCTGACCTCAGTTGATCTGCCTGCCTCAGCATCCCAAAGTGTGGGATTACAGGCGTGAACCACCATGCCCAGCCTAAATAAGGCTTTTAAAAAGCCCAGCCCAGCCATGGGTTTGTACCCTCAAATACCCCTGAGTTGGACAAATTCCTCTCCTCTTGAGGTCCCAAGATAACCTGGGGTTCCTGGGCCTGTTAGAAAGTGACATTCTTTACTTACCACAGGTCAGGAACCTTGTACAGGCACTCTGTGTGGATAAGGTATGAGGCCAGATTCCCCAACAGGCTTTAATTGGCTATACAAGTCAACTTTGATTCTTTAAAGGAAGCATGCCATTCCAGTCAAAGCCTTAGCAAAATAACCAATTTCTCCAATTGTGTCCTGTTACAAAAGAAAATGGATTCTTTTTGCACTTGTGCAATTAGCTATACTGCCATAAATTAAGAATATTCATAAACAGTTTCCAAATTCTGGAGCAATCAGGTAGAGAGGAACAAATATGCTCCAAATTTTGTTCACAGGAGTATATTTTACTCACTTGTTAAAAGTTGCAAATAGCCCTGTAATCCCAGCACTTTGGGAGGCCGAGGGGGGCAGATCATGAGGTCAGGAGATCGACACCATCCTGGCTAACACGGTAACACCCTGTCTCTACTAAAATTACAAAAAAAAAAAGAGCCGGGTGTGGTGGTGGGCGCCTGTAGTCCCAGCTACTCCGGAGGCTGAGGCAGGAGAATCACTCCGACCCAGGAGGCGGAGCTTGCAGTGAGCCGAGATCGCACCACTGCACTCCAGCCTGGGTGACAGAGCGAGACTCGATCTCAAAGAAAAAAAAAAAAGTTGAAAGTAGCTCTAAAGAAATAAATTCTCTTGACTCTGAAAACAAAAGGTTTCGCAATATTTAATACATTAGCTCTCCATGAGAATCCTAGAAGTTTGGACTAGCACAGTTTTTAAAGTTTTATCTGAGACCTGCACTTAGAGTCCTATATCTGAGTATAAACTGCCTTTTGAAAAGGACCAAAGCAAGCCAAAATGTCTGTGGATGACAAAAGTCTATAGTCACTATTAAAGCTACAGTTGATTAGCAATTTTGGTTACTTCTGTGGCATACAAAAATTTTACATAACAATTATAGTTACTAATAATGTACATAAATTATAGCAACATTATAGAAGTTTCTTATAATTTTAGAACACATACTAATAACATATTTATACAAATACAGTCCAAAATAGACCAAACACCATTCACTCTTGTATTTGAAAGTTTTTCCTCTATTCTAATGTCACAATCTCCAGTGTTATTAATCAGAATCCTGCATTAAGAGCACCTGTCAAATTTTATAGCTGATTATAAAACCATCTTTTAAACAGGAACAAAACAAGACAATTGTCTGTGGATGACAAAAACATTTTAGGGCAGCCACAATTAAAGACACGATTGACAAGGAAATTTGTTACATCTGCAGCACATAGCCTGTTAACATAATAATTATAATTATTACTGATAACATATATTAAGTAATATTAGAATTATAAGAGTTTTACATAATTTTGGAACATATACCAATAACACATTTACACAAAAATAGACGAAAGAAAGCCAAACATCATTTCATATCTGACAATGCTTCCTGTATGATTTTTGTACCAAATAAGCCAAATGTCACTTTTGGACTTTAGAGGACCTAATATCTAAAATATTAGATAAGAAAGAGACATAATTTATAATTTGATTTTGGAAAGTTTGTCAAATATCAAAGCTTTAAAACACTGGATATCACAAAATAGAATCCCAGGTCACCATAAGTCATTCATTTGGGCAAAATGATAACTCCAAAAATTTTTTTAAAAAAGAAAAACCTTTACTCTGATAGAGGAAACTTAGCTTTCCAAACAAGACCCAATGAAGATAGGATGAGGCCAACTGATTCTGTCTCTTCCCTCTCTCCTCCTTTTTTTTCCTGCCATTTACCCAAAGGAGAAAACAAAACCCTTTCATTATCTTTTAACATTACATAAAAATCATCTTCAAAAGAGAAAACCAAACCTCATGTTTACATTAGTGCATCTTTAATATTAAAGCTAGTTTTTTAAATAAAATTTTATAGCTCTATCCAGTTTTAATTAATTTGACCATAAGGTAAGATTTTCATCAACTTTTTAGAACCCTTTACAATTTTACATCAAACAGTAGATCAATTTTCTAAGAAAACTGTGTTATTTGGACACATGGGCCCAAATTCTGGCCCTACATCATATGATTTTAATGTTTTAACCTAAGGAAAAAAGCTAAATAATTTCTTTTAAATCTTAGCCAACTTGTTTATATCCACATAATTTTTATAAGATCAACCCTCTACAAACCCTTTTCACTTTGCTTAAACCTTCAGTTTTGTTCCTTTACTCTTTTAGGTTAAGACAATCTTTAAAACCCTCTGAACTAGACAAAATTACCTTCTCATTAAAAGCCATATTCCTGTGCCTTTTTATAATCTTTTACCAAAAACACACTCAATAAATGGCAAAGTTACACAAATAACAGATGGAAAAATTCCAGAAGCCAACAATTGAACCCAGGCCACCACTGTCAAAAGATAAAGGCTTAGCTACTGAGCTATACAGCACTGAGCAGTTTCTATTGCTTTTCCCAGAAGAAGCCTAGAGAAGCCAATTTCAAGCTTGCAGGGCTTTTAACTGCTCAAGAAAAATTTTTAGGACTATGACATGAACCCCAAAATTCTTGTCCTTTGGACGGTGGAAACCAAAAGAAAGTATCCCCACATGGTCACACAGTTAAGCTCTTAAGGACACAAAAAAAGACAGAGAAATTTCATACAGCATTGGTTTCAGGGACCCATAGCAAAGTTTGCAACTGACCAGTCTGCCAAGCTGGCTTGAAAAGCAGGCTTACAGTGGTCCTAAACCCACGTTCTATCCTGTGATACCCCTCTCTCAATCACAGAACACAGACAAATTCTTAGCTCAAAGTACACCAGATTTGCTACAGCCTAAGACTAGTCTCACAAATCCTTTTTTCTATTAATTAAACCCGTGCAGAGGAGACCAATAGTTTACTGTTTTACCCACACAGAGAAAGAGAGAGAGAGACCAGAAACTTGGCTGGTAAGAATTTCTTACCCTTTTAACTAGCATACCAGGTTTCTGGGTTCCCTTTCTCTGCAGCTTCCTGAAGAATGGAGCGGCTTCTGATGACCCTGCTCGCTTGTGCTATAGCTGTGGGGTTCAAGTCACTTTACAAGTGAAAATCACCCTTTACTGTTTTATGGAACCATAGGTAAGATTCTTAATGTGCAAGATGCTGCCCAATAGGCTGCATGGGGAACTGAATTAACATTTTCCATCCCAGCAAAATACACACAACAAAACAAGCATTAGTCACCTCATTCAGCATCCAATATCAACCTGGCAAAGCTCAAACTTTTTCCCGTTGGTCCCTGTTGCCTTTGATCCACTCCAGGTGGGGATGGACGACTTCTGAACAGTAATTCACAATGCGGTCTCTGGGCAAGGGGAAGAGCAGATAGTCACCCCAAGAGATAGGCTTCTTGAGCCTTCTTTAGGGTTCATCTAATGTGACCAGACAAATAAGAAGGGTTCTCTGAGTTAGGCCTGCTGGACTTCCATCAACAACCCCTCTGAGATCCCTTCCACATATACAAACACACACAAAGATGAGATGGACAGAAGGCCTTCCAAATCAGACCCCTAACCAAGAACTCCAAGAGTATCCTTTCCAAACTATCCTCCTATTTTCTGTCTGAGAAACCTCCTGGAAATTTTCCTGATTGAGGAGAAGTCTCCCAAACCAAGACCCTTCCTACCAGTTAGAAAGAGCCAATCAAGACCTCCAGGAGCCAGATATCCCACAGTGAGGCTACAGACACAGACACCCTATGGTAGAGATACAGACACCCTTCAATGGGGCCACAGACACCCCACCATAGGGATACATAACCAGTTAGGAGAAGGAAGGAGGTGTTGGCAGCGCTTAGGATACTCACCAATCCAGACACCCCACAGTGGGGCTACAGACAGACACCCTGTCATAGGGCTATAGTTAAAAGACGTCTCCCCAGGACTATTTCTCCATTGCAATTAAATCCATGCACATTGGGTCAGCAGTGCCCTGCTAGAGAGAGAGTACCAGAGTCAGCCCCCAGTCCAAGACAACTAGGCAGCCACTTGGGCTGGCTTCCAGATCCATCGCTGAGGGAGGAGGGGAGACTGAACGCTGGGGAGGTAGCCACAAGGGCAAACCAAATTTATAGCCACCCAAGGGGTTCATCTTGCCTGCTGCATAGACAGAGCCACTTCATCAAGACAGGGGAATTGCAATAGAGAAAGAGTAATTCATGCAGAGCCAGCTGTGCGGGAGACCAGAGTTTTATTATTACTCAAATCAGTCTCTCCAAGCATTCAGGGAGCAGAGTTTTTAAGGATAACTTGGTGGGTGGGGGGAAGCCAGTGAGCCAGGAGTGCTGATTGGTCAGAGATGAAATCACAAGGAGTCAGAGCTGTCTTCTTGTGCTCAGTAAGTTCCTGGGTGGGGGCCACAAGATCAACTGAGCCAGTTTATTGATCTGGGTGGTGCCAGCTGATCCATCAAGTGCAGGGTCTGCAAAATATCTCAAGCACTGATCTTAGGAGCGGTTTAAAGGGGGTCAGAATCTTGCATCCTCCAACTGCATGATTCCTAAACCATAATTTCTAATCTTGTGGCTAATGTTAGTCCTACAAAGCAATCTAGTCCCCAGGCAAGAAGGAAGTCTGCTTTGGGAAACGGCTGTTACCATCTTTGTTTAAACTATAAACTAAGTTTCTCCCAAAGTTAGTTCAGCCTAGGCTCAGGAATGAACAAAGACAGCTTGGAGGTTCCAAGCAAGATGGAGTTAGTTAAGTTAGATCTCTTTCACTGTCTCAGTCATAATTTTGCAAAGGCGATTTCAATCCCAGCACTTTGGGAGGCCAAAGTGGGCAGACTGCTTGCACTCAGGAGTTCAAGGCCAGCCTGACCAACATGGGTAAACTGTCTCTACAAAAAAATACAAAAATTAGCTGGGTTTGTTATGTGCCTGTAGTCCCAGCTACTTGGGGAGCTGAGGTGAGAGGATTGCTTGAGCCCCAGAGGTCTAGGTTGCAGTGAGCCAAGATCATGCCACTGCACTCCAGCCTGGGTGACAGTAAGACCCTGTCTCAAAAAAATTTCTTAAAAATTATATTCCTTTTATACTAAAATATTAATAGCAATAATTCTTACCCCTAGATTTTAATTTTATCCTGGCTATTCTTTTTTTTTTCTTGTTACCTCTTTCTGAAAAGCTCATGTTTTCCTAAAATTAGAAAGCTTTTAAAGATGGGTAGAAAAACTGAACTGAATGTTAAACACATACATTTTGCCTTTCAAAGAAGAAAGTAAAAGAATGACCACAATCAGGCTCAGGAGTTTATCTGTTTTCAGTAATCTATGCATTGTTCTACATTCCTCTAGGTAACTGAGAGTTGTCTGAGATCGGTTTTTGTAAATGTTTAATTTTACCTGCTTTTACAAGATAGTCATTTAGCAATAGAAATTTCCAAATAATTCCTCATTTCAGCAGTAATAGGCAAGAAAAGAAGATCAAATCCTTGAACTATTTACTTAGATGAACAGAAATATCCTTTTTTGAAATAATGGATATGCAAGATTTAGCCATTAAAGGGTTAGGGTAAGATGAAAATCCTCTCAGTAATAGTTGAAATCTGAGAAAATCTTTCAAGGAAATTAAACACTTGATCAAAAAGAGGAAAGGGTTATTGGTGAGAGCTGAGATTAAACAGCAGAGTTGTCTGAGAAGAGGCCTCAATTATAAGAAGCATGCAGTTAATAATACCCTCTCAGGGATCTGCCTTTCCTCAAGACATCATTTTGGGGAAAAATGCAATAGGGTTTCATTTTTTTAACTAAGAACACGCAAAGAAAATTTTAAAATGAAAAGTTAGTAAAAAATTAGAACCAAGAAGGAAGAATTTAGAAGTACACTTTTAGAATAATCTAAGAGATAGGAAACTGTTACCCCAAATTGGAGTCAAAGACATTTTAAAAGTACACGTCCATTAAATTTTATTTTGTGAACTGAAATATAGAAACAAACCAAAAGCAAGATACTATTCACACTCACTGCCATGAAATTAACTAAGCACTTCCATCATTTAAGTCCTTCGGCTCCTAAGAACACAGAAATCTCCAGAATGAGTCTGTTATTTGAGTCTCATCTTTGTCAGTGACTCATCACATGGTCCTGAAGAAGAAGAACCACTCTCCCCTGTTCCATTTCTTGACTGGGAAGTATAAGAATGGTTTACAGTCAAAATGTCCACCATCTTTATCATCACCAACCACCACATCATCACCACAACTACCACGTATTAGCTGCCACCTAGTATGGGCATTGTACTGGGTACTTTCCATAGTTTGTTTGTTTATTTATTTATTGAGGCAGATTCTCACTCTGTCGCCCAGGCTGAAGTGCAGTGGTGCAATCTCGGCTCACTGCAACCGCCGCCTCACGGATTCATGCGATTCTCCTAACTCAGCCTCCCGACTAGCTGGGATTACAGGTGCCGGCCACCACACCTGGTTAATTTTTTGTATTTTTAGTAGAGATGGGGTTTCACCGTGTTGCCCAGGCTGGTCTTGAACTCCTGAGCTCAGGCAATCCGCCCACCTCAGCCTCCCAAAGTGCTAGGATTACAGGCATGAGCTACTGTGCCTGGCTCACAGTTACTTAAATTAATTCGTATAAAAGCACCAAAGGTTAAAGTGTCATTATTCCCACTTTACAGATGAAAAATCTGGTGCTCAGCGAATTCACAGAGTTAGTAAGCAAAATAGTTAAGTTAAAACCTAATTCTGGGCTGGGCACGGTGGCTCATGCCTGTAATCCCAGCACTTTGGGAGGCCGAGGTGGGCGGATCACCTGAGGTCAGGAGTTTGAGACCAGTATGGCCAACATGGTGAAACCCCATCTCTACTAAAAATACAAAAATTAGCCAGGCATGGTGGCGTGCACCTGTAATCCCAGCTACTCGGAGGCTGAGGCAGGAGAATTGTTTGAACCTGGGAGGTGGAAGTTGCAGTGAGCAGAGTTCATGCCTGCACTCCAGCTCTGGCCACAGAGCGAGACTCCATCTCACGATAAATAAATAAATAAATTCCCTCACTCTTTATCCCCGCTTCTGTTGGTTCAATAGTTTAGCATTTCTTGTGAATATGTATTTGTAACTACAGCCAGTGCTCAGGTTGTCTTCATCACATTTGGCCTTAGGGTTAGCTCAGTCATTGGAAGGACAGTAAGGACTTTTCCTTGTCTGTGGGCCTAAGGTTAACAGAGGATGGAGCCCTACAACTCGATGGGCAACAGGCAGCTTGAGGCAGTCATCGTACCTAGGCTGTGAAGAGAGCTGTGATGGGTCCCAGCAGCAGACAGACCAATCTTGAGTTGGGCAAACTCTCTTTCACACTCTACCCCCATACCATACAGTGCCTCATAACATTCAAAGTTCTTTTTGATAGCATTTCAAGTCTATATGCCTTCTCTTACAGCATACTCCCTCTTGAGTAAATACACAAACAAAAAAGGTTTTATTGAAGTAGTTTGTTAGAATTCTGGCTGGATGAGACAAAGCCTCAACTTTTGCCTAAACAAAACAGATACATCTATCAACTTACATAGCTAAATTGTAAGAAGGCAGGAATAGAGCTGGCCTGAGAAAAGACGGAATGCAGAGGACTGGGTACCATCAGGCTTATCTCTCTCCCTCTTCATGGGAGCACCGGTGGTTCCAGGCTCATACTCTCAGAGGGTGGCAACATGAAAGGAGAAAGTGTGCCTGTGAATCTGAACAGCTCCACTTTGAAAAATTCTGGGAAAGAGTTGTGTCATTCCAACTTGGGTTATGTGCCAATCTCTTCGACCAATCACTGAGGCCAGGGAAGCAGAGTCATATGAGAGGATGTCCATTTGCATTCTGACTACAGGATTAGACTGCAGGAAAGATGGGTGGTTTCCCCAAAGAAGGAAATGACTCTGACTTGGGGCATTACTGTGGCAGCCTCCCTAGCCCCAACAACCAAAGATCATATCTGAAATAGGGATTAGGTTCTAGGGTCAGTCTGAAGGAGAAACATTACGTATTTAAAATCATCCTCAAAAATATCTAAATTGGTTACACATCCCTAATTCTTAGTCACACTAAGGACTGAAAAACACTAAGCTTGATTAAAGGAAAGAACGACATACAAGTCTATAAAGTGATGTTTGGGCATTGAAATGAACTTGCTTTTTCTTTTCTTTCTTTTTTTTTGAGATGGAGTCTCCCTCTGTTGCCCAGGCTGGAGTGCAGTGGCACTATCTCAGAAATGAGCTTGCTTTTAAGACAGAAATCACATCCCTTCCCAAGAGTAGGGGATGCAGAGAAATTTCCAAAACTATGTCTTTTTTTTTTTTTTTTTTGCTTTTTGAGTCGGAGTTTCGCACTTGTTGCCCAGGCTGGAGTGCAGTAGTGCGGTCTCGGCTCACTGCAACCTCTGCCTCCCAGGTTCAAGCGATTCTCCTGCCTCAGCCTCCCAAGTAGGTGGGATTAC
This sequence comes from Homo sapiens, assembly GCF_000001405.40. Taxonomy (NCBI): domain Eukaryota; kingdom Metazoa; phylum Chordata; class Mammalia; order Primates; family Hominidae; genus Homo; species Homo sapiens. Next base: position 91,080,213 of record NC_000001.11, on the reverse strand, counting down.
AGGTGCCCACCACCACGCCCGGCTAGTTTTCGTATTTTTAGTAGAGACGCGGTTTCACCATGTTGGCTAGGCTGGTCTCAAACTCCTGACCTCAGGTGATCCACCCGCCTCAGCCTTCCAAAGTGCTGGGATTACAGGTGTGTGCCATGGGGCCCGGCCAAAACTGTGTCTTCTTAACCACAGGGTGCACTCCTTTTTTTTTTTTTTTTTTGATATTAAGTTTGTGTTACCTTAAAACAAAACAAGAAAATCATTTGTTGAGATGATTTTAAAAGACATGTATAAATACATAGCATAGGATCTGGTCATAGAAGGTGTTCAATAAATAATTGCTGGATTTAAATCCAAATCTTCCTTGAATCTGAAAGGGAAGTTTCTATTTGGGTTGACATTTTGTTGTGGCTCCTTCAATCAGCAATCATCTCCTGATCATCCAGGCTTGGTCTCTGACCTTCAGTGGAATCACATGTTAGAGTAGTTTCTTACAGCATGGGTTTGTGCTAGGAGAGGCAGCTGGAGGAAAATGAAATGTGCTTGGATGGCTTGAAGAGCCTGGGTTCTAACCCTGGCTCTGACAAAATTAGTCATGAAACTTAAGGCAAACCCTTTCAGTTTGCTGGGCTTCAGTTTTCTCACTGGCAAAATTGGGATGTTAATGCCTCTCTACCAATAAAGCTGTTGGAGGGAGATTAAACTAGATAGCATATAACTGACTAGCTGGCTCATATTAAACACTGAAATGATGTCAGTTTCTTTCCTTCCTGAGAAGGAATTACATTATGGCACCCTCGGGATACTGACAACCAAAGAGAGTCTGTAATGCCCACTGATACATCTGGCATAAATAGTTAAAGAAGCAAATTCTGACTCAGAAATATGGTATGCAGTTCTTTATTACCATTTTCTCAGGTGGACAGAACTTTTCTCTGTTTCTATCAAGTTGCCAAAAGATTATTTAAAAACAATTTATATATACACATATATACGTGTATATATATACGTGTATATATACACCTATATATACGTATATATACACATATATACGTATATATAGGTGTATATATACGTATATAGGTGTATATATACACATATATACATATATACGTATATATGTATATACGTATATACGCACATATACGTATATACTATATACATGCGTATATACGTATATACATGCGTATATACATACACATGTATATGTACATATGTATACATATATACGTATATATGTATATATACATTGTTTTTAAATAATTTTTTGGCAACTTGATATATACATATATGTGTATATATACACACACACATATGTGTATATACACACACATATATGTGTATATATACACACACATATGTGTATATACACACACATATATGTGTATATATACACACACATATGTGTATATATACACACACATATATGTGTATATATACATATATACACATATATATGTGTGTGTGTGTGTGTGTATATATATATATATATTTTTTTTTTTTTTTGAGACAGAGTTTCCCTCTTGTCACCCAGGCTGGAGTGCAATGGCATGATCTCGGTTCATTGCAGTCTTCACCTCCCTGGTTCAAGCGATTCTCCCACCTCAGCCTCCGGAGTAGCTGGGATTACAGGCATGCACCACCATGTCCAGCTAATTTTTGTATTATTAGTAGAGGCGGGGTTTTACCATGTTAGCCAGGCTGGTCTTGAACTCCTGACCTCAGGTGATGCACCTGTCTCAGCCTCCCAAAGTGCTGGGATTACAGGTGTGAGCCACCGCGCCTGCCATTTTAAATATATTAAATTGTGCCTAATGAGAAGAAAATTTTTTTTGATTTGGATTTATATGTATACATGTGATAGGATGTTGGTAAAGATATACAACTATTGAGTTATCGAGCTTTGAAAGGCATTCTGGACACAGTGCTGACCGTTACAAATACTCATTTATAGTGTATGAGTTGTTCTAGAAATAAAGTTTTTTTTTTACTGTTTCATTGCTGGTAGTTGAATTTTTTCCTTTCTCAACATAGCCATTAGCCTCTGTAACCTTTCCTACTTGATTGTTCCAAAATGGTTTACTACTGTTCATTATAGTAGAGCTCTTATGTATGTGTGTAATACATGTTATGATTATGAGTAGGCCTTTTGGCTCACAGAAACCCAGACATGGCACAAATATTCATCACACATGGCCCCTGGAAATACCTGGCCTGGAAATCTCAGCCAACATGGGATTAATTTGATGTAATTCAATCTCTTGGAAAGATTGTCTAATATAATTGCCTTACATTATATTTACTGATTGGTTAATTTGGATAGAAATAAATTCTTTTTTGATAAGTGTGAATTAGAATCATATGCTAATTTTACAGAGGAGATTAAGTTATTTATTTAATTTTAATGTCCTTTCAGCACTCTGGTTCAATTGTTGGTGAAATACAGTATTGCTCAGTAAGTTGACACCCAGATTTAATTAGTTTCTTGGGGGAATTATTAGAAGACAGCATAGACATTAGCAGCAACCCAATTTTTAAAAACATCTATTGTGATATTTCTTTTCTTGGAGCACACATTCCCTATTATTGTATCTTATCTCTGGGATACACATTTCTCTAGAACAAATAGAATATTCATGACCATTACATAGGTTAAAACACTTACACACTAGAGAGGGTACAGCACGGGCCTCCAAACTACACCTAGAATACGGCTTAGCACACACTCATGAAATTAGTTATCCTGAGGATCATGGATCCGGTGAGAACATATGCCAGAATGCAGGACAAGAACATACAGATATATCACTAGCTTTTGTAAATAAGAAACATGAAGTTTGACTAAAGCCAAGACTGAACCATTCAATATTCTAGATCCTACCACCTCTTGCCTTGTTCATGTTGGCAATCATAGCAGCACCAAGTGATTCCTAGTTTATTTGCTAGTCAGGGTGAGATTGAGAGTGTAAAGCATTGCAGGAAGAGAGAGCAGCATGCCTAGAGATGAGAGAGAGCCTGGGATGCTCATGGAAATAAGTCCAGGAGTGCTGGGGTATGCAGACTAAGGGGAAGCGTGATGAGGAGGCATAAGGGCTAAAGTCTGCAGGAGTCTTTGGCTCATTCTAAGGACAGTGGGAAGCCACTGAAGAGTGCTAAACAAGGAAGTCACATGATCTCATCTGCATTTTTACAAGTTTTTGTCTAGCTGCAGGATTGAGACCAGAGGTCAGGAGAGTAGGTAGGAAGTAGAAGAAGGAGGCAAAGAAGACTCCCAGGCTTTTGACTTGAGCAGCTGAGAGCCTGGGCTATTTATGAAGCAGGGCAACACTGGAGGAAAGGCAGGGTTTTTTGTTTGTTTTGCTGTTATTGTTTGTTTTAAAAGATAGGGGAGAGTATGATGAATTCAGTTTTGGACCCACTGAATTTGGGGTGCCTATGACAACATTGTATTAGGCAGCTTGGGCTGGCATAACAAAATACCACAGACTTGGTGGCTCAGACAGCAGAAACTTATTTCTTATAGCTCTGGGGACTGGAAAGGCCATGATCAAGATGCTGACCAGGTACGTTTCATTCTGAGGCCTCTTCTCTTGATTTGTCGGGGGCCACCATCTTGCTGTGTGCTCACATGACTTCTTTGTGCCCTTGGAGAGGGCAGAGAGAGAGAGAAAGAGCGCCTTGGTGTCCTCTTTTTGTAGAGACACTAATTCTGTTGGATCAGGACCCTACCCTTATGACCTCGTTAACCTTAATTACTTCCTTGGAAGCCCCATTTCCAAATACAGCCACACAGGGGTTAGGGCCTCAGTAGAGGAATCTGGAGGGAGAGGGGAACAAACAGTCCATAACACTCACCCAAGCAGAGAGGTTAAGGTGTCATCAGGAATGGGAGTGGGAGGGGCTTTGGAGCTCAGAGAGGAGGCCTGGGCTGGAGCTCCTGATTTGATAGCTATTGGTATAAAATTGCCAACTTGAAGCTTCAGGAGTGGGCTGAAATCATCAAGGGAGAGAGAGCTCCAAAGAAAGGAGGGTCTCTCTAGGATCTAAACTTAGGGTAGAGGAAGAAAAGCTGGCAAAGGGGATTCAGATGGAACAGCCAGAAAGCTGGGAAGAAACCAGAGGAGTGTAGTAACTTGAGAACTGAAGGAAAAAGATCTCATGAGTGTTATCCCATTTCCCTTCTCATGGCCTGGCAAGCAGGAAGTTCCCCTGAACGTCAGACTTCTGGATCTGGCCCTGGTTCCTTCCCTCCCCAAAGCCACAACTGATTATTGAACAGATGTTGGTTGAGCAGTTAGTGTGTCCCAGCTCTAGTATGGCCTCCGTGGAGGACAGGAAGCAGCTGAAGAAGCAAGTCCTATTTAAGGAACTTATGGAAGAGCCAGGAAATATTTTGAAAGAGAAATAACTCTCAGGGCAGGGCCATGAATATTAACTGACATAACATGTATACAGTGACCATTGTAAGAGTTTAGAGGAGGCAGAGACTGCTCTGGCCCGAGGGAGTCAGAGGAAAAGTGGATTTGAGTGACAAGGGCTGCGTTCTTGTGGTGTGAGTGAGCAGGCATTTCAGGCAGAGGGCGTTGCATGAGCGCAGGACACCGAGATGACAAATCTGACCTTGCCATTGGTTCCCCAAGAGCTCCTGGTTGCTGGTACAGGGATTCTGGAGTCTTTAATGCTCTGGCCTCTGCCTGCCGCCCACACTCACCTCCCACTCCTACCCTACAGCCCACACTCACCTCCCACTCCTACCCTACAGCCCACACTCACCTCCCGCTCCTACCCTACAGCCCACACTCACCTCCCGCTCCTACCCTACAGCCCACACTCACCTTCCTACCCCTCCCCTTCTAGAAGATGTTTTGTATTCCAGCAGATCAGAACTCTTTGCAGCTTTTCACACATGAACACACACACACACACACACACACACACACACCCACCAAGCTTCTAGCGTCCCTGCCTTTATTCATACCATTCTTCTGCTTTGAATGCCACCTGCCCCTCCATCTGGTTTACCCTTACTCGGCCCCTAGGGCTGAGTCTAAGCCTGGGTCCTCACTGAGAAGCTCATCACATTCCATCACCGCCCCCTCACCCATCCCCATGAAGACCCCTACCGACACTCTTTGCTAAATGTCTAATTGTTTATGTGGCTGTCACCTGCACTAGATTGTCAGCTTCATGAGGGCAGGAACTGTGGTTCTTTTTTTTTTTTTGAGATGGAGTCTCGCTTTCTTGCCCAGGCTAGAGTGCAGTGGCGAGATCTTGGCTCACTGCAACCTCTGCCTCCTGGGTGCAAGCGATTCTCCTGCCTCAGCCTCCCAAGTAGCTGGGATTACAGGTGCATGCCAACACACTCAGCTAATTTTTTGTGTTTTTGTAGAGGCAGGGTTTCACCCTGTTGACCAGCCTGGTCTTGAACTCTTGACCTTAGGTGATCCGCCCACCTCGGCCTCCTAAAGTGCTGGGATTACAGGCAGGAGCCACCACACCCAGCCTTGTTTTGTTTTTTTAACACAACCCCAGCATCTAACCCACACAATACTTCGCTGTGGACAATGTTAATGCAACAAATAAAGCACCTTCTCCACTCCACTGTGCTAAATTTGACTTAACTGACATTCAACCTTATACTTCTTCCATAGTAGAATAAAATACAATAAAACATTAGAGGTATGGAAACGCAAAGCAGCCAGGGCAGACTTGGACACCATGTGACAGAAAGCATTAGCTAAGCAGCCAGGACCACTCTGGGGTCTTGCCTGTTTTGTCACCATGAGCAGCACGCTCAGTAACTCAGTGGTTCACGTGGATCAAATTTGGAAAATGCCATGATTAATGAGAGTGCAAAACCAATTAATAAGATGAGAAATTTATTTTGAAACATATAAGGAAAATACTAAACTATGCAAAACCATAATAGCTAACCTTTAGTGGGGACTTACTATGTGCTAGAGGCTTACTACTATATGCTCTTTACAAATATTAACATGTTTAATTTTCATAATAGCTCCATAAGATAATTCTTAAGTGAGTTAACATTTAAGGAGTAAAGTAGATGAGCATATAGTAAGCACTATGTACATGTTAGTCATTTCTTTTTTTTTTTTTTTTTTTTGAGACAGAGACTCGCTCTGTTGCCCAGGCTGGAATACAGTGGCACGATCTCAGTTCACTGCAATCTCCACTTCCCAGGTTCAAGCTATTTTCCTGCCTCAGCCTCCTGAGTAGTTGGGACTAGAGGCGTGCACCACCATGCTGAGCTAACTTTTTGTATTTTTAGTAGCGATGGGGTTTCACCATGTTGGCCAGGCTGGTCTCGAACTCCTGACCTCAGGTCATCTGCCTGCCTTGGCCTCCCAAAGTGCTGGGATTACGGGCGTGAGCCACCGCACCTGGTCCACGTTAGCTATTTCTATTCTTATGATCATTTTATGGAGGAGAAACCAAGTGGCAATGGGATGAATATAAATAAATTGCCTTAGTAATTTGGTAGGTGGTAAAATTGAGAAGTGAAGCCAAGTCATCCAATTCTAGAGTCCAGACTCTTAACCATTACATTAGAAGGTGACCAAATCCCCTATTCCACTGTAGGTAAAGTCAGTTTAGCTATTTCATTTGAAACAAGATAATAGTGTTTACACAAGAGAACCTGTGACCATTTGGTACCTGTAAAATCCACAGCCATAGGAAAGTAATGTTGTTAACCAAAGCAAAAAGTGCGGGTTGTAGGACAGAGGAAATCAAACTGTGGTTTAAAACATTCACCTGTGGGAAGTCTGTGCTAGTGCAGCAGTTTCCAAACCAGAAACATTGGCATGGGTAGTAAAGGGTGTGTGTGTGTCCAAAGGGAGCAGAGTCACCAAACATAAAGTCAAGTTCAGGGCATTAAAAAGAAATGATTGCGTTTCTGTCATTGTCATTTTTAAAAGAAAGATACGGAGAAGAGAAAACGTGAGAGAAATTGCTGAATGCTAGGCACTTTACTGGGTTCTTAACAAATTTTAGCTCATAAAATCATGGTGGCCACCTGGAAAGTACTTATCATTATCGTACTTTTGAAGAGAAGAAAACTGAGGTTCAATGACTTGCCCATAGTTTCCTAGTTTGTAAGTGGCAGGACTGAGATTTGAAACTAGGCCAGCCCAGTTCGGAGAACTACATTCTCTCCCTGATGCCAGACTGCGGGTAACCAAACTTTCCTCCCAGTCACATTCTTCTTCTTCTTATCAGAGCAATGGGAACCCCCTTGTAGTTCTTACTTTTAAAAGAATATTACATTGCTCCTATTCTTCCCTTTTTTTTTTTTTTTTGGTAGCAGAATATTAAGGACTTATAAAAGGGGTAAAAGAACAAAATCACTAAATTAAAAAAACCCTTCTGGGCGCAGTGGCTCAGGCCAGGCACTGTGGCTCATGCTTGTAATCCCAGCACTGTGGGAGGCTGAGGCAGGCAGATCACCTGAGGTCAGGAGTTCAAGACTGGCCTGACCAACATGGAGAAACCCCGTCTCTACTATTAATACAAAAAAAAAAAATTAGCTGGGCATGGTGGCGCATGCCTGTAATCCCAGCTACTCGGGAGGCTGAGGCAGGAGAATCGCTTGAACCTGGGAGGTGGAGGTTGCAGTGAGCCGAGATCATGCCATTGCACTCCAGCCTGGGTGACAAGACTGAAACTCTGCCTCAAAAACAAACAAACAAACAAACAAACAAACCCTCAAATATCATTGTCCCGCAATGGTTAATAAGGATAGTTTCACCACTTAGCCTTAAATGAGAAAAATAAAAACAATGTCCTCTGTTGCCCCATAAACTAAATGTATTCTTTAAAAATGACTTTTTAAAAAAATAATTTCAACTTTTATTTTACATTTGGGGGTACATGTGCAGGTTTGTTACTTGGGTATACTATGTGATGCTGAGGTTTGGGGTACAATTGATCCCATCAACCAGATAGTGAACATCGTTTCCAATAGTTAGTTTTGCAGCCCTTGCCCCCTCCCTCCTACCTCCGTCTAGTAATCCCCGGTGTCTATTGTTACCATCTTCATGTCCATGTGTACCTAAAGTTTAGCTCCCACTTATAAGTGAGAACATGAGGTATTTGGTTTTCTGTTCCTGTGTGAATTTACTTAGGATAATGGCCTCCAGCTGCATCCATGTTGCTGCAAAGAACGTGATTTCATTCTTTTTTATGGGTGTGTAGTATTCCATGGTGCATATGTACCAAATTTTCTTTAGCCAATTTACTTTTGATGGGCACTAGGTTGATTCTATGTCTTTGCTATTGTGAATAGTGCTGAAATCAACATATAAGTGCGTGTATCTTTTTGGTAAAATGAATTATTTTCTTTTGGATATATACCCAGCGATGGGATTATTGGGTCGAACGGTAGTTTTGTTTTAAGTTCTTTGAGAAATCTCCAATCTGGTTTGCACAGTGACTGAACTAATTTACATTCCCACCAGCAGTGTATAAGCATTCCCTTTTCTCCCCAGCCTCACCAGCGTCTGTTGTTTTTTGACTTTTTAATAATAATAAAAGGAATTTTATTCTAAGATTTTTTTTCTCCTACCTACCTGGTGTTAAAATACCTTTATTTTATGAAAAGGTGACGGCAACCAGTAATTTCTTTTTAATGTCTTAACCTGGCAATTATGTGTTTGCCCTGCCCCCTCCAAAGCCTCCCCCTGTCAACCTTCCTACCTCCTGCAAAATGTTATTGTTATCTCTCTAGGAAGTACTGCATGAATGCATGTTTGTGTGTGTGTGTGTGTGTGTGTGTGTGTGTGTACAAAGTTTGTCTATTTTTGCCCTAGATTCTCCTCCTCTTTTTGTTATTGCTTCTAATATCTGATGAAATATAATGAAATTTGTCAATGTCTTTGTGATTGCAACTGTATCCTGAACAGGCAGGATTTTTGCAAACAGAGATATTGACAACACAGTTACTCTCTGAAATATTTTCCCTGAAAAGAGTGACAATGCTGCCTGCTGAGGTCTCTTACACCAAACATGCTTCTGAATTACACACAGTCATGATTATAAAAGTGAAACTGACTCCATAACATATTAGCTCTTTTGTGGAAAGTGACTTTCTAATATCAGAAGAGCGTATTGAATAGAATTGAGGCAAAATTATTCTTGTGCCATATATAGAGAACTTTAAGCAAAAATAATTTTTTTCTAAGTTTATTTAGTAAGCTTCTTAAAATGAGATCCTCAGGTATAGTCATTAATTCCTATAGTGTAATTTTAAAACCAAAAAGAGCTTCTATTCTCCAAATATCTCTCTGCCAACCTATAACAAAACACAGTGCAGGGATCTGCCAACAGCAGGATTCCCAGGTTGTTTTGCCTTTTCAGGGGTGACTTTCCTCTGACATTATCTGGGGCCCAGGTTCTCTGCCCCTGGGCTCATAATCCTGTTCCCTGCCTTTCTCCTTTAAGTACCCCTCCCTCTCTCCATCGTGCCTCCTGCTCCGCTTCATAAGACTTTTATAAACTGTTTTTAATACACTGAGCGAAACTCAGGATCACACAATAAATACAAACTTGGAAACTATCCCAGTACTGAATTGTTTGACACTCGATCCACATCCCACCTTACACCCCTCTTCCTGCTACAAACTCAGGCTTTTTTTCAATCCTTTGCCACTCTCTTTCATAGTGAACTCAAGCTTCCTCCACTGGAAAGCAATCTTGCCATTTATGTTTCAGCTCCCTCCCACACCCTCTATCCTTTAGTGCAGGCCACTTCAACCTGGCTTTATACGATGGGTGGAATGCTGGAGCCAGCTCATGCTGTCTCAAGAGAGCTGATTATAAAATTTTTAGGAATTTTGCAAGCTGGATGTTAAAACAGTTATCATTAAAAATTAAATAATATAAACTTGAAATCAAGAAAGCTATATAAAAACAAAGATTATAAATAGTCCGGACTCACCACTGCCTAATTATTTTACTACATGTTATTATTTTTTATGCATTGAAAGTTATTTATGTCCATTATATCTGTGTCATGGAAATGGTATATAATAGTGTGGGCATCTCTTTCCCAGCCTGAGTTCAGTGGCATCATATCGGTAGCTTGAAATCTGTCATGGTTTACACCACTGATGCAAATCAGGGTTCTGGCCGGGTACAGTGGCTCACGCCTGTAATCCCGGCACTTTGAGAGGCCGAGGTGGGCAGATGGCTTGGGCCCAGGATTTCGAGACTAGCCTAGGCAACATGGCAAAACCATCTCTACAAAAAAAAAAAAAAATACAAAAAATTAGCTGGGTATAGTGGCGCATGCCTGTAGTCCCAGCTACTTGAAAGGCTGAAGGTGGGAGGATCATCTGAGCCTAGGGATGTCGAGGCTGCAGTGAGCTGTGATCTTGTCACTGCACTCCAGTGTAGGTGACAGAATGAGACCCTGTCTCAAAACAAACAAATCAGGCTTCCTGCCATCACACTGCCTAAAGCCAGTTGTGAAGTATTTACCAGCACATCTTCATGCAACACAATGGGAAGGCCCAGCTATTTAGTCTACAGAGCCAAGGAAAGCAGAGCTCTAATGATGTGGTTAGGCTTTGCGTCCGCACCCAAATCTCATCCTGAGTTGTAATCCTCAGGTGTTTAGGGAGAGAACTGGTGGGAAATAATGGGATTATGGGGGCAGTTCCCCCATTCTGTTATCATAATAGCAAGTGAATTCTCGTGAGATCTGGTGGTTTATAAATGGTAGTTTTTCCTGTGCTCTCACACACTCTTGCCTGCCACCATGTAAGACGTGTCTCTTCCCCTTCCACCATGATTGTAAGTTTCCTGAGGCCTCCCCAGCCTTGTGGAACTGTGAGTCAATTAAACCTCTTTCCTTTATAAATAACCCAGTCTCGGGTCTGTCTTTATAGCAGGATGAGAATGGCCTAATACACTGACATATCAACACCAATAGGAAACCCATCAGCTTCAGCTGGGCCCTCAGCACTGCTCTGCAGTCTTTTATGCTGCTCTGGTCAGTTTTCTCTTCCTGCTCCAGATGCTATTTTTTTTCTGATTTTCTTCACTTCCCTCCACCATCTAGCCATCTTTCTCTTTCCTCCTTACTCTCAGAAAACAAACTAAATTTCTATTTCACAGAGAAAACAGACGCCATTCAAGAAGTGCTCCCTTAACTTTCTGGCTCCAAATCTATCAATGGACATGTGTGTACATCCTGCCTTTTCCTGCTGCAGTGAAGGAGTTGTCCCTGCTTCTAAGGCTTGTCTTTCCGCCTCAGCCCTGGTCCTAGCCTCTTCTGCCTCTTCAAGAACTTCCCTTTCTCCGTTATCCTCTGTCTTCTCTGTTGTCACCTCCTTATCCAGTATTTTAACTTGTATTGTGCCCTTGTATTTAAACAAATGAGCTTTCTCAATTCAGTGTCCTCCTATAGCTACTGACCTACCTCTTCCCTTCTCTTCATAGCCACACTTGAGAACACTTGTCCAAACTCTTCAGGTCTACTTTCTTTTCTCCCACTCTCTCTTCACACTGATTTCTCGCCCAATTCCACCAAAACACTCTTGCTAATGCCATCAGTGGCCTCCATGTTACTAACTCCAATGGACAGTTCTCAATCTTTATTTTAGTTGATTTCTCTCCAATATTTGAGCTGATTTGAACTTCTACAAGATTTCCATCACTCTCTCTCTGAAATTCTTTCTTCTTTGGCCTCTGGGATATTGCTCTCGGCTGCTTTTCCTCATACTTTTGTGACCTCTGCTTCTTAATCTATGCAGTTTCCTTTTCTCTTTCCTTAGGAGTATGGGAGGAATGTAGAAAACCAAATGTTCTTGACAAAAGCTGGCACTGATTTTTCTGTACTACTGCTATCATTACTGCGGTTATCATCAGCAACATTCTGACCACAAGCCCCTCAGACACAAACCTGATAGGATGAGGGAGGAAAATTCTAAAATGTGTCTGCATTATTATAAAGTAGAGGCCGGGTGTAGTGGCTCACGCCTGTAATCCCAGCACTTTGGGAGGCTGAGTTGGGCAGATCACCTGAGGTCAGGAGTTCAAGACCAGCCTGGCCAACATGGGGAAACCCCGTCTCTACTAAAAATACAAAAATTAGCCAGGCGTGGTGGCAGGTGCCTGTAGTTTCAGCTACTTGGGAGGCTGAGGTTGGAGAATCACTTGAATCCGAAAGTGGAGGTTGCAGTGAGCTGAGATCGCACCATTGCACTCCAGCCTGGGTAAGAAGAGCAAAACTCGGTCTCAAAAATATATATATAAATGAAATAAAATAAGGTAGTGGAAGCAAGGAAGAAAACTAACATTTATTATTAAATGTCAGACATATTCATATATGTTATTCCATTTAATCTTCATGATTATATCATGAGTTAAATATTATCAACCCTGTTTTACAGATGATGAAATTGTCTAAACAACACACAACCATCAAGCTATCAAGTAGCAGAGGTGGAATTTAAACCTACTCCTCGGACTCCTAGGGTAATGCTCTTTTCAGTGATAGCATACCTGATCTGCTTCTGGTTTATAAGGGTTTTCTGGAAAACATTAAATGCTTCTGTTGAGTGTGCTGAGTTGGGAGAGAAATGTCTTATACTCGTGCAGAAGTAATGGGTTGTTGGCCTGGCTGGCGGGCTCCAGACAAGACTTCCAAGCACAGCAATATGTTATGGAAGACGTTACAGACCAGGGTGTGGTTTTTAGCTCTGCAGACTGAGAAACTTCATTCTTGCCAGAACACCCAGAAGCAAACAGTGTCTAGGGGACAGACACATCTGAATTCAAAAGACTGGTATATAAAGCAGAATGCCAATTTATACAACTGTCAAAATTCTAGTATTCACTCACTGATATATTCTGAGCCTATGGAAATATCTCTGTGAGATATTTTTTAATCAGCAGGCAACTAGGCAATACATTAAACAAGGAAATAAAAACCAGAGCGTTACACTGGTGGTGTTCCTTGCTGGAGCAATTAAACTATCATCTTTGCTAACAAAAAGAGGAGTGGGGAGCAAAATGTCATGTACCCTTAACTCTGGATTAGGCTGGAGAGTTCCCCCTGGCAAGTTCCTACTCTATGAGCCTCCAGGTTGGCCATGCGCCCCCATTCTGCTTATATGATGTGTTAGTTGGGGCACATGCCAAGCTGCTATAACAAAGACAGCATAAAATACTGTGATTCAAATATAATGGGGGTGGAGGGGCAGACTGAAGTGAATGGGGAGCTCTGCACCTCAAAGTCCTCCAGGAACTCAGATTTCTTCAATCTTGCTGATCAACTGTCCCCTAGGACTGCAAAGTGCAGTGTTCAGAACAGCAACATGAGCAATACCTGGGAGCTTGTTAGAATTGCAGAATCTCAATCAGCTCCAGACCTACTGAATCAGAATCTGCATTTTAGCAGATCCCCAGGTGGTTCTTGTGCACTAAAGTTTGAGAAGCACTGCCCTGGGGCGTTGCTCTTGACAGCATGGTTCAAACTGGTTTAACACCACATTTGCATCCAGTGTATGAGAAAGGAGAAGAAAGGAAGTAGAGGGAAACCTATTTTTTTTCAAGATGGTGACATAGGAGTCACACAAATCATTGCCATTCAGATTCCATTGGTGAGAGATTAATCATAAGGCCACATACTTAGCTGCAAAAGAGGCTGAGACATGTAGCTCCTAGCTGGGTGTCTGTGTTTGCTAAAACTCACAGGGATTCTATTACCAAAAGGAAAGCAGAGGAAATGCATCCCAGAGACAGTAATAATCTCTGTTATATACGTTTTTCTTCAACACATAAAAAAAAAGGTCAGGCCGGGTGCAGTGGCTCATGTCTGTAATCCCAGCACTTTGGGAGGCCAAGGCAGATAGATCACTTGAGGTCAGGAGTTCGAGACCAGCCTGGCCAAGATGGTGAAACCCCATCTCTACTAAAAATACAAAAATTAGCCGGGCGTGGTGGCAGGCGCCTGTAATCCCAGCTACTTGGGAGGCTGAGGCAGAAGAATTTCTTGAACCCAGGAGGTGGAGGTCCAGTGAGCTGAGATCATGCCACTGCATGCCAGCACGGGCAATAGAGAGAGACTCTAACTAAAAAAAAAAAAGTCAGTGCTATTTTGGGAGTCAGGGAACAATTAAATATTTGACTTATGTCTCAAAGGTTTCAGTCAAGACACTGAACCTTGTTGTCTTTGATATTAAAAACCACTTCTTTACAGTGTGGGTTCCTTTGCAGATTTTAATGTCTTTAATACCATATCATAGTCTCTTGATGTCAAATATCTTCTACCACTTTGGGTATTGCCCAACATGGGAGGAGGTTTTCTCTTCCTGGGTGAGACACAGAGCTTTAGGTACTTAGGAGGCCTCCGTTTCTCATGTTTGGAGAGTAGTCTTTTTAAAGAACTTACTTCACATTTAACAACTTGAAAAAACATCTGTGTTAACAAAAAGGGGGTGGTTTCTACAGAGGAGAATCAAAATTAGAATAAGCATTAGTTGTTCACACATCTGGGGTCAACTGCAGATCAGCTAGGTGGCTCCACTGAATGCAGCAAGGCTCATTCACACGTTTGGGAGTCAGCAGGCTGTGGGCTGAAATAGGCTCACCTTGGCTGCGTGGGACTCTGCTCCATTTGTTTCTCATAATCTCATTCCTGGGACTATCAGGTGAGTCTGGGCATTTTCTCACAATAATGGCTGAGGCACAAGAAAGCAAGTCAATTTTAAGCCTCTGCTTTTTTCATGCCTGTCAACATGCTGGCCAAAGTACATCTCGCCAGGATGTTGGCCAAAGTACATCTCATGGTCAGACTTCTTTTGACGAATGAGGCAGTTCTCTCTTCTTATGGTGGGAAGGCATCATAAAATTACTTGGCAAAAAGTATAGATACAGAGAGAAGTAAAAAAATTAGGACTATTTCTTCAATCTGCCAGAGGCTGCCCTCATAATCAAAATTATTCATGTTCCTTTCAGTGAAAAATATGCTCATACCCATTCCAGACCCCTTAAAGTCTTATCCAGGGCTGGTGGCTCATGCCTGTAGTCCCAGCACTTTGGGAGGCCGAGGCGGGTGGATCACCTAAGGTCAGGAGTTCGAGACAAGCCTGGCCAACATGGTGAAACCCTGTCTCTACTAAAAATACAAAAATTAGCCAGGCGTGGTGGTCCATGCCTGTAATCCCAGCTACTCAGGAGGCTGAGGCAGGAAAATCGCTTGAACCTGGGAGGTGGATGTTTCAGTGAGCCGAGACTGCACCACCGCACTCCAGCCTGGGTGACAGTGAGACTCTGTCTCAAAAAAACAAAAAAAAAAGTCTTATCCAGTCACAGCCACAGGCTCAAAGTCCAAGATCTTATGATCTACATCAGATCCAGATCAGATGCAGCTCCTCTGAATCTGGAGTCCCATGAGCTAACAACGTTATCTGTCCCCTACCCACCCAACAATTGTTGAACAGGTACAGGGTAATTACAACAAAGACTCCCATTCAAAAAATGGGAAAGAACAGGAGGTATACAACAGTCCCTGGTCCGTAATAATTCTGAAACCCTGCTTGGCAAATGTTCCCTACTCTGCGGTGGAGAATGCTCCTTGATTAGGCTCTGGTTTGGCTTCCTGAGGCCCTTGAGTCTCCATGCTTCTTGGCTCTCGCTCTGAGATGTCTCTCCTTTTCCTTCATTCTCCTTGGCCATTTCTATGGAGAACTTTGGAAAATAGCTTTTGGCAACTTTCTCACCCTACTTCTTTCCCAAAGAAAGTTGAGGGCCCGTAAGCCTTTCCCTGCCCTCATCATTTTGTACAGTTTCAGTCCAGGCCAACAGTGCTTTTGTCAATACAAGTCTCTCAAAAACTCTGTGGGATTTTTGTGTTTTCAATTCCAAATCCCTCCACTTACCAAAAAACACACCTCTAGTGTTTTCTTGAGACAAGCCTCTGTCTTTAGACTTAATCATTATTACTTTGAGCATGTCAAGTTAACTGTGGGACAAATGTCCCTTAAGACTCTTGGAAGTCTTTTTTGTCCAGTTACAAAGATTCATTTAGGTCTACCTTAATTTTTTTCAGACCTGGTGGCAAGATCGCCCGGGCGTATTCTCATGGCTTTGGCAAAGGTGCAAAAAGCAAATTCTAAGGAGCCCATTTCAAGCCTCTGCTTGTGTCTTATCTAAAAAACTCCCTTCGCAAAGGCAAATCACATGATTAAGGCCAATGTCAAGGGGAGGAGTAGGAGTGCACTGCAAAGTTATATGGTGAAAGGCATGGCTCTGAAGAGGAGAAAAGACTTGGGGCCATTGTTGCAATCTATCACACTCATTTCCCTTGGAAAATTATTTATAGGACATCTTTGAGGCCTAGGATGAAGTGATAGTCCACCAGAAAGGACTTAGTGTCTTTGCCAGGTAACTAAAGATGTGCTAGTCCGGGACTATTCCAAACTAAATTCATGCCTTGAGATTTCTGGTACTACTCAGATGTATTAGTTCATTTTCATGCTGCTGACAAAGACATACCTGAAACTGGAAACAAAAAGAGGTTTAATTGGACTTACAGTTCCACATGGCTAGGGAGGCCTCAGAATCACGGCGGGAAGTGAAAGGCCCTTCTTACACGGTGGTGGAAAGAGAGAAATGAGGAAGAAGCAAAAGGGGAAATCCCTGATAAACCCATCAGATCTCGTGAGACTTATTCACTATCACAAGAATGGCATGGGAGAAACCAGCCCCTATGATTCAATTAACCTCCCCCTGGGTCCCTCCCACAACACATGGGAATTCTGGGAGATACAATTCAAGTTGAGATTTGGGTGGGGACACAGCCAAACCATATCACCAGGTAAGATAGATTTGGCCTGAAAAACAGCACAAATACCAGTTGTGGTTGCAGCTTCTCATAGAATGGTCCTCTTTTCCTCCTTAGCGCCAGAACCAAGGCAGTTTTCCTTATTTACTTTGGGGATGAGGGTTGGTTGGGGAGGGGACTTGGTTCTGAATTATTCTACCCTGGGTTCTAGGCCTTTATAGAGTCTCAGTTTTCTTCAGAGAGGGTTTCCTATTAACAGGTGTCCCATAAGCCAAAACTATGAAAACTGTGCCACAATTTTCCCCCTTTCAGCAAACAACATCAGGGCAAAAGTAGCTTTGGTTCTCAGCTACCCTCAGGATTTCTGCCTTCACTTAGATTTTGGCCTGATAATTTATTACCTAAATGTAAGATGCTTTTAAGACGATATTTTAAATATATTTTTGTCCAGCATTTTTTTGTTGTGTTTAGCAAGAGGATTAGTTCAAATAACCTGTCCCCATAGTACTAATATTAATATATTATAAGTCCTCAATAAAAGGTCACTAATATCTTGCACAAATGACCAGAGAGATAAACTAATATGTACTCAGAATGAGGACTTGGGGAGGCTGAGGCAGGAGAATCGCTTGAACCTGGGAGGCAGAGGTTGCAGTGAGCCAAGATCACTCCACTGCACTCCAGCCTGAGCAACAGAGCAAGACTCCATCTCAAAAAAACAAAGTAAAATAAAGAATGGGGACTTGCTCAGTAGTGTCTCTAAAAGTGTGCTCTTGCCTTGTCTTCATCCTTTGGTAGATTCTGGAGCCCCACCCTAGGCCTGCTGATTAGAATTTTGGAATCAATCCAGATCCACATTGATAAGCTCTGTAGATAACTCATGAGCACCAAAGTTTGGAACAACTGAACTAAGACATGGTTTCAAATTAGATCTCATACATTCCCAGAAATGCCACTTTTTCTAAATCCTTCTCACCTGGAATATGCATTAGCAAAGCACTCATTTATGAGTGAGATTATTGCTCAGCACATCTTTTCATTTTCGTATTTATAATAAGTATTCATAGCAGATTCTTACTAGCATACTTAAATTACCATAAAGAGTGTATAAAACTTTAAAAATCCCAAGAATGCTTGATGGCATAGTCTTCATAAAAATCTAGAAACTGGAAATCCAGTTGTCAGTTGAATGGAGGAATTTAGACTGCTGACTGTAATTTGAATCACAAACCTAGTACTGTATTCCTAATCAGCATAAACCCTTTTACAGTTGCCAAAATAAAAATAAAGCAAACAAAAATACCTTCTTGATAGATTAAGGCATTTTGTAGTCTATGGATTATATTTTTCCATAATAGTATTTTCTTTTATTTATTTAAAACCCTTAACTTCTTTATTTGAGGTTTTATAAAAATTTTATATTCCTATGACCTCTAATTCTAGTGGAAGTCCAACTTTGAAAATAGCCACAAAAACGTGATAATTTATGATAGCCTAAAAGTATCCTTAATAGCACATAATTTTTTTCTTTCTTTTTAATATTTGAAAATTTGGATAGATATGTAATAAAATAGCATAGAAATATTGATGGTAAGATCTGGGAAGCAGTGTATGGGTATTCACCAAAATATTCTTTCAACTTTGTGTATGTGTGAACATTTTCATGGATCAATAGCTACATATGGTGAATCCCTGCATATTAGACAGCACAGCTCAACAACATGCTCTGCAGTGCCACAGTGCACCCTCAGCCTCAGACAGGCCTTCATGCACTTGACCACCTAAGGTTTGCACTTCCTTTGAGACACCATTCGAAAACCAGATCTTTTCTGATGCCCCACCCCAACACAGATATGATCAGGGCCTTTTTCTTCTGTGCTGTGCCTTGTATACTCCACCTTTGTAGTTTTTATCATGTCGTGTTGAGGGTGTTAGTTTATACAGCTTAGATTCCTACTAAACTGTAAGCTTCCTGAGGACAGGGGCTGTGATTTCATCCCTGCATTCTTAGGTCTCAAATCAGATCTCAACTCAATTATAATCTCCATTGAGAGGCCTTCCCTTCCTGTCCCAAGCTAAGTGAGTTGCCCATTATACATGTTCATAATATCCTGTACTTCTCCAAATCATAACATGCCTTATACTTTATGATAATCATTGGTTTAACTCTCTTTCTTCCCTGCTAGACTATAAGCTCCATGAGGGCATGGACCATTCCTGCCATTCATCCATAGTGTCCCAACATGAAGCACACCACATACGTGATATTCCATAAATATTTGTTAATTGAATGCTTAGCACAGAATAAGTGTTTAGTATGCATTTTTTGAATACATCAATGAATGAGTGTTGTCATCAAAAGGAGATTAGACAAGAAAATGTATGGTAAAGTCTGCACACAACTAATGCTTCAGATACAAACAAACAAAGAGCTTTATAACATAAAGGACATAATATTAAATTTTATCAAAAGAAAAGCTATCCTGTATTAAAGGAAAGGAAACTGTGTATCAGTATCTGTTTTCATCTTTATTTAAAAAAAAAAATGGAATCTTGCTCTGTCACCCAGGCTGGAGTGCAGTGGCGCAATCTTGGCTCACTGCAACTTCTGCCTCCTGGGTTCAAGTGATTCTCTTGCCTCAGCCTCCTGAGTAGCAAGGATTAACAGGTGCTTGCCACCATGCCTGGTTAATTTTTGTATTTTTAGTAGAGACGGGGTTTCACCATATTGGCCAGGCTGGTCTCGAACTCCTGACCTCAAGTGATCTACCTGCCTGGGCCTCTTTTATAATTCTTGAGGTCAGAAGTCCAAAATCAGTTTCACTGGACCTAAATCAAGGTATTGGCAGTGCCGATTCCTTCTGGAGCCTCCAACAGAAAATCCGTTTCCTTGATGTTTTTAGCTTCTAATGGCTCCCATGTTCCTTGGCTTGTGACCCCTTCCTCCTCTCCCAGGTGCATCACTCCAATTGCTGCTGCCAGCATCACATGGCCTGCTCCTCTGTGTAGTATAATCTCTTGCTCTCTCCTTCTTGTAAGAACACTTATGATTATGACATTTAGGTGCTACATGGATAATTGTCCCATCCCCAGGTCCTTAATTTCGTCACACCTGCAAAGTTCCATATAAGGTAGCATTCACAGGTTTGGGGGATTAAGGTGTGGATATCTTTGGGAGCCATTGTTTAGCCTACCACATTGATTTGTTGGAAAAACAAAAAATTCAGGCTGGGTGTGGTGGCTCACACCTGTAGCCCCAGCACTTTGGGAGGCTGAGGCGGGAGGATCACTTGAGCCCAGTAGTTCAAGACCAACATGGGCAAACATGGCATAACCCTCTCTCTACAAAATACACAAAAATTAGCTGAGTGTGGGGGCATGTGATTGTAGTCCCAGCTACTTGGGAGGCTGAGGTGTGACAGAGTGAGAACCTGTCTGAAAGAAAAAAAAATCAGATTAATTTGTTATAAAATTTACAGCATTCCTAGTTTTCAATACTAACTTTTTTTTGGTGAATATATTTGTAATATGGACGAGTAATACAAATATTACAAATATGGACTGGATTAAGGGCACATACACTTATTTCAGAATATTTTGTAGATGTGACTATTGTCAGCCTGGAAGTGCAGACAGAATTTTAGGATCAGGGTATGTATTAGGGAGTTTAGGGAGTGTTTCACCAGTCCACAACTCCCTCCTTCACCCACACACATCTATATCTTACCCTCCCACTCACGGGAGCAGACATATTTTAGTCTATGAGATTTCATCCACATTGACTGAATGAGGAATAAATACACCAAGCTACACTAATTGGATTAGTTCTTGCTAGGAATTTGGAATTTTACATTCAGAGATGTGAATGCTAATCAGTCTTACTTAGCACCTAAAGTCAGGTAATAATCTCTTGCCATACTTATGAAAAAACAGAGAAAAGTGGTCTGCAGAAAGAAAAGAATGAATGTGCAAAGAAAGAGATGAGAGAGCATGTTCTCCTGAAGAGAAAGAAGTGGGTAGAGCACATGGCTTTGAGTTCTTTCTAGGTTCCCCGTTCATCATGAAGTTCAAGGATACATTTGACTCACCAGCTTCCTGAGATAGCCCTACAGTGTTAGAAAACCTCCGTCTACCTTTTCTCCTCCTTCCTCCCTCCTTTCTTCATTCCTTCTCCCTTTCATTCTTTCTCTTTTTCTTTTCCTATTGTTTTAGCTATTTTGAGTATGTATCTATTATTTGCAATTAAAAGTATATTCTATTAGGATAGAGTCTTTGGTGATGACATTATTCTGATATTATGACAGGGACAACAGTTGTGGATTTGTGCTTTGAAATATAGAAATTTCTTGTACATGGAGTCTTAGCTTTGATTAAACAAACTAATCTGTTTTTGAAGTTTTTCTCTTTTTTGAGGGTTTTACTATTTAACAATGAGTTTTACTATTTAACAATGAGTTTCTAGGTGGAATTGCATATTTTGATGAATAAATTAAGGATCCCAATTTATAGAAAAATTCTTTTCTCTACTTTTATTTTATTTCATTATTGTTTCATATTTTTCACTCTGAACCGGCTATCTATAGGTTATGCTGTTGAGACTTAATCCATTTGTGCACAGCTAAGTAAGTCTTTGTTTTCCTTTGCTTTTAAAAAATGGATTTAGATTTGGAACAATCTGTGCTGCGATGATTTCCCTTTGTCTAGAGATTGTTTCAAATTTAGCTGTCAGTGGAAAAACTTTCTCTAAATTTTATCTCCTCATTGTTTGAACACCAATATTTCATGAAAGATAAATTTTTGAGTTGTTTTCTTCTTTTCTGCTTTGAACACTAATTAGGCACAAAGAATATCTAAATGACCCTATGAAATATTAACCTTTATACTTGTAATTTATTAAGAAAAAAATGAGTTTTCCTGTCTGAAAAATAAAGTGGGGGTCTCAGATTTATCTCATAAAGCTTTGTGGGATGTAAAACAGTAATAACAAACAAAACTTGAGCTTTATTTATTTTTTTACTTTTGCTATTTTCTCAAAAAAGCTTATACAATGTAGAAACTCTTCTATGTGTTTGGTTGAACCATATAAAACTACTGACTTTCCCGTATTTTTGACTTAGAAAATTGGCAATTTCATGTGTTCACTCTAAAAGGTTTCTCATCTTAATCACATATAATATTGATCTAGCTGAGAAATGTTGTGCATTATTTTGCTTCCTTTGTCTTTTCTTGGACACTTTCTATTTGGCAAAATATTCATAGCTATCAAATGTATTTTTTGTTCATAGTGGTTAAATGAACAAGTTATTTCTGTTTCTTTACATTTATAAAATTATTTTTCAAAAAACCAGTGGCAGCCATATGTGCTTGTGCAGATTAGATTCTGAGAGATGACTTGTTTTTAACCTTCTTAAACAGTTCTCCTATTTTCACTTCCTTCTCTATGCTTGAATGAGGGACATCTGTTTCTGCTTTCCGTGTTCCTTTGTTACACGAAGTGGAATATCAAAGTTTTCCTCCTTTGACAAGGAAAGAATGCTTTGGTTTTATTTTTTATTTCCTTTTATTTATTTTCATTGGTTTAAAAAATTATAAATGTTGTACAAAAAAAGATGAACTGCTCTCTGAAAAAATTTAAACAATAGAAAGTACAAAGTGAACCTCTCTCATCCAACTGGTCCTACTCCCCAGGGGCAACCATTGATGAGAGTTGGTGTATGCCTTCTAGACCTTTTTATATGCATATATGTAAGTATATATGTGCGTGTGTGTATGTACATATACACACACGCACATATATATATAGTTAGAAATAGGATCATACTTCACAATTTAATGCATTGGAACTTCTGAACATATGCTGGTTGCTATTGTTATTTTTCAACAATTATTTACTGAGCATTACCATATAACAGGCACTGGGTATAAATCAGGGAGGATAAATACACAACACAATTCTTGCCTCAAAGGCTTACAAATCTAGTGGGAAGTTAGTCATGCAAGGTTCAATTACGAGACAGTATGATAATACTGAATTGAAGGTCTCTACAAAGTACAGTAAGGACATGAAAAGAGGGCGGTGCGGTGGCTCACGCCTGTAATCCCAGCACTTTGCGAGGCCAAGGCGGGTGGATCACCTGAGGTCAGGAGTTTGAGACCAGCCTGGCCAAAACGGTGAAACCCTGTATCTACTGAAAATACAAAAATTAGCTGGGTGTGGTGGCACGCACCTGTAATCCCAGCTACTTGGGAGGCTGAAGCAGGAGAATCCCTTGAACACAGGAGGCAGAGGTTGCAGTGAGCCGAGATTGCGCCATTGCACTCCAGCCTGGGCAACAGAGCAAGACTCATCTCAAAAGAAAAACAAACAAAAAAAACGTAAAAAGAGCATTTATGTCTAACACCACTTATGTGCTGATGAGGTTTCACATTTCTAACCTTGACCCCTATTCCACACAGCATTGCCTCTGACCAACGCACTCACTTTATGGCTAAAGAAGTATGGCAGTGGGCTCATGCTCATGGAATTCACTGGTCTTACCATGTTGCTGATTATCCTGAAGCAGCTGGGTTGATAGAGGGGTGGAATGGCCTTTTGAAGTCACAATTACAATGCCAACTAGGTGACAATACTTTGCAGGGCTGGGGCAAAGTTCTCCAGAAGCCCATGTATGCTCTGAATCAGCATCTAATATATGGTACTGTTTCTCCCATAGCCACGATTCATGGGTCTAGGAATCAAGGTATGGAAGTGGAGGTGGCACCACTCACCATCACCCCTGGTGACCCACAAGCAAAATTCTTGCTTCCTGTTCCCATGACATTATGTTCTGCTGGCCTGGAGGTCTTAGTTCCAGAGGGAGGAACGCTGCCACCAGGACACACAACAATCCCATTAAACTAGAAGTTAAGATTGCCACCTGGCAACTTTGGGCTCCTCCTACCTTTAGGTCAGCAGGCTAAGAAGGGAGTTATAGGCTGGGGTGATTGACCCGGACTATGAAGATGAAACAAGTCTACTACTCCACAATGGAGGTAAAAAAGAGTATACATGGAATACAGGAGATCCTTTAGGGCATCCATTAGTATTACCATGCCCTGTGATTAAGGTCAATGGGAAACTAAAACAGCCCAATCCAGGCAGGATTACAAATGGCCCAGACCCTTCAGGAATGAAGGTTTGAGTCACTCCACCAGGAAAAAAAAATACAAACTGCTGAGGTGCTTGCTGAAGGCAAAGGGAATACAGAATGGATAGTAGAGGAAGGTAGTTGTCACTACCAGCTATGACCACATGACCAGTTGCAGAATCGAGGACTGAAATTGTGATGAGTGTTTCCTCCATATTTTGTTAAGAACATGTCTGTGCATGTATACACTTGTACTAAGAAGATACTTTCATTTTATTTCCTTTTTCCTTTATCATGTGACATAAGATTTACAGACTTCATATTAGCATTTAAGTATTGTTAACTTTATGTAATAGTATTTGGGTTGGAGATTGGTGCATTTCTGGTTATATAAAGGATAGTTGTATTACGTTAAGTGTAATTATGACCTTGTTATTGTCCTTATTTGAAGATTACGTATGATCTCAGGAGTTGTGTATGGGTTCAAGTTGTCAAGGGGTGGACTTGTGATGGTTAATACTGGTGTCAATTTGATTGGATTGAACGATGCAAAGTATTGATCCTGGGTGTGTCTGTGAGAGTGTTGCCAAAGATTAACTGAGTCAGTGGACTGGGGAAGGCAGATCCACCCTCAATCTGGGTGGGCACAATCTAATCAGTTGCCAGCACAGCCAAAATAAAAGCAGGCAGAAGAACGTGGAAAGATTAGACTGGCTTAGCCTCTGAGCCTACATCTTTCTCCCAGGCTGGATGCTTCCTGCCCTCAAACATCAGACTCCCAAGTTCTCCAGCTTTGGGACTCAGACTCGCTTCCTGGCTCCTCAGCTTGCAGATGGTCTATTGTGGGACCTCACCTTGTGATCATGTTTATCAATACTCCTTAATAAACTCCCCTTTATATATACATCTATCCTATTAGTTCTGTCCCTCTAGAGAACCCTGACTAGCACAACCCCTCTCCTACTCCAGACACATACAGAAAACTGTCTTGACACTTTCTCATTGATGTCTAACAGGCATAAACTTAACACAATATAAACAGAGCTCTTGATTTTTTCACCCTAAACCTGCTCCTCCCTCTGACTTCCCTCACTTGATAAATGGCACCATCCACCCAGTAGCTTGAGCTAAAACCTTGCAGTCAGCCCAAGGAAAGGAAGGAATCAAGAAATCAAGAAAAAAAGCTGAAACTAAGGAATATCTAATGGGTTTTATCTCCTGGCTAATCTTTTATTTAGCAGGAAATGCTCTTGGTTTCACTTCCAGTTTGTCTGCTTGGCTTCATCTTGGCTGCTACCACTCTCAGCCCACCTCTGCCTTCTCACTCTGAACTGCTGGAGTAGCCTTGTCGCAATCCTTCCTGCTCCTGTGCTAACTCTTCTATAGCCCACTTTCCACAGAGCAGCTAGAGTGAGACCCTTCCATGCCAATCAAGTCATCTTCCTATCTTGCTCACAACCTTATTTTTGCACTTAGCATAAAATCCTAACTTTTTCCCACAGCCTGCAAGGCCCTGCACCATCTGGCTGCTGCCTGTAAGGCTCAGCTTGGTCTACAAGTCCCCTCTGCACTGCTGTCCTGCTATTCCAACATCTTTTCTTGACTTGGAGCATTCTAAGCTCCAGGACCCCTTTATGGAGATTCCTCCATCTGAAGTCCCTTTCCACAGCTCTTCTATGTGGCCAGCTCATTCCCATCCTACAGATCTGCCTTCAAAGCTTTTTCACCCTACCTAAAGTAGCTTCTCCTGCATCAAAACTCTCTCTATCGTGTCACCCTGTTCATTTCCTTCACAGCACTTACCACAATGCGAAATGATCCTAATTATGTATATTAAATGCTTATTTGTTTAATGTCACTATTCTCCCCTTACCTTCCAACCCCCAGACTGGAATGGAAGCTCCCTGAGAGGTTGGACTTTTACTATCTTGTTCACAGCACCTAGAAGAGAACCTGGCACCTAGTAGGTGCTCAATAAATATTTATGGAGTAAATGAAAGAAAAACTGTCCGGGAGAGTTAATGAAGTCTTCACAGGGAAGGTATCTTTTGGGTGAGGGCATGAATAATGAACTCAAATTGGCCAGGTTGACATTCAGGTGAGAGAATACTACATATTCTGAGAATTGGGATATAAAGAGAACACGAGTGGAGAGGGGTGGGAGGGAGGTGATGTCAGAAAGTAAGATAGATAAGTAAGTTGGGAACGGAGAATGATAAGAGTTTTATACTGTGCTAAGGAGTTCAGATTTTATCCTGGAGTGACTGAAGCCAGTGGTTAATTTTGAGCTGTGAGGCCTTCTGTGTTAGTTTTCTATTGTTGCCATAACAAATTACCACCACTTAAAGCAACACCTGCAGGTTAGAAGCCTGATGTGGGTCTCAGTGGGCTAAAATAAACGTGTCAGCAGGGCTGTGTTTCTCACTGGAGCTCTAGGGGAGAACTTGCTCCCAAGCCTATTCAGGTTGTGGGCAGAATCCAGTTCCCTGTGGTGATAGGACTGGGGCCTTGTTTTCTCCCTGACTGCCAACAGCGTGCTGCTCTTAGCTCCTAGAGCCTCTTTTGGTACTTGCACTCCAACTCCTCCATCTCAGAGCCAGGAACAGCATATTGCCCTTCTCTCACTTGATATCTCTCTGACTTCTCCTTCTGCTGCATCCCTCTTCTTCCTCTTCATCTCTGTCCAACTTCAGCTAGAGATAGTCCTCTGTTTTTAAGGACTCATGTGATTACACTGGGCCCATTTCGATATCCCAGAATAATTTCTGTATCTTAAAATTAAACACCGTAATTACTTTGGCATGCAATGTAACATATTCAAAGGCTCCAGAGATTAGGGTGCCTTTTGGGGTGTGTGCGGGAGTACTCTACCTTCACATTCTGTGATCACATTTTCTTATTGGATTACTCAGCAGGCTGTGTGAGGTCATTGAACCAGAATTGAAGGGGGACAAGACTAGTAATATGGTGACTACTCTAGGTCAATAACAATGAAGGACTGAAATCAAATCAGGAAGGGCTGAACTAAGAAATATTTAATAGATTTTTATTTTCAGATTTGGTAACTGATTAGATGTGGGGATTGTGGCCAGGAAGACTCAGGGATGACTCCCAAGTAGTGTCATTTGGTGAGATAGGGTAAGAAGGAGCAGGTTTGAAGGAAAAATGATACATTTCCTGAGGCACTGAAGATAACTCCACATTTTGTTGAAGAGTTATTCATAATTAGAAAATTACTCAAATGGTTATGTTGATCATTTTCAACATAGTATTATTTATAAGGGTTCTTAACATATTTAGAGGATATTATTTTAAAACAAAATTAATTGTATGTACTGACTCCTTTCCAGACTAACAAACAGACCTAAGTCTTTCTTTGCATAAAGTGTGGATAAGATATGTAAAATCCTTTCTTGTATTTGATATGAAAGTAATGCCTGTCTAGCGAATTAAGACATGTAGGTACTGGCACAGGTTTGTTTGTTTGTCCTTAAGAATTTTGTTAAGAAAAGAAAAATCTTTTATTGAGTATTTACTTTTAAACATCTAACTTCATCCTTATAATAAAACAAGTAAAAGGAGATTATTTTTATTCTCATGTTCCGGAAAAGGAAACTAAGCCTAAAGGAGGTTATGTAACTTGCCCTAAATCCCATAACGAGTAACTAATAGAGGTAGAATTCAAACCAGGATTGTCTGATTCCAAACACTATGCTCTTTACCTGGGGCTACAGCACCTTACTCTTGAAGACCAGAGGAGGAGAGAAACTTCCAGACTTCCACTCAGATGCCTTTACCTTGCAGACTGTTTCTTGATCTCTCTGACTACATCATTTTCTTCTCTTCTGCACACCTCCATATAGCACCTTTTGGGTACTTACCCACAGTTGTAATTTACTTGTGCAGGTAAAGTGTATCTCTTCTCACTAGGCTCAAAATATCATAGACTAGGTACTGCAAGGCTTTTGGTTTATCCTTGAATTCTCAGTTCTTAGCATAGGGTTTGGCACATAGTAAATATTCAAAAATTATTTGTTCAGTAAACATATGCATGCATGAATCAATCAGTGAATGAATGTCATTTAACTTCTTTGCACCTCAAGTCTGTGATCTCTGAAATGAAGTAATCAAGACAGATTAATTTATTTCTACATTCAAAACATTTTTATTTTCCTACTAAATGGTCTGTAGTTCCCTTCAGAGAGACAAAAATACAGTAAAAAAAAATCTATACTAGAAGTGTTACATATGTTTATGTCTATGTCTATTTGTCTATTTATAACTATCTATCCATCTATCTTCTATCTAGAAAATTTATTTTCTACCTATAATTAGTAGTTATAATAGGGCTATTAATAAAGCCTTTTAATGTTTTAATGTTGGACAGGTTATTAAATATGTGGGAATATTTGAATTCTAATATGTTCTATTATTGGTGGCATTATCATTGTTGATGTTTTTGAAAGGTATCCTTTTATAGTTGAGGAAATTTTATAGATTCATAAATACAATTGTGTTAGCTTTATATTTTTTCTTTTTTACTACAAACTATGTTCTTTTTTTGTAATAGAAGCTGATAACATGAAGCATTGAATATAAGAGCTATAAAGTATTTATATTTGTTGTGTCTAATTTATTTATTTCTTTTTTTTTTATTTTTTGAAGAGTTTTGCTCTTGTCGCCCAGGCTGGAGTCCAATGGTGCGATCTCAGCTCACTGCAACCTCCACCTCCTGGGTTCAAGCAATTCTCATGCCTCAGCCTCCCAAGTAGTTGGGATTACAGGCACCCACCACCATGCTCGGCTAATTTTGTATTTTTTAGTAGAGACGGGGTTTCACCATGTTGGCCAGGCTGGTCTCGAACTCCTGACCTCAGGTGATCCACCTGCCTCGGCCTCCCAAGTGCTGGGATTACAGGCCTGAGCGACCACGCCCGGCCATTTCTTTTGTATTAGCAGTTCTGTAATTGGAGCTACAGAATGTTACATTTTATTTTCTGCAGGCTATTGCTTGCACTTTTTCTTTTGCTTACTCTGTCTTAGTGTAAATGTATTTCACTTCCTCAAATAGAAAAATTAAAAAAAAATTTTTTCACTTCATGTGAAGGAAGGTTTATTGTTGTAGCTATTTCACTTATTAAAGCTACTTTATACATCTAATATTTTACAATACATTAACAGATAACAGTATTTTAAAGTATCTTCCAGTAGATTTATTATAGTTACAACGTACTTATACTGGGATTGATATTTGGGTGACACTCTTTAATGCATAGAAACTGTCTGGTTTGGGTAAGAATACCCATCTCAAGATAATTTACTTTATCAGTAAAATGCGGCAAGTCTTAAGATAAACAATAACCTCTAAAAAACAGCAATATTTTCACCTGTTATTCTTTATGTGTTGAAAGTGCTGTTGAAAACAATTATTCCAGAATTTTTAAAATAATCTTCTAATAACTGAAAACTGTTCAATACTTGAGTACTTCTTTTATTCAGTGGCATGATCTTGGCTCACTGCAACCTCCACCTCCCAGGCTCAAGGGATTCTCCTGCCTCAGCCTCCCGAGTAGCTGGGATTACAGGTACACGCCACCATGCCTGGCTAATTTTTGTATTTTTAGTAGAGACGGTGTTTCACCATGTTGGCCAGGCTGGTCTCGAACTCCTGACCTCAAGTGATCTACCTGCCTCGGCTTCCCAAAGTGCAGGGATTACAGGCATGAGCCACCGCGCCCGACCAAGTACTATTTTCTATAAGATTATATATTTAGTATTGATGGAGATGGACAAACTGAATGATCCTTTCTTACGAGTATCCTAAACAAGTAGAAAAGAAGCATAGCACAGAATGATTTTGACCTATTGACCTCTGCAACCGAAAGTCTTATGCCTCACTTTCTTTCTTCCACAGTAAACTACCAGTGCCAGGGATGTTCTGAATAGTTCAGAGCAGTTCCCTGAGACCTCCTCTGGGACACTGAAATTCAGCTGTAACAAGTAGCTACAGGAGAAATCCATTCCCATTTAAGAGTATATGGTACCAACAGAAAATGATTGGAGGAAAGGGGAGACATATTGTTGATTTTTTTTCCTCATAATAAAAATGCACATAAGACACTTAAATAAATGGAGAGCAATATCATGTTCAAGAACTAGAAAAGTAAACATTGTTAAGAGGCAATTCTCCCCAAACTGATCAACAGATTCAATGAAATCCTTAACAAAATCTCAGCAGCTTTTTCTTTTTTTTGGTAGAAATTGAAGCTGACCCCAAACTTTATACAAAAATACAAAAAACCTAGAATAGACAAAACAATTTTGAAATAGATGAAAAATGTTGGAGGACTTTTTTTTTTGGATTGCACAAATTTATTAAAATTGGAGACATTGTTTTAATCTTCTTGTGCCATGAGACTCCATCAGGCTGTCTACAAAGACCATTGGGAGGCTAAGGATCACTTGAGCCCAGGAGTTCGAGGCTACAGTAAGCCTCAAAGGGCCACTGCACTCCAGCTTAGGTGAGGCAAGACCCTTTCAAGTGGTAAACTGCATGCTTGCTTGCTGTGGTCATTAAAAACCCTAGTTTAGGATAACAGGTCTGCCTGCATTTCTTCAAGCATGAATTCTGAGTCCTTTGCTTCTTTAAAACTTGTTCCACACAGTGTAGTCAAGCCGACTGTGTTGGAGGACTTTTATATGTTATTTTAAAACATGCTATAAAGATACAGTGATCAGCTGGGCACGGTGGCTCACGCCTGTAATCCCAGCATTTTGGGAGGCCGAGATGGGCAGATCGCTTGAGGTCAGGAGTTTAAGACCAGCCTGGCCAACATGGTGAAACTCTGTCTCTACTAAAAGTACAAAAATTGGCTGGGTGTGGTGGCTAGCACCTGTAATCCCAGCTACTCGGCAGGCTAAGGCAGGAGAATCTCTTGAATCCAGGAGGTGGAAGTTGTAGTGATCCAAGATAGTGTGACTGCCCTCCAGACAGAGTGAGACTCAGTCTCAAAAAAAAAAAAAAAAAGGTACTGTAATCAAAACAATATGATTTTGCCACAAAGGTAAACATATAGATCAATGAAACAGAATAGGGAGACCAAAAATAAATATATGGCTAATTAATTGTTTTTGACAAAGTTGCTGAGCTAAATCAGTAGAAAAGGATTTTTTTTTTTTTTCAGAAAGCAGTGCTGGCATAATTGGCATCTTTATGCAAACAAAACAAAACAACAAGTTGTTTCTTATCTCACCCATACACAAAAATTCACTCAAAATATACAATAGACCCAAATGTAAGAAACTAAAAATGAAAGAACTTTCAGAAGAAAATGGGAAAAATCTTTGTGATCTTGAGTTAGGCAATTCCTTAGATATGATTTTAAAAAGCACAGACGAAGTTTAAAATTGAGAAATTTAACTCCATAAAAAATTAAAGTATTTGTTCTAAGGACACCGTGTTAGTCCATTTGTACTGCTATAACAGAATACCCGATTCTGGGTTAATTTATAAATAGGAGAAATTTGTTTTCTCACATTTCTGGAGGCTGGGAAGTATAAGAGTAAAGCATCAGCATCAGTTGAGGGCCTTCTTGCACAAACAATAATAATAATAACACATTACTATTGTAATTACAAACACTGTTTTAAAAAGTACCATACTGTGAGAAAATATTTACAACATCCAATCAATGACAAAGATTAATATCCACAGTGTTTTTAAAAACACATTTAAAATAGTAATAGAATAACTGAAATATTTAGAAACTAGATAAATTTCTAAAGGGGAAAAATCACTCTCATGCTGCTAGGAGCACATTACCACACTCCCTTCTAGTCTTGTTTTAATACATATTTTAACATGGTTGAAATAACAATTTTATGAGCCTGAAGATTTTTTTGAATTATTTGATGAAAGGCTTTATAAAATCCAATGCTTGGCTAGGCTAGGTGGCTCACGCCTGTAATCCCAGCACTTTGGGAGGCTGAGGTGGGCGGATCACTTGAGATCAGGAGTTTGAGACCAGTCCGGCCAACATGGTGAAACTCTGTCTCCACTAAAAACACAAAAATTAGCAGAGCATGGTGGTGGGCGCCTGTAATCCCAGCCACTCGGGAGGCTGAGGCAGGAAAATCATTTGAACCCAGAGGGTGGAGATTGTAGTGAGCTGAGATTGCACCACTGCACTCCAGCCTGGGTGACAGAGTGAAACTCCATCAAAAAAAATCAAATGCTTAATTATAACATGAAAGGAAAAGACTTCTGGCTAATAATAATGAGTAAAGGGATGCATTTCTTCCATATGAAATGCAGTGAATAACAAATACATATTTCTTTTCACCACTACTCCCTTCCCTTTGTGTCCATAACTAGTGCTTCACCTAAGAAATGCTCCCAGGCTTCTCTTTCTCAGGTCTTTTTTTTTTATCAGTTAATATAGAGCTAAGAAGTCAAAAGATCCCGGATCCTTACTTTGTTCAAGGAATTGTGCTGCTATGCGTGGGCATTTAGCAGTGAACAAAAAATGACAGCCTTACAGAGTCTCTATCTGGAGAGGAAATTAGGCATTATATATAATAAATAATTTATTTATAATAATTAAATAGTACATAATTGAATAAGTAATTAAATCACTACAAGACTTGAGACTAAATCTGAACCCTGTTTTCACTAGTTAACGTCTAAAATGTAAGCCTACCTAAATGTAAGCATTATATCTTTTATGTACCATTATCCCTATAATGATCTGTATTTCCTGGTCCCCAGTTCAGCCCTTCCTCCATTATCCATCTTTTAAGCCCTTTCTATCTGACTTCTGTATCTACTCCAATATCAGTAAATTGGTCTACATTCTCATACTCATCCTCCTCAAAATGATGATTTAATATTGTAGTTCATTGACACTCAGGCCTAGCCCCCTTCCCTTCTCTAGAAGCCCTCCCTGAGTGAGCTCATTCATGTCCATAGTTGTGATCTACATCCTGACAGCTCCCAATTTTCTGTTTTCTACCTTCAGCCCTTGAGCCTCAGACCTATATACACAATTGTCTGCTTGACATTTCCACACATAGTTATCTCAAATTCAACGTTTCCCAAATTCAATTTGTGAGTTTCATCTGCCCCATCCAAAAAAGAAAAAAAAAAAAAACAGAAAGAAGGAAGGAAAAAAAATGATACCATAATCCATTCAGTTCATAAGCTAGAAACACAGGAATCATCATTGTTCATTCTCTCTTTCCTCCTCCAACCCTCATTCAGGATTGAAATAAATTAATAAGTACATTATGAGTCAGGAAGATAGGAATCACTATGCCAGCTTAACTACTGACAAAAGTCCAGAATGAAGAATGTGACTTAGGTGTGTGGTAAAAATCAGCTTGCTAACTTTGAACTCCAGCTTTAGGAAGATTAACCTAGCCAGTCCCTGATGGCACTAAAATACTACAGCCCTCTCCCCACAAAAACAGGATCTTCATTAAAAAGTCTGGCCTCTATGCAGACTGAAAGCACACGCTCCCGGCAGACAGGCCAGTGCTAAAGAAAAGGCAGGAAGACCTGAGCCTCTCAAGCTCAGTTACTGTCCCAAAGTCATTAATCACATGGAAGGAGCAAGAAGCCAGAAAAAGATAAAGAAAATTTCTCTTCATGGAAAGCAGAGGAATCCCCTCCCAATACAATGCAATACTAAAGCCTATTGATTTTATGTCCAAAATATCTCTGACAACATTACCTTCTCTCCTTTTCTATTACCACTTCCCTGATTCAAGCTAACATCATCTCTCACCTAACCCTCTGCAGTAGACTTCTCACCATTTTAACTACGAAAACATCAATTTTTACCTCCTTTCAATCTTTTTTCCATGCATCATCCACAGTGATATTTTCACAATGCAAATCTGATCATATTTTTTCTTTTCATCTTTTCCACCTCCTCTCTTAAGCATGGCTCTTAGCATAAAGACCCAAATTGTTTGCATAGTCCTCAATGCCTTGTAAAGCCTGGCTCCATCTACTGCTGCAGCCTCATTTTATAGGTGTATGTATTAGTCAGGGTTCCCTAGAGGGACAGAACTAATAGTGTATATATATATATTTATTAAGTATTAACTTACACAATCACATGGTCCAACAACAGGCTGTCTGCAAGCTTGAGGAGCAAGGAGAGCCAATTCGAGTCTCAAAACTGAAGAACTTGGAGTCCGATGTTTGAGGACAGGAAACATCCAGCACAGGAGAATGATGTAGGCTGGAAGGCTAGGCCAGTCTCGTCTTTTCACGTTTTTCTGTCTGCTGTATGTTTGCTGGCAGCTTATTAGATGGTGCCTACCAGATTAAGGGTGGGTCTGCCTTCCCCAGCCCACTGATTCAAATGTTAATCTCCTTTGGCGACACTCTCACAGACACACCCAGGAACAATACTTTGCATCCTTCAATCCAATCAAGTTGACACTCAGTATTAACCATCACAAGTCCATCCCTTGTCAACTTGAACCCATACACAACTCCTGAGATCATACATAATCTTCAAATAAAGACAATAGTAAGGTCACAATTATGCCTAACATAATACAACTATCTTTGCACAACCAGGAACGCACCAATCCCCAACCCAAATACTATTACATAAAGTTAACAATAAAGTCAGATATAAAGTCAACACCTTATGTCACATGATAAAGCAGAAAGAAAATAAAATGAAGATATTTTCTTAGTACAAATGTATACATGCACAACCATCTTTTTAACAAAAGAAGGAGGAGATACTCATGACAATTATAGTTCTTGTTTCTGCAGCTGGTCACGTGATCTTAGCTGGTATTGATGACCACCTTCTTCTACTATCCATTCTGTATTGCCTTTGCCTTCAGCAAGCACCTCAGCAGGCAGTGTTTTTTTCCTGGTGGAGTGACTCAAACCTTCATTCCTGAGGGGTCTGGGCCATTTGTAGTCCTGCCTGGATTGGGCTGTTGTAGTTTCCCATTGACCTTTATCACAGGGCATAGTAATACTAAGAGATGCTCTAATGATCTCCAGTATTCCATGCATACACTTCCTTAACTCCATTATGGAGTAGTAGACTGAATTTATCTTGATAGTCTGGGTCAATCACCCCAGCCAACACTGTAACTCCCTTCTCAGCCTGTTGACTTAAAGGTAGGAGGAGCCCAGAGTGTCCAGGTGGCAATCTTAACTTCCAGTTTAAAGGAATTGTTATTGTGTCTCCTGGTGGCAGCGTTCCTCCCTCTGGAACTAAGACCTAGGCCAGCAGAATGTAATGTCGTGGAAACAGGAAGCAAAAATTTTGCTAGTAGGTCACCAGGGGTGATGATGAGTGGTGCCACTTCCACTTCCTCCCCTTGATTCCTGGACCCATGAAGCCTGGCTATGGGAGAAACAGTACCATATATTGGATGCTGATTCAGAGCATACATAGCCTTCTGGAGAACTTTGCCCCAGCCCTGCAAAGTATTGTCACCTAGTTGGCATTTTAATTGTGACTTCAAAAGGCCATTCCATCGTTCTATCAATCCAGCTGCTTCAGGATGATGGGGAACATAAGACCAGTGAATTCCATGAGCATGAGCCCACTGCCACACTTCTTTAGCAAAAGTGAATGACTTGGTGAGTGGAAGTCCATGTTGCTGAGCCCATGTATAATCTCCATCCCTGCCACCATGGTCACTTTGTTCATGGGCCCATTGGGTGATGACAGGAGTGGTTGGGGAAAGAGGCTGTGTGGTGTCCATAGAACGGGTCATCCTATCCACTTGATTATTAAAATCCTCCTCTGCTGAGGTCATCTGTTGGTGAGCACTTACATGGGATACATATATCTTCACAGTTTTTGACCACTCAGAGAGGTCCATCCACATGCCTCTTCCCCAAATTTCTTTGTCACCAATTTTCCAATTGTGCTTCTTCCAAGTCCCTGACCATCGAGCCAAACCATTGACTACAGCCCATGAATTAGTGTATTATTGCATATCTGGCCATTTCTCCTTCCATGCAAAGGGCACAACCAGGAACGTTGCTCAAAGCTCTGCCCACTGGGAAGATTTCCCTTCACCACTGTCCTTCAGGGATGTCCTAGAAAGGGGCTGTAGTGCTGTAGCTGTCCACTTTTGGGTGGTGCCTGCATATCATGCAGAACCATGTGAACCATGTCTTCCCTTCCTAGACTAGAAGGCCCTAGTCTTCTCTTCCTCTGTCAACTCACCATAAGGAATTCCCCATGAGGCCATCTATGCAGGCTGGAGAAGAGAAGGTGGGGTGGCAGGAGAGGGGACCATGGGCATTTGAGCCACTTCCTCATGTAACTTACTTGTGCCTTCTGGATTTGCTTGAGCCCAATCACATATATACCACTTCCATTTGATGATGGAATACTGCTGTGCACAACCCACTTTATAGCTAGATGGGTCAGAAAGCACCCAGTTCTTGATAGGCAATTCTGTTCACAGGGTGACTTAATGACCCATAGTCAAAGGTTCATTTTCCACCAAAGCCCAGTAACAGGCCAACAGCTGTCTCTCAAAAGGAGAGTAGTTATCTGCAGAAGATGGCAGAACCTTCCTCCAAAATCCTAGAGGTCTCTGTGTGATTCACTTATGGGGGCCCGCCAAAGGTTCTAAACAGCATCCCTATCGGCCACTGACACCTCAGGTACCATTGGATCTGCTGGGTCATATGGCCCAAGTGGCAGAGCAGCTTGCACAGCAGCCTGGACCTGTTGCAGAGCCTTCTCCTGTTCTGGAACCCACTCAAAACTGGCAGCCTTTTGGGCCATTCGATAAATGGGCTGGAGTTACACACCCAAATGAGGAATGTGTTGCCTCCAAAATCCAAATAGGCCCAGTAGGCATTGTGCCTCTTTCTTGGTTATGGGAGGGGCCAAATGCAGCAACGTATCCTTTACATTAGAAGGAATATCTTGACAGGCCCCATACCACTGGACCCCTAGAAATTTTACTGAGGTAGAAGGTCCCTGAATTTTAGTCAGTTTTATTTCCCATTCTCTGGCATGCAAATGTCTCACAAATAAGTCCAGTGTGTTAGCTACTTCTTGCTCACTGGATCCAATCAGCATGCTGTCATCAATGTAATGGATCAGTGTGGATATCTTGCAGAAGCAAAAAGCAATCAAGGTCTCTCTTAATAAGATTACCACGCAAAGACTGAGCGTTGATATACCCCTGAGGTAGGACAGTAAAGGTATATTGCTAGCCTTGCCAGCTGAAGGCAAATTACTTCTGGTGGGCCTTATAGACAGGAATGGAGAAAAAGGCATTTGCCAAGTCAATGGCTGCACACCAGGTACCAGGAGATGTGTTAATTTCCTCAAGCAATCAAACCAAATCCGGTACAGCAGCTGCAACTGGGGTCATCGCTTGATTAAGCTTACAATAATCCACTGTCATTCTCCAAGATCCATCTGTCTTCTGCACTGGCCAAATGGGAGTGTTGAACAAGGATGTGGTGGGAATCATCATCCCTGCGTCTTTCAAGTCAATGACAGAGCTCTACAAGAGTCAGACTATTCTGATTGCTGCTTTGCCTCTGCTGTCCATTATGGTAGCTACGCCCTCCTTGCCTTTGATGGTGGGGTGCTGCCACTTGGCCCGTGCCACCTCAGAATCCAATTATTCCCATTGTGTTTAAATTTAAATTTAAATTTAATAGTTGAGTGACTGTGGTTCCCACTGTTAGATCTGACATACAGAGAAGAGCAATTACAGGGCTCTTCAAAGATACAGGTGCTGCCCTCACAAATCTATTTCACAAGGCATTGGTCAAGGGTATATCTTCTGGACCCTTCCAGCTGGAATGAGTAGGAATAAAGTGACTAATCCACTCCACCATCCCAATCTCCTCAAGCCTTTGGATCCCTTCCTCTACATTAAACCAAGGGATATCAGGCATTTCCAGCTGTCTCACAGTGGGCCATCTTTTAATCCATATTTCAGCTAACCAAGCAAATAAGCTATTAGAGTCTTTTTTTTTTTTTTGAGACAGAGTTTCACTCTTTTTGCCCAGGCTAGAGTAGCATAGCATGATCTCGTCTCACTGCAACTTCCACCTCCCGGGTTCCAGCCATTCTCCTGCCTCAGCCTCCCAAGTAGCTGGGATTACAGGTGCCTGCCACCATGCCCAGCTAATTTTTGTATTTTTAGTAGAGAGGGGGTTTCACCATGTTGGCCAGGCTGGTCTCGAACTTCTGACCTCAGGTGATCCACCTGCCTCAGTCTCCCAAAGTGCTGGGGTTATAGGCATGAGCCACTGTGCCTGGCCCAAATAAGTGCTTTAATTTTTTTTCTTTGAGATGGCTCACTTCAATCCCCACCTCCTGGGTTTAAGCAATTCTCCTCTCTCAGCCTCCCGAGTAGCTGGGACTACAGGTGCATGCCACCACGCCTGACTAATTTTTTTTATTTTTTGTAGAGATGGGGTTTCATGATATTGGTCAGGCTACTCTCCAACTCCTGATCTCAGGTGATCCACCTGCCTCGGCCTTCCAAAGTGCTGGGATTACAGGCATAAGCCACCATGCCTAGCCAGAACCTTTTTTTAACTCCCTGAGCTGCAACATTAAATGCAGAGTCCCTACTTAGGTGGGCCCAGATCAATAAATTCAGCCTGATCCAACTGTTTGTT
Organism: Homo sapiens; assembly: GCF_000001405.40. Taxonomy (NCBI): domain Eukaryota; kingdom Metazoa; phylum Chordata; class Mammalia; order Primates; family Hominidae; genus Homo; species Homo sapiens. Next base: position 91,041,632 of record NC_000001.11, on the reverse strand, counting down.
CCTTCTACCATTATCCCATATCCTTAATATCCAATCCCATGCCTGTTCTTCAGATTTCTGTTTATATGAATTAGAGAACTCAAGCAGTTCTTTTTCGAGTGTGGTGCACCTCATCGTGGGTCACACTCTGAACCTCACTACTAGGAGCTAGGGGCCTGAAGGCACTTTAGTCTAGTCATAGGTCTAAAAGCAAACAGGGGTATTGGGGGTGGCCCCTGAGGAAAATCAACATTATTTTGTCTGGCAACTGTCTCAGGGGAGGCCATCACTATTTCCTCAGGCAGTGCAAGGTTTATCTCCTCAGACAAAGTGGAAAGGCTGATGGCAGCATGGGTCAGCAAGGGGATGTTGCCACTACTGGGATGGCGAAGCTGTTCCTTCTGGCAAAAAAGGTTCATCAGAGTTTACAAACTCAGTGGCCCCAGCTTCATCAGGGTCCTCCCACACATCCCCCATTCTAAGTTGCAGGGTCCCATTCTTTTCCAGTCAATGCCCTCACTTTAACAGTAGACACCTGGAGAGGCTGTGCATGCACATTTCATTGCAGGTCAGCCACTCGCATGATAAGAGCTTGCGTCTGTTTTTCCACAATTTCAGCTCTTTCTCTACAGGAGATAAGACTCTCATTTATGGCAATCTTAGCAGATTTGAGGCTCAGTATCTTCCTCTGAAGCAAGGATACAGAATCCCTGAGTTCATCGTTTTCTTTCATCACTTTGTCCACTGAACTTAGGAGTAACCAACCAGCTTCATTATGTTCCTTGGTTCTTCACATATAATCAAAGGTACTATGTATGGAGTCACTAATCTCCTTGTTGCTCATGAGCGGTGAATCAGGAGTGTCAAATGCATTTATTTTGCATAACTCTATAAGCAGTTCATGCCAAGGACTATCAGTGTTCTCCATACTATTAGAAGTAGAGTCCTTAGCATTTTCAGGTCTCACCATATTAAGCAGCTAACTCCAGAAACCCCAAAACCAATGAAAGAACTCCATCCTTAATATTCTGTTTCTCTGGAACCCCACTCCTGGCACCAAAATCTGTATTAGTCATGGTTCCCTAGAGGGACAGAACTAATAGGATATATATATATATATATATATACACACACACACACACATATATATACACACACACACATATATACACACATATATATACATATATAGATACACACATATACACATATATATACATATATATACACATATATACACACATATATACACATATATATACACACATATATACGCATATATATACACACATATATATGCATATATATACACACATATATATATGCATATATATATGCATATATATATGCGTATATATATGCATATATATATATGCATATATATATATGCATATATATATATATAGGAGTTTATTAAGTATTAACTTACACAATCACAAGGTCCCACAATAGTCTGTCTGCAAGTTTGAGGAGCAAGGAGAGCCAGTCTGAGTCTCAAAACTGAAGAACTTGGAGTCTGATGTTCGAGGGCAGGAAGCATCCAGCATGGGAGAAAGATGTAGGCTGGGAGGCTAGGCCAGTCTCACCTTTTCATGTTTTTCTGCCTGCTCTATATTCGCTGATTAGATTGTGCCCACCAGATTAAGGGTGGGTCTGCCTTCCCCAGCCCACTGATTCAAATGTTAATCTCCTTTGGCAACACTCTCACAGACACACTCAGGAACAATACTTTGCATCCTTCAATCCAATCAAGTTGACATTCAGGATTAACATCACAGTGTGCCCTTGCTTTTTGATATCCAGTTACACTGGTCTTCTATCAGATTTTGAATGCATCTAAATCTTTCCTGACCCAGGGCCTATAATATGCTGTCCCCGTACAGAAACTAATTACCTGACCAGGCACAGTGGCTCATGCCTCTCAGCCCAGCACTTTGGGAGGCCAAGGCAGGCAGATCACCTGAGGTCAGGAGTTCAAGATCAGCCTGGCCAACATGGTGACACCTCGTCTCTACTAAAAATACAAAAATTAGCCAGGTGTGGTGGCGCATGCCTGCAATCCCAGCTACCTGGGAGGCTGAGGCAGGAGAATGGCTGGAACCCAGGAGACGGAGGCTGCAGTGAGCCGAGATTGCTCCACTTCACTCCAGCCTGGGTGACAGAGCGAGACTCCATCTCAAAAAAAAAAAAAAAAAAAAAAGAAAGAAAATAATTTCCTTCTTCCAATTCATCATTAACTCCTGCTCACCCTTCTGGTCTAGGTCAATCATCATTTCCTTGGGGATGACTTTTCTGTGCTACCAAGTCCTTTCAAAGCATCATGTACTTCTATTTCATAGCACTTTTTATACTTAAAATTTGTAGGTACATGTGTGATTATTTGATAATTTCTGTCTCTTCCATTCGGCTCTAAGCTATGTGAGGGAAGGCATTATGTCTGTATTTCTTCACTAATATATATCCCTAGTTCCAGATACAGTACCTCGTCCATATTAGGTTCTTTTTTTTTTTTTTTTGAGACAGTATGTCACTCTGTTACCCAGTCTGGAGTGCAGTGGCATGATCACAGCTCACTGCAGCCTCGATTTCCCAGGCTCAAGCGATCCTCCCACCTCTGCCTCCTGAATAGCTGGGACTACAGGAACATACCACTATCCCCAACTAATTGTTGTATTTTTTGTAGAGATGGGGTTTCACTATGTTGCCCAGGCTGGTCTTCAACTCCTGGACTCAAGAAATCCACCTGCTTTCGCCTCCCAAAGTGCTCTGATTACAGGCATGAGCCACCGAGCCCCGCCTCCAAGGTAGGTTCTTGATAAATGTCTGTAATATTGAAACACAGGGATTAGAGGGGGGTTAGACCTAGAGTGATGGGTTATGAAGGTTTCACTGAGGAAGTGATCTTCTTTAAGAGATAATTAAAGCATGACTAGAAGTAGTTAGGTTAAGAGGAGAGCAAAGCATTTCAGGCAGAGGAAACAAGTGGGGAAACTTGCGAGATAAGCAATAGCCTGTGTAGTGAATCCCAGGAAAGGAGAGTTTCACAGTGACTGGAGCTGAAAGAGCGACAGCTTGGGAAAGAATGTGGAATTTATCCTAAAGGGAATGAGTAGCCTTTGGAGGGTTTTAAACAAAGTGTTGACATGGACAGAGCTGCATTTTCTGGCTGCTGTATAAAGACTGGATTGGATGGGAGAGAAGAGGCCTAAGTATGGGGAGACATTACCATAGCCCAGGTAGACTACGGTAGTGGCAATGAGGATAGGGAAATGAACAGACTTGAGACATTCATGTCTAAGATGTGGAAGGAATAGACTTGATGACTAATTAAATGTGATGATTGAGGGAGAGATTGAAGTCAGGAATGACTGCCAGGTTTTAACTTGGACAGCACTAGAGTGGATGGTGTACTACTGAGACTGGGAACACCAGAAAGGGCTTGGAAAGGAGATTAGTTAGTTTTGGACAATTTAATTTTGAAATATTCTTAAGACACCCAAATGAAGATATTCACAAAATAGTTGGAAATATGAGTCTGTCAGAAATAGGAGTGGTTCATGAGAGATCTGACATGGAAATAAAAATTTGGGATTTAGCATTTAAGTGGTAATTGAAACCCTAGGACCCTTGGTAGTAGATGAGATGTCTAAGGAGAGTATATGGAGTAGGAAAACACCTCAGGCAGTCTTGAGCAATTTCAACATGTAACAGTCGAGGTGAAGGACACCACAAAGGAGACTGGGAAGAACTTAAGAGAGAAACTGCAGAGAAACGGGGAGAGTGCTGTGCCGCAGAAGTCAAAGGAACACAGCGTCTTTAGGAGGAAGTATCCTCTTATATTGATGTTCAATTTCTACTATTTACATCTTAGTTTCTTGGAAGAAGCTCACCTAAAATATTTCTCACCTACTGAGACTTTTTTATTCCATCTTCCTGAAAAGTCCGCCCTCCTTTCTCTGCTTTGAGAAAAAGAAAACAAAGTTTTATTCCATAACTATCTCCGAGAGCATCTTTCACATTTTACTGTAGTCAGCTGTTTTCAAGACTGTCTTCCTTTTTGCATCATGACCAGTACAGTGCCAGGCACACAGGGGGAATTCAATGAATGTTAGTTGGAACATTCATTATATATAATATTAAGAATTCTGTTATTTATTAAATATTTACTGTTTCTGGGTACCTGTGCTACTATTTGATTTATAATAGCTTTTTAAAAGTCTTATAAAAAAACTGTGAGGGGGTATGATTATCCCCATTTTATAGATGAGGACGCTGAGGCTCAGAAAGAAAAGTAACTTCTCTAAAGTCGCACAGTAAGTTGCAGAGCTGCAATTCACAAACAAGACTGCCTGATTCCAAAGTCCATGCTTTTAACCACCACCTCTCCCAAGAGAAGTAAACATTCACATTTTCCAGACATCTGTGGAAGAGACATTTTTGAACTGGCAGCTTTCCCAATTCATCTCAAATCATAGCACATAAGCAACAGCCTGCTCTCATTCCAAGAATGCTTTATTCTGGGTCTGACAGAGCCCCTACTGTGCTGCCTTCCCTACCTGCAAAATAATAGATTTTTCCTTCATTCACTCACCTAAGCCTGCCTGCCTGAGCAGATTCTGGCTTCCTAACCAGGAGGTCTCTCTTCAGATTAGTACTCTAATTCCATTTTTCCCTTCCTAACAGTTCTTATATTGTGCCCACCAGATTAAGGGTGGGTCTGCCTTCCCCAGCCCAGTTGATTCATAGGATTACTTAAGAATCCTTTGCTTGAAGTGCCCATAGTGGTTTCTTATTTATCAACTCTTAGTGTTGAGCTACAGTCACGATAATAGAATGTAAGCTTCACAGGGACAGGGATCTTGTCAATTTTGTTTATAGCATTGTGCCCAGGATCCTAAACAGTGTGATTCCTGCGATCCAGTAGGCATACAATAGATAATGGCTGACTGAATTAGCATGTCAGTGATGGAATCCCAAACTTGGCTCTTACAACAATTTAGGTATCTTGTACTCTGGCACTTTGCAGAGAGAAATCATAAACTCATAGATGCCAGGAGAAAAACGATTTCCACGACGGTTTGCCTGAAGGCTCGCAGGCCAATCTTTCAAGATACAAGCAAACCTAAGGGTGGGTGAGGGGAGGCAGAGTAGGTTACCTTTGGGAAGAGGGGAAATTCTTCACAAGTCACCACAGATAACTCACAAAGCAGTCTGTCTTAAGGGTTATTTATGTAAGTATTCTCCAATTATTTATCTAAATAAAAAGTACTGAGAGCACACTTATAATAGTAATAAGCCTAACAATTCCTTATCTCAATAGTTAAGCTTCCGAAAACTAGGGGAAATTAAGAATTCCAGCGTCAAACCTTCTTCACTTTTTTTTTTTTTTTTTTTTTTTTTTTTTTTTTTTTTTGAGACGGCGTCTCCCTCTGTCGCCCCAGACTGGAGTGCAGTGGCGCGATCTCGGTTCACTGCAAGCTCCGCCTCCCGGGTTCACGCCATTCTCCTGCCTCAGCCTCCCGAGTAGCTGGGACTACAGGCGCCCGCCACCGTGCACGGCTAATTTTTTTCGTATTTTTAGTAGAGACGGGGTTTCACCGTGGTCTGGATCTCCTGATCTCGTGATCCGCCTGCCTCGGCCTCCCAAAGTGCTGGGATTACAGGCGTGAGCCACCGTGCCCTGCCGCCTTCTTCACTTTTAAGAGGCTGATTCATGAATCTGCTCTTATTTTCTGTTACTATTTCAACTATTCATCCTGGCAAGTATACTTGCAGGCACGATACTGATATTTGGCTCCATGTATGCTTTACATTTAATTAGGGATGATGATTATCCTGGGATTTCTGGCCAGATTACTTATGATGGCTATATAGAGAATCTGTGCATTGACCTCGTTTAGGGAAGTATCTGGCACACGATTTCTTTTCCTATTAAAAAGTCACGGCCAGGAGCGGTGGCTCACACCTTTAATCCCAGCACTTTGGGAGGCCAAGGCCGACAGATCATGAGGTCAAGAGATCCAGACCATCCTGGCCAACATGGTGAAACCCCGTCTCTACTAAAAATACAAAAATTAGCTGGATGTGGTGGTGCGTGCCTGTAGTCCCAGCTACTCGGGAGGCTGAGGCAGGAGAATCGCTTAAACCCGGGAGGTGGAGGTTGCAGTGAGCTGAGATCACACCACTGCACTCCATCCTGGCAACAGCAGAGCGAAACTCCGTCTCAAAAAAAAAAATTCACTATTTTTGGCCAGGTGTGGTGGCTCACACCTGTAATCCCAGCACTTTGGGAGGCTAAGGTGGGTGGACCACTTGAGGCCAGGAGTTCGAGACAAGCTTGGCCAACATGGTGAAACCTTGTCTCTACTAAAAATACAAAAATTAGCCAGGCCTGATGGTGGGTGCTTGTAATCCTAGCTACTTGGGAGGTGGAGGCAGAAGAGTTGCTTGAACACAGGAGGTGGAGGATGCAGTGAGCTGAGATTGCACTACTGCACTCCAGCCTGGGTGACAGAGAGAGACTCCACCTCAAACAAACAAAAAAATTCACTATCTTTATAGGGATAGAGAGATTAACACTTTGTCTCTTTAGGGATATTGCAGGCAGATGCTCCTTATTCCATTTTGTTCCTTTTTAGGAAAGTCTCGTTGTCACAAGAAAACTTCTACCGGGGCTATTACAAGACCATTTCGTTTTTATGCACAATGCAAAAAGTTGTTGCTTTTTCTGTTTCTAGTGCTTCTTTGCAACATTTTTTTCATATTAGTCAGATTGGCTATCACTGCTCATTTCCAAAGCCTACTGCCAAACTCATCAATTTCTATTCCCAACCTTTAGGCATTTGGTATTTTCGCCTTTTCACTAAAATAAATATCCCTTATGCATTCGTGCACATTTTAAATTTTTTTAGGCTAACAACAGCAGAAGAGAAAAGAACATGTGTATGTCTATCTTTTCCTCTTTATTACTGTTTAGTATTCTCTTCTGGTGGTGCCCTAAAAGACAGAATATTCTATCCTAGAATTATAATTTCATATGGGATTTCCTAGTATACTCAAAACTGATGTAATGGTAGAAAGAAAGTTTTACTTTTCTATCTCCCCTCAAAGCAAATGTGATTACTATCTTTACATTCTCTCTTCCCCTGCCTGGTGTGTGTGTGTGTGTGTGTAAACACACAACTGCAGATATTTGAGTATTATGTATCTGATATCTCTCTTTAAAGAGGATAAAGAGATACACTTCCATTTGATGCAACAGTGATACATTACTTAATATGTACAGATTTTCTAATAATCTGTTATCCAAACTGTGGGTGAGATAGCAATTTAGCATTCATCTTTAATGAAAAGTCATTGTGAAAATTTATTGAATTTCAAAGAAAGAAAATACCTAAACCTGTTATCTGACAGCATACTAGATAGCTGTGAACATTTCCTTGGGCCCTCAGGTCTCTAGTTATAGATCCTACAAATTCAGTGTTGGCCACACACCTCTCCCAACTTTTAATATCCACAGTAGGCGGGGTGCGGTGGCTCAAGCCTGTAATCCTAGCATTTTGGGAGGCTGAGATGGGCAGCTGATGAGGTCAGGAGTTCGAGACCAGCCTGGCCAAAATGGTGAAACCCCGTCTCTACAACAATACAAAAACTAGCCGTGCGTGGTGGCACGTGGCTGCAGTCCCAGCTACTCGGGAGGCTGAGTAAGGAGAATTGCTTGAACTCGGGAGGCAGAGGTTGCAGTGAGCCAAGATCACACCACTGCACTCCAGCCTGGGCAACAGAGCAAGACTCTGTCTTGGAAAAGAAAAATTATATGTGTGTATATATATATCCACAATAAAAAGGAGGAACCTGAGATGGGTCAAGCTTGAAAATGGGCACTTGCAATGAGGCCACCTTGATTATTAATGGTCAAGTGATGTGTGGCTGATATGAGTCCCGGGGAGACCTATGCTTGGGAAATGCACAGTCCTCTGAGGTCTGCAAGTGATCAGTGTTAGATCCTGTGGGAGTACGTTGCATATTCAGACATGTAAGCCTCAAAGCATGGATCATGTATATTTGGACTATTGTATATTCAGTACCACCTGACGCCTCACAGCTGAGTTAAAGGGCCTCAATAGATAGCTGTTGAATGAATGGATGAAAAATATCTTGGCATGTCTGACAAAGTGGTGGAGCAGATGCCATAGAAATCTGAGTGCTCAAGAGATTAAAGAAACTTCTGGGAGATTAAAGAAACTTCTGGGAGATGAAATGTGTTCAGAGGAAAAACAGGACTGTGTCTCTTTGCCTGTACTATTGACATGTGCTATAGAAAATTACATAATGATATGGAAGTAGTGTTACCATAGATTCTTGGTCCCCAATATCAACAGAACCTCCAGCTCTATTCAAATGCCAAGAGTTCTGGGTCTGGGTTCTCCAGCAGCTGTTTCAAACCTACTCCACCTTCTTCAAGACTTCTGCCAACCTATTTTAGGTCATTTGTGCAGAAAGCTTTGCTGCCAATCTTACCAACAAAATAGACAGCATTTGAGCAAAGAAATCTTTCATCTGCCTGATACCCCATGTTGAAATATGTCAAATAGGAGTGTTATCTGTCTCTGTCCAAGTGTACTCTGAATACCCTTCATATTCAACCACTACAAGAAACTCTCTCCTTCCATGCTCTCTCTTTAAAAACACTTTAAAGAATTTTATTCAAACTATTGTATATTGTAACAATAAACAGTACATATTTAAAGTGTACAATTTCATAAGTTTTGACATATATCTACACCAATGAATCCATCACCACATTCAAGAAAATAAACATACCACCCCCAAACATTTCCTCATTTCCTAATATAAAACCCTTACCCTCACACCTGCCTCTTCTTCCTCCACAACAGGCAACCACTGATTTGTTGTCTGTCACTGCAGATTAGTTGCATTTTCTAGGGTTTTATATAAAGATAATCACACAGCAACTATTCTGTTAGGTAGGCTGGCTTTATACATTAATCTACTGATGGGCATTCATGTTGTTTCCAGTTTTTGGCTGTTAGCAATAAAGCTGCTATAAAAATTCTTGTACAAGTCTTTGTGTGCATGTGTATTTCTTTTATCTTGAGTAATTACTTAGCAGTAAAAGGGATGAATCATGTTCATTATAGGGTGTGTATTTTTAACTTTTAAAGAAACTACCAAGCTTTTTCCTAAAGTGGTTGTACCATTTTACATTCCCATAAGCAGTGTGATAGAGTTCTAGTTGTTATATATCCTTGACAACACTTGGTATTGTTGGTCTTGTTATTTTTAGCCATTCTCATTCAGATGTGTAATGATATCTCATTTGGAGTTTTAATTTACATTTCTCTAATGACTAATGAGTATTTTTCATGTGCTTTTTTTTTTTACACCATTATATCTTTTTTGGTGAAGTGCCTGTTCATTCGTTTGTCCATTTTTTATTAGGTTATTTATTTACTTATTGTGTTTTGAGAATTCTTTATATATTATGGATACAAGTCCCTTATCAGTTGTGTAATTTGCAAATATTTTTTCGTAGTCTGGGGTTGTCCTTTCATTCTCTAAGTCTTTTAAGGAGCAAAAATTCTAAATTTCAATGAAGTTGATTTTAACAACTTTTTCTTTCATGAATTGTGCTTTTGGTGTCATTTCTCAAAAATTTTTGCCTAGCCCAAGCTCACAAAGATTTTCTCCTAAATTTTTTTTGGTCTAGGTTTTAGATTAGGTCTATAATTCATTTTGAGTTAATTTTAGTATATGAATCAAATTTCAATTTCTTACATATGGATATTTAATTTTTCCAGTATCATTTGTTGAAAAGACTATCCTTCTCTATTGAATTGCCTTTGCACCTTTGCTGAAATTTAATTGACCATGTAATTGTGGGTCTATTTCTGGACCCTCTATTTTCTTTTATTGATCTATTTGCCTATCTTAATGTTAATACCACACTATCTTGATTACTATTTTCCATGCTGGCCATGTCATAGACCACTTGCCAGCCTATGGATTAGTTTCCTTCGGATCAGGTGCCCATCCCGTGTCCAGTCAGATGTAGCTAAGTGTTGGGGAGAGCAGTTTTGCAGAGTGCAAAGCAGGGCTGCTGAGCACTACCTCTCCATGCAAGCTGAGGGCAGGGCAGCTTCCTGTAACATGTGCTATGATTATGCAGGTACAAGCTGCATAAATAACCTACTCTTCTCTCTGCATCCAGTTTTACCTCTTCAATACATTGTATATATTTCTAAAGTGCAAATTTTACCATTTAATTTCCTTTTAAGATCCCTCAATGGTTTCCCATTGCCCTTAGGATCAAGTCCAAGTTCCTTGTCCTTAGCAATCCAACTTCTGCTTCTCTTTCCAGTTTCATTTCTTACCACACTTACTCTTGCCACTTCTTGCATGTATACTCTGGTTTTGTGAATTACTTACCATTCCCTAAACATGGCATACTCTCTTGTACTTCTTATACTTTTTTCATGTTTCCCTCTGCGAAGAATATCTTTACCCCTACTCTTTCCCCCCAACTAGATTTTAAAAGTCTTTTAGGTCTTCACTAGTCTCAGTGGCTCATGCCTGTAATCCCAGCACTTTGGGAGGTCTAGGTGGGTAGCCCAGGAGTTCAAGACCAGCCTGGGCAACATGGCAAAACCCCAACTCTACAGAAAAATTTAAAAATTAGCTGGGCGTGGTGGCGTGTGCCTATAGTCCCAGCGACTCAGGAGGCTGTCATGAGGATTGATTGAACCTGGGAGGTCGAAGCTGCAGTGAGCCATGATCATGCCACTGCACTCCAGCCTGGGTAACAGAGAGAGATGCTATCTTTAAAAAAAAAAAAAGGAAAAAAAAAGTATTTTATGTCTTCTCTTAGATATGACATCGATTTAATTTAACAAATTTTTATTAAGCAACTAATGTGAGCTAAGAAATGCCCTGCACTGTAAGAAACAAGATTAATAGGGCCCTTATCTTCACGTAGCATAGAGTCTAGAGGAGGAGGTAGTCATTAAACAAGTAATTATAGTAAAATCCACATGTACAATAATGTAGAAATAACATGGTGAAATTATGTTCCCTGACAATGCAAAACCAATTTTAATACATCTGGCTATTAATCCTGCCCTCTCCCCAGTTCCCGTTTTCAATGTGGTGGGTTAAAGTTCCTATCTTGGAGGGGAAGACAAGGTGAAGTGGACCTCTGCACACCCAGGAAGTGGGACTCTGCATTCCCAGTATTCTCCCAGCCCAATCTGCCTGTATTAGACAGATCAAATGGCTGTCAAGAAGCCCAGAGATTCCTGGAATCAGTGCTACGATTCTGTAATTCCCAGCTAGTCATAGAGCCTAGAGTTATCCCCTGTATATTTATTTAAGCTGGAGAAGTCAAGTACCAGCAGACGGCTCCGAACTCTAGCTGAGACCAGAATGGATTTTGGTCACACAGCCAGACACTTGGTGCTCTCCAGCAAACTATGTGGGATCACTCCAATCATTTCATTAATCTCATAATAATATGACCTTGTAATTTGTGAAACTGAATTTTTAGATTCTATTTGTTCAGTTATAGTGGGGTTTATGTACACATGAGATAAGTATAACAAAAGAAGCACTGAGTGGTTTTTGAGTATGAGGTAAGAGGGTGACGGAAAGTGGCTCTGACAGAAGCCCAGGTGAATCCAATCAGCCAATTACATTAATTGGGACTGCTGAAGTATCAAGGCAGGCCCACAATGGTTAACTTAAAATGCAGGTGGGGCCGGGCGTGGTGGCTCACGCCTGTAATCCCAGCACTTTGGGAGGCCGAGGCAGGTGGATCACTTGAGGTCAGGAGTTTGAGACCAGCTTGGCCAACATGGTGAAACCCCGTCTCTACCAAAAATACAAAAATTAGCCAGGCATGGTGGTGTTCACCTGTAATCCCAGCTACTCGCGAGGCTGAGGCAGGAGAATTGCTTGAACCCAAGAAGTGGAGGTTGCAGTGAGATTGCACCATTGTACTCCAGCCTGGGCTACAGAGTAAGACTCCTTCTCAAAAAAATAAAAAATAAAAAAATGAATGTATAGGCAGGCATATGCCAAGAAGGAAAGCATATATGTAAATATATGTACACATACTTATGTATATTATATTTATATATAAATATACATACATAAATATTTGTATATACATAATTTATATGTATATTATATACACACAGGTCTTATATGTATATATATTTGCATTTATATATGCATATATTGTGATTATCTATATATGCATACATGTAGATTATATATATGTATATACAAATATATGCATTTAAATATAAATTATATTTACATATATAATCTACATATATGTATATATAAATAGATAATCACAAATTGGCCTACATTTGGGTAACCTATAAAATTGGTCAAAGGATTGTTGATATTAGCTATCCAAAACTAAGGAACTTAATCAAAGGGATATTTAACTGAAACTTGAAGAATGAGTAGGAATTAGCCCAGGTGAAGGAGTGGGAAGATGATTCTAGGCAGAGAAGGCATCCTCCAGAAGCCTTCCCTGGTCCACTAGACTGGGTTAGGACTCCCTCTTGGTGTTCCCAAGGTCCTACTGGATGCCTATTTCTAGCCCACCCTTATCACATGTGTCACAATGGTTTTTTTCTTTATTTTCCCCCATTAGACTGTAAGCTCCTTGAAGATAGAGACTGAGTAATTAGGGCCCAGTAGCATATCAATTCCCTCTGTGTGAAGGAATTCTCTCTGGGCAGAGGGATTGGGAAGGTAACTCTCTATGCAGAAGAATTAGAAACAGGCTGTTACAGACTCATGGGGTCAAGGATTGCTTCATAAGAAGTATCCTTGCCAGAAGAAAATGGCACTCTTTCTTGCAGATGGATTCAGCCCTGCACTAGGGGGCATGAGCTGGTGAGTAAGGAACAGGTTGAGTTTCAGCCTCCATTCACCTACTTGTCATCTTTGTACCGTGTACAAACTCCACAACTGTACATAGTGACCCTGTAGATTTTTCTCTGTAGTATCTACAGTGACTATTATAAAGCCCAACACATATTAAGTAAATATTTAGAAAACAGTCCATAAAAGTAAAAGCTTAGACTAGAGACTCCAATAATGGGTTACTTAGTACCATATGTATTCTAGATTGTTAGCTATGGCCATATTGGTGCCTGGCAATAAAATGGTGCTGCCATGTGGAATGCAGTTGTTTCCAGCAGGAGGCTCATCAGTAGCCACAGCAGATGGCTTGCCAAATCAGAGAGGGAATGAGGTAGCTAATAGGACCTGTTCCTAAGTACAAATGCCCCCTTAAGAGACTTTGCAGGCATTTTAAGCGTCCTGCAGTAAAAAGGGATGACAAAACCCAGTGAAATCTGGGTTACTTTATTTTTTATTTTTTGAGATGGAGTCTCACTCTGTTGCCCAGGCTGGAGTACAGTGGTGCAATCTCAGCTCATTGCAACCTCCACCTTCCGGGTTCAAGTGAGTCTCCTGCCTCAGCCTCCTGAGTAGCTGGGATTACAGGCGCCTGCTACCACACCTGGCTAATTTTTGTATTTTAGTAGAGAAAGGGTTTCACCATGTTGTCCAGGCTGGTCTCGAACTCCTGACCTCAGGTGCTCTGCCCGCCTCGGCCTCCCACAGTGCTGGGATTACAGGCGTGAGCCACTGCACACAGCCAAGTCTGGGTTACTTTAGAAGCTAAGAATACATCTGTGGATGAACTATCCTCCAGTGTCCTGTATCCCTTGGGAACTTAGCTCAATTACGACAGCCTGATCAGAATATGAATTGAGGAAAATAAAGCTTGACATAGTTTTTGAACTTAGGCTGTGTACGTAATGATGTAGTGGGGCAACTACTAAGTTGATGAAAGTCAATTTACCAAAACAGAAGTAAGGGAGTTTAAAAAAAGTCATGCAATTATCACATTCCACTAGATTCTAAGATACCACTGAAAGGTGTGCCCTTATTTTATGAACCCCTACGAAAGAAAAAACTGGTAATTACAAATTATGATTGTAAGACACAATTTGAAATGTTACAACATTTTTAAAAAAAGTAATAGAATTGATGAAATACGGATTATAAATACTTCATCTTCTTGTGGTTTGTATGTTATATATCTTAAAAGAAAGATTTTAACTCTTAAAAGAGTTATTGTCCTGGTGAAAGCAGACTAAACCGTCCAAGTTCCCTTGACAGGTACATCATCATGGCAGAGTGCAATTTGCTATCAAAGTTTCATGATACCATCTGCTGAGATCATATTCATCTAATTCTATGCTCATCAAGCAAGTAAATTGGTGTTCCTAGCATCCTTCTCTACAGAGAGGGAATGTGCTGACCAGTCTGCTTAGGTATTCCATTATGATTGGCAGTCAAAAATTTTACTGTAAATTAATATATCAGCGTTTGATTTACTTATTAATCTCTTACGCATTTCATCTATCTGCGCTTGATCAACTCTGGTTCAACTGATTCTCAACCTGCAAAGCTAAGAGCCAAACTCCAGAGGAAAATGATACCACAGCATTATCATCACTAGGTGAAGCACCAATTGAACAATGAGCTGATCTCTTTCTTTGTCAACTTTAACACGCAAGTTGCACATGCACATGAACATGCAACTTTTGATCCATTCCACCACAAAATATTTGAGAGCTGAGTGTGTTCTATTTACCTTCACATCCTCCAGGGGGCATGCATAATGATATGCTGAGTAGAATAGCAAATGTGTTTCTGAATATTAGATATAATTTTCATTAAATATGTGTATACTAAATCTATTTTGTACTATGTTTTATGAGCCTTTGTTTTTAACTGAGATTTGGAGAACTTTATTATCTATTCCTTATGTCCTCCATTCCCTGGTAAATTGAGAGTTGATTGTACCTTTTTGTCTAGCTCTTTCTTTGAAGTATAAAAGCACTGCATTCATTCAACAGTATTTATTGAATAGCTTCAAGGAACTGTCTTATTCATTTTTTTCTGACAGTGCCTAGTACAGTACCTTGCATAGAGTAAACAATCCACGAATGTTGGTTGAACTGAACGGAATTATTTATCGCATACCTGCTATGTGTAAAGCTCTGTGCTCAGGTCAGCGTGGAACAAAAATAAATACAAAACTTGGTTTCTGTTTACATCATCTCTCTTTCTACTCCACACATCCTCCCTACCCCCACTCCAATGAACAAACATACTGAACTATTTGCAGTTCCACAAGAGTGACTTGCTTTACAGTTTTGGTATTAAGAGGTTGATCCAGAACTAGTGGGATACTGAGCAAAATCCAAACTTGATTTGACTTTATTACTAGTAGATTAATGTTTCATTTCTTTCTTTTTGCTTGGAATTATAAAGCATTGGAATGAGGAGAATTATTTGTTTTTATCCAACACTGAACTGCATTTTCTTTTTGAGCAAGTCATTTGAGACCACAACTTACTTTATTTATTTATTTATTTTTGAGACGCAGTCTTGCTCTGTCACCCAGGCTGGAGTACAGTGGCGGGATCTCGGCTCACTGCAATCTCCGCCCCCCGGGTTCACGCCATTCTCCTGCCTCAGCCTCCTGAGTAGCTGGGACTACAGGCGTCCGCCACCACGCCCGGCTAATTTCTTGTATTTTTAGTAGAGACAGGGTTTCACTGTGTTAGCCAGGGTGGTCTCGATCTCCTGACCTCGTGATCTGCCTGCCTTGGCCTCCCAAAGTGCTGGGATTACAGGCATGAGCCACCGTGCCTGGCCACTTTATGTTTTTTATCAGGTAATTCCATTCACTGATAATCTGGTAATCACTAATGGATTCATACACTGTGTTAATATGGTCAGATTTTAACATATTAACAGTAGCCACATTATTAAAAAGTCAAAAAATAACATGCTGGTGAGGTTGCAGAGAAAAGAGAACACTAATATGCTGTTGGTGGGAGTGTAAATTGGTTCAACTGTTGTGAAAAGCAGTGTGGCAATTTCTCAAAGAGTTGAAAACAGAACTACCATTCAACCCAGCAATCCTATTGCTAGGTATATACCCAAAGGAATATAAATCATTCTACCATAAAGACACATGCATGTGTATGCTCACTGAAGTATCCCTCACAATAGCCAAGACTTGGAATTAACCTAAATGCCCATTAGTGGTAGACTGGATAAAGAAAATGTGGTATATATATACCTTGGAATACTATGCAGCCATAAAAAGAATGAGATCATGTCCTTTGCAGGAACTTGGATGGAGCTGGAGGCCATTATTCTTAGCAAACTAATTCAGGAATAGAAAACCAAAGGCTGCATGTTCTCACTTATAAGTGGGAGCAAAATGATGAGAACACAGGGACACAAGGGAGGGAACAACACACACTAGGGCCCACCTGAGGGTGGATGGTGGGAGGAGGGAGAGGATCAGAAAAAAATAACTACTGGGTACTAGGCTAAGTACCTGAGTCATGAGATAATCTGTACAAAACCCCAGTGACATGAGTTTACCTATATAACAAACCTGCATATGTACTCCTGAACCTAAAATAAAAGTTTAAAAACAACAACAGCAACAAAAACCAGCATCTTGCTTTTTATTTCTTTAAAACATTTACCAGGTGTATTCATTGGAGCATCATTTTATTCACAATGTGTTATGAATTTTCTCCCAAACTGTTTTCCACATCTTGACTTTCATTCTCAACTGTGATTTCCTTAAATATTTTGGCACTGAGCCACATAACTTGTCTTTGGATTTTTTCAGTTGCCTGTATGTTTTTTTCTGTCCATAAGTTTATTGTCTTTATCTGAAAAATCCTCATAGAAAATTGTTTGGTTTAGCTCTCAGCAGCCCGCTCCTGAGCTCTGAGGAAGCTTGCCTTCTTTTGAGCTACCCAATCTTTCTTCTGAGCAAGGGACATTTTGGGTCGGTTCCACTTCTTCTTTTTAACTTCTTTCTTGGGCTTCTTTTCACAGACTGGACTCTCTCGTATAGCAGCATGAGCTTTCTTACACATCTCTTCCATCATGTCTGGAGTTACACTGTTCTTCATGTATTGAGAGAACTGTTTCTTGTAACCATCTTCATCTTCTTCCATTAAGTAGCACATGTAATCTGCAACATTGTGGCCCATGATGTGCTTCCTGTGTACTTCTGCATTAAATTTCTTGCTTTCAGAATCATAACCAGGGAATCATTTAGTACTGTGAGGGACAGACAAGCCCCCATGCACAGCTCCCTTCAGAGTGCCAAAAACTTTACTGCCAGTAGTAGTTCTGGCAAGGCCTGCATCCTAATTGCAGGTAAAGGCACCTGGCTGACCATCAATGCTTACCACATTGTAGTCATCGCCAGTTGCCTCCACTTGGCCTTCATAGATCTTGTCCATGTCAAACCTATTGAGAAGCCTGCGGTCCAGCAGCAGGCCAGTACAATACGCTGCAGCATAATTTGTCAGGTCAACCTTCACACCATATTTTGGCAGTTCGTGTACATATGCTGTGCAGACTATCATATCCCCCTCTGTACGGGCATAAGCAATCTGACAAATGATACTCTGTTTGTTCCACGAACTATCATCCTGTATTTGGGTATGTTGTATTCATTTTTATCCTGTATCACCAAGTGTTTCTGAGCATAGTAATCAGTTTTACCCTCTCGTCGTCTTCTAAATTTCACTTGATATCTCTTAAAGTAGGCCTTATTCTTAATAACTTTTACAAACCCCATCCTGCAGAACAGAGACCCACGTCTGCGGCTAGACAGAGAACTCACGTGTATTTTTTTTTCTTTTCGCATTACCTTATTCAAGCTTTCTGTCATTATATTTTCTGCCATTCATAGAAGCTTTTGAGATCCATTTTGTACAGCGTTTCATCAACTATTACTACTTCTACTATTATAATTACTATGATTACTTTTACTGCTATTATGACTTCCACAGTATTACAATTCAGTTGCTGAGTTCTAGTGTAAAAAACAGCTTCATTAGTGAGACAAGTTCCTGATCATGGCTGAGTTCTGAATGATTCTATTTGCTTGTGTGATTTGTCTGCACATTAGTCAGTGGTATACATTAATGACAGTTATTTTCTTAGTAACTGCTTTTACAGTGATATAATGTAAGAATTTCCATAGTACATAATATTTTGTAGTAAGTCCAATAGTAAACTGAGAATGTCCAATTTTAATGGATTCTGCAAACGAAATGATCCAAAGAGCACCCCTCCCCCATTGACTGCAAATATATACGTATTTATATTTTATTGTTTACACATTTGTGTAAATGAAGACAGGAGATTTGCATTTTAAAGAGCCCAAAGAACTGTATGACTTCGAGAAAATCACCTTACTCCTCTTTGTCTCATTGGGTTACAATGAAATCGAGCAAGTTAGAACAATGCCTGGTACACAGTAAGCACTCAAAAGTGTTAGCTATTAAGTAATGAAGCAATTAATGTGTTTAGTCAAATATTTGTTGTTTGGAATCTACGTTTGCTGTTGCTGAAGGCATCATTCCATAGGAAAGAGAATGTTTCTCATTCTTGTCAAATAAATGCAGTTATGGTATATTCTTCCGAATGTCAATAACATCTTGAGGGTTTGGAGGGCCACAGTAATGACAGCTGTACAACTAAGGAAAACTTTTTTATTTTTAAATTTTTAAATGAGTAAACAGAGGTTCAGAGAAGCCAAATAATTAAGGCGGGACCAGTAGATTTCTCAAGAACTCTTGGTTAATCTTAAACATGTTAGCAGTTTCTCGTTGGCTCAGTCGAAAAACAAAAGAATAGCCCACTCAGTGTTTCTCTGCCCCAGGATCCTGTGGTGAAGTCTTGTTAAAAATGAAAATTTCCAGAACCCTCTAGGGACTGATTCTCTGAAGGGTTAACCAGCATCTCACATGCTTCTTATATAACTTTAATTCGTAGAACCACGACACTTTCAGTAATGCAGGGAGAGAGTATCCTCAGAGAGTCAAACTGGAGCAAACCTCGGCCACCTTTCAGGGCAGGCTGTCCGGGTAACTGAGATGTCACACTTGATGCTTTGCCTGGCCATCAAGCAACTCCCAACAATCTGCCCCCTTAAGATCCTAAAACCTTCCCTCTGCCATTACTCCACAGTTGTGATTGGCAAATATTGCTGTTTTCCTCAACAAGAGGAAAATAACAGAGATTTTTGCACGCTCGTGATCGTGGAACTCAAACCTGGGCCTGTTCCACCTTAAAGGGCCTAGGCATGCCTAGTGCTTGGGTCTTGCAGAGTTTGGGCACCACCATATTTGGAGCGTGCCTACTTTGGGGCGGGAACCTCCTTGGGAGTGATTAGGTCAGCGCTGGGGGAGGTGACCTTGTTTGGTTTCTGGCACCCGAGAACAGTGGTGCACTGTTTCCGCTGCCCTCGTTTGTCTAATTGGCCCAGACGCTCCACCAGCGCGAAGCTTCCCGGGAGCTCCTCGCTGGCCACCCCCGCGGCCCGCAGCCCGGCAGAGGCGGGAAAGCAGCGCGCCTGCGCCGTGGGAACCGGGGCTGGAGGCGAAAAGCGGGGAGCGGAGGGGGGCCGCTGGAGCCGAGTAGCGTACAGAGCGGCGTGTGACGCGGGGACGCCGCGTGCTCCCAACGTCGCCCCGGTTTGACGCACACGGCACCAAACTGTGAGTTTCAGGGGTTATTTGGTCAGATTCGCTGGGACCCGAGTGGGTTTCGGGCCTCTGGGCTGTGGCAGCGGCGGGACTGAGGGTGGCGGAAGAACTTGGGGGACCCGGCCTCCGGCTCTCGGGCCCGGGGAGCTACGCCCTAGGCTGGGTCCCAGCCATCCAAAAGGACGCATTTTGCCGCACAGGCTAAGATGGCGGCGGCGGCCGAGGAGGCGGAGTTGGTGCTACACAAGGAGCCCGGGCCCCGGGTTCGGGGAGGCGGCGGCCGCGGCGGTCGCTGGGGGCCACGGAGCCTGAGGTGAGCGGCGGCCGCCGCCGCGGGGCGGGACTCGGCGGGGGGATGGGGGGGGGGCTTTCCGCTGCGGCGTCGGAGGATCCGGTAGCGGACACAAAGGGGCTGAGCTGGGCACTAGACTTGGGGGTTTTGTTTAGTCACATGAAGCCGAGCAGCCAGTGAGCAGTAGGGGGAAGGGGCCGAGATCAGGCGGCTTGGGGAGCCTGGCGGTCGCCATTGCAATGCACTGAGTAACGGGGCGGGCCGAGAGCAGTCACCAACCCCTCTCGTTGAGGCTGCTCGGTTGTGGCCAGAAACGCTGGCTCTGGCATTAACTGTCTACACCCCTCCCCTTACTTGGGACAGGACCGCATAGCCCTCCCCTCCCCCCGTCCTGCAAGATCTTATGCGGCTAGGTGCCTGGGAAGTAACAGCAAGAGGTAAATCGCTCGAAGTGTTTGGGTTGCCAGGGGCTTGGTGGGTGTCCAGCTAAAGCTTTTTGCCTCTCCAGGTCTGATTCTCTGGCCTTTGTGTCCCTGGGAAGTTACTCTGCCAGAGGAAAGCAGGTGTGCTCCACTTCTCCCGTGAACCTGAAGATGAGTTGTCCCAGACTCTTCTCAGTGATTGGAAACTTAGGTGGTGGAGCTAAAGGTTACTTGTTACGAGACTTCTACAGACAACTCTTGTTGGGATCCATCTATGGTTTAGCAACATTAGTGGAAAAGTTTTCTTGAATATTGACTTTGAATATAAAAACGTTTATATTTAGACTTCAGATTTTGTGTGATCATCAAACTCAACGAGGGGATAAACATAATTGGGGGCGAATGATGGTCTTGTCTTGTTAATAATTTCAACAGAAGTATCACAACACCGCCGACTATCCTGTCCAGTCCTAATTCCACGCTTGTTGCATCTGGATGGTAGATTTGTTTTAATTGTGTATTCCCTCCCTGCAGTAGTTTGCTTTAGTTGTAAACATTTTTTGGTCCCATGAGAAGGAAAACATTTCAAAAAATAGACAACTAAAGTTTCTCAAAGAAAGGAAACCTGGCTGTTTGCCTTCAGTTGCATGTGTAAGTATCTAGGGAACTTGATGGCAGTAATATTGCATTTTGGTAGGCTTGCTAAGAAAAACCTCGTTTTTATAATAAGGCTATAATCTAGCTTAGACATTTTAATTGGTGAAGCATAAAGCTTGATTAGTATTAATGCAGTGGTATGTATTGCTTTTAAAAGTCTTACAATTTCTAACAAATTAAAGTTATACTGCAATTATATCATACTTTGTGTTGGTATTAACTCATGAAGTACAAAATTTTGAAACACCTAATGTTTTGTGTTGGCAATTAACAGAATTCCTTGGTTGGAGGGATATTTAAACACATTAGATCACTGTGTAGATCTCTGTGTTCAAACTGAAATTTGAATTTTTCAACATTAGTTAACTTTCATTTCCTTGTTCTTTTCAGATATATATTTTCTCTTTTTTTAGCTTCTAATACAGAACAGTCTTGTATTAATGAATAGGAGATGCATTAACATTAGCAAATGTATTCCTGGATCATAAAGTTTTACAGTGGAAGCAATATCAAAGAACAACTGCTCTTACCCTCCTCTTTTACAATATATTGAGGACCAGAGATGATTAAGTTAGTGGCATAATGGAAAATTGCCTTTCAGCCTCTACCCATTGCTGTTTGTATTTGTCATATTGCTGGGATGAGAAGGTGAATATCTACAACTAATGGTTAAAAAAACAAGGGAATGTTATTGAGAATACTTGTTAATTAAATATTGTTAGGTTCATGAGAACTTCTGTGACAATAAGTTAAAAACTTTCATATTGGCCTGGCACGGTGGCTCACGCCTGTAATCCCAGCACTTTGGGAGGCTGAGGCGAGCAGATCACGAGGTCAAGAGATCGAGACCATCCTGGCTAACATGGTGAAACCCCGTCTCTACTAAAAATGTAAAAATTTCCTGGGCGTGGTGGTGCCTATAGTCCCACCTACTCGGGAGGCTGAGGCAGGAGAATCACTTGAACCCGGAAGGCAGAGGTTGCAGAGAGCTGAGATCGTGGCACTGCACTCCAGTCTGGTGACACAGCAAGACTACATCTCAAAACAAAAAAACAAAAAAACTTTCATATTCTGTGGTTAACTTGGTTTTTAAAGTGACTTTCAGTGAAACAAAATCAGGTACAAAATACAGAAATATCAGATAGTTTCAGAGCAATGTTGCTTTTGAATTTTAAGGTTTTCCAAATGCAGTCTTGACCCAGAAATTGAAAAATTAAAAAACAACAACCAGGGACTTGATAAATTTCTTTGAAAGTTTGAAATAACTGCTGTTATTGCCAGTTATTATGTAGGAAAAGAAATGAGATCAATGCTGAAAATAATGGTGTCTTTCATTTTGTAATAGTGTTTTGGTTGGATAAACGAATGTGCCACTCAGAATGTTCCCTTTCTTTAAAACAACTTTTTAAGACTACTACTTCTACTGAGTGGTACCTCTAAGGTCTGTTAGGAAATTGAACAAGTAGTGACAGTCATTTATGGTGGAACCCTATAGTGATTTTTAACTTCTTTGAATGTCAGATTTAGCAAAAAGTTAAATTGTTTTAAGGTTTTAAAAGTTTTTATGGGTCATATAAGGTGCTTTTAAATTACTGATTTTTGTTAGTTGATAAGCTGTTTTATAATTTTCAACATTATGTGAGTGGATTTACTTACACTTTCATTTTGTGAAAATTAGAGTCACTTTCAGGTTATTTGTAGTTATAAAGTGGTCTGTCACCTGCCAACCTTAAACATTTTCCAGTTTTAGTTTGTCATTCAAGTTATAAGAGTGTTTTGGTTGAATTGAGACTGTTAATGGGTAGCAGGAGGAGAAAAGAAAGTTTCAAAGAGAATAGAAGTGGTGGGATATCTGCAATCTAGAGAAAGGTCAGGTCCATTTTTTTTCTGTCATCCTAAATATTGTTTTTTAGTGTTACTTATTTAGACCATTTTCTCAGGATGTGATTCTGGAAGGAAAAGTGAATCTTATTCTTGGGAAGGCTTTTCAGTCAGGTCTTAAGACAATTGTAGCTTGCAGCAAATGGAGAAATTGGCATGTTGAGTTATCTAACCCTGATTTTATAGAGCACTTGTTTTAACCATTTTTTAAACTGTTTTCTAAATGTTTTAAATTAGTAACCTTGTAAAATAAAACGAGAATGAAGAGTGGATACTGTAATACTATGGATACATATTCAAATGAGCTTTTATTTACACTTATTAATCTTTCTGGTAGAGAGAATGTCTATTTCGTATATGGAGAATCTGTAAATATTGAGTAAAGTTGTCAGGTATAGCATTGACTGAAGCAGTTCTAGAAGTGGTGTTTTTGATTCAGGTTTATTAGAGGGAAATAAATAGCTGCTGTTAATAGTGCAAGCCGTTTACACCATTGAGTTTTGGGAGATTTGAGAATCATGGAACTGATGCTAGCACTAGCTCACCCTGCTGGTTGGCTAAAAGATTTCTCCTCTTCCCCTTAAGAAACAAACATGAAGATCACAGGAGACCCAGAGGGTAGTAAGACTCTAAATTAAATTCTGTCTTTCTTCAGGGAGAGGAAGTTCCCATGAAAAAGGTGTTTTCTTGTCTCTAAGGCCTTAGTTGCTGCATTATAATTTTTTTTGCAGATCTGCCAAGTTGAACCATGGAGTTACTATCCTTTCTTTTTCTTTCTTTTTGGTTGGGGGACGGAGTCTCGGTCTGTTTCCCAGGCGCGGGTGCAGTGGTGCAATCTTGGCTCACTGCAACCTCTGCCTCTCAGGTTCAAGTGATTCTCCTGTCTCAGCCTCTCAAGTAGCTGGGATTACGGGCGCCGGCCACCACACCTGGCTAATGTTTGTATTTTTAGTAGAGATGGGGTTTCATCATGTTGGCCAGGCTGGTCTCGAACTCCTGACCTCAGGTGATTCACCCGCCTTGGCCTCCCAAAGTGCTGGGATTACAGGCGTGAGCCACCGCACCTGGCAGTAGTTACTATCCTTTTTGAACTTCCTGGGAACTCTTATGTGATTATGGAAAGTTAGTATATTTTTATTCTTTTAATTTCAAGATAAGAAATCCTTTGACAATTGAGAGATGTTAGGAAGAAAAACAGCCCTGTGAGAGTAACTTTCCAGGAGGAAAAAAGCAGAGGATTTCAAGAGTAAGAGGAGGAGGAGCCTGCCAGGGCAGAAGTAGCAGCAGTGCACACTTCTCTTGGTTGGGAGAAAGTGAGACTGGATTAAGATTAGCGTTTCTGGGAGATTTTCTTTCCCCTCTCCTACTAATCTTGGCCCTACCTCTTCTGTCTGCTAGCTGTGGTCTTCCCATTTCATTTGGAATCCTTTGAACTGAGATTTTGTAAGTAAAAATAAAGATAAATGATTTGTTCCTTGAAGCTTAATTCTGTTAGCCTAGATTTTGGTAGAATTGAAGCTGGGTTAGAGTGATGAAGGCAGATTTTATGTGTTAAGCCTTTTGGTATGTGTATCTTTTTTTTAAGTTGAAAATACAGCTTTTAAAATACTTTATATAGGCCGGGTGTGGAGGCTCACACCTGTAATCCCAGCACTTTGGGAGGCCAAGGTGGGTGGATCACTTGAGGTCAGGAGTTTGAGACCAGCCTGGTCAACATGATGAAACCCTGTCTCTACCAAAAATACAAAAATTAGCTGGGCATGGTGGCACGTGCCTGTAGTCCCAGCTACTTGGGAGGCCGAGGCAGGAGAATCACTTGAACCCAGGAGGCAGAGGCTTCAGTGAGCAGAGATGCCGTGCCACTGCACTCTAGCCTGGGTGACAGAGTGAGACCCTGTCTCAAATAAAAAAGACTTTGTTCAAACTCTAGAAACGTAAGTATATTTTGAGCCAAATAGACAACTGAAAATTAAAAATACCTAATAAAGTGTTGATTAAAATTCTTTACACTTTACAAAGCATGTTTACCTGTAGTCTATCAATTATTTTATCTAATTTTTTGAAAAGATTAATATTTTACTTAAAAGTATCTCTTTCATTAGTTTCTTGAGGAAGATATTAAATACAGTCATGTGCAGCATAATGATGTTCTTTGGTCAATAGTGGACTGCATTTACGATGGTGGTCCCATAAGATTGTAATACTGTATTTTTACTGTATTTTATGTTCTATGTTTAGATACACAAATACTAAACAGTTATGTTACAGTTGTGTGTGGTATTCAGTACAATAACATGCTTTACAGGAGCATGTTGTAGCCTAGGAACAATAGGCTATACCAAGTAGCCTAGGTGTGTAAGTAGGCTCTACCATCTAGGTTTGTTTGAGTACACTTTGTGATGTTTGCACAGTGACCAAATTGCCTAAGAATGCATCTCTCAGAATGTACATCCATGCTTAAGTGATGTATGACTGTAAAACTAGTACTTTCAGAGCACCATTTATTGGGGAGGAGAGGGGTAATTCCCAATTTATTGTTGGTTTGTGAAGGTGGGTAAAAGGCTTCACAGAGTTGGAATTAATTGCCTTTTGTTTGCTACTGACTCACTAAATACTTTACACACAGACACACACACACATAGAATCACAATTGCAATTGTAATTATGCATATATAAAGAGGCAGGATATGATAAAGTTTGAAAGTGTAAGCCTTGAAGTAAAATTGACAGGGTTCAGATTTAGCTGTGTGAGCACTAGGCAAGTGGAATTAGTAATTACCATCTTCAAAGAGGTTTAGGGTTGATATTACATAATTCATGTAAAGTCCTTAGCTTTCTGGCATACAATGCTGAGTAAAGTAAGTGTTACCTGTTAGAGTAATAATAGTTATTATTACCATTGTTTAATTATTCTTTCTACATTAACTTGAGATTTTCACCTGTGAGTGATTTGCAGTTGTATACTTTTGCTAATGTCCCATTTTAAGCCATGCCGATAAAGACAAGGTTGTTATAGAGGAAGTGAGAGGTAGGCATCAAAGTGTGCCTTCTCTGATTCTAGCAGCAGAATCTTATAACCAGGTTAAATATTTCAGGAATGCATTCCCAGCACTGTCAGCAGATGAGTAGATACACTTGGGAATGAGTACATTTTAATGAAGTTATTTCCCAGCCAGTGCATTGGTTTGTCTTTGTTATAACATGCTGAATTTCTTCACTCTCCTTTCAATTTTTGACTGTGAGGCCATGTGGTGACTATTAGTAGAGAGAAGAAGGTGAGTGGCTATGCGTATTTGTAATGTACGTATAAACCCAAGATGAGAGTGAGGAGTGGCTGGTAGGTAGCTAGATTGAGGCGGGTGGAATATAATCTTTTCATTGGATAGTCTGAGTTGGGAATTTCCCAAACAGCATTTCCTTTTGCTCTTTTCCTCTCCACACTTTGTTTTGTATATGTCTGTGCTGGTATGGTGTTAAAGTTATCAGTTCCCCCTCTTTAATTTTCTTTCTACCACCAACCTCCTCCTAGCACAAACACGGATTTTAAGCTTATAAGCAAATTTGTCAAAGACAGCTAGTAAAAATAATTTTAGGTTCATTTGAGGAGGGGTACTAGTATGAAATTGTAAGTTTTTCATTTATGCTTGAAAAATACAGCAATTTGGAAAGTGAGGGAGGGGAAGTCACCCATAATCTTATTACCATTATATAATTATTAGTATTAAAGACAGATGACGTTAATTAAGCATCTACTATATTCTTTTAATAATCCTGTGATGTATATATTCCCACTTTACATGTGAGGAAACACATCCACTTAATAATGGAGTAGCCAAGTTTGAACCTAGGTATATCTTGAGAAGGTCTAGAGAGGAGACCTTTCTGTTCTACCTTCCTGTTCTTCTTACATATATATCCTTTTACCTAGTTGTTACACAATTTGTAAGTTTCATCTCCTAGTTTTAAAACTTAGCATTATAAAAACATTTTTCTCCCCCCCCTTATTTCAAGTGGTGTCGTATTGCTCTCATTGTCTATTCATACCACCATATAAAGGCTCTTTGTCTTGGCTGCTGGACATTGGTACAATGATGTTGACCAAAATGGATGCTGCCCTTTACTGAGTGACTAAGATGAAAAAAATCAGGCTTAATCAGAACTAATACTTTATGGGATTTGGATTGCTACAGGTTTAATCATGCTATCTATCCTTGCTGGTGGGACATTTGACTTAGAATTGTATATAAGTAAAATATAGATGAAAAATTGTATAATTTATAGCTATCTGAAAACAACTTTTTTTTAATATTTGAACACTTTGAAATGCCTTACACTTCCTTGTTAAAAATCTTAAAGGGATATTAAAATTAAATGGCACTTAATTACTATTAGTAATTCCTAATATAATATTTAATTCATAAAAGAAAAAAGCTTAATGTTGAATTCTGGCACTCATCGGGAAGATGACATTATATGTTAAGAGATAATTTGTGGGGCATAGTAACTATAGTTAATATTGCATACTTGAAAGTTGCTAGGAGAGTACATTTTAAGTGTTCACACCACAAAATATAACTATGTGAGGTAATGCATGTGTTAATTAGCTAGATTTAACCATTGCATAATTTATATGTATTTCAAAATGTGTTGTACACCATAAATATATACAATTTGTATTTATCAGTTTAAGAAGAAGAAGAAGAAAAAGGTAATTTGTGGGCATTTATAAATAGATTGTATAGGTCAGCACTGCCCAATAGAAATATAAGTTGAGCCACAAATGCAATTTTAGATTTTCTATAGCCACATCAAAAAATAAAATAAATAGGTGAAATTTTATTAATGGATTTTTATTTAACCCAGTATCTAAATACTATTATTTCATCATATAAACATGATTGAACTATTTTACATTTTTTCTTTTTTTAACCATGTTAAGTCTTCAAAATCTGTTAGTATTACATACTTAAAGCACATCTCAATTCAGACTAGCCAGAGTTCAGGTATTCAGTAGCCACATGAAGTTACTGTATTGGACAGTGCAATTACAGATAGTAAGTCCTATGGGGTATAGGGAAAGAATAACATAGAAATTGAACTGAACCGTAAAGGATAGCTGAGAACAGAAAATGCTTGAGAAGAATATTCCCATAAAGAAGTGATAGGAATTAAAACAGCAAATACAGTTTGATACCAGGTAATAGAGTGGCTTGAATCCAGTTTAGGGAATTTGGTTTGGGTGTGTATATGTGTGTGTGTGTGTGTATGTGTGTGTGTGTGTGTGTGTGTGTGTGTGTGAGAGAGAGATTGGAAATATATATTGGAGGGTGCCTAATTCGTGTCTCATACATGAGCACTTGATAAATACTGAATTAACTGGGTGCATTGGCTCATGCCTGTAGTCCCAGCACTATGGGAGGCTGAGGTCGGCAGATCGCCTGAGGTCAGGAGTTTGAGACCAGCTTGGCCAATATGATGAAATATCCCGTCTCTACTGAAAATACAAAAATTAGCTGGGCATGGTGGTGTGCACCTATAATGCCACCTACTTGGGAGGCTGAGGCGGGAGAATTGCTTAAACATGAGAGGCGGAGGTTGCAGTAAGCCAAGATCATGCCACTGCATCCCCACCTGGGCGACAGAGTGAGACTCAGTCTCCAAAAAACAAAAGAAAAAAGATAAATATTGAATTAATATTTAGAGAGAATTAATATGACACTACAGAAAATGCTGGAAAAAACATCCTAACAAAGCCTAGTCGATCTTCAAAAGGGAAAGTGTTTCATTTAGGGAATATTGATGTTCTGTGATTAACAATATGATGGAGATTGATAAAGAAGGATGAGAATTGAGAAAAGGTTTTTAGATTTAGCTATTAATTGGTTACTTGTTTTTAAGTATTTTTTTTAGGTATAACATACAGTGAAGTGCACAAATCTTAAGTACAACTCAGTGAATTTATACATATAAGTATACCTAGGTAACTCCCAGGTAGTGGGAGGTACTGGGTTACACCTGGGGAGAAGAGGATGTAAAAAAAGCACAGACATGAGAATTGTGGAATGCAAGCATTTTCCGTGATTAGAGCCTATTTTAAATGAAATACCCAGATAGAGATGTAGAATATTTTTCTTCACTGATTAAAGGTGCCTTGTGCTCCCTCCTATTAATTTCTCCCTACAGAAGTAACCACTATTTTAACCTCTAACCTCTATCACCATAAATTAGTTTTTGCTTGTTTCTTTTTCTTTTCCTTCCTTTTTTTTTCTTTTGAGACAGGGTCTCAGTCTGTCACCCTAGCTGGAGTGCATTGGCGCAATCTCAGCTCACTGCAGCCTTCACCTCCCAGGCTCAAGCGATCCTCCTCCTTCAGCTTCCTGAGTACCTGGAACTACAGGTGCATGCCATCATGCCTGGCTGATTTTTTTTTTTTTTCTTTCGGTAGTAGAGATAGGGTTTTACCATGTTGCCCGGGCTGGAGTTTTTGTTTCTAAACTTCTTATGGCATATTTGTCCTCCCTCCCAAGGGTAGTGAGAATTGATGCTTGAATCCATCTCTCTTTTCTTCTGTCCTTGTTTGGCATTGTTATGAATTGGGAGGTAAATCAGGTGATATTTGGTACTATGGCCCTTTTTTCCCCCCAGTGACAAAATCAGAGAGGTGCTTCTTAGTGTTCATTAATAGTAATCCTTTAGAGGTTAGTTTTATGACTTGATATTTTGTTTAGAATGCAGAGATTTGAATTTGCCTCCACCGATAACATAGTTGCCTGGCTTGCTGTCATTACAGTATTCTCTAGGCATATAGCCAGGAAGTAGGTGGAGGAAGTTGTGGATTGCCTCCTTATATAGATGGTTTTTGGAGCCTCTTTGATGGTAGCTTCCAGGCATTATGTCAGTTAGCTATTAGGCATTTTAGGTTGCTTATTAAGGTATTTGGGTATTTCTGATTGTAATTTTAGAGGTAGGAATAAATAGGTGTACTTTTTTTTTATAGGTAGGCATCTACCTGTTCAACAGAAAAGTAGAATATAACTAGAATGTTACCTTATGGACAGTTGCTTACAAGTGTGAATGGTTAAAGCCCATGTAGGAGACTTTATAAATGGAAAACTGAAATAGAATTGTTGATCATGATTTTTACTTTTAGTGCTTGAATCAGTTTTTTTCCCCCAAATGGAATTAATAGTTGTAGCATTATTTTTCGTAAATACTGAGCAGTAGAAACCTTATTGTAGTATAGCAGTATTAAATTGGTGCTTTGCAGATAAAGAATTTTTTCTGAAATGGGTATTATAATGTTGTTAAACGTATATAATAAAAAATATATCTTCACATTCTAGTATATCTGGTTTTGAAGAATGAATATGTAAATTGCGCAGAAATGGGTATGAAAAGACTTTCTCATTAACATTTGGATTGTGAATGCTCGAGTTTATAAATGAAAATATTTACTCTATATAAAGAAGTTTTGTCTTTTGGAATTTGTAATAAGTTCATTTAATATACTCTTGCTCCAGGGATTTCAGTATTTGTCTTGAAGAAATAATAAAATCTCACCTGTCAACTTTTCTTATTGTAGCTTTTGTGAAGTATAGAAGGCTAAAGCAAATTGGTTAAATTAGACATTGAAAAAAGTATATGATTATTATCTCCAAAATATTGAGACTTTACACATAACAGCTTTTGGGGGCTAGATTTAGAAAATCACTAACATAAAACAATTAGAATGTTCTTAATTATAGTTTTCAGAACTGACTATGTAGAAAAAAATACACTCAAGTTTGTGTTCTATGTTTACATGTTGTTTTGACAAAAATGAATGTTATGTTTGAATTTAGTTTTGGGAGATTTCAGTTTTTTTGTATTCAGAAAAGTCTTGTTTGTCTGGTTGTATTTCCCCCAATTTTCATAACTTTTATTTAACTGGGTTAGTTGTCATACAAAATTCAGCTAATGCTCCACTAGGGGTAGGGTTGCATATACATAGAGCACAGATATGGCTTCTACTCCAAAGAGCTCATGATCTAAGATATAGCTTGAAGAGTACTTAACTATGAAACATTTAAATTACTGAGCTGACAAAATAAAATGAATGATCTGTAATAAGATTAATAAAGCTTTTTGACAAAAATAATTTTTTACCTAGATTTTGAAGAAGTGGTGTGTATAGGTTGGTGGAAAGGGAAGGAGATAACAGCTAGGGGGAAGAGCATGTTAAAAAAGCACAGATATTTTGGGATGCTGAGGCAGGTGGAGCACCTGAGGTCAGGAGTTTGAGACCAGCCTCGCCAACATGGTGAAACCCAGTCTTTACTAAAAATACAAAAAAAAAAAAAAAAAATTAGCCAAGCGTGATGGTGGGTGCCTGCAATCCCAGCTATTCGGGAAGCTGAGGCAGGAGAATCACTTGAACCTGGGAGGTAGAAGTTGTGGTGAGCTGAGATTGTGCCACTGCACTCAGCCTGGGCAACAGAGTGAGACTGTGTCTCAGAAAAAAAAAAAAAAAAAAAGGCACAGACATGAGAATTGTGGAATGCAAGCGTTTTCCTTGGTTAGAGTCTATTTTAAATGCATATAATAAAAAGTAATAAGATTGTGGCATGAGCTGGAGGGATCTAAAGAAGTTTGGATTAGAAATTGGAAATAAGGAGTTCTACTGAAGATCATTGAATAGAATTACATGAAGAAATATGATTAGCAGCCAGATACAGCGTGATTGGAGGGAGATTGAAGTGAGGAAGGCCAGTTGGTGATTATTATCTTTGTGAGTGGGAAGGGTATATTAAGAGTAAGGATGCATAGTTTTAAATAAGTCAAATCAAATATTGTGGCTCCTCAGTTTGTAGTGCAGAGCTAAAATAAGAATGAAAGAATTTTACTATCTTCTGGTATTCAAAATAAATGGAGATAGAGTTTGCATATGACTTACTAGCACTAATTGAGGTATGCCTTTTTCTTAAAAAAACTGGCTTGGCCTTTTTTTTCTGTTAAGTTTACTTTGAAAACCAATAAAGTTATGCTATAATGGTGTTTTCCTAAGTAAAAAATATTTAAGGTAACTGGTAAGAAGAGCTTGTACTTGTATGCTGAATTTTGAGTTAAAATTCTGTATTTTAGCCATGGCTTAAGAGACATTATAATTTGTATTGGAGCTGGCAGGAAAACAGGAAATAATAAAAATTAACAATGTGGACTACATATTTATATTTGTTTTTAAATAGATACTTGTTTTAAAATTTAGGAACATTTGGGAATACTCTGCTTTTATAGGAAAATAATGTTCTTAAAATGTAGAGTTTTTAATAATTCCTAAATTGAGTGTACCTTATGGTTTATTATGGGTAAAGGTCATTTTTAAAATAGAAGAATTAGAAAAACAGGAAAAATAGAAGTAATACAGTTTTTTAAATCCTCTTTTTTTTTAAGAGTTAGGAAATAGAACAGAAGCTTGGGAACTAATAGTTTTAGAGTTTTAAGATACCACGTTTTAGTATAACATTTACATTTTAAACATTCTCACAGTTAATATAGGCTTAACTTGGAAATATTAAGCTTTTAGGATTTAGTATGTAGTAGTTCTCTGCTGGCACTAAGTCTTTCCCCTTCGCTCCTTTCCAACAGGTATTGCCCAAGCTCTCATAAGCCGTTCTTTTCTTTCTATTATGATTATTATTTTGTAGAGATGGGGTCGCACTTTGTTGCCCAGGCTGGTCTTGAACTCTTGGGCTCAAGCAGTCCTTTTGGCCTCCCAAAGTGCTGTGATTACAGGTGTGAGCTGCTGAGACCAGCCTTTTCTTTTAATTCTGATGGTCAGTACTGATGAAGTCCTTTCCAGCTTTGGGTACACAGCCTTCTGTTATTCCTGCTGTCAATTTTTTGTCTTTCTACTGTGCTTTTCAACCTTGGTTATTCATGTATCACCTTCATCTGTGCGATTATTACCATTTAACTGCAGCAAGTAAAGACGTTAATAGTGAGGTTTTTGGGAATGTGGTAAAACCGGGAGGTATATTTGACTTTGTCCAAGTTATCTGATGAGGCAGATCAGCTAAAGCAAAATACAGTGGGTTGCTCCCTACTATCACTGGGACCTAGAGATTTCATCTACATCTCTGAAAAATGGGGTTTCTGTATGATAGTATGGGTGAGAAGGAATGACAGCAGAACTATCAACTGTTTTCTGATTATCCTGATGAACTAGTGGTATAGGAAGCTTTTCTGAAAACGCTGCTCTGAATTGCTTGCTTAAGTAGTTGCTTTTTTATTCCTGTGTATGGCTCCAGAGTTCTTGGGAATAGCCCTACCTCCATTTGTTTGTAGATGAGAGAAAGCTGAACCTTCTGCTGTCAGTGGAGAAGGCCTAGAATTAGTCTAGAACTGGTGCTATAGGGCCCTGGAATGCTTCAGGAATTGGTGGCTGCAGGGACCTCTGAAGGAATTGTCTAAAAGTCTGTATAACAAGTAAGCAACACTCATGGTTTCAGGAATGGATCTCTTGCCTCATCCAAGTTTTCTTCTTTGACATTCAACCTGAGGATCTCTGTACTTGAGAACAGTAGGCATAGTTCAGGTTAAGGGCATCATACTGGAAAACAGGGAGAATTAAATAAAAATCTGCATGTTGATCTGAGAGTTATTCCCAGTCTCTTTTTCCCTCCCAGTTCTGAGAATACTGGCTGACAAGTTCTTGCCCCATCTAGCTGTGAGATTAAAAGATTCATCCTGTGACAGCAAACTGCTGAGATCAGGAAAAATATCTAACTGATAACAGATGTGGCCCAGATTGATAATCCTACAGTATGTCTACTCATTAAGACAGAATCCCTAGGCAACTTTTAAGTGCCTCAATCTTAAATATGAGATTAAGGATCACCAAACATTTGAGGATAACCTTAATATGAAAGAGAAGAGGGAAATGGAAATACTTCAAGAAGAAGACAAGTTTTTGTAAAAAGTTAACTGATTTCTTCAGAAGTAAAGGTATTGCATCTTTGAAACAAGAAAGGATGCTATGAAAAAGCAGTGCCCAGAAAACAAGAGCTTCTAGAAATTTAGAATATGAAACACTTCATAGAAGAGTTGGAAATTCAGAATATTAAATTCTTAGAGGGTTGGAAGATAAAGTTGAGAAAACTCCCACGGAGGAGGACAAAAAGAGTTGTAAAGTGGGAGAAAATAAGAAAACTAGAGGATCACACTTGCATGCACGTTCAACATATGAAAAGTAAGAATTTGCTGGGCGCAGTGGCTCACGCCTGTAATCCCAGCACTTTGGGTGGTCGAGGTGGGCGGATCACCTGAGGTCAGGAATTCAAGAACAGCCTGGCCAACATGGTAAAACCCTGTCTCTGCTAAAAATACAGAAATTAGCAGGGCATGTTGGTATGCACCCGTAATCCCAGCAAATCGCTTGAACCTGGGAGGTGGAGGTTGCAGTGAGCCGAGGTGGCGCTACTGTGCTCCAGCCTGTGCAACAGAGCGAGACACTGTCTCAAAAAAAAAAAAAAAAAAAAAAAAAAAACAAAATGGGAGAAAATGGAAGAAATTAAGAATAATTGAACAAGAAATGTGAATTTCCACAGTGAAAGGGCTCATGAATGCTCAACATGGTGACTGAAAAAAAAGAACCACATCAAGATACATCATGGTGAAATTTCAGACACCAGAAATAAAGGGAAGATCAAGAAAGCTTTCAGGAATGGAGCACAAAGAAGGGATTAGAAATAGGTAGCATTGGAAAGTAATCAGTAATGGAATAATACATTCAAAATCCTGAAGGAAAGTTATTTCCAAACTATTCATTCTATACCTTACCAAGCTATCAAGTGTGGGAGGAGGCTAAAAATATGAAACATGAGGTTGTTAGAATATTTACTTCAAAAGTACTATATCAGGAACTTACTAGAAGGCACAGGCTCCATCAAAGTGATGGGTTAACTAAAAAGAGGGGGGATCCAGAAAGTAGGATGCATTACAGGAGAAGAGTGAAGAGAATTTCTAGGATGATTATGAAGGGAGATTCAAGGATAGGGCTGTACAGGAGGTCTGAAGAGTAATCAGTTCAGCTTGGGATAGGAGGTTGAAGGGATCTAGATGGCATGTCTTTAGAGAAAAAAAAGACTTTTTTGGTTTAATTCATAAGGGATATTTGTTGGTAGTTTTCTTGGGATAACTTTGTCAGATTTTGGTATGAGGGCAATATTGGCCTTATAGGAGTGAGTTAGGAAGTGTTCCCTCCTATTTTTTGGAAGAGTTTGAGAAGGAATAGTGTTAATTATTGAAATGTTCCCCAGATTCCAGGGAAGCAGTCTGGTCATGGATTGTTTGTTTGTTTTTATGAGACAGAGTCTTGCTCTGTTGCCCAGGCTGGAGTGCAATGGCACAGTCTTGGCTCACTGCAGCCTGGAACTCCTGGGCTCAAATGATCTATCCTCCTGCCTCAGCCTCTGAAGTAGCTAGGACTACAGGTGCTGTCCGCCGTGGTTGGCTAGGTCCTGGGCTTTTCTTTGTGGGAAGTTCTCTCTACTTGTTTTAGGTCTATTCAGATTTCCTATGTCATCTTTAGTCAGTTTCAACAGTTTGGGTTTTTCTAGGAATTTGTCCATTTCATCTACACTATGTAATTTGTTGGCATACAGTTGCATAGTGTTCTTTTATAATCCTTTTTATTAATATAAGGTTGGTAGTAATGACTCCTTTTCCATTCCTCACTGTAGTGATCTAAATCTTTTCTTAGTTGAGCTAAAGGTTTGTCAATTTTGTTCTTTTCAAAGAACCAACTTTTGGGTTGATTGATTTTTTTTTTCTCTACTGTTTTTCTGTTCTCTATTTCTGCTGTGTTCTTTATTTAATTTTTTCTTTTGTCTGCTTTGAGTTTAGTTTGTCTTTTTCTAATTTCTTAGAAAATTAGGTTATGGATTTAAGATTTTTTTTAATGTAGTCATATATAGCTATAAATTTCCCTGTAAGCATTGCGTTTACTTCATCCCATAAGTTTTAGTATGTTGTGTTTTTGTTTTCATTTTTCTCAATATACTTTCTGATTTGCAATGCAATTTCTTTGGCTTACTGGTTACATAGATGTTTGTTGCTTAATTTCCACATATTAACTTACCAATTTCCTTCTGGTATTGATTTCTAGTTTCATTCCATTGTGGTCAGAGAACGTACTCTCTATGATTTTTATTCCTTTAAAATTTATTGACACTTGTCTGATGGCCTAACACCTAGTACATACTAAAGAACATTCCTTACTCTGCTGTTGTTAGGTGGAGTATTCTGTAGAGTTTATAGTGTTCAAGTCTTCTATTTCCTTGATCTTCTATCTATACTATCCATTACTGAATGTGAAGTATTAAGGTTTCTAACTATTATTTTTGAATTATATTCTGCCTTTCAATTCTGTCAGTTTCTACTTCATATATTTTGGGGTTCTCTTATTAGGTGTACACATGTTTATAAGTGGCATGTAATTTTGATGGATTGACCTTTTTATTGTTACAAAACATTCTCTGTAGTAGCAATTTTTTGTCTTAATGTCTGTTGTTTCTGCTGTGAGAATAGCTGCATCAACTCTCTTTTGGTTACTTTCTGCATGGTATAACTTTTTTTATCTTTTACTTTCAGTTTATTTGTATCTATTTAATCTCAAGTGTGTCTCTTGTAGCCAGTTATAGTTGGATTATGTTTTTTACCCCTTCTGCCTATGTGCTTTTTGTTTGGAGTGCCTGATTAATTTCCATTTAATATAATTACCAATAAAGTGGAATTTACATCTGCTATTTTGCTCTTTGTTTTCTATGTGTCTCATTGTTTTTTGGGGTGGTTATTCCTCTAGTCCTGTAGTGCTGCCTTTTGTGTTAAATAGATATTTTCAAGTGTATCACTTAAATCACTTGTTTTGTACTGTATACTTTTAGTTCATTTTTGTAGTGGTTGCCCTGGGAATTATAATTAACAACTTAATTTTAGTCTAGTTGAAATTAATACTGTAAATTTTAATAATATACAAACATTTTGCTCCTATATAGCTCTATTCCCTCTCCTTCCTTCGTGCTGTTATTGCCATACATACATCCTTTTATACCTTTTAAATCAGACAGGAGAAGAAAAAGTTACAAAGAGAAAACAGTTATACTGTCTTTTATATTTACCTATGTGGTTACCTTCACCATGCTCCTTATTTCTTCAGATGGATTCAGATTGCTATCTAGTGTTCTTTCATTTCAGCCTGAGGGACACTCTTTAGTATTTGTTTAAATCTGTAAATGTCTTAATTTCTCCTTCTGTTATGAAAAATAGTTGTAGAATTCATGGTCGAGTCTTTTTCTTTCAGTACTTTGACACCATTGCCATCCGGCCTCCATGGTTTCTCATGAAAAATTAGTTGTTAATGTTACTAAAGTTGTTTGTCTGTGACAAGTTGCTTCTTTCTTGCTTCTTTTAGGATTCTCTCTTCCTTTTTCAGCAGTTTTATGATGATGTGTCTAAGGTGTAGATCTCTCTGGGTTTATCCTCTGTGTAGTTCCTTGAGCTTTTTTGGATGTTTAGGTTAATGCTTTTCATCAAACTGGGGGAATTTTTAGTCACATTTCTTTAAATGCTCTTTCTGCCTCATTCTTATCTCCCCTCTTTTGTAGAACTCCTATTAGGTATACAATGGGATGTTTAATGTTGTCTCACAGGTTTCTTAGGCCCTATGGATTTTTAAAATTGGTTTTTCTTTCTGTTCCTCAGACTGGATAATCTCAGTTGATCTATTTTCAGGTTTGCTGACTTTTCTAGTAAATTGTTCATTTTAGTTATTGTGCTTTTCAATTCTACAATTTGTTTTTTTCTCATAATTTTTTATCTTTTATTGATATTCTCATACTTTCTTTTAGTTTTTTAGACATGGGTTTCTTTTAGTTATTTGAATATGCTTAAAGTAGCTGATTTTAAAACATTGTCTTGTTTAGTCAGTCCTATGTCTGGGTTTCCTCAGGGACAGTTTTGTGAACTGCTTGTCTCTCCATGTGTATGAACCATACTTCCTTCTTTTTTTCTTTGTATTTTTTTTTGATATTATTATACTTTAAGTTCTAGGGTACATGTGCACAATGTGCAGGTTTGTTACATATGTATACGTGTGCCATGATGGTGTGCTGCACCTATTAACTCATCATTTAGCATTAGGTATATCTCCTAATGCTATCCCTCCCCCAGGCCCCCACCCCACGACAGGCCCCAGTGTGTGATATTCCCCTTCCTGTGTCCAAGTGTTCTCATTGTTCAATTCCCACCTATGAGTGAGAACAGGTGGTGTTTGGTTTTTTGTCCTTGCAATAGTTTGCTGAGAATGATGGTTTCCAGCTTCATCCATGTCCCTACAAAGGACATGAACTCATCCTTTTTTATGGCTGCATAGTATTCCATGGTATATATGTGCCACATTTTCTTAATCCAGTCTATCATTGATGGACATTTGGGTTGGTTCCAAGTCTTTGCTATTGTGAATAGTGCCGCAATAAACATACGTGTGCATGTGTCTTTATAGCAGCATGATTTATAATCCTTTGGGTATATACCCAGTAATGGGATGGCTGGGTCAAATGGTATTTCTAGTTCTAGATCCTTGAGGAATCACCACGCTGTCTTCCACAATGGTTGAAGTAGTTTACACTCCCACCAACAGTGTAAAAGCATTCCTATTTCTCCACATCCTCTCCAGCACCTGTTGTTTCCTGACTTTTTAATGATTGCCATTCTAACTGGTGTGAGATGGTATCTCATTGTGGTTTTGATTTGCATTTCTCTGATGGCCAGTGATGATGAGCATTTTTTCATGTGTCTTTTGGCTGCATAAATGTCTTCTTTTGAGAAGTGTCTGTTCATATCCTTTGCCCACTTGTTAATGGGGTTGTTTGTTTTTTTTCTGGTAACTTTGTTTGAGTTCATTATAGATTCTGGATATTAGCCCTTTGTCAGATGAGT
Organism: Homo sapiens; assembly: GCF_000001405.40. NCBI lineage: Eukaryota > Metazoa > Chordata > Mammalia > Primates > Hominidae > Homo > Homo sapiens. The sequence goes on along the minus strand of NC_000001.11, from coordinate 91,002,774 downwards.
AAATTGCAAAAATTTTCTCCCGTTCTGTAGGTTGCCTGTTCACTCTGATGGTAGTTTCTTTTGCTGTGCAGAAGCTCTTTAGTTTAATTAGATCCCATTTGTCAATTTTGGCTTTTGTTGCCATTGCTTTTGGTGTTTTAGACATGAAGTCTTTACCCATGCCTGTGTCCTGAATGGTATTGCCTAGGTTTTCTTCTAGGGTTTTTGTGGTTTTAGGTCTAACATGTAAGTGTTTAATCCATCTTGAATTAATTTTCATATAAGGTGTAAGGAAGGGATCCAGTTTGAGCTTTCTACATATGGCTAGCCAGTTTTCCCAGCACCATTTGTTAAATAGGGAATCCTTTCCCCATTTCTTGTTTTTCTCAGGTTTGTCAAAGATCAGATGGTTGTAGCTGTGTGGTATTATTTCTGAGGGCTCTGTTCTGTTCCATTGGTCTATATCTCTGTTTTGGTACCAGTACCATGCTGTTTTGATTACTGTGGCCTTGTAGTATAGTTTGAAGTCAGGTAGCGTGATGCCTCCAGCTTTGTTCTGTTGGCTTAGGATTGACTTGGCGATGCGGGCTCTTTTTTGGTTCCATATGAACTTTAAAGTAGTTTTTTCCAGTTCTGTGAAGAAATTCATTGGTAGCTTGTTGGGGATGGCATTGAATCTATAAATTACCTTGGGCAGTATGGCCATTTTCCCGATACTGATTCTTCCTATCCATGAGCATGGAATGTTCTTCCATTTGTTTGTGTCCTCTTTTATTTCGTTGAGCAATGGTTTGTAGTTCTCCTTGAGGAGGTCCTTCAGATCCCTTGTAAGTTGAATTCCTAGGTATTTTATTCTCTTTGAAGCAATTGTGAATGGGAGTTCACTCATGATTTGGCTCTCTGTTATTGGTGTATAAGAATGCTTGTGATTTTTGCACATTGATTTTGTATCCTGAGACTTTGCTGAAGTTGCTTATCAGGTTAAGGAGATTTTGGGCAGAGACGATGAGGTTTTCTAAATATACAATCATGTCATCTGCAAACAGGGACAATTTGACTTCTTCTTTTCCTAACTGAATACCCCTTATTTCTTTCTCCTGCCTGATTGTCCTGGCCAGAACTTCCAACACTATGTTGAATAGGAGTGGTGAGAGAAGGCATCCCTGTCTTGTGCCAGTTTTCAAAGGGAATGCTTCCAGTTTTTGTCCATTCAGTATGATATTGGCTGTGGGTTTGTCATAAATAGCTCTTGTTATTTTGAGATACGTCCCATCAATACCTAATTTATTGAGAGTTTCTAGCATGAAGGGCTGTTGAATTTTGTTGAAGGCCTTTTCTGCATCTATTGAGATAATCATGTGGTTTTTGTCTTTGGTTCTGTTTATATGCTGGATTACGTTTATTGATTTGTGTACGTTGAACCAGCCTTGCATCCCAGGGATGAAGCCCACTTGATCATGGTGGATAAGCTTTTTGATGTGCTGCTGGATTCGGTTTGCCAGTATTTTATTGAGGATTTTTGCATCGATGTTCATCAGGGATATTGGTCTAAAATTCTCTTTTTTTGTTGTGTCTCTGCCAGGCTTTGGTATCAGGATGATGCTGGCCTCATAAAATGAGTTAGGGAGGAGTCCCTCTTTTCCTATTGATTGGAATAGTTTCAGAAGGAATGGTACCAGCTCCTCCTTGTACCTCTGGTAGAATTTGGCTGTGAACCCATCTGGTCCTGGACTTTCTTTGGTTGGTAGGCTATTAATTATTGCCTCAATTTCAGAGTCTGTTATTGGTCTATTCAGGGATTCACCTTCTTCCTGGTTTAGTCTTGGGAGGGTGTATGTGTCCAGGAATTTATCCATTTCTTCTAGATTTTCTAGTTTGTTTGCATAGAGGTGTTTATAGTATTCTCTGGTGGTAGTTTGTATTTGTGTGGGATCGGTGGTGATATCCCCTTTATCATTTTTTATTGTGTCTATTTGATTCTTCTCTCTTTTCTTCTTTATTAGTGTTGCTAGTGGTCTATCTATTGTGTTGATCTTTTCAAAAAACCAGCTCCTGGATTCATTGATTTTTTTGAAGGGTGTTTTGTGTCTCTATCTCCTTCAGTTCTGCTCTGATCTTAGTTATTTCTTGCTTTCTGCTAGCTTTTGAATGTGTTTGCTCTTGCTTTTCTGGTTAATTGTGATGTTAGGGTGTCAATTTTAGATCTTTCCTGCTTCCTCTTGTGGGCATTTAGTGCTATAAATTTCCCTCTACACACTGCTTTAAATGTGTCGCAGAGATTCTGGTGTGTTGTGTCTTTATTCTCGTTGGTTTCAAAGAACATCTTTATTTCTGCCTTCATTTCGTTATGTACCCAATAGTTATTCAGGAGCAGGTTGTTCAGTTTCCATGTAGTTGAGCGGTTTTGAGTGAGTTTCTTAATCCTGAGTTCTAGTTTGATTACACTGTGGTCTGAGAGACAGTTTGTTATAATTTCTGTTCTTTTACATTTGTTGAGGAGTGCTTTACTTCCAACTATGTGGTCAGTGTTGGAATAAGTGCGATGTGGTGTTGAAAAGAATGTATATTCTGTTGATTTGGGGTGGAGAGTTCTGTAGATGTCTGTTAGGTCCGCTTGATGCAGAGCTGAGTTCAATTCCTGGATATCCTTGTTAACTTTCTGTCTTGTTGATCTGTCTAATGTTGACAGTGGGGTGCTAAAGTCTCCCTTTATTATTGTGTGGGAGTCTAAGTCTCTTTGTAGGTCTCTAAGGACTTGCTTTATGAATCTGGGTGCTCCTGTATTGGGTGCATATATATTTAGGATAGTTAGCTCTTCTTGTTAAATTGATCCCTTTACCATTATGTAATGGCCTTCTTTGTCTCTTTGGATCTTTGTTGGTTTAAAGTCTGTTTTATCAGAGACTAGGATTGCAACCCCTGCCTTTTTTTGTTTTCCATTTGCTTGGTAGATCTTCTTCCATCCCTTTATTTTGAGCCTATTTGTGTCTGTGCACGTGAGATGGGTCTTCTGAATACAGCACACTGATGGGTCTTGACTCTTTATCCAATTTGCCAGTCTGTGTCTTTTAATTGGAGCATTTAGCCCATTTACATTTAAGGTTAATATTGTTATGTGCGAGTTTGAGCCTGTCATTATGATGTTAGCTGGTTATTTTGCTCATTAGTTGATGCAGTTTCTTCCTTGCATCGATGGTCTTTACAATTGGGCATGTTTTTGCAGTGGCTGGTACCGGATGTTCCTTTCCATGTTTAGTGCTTCCTTCAGGAGCTGTTGACAGGCCTGGTGGTGACAAATCTCTCAGCATTTGCTTCTCTGTAAAGGATTTTATTTCTCCTTCACTTATGAAGCTTAGTTTGGCTGGCTATGAAATTCTGGGTTGAAAATTCTTTTTGTTAAGAATGTTGAATATTTGCCACCACTCTCTTCTGGCTTGTAGAGTTTCTGCCGAGAGATCCACTGTTAGTCTGTTGGGCTTTCCTTTGTGGGTAACCTGACCTTTCTGTCTGGCTGCCCTTAACATTTTTCCTTCATTTCAACTTTGGTGAATCTGACAATTATGTGTCTTGGAGTTGCTCTTCTCGAGGAGTATCTTTGTGGTGTTCTCTGTATTTCCTGAATTTGAATGTTGGCCTGCCTTGCTAGGTTGGGAAAGTTCTCCTGGATAATATCCTGCAGAGTGTTTTCCTACTTGGTTTCATTCTTCTTGTCACTTTAAGGTACACCAATCAGGCGTAGATTTGGTCTTTTCACATAGTCCCATATTTCCTGAAGGCTTTGTTCACTTCTTTTTACTCTTTTTTCTCTAAACTTCTCATTTCATTTCATTCATTTGATCTTCAGTCACTGATACCCTTTCTTCCAGTTGATCAGATCGGCTACTGAAGCTTGTGCATTCATCACGTAGTTCTCGTGCCATGGTTTTCAGCTCCATCAGGTCATGTAAGGACTTCTCTACACTGGTTATTCTGTTAGCCATTTGTCTAGTCTTTTTTCAAGGTTTTTAGCTTCTTTGCAATGGGTTTGAACTTCCTCCTTTAGCTCAGAGAAGTTTGATTGTCTGAAGCCTTCTTCTCTCAACTCGTCAAAGTCATTCTCTGTCCAGCTTTGTTCTGTTGCTGGCGAGGAGCTGCGTTCCTTTGGAGGGGGAGAGGCGCTCTGATTTTTAGAATTTTCAGCTTTTCTGCTCTGTTCTTTCCCCATCTTTGTGGTTTTATCTACCTTTGGTCCTTGATGATGTAGATGACGTAGAGATGGGGTTTTGGCGTGGATGTCCTTTCTGTTTGTTAGTTTTCCTTCTAACAGTGAGGACCCTCAGCTGCAGGTCTGTTGGGAGTTTGCTGGAGGTCCACTCCAGACCCTGTTTGCCTGGGTATCAGCAGCGGAGGCTGCAGAGCAGCAAATATTGCTGAACAGCAAATGTTGCTGCCTGATCATTCTCTGGAAGCTTTGTCTCAGAGGGGTACCTGGCTGTGTGAGGTGTCAGTCTGCCCCTAGTGGTGGGTGCCTCCCAGTTAGGCTACTCAGGGATCAGGGACCCACTTGAGGAGGCAGTCTCTCCATTCTCAGATCTCAGACTCCGTCCTGGGAGAACCACTACTCGCTTCAAAGCTGTCAGACAAGGGCATTTAAGTCTGTGGAGGTTTCTGCTGCCTTTTGTTCGGCTGTGCCCTGCCCCAAGAGGTGGAGTCTACAGAGGCAGGCAGGCCTCCTTGAGCTGTGGTGGGCTCCCCCCAGTTCGAGCTTCCTGGCCGCTTTGTTTACCTACTCAAGCCTCAGCAATGGTGGGCACCCCTCCCCCAGCCTCGCTGCTGCCTTGCAGTTCGATCTCAGACTGCTGTGCTAGCAATGAGCGAGGCTCCATGGGCGTGGGACCCTCCAAGCCACGCGAGGGATATAATCTCCTGGTGTGCCGTTTGCTAAGACCATTGGAAAAGCGCAGTATTATGGTGGGAGTGACCCAATTTTCCAGATGCCGTCTGTCACAGCTTCCCTTTGCTTGGAAAGGGAATTAATTCCCTGACCCCTTGCACTTCCCGGGTGAGGCGATGCCTCGCCCTGCTTCGGCTCATGCTTGGTGGGCTGCACCCACTGTCCACCACTCCCCAGTGAGATGAACCCGGTACCTCAATTGGAAACGCAGAAATCACCTGTGTTCTGCATCGCTCACACTGGGAGCTGTAGACTGGAGCTGTTCCTTTTCGGCCATCTTGGAACCGCCCCCCTCCCCTTTTTTTTTTAATATCTTGTAATTTTTTGTTGAATACTGCACATTTAAAATAATGTCACAACTCTGATAATCAGATTCTCCTCTCTGCCCCAGCGTTGTTTGTTATTTTAGTGATTTTTTTTTTGAAACTAATTCTATGAAATCTATATTCTTTGTCACATATGGGCACTGAAATCTCTGCTCAGTTGGCTTAGTGGTCAGCTAATGATTGGACAGAGATTTCATTAAATGCCTGGGAGCAATAAATCTTTTTGTTGAAGTTATGTGTGTGTTGGGATGCTCCTTCAACACTTAACCAGGCAGTTTACAACTCTGCCTTACTTTTTACTTCCTGCTTGTGTAGAGCCTCAGGTTTAGCCAGAGGTGAGCACTTAGGTCTTTCCTGGGCGTGTATACAGCCCTTTCTGTACATGTGGCTCTCTAGAGTCTCAGGAATATGTTGGAGCTTTACAAAGCCCCCAGCTTTTCTTTTTAAAGCTTTTAGTCTATTGTTTGCCTCAGCTGTTCTTCTCTCCCTCAGCCAGCTGCAATATGAAACAATTACCTCTGATTGTTTTTGACAAATGTCCTTTGGTTGTCCTAGGGTATTGGGGGAAGCTTTTTATACTAGGTAAGTGCTGAGTCAGGTCAAATTAAGATAGCTTTGCGAGTAGAGCCTTCCAGGAGACCACCAGATGTGTTAAATAATGACAGTTCTCTGGGAATGAGGTACTAAAAGAGCTCCAAACCTCTTCTGTCTTTCCTAGTGCCTGCCAGGCTGTTGGGTTTTTGTTTTTAGTTATAAAGCAGTGGGGCCTGGCTCTGTGCTCAGGCTGGAGTGCAGTGGCATGGTCATAGCTCACTGCAGCCTCAAAGTCTTGGGCTCAACTGATCCTTTGTCTTCAGCCTCCCGAGTAGCTGGGACTACAGATGCATGCCAACATGCCTAATTTTTAAACATTATTTAGAGACGGGGTACCACCATGTTGCCCAGACTGGTTCCAAGCACTTGGACTCAAGCATTTCTCCCACCTCAGCCTCTCAAGTAGTTGGGATTATAGGCATAAGCCACTGGGCCTGATCCCCCAGGCTGCTAATTTTCAAAGCTACTGTGGGGGAGAATGGGAATAGGGCAAGATAAGATGCCTTAAAGTGTGCTGGTCTTCCCAAATAAGATTCAGCCATCTATCACTCTTCCTAGATTGCTCCAAGCCTTTGGCTAGTTTCCAGAGTTCACAGAATGTTGATTTTCACAGTTTTTGCCAGTGATCTTGCTGGGTTTATGGAGGAGATGATTTTCGAAGGTTCTTATTTTGAAATTTTTGCTTATATCCTACTGTTGAGTTTTGGGAGTTTTAAATTATTTTAGATATGAGTCTTTTGTTAAGTATATAGTTGGCAAATATTTTCTGTTATTCTAGAGGGTATGTAGGGTTATCTCGTAGTGATTTTTATTTTGCATTTCCCTGATTCCAAATGTGACTGAGTACCTTTTAATATATGTATTGCCAGGTTTTATAAATGTTTTGTGTGTCTTTGGAAAGAATGTGTGCAGTATTTATGTGTCTGTGTCTTAGTTTGGGCTACTGTAACAAGTACTATAGACTGGGTGGCTTACAAACAACAGAAATTTATTTCTCACAGTTCTGGAGATTGGAAGTCTGGGATCAGAGTGCCAACATGGTCAGGTTCTGATGAGGGCTCTGAGCCTCTGATGTCATGTTTTTGATTTAGTGTTGTTACTACTTTCCTTCCCCTTTTAAAACTCTTGTTGTTTATCTGCTGGCCACAAACCCAATTTTTGTTTTCTGAAAATAACTTTTTTTCACCTCATTTTTGAAGGATAATATCATTGGATATAGAAGATGTTGTTTCAGTATCTCCATTTTTTCTGATAGGTCAACCATTAACAGTATTGTTGTTTTTGATATGTAACCAGTCATTTTTCTTTGGCTGCTGTCAAGGTTTCTCTTTGGCTTTCACCAGCTTGACTATGATATATATGCATATGTGGCTCTTTGTGTATATTCTGCTTGGGTTTGTTGAGATTCTTGGATTTGTTAAGTCAACATTTTCTACTGAATTTGAAATGTTTTGGCCATTATTTCATCAACAAAAAATTTTTTATGCTCATCTCATTCCTTTCTTTTTGGGACTTACATATATGTTGGACTGCCTAATAGTGTCCTACTGGTCTCTTAGGATATGTTTATTTTTCTTTAGTTATTTTACTTTCTGTTCTTTGGATTAGACAGTTTTATTTCCCTGTCTTCAAACTCACCAATTCTTTCTTCTGCTATCTCTAATCTTCTGTTGACTCATCTGAGGAATTTTTTATTGTAGTTATTGTATTTTTCAGCTTTTTCTTTTTTTTAAGTTTCTGTCAATTGTTTGAACATAATTTCTTTTAATTTTCATAACATACTTAGAATAACTGCTTTGAATTAATTCAGGTAGACTCAGAATCAGTATCTGTTGATTTACTTTTCTTTTTTCCTGAGTCTGGGTCACATTTTCCTCTTTCTTTGCATATCATGTATTTTTTGCCTGAAACTGCACATTATGGTATGTTTTAATGAATGATTCAGTTAATGTTCTTAGAGTTGCAGGTCTTTTTTTTAAGGTAGATAGTTAACTTACCTGGGCCCAGACTGCAAACTTGGTCTCCCCTGATGTATGCAGCCACGGCCATCTCTGTTTTCTTCTAGCTTTCCATTGCTGCTTTTTTGGCTTGGCTTGTTGGGGGTCTCCCAGTGTCTGAGTAAGTTGGTTGTTACCCAGAGATTTGTGGAGATTGTAGTCCAATTTTGCCCTGTGGTTTTCTTGCTTCTCGGAATTTTACTAATTTCCAGCTGTTCTACAGAGCTTCTAACCTTCACTAGTACTTCAACCTTGTAGAGCTGCAGCTTCCTGCTGCCTACACTGCATAGTTGGGGAATGCACTCTGTTGAAAGGCAACAGATTCAGTAATACAGTGCTATTTTCAAGTGTAGCATCATTCTTTCTAGTTTCTGCCTACTTTTTCCTCAATCCCTTCAGGTCTTCTCTGTGCCTACTGGTTTATCAGTCATCCAATTATTTGGGCAAAGTTTATACCTAGAATTTTTGTTTCACCCCTCTGGTTCTCTGACTGCCATGTTTTTCCCATTTAAATTTCTAGCTGTTTTCTCAGGCCTGAATACAGAGCCCTACAGTGATACTGTCTTTATCCAGAGATAATTTTTGTGTGCTTGTGGGGTCTCTAGCATTCTGTGATTACTTTAATTAAATTTTAGGGATTGAAGGATCGATGAGTGCATATGGTATCTATAGGATGATGTCTTTATTTTTGGCTTGGATTTCTTCCATAGTAATTTCATCCCTGAACATGTTCTCTCCATGAAGTGTGGCAAAGATAGCCACTGGCTGCTCTAACCTACATCGTTCTCATAACTGTTTCCACTGAGGATTCAAGTGACACTTTCCCAATAGTTTTTGCAAATGTACTAAGAAGCATTCTACATCTCCCATTTAGTCCCATCCATGAACAAATTACTGTGCTAGGAGAACAGGGTAATCTGATCAGCCTGAGAGTCACTTGTTTATCCTTCCATTCAGGTGCCTAGGATTGGGGCCACTGTAATAGTTGAGTAAGAATGTGTCCCTATCTGGAAATTAAGGTTACTATTAGTAAAAATAGAGGCAATATTAGAAATAGAAGATTGCTCTATAACAGTTTTTATAGATTTTGGAGTGTCCTGAAAAATTTCCTTGTATTGCTGGATCCAGTAAAGTTGTCTAGGAACAATATTTCACAAAAAAATTATAATTGAATGGTGACATTACTTACAAAATGATTTTGGTCAGTTTATGTGTCTCTGAGTTTGAAAAATTTTGTGACAGAATGTCTTGTAGAGTTACTGCTAATAAAAGAATGAAATAGATTTGTTCCTTTTTCCCCCCTTGTCTTCAAAAGTTAAGAGACCTAAATCAAATGTCAATATAAAATAACTCCTAGGGCTAAGAAAAACTTATTATGGTATTGTTAAGATAGAGTTGCTCTGTCAGTTAGCTAATTATTGTGTAACAAATTACTTTGAAACTTGGTGATTTAAATCAATAAACATTTTGATTAGAACAAGTCTGTGAGTCAGCCAGGTGGCGTTTCTGGTCTTGACTGGGCTCATTTATGAATCTGCATTTAGCAGCAGGTCAGGAAGGTGGCTCTGCTTCTCTTGGCTGGGTTCTCTGATATATTTGGGCATTGACTGGCCATAAGGTTGATCTAGGATGGCCTATATTGAGCTGGCTGTAGTTTGGTCTAGGATGTGCTGTGACGTCTGGGATACCCTCCCATTCTGAAGCAGATGAGAGTTGGCTTGTTATCATGGTGGTGGCAAGGTTTTGAAGGAAAGAGCAGAAGTATACAATGTCTCTTGAAGCCTAAGCTCAAAACTGGCAAACTGAAATCTGCTGGATTCCACTGGTGTTTCTTATAAGGTCAATCCCAGATTTAAGAGATCAGGGAGAGGATGCTACTTCTTTTTTCTTTTTATTTTTTAAGAGACAGGGTCTTGCTCTGTTGACCAGGCTGGAATGCAGTGGCACAGTCAGAGCTCACTGTAACCTCAAACTCCTGGGCTCATGCAATCCTCCTGCCTTGGCCTCTTGAGTAGCTAGGACCACAGACATGCACCACCACACCTGGCTAATTTTTGTATTTTTGTAGAGGCAGAGTCTCCTTGTGTTGCTCAGGCTGCTTGAACTTCTGGCTTCAAGTGATCCTCCTGCCTTGACCTCCCAAAGTGCTGGGATTACAGGCATGAGCCACTGCACCTGGCGGACCACCTCTTGATGAGAGAAACTACAAAATTTCCTTGCCAAATACATGGATAACGAGGTGAAACAGAATTGGGCTATTCACAATCAGGCTTTTTGTTTCAGTTGGTAAAATTAGATTAATTTTCAATGTTTAATTCTGAACTCATATTTCAGTAAGAATTGTTTGCATATAGAAATTGGGGCAGGTACAAATTTTGTATATCAATCTGTCCAGTAGTCCAGATTACTCTTTGCTATATTTGTTTCATACATCAGGTCTGATGAGATTTTGGAAGCATTGTTTATAGACTGAATTACCAGTTGTAGGTAGATGTTGGTAAATTAGCAGTTGTTCAAAGGTGATTCATTTATATCTTTTTTTTTTTTTGGTTATAAATGATTTTTTTTGGGTGTACATTTATTATTCTAACTTCGAGATTTGACTTTTTTCTATTTGTTCTTTGTATACTGTGAATTTTTAACAGATTTATTGAAGTATAATTGACATATTAAAAAATCACACTTAAAGTAAACAATTTGAACAGATTTGACGTCTGTATATACCTATGAAATCATTCAAGATAAGCAACATACCCTTTAGTTTCAAAAAGTTTCCTTATGCCTGTTGGTATTCTTCCTGTTTGCCCAGACAGTGAATGATCTGCTTTAGGTCATTTATAAGGTGCTATGCATATTCTGGAATTTTACATAAATCAACACATGCAGTATGTACTCTTTTTGTTTGGAGTTTTTTTTTAACTCAACGTATTTTTTTTGAGATTCATTCATGTTGCATATATCATTAGTTCAGTCCTACATATTCTGTTGCAGGTGTTTAATGTGAGGATTCACCTGTTGGTGGACATTTTTCCGCTAGTGTTTCAATATTACAAATAAGGATGGTATGGACATTTGCATACAAATCGTTTGACATGGTTTGGCTCTGTGTCCCTACCAAATCTCATGTTGAATTGTAATTCCCAATGTTGGAGAAGGGACCTGGAGAGAGGTGATTGGATCATGGGGACAGATTTCCACCTTGCTGTTGTTGTGGTAGTGAGTGAGTCTTCACGAGATCTGGTTGTTTAAAAGTGTGTAGCACTTCCCCCCCTTCACTCTTATTCTCCTGCTCCACCATGGTAAGATGCGCTTGCTTCCCCTTTGTCTTCTGCCATGATTGCAGGTTTCTTGAGGCCTTTCCCAGCCGTGCTTTCTGTACAGCCTGCGGAACTGTGAGTCAGTTAAACCTCTTTTCTTCATAAATTACCCAGTCTCAGGTAGTTCTTTATAGCAGTGTGAGAATGGACTAATACATCATTGTATGGACATATGCTTTCATTTGTTTGGACAAATACCTAGGAGTTTCCACTCCATGACTGGATCCTGTAGTAGGTGTATGTTTGACATTTTAAGAAATGGTGAAACTTTTACAAAGTGGTTGTACCATTTTATCTTCTCATATGAATGTATGAAAGTTTTAGTTCCTCCACTTGTTCACCAACACTTGGTATGGTTGGTCTTACTAATTTAGCCATTCTTATAGCTGTGTAGTGATAACTCTTTGTGCCTTTAATTTGCAGTTTCCCAGTAACAAATGATACTGAGCATCTTTTGATATGCTTGTCATTCATGTATTGTTGCCGAAGTGCTGCTTCAAATTTTCTGCCTATTTTGTAATTGGGTTGTTTTATTATTGAAGGTGTTAAAAGCAGGTTTATTGAGGCATAATTGACATGTAATAAAGTACACATATTTAAAGTATACAGTGAGAAAAATTTTGACACATATATATACTCAGGAGGCCACAAACAGGATGATGAATATATTCATCACCCGCAAAAGTTCTCCTGGTGCCACTTTGTAGTTCTTCTCCACCACGTTCCTTTTTGGGGGTCTGTCTCTTTAACAGCATATAGTTCAGGATTACTTTGTTTTCCCACTGAGGCAAGACTCCTTTTTGTCTGGTGTTAACGTGAATCAGGAGATTTTCCACTCTTAAGAGAACAGGTACTATTTCTGGTGCTGTGTAAGACTAGGGCAATTCCCTTTCATCCTTTTGGGTGACTCTTCCTTGCTTGGATAGTTTCCACACAGAGTTGCTCTAATCATTATGTAGCTAGATACTTGAGGGCGTTCTTTGTGGAATTATCTTCTCTTCAGTACTCTGCCCTCATGACTTCTTTAGGCTTTTAGCTCAGTCTCCTCAACTCAAGGATTACCACCAGATTCTGCATAGATACTCTTTTCCTTGGGCAGGGATCTGTACTTTCTCCAGGCAGTAAGTTTGCTCACCTTGTTTCCCTTTCAGGGTTCACCATCAGGGGTTGCCTAATGTCTAATATATGAAAACTATTGTTTCATATGTTTTCTGATTTCTTGAGTTTTCAGGGAGGAAGGCAAACCCAATTCCTGTTACTCCACCTTGGCTCTTATATGTACTTTCTACTCTTCATATTTATCTTTTATTTTGGTAAAAAACACATAACAGTAAATTTGCCATCTTAACTGTTTTTAAGTATACAGTCTAGTAGTGTTAAGTGTATTTACATTGTGTAACAGGTCTCTAGAACTTTTTCACTTTGGAAAAGAGAAACTCTGTGTCTGTTAAACACTAATTTCACTTCCTCTCTCCCCCAGATTTTGACAACCACTCCACTTTCTGTGATTTTTGACTATGTTAGGTATCTCATGGATGGAATCATATAGTATTTGTCCTTTGTGATTGGCTTATTTCAGTTATAATGCCCTTGAGGTGATTGAGGTTCATCCATGCTATAGCATGTGACACAATTTCCTTCTGTTTTAAGGCTGCATAATACTCCATTGTATGTATACACATTCCCTTGATCTGTTTATACATTGGTGGACAGTGGGTTTCTTCCTTCTCTTGGATCTTGTGAATAATGCTGTTGTGAACATGGGCATGTAAATATCGTTTTGAGATTCTGCTTTGGATTCTTTGTGTATATGCCCAGAAGTGGGATTGCTGGATCATATGGTAATTTAACTTGAAATTTTTTGAGGAACTGTCATGTTTTTCATAATGGCTGCACTATTTTATATTTTCCCCAACAGTGCACCAAGGGTTCCAGTTTCTCCACATTCTCGCCAACACTTGTTATTTCCTGGGTTTTTAAAAATAACAGCCTCTAGTGGATGTAAGGTGATATCTTGTAGTTTAGATTTGCATTCTCTGATGACTGGTGATGTTGAGTATCTTTTCTTTCTTACAATATTTTTTTTGGAACAGGGTCTTGCTATATTGCCCAGGCTGGAGTGCAGTGGCACAATTATGGCTCACTCCAGCTTTGACCTTCCAGGTTCAAGTGATCCTCCCACCTCAGCCTCTCAAGTAGCTGGTACTACAAACGCGTGCTACCACACCTATTTATTTTTTTTAGTAGAGACAAGGTCTTGCCATGTTGCCCAGGCTAGTCTCAAACTCCTGAGCTCAAGCGATCCTCCCACCTCAGCCTCTCAGAGTGCTGGGATTACAGTCATGAGCCACTACACTGGGCTGAGCATCTTTTTGTGTGCTTGTTTTATATGCTGTCTTTGGAGGATTGTCCATTGAAGTACTTGGCCCATTTTTAAATTCAGTCATTTCTTTTTTTGTTGTCAAGTTCATTATATTACATATTTTGGATTTTAACCTCTTATCAGATACATGATTTGCAAATATTTTCTCCCAGTCTGTAGGTTGTCTTTTCACTCCATTGATTACTTCTTTTGATGTACAGAAGTTTTTAACTTTTAATGTAATTCCATTTTTTGTTCCCTGTGCTTTTGGTGTCATGTTCAAGAATTCATAGCTAAATCCAGTGTCCCGAAGCCTTCCCCTATGTTTTCTTTAATAGTTTTATTGTTTTAGTTCTTATGCTTTGGTCTTTATCCATTTTGAATTAATTTTTGTATGTGGTGTAAGTAAGGGTCCGACTTCATTCTTTTTCACGTGGATATTGGATTTCCCAGTACCATTTGTTGAAAAGACTGTCCTTTCCTCTCTGTATAGTATTGGCCCCCTTGTCAAACACCATTTGACTAGAAATGCATGGGTTTATTATTGGGCTATCTATATTTTGTTTCATTGGTTTATATGTCTTTTTATGCTGGCACCATTGTTGTCTTGATTACTATTTGTATTTAGTATGTTTTGAAATCAGGACATGTAAGGCCTCCAACTTTGTTGTTCTTTTTCAAGTTTGTTTTGGCTCTATGGGGTCCTTTGAGATTCCATATGAATTTAAGGATAGGTTTTCCTGTTTCTGCAAAAATGCCATTGGGACTTTGACAGGGATTGCATTGAATCTGTAGATTGCTGTGGGTAGTATGGACATTTTAACAATAAATCTTCCAATCTGTGGGTACAGTGTGTTTCCATTTATTGGTATATTTTATGGTTTCTTTCAGCAGTGTGTTATAGCTTTCAGTGTACAAGTCTGTTGGATCCTTGGTTAATTCCTAAATATTGTATTCTTTTTGATACTATTGTACATGGAATTGTGTTAATTTCTTTTTCAAATTGCTCATTGAAATACAATTGATGTTTGCATGTTTGTGTGCTTTTATTTTTTGTATCCTTTAACTTTGCTGAAATGATTACTTCTAACATTTTTTTTCTTGAAAATTTAAGAGTTTTCTGCATATAAGGTCACATCTGAGAACCAGGGTAATTTTACTTCTTTCCAATTTGAATGCATTTTATTCTTTTTTCTTGTCTAATTGCTCTGGCTAGGACTTCCACTACTGTGTTGAATAGAAATGGTGACAGTAGGCATCCTTGCTTTGTTCTCTATCTTAGAGGAAACGCTTTCAGTCTTTCACGGTTGAGTGTGATGTTAGCTGTGGGCTTTTCATGTATGGCTTTTATTATGTTAAACTTTCCTTCTATTTCTATTTTGTTTTCATATGTTTAATTGTCCTTGCATTCCAGGAGTAAAGCCCACTTGGTCATGATGTGTAATCCTTTTAATGTGCTGCTGAATTTGTTTTGCTCCTATTTTGTTGTAGATTTTTGCATCAGTATTAATCACAGATATACGTCTATAATTTTGTTCTTGCTTGTTGTGTCTTTGTCTGGTTTTGGTGTCAGGGTAATGCTGACCTTATAGAATGAATTTGAAGTATTCCCTTCTTTTGAATTCTTTATGAGTTTGAGGAAGATTGGTGTTAATTCTTATTTAAATGTCTGGTAGAATTCTCTAGCAAAGCCATCTGGTCCTGGGCTTTTCTTATTTGGTAAGTTTTTGATAACTGCATCCAATCTCTGTTTACTAGTTATAGGCCATTCAGAGTTTTTATTTTTCATGTCCTCGTTTTGCTAGGTGTACATTTTTAGGAATATACCAATTTGTTCTAGATTATTCAATTGTTGATGTATAATTGTTCATAATATTCTGTTATAATTCTTCTGGCATCAGTTGTAATGTCCCCTCTTTCATTTCAGATTTTCATTTTTCAAGTCTTCTCTTTTTCTTAGTCTAGCTAAAGAGTTTATTGATTTTGTTGATCTTTTTTTAAAAAAAAAAAAAAAAAAAAACCAACTCTAGGTTTCATTGAGTTTTTTTCTTTCCTTGTCTTCAGTTCTATATTTAGTTGATCTCTGCCCTAATATGTATTATTTTTCTCCCTTCTGCTACTATTTGGTTTAGTTTGTTCCTCTTTTTTCTAGTTCCTTGAGATATAAAGTTAGGTTGTTGATTTGTGGGTTTTTTTTTTTTTTAAACATGTAAGCTTTTGCTACCATAAACCTCTCTCTTAGTACTGCTTTTGTTGCATCTCATAACGTAATGGTTTGTTGTGTTTTTGTTTTTGTCTCCGGATATTTAAAAAATTTCTTTGTAATTTCTTTGACCCATTGGTTGGGTAAGAGTAAGTTTTTTAATTTCCACATGTGTGGATTTTCTTGTTTTCCTTCTGTTATTGGTGTTTAGTTTCATTTCACTGTGATTAGAGAAGATAGTTGGTATGATTTCAGTCTTAAATTTATTCAGATTTGTTTTGTGACCTACCTTTTATATAATTTTAATGTGTTTCTGAACTTTCGGAGTTAATTCTGAAGACTTTTCTGAATTGTCAGTGTTTAGTTTTCTAAAATATGTTCATGTCTCTTCAGCATATTTACAATATTTTTGAAAATTAATAGACATTCTTTTTTAAAAGTTTTAGATTTACAACAAATTTCAGCAGGATAGTATACTGTTCCCATATTCTAACCACCCCTTCCAACTGTCATTTTTCCCTGTTGTTAACATCTTACATTAGTACAGTACATTTGTTACAGTTAATGAACCAATATTGACACATTATTATTAACTAAAGACCATAGTTTATTCAGATTTTCTTAGTTTTTACCCAATGTTCTTTTTGTGTTCCAAGATATATTACATTTAGTTGTCGTTTCTTCCTAAGTTTCTGAAGACTTTGTTTTTGATGACCTTATGAGGTTTTTTTTTTGTTTTTTGTTTTTTCTTTTCACCTTAACAGTTTTGAGGAATATTGGTCAGATATACTCTATGATCTTCTATTGGAATTTGTCTGATGTTTTTCTCATGATCAGACTGTGGTTATGGGTTTTTGGGAGGATGTGTTATACTTGACATTTTAGTATTCAGGTGTTCTCTTAGAATACTGCTTGAAGCAAAACCAGCGGTGCCAACTGCTTTTAAGTTTTATCCTCTTTTTTTGTACCCCCTCCCACTTATATAAGTAATATTCCAATTATATTTCTTAGGTGTAGATTTTAAAATACTTTCTATCATACTTGTTTGTAAAATCTTTTTTTAAAAAAATTTATTTGCTATTATCAAAAAGACAAAAGATAACAAATGTTGGCAAGGATGTGGAGAAAGGGAGCCCTTGTGTACCTTGTTAGGAATGCAAAATAAACAGCCATTATGGAAAACAGTATGGCACTTTCTCAGAAAACTAAAAATAGAATTACCATATGATATAGCAGTCCCACGTCTGGTTATACATCTAAAGGAATTGAAATCAGTGTGCTGAAGAGGTATCTGCATGTCCATGTTCACTACAGCATTATTCACAATAGCTAAAATAGGGAAGCAACCTAGGTGTCCATCATTGGATGAAAGGATAAACGTGGTATATATGCACAATGGAATACTATTCAGTCTTAAGACAGAAAAAAATTCTGTTATTTGCAACAACATGGATGAACCTGGAGGACATTATGCTAAGTGAAATAAACCAGGCACAGAAAGACAAACACCACGTAATCTAACTTACATGTAGAATCTAAAAAAGTTGAACTCATAGAAGTAGAGAGTGAAATGGTGTTTACCTGAGGCTGGGTTGGGGAGTGGATGGGGCAAGAGGAGATGTTGATCAAATGGTACAAAGTTTTATTCAGGAGGAATAAGCTTTAGTGATCTATTGCACAGAATTATGAAATATAGTAATAATGCATGTATATTTTAAAATTGCTAAAAGAGTAGATTTTAAGTGTTTTACCACAAAAAAATAAGTGTGAGGTGATGGATTTGTTAATTAGCATGAATTAATCATTCTACTATGTAAGCATATGTCAAAACATCACATTGTACCCCATAAATAGATAATATATACAACTAGTATTTGTCAATTAAGAATTAATAAAATAAAAATAAAGTGTCTAAAATGTGCTGGTTTAGGTTTGTGGGGAACAAATGCAGTTAAAAGGTTTTTTTTCAGATTTTGGAGAGTACGAGCAAAGCAAGGTAAAATTAAACAGCTTAAGTCAAAGTTTGTATGTGTGTGGTGTTTGTATATGCCTTTATTTTTTATTGTGGTAAAATATGCATAACAAAATTTACCATTTTAAAGTGTACAGTTCTATGGCATTCAAGTATGTTTATATCGTTTGTGCAACCATATATAGTTTTAAAAAATATGCATTGATCTGCTAGGACTGTCATAAAATACTACAGACTGGGTGGCTTACACAACAGAAATTTATTTTCTCACAGTTCTAGAGATGGGAAATTCAAGATTAGGGTGTTGGCAGGTTTTGTTTCTCCTGAGGCATCTCTCTTTTGCAGAGAGCCTGCCCTCTGTGTGTGCATACCTTGTATCTCTTAGAATGATACCAGTCAGGCTGGGCGTGGTGGCTCACGCCTGTAATCCCAGAACTTTGGGAAGCCAAAGCGGGTGGATCACTTGAGGTCAGGAGTTCGAGACCAGCCTAGCCAATATGGTGAAACCCTGTCTCTACTAAAAATAAAAATAAAAAATTAGCCAGGCATGGTGGTGTGTGCCTATAGTCCTAGCTACTTCGGAGGCTGAGGCACGAGAATCGCTTGAACCTGGGAGGCAGAGTTTGTAGTGAGCCTCTGTCTCCAAAAAAAAAAAAGACACCAGTCATATTGGGTAAAGGCCTCATAAGTTACCTTATTTAACTTGATTCCTGAAAGGCTCTCGCTCTAATATAAATTTCTGTTATGTAAGCCACCCAGTCTGTAGTATTTTATGACAGTCCTAGCAGACCAATGCAGTTCGTAACATCTTTTATATAGGGGTGCTTCCAGTTTATCTCCTTGAGAACTTGCTGTCTTCAGTGTATTAATTTCCTGTGGTTGCTCTAACAAATTACCACAAACTGGTTGGTGTAAAACAATAGAAATTAATTCTCTCACAGTTCTGGAGGCCAGAAGTTCAAAATCAGTATTATTGGGCCAAAATCAAGGTGATGGCAGGGCTTTGTTCCTTCTGGAGGGAGGCTGTAGAAGAGAATCCATTCCTTGCTTCTCCCTGATACTGGTGGGTGCTGGCATTCCTGGCTATGGCCCATGTCCTTCCAGTCTACGAAAGCAGCATTTTCAGTTCTCTCTGCCATGTCTTCTTCTTCTTCCTCTTTTTTGGAGACAGAGTCTTGCTCTGTTGCCTAGGCTGGATGCAGCGACGTGATCTTGGCTCATTGCAACCTCCGCTTCCTGAGTTCAAGCAAGATTATCCTGCCTCAGCCTCCTGAGTAGTTGGGACTACGGGCGCGTGCCACCACGCCCAGCTAACTTTTGTATTTTTAGTAGAGACGGGGTTTCACCATGTTGGCCAGGCTGGTTTCGAACTCCTGACCTCAGGTGATCTGCCCACCTTGGCCTCCCAAAGTGCTGGGATTACAGGTGTGAGCCACTGTGCCCGGCCTCTCCGCTTGTCTTCTCATTGCCTTCAGTGTGTGTCTCGTTCTTATAAGGATACATGTGATTGCACTGTGGTCCACCCAGATAATTCGGAATAATCCTCCCTCTCAAGATCCTTAATTTAATCATATCTACAAAGACTTCTTCTTTTTTTTTTTTTTTTTTTTGCCATATGAGGTAACATTGTCAGATTTCAGGGATCAGGGTGTGGAAGTCTTTTGTGGGGCAATAGTTCAGCTTATCCCACTCAGTCGTTTATAATAGACTTTTAATGTTCTTACTTTTATTTTATAGTTTAGTTTTTAACAGGCCCCCATGTCCACTTCTGGGTTGGTGGGAGATGATGGCATTGGGTGGCAGAGAAAATATCTCATCTTTTCTAGATACGATGCAGAAAATTCTAGGTCTGTGGTTCTAGGAAGGACAAATCAGAGATGATAGTTTGGAAATAAAACAGTTAAAGTAACCTAGCTTGAGAACAGAGGTAGGTGTGGTGGTGCTATTTTTTAAAGAATAGAGAATTTAGAAGAGTCACAAGCTAGTTTCAGGTATGGGGAGGAGGAGATATGTAGAGTGTGGGACATACTGAGTTTTCAGAAGTTCTGAAATATGGTAAAATTAGTAATGGTGGATATATTTTTGGCAAATGCATGTTCAGTGGATTGTTGGTGTAGAAGTCACTTTATACTAGATTAAAGATTAAATTGAAGATGGGGAGTATTGATACATTCTATTCTCTAGAATAATGATGCTTGGCATTTAGTAAGTAATCAGTGTTGGCTATTATGATAATTACTGTGGTTGCTCTAACAAATTACTTTGTTATATACTTTTATGTGTATATACTTTTATGTGTTCCAATACTATAACATTTTTGTCTTCAGCTGTTTGGTGTGTGTCTTGATATGTACATAATATTAAATAAATACTGATCTAGAAAGATGTGTGTTTTAGTAATTATTTTAATTATTGCCATTGCCATACTATTAAAATTAATGAAAACAATTTAGAATTTTTTTTAAAAAAAAGAATTAGTTTCAATTTCTCATTTGAATAGATTATTATTTCTCAAAAAAAGCAGTGAGGTTGGGGGGCACTTAGCAATAGTTTCCTAAAGATTAAAATGATGGTATTCTGGTTGAATGGTTTTTTTATGTTATATCAAGAAATATAATTTGGTTTGTGTTTTTTCATTTAAAATAATAGTGTATTGTAGCTATGGTTATTCATGCCTGAAACAAAAAATTAAACCTTGGTCATTGTGTGTATTTCTTTCAGGTTTGATTTAATTTTGGATGAGATCGTTCTTGCAGCAAGATGTTAATAAGACAAAATCTAGGTAAGTAGAAGACTGCTTTGTTAAATGTACATATCAAGGTAGGAATAATACAAAAAAATTATGTCTTAAAAATGTGGTGTTGAGTTCAGAACCAAAGAGTTTTTAAATAAAATTTTGAAATGCAAATAATTGACTTTTTGACACACTTGGTCCAGTTGATTTGATGGGAGTAAAATTATAACTATCACATTGTGGAACTAAATTTTTAGTTTCCTTCTTTTGTGTTGAGGTTAACTAAAGCATTCAAGTTTCCAGTGAATATTCTAAAATGTTAGAAAATCAAGTTAATGTTTGGTTCAGCCACTCTTATTGAACTCTGACCACTTCAGTAAGACATTTATTGTGTCACTTCATTGTTCTCTCCTTTGTTGATAAAGTATATGAATAGTCATTGCTTTTGTGAATTTTGCTTCATTTTTAATGTTAAGGAAGCACTTTCCCAAATGGGATAAATTTGCCAAATTGTGATTTCTTTCTGTTAATATAGTATTCAAAATTGTAAATTATTGTTTTAATGTTTTCCTAGTGGGTGTCTCTACTGAATGACCTCTCTAATATAGCATTCTGATTAGCTTTCTAAGGCTGTTCACTTTTAAAAAATTGAATTGGCATCATGTACTTTGGTATGTGAAAGAATGCTTTTTAATAATATAAGCCGTTGACATGTTTTAAAAAGATACATTTACTATTTATTGGTAAGTGAATATGGCTTCAAAATGGAAACAAGGGAAAAAGAACATTGAAAAAATTGGAGTTAACTTGGTTTTCCCTCTAACCAGATGTTTCAGCTGTCAAAAATTTGCTGATCTCAATGTTTGTTAAAGAAAAAAAAAGTCTAGGATGAAAAGTGCTGTAGTTCAGTAATATGCACTGAAGGAAATCTCAGTCAGTGGTTTGGGCATGTTTTGAAGCAAAATTTTGCTTTTATTGCTATTATATAATAATAACAGTAGTGGTAGTTTGAAGAGTACTTATTGTGCTCTAAATTCTGTTAAGTGCTTGTCATACCTTATTGATCGTTATAGTACCTCCTCTTGTTGTGTAGAAAAATTTTATTTTTTGCTTTATAGTGGGCTGTTTTTCTTTAGGAATAATAATTTACTTCTGTAGCATTTATTAGAAATAACACTTGCCTATGTATCTTCTTAAAGTGGAGAAGAAGCCATTCTTTTGTACTTGAAGGTCTTATTAGGGTTTGTTTTCTAGTTGAATATACAGTGTCTGTTAAAACTTTTGTTCTGATTTTCTATGTTTGATATTGCTTGTGGGATGACACTGGTTTAACTTATTCTGACCTTATTTTTCACCATGCTTATATATGTAGTTTTTTCTTTTTTATTATGGTATAGTTTACATATATATGGTAACATAAAATTTGAGGTATAGAGCTGAATGACTTTTCACATACACATTCATATGTGTAACCACCATCTAGATCAAGATATAGAACATTTCATTACTTTGGAAAGTTCCTTGTGCTTTCCCCGCTTCCAGTCTAATAGCCTTTTCCCCTGAAGTAATCATCTTTCTGAATTCTGTCAGCATAATTTAGTTTTGCCTGTTCTTGGATTTTATATATAGTATGTACTCTTGTATGTGGCTTTTTCATTCAACATAATGTTCTTGAGCTTCATCTATGTTGTGACTATGTCAGCAGTTCATTATTTTTTATTGCTGTTTTATTTTTAGTAATATTCCATTGTATGAACACACTACAAAGTATTTATGTTTTCTCAGTGATTTGGTTTATTGGATTCTCCATATCTCTGTTCCTACTTGCTAACTTTTTTATACTCTTTTCCTTCTTCTACCTGTCTCTTTAATTGTCCCCCATCACTTTCAGAATAAAATGTAGTAAACCTTATAACACGGCATGCAGTTATCTCACCGTAGCTATGCCAGAATGCTGAGGATTATATGAATAAACTAAGTATGATGTTTCATATTCCTAGTTCTAGTCCTAGGTACATGTTGTCACTTTCCCTCAATCCCATGCCTCCCCAGTTGCCAGAGACCTCTTTGCTAGTTGTCAGCTTATCTTCTGAAATAGCCTATCTGAAGCATCATCTGATCCTTTAAGCCATGCCTGGCCGTAGTTTGTCTTCTTTATTAGAGTATGAGTTTGAAGGTAGATACCATCCATGTCTCGTTTATCTTAGCACAGTGCTGGGAATACTGTGTGCATTCAGTAAATGTTTTGTTAAACATTGACCAATGAAAAGAGTTCTCCCAGGCAAATAGAGATTCAGAATGCTAGCTGGAATGGGATGGGGGCATTGGCACTTGAGTTGCTGTTGGGCCATAGGAAGGAGCCACTGAGGATAATCCACAGACAGCATTATAGACATTTTAGAAAGAGAAATAAAATATTTCCCAAGTCTTCATTCAATCCAGTTGAAATACAGTGGCTAGTAAAATATTCTTAATTCAGACCTAAAGTAAGACTGTCATTGTTGATTTTGATTAGTATTTCCAAGTGGAGGTATTAATCCATGTTGCAGAAATTTGAAGTGTTTGCTATGAAGAGTATTTTCTTTGTGGGTTTGTACTAGTTATTTCTTTAAAGATTTTGGAATGTTAGACTAATACAAGTAGAAGATTGGGAACACTAGTCACACGTGTAAGAAGTGAAGAAAACTTTTCCTTATTTCTCTGAAGGTAAAAAACTGTTAGGATGGAGGAAGAAATTGTAGAATCATAGCCTGGAACTGTGATAACATTTTTGATTCCCACAGCTTAGGAAGCTTGCTATTTGTTTAAAGGTACTTAAATTTTTTTAAATTGTAGATATGTAATGTAGCATATATAAACTATATACTTTTTTTGTTTTGTTTTTGAGATGGAGTTTCGCTCTTGTTGCCCAGGTGGGAATGCAATGGCACAGTCTCAGCTCACTGCAACCTCTGCCTCCCAGGTTCAAGCAATTCTCCTGCCTCAGCCTCCCAAGTAGCTGGGATTACAGGCATGCGACACCACACCCAGCTAAATTTGTATTTTTTAAGTAGAGATGGGGTTTCACTATGTTCGTCAGGCTAGTCTCGAACTCCTGACCTCAGGTGACCCACCCTCCTTAGCCTTCCGAAGTGCTGGGATTACAGGTGTGAGCCACTGCACCTGGCCTAAACAATATACTCTCTTAAGAAATAACACACTTCTTAAATTTTAAAGCATTTTGACTAGTGGTTCTTTTTTTTTCTGTGTTTGAAATTTGGCTAGTTGGGTTGGCTATAGTAATCATCTGGAGATTTTTATGCCTGAAGCTTGATTGCCCTCTAGCAAGTCCAAAGCAAGAAGAGGTTCTTCCCCACAGGGATCAATTTGTTGCTTTTCCTTTCTGCAGCTTCTGCCATAATGTTTGAACACAGAGTTAGACGTTGACATTTTCTCATGCTGTTCCTTCTGTCTTCCCACAAGGGTTTTCTTAGACATAGATTCTTACCGTATATAGACCTTGGTTCTTTTTTTTTTTTTTTAAATCCTGATTGTGAAGTGTGTTTAGTCATGTTGTTGGTTAGAGTTGAGGAGCCAGAGAAATTTAACCTTGAGATTGCCTAACTTACATGTCTCCACAAAGACTTTAGACTAATTTTTCTTCTCAGAGGCTGCTAGCTGTACCTCCGTTGCAGAGTCTTCGTCTTCATTTTGTGCTTCAATATTTAACATAGGCAGCTGCTGCTAAGACTGCAGAATCCCCGAATCCAAGGATTTGAAATTCTTTATGGATATTTGTCTTAGATTAATTTCTCTAATTTCTAACTTAACCTCTCTGTACTTCAGTTTCTTTAGTAGCATTGTAGATGTGCTGCCCTTTGTTGTAGCATGAAAAAGAAGACTTTTTAATTAATAAAATTCTTTGTCCTTCATTCTAGATGAGATTGTACAACGTACATTGACCCTTTCCAGCTGTATTGCCAAGTAACAGTTAGTATTTAGTATTTCACTTTTTTTTTTTTTTTTAAGACAAAGTTTTGCTCTTGTTGCCCAGGCTGGAGTGCAATGGCACTATTTTGGCTCCCTGCAACCTCCGCCTCCTGAGTTCATGCGTTTCTCCTGCCTCAGCCTCCTGAGTAGCTGGGACTATAGGTGCATGCCACCACACCTGGCTAATTTTAGTATTTTTAGTAGAGATGGGGTTTCACTGTGTTGGCCACGCTGGTCTCAAACTCCTGACCTCAGGCGATCCACCGGCCTCAGCCTCCCAAAGTGCTGGGATGATAGGCGTGAGCCACTGCACCTGGCCACATTTAGTATTTTCAAAATATAAATTTTTTATAAAAGTCACATGTGACCTTATGAGCAAATAGTACAGCAATGTTTAAAGTAAAAAGTAAAACTCTTCTCTCCCACCCAGCACTATACTCCCCATAAGTTACCAAAAATAGCTGGTATGTATTCTACATCTTTTTCTTTCTGCTTATCAATATATTTTGGACATTTTTCCATATATTTACCACATTTATTATAACTGTTACCTTATTAATATTTAGGTAAGTCTCAGGATTTTTTGCCTGTATATAAGTACTGCTGCAATAAATATTTTTGATGGTATTAACGGGAGTGTGTGAGAGTGTCAGGATAATTTGTAGCAGTAGATTGCTGGATCAAGGATATGTGCCCTTTAACTTCTGATGTAATAAAACTGCAATGAGGTTGTACCACTTAATACTCTTATTGCTAGTTTATGAGAATATCTGTTTTCCCACATTCTGCTAAATATTTGTTTTATCCTTGCTAGTCTAATTGGTGGAAAGTGGTATTTATTTTACTGGGCATTTTTTAAATTGTGAGAGTGCTCAAAGGTTTGAAATATCACCTTCATTACAACTTAAGTTCTGTTGGAGAATATATGTGAAGATTTTTATTTTTTACTGTTAAGTCCATCAGTTCCATCAATTAACATACCTTTGTGTTTTAGGTATTACAGTCAAAGTTATTTAATATTGAATAATCAGATTATTTGCCTTTTTTTCCCTTCATACTATTTTTTTAGGATAAATATTTCCTTATGGTAAATTTCTTTATAGTTTGCTACAAACTAACATCAGCATAGCCTGTAAATAAAAAGAAAATAAAAGCCATTACTAAATATTAGGTTCATTAAGTCTAGATTGATAGCAGACTGCTTAAAATCTGATGTCTTTTACAACGCAATCATTAGAATACTTTGCTTCTTTGTGGTTATTTTTTACTATCCTTATTATGTATGATAAGCTACAGTTGTTAGTCTTAATTCCAGCTTTAATGTGAGTGAACTCCTTTTTTTTTTTAAGTATTTAATTCTAGAAAACTTAAATACTTAAATTTACAACCAGAAAAAAAGAGCTGAGAAAATCCTTAATGTTTCTGTGATGGATTTCTCTGAGTTATTTTTACAAATTGGCATATTTTGGTATTTTTTAATAGTATTTTCTAGTGTGATGCCTTTATTCCTAGATATGTTTAAAGTACTATGCCATATTATATAAGGGATTTGAGCATCTGTGGATTTTGGTATCTAGGGGGTTGTCCTGGAACCAATCCCCTTCAGATATGAAGGGTCAACTGTATATCTGTCTGTCTTGATCTACATCTCTTAAAACTCACCCTTGGTTTCACTGTGCTGTTAAATTTGTTTAAAGGGAGGCTACATTGTTCTCTTTTGAAGTTGAGCTGTCAGTAGTTTTTCCAAAGAAAGTTTCAGCCATGCTTGTCTTTAGTATAAAAGTTTCTATCCAAATCTGAAATGTTTTTAAACCTAACAAAGGCTAAGCGGCAAATATCATTCCAATATGTGAACAGGAAACCATAAAACTGCTCCTTCAGACCAAAGAATTTTGCCATGGCTATACTTTAGCCTTCTATGATTGGTCTAAACTGTAAATAAAAGTGCTAAATAAAACAAGGCATTCAGTAAGCCTTTATTGAAATCTAATATTCTAGGCACTGTGCTATATGTTAGGGATGCATTAGTCATTAGAATTCCCAGTACCATGCAACTAGTTATAGTACAAGTGATGAACACAATACTGCCAAGTCTGAGTAGTATAGTGTAGTAGTAGGCCTGAGGAGGACGTTTTTAAGGAAGAAGTCAGGAAAGGCTTCATAGAGCAAGATATCATTTAGAGTTGAAAAAAAGAATAGAATTTTGACCTTGGGAAAATATGGGCAGAGGGGGCATGAACTAAAGCTCTTATTTTAGTTGCTAGACATTATTTCGTAAAAACAGTTTCATTTAACTGGATGTCCATATTGCCAGAGTTACTGGCAGTTTCTTAAATGTACTGAAGTTCACATTTTACCACAGCTTAGGAATTTATTATTTGAACTGTTTCCTTGTGCTATTTTTTCAAACTGTTTAAACAAGTTTAATTTTTTTGAATACACCAAGAAATAAATGATACTGTGAAAGCCTTCATACTCATCATTATTTTGATTATTCTAATGTTACACTTAAGGGTAAGAGATTCAGAAATAATGAATGACTGGCTTGAGGTCAGGTAGATAATTGCAGAAACAGAATTGGAACCTAAGTCTTCTGACCTCTGATTTACTATTCTTTTGAGATGACCATTAAAGTAGATATTTGAGGCCAGGCGTGGTGGCTCACACCTGTAATCCCAGCACTTTGGGAGGCTGAGGCAGGTGAATTGCCTGAGGTCAGGAGTTCAAGACCAGCCTGGCCAACGTGGTGAAACTCTGTCTCTACTAAAAATGCAAAAATTAGCATTATTTGGGTGTGGTGGCAGGCACCTGTAATCCCAGCTGCTTGGGAGGCTGAGGCAGGAGAATCACTTGAACCCAGGAGGCAGAGGTTGCAGTGAGCCGAGATCGCGCCATTGCGCTCCAGCCTGGGAGACAGAGCGAGACTCTGTCTCAAAAAAAAAAAAAAAAAAAGTAGATATTTGAAACTTTTAGGGTCTTCTAACTAGGCTGAAGCCCGTGGGCTCAGTAAATTTTTGTTTAATATTTTATTGATTCATCTGATGTTTTATGAATTGGTGATTGTAATTAAGTTGGTTTTAGATCACACTTTACTAGTCTGAGGAGAAAAGATAACTAAATATGTAATTATAATCAAGTATCATTAGTACTGTGATAGTCTCTGTTCCTGGAAGGCAAGGGCCATGTCTGTTTTATTTCTTAAGATATATTCAGTACTTTAATATAGCTAATACTTTACTCATAGACATTTAATAAATGTCTATTTAATGACTGGATGGAAATATGGCAAGGCCTCCCAGAAGTGACACTTAAACTGAAACTTGGAGGAACTGTTGGTGATTAATGTGGATAAAAAATGTGGGGAAGGACTGTTAGCAGAAGAAATAGCATGTTCAAAGGATGAGAGGTAACAGAAAGGGAAGATTGCTGGAACTGAAATAAATGTAAGTTTTGAATGTAGAGCTCACCGTGGGGTGTGGATGTGGGGAGTGGCTAGTCTCAAGAGATTAGACGAGAGAGTAAGGCTGGGCTATTTTATTGAGGTTTTTATAAACCATTGAAGGAGTTTAAATGTGAGGAAATGACTTTATTCTATCTGTTTTAGCAAATGAACCTAATTAAAATGGGGAGAACAGATCACAGGGAAAGCTGGATTGGATTCAGGATGACTAGTTAGTATGGGGAGCATGCTGGCCTGACTTGAGAGTGGTAGAAGTGGGGATAGAAAGATGTGGTTGGATTTGAGAGAGATTTACACAGCAAAAGAGACCAGCTTTGGTGGTTAATTGTAATGGAGGTGGGAGTAGGAGAATAAGAAAGGAGTTAAGTATGACTCATGTTTCTAGCTGGGCAGTAGTGCTGTATTATTCACAGATAGGAACTG
This sequence comes from Homo sapiens, assembly GCF_000001405.40. Taxonomy (NCBI): domain Eukaryota; kingdom Metazoa; phylum Chordata; class Mammalia; order Primates; family Hominidae; genus Homo; species Homo sapiens. The sequence continues at coordinate 90,974,505 of NC_000001.11, read as the reverse complement.
TGAAGAAGAACATTTGGAGAGAACAAGAGCTACATTTTAGATGTATTAAGCTTTAAGTAGCTCAGGACTTCTGAGTAGAAATGTCAGGTGGCAGTTAGATATGAGACCTATCTATAACTCGAGATGTGAGAATCATCAGCGTGAAATCTTAATGTCCCTCAAATTCTTTTTTTTTTGAGACAAGAGTCTTGCTGTATCCCTCAGGCTGGAGTGCAGTGGCGCAATCTTGGCCCACTGCAATCTCTGCCTCCCAAGTTCAAATGATTCTCATGCCTCAGCCTGGGATTACTGGCGCCCACCACCTTGCCCAGCTAATTTTTGTATTTTTAGTAGAGATGGACAGTCATGCAGGAGTATGATTAGAGGACAAAAGGGTATGATCTAATGGTGATAAACTGGGGTGGACTTAGCAGAGCCTGTTTGTTCAGATTCTTCTTGGCATCTCTGTGTGACACATCTATACGGACACCTATCCCATAAAAGTTTTAGGAGAGAAGGGAGAGAAAGTCAGAGAATGACTTTCCTAGATTTTATGGCTTACTTCAGGGGAGAAAAAAATGAGAAAGTCAGAAGAGAGACCTTCCTGCTTCTGCTGTTTTCTCAAATGCCAAGGTGCCATATTTTGGGGGCAGCATTTCCTACATCTCATTACTAGGAAGTCACTTTCTCTTGATATTTATGATTGCAAACTGAGCCACCTATAAATTGAATGACTTAAAAGTATCACAAGATAATGAAGTGCTAAATATTGACGTCTCCTGCAGTGCCCTCTATAGATGACGGGCTCTTCTATTTTTTAAACTGGTAAAAACAAAAATCGTGGTTACCTTATATATATATATGTTTTCTTAAACAAAAGTTTATATGATGTTTACTCTTTCTACACTTAACACAGATATTTTTTGTCTGATGGATTAAAAATAAAAACCATGATAAATGCAGACTTATTTAACATTTATATAGTGCTTACTATCTGCCAGGCACTGTTATAAGTACTTTTTCAATATTAACTCAATCCTCATTTTACAGATAACAAAACTAAAATACGAGTTTAACAATGGAAGACCTAGGATTTGAACGGGGTAGTTTAACTTGAGAGTCTGCTATTAAAGGCTTATGTTATACTGCTCTCAACAGAGTGGTAAAATAATTTAGTAAATATTAAAATAATTCAGTGAAATAACATAAGAAATACTACACAGGAAAATACATAATTACATGTATACTCTTACTTTATTATACTCTCACCCATTTATGTATTATACTCTCACCCATTTTTTCCTCCCTCTCAGGTTATTCTGGAGCAAACCCAGACATATTTGTTATTTATTGATCTCCACCTCATCCCCATTGGTAATTTTTTTCTAGTTTTTTTTTTTATTATGGTAAACTATATGTAACATGAAATTTGCCATTTTAACCATTTTTAAGTGTACAGTTGAGTGTTCCTATATACATTTATAATGTGCACTCATCACCACCATCCATCTTCATAACTTTTTGTCTTGCGAAACTGAAACTCTGTACCCATTAAACAACAATTCCTCCGTTTCTCCTGCTCCTGAGGTCCTGGAAATCACCATTTTTCTCTCTTTGAATTTGACTAAGTGTCTCATAAGCAGAATCATATAGTGTTTGTCTTTTTGTGACTGGCTTATTTCACAAGTGTGATGTTTTCACGGTTCATTCATGTTACAGCATTTTGCAGAATTTCCTCCCATTTTAAGTCTGCATAATACTGTATTGTATGTATGTAACACATGTTGTTTATTTGTCCATTGGTGGACACCTGTGTTGCTTCCACCATTTAGCTATTGTGAACAATGCTGCAGTGAACATGGGTGTACAAATATCTCTTCAAGACCTTGCTTTCAATTTTCAAGGATATATACCTAGAAGTGGAATTGCTGGATCATATGGTAATTCTATTTTTAGTTTTTTGAGGAGCCACCATAGTTTTCTGTAGTGGCTGCACCATTTGACATTCCCACCAACAGTGCACAAATGTTCCTGTTTCTCTCCATCCTTGCCAACACTTGACATTTTGTTTTTTGTTTTTTGATAGTGGCTATGATGTGTCATTATGGTTTTGATTTGTATTTGTCTAATAATTAGTGATGTTGAGCATCTTTTCATATGCTTATTGGCCATATGAATGTCCTTGGAGAAATGTCTATTCAAGTCTTTTGCCCATTTTTTAATCATGTTGTTTTTCTGTTGAGTTGTAGTTCTGTATATGTTCTAGATATTAATCCCTTGTTAGATAACATGATTTGCAGAGATATTTTCTCCCATTCCATTGGTTTTCTTTACTCTGTATCTTTTGTTGCACAAAAATTTTTACATTTTCACAAAGTTCAATTAGTCTTTGTTTGTTTGTTTGTTTAGACAGAGTCTCATTGTGTCGCCCACACTGGAGTGCAGTGGTGTAATGACTTGGTTCACTGCAACCTCTGCCTCTGGATTCAAGTGATTGTCATGCCTCAGCCTCCTGAGTAGCTGGGACTACAGCTGCTTACTTGCATGTTTCATTGTTTTCCAGCCTTTACACTGTATGCTTAAAATGCAAACGGAATAATATAAGAATATAAGAATAATGAGAAGTAATACTTGGAAGTGTTCTGAGAAATGATGAAAAAAGGGCCTGGTTTCTATCTGATTGAAAGGAGGTGAGACTTGGGAGAGCAGTCAGACTCCCTCTCTCCTTCTCACCTCTTCTCCTCATCCCCTCCCCTAAGTGCTCTGGCTAGGAATTCTAGTACAATGTTACGTAGAAGTGGGCTTTTCTTGCCCTGGCGTGGTGGCTCACACCTGTAATCCCAGCACTTTGGGATCCGAGGTGTATGGATCATGAGATCAGGAGTTTGAGACCAGCCTAGTCAATATGGTGAAATCCCATCTCTACCAAAAATACAAAAATTAGCTGGATGTGGTAACATGCACCTGTAATCCCAGCTACTCAGGAGGCTGAGGCAGGAGAATCGCTTGAACCCTGTGGTGGAGGTTGCAGTGAGCCGAGATCACGCCATTGCACTTCAGCCTGGGTGACATAGTGAGACTCTGTCCCCCCACCAAAAAAAAAGAAAGAAAGAAATGTTTGAATATTGCTTTTATTACATTGAAGTAGTTTCCTTCTATTCCTAGTTTGTTGGATCTGTTTATTAACAAAAGGATATTGAATTTTGTCTTTTTTTTTTTTTGCATCAATTGTGATGGTCATGGGTTTTTGTCCATTCTTTTGTTAATGTGCTGTGTTACATTGATTTTTTTTTTTATGTTGATGAACTATCCTTGGATTCCAGAAATAAATCTCATTTGCTTACGGTGTATAATACTTTTAATGTGCTGTTTAATTTTGTTTGCTAGTATTTTGTTTGAGGTTCTCAATCTCTTTTCTACCTGGATAAATGAAGGCATACAGATAATTTTCATAATAAAGCCATACTACAGTGTATATTTATAGTTCAGTGGAATGTAAGTGATAGTGTTTTTTTTTTTTTTTTTTTTGAAATGGAGTCTCGCTCCATTGCTAGGCTGGAGTGCAGTGGTGTGATCTCGGCTCACTGTAATCTCCGCCTCCCGGGTTCAAGTGATTCTCCTGCCTCAGCCTTCTGAGTAGCTGGAACTACAGGCATGTGCCACCACGCCCAGCTAATTTTTGTATTTTTAGTAGAGACAGGGTTTCACCATGTTGGCCAGGATGGTCTCTATCTCTTGACCTTGTGATCTGCCCTCCTCAGCCATATATTTTTTTAATAGATAATCACTTATATACCCTGGTATTTGGTTGTATATGCTTCACACTAATTACAACACTTGATAATCATATGATATCTGAACTCTAGACCATTGTTTTCAATTATGGCTGCACTTTACAATGTCAAAGGAGATATTCGCACACACACCATTGCCAGAGTCATTTAGATTGGAATTTTTCAGAAGGGGACTGAACATTAGTAGTTTTAAAAAAGTCTTCAAGTACAGCAATATTTAAAAATTCTCTAGATTGTTTTGGCTACAAATACAAGTTGTATGGGGTGCTTTAAAAAGTCTATAGGCCTTGGTAAAGTGGAATCAAATTCCAGGGGAGGAGTTGCACAATCTGTCATTTTTAAAAGTTTCCCAAGTTTATCTGAAGCACAGCTAGGTTCTTAGTACTGGTCTAGAATTTTCTCAGCGACAAGAAAGGATAGTTAGCAATTTATTTTGATTAAGATCATTTGCAAGGGCCCTGAATACAGGTTTTCTATTGTATGGGCTGAAAGGAGATCCATATGTTTTAAATGTCAATTATACAGGAGCTAAGTTGTTTACTTAAGGAAATTGACATAGGTGCTTATCCAGATATTAATCTAATTGCTGTATAGGGTTGCAATAATATGAATAGGCAGGACCACCAAATATTTTCTTAGGCAAACTTGTTCTTATGTCTAAACTGGTATTCTGCTCACATCTCAGCATTTAGCATAAAGCATGTTGGAGATGACCTTAGTTTTGTGTTTTCAGAAGATAGAAATATTCATGTATATCACAGTAGAACTTAAATGCAGTGTGATTTAAAACATCTCATTTGTTCTGCCAAGTTGAGCATATTAGTCTGCTAGGGCTGCCATAAGAATCTACAGTAGACCTACCTAATCCGTGGGGGATACATTCCAGTACCTCCAGTGGATGCGAAAACCTCAGTACAGAACCTATATGGGCTGTTTTTTTCCTACATACACATATCTGTGATAAAGTTTAATTTATAAATTAGACACAATGAGAGATTTAAAACAATAATAATAGAACAATTAAGTAAAGTAAGGTTTACTTAGCACAAGCACTACGATACCTAGACAGTTGATTTGATAACTAAGATGGCTAATAGATAGGGAGCATTTACAGCATGGATACACAGGACAAAGGGATGGTTTATACATAACCTGGGTAGGATGGAGCAGGACAGTGTGAGATTACATCACACTACACAGAACTGTGTGCAATTTAAAAGGTTTGAATTGTTTATTTTTGGAATTTTCGATTTAATATTTTCAGACCATAGTTGACTAGGTAATTGAAACCTCAGAAAGCGAAACTGCAGATGAGGGGTGACTATTGTACCACAGACTGGGTAGCCTAAACAATAGAAATTTATTTTCTCACATTTCTGGAGGCTAGAAGTCCAGGATCAAGATGTTTGCAGGCTTGGCTTCTCCTGAGGCCTCTCTCCTTGGCTTGCAGATGGCTGTCTTCTCCGTGTGTCCTTACATGGCCCTTTCTCAGTGCATGCCCATCCTTGGTGTCTCTCTGTATGTCCTAATCTTCTTATAAGGACACCAGTTAGACTGGATTAGGGCCTACCCTAATGGCTTCATTTTAACTTTGTACTAGGGCTTCAACATATGAATTTTGGGGGGAACACAATTCAATCTGTAACATTGCATTTAAAGTGTTGTTCTTTATAGTGAATGAATTAATGAGTGGAGTTAAATTATTTGGAATTATCAGATGCTGCTTACTGAAGAAAATTTGCCAAAAATGATGACTTTGATTTTTGTAATGAATATTTAACCATACTTTTAGAATGTAATAACAAGATGTGGTGCATTGAGTCAGATGTGTGACTTTTGGTTTGCTGTGGCAAGTAAATAGGATAAATGCATCTAGATGTGCATATATGCATTCAAGGTATACTGATAAATGTATCTATTTATCAATATATCTATTTATCTGTATATATTGAAAGGTATCCTTAAAGTATTCAGGAAAAGAATCATAAATCTGAAAGGGAGTTACAGTATACCTTCATGTCATCTATTATACAAAGTTATTTAAAAAATTTATTCAACCCACTTTAAATATTACTGTGATATTTAAGGAAACAGTAAAAATTTGTACTGTCTGTTAAAATTACACAGTTTAATCTGGAGATAGTCATTGTTTAGGTACCAGAAGGCTAATGATACAACAATAAATGTGACAGAGATTTAAATTTTCCTTATTTTCTCAATTCAGAGAAATAGTAGTGATATTAGAACCATTGTAAAAAGTCTGTTTATCACACATCACATTAAAATGAGAGGCTCCCCCCCCAAAACCGAAATATATTAGAATGCTTATATACAGTTTAAAAGCAAATTAGCTAGTTGACAAATTTTTAATTTGGGGGCAAAAAGTTGCCTATGCAATACTATATTTTGACATTACCCTATTGTAAATTATATCTCATAGGCAGCCTTTTAAGTTTTCAGTGCATATCAGTACATTTACATACCTAGGAAATTTTAAAAATTTTCCTGCAAATTCCTACAAAATAACTGATCATGAGGCATGTGAATTAGGTATATCACTAATTGAGATAAGGTGTATAATGACAATTTCTATTACCTTTCATGCACTTTTAAATTGATTGCATGATTGAATATTAAAATAAGCTTGGATTTTTTTTTTTTTTTTTTTTTTTGAGACGGAGTCTCACTCTGTCACCCAGGCTGGAATGCAGTGGTGCAATCTTGGCACACTGCAACCTCCGCCTCCCAGATTCAAGCAATTCTCCTGCCTCAGCCTCCCGAGTAGCAGGGATTACAGGTGCCTGCCACCACTCCTGGCTAATTTTTTTTTTTTTTTTTGTATTTTTTTTAGTAGAGACGGGGTTTCACCATATTGGTGAGGCTGGTCTCGAACTCCTGACCTTGTGATCCACCCACCTCTACCTCCCAAAGTGCTGGGATTACAGGCGTGAGCCACCGTGCCTGGCCATAAGCTTGGATCTTTTTGTGCACTCACTGGTGGCTAGGGGCAGGCTACCCAGAAATATGCAATGTGTCTGATGAAACCAGTTGAAGTTAATAAAAGGAAAATTTGTTGTGTTTAATTCCTATAATTGACTGATATCAGGGCTTTATTCATTTATAGTCAGCCTGTGTTGTCTGTGTTCCTTCATTAGGTTGACTACTACCTTTTAGTTGTTCAAAACAGCATTAGTTGTTCAACACAGCATATGCAATAGAAGACATGGTTCCCATTCTCTTGGAATCACAGGGAAGGTTTTTATGTTTTATGTTTTGGAACTTAGGACCATTAGGAGAGAGAAATCAATAATCATCAGCTAAATATTTGAAAGAGTTCTGAAAGGAACCGTTCTGTAAGAGCATTTGTCAAAGGAACTTGACACAGAGTGGGTTGAGGAGAGCTTCACAGAGTAAGTGACTTTAAGAGCTGTGATCTGATGAGATTATGAGTTAAGGTTAACTAGATTTGTGCGATGGAGGGCTGAGGATTCCAGACCAAGGGAACTACATGTACAGAGGCCCTATGGTGAAGAGGAACATGTTGGGGAATTTGAGAGGAGGACAGTACTTTGGATCACTGAGAACTGATGGGAGTAGAATCTGAGACTACAGTGGAGAGATAGGCAGGGCCCAGCAAAGCCATTTCAACTGTATAAAAGATTTGGGATTATATCCTGAGAGAAGGGAAAATGTGTTTTACAGAGAAGTGGAAAGATGACTCTGCCTGTGGTGCAGAAAATGATTAGAAAGGGGAACAGTAGATTCTACTTAGAAGTCAGACATGCATTAACTTTAAGAAACTCTTTCTGCTTATGATAATGAACAAAAAAGTAGTCACAAATTCCCCACCTCAGCCTCCCAAAGTGCTCCTATCACGTGAGCTGCTCAGCTCTTACTTACTGCTACCTTAAGACCATCTCCCAAAATGCCTACTAGTCCATGAAGTTGGCCCGTTACCCAGATTTTTTTTTTTTTTTTTTTTTTTGAGACTGAGTCTCACTGTCACCCATACTGGAGTGCAGTGGTACAATCTTGGTTCACCACAACCTCCACCTCCTGGGTTCAAGCGATTCTCCTGCCTCAGCCTCCCAAGTAGCTGGAACTACAGGTGTACGCCACCACACCTGGCTAATTTTTATATTTTTAATAGAGACAGGGTTTCACTATGTTGCCCAGGCTGGTCTCGAACTCCTGACATCAGGTGATCTGCCTGCCTTAGCCTCCCAAAGTGCTGGGATTACAGGCATGAGCCACCCGCACCTGGCCCCTGTTCCCCAGATTTAATTTAGACCTTAACCTATGGCTCAAAATGGAACACTCTAGGCACTATTTTGGATGTCAAGGGTACATCAGTGAGCAAAATGTGTCTCTTTTCTCAAGAAGCTTACTTTGTAGTGGGGAGAAAAAAACAAATGATCAAATAATAATGTATCAGGTGTTAGTACTATAAAGAAAAATATCAGCAGAGAGGGGCATAGAGAGTTACTAAGAGTGCTCTTCTAGTAACTTTATTTTGGATGGTCTACGAAGAACTAAGAAGGAGATGGACACAAATGTGAAAGAAATGATCCGTAAGTATATTTGGAGGAAGAGCTTCAGGCAGAGAATATTAAGTGCAAAATAACCAGAGCATAGTCGAGAAATAGTAAGGCCAATATGAGTACATTGAGAAAGAGAGTTGGGGCCAGGCGCGGTGGCTCATGCCTATAAGCCAGGCACTTTGGGAGGCCGAGGTGGGTGGATCACCTGAGGTCAGGAGTTAGAGACCAGCCTGGCCAACATGATGAAACCCCGTCTCTACTAAAAATACAAAAAATTAGCTGGGTGTGGTGGCTGGCGCCTGTAATCCCAGATACTTGGGAGGTTGAAGCAGGAGAATCGCTTGAACCCAGGAGGTGAAGGTATCAGTGAGCCGAGATCATGCCACTGCGTTCCAGCCTGGGCAACAAGAGCGAAACTCCATCTCAAAAAAAAGAGAGAGTTAGTGGGAGATGGGGTCTAGGACAAAGTGCATTGGATATGAACTATATGACTCATTACTTATATCAAAATTCAGTCCTTTTTTGCTGATAACATTTTATGTAATTAAAATAGTATTCTGTTATTTTACAACTTTTAGGAACTATTTTTTGTCCTCCTTTTAAATAAGAAAAATATACAAAAATTTCAGAAAAGAAGAGTAGTGTTAAGGGTTGAATTATATCCTCCTCCAAATTCTTATGTTGAAATCCTGTCCGCCTCTACTTCAGACTATAACCTCACTTGGAAATATAGGGTCTTTATAGAGGTAATCAAGTTGAATGAGGTCATTAGGGTGGGCTTGTCCAGTTATCACTGATGTGCTTATAAAAAGGAGAAATTTGGATACCGAGACACTAATAGAAGGAAGACGATGTGAAGAGACCTAGGAAAAAGATGGCTCTCTACAGGCCAAGAAGAAATCTGAAACAGATCTTTCCTCACAGCAGTCAGAAGGAAGCAGCCCTACTGTACTTTTGTCTTGGACTTCCAGTTCCCAGATATTTCAGCCAATAAATTTTTGTTATTTAAGCCACCACTTGCAGGACTTTGTTAAAAGGCAGTTCTAGCTATACAGATCCAGTATAGCTTTTTCTGTTATCCTAGCAAATTAATACAGTTATTAACTAAAAAGTAAAACTTACTCTCCTCACTCCTTCCCCATACTTAACAAGGGTAACAGATTGTTATGAAACGTTCCAGGTCTTTTATTGTGTTTGTGTGTATGTGTGTGTGTTTCATTAATTTGTAAAGCAACTTATGTCTTCTAAGGAAATGTGGGGAATTTAAAAACAACAAGCAACAAAAAGTAAATGCTACAGCATTATATAATAGTTCCTTGCCTTCCAAGAAAATTTTTAACTCTAAAACTAAATACTATCACAAGATAATATGCACAACTCTTTTCCAAAAAAAAAGACCTCTTCTATTTTTAAAGTTTCATACTAATATACTTCACAGTCTTATTTAAATTTGTCAAAAGATTGATTTTTCCATTCCAGTATAATATTCCAGTATAGCTTTTTCTGTTGCTTCAGTGTGGTATTTTGGAAAAAGAATTTGTTACCACTTGGTGGCACTATGTGGCTTAAAAATGAATCACATTGTATGCAATTAACTATACTGTTCTAGGTAAATGATTAAATTCAGAGGGAAACTGATACTGAGCAACTTAATATAGTAAATGTTTGATTCTTCTGTAAATAAAATATTAATTGGTATTGTAGAGTTTTATTAAAATGTCATGGAATATAAAAATATAAACCAAGGCTTAGTTTGTTGGGTAGGGAAGTATATACATTTTTGATAGAAACCTCCTTTAGGTCAGGTGTCATTTATCATTCTGTCTTAATCCCCTTCTTTGTCTAAATGTGAGAAAATAGATTTTTAATATTAGAAACAAACATCTTCAACTTTAATAGTAATTAATGTTTTCCAAGATATGTATTTTATTTTCTCTTATATAAACTTAAGAAATTGAAATTTTTTCAAATGATTAAAATATGTAAAACTTAAAGGAAAACAGAAAAATTAAATATATTGAATGATGTCTTCCTGCAGCATATTGAAAAATCAAGCAGCCCTTTTAAAGATACTGTATTTGTTTCATTTAATTAGATAAAGGATCTTGAAGTATAACAAGAAAGTTATTTTGTTCCAGACATAATTTTTGCTGCCTAGCACTTGACATCTAATACCATAATTGTTAAGGTATTTGTGTAATGTATTGTTTTCTAGGGTCACATATATAGCTATAAAAGATGGTGCTCTGTGTCTTTTTAAAAATTTAAATACAATACTTACAGGAAAATGCATGAAGTGTAGGGTACAGCTCAGTGAATCACCACAAAGTAAACACTCCATGACCACCACAGATCGAGAAATAGAATACTGCCAGCAACCCAGAAACCCCCTATGTCTCTTTTCTCAGTCACTATCCCTGTTTTTTCTTTCCCAGGTTAACCACTTGCCTGACTTAAAAGAAAATAACTTTTTTTTACTTGTTTCTGAAATTTTTCAGAAATATACAGAAGTATTATTTTGTCTAGCTTATTTTGTTCAACATTATGTTTGAGAGTTAGAAATTTTGTCAGATGTCGCTATGGTTCACTTGTATAATTTTATCACAATTTGTCATGTTACTGTAGGAGGTTTGGGCTGAATAATGCTGCTGTGAACATTCTTGTACATGTTTCTTGGTGCATATGTGCAACATTTATACTAGGTGTATACCAAGACTAGAATCTGGGTCATTGGTTTGACCAGTGTATGTATGTTCAAATTTAGAAGATGACACATGAATTGTTTTCAAAATGGTTGTATCAATCACATCAAGTATATGAGGATTCCTGTTGCTCTGTATCCTCACTAACACTCGGTATTAATATCCCCTTTAATTTTAGTCTTCTGAAAGATGCATTTCCCTGATCCAAATGGAATTGAATACCCTTTCATAAATGTACTGGTTGTTTGGGTATCCATTTTTGCAACGTCTCTTCTCCTATCCTCACCACCTTAACAAAATTACTATTGAGCTTTCTAACTTACTGGTTTATAGGAACTATATGGTTTATACATACAGCCCTATTTTTCCTATTGGAGTTTCTGTACTTTTCCTTTTGTTTTTAGGAGTTTTTATATGCTCTAAATACAGACTCTTTGTTAGTTACATTTAAAAAATATATACATTCCACTTTGGCTTGACTTTCACCTTCTTAATATTATCTGTTAATGAAAGGAAGGTCTTAATTTTAGTATAGTTCATTTTATCATTGTTTGCTCTTATTGTTAATGCTGCTTGTGTCCCATTTAAGAAGTCTTTCCTTGCTCCAAGGACATGAAGATATTCTCTTAGGCTCAGAAACTATGCTTCTCTACTAGAGGCAGTTCCCTCCTCTCTAACCACACATCTCCCACCATCTGGGTGGGACATTTGGCAGTGTGAATACATGTTTAGTTTTTATAACTGAGTGAGTGGAGTACTCTGGTCATCTAGTGAGTTGGGCTAGTGGTGCTGCTAAATATCCTACAATGTACAGAATGCTAAGCATCCTACAATGCACAAAACAAACATCTAGCCAGGGTGTCACTAGTGGGTGAGGTTAAGAAACATTATCCTAGGATCTTTATTATTTTGCTTTCTACCATCTACCTAGAACTTACTATTATTATTTTGTATATTGTTTATTATGTATTTAGATCTACCTTCTATCTAGAACTGATTTTTGTATAATGTGTGAGGCATAGAATCACCTTTTCTTACATGTGAATGTATGTTTTATATGACATCATTTATTAAAAAGATCACTTCCCTACTGCTCTGTGGTATCAGCTTTGGCATAAATAAAGTGACCATATACATATGGGTCTGTTTATGGACTCTGTTTTTTTCCCCCATTGGTCTACTTTTGTCTATCTAAAGCACCAACACTATGGTGTTTTAATTACATGGCATAATAATAATAATAATAATGTCTTTATATCCACTAAGGCCTACCTTGTTCTTGTTTCATTGCTTTCCATAAATTTTTATTCATATCAGTTATATAAAATTGAATCTATTCATTGAGATACAGTTAACATCTTTATGATATTAGGTCTTATAGTTCATGAGTGGCAAATTATCCATTTATTTAGCTCACTCAGACTGAAATTCTTTCTTCTCAGGATCCCTTTGAACTTTTTAAAATAACTTTTATTTATATGATTATGTCAGGTTATTTGTTGCTTTTATCAAGATTGTTTCTCAGCCTTGGCACAATTGACATTTTGGGCCAGATAATTTTCTGTTCAGTGGACTATCTGGATGGAGACTATCTGTGCATCATAAGTTTTTACCTAGCCTCTATTCACTAGATGCCAGTAGTACTTACCCAGTGTGACAGCCAAAATGTCTCTAGACATTTCCAAGTGTATTGATTCCAGTTGAGAACAATATTTACTGCTTTTGAAATTAAACAAATTTTAAATGTTTATAAGTTTATTTTAATATAATAATATTCCATTACATGTTAACATAAATAACAGCATTTTGAGAAAAATATACATTCCAGAACAAAATTTAGTGAGAAGAGTACCATTGTTTTACATGTTTTAAAAATCTCTTTAATGTCTCACTTAATAGAAGACAGTTGGATTCTTATACTTGCTTCAGTTCAGATATCATACTTTATATAGCCTCTGGAAAACTCCATTGTACACTTGTGAGAGAATGGCAGTGAAAAGGCAAATAAGGTGTTAGTATTATTATGAAAATAGTTTTGTTTATTGAAGATCCTCTAATAAGGTCTTAGGGATGCCCCCTGGGCCCCACAACTCACACTTTTCAGACCTCATGTCCTAGAGATCACAGCATGCACCCTTGACCTAATTTAATCAAACTGTTAATAAATTAAGTAAATTAGATTAGATTGATAATTTGTTAATTTAATTGTTTTGTTTTTGCAGACAGTGCAAGAAACCTAAGACACTTTAATCCTATTCATTTCCTTCCATACTGTACCCCTTACTCAACTTATTTGCCACTATACTCTTGTGTTTTTAAATTCCATATATATTTTAGCCACCATGAAACGTCATCATCGTTTTGCTATATAGATTTACCTACATATTTACCACTTGTATCGCTTTTTATTCTTTCCTCCATCTTCATTTCTTCATCTGTGACCATTTTCTGTTTTTGAAGAACACTTTCTATTGTACCCTTTAGTGTAGGTCTGTAGTGAGAAATTCTCTTCATTTTTGTTGTCTGGTCATGTTCTGTATTTCACCCTCACTTTTGGATGATTCTTGTTTAGGATTCTGAGTTGGCAGTTATTTTCTTTTAATGAGGATGTTACTCCTTTGTTTTCTCTGCCTTCTGTTTCTGTTGAGAAATTGTTAGTCTTGTCAATGTCCTCCATCCAAAAAGACTAGCAAGAACACCTGTAGTTGAGCACATTTTTTACTTGTTGCAATGAGGGAGATCACACACTAAAGGGAGCTTTAGGGTGTCTTACTAAGAGGATATTAGAAGGAACCTATTACAGGATTTGGGCTTTGGTTGAGTAGTTTGGAGAGGGTCTAAGGAAGTGGAAATGTGTCCTAGATTGGGTGTCGTCAGGACATGGGACATTTTATGATTGGCTTTCTTTAAACAGAGGTAAAATTCACATTACATACGATTAACCATTTTTAGTGTACAATTCATTGGTATTTAGTGAACAGTAGTCCCTCTTTATCCATAGAGTGTACATTTGAAGACTGCCAGAGGATGTCTGAAACTGCAGGTCGTACCAAACCTTATTGCTGTCAGTCAGACACGTTTCTGTTCATGTCTTTCACCCATACATTTAATGCCTTTTCTGTTTTACCTAAGCTCTTAAAATGCACCACGTTCATAACTTTTGCAGCTTGAGGTGCAACAGGAAAACTTGCACAAATTTCTTTTTCCTTCTTACCAATTCAGCGAGTAGAAGATTTGTTCTTACGTAGATCTTAGCAACCTTAGCATTTTTTTTCTCTTCTTATTGAGAACTTTCACCTTTTTATGTAAAGGAAACGGCTTACAGCTTCTCTTTGACATATCTGAATTGCCAGTATCACTACTTTTGTGCTTTGGGACCATTATTAAGTGAAATAAAGGTTCTTGAACAAAAGTACTGCAATATCATGACAGTCAATCTGATAACCAAGATGATTACTAAGTGACTAATGGGTGGAGAACATATACACTGGACAAAGGGATTATTTATATCCCTCTGAGTGGGATGGTGCAAGATGTCATCAAGCTCCGTAGAATAGCAATTTAAAACCTGTAACTTGCTTATTTCTGAATTTTCCATTTAATATTTTTGGACTGTGGTTGACTTCAGGTAACTGAAACTGTGAAAAGTAAAACTGTAGATGAGGGACTACTGTATTTACACTGTTGTGCAACCACTAGCTCTCTAGTTTCTAAAGTGTTTCATCACCCCATAAAAACACTGCGTATTCATTACGTAATCACTTTCTATTTGCCCCCTTCCATCACCTGGTAAAGTAACCTTTACTTTCTGTCTCTATATATTTGCCTGTTCTGGATATTTCATATGAAAGAAACCATAGAATATGTGACTTTTTGTGTCTGGCTTCTTTTACTTGGCAAGTTGTAGCATGTGCTTCATTTCTTTATGTGGCTAAATAATATTCTATTGTATGGATATACCGCAATTTACATATTATTCCTTAATGAATATTTGAGTTATTTTTACTATTTCACTTTTATGAATACAGTGCTATAAACATATGTGTACAAGTTTTTCTGTGGACATGAGTTTACATTTCTCCTGGATGTATATCTAGGCATTGAATAGCTGGATCATATGGTAATCTAGCTCAACTCTTTTAGGAACTGCCAAACTTATTATCCATACTTATTATCCCACCAGCAGTGTATGAGGGTCTCTGTTTCTCTACATCAATGTCAGTAATTGTTAGTTTTGGTTTTTTCGTTTGTTTATTAAAGCTATTCTAATGGTTATGAAGTGGTATTATTGTAGTATTGATTTGCATTTCTTTAATGACCACGATGTTGAACGTCTTTTTATGGGCTTGGTCATTTATATATCTTTTTTTGAGAAATATCTGTTCACGTCCTTTGCT
Source organism: Homo sapiens (assembly GCF_000001405.40). Classification (NCBI taxonomy): domain Eukaryota; kingdom Metazoa; phylum Chordata; class Mammalia; order Primates; family Hominidae; genus Homo; species Homo sapiens. The sequence continues at coordinate 90,959,092 of NC_000001.11, read as the reverse complement.
CATTTAAAAAATTAGGTTGTCTTTTTGTTGTTGAGTTTTTTATGTGTTCTGGATATTAATATATTTCAAATATATTCAATAATACCTGTTGATAAACAAAGGATTTTTATTTTGATAAAGTTCAATTTCTGTTTTTTGTTTGTTTTGTTTTTTGCTGTTCGTGCTTTTGATGTCAAAGAATCCATTGCCAAATCAAGAGTCATGAGGATCCAACCCATGCCTTCTGAGAGCTTTACAAATTTAGCTTTTATATTCAGATTGTTGGTCCATTTTGATTTAGTTTCTGTACCTGGTGTGAGACAGGCTTCCAACTTCATTCTTTTGCACGTGGTTATCCAGTTGTCCCAGTACCATTTGTTGAGAAGACTGTTCTTTTCCCCATTGAATGGTCTTGGCACTTTGTTGGAAATGAATTGGCCATAGACGATTGGGCTTATTTCTGGACTCTTAAATCTATTCCATTGATCTGTATGTCTACCCTGCTTCTACTGCCACATTGATTACTATAGTTTTGTAATCAGTGTTCTGAAATCAGGGAGTGTGAGTACTCCTTCTTTTTCTTTCTCGGTACTGTTTTTGTTGTTCAGGGACTCGTTCAGTTCCATATGAGTTTGAGGATAAGCTTTTACAATCCTGCAAAAAGGCCTTTAGAATTTTGATAGGGATAGAGTTGAATCTGGGATCACTTTGGGGGAATTTTGCCATCTTAACAATACTAAGTCTTGAAATCCATGAACATAGATGTGTTTCCATTTAATTAAGCCTTTAAGTTTTTCTAGCAATGTTTTGTAGTTTTTAGCGCACAAGTCTTTTACTTTCTTGGTTACATTTATTCTTTTTTTTTTTTTTTTTTTTTTTTTAGGAGTTTTGCTTTTGTCGCCCAGGTTGGGGTGCAGTGGTGCGATTTCAGCTTACTGCAACCTCAGCCTCCTGAGTAGCTGGGATTACAGGTGCCCACTACCACGCCCAGCTAGTTTTTATTTTTAGTAGAGACAGGGTTTCTCGCTGTTGGCCAGGCTGGTCATGAGGTTACACTTATTCTTCTGGTTATTTTTTAATTTTTGATGCTATTGCAAATGGATTTATTTTCTTAATTTTCTTTTTGGATCATTCGTTGCTGGTATATAGAAGCACAACTGATTTTTGCATGTTGCTGTTGTGCTTGCAAATTTGCTTTATTTGTTTATTAGCTCTAGTAGTTTTTTTGTGGATGCTAAGGAATTTTCTATGAATAGAATTATGTCATTCACAAATAGAGATAGTTTGACTTCTTCTTTTCCAATTTGGATGCCTTTTATTTATTTTTCTTACATAATTGCTCTGACTGACTTTTAGTACAGTGTTGAATGGCAGTGGTAAAAGTGGTAGCCTTGTCTCTTTACTGATATTAGGGGAAAAACTTGTCTCTCACCATTGAGTATGATGTTTGTTATGGGTTTTTATGCTCTTTGTCATGTTGAGGACATTTCCTTTTATTACTCATTTGCTGAGTGTTTTGCTTTTTTCATGAAACAGTGTTGAATTTTGTCAAATGCTTTTTCTGCATCCATTGAGATGATCATGTAGTGTTTTTTCTTTGTTCTATTAATGTGATATGTTACATTGATTGCATTTCTTATGTTGAACTACCCTGGCATTCCTGGGGTAAATCCCACTTGGTTATGTTATATGATACTTTTAATATGCTGTTGGTTTCAGTTTGCTAGTAAGTTGTTGAGGATTTTGGTGTCTGTTTTCATAATGGATATTTGTAGTTTTCTTTGAGTATCTTTGGCTTTGGTATTAGGGTAATGCTGGCTGCTTAGAATGTGTTAGGAAGTGTTGTCTCATCTTCCATTTCTGAAAGAATTTGAGAATAATTAGTGTTAATTTTGTTTCATAGAATTTACCAGTGAAACCGCATAGTCCTGGATTTTTCCATTTGGGGAGGTTTTTGATTATTAGTTCATTCTCTTTACTTGTACTAGGTCTGTTCAGATTTTCTATTTCTTCTTGACTTCATTTTGGTAATTTCTGTGTTTCTAGGAATTTTTCTGTTTCATCTAGATTATCCAATTTTTTGGCATCCAGTTATTCATAGTATTCTGTTATAATTCTTTTAATTTTTAAGGTTGGTACCAGTGTTCCCCCACTTCTATTCCTGATTTTTCACTTGTGTTCTTCTCTCTTTTGTTGTTGTTGTCAATTCCTTTGTCAATCTTGTTGATCTTTTTAAGGAACCAACTTAATTTTTTTAATTAGAGGACGGCTTAGGTAGGGGTTTCTTGTTTTTGTTTTTGAGACAGAGTCTGTTGTCCAGGCTGGATTTGAACTCCTGGGCTCAGGTGAGCCTCCTGCCTCAGCCTCCTGAGTATTTGTGACTAAAAGAACCAATATTCTCTTATCTTTATTCTAAAGATTGATTATTTTCTTCTTTCTACTGGCTTTGGGTTTAGTTTGCTCTTCTTTTTCCTAAGGTAATAATTCCCTAAGGCATAAAGTGAGATGGCTAATTTGACATCTTCTTTTTTAATGTAGGTATTTACAGCTGTAAATTTTCCTCTACATGCTGCTTTTGCTGCATCCTATAAGTATTAGTATGTTGTGTTTTCATTTTCATTTGTGTCAAGATTGGCCATCATACTAAATCTCATCTGTGGGGAATGCAGACTGAAGCTGAGATAAACTTACACTGGCATACCCTGTTTTATTGTGTGTTGATTTATTGTGCTTTTCGTATATTGTGTCTTATACAAACTGAAATTTTGCAGCAACCCTGCATCAAGCAAGTATACAGGTATCATTTTCTCAACAACATATGCTCATTCGTATCTCCGTATCACATTTAGGTAATCCTCACAGTGTTTCAAACTTTTTATTTTGTTATGGTGATCTGTGGTCAGTGATCTTCAGTGTTTCTATTGTAATTGTTTTAGGGCACCACAAACCATGCCCAATCCAAGATAGTGAACTGAATTGATCAATATTGTGTGTGTTGTGATTGCTTCACCAGCTGGCCCTTCCTTGCCTGTCTCTCTCCCTCTCCTTGGGCCTCCCTATTCCATGAGACACAACAGTATTGAAATTAGGCAAATTTATAACTGTACAGTGGCCTCTATTAGTGTTTGAGTGAAAGGATGAGTCACATGTCTCTCATTTTAAATCAAAACCTAGAATTAAGCTTAGTGAGGAAGGCATTATACAAGATGAGACAGGCCAAAAGGTAGGCCTCTTGCCGCAAACATTTAGCCAAGTTTGTGAATGCAAAAGAAAAGTTCTTGAAAGAAATTAAAAGTACTACTCCAGTGAGCACACAAATAGTAGGTAATCAAAACAACCTTGTTACTGATATGGAGAAAGTTTGAATGGTCTGGACAGAAGATCAAACCAGCCACAACATTCCCTTAAGCAAAAGCTTAATCCAGATCAAAACCCTAACTCTCTTCAATTCTGTGAAGGCCAAGAGAGGTGAGGAAGTTTCGGAAGAAAAGTTGGAAGCTAACAGAGGTGGATTCATGAGGTTTAAGGAAAGAAGCCATGTTATAACATAAAAGCTCAAAGTGATGCAGCAAGTGCTGATGTAGAAGCTGCAGCAAATTACCGAGGAGATCTAGCTCTGACAATTCATGAGAATGGCTACACTAACCAACAGATTTTTCAGTGTAGATGAAACAGCTTTCTACAAGAAGAAGATGCCATCTAGCACTTTCATAGCTAGAGAAAAGTAAATGCCTGGCTTCAAAACTGAAGCCTGAGAGACAGGCGGACCCTCTTGTTAGTGGCTAATGCAGCTGGTAACTTTTAAGTTGAAGCCTCATTGAACAATTCCATAAATCTTAGGGCCCATAAGAATTATACGAAATCTCTACCTGTGCTCTATAAATGAATCAGCAAAGCCTGGATGACAGTTCACCTGTTACAGCATGGTTTATGAACTATTTTAAGCCTACTGTTGAGACCTGCTAGAAAAGACTCCTTTTCGAAATATGCTCATTGACAATGCACCTGGTCATCCAAGATCTCTGATGGAGATGTACAAGATGAATGTTGTTTTCATACCTGCCAACACAGCATCCATTGTGTAGCTCATGGAACAAGGAATAATTTTGACCTTGAAGTCACTAAGTACATTTCATAAGGCTACAGCTGCTGTAGCTAGAGTGATTCCTCTGATGGATCTGAGCAAAGTAAATTGAAAACTTTCTGGAAAGGATTAGCTATTCTAGATGCAACTTAAACATTTGTGATTCATGGGAGGAGGTCAAAATATCAACATTAATATGAGTTTGGAAGAAGTCGATTTCAACCCTCATGTATGACTTTGAGGGATGCAAGACTACAGTGGAGCAAGTAACTGTAGATGTGGTAGAAATAGGAAGAAAACTAGAATTAGAAGTAGAACCTGAAGACTGGGTGCCATGGCTCACGCCTGTAATCCTAGCACTTTGGGAGGCCAAGGCAGGTGGATCACTTGAGGTCAGGAGTTCAAGACCAACCTGGCCAACATGGTGAAACCCTGTCTGTACTAAAAATACAAAAATTAGCCGGGCGTGGTTGTGCAAGCCTGTAATCCCAGATACTCAGGAGGCTGAGCCAGGAGAATTGCTTGAACCTGGGAGGTGGAGGTTGCAGTGAGCTGAGATGGCAATACTGCACTCCATCCTGGGCAACAGAGTGAGACTCTGTCTCAAAAAAAAAAAAAGTGGAACCTGAAGATGTAACTGAATTGCTGCAATCTCACGATAAAACCTGATCAGATGAGAAGTTGCTTCTCTAGCGAAGAAAGTGGTTTCTTGAGAGGGAGTCTACTCGTAGTGAAAATAGTGTGAACATTGTTGAAATGACAACATAGGATTTAGAATATTACGTCAGTAAAGCAGTAGCAGGGTTTGAGAAGATTGACTCCAATATCAAAAGAAGTTTTACTGTGGGTAAGATGCTATCAACATCATTGCACGTTACAGAGAAATCTTTCATGAAAGGAAGAGTCAATCAATGTGTCAAACTTCATTGCTGTCTTATTTTAAGAAGTTGCCACAGCCACCCCAACCTTCAGCATCTGCCACTCTGATTGTCAATATTAAGGCAAAAATCTCAGCAAAAAGAATCAAACTCACTGAATGCTCAGATGACTGTTAGCATTTTTTTAAAGCAATAAAGTATTTTATTTCATTTATTTATTTTTGTTGTTGTTGTTTTTTGAGACAGAGTCTCGCTCTGTCACCAGGCTGGAGTAGTGGCGCGATCTCAGCTCACTGCAACCTCTGCCTCCCAGGTTCAAGCAATTCTCCTGCCTCAGCCTCCCAAGTAGCTGGGATTACATGCGCCTGCCACCACACCTGGCTAATTTTTTGTATTTTTAGTAGAGATGGGATTTCCCCATGTTGGCCAGGCTGGTCTTGAACTCTTGACCTCAGGTGATTCATCCGCCTCAGCCTCCCAAAGTGTGGGATTACAGGTGTGAGCCACTGGGCCCAGCTACAATAGAATACTTTAAGCTATATACCTTGCTTTTTAGACATAATAGCTTCTGTGTAATTAATTGACAACAGTATAGTACAAACATAACTTTTTTTTTTTTAAGTTCCAGGGTACATGTGCAGGATGTGTAGGTTGGTTACATAGGTAAATGTGTGCCACGGTGGTTTGCTGCACCTGTCAACCCATCACCTACATATTAAGCCCAGCATGCATTAGCTATTTTTCCTGATGCTCTCCCTTCACCCCCTACCCCATAGGCCCCAGTGTGTTCCCCTCTCCATGTCTGTTAAATGTAACTTTTATACGTACTTGGAAACCAAAAAAAAAAAAAAAATGGTGGCTCATTTTATTCCAGTATTCACTTTATTGCAGTCGTCTGGAACTGAACCCACAGTATCTCCAAGGTATTCCTGTAATTGGTAAAGAAGGTGACAAATCACTCATTTTAATGAGGGGGGGAGATGTTTGGTAGTTTGTGTTGCACAATGACCTTGTCTGACATGGATGTTTTATGAGATACTATTTTTTTCTTAAGGCAACGTTGTGACAGAACATCAGATAGTCTGATAGCATGAGATTAGCTCTTGGACATCGGGAGCTGCTTTTTTTTTTTTTTTTTCCTCAGTCTAATTGTTGTCTCTTTATAGGTATTCTTTTTTTCTGTGGCTGCTTTTAAGATTTTTTTTCTCATTGTCTTTTATTTTCATTAGTTTTCCTGTGATGTATCTAAGTGTAGTTTTTATTTATTCATCTCAGAGTTCCAGGTGCTCCCAGAAGCTTTGGCTTGATGTGTTTTGTCAGTTTTACAAAATTCTCAGCGATTATCTCAGAAGTATTGCTTCTGTCTTATATTCTCTCTTCTTTCCTTCCGGGATTCCAACTAGATGTTGGAATGTATGTGTGATCTTTTACCATATCAGTTTCAGCTCTTACTCTTTTCTCTGTTTTCCATCCTTTTGTCTCCCCTTGCTTCATTCAATATACTTTGTATTGACCTTTTTCTAGTTCACTAATTATCTCTTTAATTGTATCAACTTTCTGCTTTGTTACATAGTGGCCAGAGCATATGGTCTACAGTGATTTCTGTTTCTGTTGGAAGCTTCTCAGTGGTCATTGTAATACATTCTCAGATTTTATAAATGTTCTGTGTTTTGAAAAAAATGCCTAGTTGTTGTATAGACCTCTCCCTATATGTTTGATCAGTGGTCTACATACTGTTTTCTTCACACACCTCTTAAAATAATTTTGGAAAACTATGGTATTTTTAAGGTGGCATCTGACATTTTTGTCACAAGTGAGAATAATTACATGTTTATACAGTACATTGTATGCATAATTTACATCTCATTTCTTCAGAATCTTTGTACTGTAGATTTAATTCATTAAGGTTACAGAAAATGTCTGTCTTGTAACATTTAACAAAGCCAGTCTTTACAGCTAAACCAAGGTGACCCTTTGTCAGTAAAAATGGCTTCATTTTAAAAATTCAAATAAATGTATTTGTATCACTGTTGATGACCTTTTCATTTCTGAATTTTAATTCTAAGACTGGGAGTCAGGGAGAGGGGTGAGAGAGAGAAATATGGAGAGAGAGAGAGACAGATACTGAACTCTTCCCTTGAGCTGTTTTTTGATTAACTAAGACTGTGTAGCCTTCAAATTTTCCTATTATGTGCTTTGCTGCAATGGCCTTCTGTCTGCCTAAGGAGCTCTGTATTCTCAAACCTTTTATTTGGTTCCCCAAAGGTTTTTACACACTGGAGCATTTGCGCAATGCTAAGATTCTGGGCAGCTCTCTTCTTGACCCTTGAGGTATTCAGTTAGCAAGGTACATAGAAATCTTTGCCTGTGAAACTTAGTATTAGAGGAGGGATGCACAAACTACAACCACAGTAAATAAATATATTGCATGGTGTGTTAGATGGTGTTAAGTGTTATGGGAGGCGGGGGAAGGGATAAACTAGTATAAGTAGATTTGAGAATGCCAGCAGTGTGGAGAAGGTAAGGGTTTTGGGGTGTCAGTTTAACTAGAGTGGTCCAGGTTGGCATTATTCAGAAGATAATGATTGAGCAAAGACTTGAACCAAGATGAAATAGTTTGCCATGAGACTATCTGGGAGAAAGAGCATTCCATCTGAGGAATAGTCAATGCTAAGGCCTTACGCTAGTAGAGAACATATTCAAGAATAGTAAAAACAAAACAACAACAAAAAAGCCAATGTGTCTACAGCAGAGTGAGTGAGTTGGGGAGAGGAGTAGGAAACGAAGTCAAAGGGTTACTAGGTAGTAGTATCTCTCTGTAGGTCCTTTCAGGTCATTGTAAGGGCTTTTCCTTTTTTATCTGAGAAAAACAGGGAGTCATTTTAGAGTTTTGAGGGACATTATCTGTATGGATCACTCCGATTGCTGTGTTGAGAATAGATGGTAAGTGTGTAAGGATCTGTCCTTGTACTAATACCAGATTAGTCAGCTGATGAAGTCCTAGTGGATCTGGGTATAGCAGTGATGAGAAGTGATTGGATTCTGGATGTATTTTGAAGATAATAGCAGTAGGAATTCCTGATGGTTTAGATATGAGGTGTGAGTAAACAAGAACAGTGAAGGTTGCTCCAAGGTTATTGGCCTGAACAACTGATATAGATGAGGAAGGCTGCTAGATATGTGTTTGGGAACCTTTCTTTTGTACAGTGAGAGAAGGGTGATCTTTAAAAGGGAGATGGGTAAGAAGAACTAGAGTATTGCAAATATAACATCCAGATCAATTTTAGGGAAAGAGTACTTACGGAAGTTGAGGAACTAGAAATTAATACTTGACCTGCATACTCTTTGAGAAGTCTGTCTGTACTTTCAGGGGCATACATAGCCCAGTTTGAAGACCACTGTTCAGATCAACCTTAGTAATTATGTTATTAAAATCTTCTATATTCTTCTTTACTTTTTAAGTCTGCTTGATTTGTTAACCTTTGGGAGAATCGTTTAAAGCCTCCCTCTGTGGCTGTTGATTTGTCAGTTTTTCTTTGTACTTGTAAAAGTTTTTTATTTTTATATTTTATAGCCATTTTGTTGTGTGCCAAGAGATTCATGAATATCTCTATACTTTATTAATGTATAAGATTCATCATTACCAGGCCTAGTACTTAATATCCTCAGGTTCTGTAAACTAGTATGTTTTCAATAAAGAAACACAATCTGCTTTTGGGAGGAGGCTGACAAAACACTTTGAAATTAAAAAAACTACTAACAATAACAACAACAAAGCACTATTATTAGCACTATTTCTTTTCTTTTCTTTTCTTTTCTTTTCTTTTGTTTTCTTTTCTTTTGTCCCCTCCCCTCCCCTTCCCTTCCCTTCCCTTGAGATGGAATCTCACTCTGTCGCCCAGGCTGGAGTGCAGTGGCACGATCTCGGCTCACTGCAACCTTTCCTCCCGGGTTCAAGCAATGCTGCTGCCTCAGCCTCCTGAGTAGCAGGGACTACAGGTGCATGGCACCACACCCTGCGAATTTTTTATATTTTAGTAGAGACGGGGTTTCACCATGTTGCCCAGGCTGGTCGTGAACTCCTGAGCTCAGGCAATCTGCCCACCTTGGCCTCCCAAAGTGCTGGGATTACAGGCGTGAGCCACTGCCCCCGGCCCCAGCGCTATTTTTTTGAATCAATAAATGAACAACAAAAAGGATTCAGGAACGGTGTTTGGTGGTATAAGCAAACATTCTCCTTAGCCACATACTGGGAATCCTATTGCTAAAAACACGCAAATTTAGCTGCTAACTAAAAATCAGTAACATACATTCAACCCTGGATATCCATGTGGGATTAGTTCCATGACCCTGCAAGAATACCAAACTCCAATGATGCTCCAGACCTTTACATAAAATGATGTTGTATTTGCATATAATCTGTACACATCCTCCCATATATGTTAAACCATCAATATATTTCTTGTAATACCTACTACAGTGTAAATGCCAAATAGTTGTTATACTTCATTGGTTTCTTATTTGTATTTTTTATTCTTGTAATTTTATTTTTTATTTCTTTTGATCTGAGTTTGGTTGAATCTGAGGATGCAAAACCCACAGAGAGAGCCAAGTATATTTTTGTTAAGACAATAATGTGAGAGAGAAGCACACTAATATATTTTGTTTCAAGAAAAGCAAATTTCTTGTATTTGAATTATTACCATCCTAAATTAAGATACTTGTAGAATAGTGATTATCTTGAAATATTTTTCTTAGATGATAATTGGATTTTTTCTGGTTTCAGAAAAATAAGTTGAGCAAGGATAATATTTCAAGAGTTCACATTTAATACAAAACATTTCTTTGAAGTAGCACTTTCAGTTTTGTTCTTTTTTTTAGTTCTCAAAGATGTCATACTTTTCCATGTGAATATATGGAATAAATATATTCAAATATATAAATATATAAATTCAATATATAAGTTTGAATTTACATAGTAGAGTTTGAATGTATATAATACAGGTGAGAGGTTAAGTACTCATTATAGATTATTACAGATTTACAGAAATTTGTTTACGATTTAAATCCTTCCTTCAATAGATTAAATTGTAAATCAGTGAAATAATTCAATCCTGGATGTCATATTATTCAAGTTCTATTTCTCATTAGACTTTAATTTTATATTTTCTAAATATGAGGTTAAGCAAATTAATTTATGGAACTTTTATAATGACAGATTATTAAAATCTACAGAAGTTTAAGAAATCTACATATTAAATAAAATCTGTGAACCTTTGAATTTGAAAAACTTAATTACTGAGGTATTAGAAGGAAACTAGTATACATTCGTTATGTTCCAAGCATCAGGCTAGACATGCTGGTAAGGGTTCTGTTGGTCAACTTTTCCCAAAAATGAAATACAGTTGACCCTTGAACAACATGAGCTTGAACTGTGCAGGTCCACTTAAACGTGGATTTTTTTCGATGAATATAGTCGACTTTCTGTATCTGTGGGTTCTGCATCCGCACCCAAACCAAATGCAGATAAAAAATACAGTCTTCATGGCATGTGAAACCTACATTTAAGGAGGGCTTGCTTATCTTATCCATAGATGGTGTCAAGTGCGGGGACTTAAGTATGCGTAGATTTTGGTATCCACCAGGTTTTTAGAACCAATCAGCCATGGATACTGAGGGATGACAGTAGTTTCATCCGCATTAACAATCTGTTAAGGCACCAGTTATCTCTTCAGCTGTTGTAAGGAGTCCCTTTAAAGCCACCATGTTTGCATTTGCAGTCATGCCACTAACTTTGTTGTGCATACTATAATGTGCCTTGATCCTGTGGAATATACATGGTTGGGGCAAAAGCTTCATCAACAGCACTTTGAACATTCTTAGCTTTTAAGTTCTTCAACAAATTCCTAGCATTTCCTGAATAAACATTAAGCAAATAGATATCTGACTTGGTGCTGATTCTATGCTCTAAAACCATTCTTTTGTTATTTCTTTATGTCTTGATAATTGTTGTGAAATTTATAGGTATAGCAGTTTTTTGAATGGTGAAATTGTCTTTGCCCTTTAAAATTATTTCTATTCTGAAGCAATTTATTCCATATGCACATATATTTATCTCACTTCTTTACGTATAATTGTCTCTATTTTCATTTATGTAATTACATACAGTCCCTGACTTACAATGACAATGATTCAATTTTGCGATGGTGTAGAAGCAATGTGCATTCAGTAGAGACTGTATTTTTAATCTTATCTTTTATTATTATAAAATTTTTATAGACTGTGTCAGATTATTTTGGCCAATTGTAGGCTAATGTAAGTATGTATAAGTAGGCTAAGCTACAATGTTCAATAGTTTAGATGTATTAAATGCATTTTCAACATGATGTTTTCCATTTATCATGGGTTTATTGGGAGGTAACCCCATTATATGTAAAGGAGCATCTGTATATGCTTTGTATTCCTAGGACTTTGAACACTCTCACTTTTCTTGAATTTATTAGATATGATAGTTTAGTATTTATATAATATTTCAAAACTGAACATAAACAGCAGACCCATCATAGGTTAAAGAATACCAGAAGGCTCAAAGTAAAATGACAATTTATGGCATAATACTTTCTGTGGAGGGCAAAGTTGACACACTGCCCCTGGAGTATGGGATTGACATACTTAGGTACATTGGTTTCTTTGAAAGTTTCACAGTTAATAATTTGAACAGATATGTTTTATAGTGAACTGACCCATGTTACACAAATGTGGTCAAAATATTTGATCAGTTACATATATATCACTCATTTCAAATGCTTAAATGCTTAAATTTGTCTTATTGGAGCCACGTGCATATATGTCTATTACGATGTAAGCTGAGACCATCACTTATTCTAATTACATGAAAGCATAAACAACACAACAGTCATTCTGTGCTAACTATGACTTAGTACTCTCCTTTGGTTGCAGCTGTAATTTATTGCCTTCTTCCAGTTGCAGAATTCTTCATTAGGAAATTAATGTTTGATTAGTGAACATCCTTTTGATTTTCTACTGTTGATTCTTATTGTTACATAATTTTGCCATGTCTTTAAAGTTATGTCTTTGTAGGGCCTCCCTGCCCTCCTTGCCTTCATCCACACAGTTACCTGCTTCCGTTTACCACATGGGAGCTTCTTTAGATGTGTTAGATTATATTTAGTATTTACTATACTTTGCAGTAAGAATGATCTTGAGTTATTAGGTGTTTATGGTCTGGTACCTGACTTTGTAACATCTGCCTTCCTGTTAACAAGTGAGGATGGTACATGGCATCAGGAACAAGCTGTTCAACAGGTTCAGTGTAATTTGTTTGCTTTTTTTTAATGGCAATCTATATATCAAACTCAGTGCCTTTTTTGTTTTGTTTTGTGTTTTGGTATTGCCAAGGAAAAAAAAATCTCTGGCTGTAACATTGAGTTTTCATGATACAGTTAGCTCTGTGGCAGTGTGTTGGTCATTTAATGTCATATTTTCATTGTTCAACAATCAATTTATTGACAGATCATAAGTTAACTAAAGGATTATTTCAGGTAATTGTGAATTTAAAGAATACTTTTAAGGCTCAGTAGTGTAATTCTTCAGTTTTTTGCTCATTATTTCAAATAATGTTAAATGTTAATTATGTAATAACTAAGTACTAAACATTTGTAGTACATATTAGAAGGGACCTTAGAAATCATCTTATTCAATCCTCAACTCCATATTCCTGTCTGTAATGTTCTTGACAAGTAAGCAGTCTAACCTTCTGAACCATTTTATTATTTGGCTTGGTTTTAAAGTCAGTCTCATGCTGGACACCCTTACAAGTGTTCTGTATTTTTTTAGTGTTTCTTCTCAATGTGACATCCAGAATAAGTTATTACCTGGATGATACATTCTGTCTTCTCTTGAAGTGTGCACTAGGTGAGATTTAGGTATATATGTTTGTACATTGTGTATGGTATATATAGGTTTAAATGCCACAATAATTTTAAATATAATATTTCAGTTAATTAAGATCTGTTTTACAGTTAGACTGACACTTGTGAATTGTTTTCTCTTCTTGACCCAATCTCATACATTACTAACTGAAGTTGTCATGTGTTCACAAGGATAATTTAAATGAACATAGGGTTTGTGAAAACCTGACAGATCCTAACTATAATTCAGCTAGTGGGCAGCATTATAATTTATTTATAGCTGTGTAATATAGCAATTAATGAACTAATATACAATGAGGGCAAATTGTACTATATTTTGCATGAAATTATACAACACAACAAAGGTTGGCATTATGTAGTTAAGTACCCACAAAATGTTAACCTACTTGCAATAAATACAATTAATAATGTACATAAAAGAATGAAATTAAGCTAATTTTCTATCAGAAAAGAATTATTCGTGAACAGAAAGTGGACAGCATAGATTTGATGACAGAAAGGTTGTATCTAATCTGAATTACTGAGTGACCTAGGAAGCTTGCTCAGAGGGATTACAGAATAATTATGTTAATATGCAATTATCACCTCATTTCTTCTGTAGTAACCTCAAGATGTAGTGTAGTGAGGGTGTTATAGCAAGTGCTGATAGTTTGCAAAAATACTGATGTTTGAGATTTCTGAGACAATAAGTCTAGCTTGAGGCATATAAGTGATGATCTGTCATCTTGAAGACAGATCTGACCTTTGTACAATTTTTTTAGTGCTCACAGTATATAACTAGAGGCAGTTATAGCTGTAGAACTCATTATGATTTTCTAGAAATTGAAATATATTTTATGTAGATTTAAAGTTCTGTTTGCAGCTTTTTAAAAAGGTGTGTGAATTTTTTAGACTTTTAAAAACCAGTTAAAAGAAAAATTCTATGGTTATATGATTATATGGGGAAGATTTAGTAATGGTGTCTAAACAGTGTTTAAAAATCTTAATTGATATATAAGGAGTCCAAACATCAGTTTATTTATCTTAATTTATTAGCTTCTGTTTTTTAAACTTAATGAATAATGCCCACCTTCAAATACGTTCCTACTTTGTTATAGTAACCTAAACTGGTATTGATGTCTCTGTTATATATACATTTGACTATACAAAGGTAGTTGAAAAACTATTTGAGATGGTGTAAAATTAACTCAAGTCAAATGCTTTCTTGCCTAGATGCCACATAACCCAACATGAATGTAGTAAAATAATTTTTGATGATGTTAAAATTCTGTATCAATTATTCAGTGCAACAGATTTTGATGATCCATGGTTCTGCATTGTATCTCAGCACAACAGCTATGAGTCTTGAGTACTGTTACTAAGAAGAAGTATATTTGGAGCATTGTATAATTAGAATATATTCTGAACATTTTAATTGTTCCTAAAATAAGTACCCACAAAACGTTAATCTACTTGTAGTAAATGCAGTTAATAATGTACATAAAAGAACAAAATTAAGCTAATTTTCTCTCAGTAAAGAATTACTCATGAACAGAAAATGGACAGTATAGATTTGATGACAGGAAGGTTGTATCTAATCAGAATTACCGAGTGACCTAGAAAGCTTCCTAAGTCAACTTTTGTAACATATTTTCAAACTGATGCAGAAGGTAACATCTTTTATTTTTGAGTAGAGATAATTAATAATTTAGGGGTAAGTAAGCCATATTTTATTATGTGGATGTGAAGGAAAACTTTCATTGTTAAAGACTTCATTTTATATTTTAACAATATTTAATCGGATTTTTTTTTGCTAGATGTGTTTTGTAGATAAAATATCTGTTATGCACATATATTTTTTCTATGTTTTTGAACAAAACAGGTTGATATCTTCAGAATGTGACCTTATGAAAAGCTCTTATAAAGCCATTCCGGTAATGAGGATGCAGTCTCCAAGCTGACATGATGTTCTCATAGTTTGTCACCCTGCTGTTCAGGGGGTACCAATGAAGTTGCTTTAAATGGGAAGCGTCTGTTCCATCTCTAAACCTCTAACACCAGAACAGATGGGTGGAACATAGAACATGGAAGGTTTTACCTCTGAGGTGGTAACAGTGAAGCCACTCATTAACACTGAATTTACCACTTCGTTAGCAACATTGCTTCCTGTTGAGAAAAACTAATATAGGCTTTCAAATTGACTTAGCATATATTTGTCCACCTCTGTGATTATAATAAGTGGGAACGGAAAGGAAAGTAACTGTCTTTCAAGCTAGTTTTTTGTCGTTCGTTTCAGATTTATGAGATTGTTGCTATTGAAGCGTTTTATGTTTTCTACCTAATTTAATGAGAAATATCAGGAATGAATGGTAGTGTAGCATTAAGGCTTGCTTTTCTTTCCCTTGACATTTGCACACCCTTTCCTAACACATGTTTATGTGCTGCCCATTTTTAACTTCTGTGTATGTGATGTAGAGACTCCTGCTGGGTGATGCATTAGCACCATTTTGGAGTGATATCATTAAATGTGATCTTATTGGAAGTCTATTTTTATTACCACAGAAGTTTGCCAATCTCAAAACAGAATTCTAAAACCTACGAGGGGTGGAAAAAATGATTGTTGGTATAAAAAACAATGTCAAAGATACTGGTAATAGGTATTTGTTGTATTAAATAACATTTTATGGAAAGAATAAGATCAGATTATAAGTGCTTGTTCTAAGTTATAAAATAAGAAAAATATAAGAACAATTTTATTATTTTATTGTTTTTTATTTTTTGAGACGGAGTCTCACTCTGTTGCACAGGCTGGAGTGCAATGGCGCAATCTTGGCTCACTGCAAGCTCTGTCTCCCGGGTACACGCCATTCTCCTGCCTCAGCCTCTCGAGTAGCTGGGACTACAGGCACCCACCACCACGCCTGGCTAATTTTTTTTATTTTTAGTAGAGACGGGGTATCACCATGTTAGCCAGGATGGTGTCAATCTCCTGATCTTGTAATCCACCCGCCTCGGCCTCCCAAAGTGCTGGGATTACAGGAGTGAGCCACCGCGCCCAGCCTAAGAACAATTTTATTATTCTTGAATTAGATTTAATGTTTTACAAAGCATGAAATTGGTACCCTTAAAGGATAGTAGAAATATTGAACTATATTGAACATGTTTTGATTTCTAAATGTTAGATTGTAAGGTCCTGTTGCCCTAAAATAGTATTACTTGTTATGCAAATTAAAAATACTGCAAAAGAAAAATATACAGGCTTCATTCTTTATCTGAGAGCAGGAACCTAACTTGTCTTGTTTACCATTATATCTGGAATACAGGAACAATGCATGGCACTACTAAGTGCTTAGGAAATATTTGGAGAATAACTGCAAAAAAGGAGAAGAAATATGGAAGCTTATGATGCCAGTACTTCAATTAGTTAATACCTGGGGTTGCCAAATAGCAGGTTCTTTAAATTGTACATGAAAATTACTGGATATTTTGAGGACCTTATTATAATTACTGAGTTAATAAATCAGAACCTGATGGAACTTGTGTTTGAATGGGGTATCCAAATTTCATAGGAACAAAACTGTTTTTCTTCTGTACACTTTAGGAACTTTTACTTTGATTTTTGAAATTGTGTTTTTATTAATCCAATACTTATTCAGTATTTTATTCAACAAATATTGCCTGAGCACCTATGGCAAGTGATGTACTAGGTTCTAGAGATATGATAGTGACTAGATTACATTCCCAGCCCTCAAAGAGCTGACATTCTTTGAAGAAGGCAGATACTTCCAATGTGGCCATTTCTAAGAGCAGGAAAAAAACAGGTTGCAAGGGAACTTTTCATAGTGGGGGTAGGCATTACAGTCATGGTGTGAATGGACCCCAAACATTCAGAAATACTGTTTCCTTTAAAAATATTGTACTTTTTTCTCATAATGATTAAATATCTTATCAAAAATGCCTAGAAAAGTTTTATCTACATTTTATATGAAATAAATTTAAAACATATGTTTATGCTATTCTATTGTAAAATGTGTTAGGCCATTGCACTAGACCACCAGATCATAAGTGGGATAACTGCTTTTAGAGAATGCCTAGAATTTGAGGCCCCACATATGAAAGTTTGACATAAACCTTCATTAATTTTAACTTTAGTAAAGTTAAAATTCGCTTTACTAAAATTTAGTTAACTTTACTAAAGTTAAAATTATAGTTAAGGTTAATTTGAATAAGGAATGAACAAAACTATGAATAAAGCATTTTTACAATTGATAGAATGTTGGGAGAACATTAAGCATCTTGAGAGCAAAGCAGTCTTTTAAAAAGGACTATTTCATACATAAAACATTGATGTTGATAGCAAATATGTTCATTCAATAAAGTTATTTACTGAATGGTGTTTTGTTACCTTCAGGAATGAACTTATAAGTGACAAATCTTTTACTTCTCTGCAATATTTGATAATTTATATTGTTCTCTAGAATAGAGTGACTACCTCTGATAAACCTACTTAAGTGAAAGAATTTTCTTTGTATTAGCAATCTCCACGTGAGGTTTAAAATTTTTTCAGTCTGTAGCATATTTATATTGTTTTTGAGTCTGTGTATACATGTGTATCTGTGTGTATGCTGCTTTTCCCTAGTGTGTTTGTGTATGTTGCTTTTCCCTAGACATTTTGTATACATGACGTATTGGACTGTTGTTGTTGCCTAGCATGAAGAACAATATTAACCTTTGAGGTGCTTTTTAAATATTTCAATATGTTTGTGTTCTTTCATTCTTGGAAAATTATTAGAATCTCAATATAAAGAGTAGAAAATTAAACTAATAAAAATATGTACTTTCAACTCTCCATACATTCTAATAGTATTTTTTCTTTCATGCAAATCTAAATTTTTTTTTTCCATTTTCTAGACTAAATGTGTTAAATGGGCTTGCCAACAATATGGATGATTTGAAGATAAACACCGATATTACTGGTGCTAAAGAAGAACTCCTAGATGACAACAATTTTATCTCAGACAAAGAGAGCGGAGTTCATAAGCCAAAAGATTGTCAAACATCATTTCAGAAAAATAATACGTTGACTCTGCCTGAAGAACTGTCAAAGGACAAATCTGAAAACGCCTTAAGTGGAGGCCAGTCTAGTCTATTTATACATGCTGGTGCTCCTACTGTTTCTAGTGAAAACTTTATCTTGCCTAAAGGAGCTGCTGTTAATGGACCAGTTTCACACTCCTCCTTAACTAAGACTTCCAATATGAATAAAGGCAGTGTTTCATTAACCACTGGACAGCCTGTGGATCAGCCAACAACAGAATCTTGTTCAACTTTGAAGGTAGCAGCTGATCTTCAGCTGTCTACACCACAGAAAGCAAGTCAACACCAAGTTTTATTTTTGTTATCAGATGTAGCACATGCTAAGAATCCCACCCATTCCAATAAAAAACTACCTACCTCTGCTTCAGTTGGTTGTGACATTCAGAATTCAGTAGGGAGTAATATAAAGTCAGATGGCACTTTAATAAATCAAGTAGAGGTGGGTGAGGATGGTGAAGATTTATTGGTGAAAGATGATTGTGTCAATACAGTAACGGGAATTTCCTCAGGTACAGATGGATTTAGGTCAGAAAATGATACAAACTGGGATCCCCAAAAAGAGTTCATTCAATTTCTTATGACTAATGAGGAAACAGTAGATAAAGCTCCACCTCATTCTAAAATAGGTCTAGAAAAAAAAAGAAAGCGAAAAATGGATGTAAGCAAGATAACTCGTTATACCGAGGATTGCTTTAGTGATTCTAATTGTGTACCCAATAAATCAAAAATGCAAGAAGTAGACTTTCTAGAACAAAATGAAGAGCTACAAGCAGTAGACTCACAGAAATATGCATTATCAAAAGTGAAGCCTGAATCAACTGATGAAGACTTAGAATCTGTGGATGCCTTCCAACATCTAATTTATAACCCAGATAAGTGTGGAGAAGAGAGTTCACCTGTTCATACTAGCACTTTTCTTTCAAATACCTTAAAAAAGAAATGTGAAGAGAGTGATTCTGAGTCACCTGCTACTTTCAGTACCGAAGAGCCATCATTCTACCCCTGTACAAAGTGCAATGTGAATTTTAGGGAGAAGAAGCACCTCCACAGGCATATGATGTATCATTTAGATGGGAATAGTCACTTTCGCCATCTTAATGTCCCAAGGCCATATGCTTGTAGAGAATGTGGACGGACATTTCGAGATCGCAATTCACTTCTAAAACATATGATTATTCACCAGGAGAGAAGACAGAAGTTGATGGAGGAAATTCGTGAATTGAAAGAACTTCAGGATGAAGGAAGAAGTGCACGATTACAGTGTCCTCAGTGTGTGTTTGGTACCAATTGCCCTAAAACATTTGTGCAACATGCTAAAACCCATGAAAAAGATAAAAGGTACTACTGCTGTGAAGAGTGTAACTTCATGGCAGTGACAGAAAATGAATTGGAATGCCATCGAGGCATTGCACATGGGGCAGTGGTAAAATGCCCTATGGTCACTTCTGATATTGCCCAGAGAAAAACACAAAAAAAGACTTTCATGAAAGACTCTGTAGTAGGATCATCCAAAAAATCAGCTACCTACATATGTAAGATGTGTCCTTTTACTACTTCAGCCAAAAGTGTTTTAAAAAAGCACACGGAGTACTTGCATTCATCATCATGTGTTGATTCATTTGGTAGTCCTCTTGGACTTGATAAAAGAAAAAATGACATCCTTGAAGAACCTGTAGATAGTGATAGCACTAAAACATTAACTAAACAACAGTCAACCACATTTCCAAAGAACTCTGCTTTAAAACAAGATGTGAAGCGAACATTTGGATCAACCTCACAATCAAGTAGTTTTTCAAAAATTCATAAGCGGCCACACAGAATACAGAAAGCTCGGAAAAGCATTGCCCAATCAGGTGTAAACATGTGCAATCAAAACAGCTCTCCTCATAAGAATGTTACAATTAAAAGCAGCGTTGACCAAAAACCTAAGTATTTCCATCAAGCAGCAAAAGAAAAGTCTAATGCCAAGGCAAATAGCCACTATTTGTATAGACACAAATATGAAAACTATAGGATGATCAAAAAATCAGGTGAATCATATCCTGTGCATTTCAAAAAAGAAGAAGCTAGTTCATTAAATTCTTTACACCTGTTTTCATCATCAAGTAATTCTCACAACAATTTTATTTCAGACCCTCATAAGCCTGACGCCAAAAGGCCTGAAAGCTTCAAAGATCACAGACGTGTAGCTGTAAAGAGAGTAATTAAGGAATCTAAGAAGGAAAGTTCTGTTGGAGGGGAAGACTTGGATAGCTATCCAGATTTTTTGCATAAAATGACTGTTGTCGTTTTGCAAAAACTTAATTCTGCTGAAAAGAAAGATAGTTATGAAACAGAAGATGAAAGTTCCTGGGATAATGTTGAGTTAGGAGACTACACTACACAGGCCATAGAAGATGAAACCTATAGTGATATTAATCAAGAGCATGTAAATTTATTCCCTTTATTTAAGAGCAAAGTGGAAGGTCAGGAGCCTGGAGAAAATGCTACTCTTAGTTATGACCAAAACGATGGCTTTTATTTTGAATACTATGAAGATACTGGAAGTAACAACTTTTTGCATGAGATACATGATCCTCAGCATTTAGAAACTGCAGATGCTTCATTGTCAAAGCATAGTTCTGTTTTTCATTGGACTGATTTGTCTCTTGAGAAGAAATCGTGTCCTTACTGCCCAGCAACATTTGAAACAGGTGTTGGGTTATCAAATCATGTCAGGGGGCATCTTCACAGAGCAGGATTAAGCTATGAAGCCCGTCATGTTGTATCACCAGAACAAATAGCCACAAGTGACAAAATGCAGCATTTCAAAAGAACTGGCACAGGAACACCTGTTAAACGAGTTAGAAAAGGTAAGTTCTCCATGGGGATGATTTGGGCTGATAGGTCTGTGTTCTAATTCTGAAGATTTAAAAGTTTTTTTTGAATTTAGTCTTTATTAGAATCATAATTTTATGTTTCAGAATTAACTCATTTTAGGGTGGTCAGTTTATATAAGAAAGTCTGATATTACTCTTAAAAATTTTTTTCTAGCTATAGAGAAGTCTGAAACCACTTCTGAACACACTTGTCAGCTCTGTGGTGGTTGGTTTGATACTAAAATTGGATTATCAAATCATGTTAGAGGCCACTTGAAAAGACTTGGAAAGACGAAATGGGATGCTCACAAATCTCCAATCTGTGTTCTGAATGAGATGATGCAAAATGAAGAAAAATATGAAAAAATCTTAAAGGCATTGAACAGTCGTCGTATTATTCCCAGACCATTTGTAGCTCAAAAACTTGCATCAAGTGATGACTTTATATCTCAAAATGTTATACCTCTTGAAGCATACCGTAATGGCCTAAAGACTGAAGCTCTGTCAGTGTCTGCATCAGAAGAAGAAGGGCTGAATTTCTTAAATGAATATGATGAAACAAAACCAGAACTGCCCAGTGGGAAAAAGAATCAGTCTCTTACACTCATAGAACTTCTTAAAAATAAAAGGATGGGAGAAGAAAGGAATTCTGCTATTTCTCCTCAAAAGATCCATAATCAGACAGCAAGAAAGAGATTCGTTCAGAAATGCGTTCTTCCATTAAATGAGGATAGTCCGTTGATGTATCAGCCACAAAAAATGGACTTGACTATGCACTCAGGTAAGAGGACGTTTATGACTATGCTATACACAGTTTAAATGCAGTTCAATTATGCCTTCTTTAATGGAATCTATGTGGAAAATACTTTCTCACAATCTTCCTGTTTAAGCTGCTTTTTTTTTTTACAGAGCACAGATTGGTTATTCTACTGTCATTTCTGTATAACTCATCAATTGATGCTCATTAGCACTGAGTTCTCTGTGCCTCTTTTCTTGGTCTGAATGTAAGGTGAGAACAAAAGCAGAAGAAAACCACACACACACACAATAAAAACAACAAACAAAAAGCTGATCTGTAAAAATAAAACTTGCTCTGGCTGGAGGATGGTTGTGGATGGGAGGTTGATGTTCAAAAGCATAGCATTATTGAAAAGGCATACCTCTGTCATATTTTTGCCAGTTCTCCAAGGTGATCATGTTTTCAAGATTTAGCTGTTGGTTTTTCCACTGCTTAGGTAAAACAAAACAGACTCTTAAAGCTGAATGGATTGGTGTCTGTTGTGATTAACCCAAAGAAACATCTCCCTCTCCAATTCCTCATTGTATTGCGGAATAGTTTGGTTTTGGAGAACAGTTGTGAACATAAAACATATTTGTTTGGGGTTTTAGGTTTTAAGATAGTGCTCTAATGGAACAGGACAGATGATTTAGCTTAGTGCTGGTGCACCAATAGTTTTTTCCTTTTGAAAGGAATATTTTGTATGTATTGGCAAATAATGTGGCAGATAAAGTAGCCAAACTTTATTCAGTATTGCCAAGTGTGGTTTATACTTTTAGACTAGAAAAATTTTAAGTGTTTTTTCTAGATTTCTTTTTGAAGGTTAATGTTGAAGGTTTATGTAAATGGTCTCATGATTAGAGCTCTAAGTTGAATGTGTCAGAGGTAATAGTTAATGGATTAATAACGACTAACATTACTGTAAAGTAATGTTGTTTATTTGCTTTGGGGCAGACATTGTGATATCCCGAATAGTTGTAATGCAGTTTTGATTTAAGGAAAGATAACTTTGTATTGTAAGTGGTCTGGAAAGCAGTTTATCTTGTATGAGCTTCTGTTTAATCCGGCTTTTTCTTTCGAATAAAGAGTCTCTGAAAGTCAATAGCTTTCAATATTTTTTCAGAAGGGTAAAACGCAGGGAAGATGTGTTAGCTGTGTTGACCAAGGGGTAGTATACTTCAGAGATGGAAAGCATATTTGTGGCTATCACAGTAATGCTGAAGAAACCAGTTGAAATGTGTTGGGGGAGTGAGGATTGTCTGAGAAGTTAGGAGTTTCTTATTGTTTGAACATGTTTTTCCTGTGATGACTAAGATGTTAGCTTGTTGATCATTTATTTAGCACAAAGATTTTAGCAAAAAACTTTAAATCATTAACTTTCATTATTGATTGCGCATTCAGAGTAATGAACATAAAATACCCTAAATAAAATGTTGTGTCTAACAGCTGTTCAGTGGTGTGTTTTACCACCTTTTCTCCCAGCCTTCATCAGAAAGCCTAATTTAGTATTGAGACTTTTACGGTTTTGTGGGTAAAACACTTTAATTACCACTTTGTCAACTAGACTTTTTAATTCTTTTTATTGGTAATGTTGTAAGCTTTGAAACTTCTCAACAGAACCGTGTTGTTCAAATCACAGGATTGTATTGTAGTAGGTTTAAGAAATAATCTGCGTAACACAGAAATCTGCAAGAAAGTAATAATAGGTGTATATCCAGAGGAGCTCAAAGGTTCAAGTCACTCCTCGTCTACCTTTCCAAAGAGCATGAGTTGACTCTAAATACTAACTACAAACTAATAACAGTTAACTTAATTTCCCCTCCTTATTTTAAGTTAACCTATTTCATTGAACGTTTTGAAAACCATCTTTATTGTGGTGCTTTTCTACACTCTTTAAGCTAAGAAAATTTCACTTTTTGAAGTGAGAACTGGATTATAGTTTTCTTTTGAATGATAGGTATGCCTGTGAAGCTTAGAACATGTGTGCATTGCAATACGACGTTTACAAGTGCTGTTAGCCTGTCCAACCACTTACGCGCTTATGCACGAAAGAAGAGTGCTGGACTTTTGACTGGTACAGGTATGTTTGAACAGATATCACAGCAAGTCTGTTTGATACAATACACTTTTTTTTTCCCCACCAGACTGGTGTTAATTCAGATCATATTTATAGCTTTCTTTGGTAAGCTGCATTTGAGTCTGAATACCCATTGAATTTCAGCAACTTGTAAACTGTTAGATGTAATTCTAAGCAAGTTAATCTTTTTCTTTTGGCTCTTATTGACTTAATTTGGGGGAAAAAAAATTAACCCAAGAGGTGTGGAACTTTGAGTCTACCTTAATCCCATTTATTTTTTAGAATACTATTTTTGATTTTTAAATTGATTTTAGATTCCAGTAAAACACCTCTCTTTATAGTTCTAGTCGGGCTCAGTGGTGTGCCCCTATAGTCCCAGCTACTCATGAGGCTGGCAGGAGGATCACTTGAGCTCAAGAGTTAGCGGCTATAATGTGCTATGATTGTGCCTGTGAATAGTCACTGCACTCCAGCCTGGGCAACATAGCATAAAAATATTGTAGTTCTAGCTTGGGGAAATCCTTTATTAGAAAAGGAAATTATAGGGAAATTTCAAAATGTAGACTTGATTAGGAAACTAAGCAAACTAATGAATTTTCATTAGTCTATAGATTAGATCTTTGAAGGGGTGAGCCTTAATAATGGCTTGTGTTGACAAGCGAATAGATTTTTCTTTTAATACTTCTTAAATATATTAAGGATTAATAAATTTAGCTATGCACATAAGTGTTAACATGCACATTTCTGTGTTATTTTTGGTTGGTTAGCCCAACCTTGCAGATACCTCTTAATACTGCTCATCTGTGAAAATTTTATTAGCTTACTTATATGTAATACGCTTCTTATAACCTACAAAATGCTTTGCACTTTCATTTGTAGTCTTTTAAGCTACCCTGCTTCAGCAAATCTCATTTCCCTCACATCTTAAAATATACCCTCTTTTTGACATAGATCTACATAAATTCTTTTGCCTAAAATTCTTTCCAATCATTTTATTTCTCTTGCTCTTTTTTAGATCACTGCCTCCTGCTTTCTTCTAGTTGTTTTCCCAGCTTTTTTGTTCTTCCTCATGTCCTAGAACTTAGATCCAATATGTTCTTGCTTTCAAAAAACCACTTATATTTATACTAGTGTCTTTCTTCTGCTTCTTTGCATTCTTCCTTAACTTGATATACAAATGACCAGGGATGAATGTTGACAATTTATATTAAAAAGAGAGGAGTGGGGTGAGTTTTAGTCTACTGGATTAGGCCTCCTACTCTGAGATTATAATTTTTATATACCCTCACCTTTATCAGGCTTGGCAAGTGATTGCAGACATTAGAGGTGGGGAACAATAAAAATAAGAGACTATACAAGTAGGAAATCATTATTGTTACCATACTTGCTAACTTTTATTGAACATTTACTATGTGTCAGGCACTATGCTATGCAATTTACATGCATAACATTTAATCTTTACAACAGCCATACAAGTTGTAGGTACTGGAATTCTCTTAACGTTTTATAGGAAACTAGGACTTAAAGAACTTAATTTGCTCAAACTTACACAGTTAATAAGTAGCAAGGTTGTAATTCAAATCAGGGCTATCTTACCTAATCTTTGTTTTTAATCACTATTCTCTACCTTACACAGGCGGTCTATTTTTGAATTTCTTATTTTTAAAATAAGAAATTGAAATAAAAATAAGCAATGGAAAATTCTAAAATGAAGGTGGGTTTGTTCATTTATTTATTTATTTATTTTGAGACGGAGTCTCGCTCTGTCACCCAGATTGGAGTGCAGTGGCGCGATCTCGGCTCACTGCAACCTCCACCTCCCTGGTTCAAGCAATTCCCCTGCCTCAGCCTCCCGAGTAGCTGGGATTACAGACTCATGCCATCATGCCTGGCAAATTTTTTTGTATTTTTAGTAGAGATGGGGTTTTACCATGTTGGACAGGCTGGTCTCGAACTCCTGACCTCAGGCAGTCTGCCCGCCTTAGCCTCCCAAAGTGCTGGGATTACAGCCGAGAGCCACCGCACCCAGCCTGAAGGTGGGTTTAAAATGGGGACTATTCTGGTGAAGACTGAATAAATAAGAGTCTAATTAAAAAGAGCAGAGATCCAAGAAGTGCTTAGGCCTAAATTAGACTTTAGAGGAGTTAATGTTCCATTCTGATTATTCAAGCAGATTATGCAAATATCCAATAAGGCAAGATATCTCCAGTCCAGATTTTATTAGTCCATTAAAAAAATGCTTTTACTTCATCTGAAAATTCTGCAAAACACAGGATTAATTACTTATAAATAACTGGTAGTAAATCTCCATTTACCAAGAATGCACTTATGAAGATTATCTAAAAAATCTTCATTATCAGAGAGAAAAGTAATGTAGGATGACTGGGAATATGTTTAGGTCCTGAAGAATAAAAGAGGGTGTTATTTTAAAAATATGATTAAGTACTACCAAAATATTAGAAGTACTAGGAAATAGAAAGCGTGTGTTTGGCAGTCCTAGGCAAAGAAAAGGAAAATGAGAAACTGAAGAAAGCCTAGGGTCTTATTTTCCACACCCAGTAGCCACTTTTGAGAAACTTTAAAAACTAATGCTTCTTTTTCTTGGAAATTCTGAAACATTTTTTCCCTCATTAAAAAAAATCTTCTTGATCAGTAGAGCTATACAGATGTCTTTGCTGCTTATTCATGCCAACTAAGAAGTTTTTTTTCAAGCTTTATTAACTTTTCTGTTTTCCAGATAGAGAATTCTGTATTGTATTTACAAACTCCACATACTGATTATCCCCCATATCAATATCACTGTTATAAAGCAGTGTTCCTAAAAACCTATGGCCCTAGAAGGTTCCACTTGGTTATTATAAGTGATTCATTAATTCATATGAGTAACAGGCATCATTTTTCAAGAACACATGATCTTTTAATGAATAAAATGCAAATTCATTTTTATAAAATCTTACCTTAGTATATCACAAAATTGGAACAATGTAAAGGGAAAGTAGATAGGAATAAAGCCTCCCTAACCATGTCCAGTATGTGTATTTCTAGTTTAAGCAGTCTTAATTCATGTAGATTTTAAGTTGTGTGGTCCACTCTTGAATACAAAGCTTAGATACCCTCAGACTAAATGGTAAAGGCCTGCTTTTGGTTACCTGTGATAGAATAAACTTTCAAGCCTTCTTAGAAGCCACAGCTCCTGGTCTTTTCTGTGGGAACTGGTGACCTTTTGAGGGAAGAAAAATATTTCTTCTAACTTATAATCTCTTCAAGTATCCTGAATACACTGAAAAGGATATCCCTCTTCTTCCCAAAATACCTGTTTACTGGTAACTTAAATACTTCTAATGTGATGGTTCTCAATCTTTACTGGGGTCACCGACATCTTTGAGAATTTCATGAAAGCTGTGGGCCCCATCCCAGAAACATGCACTTATTTGTTCTCAGATAAAAATTTTTGTGTGTATAGACTTTGCGTATCTCCTGAAGGCTATCATCAATTTGTCTGATGGCAAATTGAGAAAGGAGAGATGCCAGAATAAAAGGAAAGTAGAAACAGAACTAGGAATCAGAAGCCTTAAGAAGTTCTTTTTTTTTTAAGAGCAGAAGATGCTTAAAATGCAAGAATTGCATAATAGCAAAACTAATTGTGGGGTCATTATCTTCCCTAATATTTGTAAAAGGAACCGATGGGGGAAATAGGAAAGATTTAGAATTGAAGATTTGGAAGAGGTGGGCAGACTTGGGAGAGTTAAATTGTCATAAAAGAATAATTTCACAGATTAAAGTTTTGCCCAGAACTGTCCCAGTTTATCTTCTGTTGGGTAGGTTCAAATAAATTGTTTAATAATTTTTCTGTGTCTTCACTTGTAGATAATTTATGAAGCTGTTTTACTTCCTTTCCCCGATCAATCTTTATCAAAATAGACTAGAATCAAAGGGTTTATTTTATATCCTATATTGTAAATTTAAGGCAGACTTCTTATTCAAGAGTTTATTCTAGTTATTTATGGAATGCAGTAATGGTAGGGGTTTTTTTTTTTTTTGAGATTTTGTTCTCTTTAATGTTTTACATGCTCATACAGATTTTTTTCTGGTTAATTTTCCATACAGTTTAATGAGAACATTATATAGTTTTCATTAAATATTGAAATTTTATAATGTAGCTTATATTAATTACTTCTGGACTTTTTATTTTACTGATTAGCTTTTTTTGTGCCTAATGTTTTAATTAAATGATGTATTTTTATGCTAGCCATATTAAGAACATAGTTCTATTAAGTTATTAATGGAGTGACTATACATACTGGTTTACCTTGTTGTCACACCTAAGTACTAGTGCCTCTTTTACTCTCATAAGTGTCCTGGATTGAATGATAAATTAATCATCCTGGTTATTAAAATTGCTAAAGCATTTAAAATTAAGGTAAAGCATATTCTATCAACCTAATCTGCAATCAGGAAAAAAAATATATTTTGAGGTCAAAATAAGAGTGAATTTCAACAGGTAGGGAAAGGGAAATACAGAGTAGAGAGAATGTTGTTAAAGGAAGTAGATCTGTCAGATGAATGCCACAATGCTTTTCTATGGTAGATAGCATGTTGTTATCTTTTGTAAAGAAGAAACAATGATGGTAGCAGTCAGCATTTTAATTGAGACTTTATTTTATATCTTGACCACATGTACAAACTTACATTAATACAAACACACAATTCCTTGTGTACTCACCTAAATGTACTTTAATATTTTCTTTTTTATTATATTCTTTGTTGTGAAAAATTAATGCTGGTCATGAGCCAGTAAATTGATTTGCTACCCACTTAAGAAGTCACTATCATAGATTGAAGACACTGCCCTAACTGCCTCTTTCTCTTAGGGGTTGGTACTGACCAATGGTAGTAGTATCTTAGATGTCATAACTCTTCTGTGGCAGCAGGTGAATTTTCTATACTCATTCTATCCACATTTTTCTCTCTAGATCACTTTTGTAAATCAAATGCTAACCTCTGGGACTTAAAGTAATTGGAAATTTCTAGTTACTCATTTAAAATTAATGCAAGAAAAATATTTTTATATTTGGGAGGGGCTTCATTTCATTATCTTCAGAACAATTTTGTGTGTGTGTGTGTGAGACGGAGTTTCACTCTAGTTGCCCAGGCTGGAGTGCAATGGTGCAGTCTCGGCTCACTGCAACCTCTGCCTCCCAGGTTCAAGTGATTCTCCTGGCTCAGCCTCCTGAGTAGCTGGGATTACAGGCACACGCCATCACGCCCGGCTAATTTTGTATTTTTAGTAGAGATGGGGTTTCTCCATGTTGGTCAGGCTGGTCTCGAACTCCTGACTTTAGGTGATCCACCCGCCTGGGCTTCCCAAAGTGCTGGGATTACAGGCGTGAGCCACTGCACCCAGCCCAGAACACTTTCTTGATACGTTTTGGAAGTAAAGCCCAATTGTTGCTATTCTACAACAAATGACTTATCCATCATAATTATTTGACTTTTCTGATGAGGTCAATACCACTAGTGCAATATATTAACGTTTTTAAAAAATCAAGTCAGTGTTTTATTTTTCATACCATTTACTTTTAAGTGTAATCGTAGTAGGTTTCTTTTGCCTGTTTTCAGCTTTAATGATATAATTGGCCACACAGGACTGTAACAAGTACTAATGAACATATAGCACAGTATCAAGTGCTGAATGGGTTTGTAAGCCACTAGAAAAGTCATTCTTATGTTGTGGAAAGTGCTATGGGAGCACTTTCTGATGTGATAGAAAAAATAGTATTGTGAAAGCTTCCCAATGTGCATTAAATTATTTGTTCATTCATGAGTGTCACTGTAGTGTCTTTTAAAAATAATATAGTATTGCATGTTTGAAAAATTGCATGTTTTCATAGTGGTTCATTCAGACTGAAAGAGTGTAAGTAGAAAATTTTGATCTTCTTATTAAGATTAAACTCCAAATGAGCAAACTTGCTTCTGCTTAAAGCAAACTCCTTGACAATTCTTCCAGACTGGGCTGAGGAGGGTATGTGAAAAGTATGAGACATGTCTCTGCTGTCAGAGAAATTAGGAAAGGATTGTTGACAACATACATAAAACTATCAAAAATTGAAAACTATGCAAGATAGTATACAACTAAATGGCATATTGGCTTTAAGTGTTGTAGGAGTTCAGGTTGATTATTTTAGTCTAAGCCTCCTTTTGAGGGCAGCTGGGAATTGAGATTCCTTTTTTTTCTGATGCCCTTACTGTTTGTCTCATTGAATTAGAGCTTGTAAAAAACAGAAAAAATAAATAAATAAAAGTAGTTCATGCTGGTATGCTTCTTGTGACTTTTTAAATGCAAGAGAACAACAAAACCAGCAGCCATACAAAATTTTATTCATTCAACAAAAGTTTGAGTTCTTGTACCAAGACTGTTCATCGCTGAGCCAGTAAAGATACTGCACTCCAGCTGCATAAACATAATATAACCCAGTGGGAAAAGATCAAGTATGCCATTACAGAAGGGTTTATATGGTTTCAGCCAGACCCTGAAGTTGAAGGATGCAGTAGAGTTTTAGGAAGACGAGATGAAGTGTAGAATATTTCAGGCAGAGAAGAACATAGTGTGGACACAAAGGGATGAAATTTGGACTTCAAGTGTCAGGAGTGGAACTTGGAGTTCAAGTGTCAGAAGATTTGGTTACAGATGTTTGGTAAAATTGTAGTGCCAGAAAGGTGGGGTTGGTGCTTTGAATGCTTGGTAAAAAAAATTAGGAAGTCATTAAAGGATGTTTTAAAAATAAGGAGGCCGGGCGTGGTGGCTCACACTTGTAATCCCATTACTTTGGGAGGCTGAGGCAGGCACATCACCTGAGGTCAGGAGCGTGAGACCATCATGGTCAACATGGTGAAACCCTGCCTCTACTAAAAAAAAATACAAAGAACTAGCCAGGCGTGGTGGTATGCGCCTGTAATCCCAGCTATTCAGGAGGCTGAGGCAGGAGGATTGCATGAACCCAGAAGCTGGAGGTTGCAGTGAGCCGAGATTGTGCCATTGCATTCCAGCCTGGGCAACAAGAGCAAAACTCCTCAAAAAAAAAAAAAAAAAATCAGCCCAGTGTGGTGGTGCGCGCCTGTAATCTGAGCTACTCAGGAGGCTGAGGCAGGAGAATTGCTTGAACCTGGGAGGTGCAGGTTGCAGTGAGCCAAGATTGCGCCACTGCACTCCAGCCTGGGCGACAGAGTGAGACTCCGTCTCATAAATAAATACAAAAGGAAAATAGGCCAGGTGCCGTGGCTAACACCTGTAATCCCAAGCACTTTGGGAGGCCGAGGCAGGCGGATCACCTGAGGTCAGGAGTTTGAGACCAGCCTGGCCAACATGGTGAAACTCCGTCTCTACTAAAAAATACGAAAAAGTAGCCAGGCGTGGTGGTGGGCGCCTGTAATCCCAGCTACTCAGGAGGCTGAGGCAGGAGAATCGCTTAAACCTGAGAGGTGGAGATTGCAGTGAGCTGAGATCATGCTGTTGCACTCCAGCCTGGGCAACAGAGCAAGACTCCATCTCCAAAGAAGGAAGGAAGGAAGGAAAGAAGGAAGTGAAGGAGGGAGGAAGAGAGGGAGGGCAGAGAGAGAGAGAAGAAAAATAAGGGAATGGTATGGTTAAACTTATATTTTAAAAAGCCTTTCATGAGACAGAGAAAAGATGGGTCTTTATATTTCTTAGCTATAACTTATTTCTATAGTATTGTTCTTCATTAAGAGCATATATGTGTATACATTTATCTGCACAGTAACGTATCATTTATAAGTGATTAGCAAGGTAACGAATTATCTGAGTTGAGTAAATTCTCTAGGTGACTGAAGAATAGTCCTTTAACTGTTAATAACTTGATTTTTCCTAACCATTTTGGTGGTTATTGCTCCAAAATGTTGTTCTTATTTTTGCCTTGAGTAGCTTGGATATAATTTAATCGAGTATTTTGGGTAACCCTTATAGATACTCTACTAATTGTTTTATTATTCCAGCAAGAATTAGGCTATTTCTCCACCATACAAAAAAATGATCGGCTGATTTTTTCACTAATTCAACAAGCACTTTTTTCACCTCCAACTGTGCTAAGTATGCAGAGATACATTGGATCTTACAATACAGTAGAAGCACATATATGCATAACTGTAATACAAGACAAATTGTTAAGTGCCATTGGAGAGGTATGCGTGAAATACTGTGGAATTTCAGAGAAAGAGGAAGACACTTTCAGCTAGACTAGGAACTCCCAAGGCTTTTGGAATTAGCATTTGAATGGACCCTGATGTATAGCTAACTGAAATGGAAATGGGGGTCGGGGTGGGGAAGAGAAATGCCTGAAAGAGGGAGCAAGGTGGAACAATGTGGGAAGTTTATAGGAAATACTAGGAAGTAGGAGGTAAGGGAATTGAGTTGGACTGGTAAAGTGAGTCAGATAGATGACATAGAACGCTAGTCTAAGATGTTGGAATTAACTTTGTAGTGGGGAACTATTTGAATGCAGAATTTGTGTAATGCTTTTGAAATTGCTTTTTAAATAAAGGATTTGGCAGAGAGGAGGAAAAATTGCAGGGTAGATCATTTTAAGAGTCCTGTACCAGGTCAGTGACATTAAGAATGTAAAGGAGGGGTACTAGATGTATGGGTAATATTATGGAAATAAAATAAGCAGGATATGGTAGATTAGAGTTAAGAGATGACTCAAGATTTTAAATCTGAGTGGGAGGAGGATGGTTATACCAGTACAGTTAATCAATCTGCTACCATGCTGTCTGGTAGAAGGGCAGGCTTCATTACTTCTCTGTCATTTACTAGCAACACTTCAACATCCAGCTATCCACTATAACAAAGTATCACCTTAAAAGCAGGAGATCTACAAATTTGGAAAAGAGAGCTTTATTTCTTAGGAAGCTTGAAGCCTGCAGGCTTGGAAGTGTATCCTCAGACAGAGACCAAAAGCAAGCCCTTCAAAGGAGGAAGGGTGAGACAGGAAGTTATGTTGAATGGGTTGGCTAAGTATACATATTCAACAGATTATAGGAGGAGCTATGAATATTCATGAGGGGGTGCACACAAGCTTAGTGTGCACACTCCATGTTACATACATCCCATGTTCACTTTGAGTTGGAGACCTAACATTTAATCATAGTAAAATTAAGGTTTACATGTCAAAAGGTGAAACAGAGTTCATAGGCATCCTATGTGCAGCCTTCATGGACCAGCTAGAACCAGTTGGTGATCTCTTATCAGTAAGGAATGCTGGTCAGTTCAAAACCACAAAAACAGAGTGGAGTCTGGCTTCTGAGTTAGGCAATTGGTTGATATCAGTGGGGAGCAAGTCTTTTGAAAGGGTTGGTTTCTTTTTAACTCTTAGGAAGGAAAGTTTTATGGTGGTTAGTGAGGGAGGGGACCTAACGAGACTTGCTTTACCTCCTGTCCCATCATGGCTGGGAACTCAATTTTTAAGGTTTCTCTGGGGTCACCTTGGCAAAGAGGAGGGTGTCCATTCAGTCTGCTGTAGAACTTAGAATTTTATTTTTATTTCTCAAAAGCAAATAACCACACTTGTTGAATCAGTAAGTTTGTTTTTAGGAGAATATAGCCTAAGAGTTACACCATTGTAGCATAAAATACTTAAATTTTATGATGCTTGTTTTTTGCTGCTCATTGGTTTCATAAGGAAGGTGATCTATTTTGACTGACATCTTGTTTTTCATGCAAGTCTTATCTAGTTTCCTAGCATTACTATTGGTTTAATTATTTACTAAGTTTCTGGGTTTTGCTTTTTTTTTTTTAATATATGTTTGGGAATCTTAAATATATCTAATTATATCTTCAGTTATAATGTTTGTGTTTGCTATGATTTTTATTCTCTAAGCCTTAAATAATGAGATTCAGAAAATATCATTAGGTATAGAGTTTATTCAAGCCCAAAGCTTGAGGATGGCCACCTGGGAGCATAGGTTCAAGTTGCCCTGGATATACACTGTGATTAGCAGCAGTTACAAGTGAATTTTTAAGAAAAAAAGCGGTTTCTATGTTTATTTACCAAGAATTTACATTAAGATAACGTAAGCTATCGATTGGCTATACATTGTTCTTTGTATCACAGATTTCAGGAACATAAAAATAATGGGTGAGGCATCAGGTCAGGAACATAATGAATGCCTAGTTTAAACAATTGCCCTCCCCCCAGTGGGGGGCATGAGAGTCAAGTGACTGAAGTCCCCTACTCCAGTCTTTCTGGGCCTGGTAAATCTTGCATACTGTGCATAGCTGACTGCTGAGCTGCTTTCCTTCTCTCTAACATGAATTTCTTGAATGCGGTTTGTAATCTGGATTAAGATAGAATTAGCCCTTATAATATAACAAGGCATGTGGTTGGCCAGAGCTAAATTTTAGGTAATGTTTTAATTGACTTTACGGAAATAATAAAATAACACTCAGACTTTCTCTATTGGAGGTTAGGGCAAAAGGATGGCTTATTGGTAGGTAGTTCCTCACTTACTGCAGAAGTAGAAAAAAGTAGAAAAGTAGAATTTACTTTTTTTTTTGGTATGCCTAGGGTTTGAAGAATGAGGTTAATTCTTGTTATCCAAGGTTTATGTATTTAATTGTAGCTTAGCTGGAAGTTGGCTAAAACAGAAAATATCTGATCAATACCATGTTTGGTTATAGTTTGAATTTTGGCTGGAATTACACGTGTAAGGCTCTTGAGAACTATAAAAAGCCAAATCAGATCCATTGCGACCATGGATTTGTGCCATTTAGATTTACTAATATATTGTTGTGAGTCCTATCTAATTTAAGGTAAATATGATTGTATTGAAAATAATTTAAAGGAAATTTTAAAGTTTGGTGGTTTTCTTAGCTAATTTTATGATCAAGAACAATTTAATTATTGTTACTACATCTGAAATGATATATCAGAAATACGGAGATTTTAGAGGGCAGGGACTGTGATTATTTTGTTTGTAATTCTCAACAAAAGTGACTTAAAGCAGATTGTCATTATGTACTTTAATGTTTATTCTAATTTCAGATGTGTCTTACAAAAGTGGTTGATGTTGATGGCTAATGCCTATTTTGCTTAATAAAACGGCATACAAGTCCAACTTACTTGAAAAGAAATTTTTAAATGTTATTTTCTTACCTGTCACCACAAAGAAGTAATACGTTTGCTATCCTATCAACTCAGCTGACCAGTAAGCCACTTGTAGTTGTGATATTGTTAGCTTTTTTAGCTTTGGGTAAGCTGATAAAACTAGCCTGCCTCTAATTCCTGTTTATAAAAATGTGTGATGAAGTATCATATTTATGTCCAGCTTTTCCCTTTATTTACATAGAGAATACTTGCTCAAAATACCCTTTAGTAATCATCCCCTCTACTTTGAAATAGTGGAGTCTTCTACAAATTGTACTTTTTCTTTAACTGAATCCATTCAAGTTTAAATAAAAGGCTACTTCCATTTCCTTTAACTCTTTCTCTGAACTATAAGGCTGTTGACTATACTTAATTTAACTTCCTACTTTGTAGGACAAACTCAAGCAACCAGTCCTTGTGGACTAATAATTGTAAAACCACAAACCTAATTCTTAAAGCAAAGGAAATCTGCTTTCCAGGTATTTTGCATTTCATCCTCTTCCAGGTAAATTATTAAAACAAGCAGGAACTAGTTAACTTTGCCACTGATTGCTGTGTGATTGAGTTACTTATCTTTTTTTCAGTCATTGGGAGTGGAAACTCTAAAAATTAATGAAAGTTATTTAGGGTACTAAAAAATTACCCAATTTTAGAGTGAAAATATCAAGGGAAAATGTTGATGAAAATAAATACTTTTGAGGTGACCAAATGTGTATCTTTATACTTCATGCCTGACTGTAAGGGAAACATTGCTTTTTATAATGTAAACTACTCATCTTGGGAATAATGAAGTGGTATAGCTAGGAGCAAAGAACTGATGTTGATAGGAGTAGGGGAGTCCTTTTCAATTTTAATACTGTGTAGAGTGGGGATTTAACAATTTTTCTCAGCCTTTTTTTTTCCTTTTTTGAATGGGCCGAGAGATTGAGGGGTGGAACTGAATGCAGCCTTTCTCATTTATGATAGTAGATACTCAGGTCCCAGGGCTGCTATTTGCAAAGTCCAATGCAAAATGAGTTATGTGGTAGACCTCGTTCAAAAATTAATAGTTTCAAGGCTGCAACAGTAGAGCATTAAACTGAGTGTGGGGCTCTCCCTATGTGACTGTGTAAGTTGGACACCCATGAAGCTGGTCTCCTAGGCACTTTGTACAGAAAGAAAGATAAAAGCTGAATAAATGAAACTTTGGCTTCTCAGCAATTGGCTTTCTCTACCCCATTCCTGTTTTACACAAGCTAGCATGTTTTTGTTGTTGTTGTTGTTTTCTAAAAAAAGGCCCTGATTCTTTTTCATTTGAGGCCAAAGGAAAGAAAATTATATTTGCAGTCTTTTTATATGCTTGGGGCTTATGAACCTTGAAGGATTAGTGACAACAGTTATAATTGAATTTATTACTAACACAGGAACAGAAAACCAATACTGAATGTTTTCACTTATAAGTAGGGGCTAAACAACGAGAACACATGGACACAAAGAAGGGAGCAACAGACTGGGGCCTACCTTAAGGGTGGAGGGTAGGAGGAGGGAGATAATAAAAAAAACTACCTATCAGGTACTGTGCTTATTGCCTGGGTGATGAAATAGTCTGTACACCAACTCCCGTGACAATTTACCTATATAACAAACCTGCACGTGTACCCCTGAAGTTAAAATAAAGGTTTAAAAAAAAGAGTTGAGTTTATTTTTCTTACACTTGTGTATCCTTTGGCATGTGTGCATCCTCTTCCCACCTCACCACTGCCAGCACGACCTCCAGCACCAACTTTTTAATAGTGATAGAATGATGATTTACCTGTTCGTGTCATGTTTATTCCTACTGTAGTTCTGAATGAGCTCATAGCTAATATTGTCCACCAAACTTAACACAGGCCAACCACTTAGAGAAGAAATTTTCTTCCCTCTCGTAGGGGTATACTGTGCCTCTTACTTTGGGTATAGATACCCCAGTTGTTTCACTTTGTCCTAGAGATACCAGCAACCAATTAGAAAAGAAATGGATTAAACAAGACTTTTAAGTTATTGGGCAGGTGAGAATGATTACAAATAAAAATACTTCGGTGGCGAATGTTAATTTAGTTATGGTGTGCTTTATCAAAGAAGTTCCAGATGTTTTTATGAAATCTCATTCTCTTGGGTCATTTATATCGTGAAGGAAAAAGAAAATGAAACTCATTGAAGCAATTATTGTATAAAATGGGCAGAAAGGTGGAAAGAGCAAAAGATTTTAATGTCAAAGTCAAAAGTAAATTCTTAATCTTCTTTGTATAAAACTAAATAATGGCTCAGAAAACAGACTTGAATTTTTATGTGTTGTGTTATCTATTTATTTGCTTTGCACCAATCTGGTTTAGTGCTTTGGCATGTTGTTGTCGTCATGGTCATTGGTCGTCGTATTCATAGCATAGCAGTGTGGTGTTCTTTTTGAGGACTCATGAGTTTATTGTATTTCTCTTTCATATTTGTATTTGACCAAGACAAATATCTTACTGAAAGGTATATTCTATTTTTTTTTTTTGCATTTGACCTTACAGCTCAATTTATTCTCCGTATGAGTAAAATATTCTCAGTAGCAATTTAGATCTTTTATAAATCAGGTAACTTGAAAGATAACAGTCTTTTGGTTGAAATTGATCACTTAAACAGTTTCTGCCCACCGAATAGTAATCTTAGGAAGGTTTGGATGACTGGATTTGTTTCTTTCTATAGAAGCTTATGCTTGAGAAGAAAATTAATACTTTCTAAAAATAATTTTTTAATATATTTAAAGTATAGAAACAATGTTAGATTTAAAATACTTTGTAAAGAGAAAAGAGTGTGTGGGTTTTTTGTTTTTAAGTTCCTTGGAGTTTTTTGGTCACTAACAAGTGCAAATAAAATCCTATTACAAAAAAAGGCTTTGTGTAACAGTTATCTATTTGGCAGATTATTCATATAAACAACTCTGTTAAAGCTTTGGCTGTTTATCACAGATACTGATGAGCTGCATTATATTAAAACTGAATGTGTTAGTGATCTGTATTTAATGTTCTAGTGGCTCCTGGTACAGTCCAGAACAAAACTACTTTTCCCTCTAGATATAATAAAATCTCTTAAGTGAGAATATTGGTATAACAGACATGTTTCTACCTCATCCTTTTCATTTATTGAAATTTTCTGTGTAAATCATCCTTTTATGTAGAGGATCCTATATAGATGTCCCCTTTTTGTGCAGTTTTAATATGTTAAATACTCAATTTTAAACAGATTTTCCCAAAGGTATGGGCAGTATCACAGGAGTGGGTTTGGATATTGGCATTAGAAAAACTATTGTAAAATATGTTCATGTTTCACCTGCTCAAAAATATAACATTTCAGGAGATAATAAATCTAGAATTGATGAAGATATTAAAACACTGAGGCATTTAGATTTCAATTTCCAAAGTTCCCAGATTTTTAATATTTTAACTTTGTGAATAAGTTTCTAGGGATTCTCAGTGCATGAGATTCTGTAACCTTAACTTTGGAGCCCTGGGTTCTAGAGATGATTGATCAGTCATAAGCTGGCAGAGTTGTCCTGCTTTCCAAGGTTATAATACCTTCAAATACTCATTGCTACAAAAATGATGGCATTCTCATTTCAAGTTTAGATCTGATCATTCATAAAACAGCCTAAACTTAAGAGTTTCCACAGTCCATAAAGCATCAAAAGCCATAAAATAATTCTTTTTTCCCTATTAAAGAAAAAGCCAAAAATATTTCTGTATTTTAGAATAAACATTTCCAGTTCCATTTTTAAAATATTAACAACATGTAAATTTAAATGCTTTTGTAACTGATAAAATGTTCTTTTGCATATTTCCCTACCATCCTCCTGCCCTTCTTCCTCAATTTGCTTTACACCCCTAACATTAACATTCTGTGAACAAATTTTTAAGGGTTGTTATAATGTATTCTATTTGTATCCTACAGTAATTTATTTGCATTTTAAAAGGAGTTTGAATACAGTGTGGCAATTTTGACAACCAGCAAGCTCATCAAAGTAAGATTCTACCTGTAATCTTATGATACACCAAATGCCTGCTCTATTCTGCCTAACACAGACAAGGATCCATCTTTACAGATGGAAAGAATAGCTGACATCTAGTAGCACTTACTCTTTGAGTTCCCTGAACTCTATTTCTAGTGTATGAATCACTCATAACCCACTTAAATTCAGATTGCTCACCAAAGCG
This sequence comes from Homo sapiens, assembly GCF_000001405.40. NCBI lineage: Eukaryota > Metazoa > Chordata > Mammalia > Primates > Hominidae > Homo > Homo sapiens. The sequence goes on along the minus strand of NC_000001.11, from coordinate 90,920,043 downwards.
ATTAGGAAAAAGGTTTTTCCTACTGGGTACAAAGCATAAGGTATTTCACTCTTGTAGTTGTTGTGAATAACCTAGTTTCTGTACATAAGCTGGCTGGTCAGTGATTTATATCTAGGATAATGAAGTATGTGTGACTGCAGCAACATATTTAAACAAATGATGCACAATGTTGTACAGGAATATTACCTGTATTAAATAGGAGTAAAACATTTTCATTCATAGGCTGTCTAAATATCAATGGTTAAATTACTGAGTTTTGCTTTATTTTTACTCCAGAAGTATTTGTTGAGTTCCTACTACATGCGAGGCTCTTGACTGAGATAACTAATAAGATCCTTATAAGATTTTTCTATTCCAGAGTTTGGTTGTTTAGCTTTGAATTACCCATTCTTTAATACCTAACTTGACTTCTAGTAGTTCTTTACTTATTAGACTCTTCTTCTAAGGATAAACAGAAAAAGACTGTGTCCTAGATTTTACTTTTGAATAGGCAGGTGACAGGAAGCTGAAACCAGTGGCTTCAATGAGATTTAGGTTTCTTGTGGTTTTGAATTTTCTATATGACATTTCTGTTATCATTGCCATTTGACTAAGGAACTATGTTTACTGGTTTTGTAATAGTAGCATCTATTCTTTTGGAATCTGGACTTTGAACAATTCGTTTCACAGAGTCATTGAACAGCCAGTTCCTTCTCTCTTACTTAGAATTTTTCCAGGGAATTTTTCACATGGCAGGATAATGGAAGAAAAGCCATTTGGGTAACTCTTCTGTTACATTTGTATCCCTCCCCCCTTGGATCCCTACAGATAAATTCTTACCTTCTCTTCCTGCTAATTGACCAGCAGCACCCTGGATTGCTATCATCCCTTTGTCCAAAGAAATGGTGTAGCTGTATTCAAAGACCTATAAAATGTTATGTGCTATCTATTGCTACCTATAAAAAATACCTTTTTTTCTTTTTAAAATCAGGTTGTTTTAGAATAAATAAAGGAAAAGTCAATTAATGGAAAAATTTCAAGAACAGTTCACATAAAATTTTGGTCTATTTTAATTTTTTTTTTTACCTTTTCAAATCACATTTTAAAATAAGCAGTTGGAGAAAATGTAAAATGAAAAATATGTAAAGAATAGTTAGCATTAAACATCAGATCCAATTGTAAACTTACGTGAGATAATATGGATTTATATTTATTTTCTAGTAAAATAAAACTTATATGATTGCATAATTGATTATTGTATATGCAATACAAATTAAGTTCAAAAATGAAAGTTGAGCTTTTTTTGTCCTTTCAAATGTAGGGCCAGCATACAATTTTAAGAGCTATTTATTATAAAATTCATGGTGAATCACTATGAAAATTGATTTTTCCTTGAGCTTTTAATTACATTATCCATATTCCCTTACGAAGTTTTCCAAGTATAGAAGACCTACTTAATGGAGCAGTAATCAAATGCAAACTTAATTTAATGATCTCAAATAAAAGGTTCTACTTTTCTGGAAATAAGATTAAACCAGATATTAAAATTATGTATGATTATAAAAGTAAAGATTACCATTATTGTAATAATTGACCAATTTAGTACTTTCAAGTTATTTAGTTACATTTTCTCAGTTCTAGTTTGGTGTGGTAAAGCATTATTTGAAAAGGCAGTATAGGAAGAATACAGATAGTATTCTTCAGTACAGATAATACCGCTGTACAGTACAGATAATATTACTGCTATTACAGAATCAGCAAGTTGAATGCATGCTTCAGGGAATAGGGAAATGAATGCGGACTTTTTCTAACTGATTTAGATGGTCTGTCTGACCTCTCTAGAAAAATATGTGTGTATGTATATTTTGAAATATATAAGGAATGTTAAGTCTTTCTCTTCCCCTTTTTAGCCTTAGATTGTAAGCAAAAGAAATCAAGGTCAAGATCTGGAAGCAAGAAGAAAATGCTAACATTACCTCATGGTGCTGACGAGGTTTACATTCTCCGATGCAGGTATATGCCTATATTGCCAAATCTGATCAGTTTCTTCATACTTTGCTTTGAAACATATTAGCTATTTCATTTGGGATTTTTAATTTGTGGCAGAGTGCATTCTCAACAATCAAGTTATAAATGAACTTTTGGAGATAGGCTTAAAATCTTAATTCAGCTCACAATATCCGTACTTCAACAACTAATGAATCAAGTTTTTTACATTAGCCAATAGTAATGTAAATCTATTATACTGTGATTTATTAAAGTAGCTTGGCCAGGTGTGGTGGCTCATGCCTGTAATTCCAGCACTTTGGGTGGCCAAGATGGGTGGATCACTTGAGGCCAGGAGTTCAAGAGCAGCCTGGCCAACATGATGAAACCTCGTGTCTACTAAAAATACCAAAATTAGCCAGGCTTTGTAGCGGGTGCCTGTAATCCCAGCTACTTGGGAGGCTGAGGCAGGAGAATTGCTTGAGCCCAGGAGGCAGAGGTTGCAGTGGGCCGAGATCGTGCCACTGCACTCCAGCCTGAGCGACAGAGCAAGACTCTGTCTCAGAAAAAAGAAAAAAAAACTGGCTTTCCTTGTGTTTATTTGGTTTGTATGGTTTAATTTTGTTTGGTTTGATGTTTTGTTGTCTTGAGTTCTCGCTTATTGGGAACACATTTTCTCTCCCCTCATAGTCACGCCTTCTTCCGTACTCACACTCACACACAACACACATGAAGAAACATAGACACAATGCCATTTAAGGAATGCTAAACTGGGGAAGGGTCTTTTCTAAAGAATGACATATTTTGGAGTAATAGTTGTTGTTTCAAGTGAATTAAGATGTGTAGATGTTAATTTTAAAATAATAATGCTCCCACCTATACAAAGATTACTGGAGTTTATTATAGCTGTTAATAAACATATGAATTGGGAGTTTTGATGTTTTATTAAATCATTTGACTTTAGAAACTTTATCAATTGCTGTCTTTAAAATATGATAAAGTTTATTCCTTATGTTTTAGGATTTTGTGTGAATTAGTTTTAAAGAAAGAGAATTGGTCATGTTAAGAGAATTGTTATCTTTCTGTAGGTTTTGTGGCCTAGTCTTTCGAGGACCCTTGTCTGTTCAGGAAGACTGGATTAAGCACTTACAACGACATATTGTAAACGCTAATCTTCCACGGACTGGAGCTGGCATGGTGGAAGTCACGTCACTACTTAAAAAGCCTGCCTCCATTACAGAAACTTCATTTTCTCTACTAATGGCCGAAGCAGCTTCATAGAACCAGGAAACCTTTTAAATAGCCAGTTTGAATTGGATGTAAATTTGAAATTCTTTTTTTTTAAGCCACATTAAATTATCTGTTTATAAATACTAAAGCAGGAAAATGGGGGGAAAGTGAATTACAGTGACATCAGAGCAAATTGAATACTTAAAACAGTAAGTAGTCTATATATTTTATATAGGGTGGAAGATGTGTTTTTAAGGTTTATGAAGTTTTGTTGGTTAACTGTGTTCACTCAGTAAAAGAGCAGTACATGTAAGCAGCCATTAATAAACTGTTGCACATGGATACTTATAGACAGACTTATTGGACAATTATGTTTTTTGCAGTGTTACCAGAATCAAGGCTCTGTTTATTCCCCACAAGACTTGCATAGAAAAATAAGATATTATATTTTGTTTGTATGTATTTAGTGTTTTGTATAATACCAAGAACCGCTGACTAAATTTACTCAAATTAGGGCATTAAATATCATGTACTTCATAGTTTGAGACTGTTCACTCAAATAGGGCAGAGTACTATTCTATCTAGATGTGTAAGTGTTTTTTTTAAAATCACATGGAACGGTTTTTTTTATACTAAAAAGTGGAGGGAGATTTGTTTAAACAAGTATTTCTAAAAGAAATATGTACATAGTTCTGGAAATTATTTGTGGTAAGGAAATATTCTTTACTCCAGTTGCATTTCTCAGACAATAAAGTGGTGCATCCATGCTACCTCCTACTTTGTCAACAAAGATGCTATTTACCCTTTACATTTTTGTATCATAATAGATTTTAAAAATCTAATGTTCTTTATTGCAAGACATTCTTTTGTTAACAGGTTTGTTTCTTTTTAATGTTTTACCTAAAATTTGACATGCTTACAGGACAGGTTTGCCTCTTACTTTATTTAACATTGTAGAAATGTAATTAATAAACAATGCTCACTACACAGTTTAGAATAGACGTTCTCATTTATATTATCTTCCAAATTTGATCAGTTAGCAAAACTTAATACACCAATTAAAATATTTCTACATATGAGAATGTTTACAATTTAAATTTTAGAACTTGTTTTGGATGTGATTATATGTACGAAAATCGTGTAACACTATGCTCATGCTAAGAACCGACATAACAGAATTACTGAAATAAATGTGCTGTGAGGAATGGAAAATATGGTGCAGGTGTCTTGGTCATGATAAATTGTGATTCTTTTTAAAAATTTTTTCCAAAAACAATTAGGTATTTTAATCTGAAATCAGATTCCTTTACAAACAACAAGTTTTTGTATGCAAGCACCATTTTATTTCATGTAGTATGGCTAATACTATAGTTGAACCAAGGATATGCATTGATTCTTTGCTTCGTATGTAAATAAAGTTAAAAACAGTTAAAATAAGGAGTATTTTGGTAGAGTATATACATACCTCACTGCCAGTGAAATTGCTTTCCTATGGTATATCTCCTTACCAGAAAAATCTCTAAATAAAAAAAGGTTTAAAGAAAATTAAAATGTGAAACATTTCTTATTTTTATCATTGGTGGTAATAGTTCACTTCAGGTTGTGTTTCATTGGATTTAAATTGTTTATCCTTGCCAGGTTACTTGGATCACAGAGCATAGTTTTTCTAGAATCACCTCATTGGTCAATATAATGTATGTGAGAAAAATCATTTTCCCCCTTTCATGATTAATCAAACCTCTAAATTCAGAGCCATCTTATATGCAAAATTAGAAGGTTGGACTAGTTGGATCATTCCCAACCAAGGGTCTCCTGATCCTTAGGTTAATAGATAAGGGAATAGTACTTGTAAGTTATTTTCAATTTTACAAAAGTCCCGATAAAAACTATGTATTTGTCTATAGTGACAAAACTAACTAAAACATCCCATTTCTTTACTTTTGACTGAAAATATACCAAGTCTGTATATATTGGTTATCTCTTACTGAACAAGTTTCGTTGATAGTTATATGTCTTTGAATATATATTTTTAAATTGGAAGACATACTACATAGCAAGTGGAGTCCAGAAGTAAAAACCAAACAAACAAACAAAAATCATAGGAATCTTGTGGGAAGGCTAGTAATCACTAGAGCCCCTTTCCACTCTAATTCTTTTTTTTTTTCTTTAAAGACAGAGTTTTACTCTGTCACCCAGGCTGGAGTGCAATGGTGTGATCATATCTCACTGCAGACTCAACCTCTCAGGACTCAAGTGATCCTCCCACTTCAGCCTCCCAAGTAGCTGGAATTAAAAGCACATGTCATCACTCTTGGCTAGTTTTTGTATTTTTCGTAGAGACAGAGTTTTACCATGTTGCCCAGGCTGTGCTTGAACTCCTGGGCTCAAGAGATCCTTCCGCCTCCGCCTCTCAAAGTGTTGAGATTACAGGCATGAGCCACCACACCTGGCCTCCTAATTCTTACACTTCTATGATTTTGTCTTATCAGGCCAAATATCAACATGTGTGAATACAAGTAGAAGAATTAGTTTGACCACAAGTTTCGGAATCAAAACTACATTTAATTTTAAAATATGTTGAACTATATGTAAACAATTATTTCTCCTTCTAGTTATATAAAGAATTCAGTCATCAGAATAAAATATTTCACATCAGAAACAGTAGACTAGAGTGACTCCTGAAAAGTAAATTAAGCAAAGAGCATTTTTCATAGTAAAGATATTTGGGTTACAAAATTTAAAGAATTCTTTAGGAAGCATTCAAAATTCGTCTTTTATTTGGCAACTAGAAAATTAATAATATGTTTTCATTTGGTTCCCACTAGAAGAAAAGTATAAAATATTGTCTCAATTTACATGATAGATTTTTATGTCAGCATATGGCCTGATTTATCATTCAGTATTGACTAATTTTCTTTTAATTCTTTTACCATTGCCTGAGATATGCAAGCTTCTAATGCTAAATTAGGGCTTTAAAAAATTCCAGTCTGGGCCAGGCGCAGTGGCTCACGCCTGTAATCCCAGCACTTTGGGAGGCCGAGGCGGGCGGATCGCGAAGTCGGGAGATCGAGACCATCCTGGCTAACACAGTGAAACCCCGTCTCTACTAAAAATACAAAAAAATTAGCAGGCGTTGCTGCGTGCGCCTCTAGTCCCAGCTGCTGGGGAGGCTGAGGCAGGAGAATGGCATGAACCTGGGAGGTGGAGCTTGCAGTGAGCCAAGATGGTGCCACTGCACTACAGCCTGGGTGACAGAGCAAGACTCCGTCTCAAAAAAAAAAAAAAATTCCAGGCTGCAGTGTTGATTTATTTAATGGCTTCAAGACAAAAAGGTTAACTTCTATGTATTATTTTCCACTATACTTCTTTAGAGTATATTAGAACTGTGGCATAACTCATATCTGTATTTTAGATTTTACTTATTTAATTATGGGTTGGGGAGATAATGATTTCTCAGTAATTTACTAGACAAACTTTTTTAAAGGACATATACATAACTTCTCAAGGACTGTCCAATTAGAATACAAAGTCCAAAGGATCACTCTGGGTTTTTCCTCACTAAGAAAATGTAATAGACCAGGCACAGTAGCTCACGCCTGTAATCCCAGCACTTTTGCAGGCTGAGGTAGAAGGATCACTTGAGCCCAGGAGTTCAAAATCAGCCTGAGCAACATAGTAAGACCCCATCTCTGAAAGAATTAAAAAAAAAGGCATGGTGGTGTGCACCAGTAGTCCCAGCTACTCAGGAGGCTGAGGTGGGAGGATTGCTTGAGCCCAGGAGTTCAAGGTGAACACAGTGAGCTATGACCATGCCACTGCCCTCCATACTGGGGCAACAGAGTGAGGCCCAGTCTCTTAAAAAAAAAAATGTAATCTATGCCCATTTAAAAAATATTAGAAAAACAAAAAAATAAAAATTGGGGAAATCACCTGTGATAGTATCACTCAAAGATACCTACTTTTAAATAGCTTGATATATTTATTTCTTTTATCTATCTTACTATTTCAATATAATTATGATCAGAATGTATTATAACGTATCTTGTTTTACCATTAATTTTAAATTCAGGTGCTGTATTGTATAGATTAACCTTTGAATACCACATAAATATATGTTAACCCTTGAATGTGACAGAAGCCAGTCCCCATCTGTGATATTTCAAATGACAGACTAGAATCACTTTTCATCCCCACTGCAGAAGATAGCTATCATATTTATTTCAACAATGGGAACTTGTTTTCTTATTTTGAGGGCCAGCCACATTCAATTATAGATCTTTCATCAGTAGCCATACCTTTACTACAACCTTGGTTTTTCTTATCACAAATTATTGAATAATACCTGTAATAGTTTAGGCAAACGACAACTGTAATAATAAATAAAATTTACAGAATTGATTCTTCATACTGCATGGTTCTTAGATTAGACCAGAAGTCAAGGTGAACAAAGAGTGCATATAATCTAATAAATTATTGATTTATTTCTTGTTAAAATTTTAGATAAGAAAAAGAAAAAAATACTTATAATTCCCTACATTAAAAATTCATCATATGCCCCCTAGTCTTTTTTTTCTGTTTGTAGAATTTTTCCTTTAAAAAAAAAAAAAAAAGAATTTGCTATGTAGAAATTGACCCTTTATTCTATTAGCAGTAGATCCATGAGCATTTTCATGCCACTAAATATTCATCTTAAATATACTTAAATTTTTTACAATTTTCCATTATCCTATACATTATTTACTCCTCCATTATTACTCATGTTATATTGTCTCCAGGATTGGGCATCATAAAGAATACTTTTGTCGGCCCAGCACAGTGGCTCATGCCTGTAATCCCAGCACTTTGGGAGGCTGAGGTGGGCAGATCACCTGAGGTCAGGAGTTCAAGACCAGCCTGATCAACATGGTGAAACTCCTTCTCTACTAAAAATACAAAAATTAACTGGGCATGGTGGCAGGCGCCTGTAATCCCAGCTACTTGGGAGGCTGAGGCAGGAGAATCACTTGAACCCAGAAGGTGGAGATTGCAGTGAGCTGAGATTGTGCCATTGCACTCTAGTCTGGGCAACGGAGTGAGACTCAGTCTCAAAAAAAAATGTTTTTGATGATTATTCTTGCAGTAAATTGTACACATCCAAAATTATTTCCTTAGAATAAATTTCTAGTAGTAGAGTTAATCAAGAGTTGAATATTCCTCAGTTGAGGCTTTATGTATACATTTCCAAATTACTATTCAGAAAGGTTATATAACTATATTCTCCTAACTTCAATGTATGGAGACTGGTTTCAGTTCCTCTCATCCTTGCCAGTATATTCTAAACGAAACAAAACTTTGCTTATTTAGTATGTAAAAAGTGGTATTGTGTTCATTTTTAACTGGTAAATGAAAACAAAATATGTGAACTTTTGTTCTTAAAGACATTACCTTTCTGATTTAAAATGAATATAATTATATATAATAACATAATACATACAATTATATTTTGCTGGATAATATGTCTAAAATAACTTAAGCTCTGATTTCATAATTGGCCACCAGGATAATGGAGAGTTTTAAGTGTCCTTAACCTGTAGTCTTTTTCAAGAGATCTTTGACTATTGTATTATGTGGTGTGTCTATACATTTTTCTGGGAGCTCCATAGCACTTAATTGCTCTGTGACCCCCACCTACCCCCAAAAAAGTAAACAGTAACTTCTTTGAAAGTAGCATATGTCACCATATCAACTGTCAAGTGTTTTGTGTTTTTGAGTATAATCCTAGACAAATTTTAATTAAAATTAACCCTCAAAATCTTCCGGCATATAAATTGGTGTTTGGGAATTAAAAAAAAACTTCTGGCATAGGTTTTTTCGTTTGCTTTTATATAATGTGAAAAATAGCATTAAATGTGAATTGTTTTGTGTCTTCTGAACAAGTTGGTAGACAAATATTATTTAGAAGTTTGCTCTAAAAAGATGATTTCTTAAGGATATAAATCCAGAGATTTAGTTCTTTCTTAAGTTTCTAAGGTCAAACTCGTGGTTTTTTGTTTGTTTTTTTCTATTGATGAGTTTAGCAAATTTCAGCAAATACTTTGAAGTAAGGAGCTTTTAGATAATGTGTAGTCACATTTACAACCTTAGTAGAATTTTAAAAACATTTAAAAGTGCATTTCTAAATTCAGTATATTCAGTTTCTATTTCAAGAACCTCTGTTCCCTGATTTAAAACCTTTTCAAGTACATAAGTATCTTTTATAAATAGAACAAATTAGTCTTAATATGTAGAACCTTGAATTATCTTGGCTATTTCAATGCCTCAGATAACTTAATAAGATTTCTACTTTAAAATGATTAGTACAAGTCCATGTTGATTACTCATTTACACATTTTTAGATTGGATTTAGGAGGCTGAACTGTTAGGCTAATAGACCAGATAATTCTTAAATATTATAAATACTCAAAATGTTTAAAGTATGAACAAATTGCCACTTACCAAATTGGCTTTATTGTGAGATAAAGTACGTAAATATGTTACTCTGATATTTAAAGAAATAACCTTAATTACCCTAAAGACAAGATGTAGAACATTGCCAGCATCCCCAATTAAATTCTCTTTCTTCTGTTTACCATTATTCTGACTTTTCTAATAATCATTTGTTTACCATTCTTAATAGTTTGACCTCTTAGAAAGCATGCAGTCTGCTTTGTCCTCATAGAAATGGAATTACACTGCGTGTCCTCTTTTGTGACCTGTTGCTTTTGCTTAATACCGTCTTTGAAGTTCATCTCTGTTTTTGTTAGTAACTATAGTTTATTCATTTTCATTGTTGTATTTTTTTTTTTTTTTTTTGAGGCGGAGTCTTCTCTGTTGCCCAGGCTTGAGTGCAGTGGCGCAATCTTGGCTTACTGCAACCCTCGCCTCCCGGGTTCAAGCAATTCTCCTGCCTCAGCCTCCTGAGTAGCTGGGATTACAAGCGCCCACCACCATGCCCGGCTAATTTTTTTGTATTTTCAGTAGAGATGGGGTTTCACCATGTTGGCCAGGCTGGTCTCGAACTCCTGACCTCAAATGATCCACCCGCCTCAGCCTCCCAAAGTGCTGGCATTACAGGAGTGAGCCACCACACCCGGCTTCACTGTTGTATATTATTATTATAGATATGACACATTTAATTATCCATTTTTGTTCTTGATAGACATTTGAGTTGTTTTCAGCTTATGGCTTTTAAAAGCTGTGGAGCTATGAACACTTTTATTATGTCTCATGATGAACATCTGTGGGTTTCTCTTAAGGTACATGCCAAGGAGTGGGATTTTTTAGTCATAGACTATATAGTTTATGCTTCTTAGATAAAGCCAAACTTTTCTAAAAAATGATTGTGCATGTTTTTACTCCCAGAAGGACTGTGTCAGAGTTCTTATTCCTCTGTATTCTCACTAACACAGTCAGACTTTTAAATTTTTACTCATTGGTGCATATAAATGATATTTCATTGTGAACTTAATTTACATTTCCCTGATTACTATAAGGCTGATTATTCTTTCTTAGGTTTATTGGCCACCTATGTTTCTCTTTTGAAAAATGTTTTTACTGATCGCCCATTTTTTTCTATTGGGGTGTCTGTCTTTTTCCATATTGACTCTTAGCAATTCCATTAATCCTTAGGTTGTATGTGTTGCAGATATCCTCTACTTTGTGACTGTACTTTTCACTTGCTTTATGGTGACTTCCAATAAATCCTTTTAAATTTTTTAGTCATTTTATGGCACATGTTCTTGGCTTTTGTATGTCTGGTGATGCCTTTATTTGGTTAATTTTTTTTTTCACTGTTTAGGGTTTATTTGATGTTTTAGTTAGTATGGATATTCACTTAATTCTAGAATGATATTTTTACTGGGTATGGAATTCTATATTGATAGTTATTTTTTCCTCACAGATTGAGGCTATTCCATCATTTTCTGCCTTGTTCTTGGAAGTTCAGTTGTTGCTCATCTTAAAATAATCTGTTCTCTATTTTCTGGCTGATTTTTAGACATTTATATTAATCTCGAGTTTTTAAAGTTTTCCTCTAATATGTCTGTGGGAATTTTTTTGTTGTTGTCAAGTTTGAGATCTCTGCTGGGATTCTGGAAATTTCCTGGCTGTTATTTATCTCTCAACTGTTTTTTCTGCCCCATTTTCTCTCTCTGGTTCTTTTGGGACTCTAAATATAAGTTAAATCCTTCTCACTGTGCTTTCTAGATTTTTTGTCTTCTCTGTTTTCTTTCTCTTTGTCTCTCTGTGCTGCATTCTAGTTTCTTCCCCTGATTTTCTCAGCGACTGTTACTTCAGTTATACTATTATTCAGATCTAGAATTTCCATTGGCTCTTTTTCAGATATACTTTTTATTGTTTTTAGTACCCTAGGTTGGCTTTTATTTCTTTGAATATGGTGCAAATAGTTATTTTTACATTCTGTGTTTGATAGTTCTGGGACTCCAAAATGTGGGTCAGATTCTGTTAGTAGTTGATTTTTTCTGCTTGTTCATGGCGTCTTGTTTTCTTATATGCCCATATGTTTGACTATGTGGTGGACATTGTATTTGAAATGTATTATAGAACTATTTTCAGGCCTAGGACAGTATCTTCTCCCATAGGATTTTCATTTACTTCTGCCAGGTGTCTAGGGGTGCTACTAGTTCAGAACACCCTAATCCAAGTTCATGTCTTGCATTTACCTGGCCTACTAAGATGACCCAAAGTCAGGCTATAAGAGCTATCTCATGGGAAGGCTGGTTTTACAACTGGTTCACCTTTTGCCCTGTGGGTATAGTTTTGTTCTTCTAGCCCCATGAGGCCATTGAAAGTGCAATTTAGTTTTATAGCTATTTATTCAGATCGGACATTTCCCCCTGGGCAAAACTAAAATGTATCCCTGCTGGATGGCCTCACTGAGTTTCTTGTCTTAAGATTTTTTTTTTTTCTGTGAACTCTGCGGAGAAGTATCTTTCGGATTTTTGGCTCAGTAATCCTTCACTGTCATATTAGTTCTTTGATGCCTATATGAAGTTTTTGTTTTTATTAATCCAACATTTTAATAAATCATTATAAATTTTCTGAGATTGGGCATGTTGTATGTTTTGTTCACTTCTATTCTAGAAGAGTACTGGTATATAGCATGCATCCAGTAGTTACCGAATGATTGAGTTTTGTTTGTTTTTGTTGTTTTTTGTTTTTTTGAGTCTGAATCTTGCTCTATCGCCTAGGCTGGAGTGCAGTGGCATGATCTCAGCTCACTGCAACCTCCGCCTCCTGGGTTCAAGCGATTCTTGTGACTCAGCCTCCCGAGTAGCTGGGATTACAGGCACCTGCCACCATACCCAGCTAATTTTTGTATTTTTAGTAGAGATGGGGTTTCACCATATCGGCCAGGTTGGTCTCAAACTCCTGATCTCAAGTGATCCACCCACCTTGGTCTCCCAAAGTGCTCAGAAGACAGACATGAGCCACTGCGCCCAGCCTGTGAATTAGCTATTTTAAAGCATTGCGTTTTTTTCTTCCACGTATATTTTAGAATTAGTTTGTCAAATTTGGGAACATCCTGAGATTTGGCTTAGAACTACACTGTAATTTGTGGAAAACGGGAAAATATAAGTCTTCCCTCTTAGGAACATGATATGTTTTTCCATTTATCTTTGTATTTTATGTCCTATGGGAAAGTCCTATAGTTTTCTTTATAGAGAACTGCACATTTCTTTTAAAATGTATTTTTATGTATCTTAGTTTTTGTTTTTGTTGCTAGTGAAAGAGGGGTTTTTATACCAGAATTTTCTAATTCAATATTGATACAAAGGAATCCATTCAATCCTATCATGCTGAACTCATATTCTAATATTTTTTCTGTAAGTTATCTTGAAATTTCTAAGTAGCCAATCATCTCAAAAAATCATCTCTTGCTTTCCAATTTTATTCCTATTCTTTTTCTTGTGTTCTTATATTATGAAGGATCCCCAGTACAGTATTAGCAATATATTAGCAGGTATTTCTCTCTTGCTTCAGATTATAACAAGGATACTGCTGTCATTATTGAATGTAATTTTGCTGAAAGTTTCTTGTAAACAGTTTGAGTTGAAAAGAGTTTATTTCTTGTTGGATAAGGGTTTTTGCATGTTTTTGTTTCAAATAACAAAGGAAACATCGATTTTAATAAGTATTAACTTTTGTTGAGATTGCCATGTGATTTTTTTCTTCTTTAATCGGTTGATACTAATAAAATATATTAATAGGCTTTTAAACATTAAGTCATCCTTAAATGCCTTTTTATAATCATGATGTGTTGGTTAATACTGTACAATTGATTTGTTTCTGCAGGTTGAGTATCCCTAATCTGAAAATCCAAAATGCTCCAAAATCCTTGAGTCACTCCCTTGAGTGTTGACATGATGCCACAAATGGAAAATTCCACACCTGACCTCATGTGACAAGTCACAGTTAAAACAGTCAAAACTTTGTTTCATGCACAAAATTATTTAGAATACTGTATAAAATTACCTTCAGACTGTGTATAAGGTGTATATGAAACAAATGAATGTTGTGTTTATACTTGGATCACATCCCCAATATGTTATGTAAATAATATAAGGATTATGTATATAACCTAATAATTTCTTTGGGTTTTGAAATATTTGCATATCTAATATAGAATATTTGCATAAATCTAATATATGTAAATATTTCAAAACCTAAAGAAATCCAAAATCTGAAACACTTCTGTTCTTAAGCATTTCAGATAAGGGATACTCAATCCATATTTCATTGAGGAATTTTTTTCATATATGTTTATTAGTAATATTGGCCTGTACCTTTCTTCTGCCTTACTTGTCTGGAATCTAAGTTGGGCTAGCCTAAGAAAATGAGTTAGGAAATTTAAATTTGTCTATGCTTTGACAGGGTTTTCATATCATGGACAATATTGCTTTCTTAAAGATTTGATGGTACTCATCCATAAACTCATCTGAGCCTGTTACCTTTTGAGAGATCAATATTTTGGAGAAGTTTACTGTTTCTTCTATAATCATAGATTGTTAGGGTTTTTTTCTTCTTTTTGAGCCAATTTTGGTTATACGTTCCTAGAAGAGTATCTATCTATCCTAGATTTTCCAAAATTTTGGAGTAACTTCTAGATAATATCCTCTTAAAAGTTATTTAATCTCTGTCATTTCCTCATTTACTGATGTTTTATTCTCTTTTTCCTTAATTAAACTTACTGAAGGTTTTTTCTGGGGTGTTTGTTTTTCAGTCTTTACAAGAACTTACTCTTGGTATTTTATTTATTAACTCTTCTACCTTCCAACCTAAATTTTATTTCCCACCTTTCTGGTTTTCTAGTAATTACATGTAAGGCTACATGTTTTTCTGTCCATGTCAATTTGATATCCCACAGGTGTAGATATACTAGAGCTATTGTTATTTACTTTTTACATTATATTTCAACTTTGATTTACTTTTTAACCAATTTCTACAGAACTTTTGGGAATTTGTTGAAATTTTTTCTGTGGTCTAAGATCTGTAATTACTTGTTGGTAGTGTTTAATGTGTTTGAAAATAATGTATAATCTTTTTTTGGTATAGAATTTTATATATTCGTGATATATCGTTTATTTACATATATTTTAAAATATAATTTATATCATATATATAGTCTGGATTTAAATGATGCTGTTTTAATTATCTATATTTTAATCATATATTTTCTTTCTTTCTTTTTTTTTTTTTTTTGAGACAGAGTCTCGCTCTGTTGCCCAGGCTGGAGTGCAGTGGCACAATCTCGGCTCACTGCAATCTCCGCCTCCTGGGTTCAAGCGATTCTCCTGCCTCAGCCTCCCAAGTACCTGGGATTACAGGTGCCTGCCACCGTGCGTGGCTAATTTTTGTATTTTTTAGTAGAGGTGGAGTTTAGCCATGTTGGCAAAGCTGGTCTTGAACTCCTGACCTCAGGTGATCCACCCGCCTCGGCCTCCCAAAGTGCTAGGATTACAGGCACGAGCCACTGTGTCCGGCCTACTCATCTATTTTCTATATAATTTGTCAGATTCTATGAAAGATAGTTTAGGATCTCAGTGTGATTGTTTTGTATCTGTTTCTGCTAAACCTCAGTTTATTTTTTAACCTTGTTTTTAAGTATATAGAGGTTCGTTGCTATTATATCTACTTGGTAGATTGTTCAGTTTTTCAAATACAAAAAAAAAAGGAGGGATATCTTTTTTCCTTCTTTCCTAATGTCAGTTTATTTTGGACGTAGAGCTAGATTTTCTTATTATTTCACCCAAGTTAAGATGAGTAGGTAAATACAACGATTCATATTTTTGTGCATATGTTTACACTTACTCTTAACATATTATGGTTTCTATGTATTGTGCTTTCTTAAGGATTCCTTTTCCAACTTTTATTGGATTGATTGAGGAGTTTTTGGTTAATTTTTATGCATATATTTGTATAGAATAATATAGGACAGAGAGAAATACCTCTTTTCTTAGATAATACATGTAGTTTTCTAGATATTTTTTAAAAAATTGTTTTAACCCATCTGGAATTTACTTTGGCTTTTACAGTATTATATAGGAGTCCATTTCTTATACCAAAAATGGATATCAACACCACTTACTGAACAGTTTTTCTTTGTCTAACAGAATTAAACAACTTTGTCACATATCAAATTCTTGTGTAACCTAGGATCTGCATCTGGAATCTCTATTCTGTTCAACTATTCTTTTTGTCTTTTTCTTAATCAATACCATATTTATTTGATTGCAGAGTTAATACTATATTCTAATAATGGCAGAACAGTTCCCTGTCCTTCTTGAGAATATACTTACCTCCTTCACTGCTGTCACAGTGAGAACTTCAGAATGATTTTGCTACCCTTCTCTTCTAAATTTTGCGTCCTTATTGTCATAATCCTAAGAAATCTATCCCTCCCCAATTAAATTTAAATTTACATGAGTAACCAGTGTTTCCTATTCTCTAATTCCATCTTGAGGCCTCTTTTCTAGTTACTTTTCTTTTGCCCTGAAAGATGAATAATTAATTGGCCAGGTAAAGGATCACTGGAGGCAGTCCATTCTCTCAGGGTGGATAGATGCTGTTTGTCTCAGGGTGGATAGACTGGCTCTTTCATTGCCAGTGTAACCTCTTTCCTTATAAGTAACTTGTTCTTTCTGCCTGGATGTTTATAAGATCTTCTGTTTAGAGTTCAGGAACTTTACCAACCATGTCTAAATGTACAGCTTGGGACTTACTGAGTAGATTTCAGTCTTTCTCTAACTCAGGTAAAATTTTCTACTATTACCTGCTGAATAATTTTATTTTTTTCATTTATTCCTTTGTCTCCTTCTAGAACTCCCATTGTATGTTAGATTTCTTTGATCCATTCTTTAAATCTTTTCCCTCACAGTTTCCATTTACATATGTTTGCTTTGTACTTTGAGATATTTCTTGTGCTTAGTGACCATCCTCCTTTTAAAACTATCATTCAAATTTTTTTTGTTTTTTTTTTTTAAGAGACAGGGTATCGCTCTGTCACCCAGGCTGGAGTGCAGTGGCAGGATCATAGCTCACTGCAGCCTTGAACTCCTGGGCCCAAGTGATCCTCCCACCTCTGCCTCCCAAGTAACTGGGATCAAACCACCATGCATAGCCCTCATTTAAAAATCTATTTAAAAAATAATGTTACTAAACTTTTGGAAGTTGTGCGTGTATGTGTATGTGCTGCACGTGAATCACCTTAAATGCTCTTATTTTTATTCATGTTTTCATCTTCTCTAGTATTTCTGTTTTACTAAAGGTGTATTCTGATTACTCTGCTCATTTTCCTCTTATTGCTGGGCCTCCTTAAATGGGTTATTTTTGTTTTTCAGCTCATTGAATTCTGGCCTGTTTGTTGTGGTGTCCTACATGTTAGTAATCCACCAAGCAGTAGATAGTGAAGTGGCAGTTCCTGCTGAAGTACCTGAAGGATGTGTCTGGTCCCTTATCACCCTGAGCTCTCTGGGAGATAATCTCTGGGTCTCAAGATAAGGGGGACTCAGTCCACTTACTCTTTCAAAAATACATAGTACACTTACTTGTGGGCCAGAATTGACCTTCTTCCCTGGAGCCTACATATTCCTGATATTCAGTCTCTCCCAAGGTGCATCTTCTGGTCCTCCACACTGAGCTTCCAACACTTGAAGAAGAAAGTTGCATATTGGTTCTCTTTTCTCTAATAGGACCCCAGCAGAGTGCCAAGCCTCATACACATCTACACCAGCTACTACAAGTCCCAGTCACCATCTGGCTTAGGAGAAGAGTAGAGGAAAGGGAACCTGTATTGAAATCACCCATGCATTTTATCTTTTTTCTCCAGCAACACAAGAACTTTAGTATGCTTTACTTCCCTCATGTTCAGCAACTTTTTTTTTCCTTTTGATCACTTGAAATTTGGCTTCCATATTTTTTTAATTTATTAATTTTAAGTCTTGACCCTTTATTACTTAATATTCTGTGTGAAGAAATGGGAAAAATGCATAAAGCATTTCTGCTGCATACTGAAGTGTAGTGGTTGCCTCAAAGAAAATTATATGCAGTTTGAGTTCCAAGCTGAACTAGTTACTATTTTTATGGAACATTTTTGCAGATTGTGGTAAACTTGATATAACAGAATTAACCATTTTAAAGTAAAAAATTTAGTGACATTTAGTGCATTCACACTGTTGTCCAACAGCCACCTCTACCTAGTTCCAAAATGTTTTCATTACCCCAAGAAGAAACCCTGTACATAGGAAGCACTTGCTCCCCATCTTCCCTTACCCCCAACCACTGGCAACCACCAGTCTATTTTGTCTCGGTGGGTTTACCTGTTGTACTTCCGTATTATTTTTTAATCAGTATTTTGTAATTTAATTCTTAAGTTCACCTTCCATGGTTTTTTATACATGTTTTACTCTTAGATTAGTTAGAATACAACCTCAAGGAGCTTTTTTTCACAAAGGGCTGTAACCTTATGGGTGGTATGCTCTCTGAATCTTTGTACATCTGAAAATGTACTTCCAGTTTGTCTAGGGGTAGAATAGATTTTCCCCTGGGCCTCTGAAGATTGTTCCATTGTCTTATATCTAGTATTGTGGTTAGTCTGGTGCCAATCTGGTCTAATTTCTTTGTCAATCTCCTACCCTCCCCCATGAAAGTTGTAAGATTATCTTTTTATCCTTAATGTTCTGAAAGTTCACCAAGATGTGTCATTTTTCCTTCATCCTGATCAATACTTTGTAGGCATTCTCAATTTGAGGACCAATGTCTGTTTTCAGTTCTGGGATACTTATTTTTATCATTTCTTGTTTCCCTTAATTATTTCTGTTCTGTCCTTGGTGGCACTTCTTTCTGGGTGTATATTAGGACTTATAAATCTATCCTCCATGTCTCTCTTAGTTTTTTATTGCACTGTCCTGTGGGAGAATTCCTTAGCTCAGTCTTCCATCACAGGTTGACTTTAAAGCTCTGTGCATTCTGCTCATCAGCTATCTGATGAGTTGTTTTGGGGTTTGATATTTTGGTTTGTTTGTTTATTGGCACTCAACACTTTCTATATCTAAGATCTTTAATTGTTCTTCTTAAGGATCCATTTTGTTTTGTGGATATGATTTCCTCTTGGCCCTCAGGAATTATATATATTTTTAAGTCTCTTTACTCTATTGAATGTTTTCTTGGGGTTAGGTTTTCCTCACATATTTGGTGATTCGTGCTTGTTTGCTCATCTTATGTTTTAGGTTCCTTGCTAGCCTTTCTGCAAACGTTATATTAATTCAGCCTGTTTCTGGTGATTGTAGGGAAAGAGTACAACATATAAATATTGAGTTTTCTAGAAATGGAGGCTGTTTCTGTTTTTGGTATTGTAGAGCAATGTCATAGCCTTGCCACATCTGAACTAAGAGAACCCCAGCCTCCAGAGCCTTTACCACCTGTTGTAGCAATCTTCCCATGTATCGTTTGGGTTAATTTCCTCATTTTATTAGATTTCTTTTGCCTTCTGTTTCTTCAGTTATTACAATTTTTTATTAACCAAAATATGCTATTTTTCCCCCAACCCTGTTACAGATTTAAATTTTTTCTTTATGTCAGTTTTTAGGGATTAGAGGATCCTGCAGTATAGTCTCTTTTTTTAATTGATTGAAGAATTGTTCATGTAAATATGAGTGATACATTATTTCCCTAAACCACTGTAAAGTCAAGTCTAAGGCATGGTAGTTATGCTTCAAAAGTGTTCTTTTTCAGCTGCCTCAAATCCTCTATTTTTTTTTCTGTGCCTAACTTTTTTAAGTCCTTTCAGATTATCACAACAATGCTGTCTTTCTACTCTCTACAACCACTGGATATGTATTTTTTATGAGATACGTAGAAAAAGACAAGGAGGAAAAGTATTTTTGTAATATGTTAACCTAAAACATAAAGTGATTTAAATGAACACATTTTTTACCCTGTGATTTAAGTTGTATATTCTGCATTCTGCTTTTTTTGTTTGTTTTTAGAAGGTGATGTTTACTGCTATTCATTTCTCTTTGCTTAAGGTGGTAACCAAGCTGCTAATTTGGAATACTTGTTATGGTACCATTTCAGAACTAAAACATTACTTACCAAAGGTGAATGATATCATGTGAACATGGTTTTTGCAGACCCTCCTAATATTTCGTATAATATGTTTAAGTCTGTACATCATAGATCATAGCTTCATGGGCCCTCTTCTCACTTAGGAGGCCAATACAATGAAGACTTAGGGCCATTCACTAGGAAGATGGAACTTATATTCGCTCATGTATAACGTTAAAGGTCTACTATTTCTGTTAGACATCTGGTAGTGTCATATTTTCTCTTCTGATAGGGCAGGCAAATGCCCTTGTCCTTGCCCTTCTACCTCCCTCCCTTCCTTTTTTCTTTTTTTTTTTTTTGACAAGGTCTCACTCTGTCACCCAGGTTGGAGTGCTGCGTGCAGCATGGTCGTAGCTGACTGCAGCCTCAAACTCCTAAGCTCAAGTGATCCTCCCACCTCGGCCTCCTGAGTAGCTGGGCCTACAGCCATGTACCACCACTCCTGGCTAATTTTTAAATTTTTTTTAGAAACAGGGTCTCACCATGTTACCCAGGCTGATCTCGAACTCCTGGCCTCAAGCAATCCTCCTTCCTCAGCCCTCCAAAGTGCTGGGATTATAGGCATGAGCCATCACCCCAGCCCCTTTCTGTCTAAGACTGGAGCTAATGTGGCTATTTGAATTGGTGATTGGGAACATTAGTATACAGTCTGCTGTGTGGTGTTGGGCCCACACAGTTTAAAAGGAAATCACTTTCTTATGCAGTTACTGCTAAAACCAAAGGGTTCTAAATGGTAATGCTGACACAACAGTAAATTTAATTTAATTCATACGAGAGGGAGGAAAGTTCTGATAGTATTTATTCTTCATTGTTATTTCTAAACTCTTCTTCGTCTTCTTTAAAAATCCTCAGCTTTGAAGCTCATGCTTCCAGGCTATACCACTGACAATTCCCCAGTATACCAAAGCCTTGAACATTTTTAGCTCCCGGTTACTCTCTACAACACTACCCCATTCTAAATCTTGAGATTTTATCGTCCAAGAGAAAGTGCCATTAAAGCAAGTTACCAAAGAAGGTGATATAATTAGCAGTATAATTGTCTTGGGGAAAAGTATTGGGCTCTAGGAAGGATAAGTGCAAAGGAGCATGGTTGGTGTTCTGAAGGAACCGGAAGAAGGCCACCGTGGCTGGAGAGAAACAAGTGGAAAAGTGGGAGATAGAGTCAGAGAAGTAATTTGGAGCTGGTCATGTAGGGCTTCTGTGTCATTGTAAGAAATGTAAGATCATAGGATGTCTCTAACAAACTTAGCCTTCACCCTTTCTTGGCCTCATACTCTCATCATGATGCTCTAAACCTTGTCTGTCTTCATGAAACTGCAGCCTATTTTTTCTCAGTTTCAATATTCCTACTCTCTGAACTACCACTTCTTATCCTTCTGATTTTACTGTCTCTTAAACCCTGACTCCAGTAATTCTTCAACCTCACCAGGGCCTAACAGTCCATTGATGTTACCACCTTTTCACTGACTCTCAGCTGCCATCCACCCCCTCCATGTTTTCCCTTAGTTCCTTACCCAAATTATATTCGTCGGTCTGTCATCAAGATCACTCTCTTATAATCACTCTTCCCTTGTCTGTCTCACTTTCTGTGCTCTCTTGGCAAAATCCCAACCCCAGTTAAACCATTCTCCACACTTACTTTCCTCCATCTTAAAACAAAAAACCTTTTTTTTGACCCCTGCCTTCTCCAGCTATCAGTCATTTCTGTTTTTCCTTTTAAAGCAAAACTTCTTGCGATAACCAGATAGCATTATGATACAGAGATAAAATTTATAATTATAGGTAATATTTATTGAGCACTTGCTATGTGTCAGACATCATTCTAAATATTTTACATATATTAATCTTTATTCTCACAGCAGTCCAGTGAAGTAGAAAATAGCATTTTTACAATGAGAAAAATGAGGCATAAAGACCAACTTTCTCAGTAACTGATCAATAGTAAGCGAAATTAAAAATCCAGGTGGTCTGGCATCAGAGCCTATGCCCTTTACTATTAGGATCTCAAGCAAAATGTGTTTTAAATGTCAGTTCTCCTGCAGGCAGCTAGCAGTACACTCCAGCTCCCAAGAGCGAGTATACCCTACTGCAGTTCTCATTCCTTATGAGGAGCAGGGCTAATAGGTCCTGGCTGTTGGGCATTGTGTTTGTTATAAGGTGGAGTTTTTCATGTTATCAGAAAGTTAAAAAGTGATTGCTTCTAGGCTGAGTGTTCTTTCTCTCTTGTAACCTTAGTGCTTTCTGGTTTCTTTATGCTTTTCATTTCTCGCTTACATCTCCTGTAAGTTCAGCTCAACACTGCCTGTCTCCGATAAAAGCATAAGCTCTACCTCATCCTATCCCTACCACATCGTAGGCCAAACAAGAACCAGAGTGGGGTCCCAGGAAAAGAAGTTCTAGAGAAGACTCTTCACCCTGATCTCTAGTCCAGAAAGAATCCTGGAGCTAAATCAGATTGGTAACCAGCAAGACTTCTTTGTCTGAATTGCTGCTTCTGCAATTGCTACTTTGGAATCTGTGGTGGCAATAGGTGGTAGATATTTGTTTTTTTAATCAGGCACCTGTGCTTTCTATCAAAGGGTTACCCCCTACCAATGACATAATTTTAAAACCCTTCAATTGGAGTTGTTTTCTATAGACCTTAATCTGATATATCCCTAGGGAACTTCTTTCTTAAATAATTGCCTGTAATCCATTATTTATTTGTCACTCCTTTCTTGTACTTATATTATATTCTTTGTTATATTTATCCTTTGGGAGTGGAAGAAATTCAGTTAAACATTTAGCATGTATGTTTTGTAACTATTGATTTAGAAAATTTTAAACAGTAAATCCTCAAAATCAATTTTTAAGTTTTAAGAGCAAGGAAAAATCAGAATAACGTTGGGTGACCTCTCCCACATTGTCATTGGCAGACACAGCAGAGATGCCCTTTCCTAAACAGTCACTGGCAAGGGATTACTATGATTGTCTTAACCCTTTTCTGCGTCAAATTGTAGAGTTTATTACCATACCTAGAGAGGAGTTGTTAGTATTTGTTATTTATTGGTTTTTGTTTGATTTTTTTGTTGTTCATTCTTAAAAGTTAAACTCTTGTCAGAGATAGTTTAAAATTCCTATTATAAAGAGCAGGCAAGTTTTTTTCAGCCATATTGTTATCCCCTTACCCCATTACAGTTCTACCTTTCTGAACCCCCACTTGTCTTAGTTACATTCCAGTACCCAAAAATGTTGAAATGTTATTAGTTTACACTGAAAGGTCCAGTCTCTACAAAAGGAACTGATGTTAATATGAAATTACTAAAATAATAATTAAAAAAAGAATTGACCTACAAAACTACCATGATGGAATGAAAATCCAACCATTTCCCAAGTGATTACTTTCCATTGTGCAGGTTTTATTTCTTAAAAAAAGATAAAGCTGAGTGATTTTGTCAAACTGGCCTAAACTTAATGAACAAACCCCACTGGTCCTTTAGGAGTGATATCTGAAACATTTATCTGTTTGGTTCTAAAGAAAATATATAACTTTGTTGGGGAGATTTGACTTAAGAATTGTAAATCCTATATGCTTTTAAGTGAGTTGATTCCTTTTACTAGACATCTATCCTGGGGCTTTGGCCTAACTAATTCTAGTAAATAAAGCGTTTTCATATTGATAGCTTAAAGAAAATCAATATTATCAAGGATTATGAAGACCAAGATTGTAATTTAAGAATCTGTGACCCAAGGTCTTACTGTGATAAATACAGTTGTACCTGTGTTGGATAATGCCACCTCCTACTACAGGAAAGGGCTTTTTATGTCTGTAAAAGGTAAATGTTAATCTTATAACAGGTCCTTCAGGTTGATGCCAGTGGTGTGGGTGAGGACAAAAGATAAATTGAACAAGAACATGATGAGAGATTTGATAAGCTGGACAGGTCAAAGATAATCTAATTTCTAAAAGAACATCAGAGATTCTAGAACTAGCACTAGGGGGTGTTAGAAAGGAGACTTCCATGAAAGCAATTTCAGACTCAACACAGTGGATATGCTGGAAGTGCCAGCCAGGAAAAGAAAAACAAATTTTGCTTCCTATGGATGAGGGCTGAGGGAGAAGGAGGTGTTCCAGAAAACATTCGTTAAAACTGATAAAGGCAGGAAGAAGGCTTCAGTTTTGAGAAGAGCTCTATGTGTCATTGCCACAGATTTCACACAGCTACTGTCTCTGATATTACAACACTGAGAAACACCCAAATCATAAAACCATAGTTGGCTTTTTCCTTTACTGAGTAAATATAATTTCCCCCTGACTATAGGAAGAATAAAATTATGCAAATAGAAGACCTTTTTTCATGATTTAAAAAAGAAACAAATGATATGTCCTACCGTGGTCAGATGATGATGACAATGATGATGATGAAGGCAATGTTTAAGTGTAGTGGTTGTTAGAGCGAAGCTAGGGAGTAGTAGTGGAAAGAATACTAACCCAGGTATCAAAACTTGATGTCTGCGCCTGGGTTTTGCCCTGCTTTATCCAGTACAAGACCCTAAATTCACAATTGATTTAGTTCTTTATCACTAGAAAGACTACCTGATCTTGTTTTTCCACCTCTAAAATTATATAATTACAACAGAAAAGTATCCACACTTACACTAATAAAATTTGTTTGAACAGTATGAAGATGATGAAAAATAGCATGTAAAAATAAGGTGTTGTTTTAATTAAGTTTATGCTTTATTTTAATAGGTTTATGCAACAATGAATTTTTTCTGGAAACTATACCTCTGACAGGGATGCAGAGTTCATTTTGGTAAACATAAAAAGCAGAACTGGTAGCACATCATATTGCCACATGGAGGCTAGCGAATTAGACATAAGCCAGACAAAATCACAAGGAGAGCCATAAATAAAAGACAGTCTTAATGTGATTTAAATACCGTGACTGAGTTGCATTCAGTATCTGCCTGGTCACCAAGTCCAATGCGACATCCTCCTCTATAGAGATGTATTCTAGCAAAAGACTTCTGCATCCACCATCTGGCCCCAGACTAAGAACACATCTCACTGAATGACACATAACCCAGTGGGATGCACCAAATTTGCTTAACCATGAGCACATCATCTTCTCATAACAAAAGCTGAATATGACCCTAATTTTATATTCTGTAAACTCTGTTGTGGAAATTATTAAAACAACTGTCTTCTGGGTAGTCTGTAAACATTCACTGATCTTTTTTCCTTTATTGAAGCCACAATTTAAAAAAAAAAATACTACAAATTTCAGTTTAAATTGAGAAGCCAGATATCTTTCAAAATGTATCCTTTATGTGGTAAAATAGAGAATAACATTGTTTTTAGTTAAGTAAAACTAAAGTACTGTTTCTAACTAGGTAATCTGGCCTTCCAAACACAGGAGTTTGAACAGAGAGTTCTAAAAATTAGAGTGTCTGTTCTCTGTCAGAACCTTCTGGGAAGAGTGTGTCAAATGAGCACTACTCAGGAGAAATTTCTAAGGTTTTAACTTAGTTTATACTTTAAACTGAGATTTCAGGCATGTTTCAAAATAAAGGCAATCACATCCTGTCTCTAAGATAGAGTCTATTGGGTGTCTTATATTCTGTATTATTTTGGAAATATTTTACACTTCAGGAGCAAGATATGATTTGCCTAAATGGAAAATATTCTTTCTTTAGTACTTCTTTGGCATTCCTCAGAATGCTAAATATTTTGTTGGCTGTTGGGCAAGAAGGAGATGATGATATCTCTTATTTCAAAAGCACCCTAAATTTACAGAACCCTGTAAATACTAAGAAAAAATTTTGGTGGTCTATGGTACTCTTTCTGATAAAAATAGATGCTAAAGAAGGAGCATGATATGGAAGTTGGAATAAAATTAAAAATAATCATTTTCTTCACCAAGTTCTATAAAACTATGACCCTTTATTGAAATAAAATGAGAAAACCTTGCTAAGAACTGAGCTGCAATTAATACAAAGGATATGTAAGCAACATTCTTTAGACAGCAGACTCTTCTAATTTATTTTTTGTAGACATGGGGGTCTTGCTATGTTGCCCAGGCTGGTCTCAAACTCCTGGCCTCAAGCAATCCTCCTGCCTCAGCCTCCCAACGCGTTGGGATTGCAGGCATGAGCCACCACACCCAGCCTCGACAGACTCAAAAAGGAAGGAAAATAGTCTGATAAATGAAAAGCAGGCGGCGCAGCGGTCGTTGACCTGTTGGCGGCGGCCGGGCGGGAGGCTGTGGGCCGCGGCGGTCTCCCGGGGTTGAGGGGAGGATGCAGGAGTCACACGTGGAGGCCGGACTGGACTAAGGGGGCAGGAGCGGCGACTGGGGCGCTGCGGCGGGGCTCTAGACCGCGGGAAGCCAGTGCTAGCGCTGGCGCGTGGTGGGCCCCTGAGGCCGCCGGAGTCCGGAGAGCTACGCGGAACCCGCGGCGCCAGGCCTGAGCGGTGGGAGGGCTCTGCGGGGCCTGGTGTTCAGGCGTCCCACCACGAGGGTGGAGCAGCGTTGGATACTTGTTCCTTAGGGACCGAAGGCTCTGGTGGCACCCGGGCTATTTCTCAGAGGACAATTAGTAACATGTCGCCATGAGGAGCCGGAGTAACTCCGGGGTCCGGCTGGACGGCTACGCTCGACTGGTGCAACAGGCCATCCTGTGCCATCAGAATCCAGTGACTGGCTTGCTTCCAGCCAGCTATGTTCAGAAAGATGCTTGGGTCCGAGATAATGTGTACAGCATCTTGGCTGTGTGGGGTTTGGGCCTGGCCTATCGGAAGAATGCAGACCGGGATGAGGATAAGGCAAAGGCCTATGAATTGGAGCAGAGTGTAGTGAAGCTGATGAGAGGACTACTGCACTGCATGATCAGACAGGTGGATAAAGTAGAATCCTTCAAATATAGTCAGAGTACTAAGGATAGCCTCCATGCAAAGTACAACACCAAAACCTGTGCCACTGTAGTGGGTGATGATCAATGGGGACACCTGCAGTTGGATGCTACCTCTGTGTACCTGCTCTTCTTAGCCCAAATGACTGCCTCAGGACTCCATATCATCCACAGCCTAGATGAAGTCAATTTCATACAGAACCTTGTGTTTTACATTGAAGCTGCATATAAAACTGCTGACTTCGGGATATGGGAATGTGGAGACAAGACCAACCAAGGGATCTCAGAGTTGAATGCCAGTTCAGTTGGAATGGCAAAGGCAACATTCAGATTCTCCTGTAGAACCATGGATATGTAGATGAAAACTTTCATAAGCTGCAGATTTGATATCCAACTGCTTTTGTGGCATGTCTCTACTTATATGCCATAAGGACTTGAAAGGACTTAAACTAAACTTATCATCTCTACCATTACAAAAACAAGCAAAAGAAGGCTTTTATTCCTTTCGTTTATCAGTTGACCAAGCTTTATATCAAGGAATCATCTTTCAATCCTCTATCCTCTTTATTTTCCTCCATCCCCCAAATCATCATCATCATCATCATCATCATCATTAGCAGCAGCAGCATTACTGTTCAACTTGGCTCTACTTTTTCATCCTACCCACTATTGTCTTCTCTGGAAACAAGAAGAAGACATACAATAAGATAGCAGGAATAAGATCAAACATATCCCCTCCCCCTCCCCCTCCCCTCCCCTCCCCCTCCCTCTCCCCCTCTCCCTCTCCACGTCTCCCTCTGATGCCTAGCCGAAGCTGGACTGTACTGCTGCCATCTCGGCCCACTGCAACCCCCCTGCCTGATTCTCCTGCCTCAGCCTGCCGAGTACCTGCGATTGCAGGCGCACGCCGCCACGCCTGACTGGTTTTCCTATTTTTTTGGTGGAGACGGGGTTTCCCTGTGTTGGCCAGGCTGGTCTCCAGCTCCTAACCGCGAGTGATCCGCCAGCCTTGGCCTCCCGAGGTGCCGGGATTGCAGACGGAGCCTCGTTCACTCAGTGCTCAATGGTGCCCAGGCTGGAGTGCAGTGGCGTGATCTCGGCTCGCTACAACCACCTCCCAGCCGCCTGCCTTGGCCTCCCAAAGAGCCGAGATTGCAGTCTCTGCCCGGCCGCCACCCTGTCTGGGAAGTGAGGAGCGTCTCTGCCTGGCCGCCCATCGTCTGGGATGTGAGGAGCCCCTCTGCCTGGCTGTCCAGTCTGGGAAGTGAGGAGCGCCTCTTCCCCGCCGCCATCCCATCTAGGAAGTAAGGAGCGTCTCTGCCCCGCCGCCCCGTCTGGGATGTGAGGAGCGCCTCTGCCCAGCCGCCCCGTCTGAGAAGTGAGGAGACCCTCTGCCTGGCAGCCACCCCGTCTGAGAAGTGAGGAGCCCCTCCGTCCGGCAGCCACCCCATCTGGGAAGTGAGGAGCGTCTCCGCCCGGCAGCCACCCCGTCCGGGAGGGAGGTGGGGGGTCAGCCCCCGCGAGGCCAGCCACCCCGTCCGGGAGGTGAGGGGCGCCTCTGCCCGGCCGCCCCTACTGGGAAGTGAGGAGCCCCTCTGCCTGGCCAGCCACCCCGTCTGGGAGGTGTACCCAACAGCTCATTGAGAACGGGCCATGATGACAATGGCGGTTTTGTGGAATAGAAAGGGGGGAAAGGTGGGGAAAAGATTGAGAAATCGGATGGTTGCCGTGTCTGTGTAGAAAGAAGTAGACATGGGAGACTTTTCGTTTTGTTCTGTACTAAGAAAAATTATTCTGCCTTGGGATCCTGTTGATCTGTGACCTTACCCCCCAACCCTGTGCTCTCTGAAACATGTGCTGTGTCCACTCAGGGTTAAATGGATTAAGGGCGGTGCAAGATGTGCTTTGTTAAACAGATGCTTGAAGGCAGCATGCTCCTTAAGAGTCATCACCACTCCCTAATCTCAAGTACCCAGGGACACAAACACTGCGGAAGGCCGCAGGGTCCTCTGCCTAGGAAAACCAGAGACCTTTGTTCACTTGTGTATCTGCTGACCTTCCCTCCACTATTGTCCTATGACCCTGCCAAATCCCCCTCTGCGAGAAACACCCAAGAATGATCAATAAATCAATCAATCAATAAATTAAAAAAAAAAATGAAAAGCAAAGTTCAAAATGATACGAGAACAAAAAATGTTAATAAATTTTATTGCCAATTTATTTCAGGTAAACTGTTCATTAAAAACCAGAGTGAAAATGGTGCATATGACTAGTAAGGTAAGAAGCAATACACGATTTTGGGAAAAGCCTACTTAAGCTGGACTTCTTCAGGGCTAAAGGCATTGATAACATGTCTCATACTGTGTTTCAAGAATTGACCTGAATTATTGTGGAACAAAATGATATTGAAGGGTTGTGAGCTGAATGAAGACTGCAAAACATATTAATGCTTATTCAGATGTCTAGTCACTTGGTCTTCCTACCCTGGAAAACCGCTGAAACTGGTGTAGGAAAAAAGAAAACTCATTTAAAAGAGCAGTAGGCCGAGTGATGGCAGTTTTAACATTTTTAAAGAACAAAGCCTATTCAGCCAGTCTCATACTGGGCCCTAAGCTTCTGTCTTGAATGTAAGCTCCACCCAGATACAAATATGAAGGGCGATTATGTGGAAGATGGTGATCAGCTGTTCTCTATCTCCCCTGCGTTCCAAACAATAAATGGATATAAGCCTCAGTGTGAGGGATTTGGGCAAGGAATGAGGAACAATCTTGTAAACTGAAGTGGGTTACCGAGTGAATCTTATTCTATGGAAGTCTTTTAAAAACTCATTACTATCTCCCACAACATTTATTGTCTATCTGTGACATGGGTAGCCCTGTAGTAAGAAATGTGATGAGCTACACAAGAATGAGAATCCCGAACCTGGAGAATGATCAGTACAAACATCAAATAACAAGATAGAAGCACAAAAATACATAATGACACAAATAAGAGAGCAATATGTATGTATCAATGTAATGACAGCATTTAACTAATTAAACTGGAAATTTTCTCAGTGCTCTTGGAATACTAAGGG
The DNA here is from genome assembly GCF_000001405.40 of Homo sapiens. NCBI lineage: Eukaryota > Metazoa > Chordata > Mammalia > Primates > Hominidae > Homo > Homo sapiens. The sequence goes on along the minus strand of NC_000001.11, from coordinate 90,890,237 downwards.
AGTCTTCATTTTTAGCCTTGTCAGTTGACACAATTTTTAAATGAGCCTGAGTCTCATTGGCATCTCTGATCTGTATACAGTTTCTGGAAGAGCCTTCTCCTGGAGAGAATTTTCAAACAAACATTTGGCATCAATAGAATGTTTTTTAATCAAACTGTCTGTTTTCTATAGAACAGCCTTTGATTTCCAGAAGAGTCAAACTGTCTTAGAGACTGAGAACCTTAGGGCATTAGACCAGCACCAAATATATTACAGTGAAGGCTGGGATTCTGGGGAACTAGGATACCTAAGATTGAAGTACTTCTGCTGATACAGATCCAGGAAGATATTAGTGGTATTTTAGATTAAAATTTTAAGACTTCAAACAACCTGTTAACAACTGTACCCTCTTGGACTTTAAGAATCATAGACTCAATATCAGTAAGAATAGCATTCAAGAAGTTTAGTCTGGGCCGAGCGCAGTGGCTCACACCTATAATCCCCACACTTAGGAGGTCAAGGCGGGTGGATCACTTGAGGCCAGGAGTTTGAGACCAGCCTGGCCAACATGGCAAAACCCCGTCTCTACTTAAAAATAAAAAAATTAGCCAGGCACGGTGGTGTGCACCTGTAGTCCCAGCTACTCAGGAGGCTGAGGCAAGAGAACCACTTGAACCCGGAGGCAGAGGTTACAGTGAGCTGAGATTGCACCACTGCAGCCTGGGTGACAGAGTGAGACACTGTCTCAAAAAACAAAAAAAAAAAATTTATTCCGATGCAATGATGTGTCAGTCAGTGTTTAACAACTGGTTTTCCAGGCAAGGGTTGGGGGTGGTTATGTGCACAGGTACCTAATTTGTAGCATTTGCCAATTTCTATGATGTAAATGCTCTCGCTGTGGCTGACTGCAAGCTACCAAAATGATGTCACCAAAAGCAGAGTTGGGAAGAATTGTGCACACTCACCTCTCATTGCTCCAGCACACCAGTGGTCCTATGTCAAGTATACATAGAACACCAAAGTTCAGAATCATCACTTTGACTGTCACTCAGTGACAGCTACCACTGTCATTACCAAGTAGAACTTCTCCCTCCCACGTTGTCACAAACTATAAAAGTGAACCAGCCGGGCGTGGTGGCTCATGCCTGTAAATGCCAGCACTTTGGGAGGCCAAGGCGGGCGGATCACCTGAGGTCGGAAGTTCGAGACCAGCCTGACCAACATGGAGAAATCCTGTCTCTACTAAAAATACAAAATTAGCCAGGCTTGGTGACGCATGCCTGTAATTCCAGCTACAGGGGAGGCTGAGGCAGGAGAATCGCTTGAACCTGGGAGGCAGAGGTTGCCGTGAGCCAAGATCACGCCATTGCACTCCAGCCTGGGCAAACCAAACACAGGACTTCTCAGAGCTATGTTTTTTAAATCATAGAGACCAATATTTCTCAAAAAGATTCCCCCGTGATACTGCTGTTTGTAGTGTGTCACTCAGGCCTTTAAAGTTCTGGTTGATATAAACAGAAAAATCAGTTTACCAGTCAGCAGAAGAACTGATTCTTAGAAGCAGTAAGCCCACCCTTCAAAGTAAAATAATTTGGATGTTCTATTTTGGATTTTAGTATTTAGGTGTTTAAAAACTCAACACATTGGGAAATACTACGTACCATTCGATAAAAGCCCGACTAGAAACATTTCATAGCCATTACAGGATATTATTTATTTGCCAATTTTTTGAAAGAGTAGAACTTTCAGTTAACATGTCAGTTTATGGCCCACCTCCTATCTTCATTCTTGGACCTGCATGTATCTCTGTGACTCCAGGAAATGTATCTCTCATATCTTCAGTCTTGATGTAAAGGAAACAAAAGGCATTAACTTCTCCAGTGCCTGAATGCCCAAATGGCTGGTGTTCCTGCCTAGAAATCAAATACTGGGTAAGAACTGGAACCTCTAGTTGCCTTCACATTTACTTATGAATTTCTGCTTTCTGTATTTAAAAGACAAAACCATTTGGGAATTGCAAAAACTTCCCCTAAACCTTAGGAGAGAAAGCAATGGATTATCAGGACATAGTCACTCCCATCATGAGATGGCTAATATTCATACAAAACTAATAATGGTGTTCAAAATAATACTATACCTTCATCCCCATTAACAGTGAACTTGCACATGTTTACTCATTCATCTTCACAATAGTCCTCAGAGATGTCATTTTACAAATCAGGAAAGGCTCTGGAGAGCTAAAATCACCTGTTCAATGTCAAGTAACACATGTTGAATTTTGAATATTCATCTGATTATTAAATATCTGTTTCCTTCTCACTACACAATGCTGAATAACACTGGTAACATTGTTCAGTCTCAGACCCTCTACCAATGATTAGTACTGTGTTTATTCAATAAGTAGGTAATAGATGCTTTCTGTGGTGAGGCATAATGGAATCTGCCAGGATAAATAAAACATCACCATTGTCCTAATACAGTTTTGTTGTTAGGCTGCTGTTTGTCTGATTGGATGGTATTTCTTTTTTAGCTAGTTATTTAATGTAAATAATCTGCTCAGTTACAGTTGATGAACACATCTCTAAGTCAATGAGTTTTACCAGTTTCATGTACATTCTGTACTTGCATTGCTATGAAGAAATACCTGAGACTGGGTAATTTATAAAGAATAGAGGTTTAATTGGTTCTCAGTTCTGTGGGCTGTACAAGCATGGTGCCAGCATCTGCCTGACTTCTGGGGAGGCCTCAGGGAGCTTTTCCCATGGTGGAAGGCAAAGCAGGAGCAGCCATGTCACTTGGTGCCTGCTGGGTCATGATCCACCCTCATGACCCAGACATCTACCACTAGGCCCCACCTCCAATATTGGGGATTACATTTCAACATGAGGTTTGGTCAGGGACAAATATCCAAAGTATATCACTGCACATCCAAGGTCATACTCAAGATTTATTTCTTCACGAAATTTTTCTCTGACACAGTTAACAACCGTGTGACCCAGTCTTCTTAATTGCTTTGAGTTAACAGTGCTATTTTGCATTGCCGTGAGCTAATGAATTAGATTCATTGGCTGGTTCCGACTTGGTTGACATGAGCCACTGGCAAGATGACAGTGTAGAAGAAGGCAGGAAGAAGGAGGAGGAGGAAAGATCTTAGTTAAATCAACACTAAGATCTCAACCTTTGCAGCTGCCCAAGTAAGAAACAATGAAACATACGGAGGGCCTCCTGATCATTCTCCTTAGTATCACATTTTGATTCTCCCCTGATATAAAAAGAAAAATGGTAGAGAAAGTCGTGAATGATGTTATTCTGAAGCCACACAGGAAGACTTTCTGCAGATCCCCAGCACAATCCACCCTCTGTGGTACTAAAAAATTGCTAAGATACTTTTGATAGCTAGAGTTGTGCACTCCATATATGGATGAAAGGAGTTACTAAGAGAATCTTACTGCTTTGGTAATGGAGACTGATGATGGATCTTCTTGCAGATCAATGAACTTTGAATTTGACACACAAGGAATCAATGGCTCTCCTTGATGGCAAGGGATATATTGACAACTTAGGTGTTCCTCTGTTCCTCTGAGACATTTATGCACCGTAGATTTTTTTTTTGGGGGACAGAGTTTCACTCTTGTCACCCAGGCTGTAGTGTAGTGGCGTGATCTCGGTTCACTGCAACCTCCGCTTCCTGGGTTCAAGTGATTCTCCTGCCTCAGCCTCCCAAGTGGCTGGGACTACAAGCGAGTGCCGCCACACCCGACTAATTTTTGTATTTTTTTTAGTAGAGATGGGGTTTCACCATATTACCCAGACTGGTCTCGAGCTCCTGACCTCAGATGACCCACCCACTTTGGCCTCCCAAAGTGCTGGGATTGGATTACAGGCGTGAGCCACCATGCCCGGCCCCCTGCAGATCTTTAGTGGACGCTGTTAGGAAGTAAGAAGCTCTACAGAGGAGTCAGATCATATCACAAAAAAGACTGCCTCACTAGAGGTTTTCCAAGGCAAACCCTTTCCCTCAAATTCTGAATGCATGGTCAGGCCTGGGCCACTGCCAGGGTGTGGAGGTGTAGATATGTGTTTTCTAAACACTGGGAGAGCCAGACCTGGAACCACAGTTCTGTATTTCTCATATGCCAAATTTTATAAATGGAAGCCAGACCAAGAGGCATGGTTTGTGTATAGAACCACCAGATGGGACCATATGTGGAACGAAAGAGTATTTATATCCTCTGAAAGGTGGATGCTGGTTCTAAGTCATCTTAGTTTATAAATGATACCTTCTAAAACATCTCAGCTCAATGATCAAGAAGGAAATGAAAGAAAAGCTGCTTTCTTCTAATGGTGGATACCGCTTTTTTAGGCTTGAAAGGTGGTGTGATTTGGTGACATTTCTGAACTACTAAAAACCAATGTATTTATAAACTATTTCTAGGAGAGATTGAAATAATTGTTAAGCTACGATGGGGTGAGGCAGAGAAAGGGGCGCAGAGATCTTAATAAAAATTAAATATTATGTTGGGGAGAACTAAAGAAAAAGCATCAAAGGATAAGTAGAAATACAGAACTAAACTGGGTGTTTATACCAACACCCTTTAATCTAAGGAGAGAACATCACTTCCTATTCACAATGTAATTAGGTGAAATTATATGAAGTTGCTGATATTCAACCATCTTTGACCTAAAAATGTTCATGGAAAATGGTTCAATTTAAACTAGAAACTATTGGAAACAAGGTAGATTTATAAAATATGTAAAAAGCACACTAAAATTATCCCTTGGCTTACTAAAAGTGAATGCTAGAAAAACAATAACCCAAAATAAATTATTTTTTAATGATAGAGTCAACTCACTAACCCTAAATACTTACGGATTTTTGGTCCAAAGTACTGCATATGCCCAGGGATGATTTAAGGAAACAGCAGGTTTAGAGAGAAAGCAAGTTTAGTTAAGCAAGCATTTTTGTATTAATCTCAAAGAAATTTAACACCAAGCAGTGTGTTCTATTTTTCAGAATCTAGAGGAAGATAACTGTAGAAAAGGGGCACATGCTGGCGAGTATCAGTGTCTTCCTGCACTCATGGTATGGAACCTCCTCAAGCTGTGGAGTCTCACCCACAGCATAACCTTGACCTGCGATAGCACCCACCGTCCACCACCACCCTATAGCAAGGGAGATAATGTGTTTCTGTGAGCAAACAGGTGTTGGATCTGGCTGTGACAGCCTTGCTCTGGCCCATCCAGGTGCAGGTGGGATGTGAACTCTGTCTGAGGAGGGCCTGTTGGCATGTTAGACCTGCCAGTGCTCATTTATGGTTTCTTGGTCATTTGAGACCAGCTGTCTGTTTACTAACATCTTAAAAGGCCATAGAGCACTTTTTGGTTGTAAACATAAGAGGAAAGTAGGCCAGACTTTTGGAAGGAATATTGAGTAAAAATGTGACTTTTTTTCCTTATTAAATTTAAGAGTAATCTGATGTATAAAGGGGGAGGCAAAATAATATATTTATAGAATTTTTATGGGGTAAAAAGGGAAAGAGAAGCTATCAAATTTTCCCAAAATTATGGGGAAGTACTATGGGGATAAACCAATTCTTTAGTATAGTTTTGATCAAGACATAAGCATTTATGAGGGACTTGAGAGTTTACAATGCTTTTTCATACACAACCATCCTCATAGGGCTTCTATGACATGGGTATCATTTTCTTGATCTTATAGAAAAAGAAACCGAGGCCTCTTCCTAAAAGTTTAGTGACTTCTCCAGGGTCATAATTAGTAAGCCAAAGAGGGATGTTCCAGATGTAAGTTTTACTGAGGTTTATTGCATGGTAGAAGGAAAAGAGCCATGCTTTGACATCATGCATACCTAGGTTTGATGCCTGATGCCTGATACTGTTCCTTATTGTGTTACTTCATTTCTTATTCTCAAATTATCCTCTCTTACCTTCAGTTTCATCATGTGCAAAATGGCAATGATAATCCCTTTTTAAGAAAGTTGTTGTGAAGATTAAACGTAATATAGGGAAAGTACATAAATCATTGTAGGTACTCAAAAGATGATAAATTTATAAAAATTTAAAACCTCTTCTAAAGTCAACATTAAGAAAATGCAAAGGCAAGCCACAGACTGGGAGAATACATGTCTTCAAATATATATTTCTTTAAAAAAGACTTGTATCTGGAATAAAAAAGCAAAAATTTGAACAAATGAAGATATGTAAAAGAAGATATGTAAGTGGCCAATTGTCATATGAAAAGATATTCAATATCATTAATCAGGGCAATGCAAATTAAAACCACCACTTTGTTCCAATTATCTATTGTGTGACAAACCAGCTCCAAATATAGTGGTTTAAAAACAATGACAACATTTATTTTACCAACGTACTTGCAAACTAGTATGGCCTTAGGAGGGACAGCTCACCTCTGCTCCATTAGGCATTAGCTGAGGCCACTTAAATGCTGGGGCTGGAATTATCTGAAAGCTCATTCACTCATTTGTCTGGCAGTTGATGCTAGCCATCAGCTAGGATGATAACTGGGGTCGTTAGCTAAACACTTGCACATGGCCTCTCCGTATAGCCTGGGATTCTTCTCAACATGGCCAGATTCCAAGAGCAAGCATCCCAAGAGAGAGAACTAAGTAAAAATGCTATCACCTTTTAAAATCTAGCCTCAGAAGTTGAAGTCATACATCAACATTCTATCTTATTCTATTCATTAAAAGCAAGTCATTAAAGCTGGCCCATATTTAAGGGGAGAAGAAGAGTGTCAAAGAATTTGCAAACATGTTTATAGCAATCACAGTCTGTCACACATTATTTACATTCCTGCTTCATGCAGAACATATTCAAACCTCCCTGAAGACTCTTAACAGTATCAGAACCAGGTTTAAGTTCAAAGATTTCACCATCTAAATCAGATCCAGAGGCAGCTGAGGCTCCTTGGATGTGATTCCCTAAGTACAGCTCCTGAAGTACAGTTCTTGATGTGAAGACCTGTGAACTACAAAGAAATCTTCTCTCCCCTCCCTCAGTATACAATGGTGGGGCACGAAAACTGCTTTAGATCCATTCAAAAAGGTGGAAAATGAAGTACACAGAAGTTATTGCTCCATAGACTTTTAAAAATCTGGCAGGGCACATGTTGCCAGTTTCTTGATTAGTGCTTAGTCCTACTGCCTGGGAATGATTCCCTACAGCTCTTGGCTCTTCCCTCTGGGCTTTTTGTCATCTTTTCTTGAATTTGAGAGTCATCCTGCCTTGCACATAAGAAATGGTCTATGAGGCTACCAAGTAGATTTCTCAGCCTGCTTCCTGAACTTAGTAGTTTTGAGAGCCAAAACTTTCCTATCATTTTGTAGTGTCTCAGTCTCTTTCAGTTCAAGCTGGCAGTGTTTGCTGATACAATTTTCTTAAAAACTTTGTTGGTTTTCTATGAGTCTTATCGAGATTCAATCCATTAGACAAAAGCTGCACTCACAAGTCTTGTCAAGGTAAGTTATTCTTCTTGGGCTTCCTACAAGGTTCTGTGGGACAACAACCATAAGATCCTTAGGAGCCCTATTGTTTAATAGAGAGGATCTGTAAGGCATACTCTTAAGAGGCACCATCTTAAATCTTTCTGAAGTCTTACCAAAAGTCTTACAGTCATATGTTGGACTGCAATTATATACCATGTTTTCCTAACAGCCCTCCTAGATTTGAACTCTGTCCCAAATCCATTTCTTAATTTTAGCAACATTTGCCATCTGGAAAAGCTGGCAATGAGAGACAATTTTCTTTTCCAAACCAGCAAGCGCTTGTTAGTTTATATTTAACAGTCGTTCTTCAGCACTTCTTTCTTCTTTTGCTTTTACTGTAAGCAGCCAAAAGGACCTAAATAAGAAACTGAACATTTTGCCCGGAAATCTTCTTAGCTAGAACATCCAATTCATTGTGTAAATTTCCTAGTTTTCATGTTATTGAAACAAACAATGAAGTTCAACTTTCATTCCCATGTAATAATGGTCCCCTTCTCTCCAGTTTCCAATAACATTTTTCAAGTTCCTGTAATCCCTGTAATCCCAACAGCCTCCTTGAGGGCCATCAAGTTTCTGCTAAGAGTATCTTTAAGACCATTTTGACTTTAATTAACAATCCGTTTGAGGTCCTTCAAGCTTGCACCCAAAGCCAGTACCTATAATTGAGATTTTGGGTTACAGCAGCACACCTCTTTCAGGTACCTGACAATGATGGCTAATACTGAGGGTCAACTTGATTGTATGGAAGGATGCAAAGTATTGATCCTGGGTGTGTCTGTGATGGTGTTGCCAAAGGAGATTAACATTTGAGTCAGTGGGCTGGGGAAGGCAGACCCACCCTTAATCTTGTGGGCACAATCTAATCAGCTGCCAGCAAATACAAAGCAGGCAGAAAAATGTGAAAAGGAGATACTGGCCTAGCCTCCCAGCCTACATCTTTCTCCTGTGCCAGATGCTTCCTGCCCTCAAACATTGGACTCCCAGGTTCTTCAGTTTTGAGACTCGGACTGGCTCTCCTTGCTCCTCAGCTTGCAGATGGCCTATTGTGGGACTTTGTGATCATGTAAGTTAATACTTAATAAGCTCCTATATTAGTTCTGTCCCTCTAGGGAACCCTGAGTAATACGCTGACTGTATTCCAATTTCCTATTTACCTATTGCTGTATTTTAAAACACTCCAAAACTTAATAGTGTAAAACAATAACATTGAGTTTATCCATGAAACTGCAACTTGAGCAGGGTTCGATAGGGGTATACTTATCCCTACTCCACTTAGCTAGGGCTACTTAATGGAAAGGGACTAGAATCCACTGAAGGCTCATTCACTCATGTCTGGTAATTAATACTGGCCATTAGCTTAGACTGTAGCTGGGCTGTTGTCTCAAACACAATCATGTAGCCTATCCATATATTCTGGGCATTCTTCCAAAATGATGGCTGTCACCATTTGTCACTTATTCCAAGGATAAGTGTTTCAAGAGACAGCCAGGTGGAAATTGCATCATCTTTTTCAACCTAACCTTGGAAGACATTCAGCATTACTTCTGCTGCATCTATTCATTAAAAGTTTTTCACTAAGGAGTGATGTCAGATGAGAAACTCTGAAATTTCACCCCTCCAAAAAAGCAATGTAAAAACTGACAAAAACTGTCTGAATCAACTTTTTCAGAACTCAAGAAATAAACTAAAGTCTTGAAGCAAGCTGAGGAATGCCTATTCAAGAAAAACAGCTGAATCTCAGCAATAACAGTGAGCTTGGTGGCATTTTAATATACCTTGCTCCCATTCCCACTCCCCAACTCAGCAGTTGCCTTAAAAATAACAGTCCACAATCCAGGCACCTGAGGGAGCAGAATGGGTTTCATTCATAAAGAATTACTTGACCTGCCTGGTGGCTTCCTGGAAGATCAGCCAGAAAGGCTTCTCTTTATTTAAGTTGACTCAGAACTTGTCCAGTGCTAAAGCTGCCACACAAGTGGCATTTATTGAAACATTTACAGGCAAATGTTTCAGTTGCTGCTGGCAGGGATGATGGATAACAGTTGGGGCAAACAGTAGACTAATGAAAAAGTTTGAGAGAAAAGGCTGGGGAAAGATGTTCATATGGGCTTTGAAAAACAACATATTTCTTGGACTCTAGACGGCCACACACATAGCATAGGGCTCTGTGCATGCTCGGGAAAGCCCCAAGAAGGCCCTAGGCTATCACCTCTGGCTGACCTTGAAGCTCTGCACAAGCAGAAAGTGAAGGCTAAGGCAGAGTTGCAACTGCCTGCCTGAGTGCTGAAGATGTGCCCTAACATACACACGAAGCTCCTCAGCAAAGACAGATATTTTTTTGGCTCAAGGCATTTAAGGAAATTTCAGTGCAATTATTAGCTGACCACTCAATTAACCAAACAGAGACTGCAGTGACATCACACAACAGAGAATATAGCTTTATGGGACTGGTTCAGAAAAGTTGCCAAACAATAACTACTACCATAATCAGCAACAATGAACCCTGAGGAAAGTGAGAAAATCTGATTCCCTGACTTGCCATATTATATTATTTAATATGCCCAGTTTCAACAAAAATTTACAAGACATAAAAAGAAACAAGAAAGAATGTCCCACACTCAGGATAAAAGTAATCAGTAGGAAATGTCCAGAAGAGGCTCAGATGTTGGACTTTCTGGGCAAAAACTTCAAATCAGCTATTTTGAATATATTCAGAGGAGACCACATTTAAAGAACTAAAGTATGAGAATGATGTCTCACAAATAGAGACTATCAATAAAGAAATAGAAATTATAAAAAGAAAACAAATAGAAATTGATGGAGTTGAAAAGTACAATAACTGAAATGAAAAATTTACTAGAAGTGCTCAATAACAGATATGAGTTAGCAGAAACAGATTAAAAAAGAATAGATCAACTGAGATTATCTAAACTGAGAAAGAAAAAAATTTAAGAAAAGCAAATAGTCTCAGACACCTGGGGTACACCATAAAGCATACCAATATAAGCATAGTGGAAGTTCTAGAAGGAGAGAGAAGTGAAAGAAAAGGGCAGAAAGAATATTAGAGAATTTAATACTCAATCGTTGCCCAAAATTGATGAAAAACTTAATCTACACTTCCAAAAAATTCAACAAACTCCAAGTTGGATAAACTCAAAGAGATTTATACCTAGACATATAATCAAACTGTCAAAAGCCAAAGCCAAAGAGAAAAATCTTGAAAGCAGCAAAAGCAACTCATCACATACAAGAGATCTGCTATAAGATTAACAGCTGATTTATCCTCAGAAACTATGGAGGTCAGAAGGCAGTGTGATGTGATTACCTAGTCAAAGTACTGAAAGAAAAAAACCTGTCATCAACTAAAAATTCTATATCTAGCAAAACTAGCCATCAAAAATGAAGGAGAAATTAAGATATTCCCAGATAAACAAAACAGAGAGTATGTTGCTATCAGACTTTCCCTACAAGAAATGCTAAAGGGAGGCTTTTAGCAGAATAGATAAAAAAAGACATGATCCATTTATATGCCGTGTATAGGAGACTCATTTTAGAATCAAATATACAAATAGGTTGAGAGTAAAAGGATGGAAAAAGATATTCCATATAAACGGTAACTAAAAGCTGGAGTGGAGATACTAATATGAGACACAATAAATGTTAAAACAAATGTTGTTACTAGAGGCAAAGAAGGATGAAATATCAAGGCATCAAGAATATATGACAATTCTAAGCATATATAACGTATACAACAGAACCCCAAAATACATGAAGCACAAACGGACAGAATGGAGAAATAGTTTAGAAATGTCAAAAATTGGAAACTTCAGTACCCCACTTTCAGTAATGCATAAACAACTAGGCAGAAGATCAGCAAGGAAACAGAAGCCTTGAACAACATTATAAGCTATCTAGACCTAACACATCTAAAGAAAACTCTACTCAACAATAGTAGAATACACATTCTTCTCAGCTGCACATGGAACATTCTTCAGGATAGAACATGTGTTAGACCATAAACAAACCTCAATAAAATTTAAAAAATTAAAATCATACACAGTGTTTTTTCCAACAACAAAGGAATGAAATTAGAAATCAATAATAGGGGCCGGGTGCAGTGGCTCACACCTGTAATCCCAGCACTTTGGGAGGCCAAGGTGGGTGGATCACCTGAGGTCAGGAGTTCGAAACATGCCTGGCCAACATGGAGAAACCCTGTCTCTACTAAAAATGCAAAAATTAGCCAGCTGTGGTGGCAGGCGCTTGTAATCCCAGCTACTCAGGAGGCTGAGGAAGGGGAATTGCTTGAACCCGGGAGGCAGTGGAGGTTGCAGTGATCTGAGATTGTGCCACTGTACTCCAGCCTGGGCAACAAGGGCGAAACTCTGTCTAAAACAAACAAACAACAACAACAAAAAAAAACAAAACCAGCAACAAATCCATAATAGGAAGAAAACTGAGAAATTCACAAATATGTGGAAATTACACTTCTGAGTAATTAAGGGGTCAAAGAAAACCAACATAACTAAAAGCTGGTTCTCTCATTCCCTCAAAAAAAAAAAAAAATCAACAAAATTGACAAATCTCTAGATAGACCAAAGAAAGGAAGAGAGTAGACTCAAATTACTAAAATCAGAAATGAAAGAAGGAACATTTCTGCTGGCCTTACAGATAAAAAGGAGTATAAGGGAATACTTATTGTATTCCAATAGATAATTGTATGCCAACATATTAGGTAACTAGATGAATTGTATTAATTTCTAGAAACACACAAAATACCAAATCTGATTCAGGAAAAATAGTAAACATGAATAGACCTACAATGAAGAGATTGCATTAGTAATCAAGAAACACTTCCAACAAAGAAAAGTCGAGGATCAGATGGCTTCCCTATTGAATTCTCCTGAACATTTAAAGAATACTTGACACCAATTCTTCTCAAATTCTCCCAAAAAATGGAAGGGGAGGGAATGCTTCATAACTCATTCTGTGAGGCCAATATTACATTGATACCAAGGCCAGACATCATAAGAAAACTACGGACCAATATCCCTTGTAAATAGAGATGCAAAAGTCCTCAACAAAATACTTACAAACCAAATTGAGCAGTATAGAAAGAGGATTGCACACTATGACCAAGTGGAATTTATCCCAGGAATGGAAAGTTGATTCAAAATATGAAAATCAGTATATCACACCATATTAATAGAATTGAGTAAAATTTGTTACTATTGAGTAACATCTCAATAGATGCAGGAAATACCATTTGACAAAATCCAGCATTCTTTCATGATAAAACATTCAACAAACTAGAAATATAAGGGATCTTCCTCAACTTGATAAAGGGCATCTATGAAAAACCCTCAGTCAACATCATATTTAATGGTGAAAGACTGAACACTTTCCCCCTAAGATTAGGAACAAGTCAAGGATGTCTGGTCTCACTGCTTCCATTCAATATTGTACTGGAAGGGCAATTAGTGAAGAAAATAAAAGAAAAAGACATCCTGATTGGGAAGAAAAAGGTAAAACAATCTCTATTTGCAAATGACATAATCTTATATAGGTAGAAAGCCCTAAAAAACCTACAAAAAACTATTAGAGCTAATTAGTATCAGCAAAGTTGCAGGATATGAGATTAATATACAAAAATCAGTTGTATTTCTATAAATTAGCAATGAAAAATCAGAAAATGAAATGAAAACAATTTCATTTACAATAGCACCAACAAACATAAATTCTTAATAATAAATTTAACCAAAGAAGTGTAAGATTTATATACTGAAAACCACAGCACATCATTGAAAGAAATTAAAAAGACCTGGTCGGGTGTGGTGGCTCACGCCTGTAATCCCAGCACTTTGGGAGGCCGAGTCAGGCGGATCACGAGGTCAGGAGATCGATACCATCCTGGCCAGCATGGTAAAACCCTGTCTCTACTAAAAATACAAAAAAATTAGCCAGGCGTGGTGGTGGGCGCGTGTAGTCCCAGCTACTCGGGAGGCTGAGGCAGGAGAATGGCATGAACTCGGGAGGCAGAGCTTGCAGTGAGCCGAGATCGCGCCACTGCACTCCAACATGGGTGACAGAGCAAGACTCTGTCAAAAAAAAAAAAAAAAGAAGACCTAAATAAATGGAAAGACATCCTGTGTCTTGGATTGGAAAATATTGTTTAGATGAAAGAACTCCCCAAATAGATCTACAAATTCAATGCAATTCTCTATGAAAATTCCAATGGCTTTCTTTTGAAGAAATGGAAAAGCTGGTTCTAAAACGTATATGGAAATGCAAGGAACCCTGAATAGCCTAACAGTTTTTTTTAAAGAACATAATTGGAGACACACAGTTCCCAATTTCAAAACTTACTGCAGCAATCAACACAGAGTGGTACTGGCATAAGGATAGACATAAATCCGTGGAATAGAATTGAGACTTCACAAAGAAACCCATACATAGATGTTCAGTAAGGGTGCCAAGACCATTCAATGGACAAAGAACAGTCTTTTCAACAAATGGCGTAGGAATAACTAGCTATCCTAGTACAAAATGCAAAAGAATGAATTTGGACCACTATCTTACACCATATAGAAAAATTAACTCAAAATAAATCAACAATCTAAATTTTGTCAGAGCTAAAACTTTAAAAACTCTTTTTTTTTTTTTTTCTCAGACGGAGTCTCGCTCTGTCACCCAGGCTGGAGTGCAGTGGTGCGATCTCCGCTCACTGCAAGCTCTGCCTCCCGGGTTCACACCATTCTCCTGCCTCAGCCTGCCGAGTAGCTGGGACTACAGGCACCCGCCACCACGCCTGGCTAATTTTTAAAACCTCTTAAAGGGAAACAAATGTAAAGTTTTTCGGGTTTAAGACTTAGGCAACAGTTTCTTACGTATGACAGCAAAACATAAACAACAAAAGAATAGGTAATTGGACTTCATCGAAATTAAAAGTTTTGCATCCAAAGACACTATCAAGAATGTGAAAAAACAATCTACAGAATGGAAGAAAATGTTTGCAAATGATATATCTGATAAGGATCTAGTGTCCAGAACATATAAAGAACTCTTACACTTCAAAAATAACCCAATTTTAAAACAGGCAAGGAGTTTGAATAGACATTTCTCGAAAAAAGATATACAAATGGCCAATAAGCACATTAAAAGATGTTCAACATCATGTCAGTAGGGAAACACAAGCCAAAACCACAATGAGAAATACTTTACACCCACTAGGATGGATTTATAAAAAAGACAGACACTAAAAATATTGCCAAGGATGTGGAGAAATTGGAACCTGCATATATTGCTGGTGGGATTGTAAATTAGTGCAGCCACTTTGGAAAAGTTTGGCAGTTCCTCAAAAAGGAAGAAATGAAAACATATTCACACAAAAATTTGTACATGAATTTTCATACTAGCATTATTCAAAATAGCCCCAAAGTGGAAACAACCCAATATACATCAAATGGTGAATGAGTAAACAAATTGTGGTGTATCTGTGCAATGAAATAATATCCATAAGAAGGAATCAAGTATTGATGCAGGCTGTAATGTGGATGAACCTTAAAAACATTATGCTCAGTGAAAGAAGCTGGACATGAAAGGCCAGATACTATATGATTCCATGTATGACATGTCCAGAATAGGCAAATCCATAGACAGAAAGCAGATTAGTGTTTGCTAGGGAATGGGAAGTGAGGTGGAGATGGGAGGAAATTGGAAGTGACTGATAACAGTATAAAGTTTCTTTTTGGTGTTAAAGAAATGTTCTGGCCCGGGCGTGGTGGCTCACGCCTGTAATCCCAGCACTTTGGGAGGCCGAGGTGGGTGGATCATGAGGTCAGGAGTTCGAGACCAGCCTGGCCAATATGGTGAAACCTCATCTCTACTGAAAATACAAAAATTAGCCGGGTATGGTGGTGCGCACCTGTAGTCCCAGCTACTCGGGACAGAAGAATCGCTTGAACCCAGGAGGCAGAGGTTGCACTGAGCTGAGATTGTGCCATTGCACTCCAGCCTGGGCGACAGAGCAAGACTCCATTTCACACAAAAAAAAGAAAGGAAATGTTCTGACATTAGATACTTGTAATAGTTGCACATCATTATGAATATATGGAAAACTAGTCACTCAATTGTACGGTTTTAAATTGTAAATTTTATGTTAATTATATTTCAATAAAAACAATTACAAGGATGAAAATAAAAAGTTACTAAATCCAGCTCATATGCAATGGAAGGGGAGTTAGACTCCACCTGTTGATAGGTGAAGTGTCAAAGAGTTTGTTGGTCCAATGTTTCCACACCACACATGCTATATACCCATTAGGATGACTGAAATTAAAAAGATTGACAATAAATATTGGCAAAGATATGGAGCAACCAAAATCTCACACTTTGCTAGTGAGAATGTATGATAATACAATCACTCTGGGAGACATTTTGGCAGTTTCTTTTAAAGTTAAACACATGTTTACCTTGACCAATGATATACTTATTATGACAATCACATTCCTAGGTATTCATTCAAGAGAAACAAAACATATTCACACAAAGACTTGTACACAAGTATGTAGAGCAGCTTTATTCGTTATAGTCCAAATCTGGAAATGACCTAAATGTCCATTAACAGTAATGAATAAACAAATTGGTTTATCCAAACAATGGAATATTACTCAGCAAGAAAAATAGATGAACTACTGAAGCATGAAAAAAATGAGTAAATTTCAAAAGCAAGCTGAGAGAAAGAAGCCAGACATACACAAAAAAAGTAAGATATGGTTCCAATTTACATGAAACTACAGAAAAGACAAATCTAATGTGTAATGACATAAAGCAAATCAGTGGTTTCCTGGAGTTGGAGTGGGATGCATTTACTGCAAAGGGACACAGGCAACTTTTTTGGGTGATGAAATGTTCTATACCTTGATCATGGTAGTAGTACACAAATTTGTCAAAACACACAGAAATGTACACTTAAGTGGGTACATTTGATGGTATATATTACATCTCAAGAAAGTTAAGGAAAAAAAAATACATCCAGAATGCAACCCCTTCTTACCATCTCCACTATTTCCATCCTGATCAAAGTCACC
This sequence comes from Homo sapiens, assembly GCF_000001405.40. Taxonomy (NCBI): domain Eukaryota; kingdom Metazoa; phylum Chordata; class Mammalia; order Primates; family Hominidae; genus Homo; species Homo sapiens. The sequence goes on along the minus strand of NC_000001.11, from coordinate 90,873,646 downwards.
ATCATTTATCACATGGCTTATTGCAATAGGCTTCTTTTTTTTTTTTTTTGACAGAATATCGCTCTGTCACCCAGGCTGGAGTGCAGTGGCTCGATCTTGGCTTACTGCAACCTCTACCTCCCGGGTTCAAGCAATTCTTCTGCCTCAGCCTCCCGAGTAGCTGAGACTACAGGTGCACGCCACCGCACCCAGCTAATTTTTGTATTTTTAGTAGAGACAGGGTTTCGCCATATTGGCCAGGCTGGTCTTAAACTCCTGACCTTGTGATCCGCCCACCTTGGCCTCCTAAAATGCTGGGATTACATGCTTGAGCCATCGCACCCGGCTTGCAATAGGCTTCTAATAGATTTTCTATTCTTACTTTCGTCGTATTCTCAATCCGTAAGTCTTTACGTGATCTGCCTCCACCCTCCACCCTGGCTTCTGTCTGCCTTCTCTTCTATTAATTCCCCTTACTTGTTTTGGTCCAGCCATTCTAGCCACAGAATATTCCTCTTCAAACATACGAGACATATTCTGTTAAAAGGTAACAGAAACTTTTAAAAGGTTATTTGAGCAAACAGGGATGCATGAATCAAGAAGCACCAAACCAAAAGGTGGTTTAAGCCCTCACTAAGGAATGCAAAAGGAAATATTTTATAGGACAAACACAGAAGTAAGCAAAGAGATGGCATGGTGGCTGACACCTGTACTCCTACCACTTAGGGAGGCCGAGGTGGGCAGATTGCTTGAGCCCAGGGGTTCAAGACCAGCCTGGGCAACATGGCAAAACCCTGTCTCTACAAGAACTACAAAAAATAGCTGGGTATGATGGATAGGGCCTGTAGTCCCAGCTGCTCGGGAGACTGATGTGAAAGGATGGCTTGAGCCCAGGAGGTCGAGGCTGTACTCCCACTGCACTCCAGCCTGGGTGACAGAGTGAGACCCTGTCTCAAAAAAAAAAAAGAAAAAGAAAAAAAAGCCAGACACGATGACTCGAGCCTGTAATCCCAACACTTTGGGAGGCCAAGGCAGGCGGATCATGATGTCAAGAGTTCGAGACCAGCCTCGCCAACATGGGGAAACCCTGTCTCTATTAAAAATACAAAAATTAGCTGGGCATGGTGGTGCATGCCTATAATCCCAGCTACTCAGGAGGCTGAGACAGGAGAATCACTTGAACCCAGGAGGTGGAGGTTGCAGTGAGCCGAGATACTTTCATTGCACTCCAGCCTGCGCAATAGAGTGAGACTCCATCTCAAAAAAAAAAAAAAGTAATCAAAGAAACTATTTGATTGATTACAATTATACATGTGTCTCATTTAGTCTATCCTGCTGGAAAGTCCCTAGTTATAATAAGTTAGTTGGCAGCTTCTGATTGGTTACCTTTAAATTTCATTTTTCTTAATACAGGTGTCTACAAGAAATTGATCAAATTAGGTTTCCCTCATGTTTGCAAATTAAGCAAGGTTAAGGTCACTCATGAGGCCCAACTGGCTTTGTCTGCTCAGGGATTCTTCAGGCCTGGTCTCCATACTAATTCTTATCTCAGAGCCCGTACCTTGCTGTTCCGTTTGCTCTGAATGTTTTTCCCCAGGATCTCTACATGGCTTTCTTTCTCCCTTCTTCAAGTCTTTACTCAAATGTCACCTTTTCTATGAGGTCTTCCTTCCATGACCACCTTATTTAAAATTGCAAGCCCTTCTCTCTAAGTTTAAAGACAATTTGGCAATTTGGGGAGATTTTTAATAAAGTAAATAGTAAATAATATGAAAATAATTGTTTGATTTTTTTTTCATGAAATGTTAGATGAGGGTCTGCTCAGCATCTAATTGTGTGGGCTCAAATTTGTAGTAGCTCAGTTTGCTAACCCATAAATGCAGATGCCTCTGATAAACTCTTAGGAGCCTCAGGAAGTTTCACAGCATTTGAAAGTTTCACAGTCACAGCAGTTTGAAAGTGAAGTGGGAAGCTCACTGAAATTTGCCAATGCTGTGTTCATTGTGACTCACTGATGGGAGACCAAGGATTCCCATGCCATAGGTTAGGTGACAGTTGGGCTGTTACTTCCAAACAGAAAGGGCATAACTTGACCAAGGACTGCTTTTTGAAAACAAAAATATTCCAGCATACTCATAACCAAAAAGAGCTGTTTGCAACAGAATCCCTTCCATTCCTATCCTTCCCATCTCCCTCCCCTAAAGCTTTAAGTAACAGTTAACAGATGCGAAAAAATAAAAATAAAAAACCCTCCAGGGACTATGTGAACCTAAAAAAAAAACCCGAATATTTGAAATATTCGAGAAATCTTCTGCTTTTTATTGTAACAAATAAAGGATCTGTGAAGGCCAGATTCTCCATGGAGACTGAGAATAAGATTAGGCCTAAGGCCAGCTGAGAAAAAAAAAGGTACTGTTAAGGGCATATTTAATATGAATGATTTCTAAAGTGCTCGTAATTTCTTAGTTTTTCCCTCTGAAATGGATGAAGTAATAACTGGCATCTCAAAGATATGTTATTCTCCCAAGACAGTATCTCCTTCTCAAGAGAAAGAAAGGCCCAGAATTGCTATGGCAGGAGTTCTCAAACTTGTTTTGGGATGAGGTATTATTGAGTGGAGGTTGTGGGGGCCCTCACCTGACAGTGACCTGCAAAGGGGAGAAAAGGGGCAGGAGGGGAAGAAGACAGGGAGGGCAGATTGTGGGCTAGGAGGGAAAGTGGCTTGCTTGGAGTTATGTCTGTGTCAGAAATAAAAATATGTATTAAATTCAAAGTGTTTTCCTTCCTTACCATCTCACCTTTCCTTGTCTCTACTGGACCTTATCACTGCTGGGCCTGGAGGTGAGAACTGATGGGAACTGAAAGAGACTAGATTATACCATGTGGATAAAAAGCCAACAGAGTCCCCAGACAAGCCCTGGAGGCAGGGCAGTGAGGAGAGAGCCATAACCCAGAGCTTTGGGAGTCCGAGCATTGCCAATAAATGTGGCTTTGCCAATAGACAAAGAAGAGCTTTAGGGAGTTTTCTTGTGTGTTGTGAGGTGTGATTTGCCTTTTATTGCTCTCTCAGAAAGGGTTTCCATAAAGATGTATATTAACCTCAAGACTTTTGGAGTTGGAATGAAGCTGACACTGTGGCCTTAAGGTACATTTAGTGGCAAAACTGACACTAGAACTCTGTCTTCCTGAAATTTTTGTTTGCTACTAAAAAATTACCACTTGGGTAATATAAAGAAGTTGGTGCAACCTCTGCTGAAACTGCATCTGAGAGATGCAGGAGGGATCAGTTTGATCTCAAGGTGTCACAACCTGATTGCATGTGTGTTAGGGACAGCAGAGTATAATGAGTGCTGAAGGACTGCAAAACATTGGTCAAATACTTACAAACGATCCGTTTCCAAATGCATGCATATGTAGGTAAAGGTATAGGAAAGTTCTGAAAAGGTACACGCCAAACTGATCCTAAGAGTCAACCCTTATAGAGTACATAACAATGCACCTGGCACTGTTCTCATCTCTTTACAGGAATTAACTCATTTAATTATCATAACAGCTCACTAAGGTAGCTACTATTCCTGTCCCTACAATTCAGTGAGGTAGGTACTAATGAGGAGAGGTTAAGTAAGTGCCTGAGATCTCACAGCTAGTGAATAAACAGCAGAGTTGGAATTTCAACAACCAGCAGCCATATACTTAATCAAACTTACAGAGCAATGAGGAAAAAGAGGTGGACATGCTAGGGGCAGAGGACATGAATGGGATACTTTGCTTTTACCTACATACATTCTTATTGTTCAAATTTGTATAATGAGGATGTATTTATGCATTCACTTGTGTAATATCAAAATATATAAAACTAAACTGAAATAATAAAAAAAGCGATGCAAACACCCAAACAAAGCCAGGCGCAGTGGCTCACTCTTGTAATCCCAGCACTTTTGGAGGCCGAGGCGGGGGGATCACTTGAGACCAGGAGTTCAAGACCAGCCTGGCCAACATGGTGAAACCCCATCTCTACTAAAAATACAAAAAATTGGCCAGGTATGGTGGCGGGTCCCTGTAATCCCAGCTACTCGGGAGTCTGAGGCAGGAGAATCACTTGAACCCGGTAGATGGAGGTTGCAGTGAGCCGAGATTGCACCACTGCACTCCAGCCTGGGTGACAGAGCAAGACTCCATCTCAAAAAAAAAGAAAAAAAAAATCTCATTAAAAAATGGGCAAAGGACTTGAACAGAAATTTCTCCAAAGGAGGTTTACAAATGGCCAACAAACAAGTGAAAATATACTCACTGTCACTAATCATTAGGGAAATGCAAATCAAAACCACAGTCAGATGCCACCTCACACCCATTAGGCTGGCTATTACCAAAAACAAAAACAAACAAAAAAACAGAAAATATTGTGTTGGTGAGGATATAGAGAAATTTGACCGTTTGAGCACTGTTGGTGGGAATGTAAAATACTATGGAAAACAATATGGCAGTTCCTCAAAAAACTAAAAATATAACTACTATACTATCCAGCAGTTCCATTTCTATGCATATACTCAAAATAATTAAAAGCACAGTGTCAAAGAGATACTTGTACACTCCGGTTCATGGCAGCATTATTCACAATAGCCAAAAGGTGAAAACAACCCAAGTGTCCATCAGTGAATGAATGAATGAATAAAATGTGGTATATCCATACAATGGAATATTATTCAGCCTTCAAAGGAAGGAAATTCTGACACATGCTACAACACGAATGAACCCTTTAAGGACATTATGCTGAATGAAATAAATCAAGGGACAAATGCTGTATGATTCCACTTGTATGAAATACCCAGAGTAGTTAGATTCATAGAGACAGAAAGTAGAATGGTAGTTGCCCAGGGATGAGAGTTGGAGGACAAGAGGAATTAGTGTTTAATAGGTGCAGAGTTTTACTGAAGCAAGATGAAAAGAGTTCTGGAAATGGATAGTGATCATGGTTGCAAAATGTGAATGTACTTAACGCCACTAAACTGTATACTTAAAAATGGTTATGATGGTGTATTTTATGCTATCAATATTTTTTGAAATGGGGCCTCAGTATGTTGCCTGGGCTGGCCTTGAACTCCTGGGCTCAAACAATACTCTTTCCTCAGTCTCCTGAGTAGCTGGGACTACAGGTATGTACCACCACACCTGGTTTTTCCACACTTAAAAAAAAAATTGATGCAAAAGGAGCATGAAGGTGGTAAGGGAGAGTTTAGGAGGCGACTAGAGGGTTTGTCATGGTCTGTCAGAATGTCATATGATTCATGCCTGGATTCTTTTTTTTTTTTTAGTTTTTTAATATTTTATTTTAAGTTCTGGGATACATGTGCAGAATGTGTAGGTTTGTTACATAGGTATACATGTGCCATGGTGGTTTGCTGAACCTATCAACCTGTCATCTAGGTTTTAAGCCCCATGTGCATTATTAGGTATTTGTCCTAATGTTCTCCCTCCCCTCAACCCCCAGCCCCCAACAGGCCCTGGTGTGTGTTGTTCCCCTCCCTGTGTCCATGTGTTCTCATTGTTCAGCTCCCACTTATGAATGAGAACATGTGGTGTTTCGTTTTCTGTTCCTTTGTTAGATTGCTGAGGATGATGGCTTCCCGCTTCATCCATGTCCCTGCAAAGGACATGATCTTATTCATTTTTATGGCTGCATAGTATATATGTATATATAGCACATTTTCTTTATCCAGTCTATCGCTGATGGGCATTTGGTTGGTTCATGCCTGGATTCTACAGAGAAAGCCTCACCTCTACCCAGGTTGTATTCTCAAGAGACTCTGAGGGCCTTGGGGAAAAGAGCAGAGATGCTTTGATGCTCCAGGAGGCAGAGTATGGCACAGCCCCTGGAAGAGACAATAACCCCCACCTCTCCCCTGGAACACACTGAGATTGAACCACCACGAGCTCCTTTTACTATTCCTGCTCCAGCACTGGAATCAACTTTTCCTCCAAGAAACTAATTTATTGACATGTTTATCTTTCTCCATTTACTTGGGACCTTTGTTTGAAAATCTAATATGTATATGCTGGGTGCAGTGGCTCACTCCTGTAGTCCCAGCACTTTGGGAGGCCGAGGCGGGTGGATCACCTGAGGTCAGGAGTTCGGGACCAGTCTGGCCAACATGGTGAAACCCGTCTCTACTAAAAATACAAAAATTAGCTGGGCATGGTGGCAGGCACCTGTAATCCCAGTTACTTGGGAGGCTGAGGCAGGAGAATCATTTGAACCTGGGAGGCAGAGGTTGCAGTGAGCCGAGATCGCGCTACTGCACTCCAGCCTGGGCAACAAGAATGAAACGCCGCCTCAAAGAAAATAAAAAAATGTGTATATATGTTTGCATGTGTATATATATATATATATACATGCACACACACACATATACATACTTTCCATTCAGTTCAACTTTACATGCTTATGGCAATATTGTACTGCCTTTGATAAATGTAGCTTTGTAGTGAGTCACAAAGTCAGGTAATTTAATTCTTCCAGTTTTGTTCTTTGAAATTGTTTCGACTCCATTAGGTCCTTTGCATTTTCCTATAACTTTTAGGATCAGCTTGTCAATTTTTATTTTAAAAGTCTGTTGTGATGATGATTGGGATTGCATTGAAACTACTGGTCAATTTTGAGAGAACTGACATCTTAAAAACATTGAGTTTTCCAATCCATAAATGTGGAATGCCTCTTTATTTATCTGGATCTTACTTAATTTCCCTCAGGCATGTTTAGTAGTTTTTAATGTAGGCAGAGGTCTCACATTTATTTTGTTAATTTTTTTACTAAGGGGTCTATGTTATTTGATGGTATTGTAAAGTGAACTGGTTTTTTGTACTTCATTTTGTAACTGCTGCTAGTATGTAAAATAAAACTGACTTTTATATTTTGATGTTATATCTTTGTAACTTGTTAAATTAACATTTTAATTAATTAAATTCATCTACAAATAGGGATAAAGATTTGTATATTTCTTTCTTTCAAATCTTTATGCCTTGTTATTTCTTGTTTTATTGCCTTGGCTAGAAACTCCATTACAATGTTAAAAGAAAAGTGGGCCAGGCACAGTGGCTCATGCCTGTAATCCCAGCACTTTGGGAGGCCGAGGTGGGTGGATCACCAGGTCAGGTGTTCGAGACCAGCCTGGCCAACATAGTGAAACCCCATCTATACTAAAAATACAAAAAATTAGCCAGGCGTGGTGGCAGGTGCCTGTAATCCCAGCTACTCGCGAGGCTGAGGTAGGAGAATCGCTTGAACCTGGCAGGCGGAGGTTGCAGTGAGCCAAGATTGCACCACTGCACTCCAGCCTGGGTGACAGAGCGAAACTCTGTCTCGGAAAAAAAAAAAAAAAAGAAAGAAAAGAAAAGTGGAATCAGGCCTTATTCCCAACCTTAAGAAGAAAGCATTCAACATATTACCATTGTACATAATGTTTAGTTGTTTGTTTTTCATAGAGGCCATAGCTCTAGTTTGCTGAAAATTTTTATTATTAATGGGTGTTAAATTTTATCAAATGTAGCTGAGCGTAGTGGCTCATGCCTATAACCCCAGCACTTTGGGAGGCTGAGGTGGGTGGATCACCTGAGATCAGGAGTTTGAGATCGGCCTAGCCAACATGGCGAAACCCCGTCTCTACTAAAAATACAAAAATTTGCTGGTCCTGGTGGCGGGCACCTGTAGCCCTAGCTACTTGGAGGCTGAGGCAGGAGAACTGCTTGAGCCTAGCAGGCGGAAGTTGCAGTAAGCTGAGATTGCGCCACTGCACTCCAGCCTGGGCGACAGACCGAGAGTCTGTCTCAAAAAAAAAAAAATTATTAAATGCTTTTTCTGTATTTATTGAGATGTTCAAATGATTTTTCTCCTTTATTAATATGTTGAATTTCATTGATTTTTAAATGACAGAGACTAACTTGAATTTCTCATATAAACTACACTTGATTATTATATACATCCTTTTTATATATTGCTAGATTTAGTTTGTTAATATTTTTAGTGAGTTTTGCATCTAGGTTCATAGGTGATATATGGTTTATATTTTATGTCTTTGTATTGTCTTTTAAAGCTTTTGTATCAAGGTTATGCTGGTTTCATCAGAGAAACATGGAAATGGTTTCTCCCTTTTTTTTTTTTTTTTGAGACAGAGTCTCGCTCTATTGCCCAGGCTGGAGTGCAGTGGCGTGAACTTGGCTCACTGCAACCTCTGCCTCTTGGGCTCAAGCAATTCTCATACCTCAGCCTCCTGAGTAGCTGGGACTACAGGCACCTGCCAGCAGGACTGGCTAATTTTTGTATTTTTGATAGAGACAGGATTTCGCCATGTTGGCCAAGCTGGTCTTGAACTCTCGACCTCCAGTGATCCGCCCGCCTGGGCATCCCAAAGTGCTGGGATTAGAGGCATGAGCCATCGTGCCTGGCCTCTTCTCCCCTATTTTAAGGCTGATGTCATTACTACTCTTAAGATTTTATGGAACTCGCCAGTGGCACTAACTGGGCCTGGAGTTTTGTTGTTATTGTTCTAATAATGGATTTAACTTCTTGGATAGATATAGGGCTATTCAATTTTTCTATTTACTTATATGGCAGTTTTGATGAGGTTTTAGGAGGTTTGTTGTTGTTGTTGATTTAGAGACAGGGTCTTGCTCTGTTGCCCAGGCGAGAATGCAGTGGCACAATCATAGCTCACTGCAGCCTTGAACTCCTGGGCTCATGCAATCTTTCCACCTCAGCCACCAGAGTAGCTAGAACTTCAGGCATGTGCCACCATGCCTAGGTAATTGTTAAATTTTTCATACAGATGGGGTCTTGCTATGTTGCCCAGGCTGGTCTCGAACTTCTGGCCTCAAGAGATGTCTCCTGGCCTCAGCCTCCCAAAGTGCTAGAATTACAGGTGTGAGCCAACATGTCCCACTGACAAGTTTTGCTTTTTAAAGAAATTTGTGGCTCATATCAGTGGCTTACGCCTATAATCCTAGCACTCAGAGAGACTGAGGCAAGATCAGTTGACCCCAAGAGTTTGAGACTAGTCAGGGCAACATAGGGAGACCGTGTCTCTACCAAAATAATAATAATAATAATAATAATAATAATAATAATAATAATAATAATAGAAGAAGAAGAAGAAAGAAGGTGGAGGAGGAGGAGGAAGAAAAGGGGGACAAAAGATGAAGAAATCGTGTTGTTCAAAAAAGATGAAGATATCCTTGTTCAAGGGTCAGCTGTATAAAGGCATAAGGGTTGCTCATATATTTCCTTATTGTCCTTTTGATGGTTGTAGGATCTGTGGTGATTCCCCTCTTTCATTTCTGGTATTTTTAGTTTGTGTTTTCTCTTTTTTATTGGTAAGTTTAGCTAGAGGATTATCGGTTTTTCAAAATCTTTTCAAAGAACCAAATTTTGGCTTTGTTAATTTCCTCTATTGTTTTATTTTTCTATGTTATTGACTTCTGCTTTTGTCTTTGCTTTCTTCATTATTTCCTAAATGAAACTACTTACTATAGATTTAATTTGCTAATTTTTCCCCAGTTTCTTTCTTGCTTTTGTTTTTTTTTTTTTGTTATTTTTTTTTTAGACAGAGTCTAGCTCTGTCACCAGGCTGGAGTGCAGTGGCGGTATCTTGGCTCACTGCAACTTCCGACCCCCTGGTTCAAGCGATTCTCCTGCCTTAGCCTCTGGAGTAGCTGGGATTACAAGCTCATGCTGCCATGCCTGGCTAATTTTTTTCTTTATATTTTAGTAGAGACAGGGGGTTTTGCCATGTTGCCCAGGCTGGTTTCGAACTCCTGAGCTCAGGCAATCCACCCACCTCGGCCTCCCAAAGTGCTGGGGTTACAGGCATGAGCCACTGTGCCCAGGCTTTTTCCCAGTTTCTTAATGGGGAAACTTAGATAATTGATTTTCGATCTTTTTGAAATTATTGGCTGGGCACAGTGGCTCACACCTGAAATCCCAGCACTTTGGGAGGCCAAGGTGGGTGGATCACCTGAGGTCAGGAGTCTGAAACCAGCCTGGAGAACATGGTGAAACCCTGTCTCTACTAAAAATGAAAAAATTAGCCCAGTGTGGTGGTGGGTGCCTGTAATCCCAGCTACTGGGGAGGCTGAGGCAGGAGAATCGCTTGAACCCAGGAGGCAGAGGTTGCAGTGAGCCAAGATACAGCCACTGTACTCCAGCCTGGGTAACAAGAGCAAGACTCCATCTCAAAAAATAATAATAATAATAAATAAATAATCATTTGGTTCAAAATATTTTTAATTTTCCTTATGATTTCTTCTTTGACCCATAGATTAATAGAAGTATGTTATTTAATTTCCAAAGATTTGGGGGGAATTTTAAAATTATCTTACTGTTATTCATTTCTTATTTCATTCTCTTGGGGTCAGAAAACTTACTTTGTGTAATTTCAGTCTATTCAAATTTATTGAAACATATTTTGTGGCCCAACATATAGTCTATCTTGGTGAACAATTTATGTGCCCTTGAAAATAATGTATATTATATTGTTGGATGTAGTGTGATATGGTTTGGCTATGTCCCCACCAAAATCTCAACTTGAATTGTGTCTCCCAGAATTATCATGTGTTATGGGAGGGACCCAAGGGGAGGTAACTGAATCATGAGAGCCTGTCTTTCCTATGCTGTTCTCGTGATAGTGAGTAAGTCTCATGAGAGCTGATGGGTTTATCAGGGGTTTCGCTTTTGCTTCTTCCTCATTCTCTTGCCACCGCTATGTAAGAAGTACCTTTCACCTCCTGCCACAATTCTAAGGCCTCCCCAGCCATGTGGAACTGTAAGTTCAATTAAACCTCTTTTTCTTTCCAGTCATGGGTATACCTTTATTAGCAGTGTGAAAACAAACTAATACAGTAAATTGGTACCAGTAGAGTGGGGCATTGCTGAAAAGATACCCAAAAATGTGGAAGCGACTTTGGAGCTGGGTAATAGGCAGAGGTTGGAACAGTTTGGAGGGCTCAGAAGAAAAAAGAAAAATGTGGGAAAGTTTGGAACTTCCTAGAGACTTGTTGAATGGCTTTGCCCAAAATGCTGATAGCGACATGCACAATAAAATTCAAGCTGAGGTGGTCTCAGATGGAAATGAGGAACTTGATGGGAACTGGAGCAAAGGTGACTCTTGTTATGTTTTAGCAAAGAGACTGGTGGCATTTTGCCCCTGCCCTAGAGATCTATGGAACTTTGAACTTGAGAGAGATGATTTAAGGTATCTGGTGGAAGAAATTTCTAAGCAGCAAAGTATTCAAGAGGTGACTTGGGTGCTGTTAAAAGCCTTCCATTTTAAAAGGGAAACAGAGCATAAAAGTTCAGAAAATTTGCAGCCTGACAATGCAGTAGAAAAGAAAAACCCATTTTTTGAGGATAAATTTAAGCCAGCAGCAGAAATTTGCATAAGTAGCAAGAAGCCTAATGTTAATCCCCAAGATGTGTGGAAAATGTCTCCAGGCCATGTCAGAAACCTTCCCAGCAGCCCCTCTCATTACAGGCCTGGTGGCCCAGGAGGAAAAAGCGGTTTCATGGGCTGGGCCCAGGGTCCCTGTGCTGTGTGCAGCTTAGGGACTTGGTGCCCTGTGTCCCAGCCACTCCAGCCATGGCTGAAAGGGGCCAACATACAGAGCTCGGGCTGTGGCTTCAGTGGATGGAAGCCTTAAGCCTTGGCAGCTTCCATGCGGTATTGAGCCTGCAGGTGCACAGAAGTCAAGAATTGAGGTTTGGGAACCTCCGCCTAGATTTTGGAGATGTATGGAAACTCCTGGATGCCCAGGCAAAAGTTTGTTGCAGGGGTGGGGCCCTCATGGAGAACCTCTGCAAGGATAGTGCAGAAGGGAAATGTGGGGTTGGAGCCTCCACACAGAGTCCCTACTGGGGCACTGCCTAGTGAAGCTGTGAGAAGGCCACCATCCTCCAGACCCCAGAATGGTAGATCCACTGACAACTTGCACCGTCCACTTGGAAAAGCCACAGACACCCAATGCCAGCCCATGAAAGCAGCCAGGAGGAGGTTGTACCCTGCAAAGTCACAGGGACAGAGTTGCCCAAGACCATGGGAACTCACTTCTTGCATCAGAATGACCTGGATGTGAGACCTGGAGTCAAAGGAGATCATTTTGGAGCTTTAAAATTTGACTGCCCCGCTGGATTTCAGACTCGCATAGGCCATGTAATCCCTTTGTTTTGGCCAATTTCTCCCATTTGGAACAGGTGTATTTACTCAATACCTGTACCCACATTGTATCTAGGAAGTAACTAGCTTGCTTTTGATTTTACAGGCTCAAAGGCAGAAGACTTGCCTTGTCTCAGATGAGACTTTGGACTGTGGACCTTTGGGTTAATGCTGAAATGAGTTAAGACTTTGGGGGACTATTGGGATGGCGTAATTGGTTTTGAAATGCGATGACATGAGATTTGGAGGGGCAAGGGTGGAATGATATGGTTTGGCTGTGTCCCAACCAAATCTCAACTTGAATTGTATCTCCCAGAATTACCATGTGTTGTGGGAGGGACCCAGGGAGAGGTAATTGAATCATGGGGGCCCATCTTTCCTCTGCTATTCTCATGATAGTGAATAAGTCTCACGAGATCTGATGGATTTATTAGCGGTTTCTGCTTTTGCTTCTTCCTCATTTTCTCTTGCTGCCACCATGTAAGAAGTACCTTTCACCTCCCGCCATGATTCTGAGGCCTCCCCAGCCATGTGGAACTGTAAGTCCAATGAAACCTCTTTTTCTTCCCAGTCACAGGTATATCTTTATCAGCAGTGTGAAAATGGACTAATACATAGTGTTATACAAATATCAATTATATCAAGATAGTTGATTGTGTTGTTAAGCTTTTCTGTATTCTTAATCATGGGCGTGGGGAGGGGCTACAGTTGTTGGGAGGCCTTAAATCTCTAATTATAATTCTGAATGATCTATTTCTGTTTAGTTCTGACAATTCTTACACAATGTATTTTGAATCTCTGATTTAGATACATACACTTATAATTTTATTATTATGAAACATTACCCATTTTCTCTGGCAACATTGCTTGTCTTGAAGCCTACTTTGGTCTGATGTTAATATAGTAATTCCATCTTTTATATGCTTACTGTTTGTATAGTATATTTTTTCCATTTTAATTTCAACCTCTTAGTACCTCTATATTTAAACTGTCTCTCTTCTAGATACCACATTGTTGGATGTTTTGTTACCTATTGCTATACAATAAACTACCTCAAATCTTAGAGGCTTAAACTAACAACTATTTTATCTCTTTGGGTCAAGAATTTGAGCAGGACTTGGCTGGGCAGTTCTGGATTATTCACTTGGCTGTATTCATCTTAAACTGAGCTAGAAGGTCCAAAAAATTCTCACTCACTTGACTGGTGCCTCTGTGTTTCTCCAAATGGCTGGGTCAGGTTTCTTCGTAGTATGGTGTCCTCAGGGCATCTGAATTTCTTACATGATGGCTGTCTTCTAAGAGGGAGTGTCATCGAAACAGTTATTCTAAGTTGATGTGTCCCTTTTTTTTTCCTTGTAAACAGAAACTTAATTTTCTTTTCAGGTGACTTATTTTCAGGTGTGATGTACGTTAGGGGATGCTGTGCTCTTCTCCAGCCCCAGAGGATGGATATAGATTAAGAATCCAGTAATGATTAATCTATTCCTTTAGCCAGCAAACGGTTTACAAACAGGCTGATAACACAACTCTGGATGAAGCTTGAGGGAAAGTGAGAAAATGGGCTTTTGGGGAAGTGTTCCTTAAGTCTTAAAAAGGGACACAACAGAGGAATGTCCCCTTTTCCTGCTGCTAAGTATTACTATCTACATTGAACACCAGGAACTGTGTGGTCATATTGCTCTCCATGATGGAAGAGAGTATAACAGGACAAGTGAACATGCTGAGATAGCCAGTGAAAAATATGGAAAAAACCTGGGTCCTCGATTATGTTGCTGAGATACTGCATCAATCAATCCTAGAACCACAAGATCTCTGACCTGCTTTGTGAAGTAACACAAAGCATTCCTCTTTTACCTGCAGCTGAAAGCATTCCAAAAGATACAAGAGGAAGATGTTAAATGTGGAGGTGAAACTGGGTCCAGAGTTATTAATCTTCTATTAATAAATACTGTAATTTTATGATTAGTTATTGCAAGGAATGTGTTTAATACATTTAAATCTTTAGTGCAAGTTACAAAGCACAGCAAAACACATACTCTGAGTTAAAATTTTGACTTTACACATCAAATTAAAACCCAAAGAAACAAAATTGTTTTCTCTTCCAAGTGGCATCATTACTGTGGAACTGCTGCTGGGAACAGACCTGACATTGCATAGGGCAGAAGATAGGAATTGTGTTATCAGAAAAGAGTATCTTGAAGTTAAAAGTATGGTGACTAATATCGCATCTTTCAGCATTTCAATCAAATCACAGATTTGGGTTTAAAAATTAAAATTTTTTAATAATTTAATAATTTGTAAAGATAGAATACAGACCAAAAACCTAAAAGAAGCTCCAAATGACTAGACCTTAGGCCAGTGCTGTTACACCTATCACATCTAATGCTGTGCCTTAATCATGAATATTTCTATTTGTTGACAGTCATATGGGATTGCCTTAATATTAATAAGAGGCACAATAGGTATTTAGATTAGTGCACCCATTCTTTGGCTTCTACAGAAAAGTAATTTTTAAGGTATTGGACCAGTGTATGATTTTTGCCAACTTTTAATCTTGCCTTGCCAAGTAAAGCTATTAATTTATTATAATCATTATTTATAAAAGAAAATGTTTAACATCTCAAAAGACTATAATCTTGGAATTTTTTTTTTTTTTTTGAGACAGAGTTTTGCTCTTGTCACCCAAGCTGGAGTACAGTGGCACGATTTTGGCTCACTGCAACCTCCGCCTCCCGGATTCAAGTGATTCTCCGGCCTCAGCCTCCTGAGTAGCTGGGATTACAGGCACATGCCACCACGGCCGGCTAATTTTTGTATTTTTAGTAGAGACAGGGTTTCACCATGTTGGCCAGGCTGGTTTTCAACTTATGACCTCAGGTGACCTGCCCGCCTCGGCCTCCCAAAGTGCTGGGATTACAGGCATGAGCCACCGTGCTCAGCCAATCTCGGACTTTTAAAAAGATTAAATTTTGCTTTATAAAATCCTGTTAACTTCCCTTTGTTCATTTATTTATATTTACCACAGACAGGTGAACTCCTTCATGGACTGGCATGAGCCTGCACATGGAAAACCCTGATTGCAAATATTTTCTCCCAAATCTATTATACACTGGAAAATGTTACCTTCATCTTTCTATACTTAAAAATAGCCTTTTTGCTCCTTTATTCAATGATTATTTATATATTTGTGACATGCAAGGCCTGATGAAAACCACTGTAGAGAATTCCAAAACATATAAGACCTCACTCCTGACCTTTGACCTGTTGATGCCTTGGCTGGGCCATAAGACACATCACACAGCATCAGGCAAATTTTGTGTTCTCTGCATCAAGCCTTTTTTATTTATTAAAGTCCAAATACCAATTTTTTTTGCCTAGCCTAATTTTCTTTCAGGTCTCAACCTCAACCTTGTGTGTCTTTACTAATAGGTAGCCAGCCAAACAATTGGCAAAGCTGGTTTTGATAGTGCTAGAAAACCAGAGGTGTAGTGTTGTAAGGGGCGATGCTAATCAAAGGCCAGAGAAGGACCATGACAGGAGAGTGTGAAGATGGCAGCATCCTGTGAACAGGAGTCCAGCCACACATAGATTCATCTCCTCTGGGGCCTGTTCTTTCTGGACCCTTACTGAGATTTCTAGCCCTCTTTGAGCAAATAAAATGGATGGGGAAGCACCCCTGTTATTTCTGTGTTCTCTGATTTGTCTAGCCTTCAGAACTGTGTTCTAAGAATGTCTGAATTTGATCAGGACCATAAGATGATTATGTCCTCACTACAAGTGGATTGTGAACTAAATGTATCAGTTTGGCAGCCAAGATCAATAGCCTTGCCTTTTTTTTTTTTTTTTTTTAATCAAGTTCCCTTTGGCAGAGGCCATTAAGGGAAATCCTATCTATCAGAATTCAGCATAGAGTACAGAATTTTCTAGACCTGTCCACTGGGCAAAATTAGCTCCAACCCATTGCTAATTTGGCTCAAGAAAAAAATGCTGTTGTTTCTAAAAAACACACTAAGCAATGTTTGAGGATTTTTAAATGATCAAGTAAGGAGAAAATTGTTTAAAAAACAAAACTAAATAGCTATTTCCTGCAACACATGTTTAAGGCATCTCTACATTATTTTCAAGCCTTTCTTTCTACTACCAATAAATCAACACAGGCAAGCCAAAGCAGCCTCATAGTTCTATCACAATTTCATACATCAAGGCTCTTGGAGAGCCTATATATTTTGGTTTCCTCCCAGCTTCTTCTTTTTTTTTTCCTGTGAGCTTGTTTTATAATAAACATTTTAAACATTTTCCTCTCAAAGTGCTTCTCCACAAATATCTTTCCTAAATTGTACGTTATGTCTCAGTTCTGCTAATTGATAATCCTAATTTCCACTTCATTTAACATGCAAGCCTCGGCGTTGAAACCCTGATGGACTAATCGGGGTCATTTAAAGCCCATCTAAGAAATGGGCTTCTTCTTACATATGCTCAGTGAGATTTTGGAACACTATTGTCAGGAAATACAAGCAATCCCTGAAACTTTTTCCCCCTGGGTTATCAGAGTCCGAGACAATTGATGACATTACATCGGTCGTTCATTTTAGATTCGTGGAGCCCACAAAAATCAATAGTTTTCCATTATCAGGTCCAGCTGGGTCACTAGTCTGTCAATGAGCTGTTACAATTGCTGTACAGGGGTGAGCCTGACCAGTCAATTGCTGCTGACAAGAGGAAAACATGCTGACAGCCACGGGAACAAGTCAGAACACAGATTTGCACTTCAGTTTGCCATCCAAAGAGGCTCAGAGCAAGGCCATTTTCAAGACACAGGGCATACTCCCTGGGAGGTGGGGGTGGGGGGTAGTGGCGGGTGTGGAGGGAGGACTACCACCCCCGGGTTTTGTAGCACAAGTGCCTAAGGGCCTGTCCTGGCTCCAGCCAACCATCTCTTATAGAGATAGCTGTAGTCACTGCCTTTGTTAGTAAGAGAGCATATACCAGCCAGAATTGTCCCTAAACACACCACATTGTACCACAGCAAGATTAGGAGGAAGGAACCCAAATTTTACTATCACTGGCCCAGATGAAACTATATAAAACTTGAGAAATATAAAAGCTTAAAGAGGAAGAAAATGGGCCAGAGGCATCAAATCTAAACAAATATGGCTAAACATGTTGCAAGTAAGTATTGACTGAGGACAGGAGGTCCTCTGGTGTTGGTACATAGGCTGTCCCCTTGTTGTCTCATTGTTTATAACATTATCTATACTTCGATCTCAACATGACATATTTAACCAAACTAAGCCTCCCTGATTGGTGACTGATCCACAGCTAACTGTCTGATGCAGTGGGCAGCAAGGGGAACGGAGTCTAGTCTTACCCTGCCTACAACCAAGAAGTAAGAGTATGGAGTGGTGAGCTCGGGCAAGTATATTAACTGCCCCATATTAACATGGAGACATGCTTGCCTTACATGTGTTACAAGGTGATCATGAGATTAAAAATGAGATCAATTGGCAGGGCGTGGTGGCTCACACCTGTAATCCCAGCACTTTGTGGGGCCCAGGCAGGCAGATCACCTGAGGTCAGGAGGTTGAGACCAGCTTGGCCAACATGGTGAAACGGGGTCTCTACAAAAAATATAAAAAATTAGCCGGGTGTGGCGGTGGGCACCTGTAATCCCAGCTACTTGGGAGGCTGAGGCAGGAGAATCACCTGAATCCAGGAGGTGGAGGTTGCAGTGAGCCGAGATCACACCACTGCACTCCAGCCTGGGCAACTAGAGCAAAACTCCATCTAAAAAAATAAAAGAAAAAGAGATCAATTGAGATGAGAGTAAGCTCTGTCCAAGTAAGGGACTGTGCGAGTGTGCATGAGTGTGTATTTGTGTGTCTCTTACTCTGTGGAAGCTATCCATACAGCAAGAAGTTGGGAAGCAATTGAAAGAAGTTCTGCTCCAGAATAATTCATTTTTGGTCTAGACTAAATGTTGTCCTTCCTTAGCTGAATATATGAATAATCTCTAAAGACCATCATGAGTGAAAGCCAGAACTTAGAGGACAGCTCAGGAGTCTTAATGGGTTTTGTGGCTCTCCTTACTCCATAGAGAAGGTGGTTTAGATGCTGGCAAGGTGGACACACACCATCTGGAGCTTGCAAAGCATCATGAATTTGTGCAATGCTCTGGTCTTCTCACCCTGGTTCAATTTCAGACATCAAACTTAAGAGCTCAAAAGATAAATATTTTGAATTTATTTCAATATTATGATTTGTAATGTTCGACTTTTATTAACATCTTTCAAGTATTAAATTGTAGTATTTTTTCCCCTCAATGCCTCCAGTCTTGGGTTTGAATCTTTTGGAAGTCAACATTCACTTGTGTTCCATCATCAAAGCTGGTAATCAACTGTATTACTGGAAGCTAACTAGGGCTTTTTTTTTTTAATGCTACCCCCAAAAATTATTTTATTTAAATGAGTAAAAAAAGTAGTTTTTACAAGAACAAATTTGCTAGTAATTAGATGAACCAGTCTTACGTCTTCCAGCACTTGGAAACGTGAAATTCACCAGAACTCTCACAGCATTAATTAAAATGAATTTATGTTTTTTTAAAAAAATGCTTCATGTTTTAGCTCCTTCATTCTTCCACCAAATGTGATTATGTGGGGGCTGAAGGGAATTCAGGTTAATATGTTGACACACTTAACAATGCAGGGTCATGTTGCACAATACGCTTCACTGGTTTGGTTCAGTACACCCCCTGACAGGGCCTAATCATCCCCTGCCCTAAAGGCAGAGGGAAAGAGAGGATTTTAATTACTGCTCTGTATGCAAGTTTGCCAGCATTAAATTGAGACATAATTAGGCCTCTGAATTTTAATAATTGTCCTAGCTAATTGGGCAGACAAGTACGTTATACAGCATGCCGTGATTAGATAATTAGTATTTCCAAATGACAAAATTGGGCTCTTGATTACAAATTCTACATGAAGGAGGAAAAAGGTAGCAAGCAAATCTTTACAAGTCTATTAAGAGAGAGTTTAGCGATGTTGGTAATTTAAAGTCCATTAGGAAGCAACATTTCACTCTCAGAGCTGGATGTCTGAGACAAGGGCCTCCGGCCTCCTCTGGCTCCTCCTCACGGTGCTCTGTTTTCCCTGGGGTCTGCTGCATCCACCTTCCCCCATCAACCCCAAGGTTAGCAGCCATCATTGACCTTGGGTGAGGTCTGTTTTGCTAGATGGCAGGTGTAACTCTGAAAAAGAAATCACGAAGGGTAGGAAGGATAGAACAAAGAAGAGGTAATCTACCAAGGTGGGGAGGGGCTGTGTAAGTACCCAATGTGGCTTTCTATTGCAAACAGCTGTTCTTTCAATCGTCTCCCAGAATTTACCACTCTCATTGTATCATCAGCTCCACTAAAATCTTTTTGGTGGAAAAAAATCTTAAATCAAAATCTCAAATTTCTGAAGTATTATATTATTGGGATGAAGAGTGTGGGTATTGGAGACTGACTTGGATTTGAAGTCATCACTTACTAGGAGGGTGGTCTTGCATAAATTACTTAATCTTTCCAGGTCTCAGTTTTCTCTTTGGCAAAATAAAGAACCTTCTCCAATAAGATTGTTGAAATAATTAAATAAGATAATACACATACAGATGGTCCCCAACTTAGAATGGTTTGACTTAGCATTTCTCTACTTTACAACTTTACGATGGTACAAAAGTTCCTTCATTTATGATGGGGTTATGTTCAAATAAACCCATCATAAATTGAAAATATTGTAAGTCAAAAATGTACTTTCAACTTAACATATTTTTAAACTACAATAGGTTTATCAGGACAATCCCATCATAAATTGAGGTGCATCTGTAGTTTAAAGCTCAGTGCCTGGCATGGAGTAAATGTTCAATAAATATTAGCTGTTAAATGCAAATTAAATCAATAATATTGGAAGGCACAAGGTGAAGGTGCTGGGTCTGGCTCTTTGCTATGCCAGTCCTCAGATGAAGCAAGGTTCCCTATCCCCATTGCTTTCTGACAGAGGAATGTGGTACTTCATTTATGCTGTGAGGATGGGGGTGAAAGCCCAATGGCAACAGCTGCCTCCACAGCTCAAATACCCAACGAGATTTCCTTTCTCCCCATTCTTCAAGGGTTGGCATTGCAGATAAGCCCTCCCATGCAAAAGTCATGGGGGCACTTAACCTAAGAAGAATGTGGTATAAATTCTGCATCTTACCTTCACACCTTGTGATTCACTCTGCATGAATGTCACTTTATTACTACAAAGGCATAATTCTAGCTGCTAAATTTTTTTCACAATCAATAACCAGTAGTCTAGGCTCTAAAGCTATGTTTTTCAGGCAAAAGGAATATCACTTGGATGCAAACTAGAACCCTTCTAAAAAATGATTGATAGGTGGTTCATGGATGACTATCTGATGAAAGTTTGTAAGGGGAAAAACTCAGAAGTTCCAGATGTATATTCCTGACCACTGAGAAGGAAAATAACAATGTCTCCATGGCCTGGTCCAGTCAAAATAGCTACCAGGCTGAATCAGTATTTTTTTTTTTTTTTTTTTTTTTGAGACAGAGTCTCACTCTGTCACCCAGGCTGGAGTGCAGTGCAGTGGCATGATCTCAGCTCACTGCAACCTCCATCTCCCCCGCTCAAGAGATTCTCCTGCCCCAGCCTCCCGAATATCTGGGATCACAGGCATGCACCACCATGCCCGGCTACTCTTTTATATTTTTAGTAGAGACGGGGTTTCACCATGTTGACCAGGCTGGTCTTGAACTCCTGACCTCAAGTGATCCGCCCGCCTTGGCCTCCCAAAGTGCTGGGATTACAGGCGTGAGCCACGGCGCCTGGCCTAAATCGCCCTTTCTTATTACTTTCTTAGAACTTTGGGCTATCTCATTTATGAATGATGGAAGAGTTCTGCTGAGGATTTCAATTCAGAAAGCAGGGTTCTCTCTGTGGGTAAACTTCATATCACCCAGACATAATTTCTACCGAACATCATCAATTAAATAACAAGAGAGGAGGTCAACACCTTGAGACCTGAGGAAGAAGAAAAAATACTTATCATTAAGTGTAGGATGCAAACATTCTATTAGAAGCTTAGAAGCAAAGAGTAAGATATTATTTTCGTGGATACAAGAGAAGACAGAGAAAGACAGAGGGAGCGGCCCTTACGACTGATTTGTGTTTACACAATAAGGAAATCTCTCCTCTGGGGTCTCTCCGTAGTTCACAGGGACCCTGCTTCCAGGGGCACGCGTGGCGAAGAGAGTCCGTCCAGAGCTCCAGCCCTCACTGCACTTCCCAGGTGCCAAGACAAAACATCACTGGGTGGGGAGAGAACTGTCATGAGGATTATTCCCCCGCCACACAATGCTGAGCTTCTCTCCCTCTCTTTTTGAAGAAGTGCGTTTATGACTGATCGCTCAACACCTTGTTGGTTCTGATTGCAGAAAACACACCTTATAAATATATGATAACCATCCTGTAATAGAGAGTGTGACAATTTACTTCACAGTGCGTTTCGGGCTGCTAATTGATCGTTTCAGTCCAGGGACGATTTGGAATAAATTATAGCCATCAAAAGGATATCACAGCTCATTTTGGTGGAAGGGTTTCCACGTCGCTTCGCGTTCGTCTCCCGGAGAGAGCAGATTGCACCCGGCGGGCGTTGAGGAGCGGAGGGAGGGGGCAGGGGAAAAGGAGGCCAGCGGGGCGGGGATGGGCCGAAGGGCGGGGCCGGGGGGCGGGGCAGCGTCTCCCGCGGCGGCTGCAGGTCCGCCGCCGGACGGTAGAGGCCTCCCTTCCGAGGAGGCGGTGCTGGGGCGGGCGCAGGACTGCAGGCTGGGGCTCCGCTCCCCGGCGGGAGCCCGCGCGTGGTTCCCAGCGAAGTCCCCGCGC
The DNA here is from genome assembly GCF_000001405.40 of Homo sapiens. Classification (NCBI taxonomy): domain Eukaryota; kingdom Metazoa; phylum Chordata; class Mammalia; order Primates; family Hominidae; genus Homo; species Homo sapiens. Next base: position 90,851,553 of record NC_000001.11, on the reverse strand, counting down.
GGCTGGGCCCAGCGTGAGTATTCTCCGCCCGCTGTCCTCCCCCTGGAGGCGGCAGCGCCCGTTTATTTGAGGTGAGAGTCTCCCTCGGGCAGAGGGCCCTGCTTGGGGCGGGGGTGCTTGCGTGCGCGGGGTCTCACCTCCTGCCCGAGGCTTCCCCTCAGTGGGGCTGCTCCGCAGGGCAGACGCGGTGACCCAGGGCGCTGCGTTCTGCGCTCCTGGAGCTGGAGGTAGCGAGGCGTGGAGGCGCCGTGGCCCCGTTGGGGGCTTTGTGTGCACTTGGGGCTCGTGACTCGGATAGCTCTGGTTCCCACGTTGCAGTTGGGGAGGAGGCTAGTGGAGAGACCCAGTCTGGAGGGAGCTGTGCCCACCGCAAACCCCAGGAGAGGGCGTGGAGAGGGCCGGCCCGCCGGGACGGCGCAGCCAGGCGATGCCGGGGTCGCCCGGGGGTCGCTAGGGCAGCGGGTGACGCGCTGTGGAGCGCGGCGAGAACGACGGCCTCTGACCCCGGAGCGCTCGCCAAGGCCACGCCGAGGTGGCTGGACCCTGCCCCTCCCCGCTGCCGGCCTGGGCCCCAGCCTGCCTCAGAGACTTCGATTTCAGTTTCCAGCAAAAGTGTGTGCCATTGTGTGGTGGTCGTGGAGGAGGGAGACCCACGCGCCTGTCTATCGCTGGATGGGATTGGAATTTGAAGAAAAAATGTCCCTACTCCTGTTGCGGGTTCTTGCCTATCTGGCCGCCTCCAGTCCCGCCCACGAGACCTCCAGCTTTCATTTTCTTCCTGAACTAAAGCCCGAGGACTGAGGCCCTTCACGCGTAGCGTAGCCCCCACCCCCGGTGCCCAAAGCCGGCCATCGCACGGCGGTTCTTAGCTTTTTAGTCTCTGTCACGCTAATACATGCTGTTAGTCCAGGTCAGGGATGGTTCCATGCAGGCGATTTTGACAGCAGTCATCATACCAAGCTATTAGGAAGCGTGATGTCAGTGCGTTCTGGAAGGACAGATAATTTATAAACCAGTTCTTGACATGGTATCTTACAAGGAAACATCTGAAGCCATCAGTAAAAGAGGCATTTTAATTCACACACTAAAAATATTTTGTGTTTAGTTAACATCGTGCAAATGTTGAAAGAGGTAGTAGCATTTATCATTTTGTAGGTATTTATCAAGGTACTCAAAAAAGTCCCTATAGGAAGGAGGAGGTTTTTGTCTTATTTCCATTCTGACATAAACTGAGGAACAGAGATGTTATGTAACCAAATAGTCCAAGTAAGTTAGTGAGAGAGCTCTATTTATGTGACCAAACATTTTCTAAAACTGGAATAATAGGAAAAATCAAGTCCAAATTTAAGCAGATGCTTTAGGCTTAATATTATATGATAGCCAGAAGTTGTATTTACATGGACCAAATACTTTGGGAGGCTAATCTGTGGGAATTAATTTTATAGTGAACTCCATATGGGGCCCAAGATACAGTTTTCTTTTCCTCCATCCATCCATTCAATAAGTATTTATTCATTATCTATTATAGGTCCTCCACTTCCCTTTGCCATTGAACATGATCCCTATGGACCTTTAATAAGTAATTGTTGAAATGTAACTAAAATATGTATATTTTCTCCTTGCTCCAAGAAACTCAAGGAACATTATTATGAAAGAGTTAAAAACTGTGGCCTTTCTTTGATACAAATGGAAAATTGTGTTGATTACCTTTAAGTAGAAAGTCAAGGGAAAAAAATAAATTAGGAATCAGAAAGTTTTCTCCAGATTGTGCCGTATTCACAGTACCACACAGTACCATGTTTTTTTTTTTTTCTCCTTTAAAACTCATTAAGCAAAGTTTAAAGGGCATACATGATTGAAGGGGATATTCTTTTAATTACTTTAGAAAGCAAAATAATCCTTAAAAGGTCTTGCTCCTTATTTGGTATACTGGACGGGCTGGTTTCATTTGAGTTGAAAGCACTATATTTCTAGTTAAAATCAAGACCACATACAGTACCTTTTTTCCCCCCAATCTTAAGTCAGAATTGTCTACAATTAAGTAAACAAAATGCATCCCAAGTAGTCATACATACACCTGGTTAAAATTAATTGGTTTAATAAAAATATAAAAACATACTCAATATGTTTATCTCAGTTATAGTTTTCATCTTTCTTGGATAATGCTTGAAATCATTCAAAACAATATCTAGATCCTAAATATTAAAACATTTTGTGTGAAATCTGCAAGATGCACCTAAAGGATGTACCATTTTTTGAAGTACAATATGTTAGGAATAATTTTGTCCCTAACTCTCAGCTGGAGGGCTGAAACGGTATAACCAAGGTCTAACTAATGTCTGCATGTTAACAACTACACCAGAACTTACACAAACATTTTAGTGTGTTCTCATCTATCAAGTCATCTTGGAAGGCTGTCACTTATTGTGTAGGTGCTTCCATTGCTGCCATTGCTCAAAACGTTTCTGGAGCTCTTTGTTGGGCACTGCTTTCAGAACCCACAGCACATCTGGTTTAAGAGCCTTGGAGGTGGCAAGCCATCTTCCTTTAGCATCCTTCAGTGCTCTGAAGAATAAGGTGGGTGGTCAAGTCAGGATAATATAATTTGGGGTCAAAACAAGCTGAAAGAAAATTAGATGACTTCCCTCAATGACTTTTTAACTAGTTATAAAGTCATCATACTAACATATGGCAGCACCACTGGAATAAGAGTAGCTGCTAAAGGACAGCCTTAAGAAAAGTGCTACACATTCTCTTTGATTGTCAATGAATTACTAACTTAACAATCATATACATGTATAGTGCATTGGTATGCATGATAAAGACATTACTTCAAAAAGTTATATTGTCAAGAGTTTGGTTGGTTGATTCTAAATTTTTTGAGTGCACAATTTTGGTATGATTTAAAAAGCTAAGTTCTAGAATATGGAATTGGGTGGGAAACATTCAAGATGTCGTGGCTAAAATTAGGGTTGCCCTATATAATTCCACAGGATTGGCATTCCACATTCCTTGAAATATTAAAGAATCATACTCATTTAAGAAATCAAACATAACTTGTATTCTATTTGGTGAGCAAGGCTTTGACTATTACAAAAAACTTCCCCTTCTCCTAGCCTATGGGTGAGGCCTAACCTGTGAGGTCAAACACTTGTCATTTTTAGTAGTTGATCATAAATACAGACTGAAAAGCATATGTGTAGTGGAACCACCATATTGTTTTAAGTGAATAATATTCAACCTGCTTTACAAAATACAGAATCATGAAACTCCTAGCCCAGTGAACTAAGCTCTTATTATAATATTCAAGGCCAGAATGTGGGAGATGGTATGGAAAGTCATCCAAGGAAAAGAGTGGGATGGGGGAGAAAGAGGTTAGTCATGGGGCTTTTTAATTATAATTAGTTGTATTCATCTGAGGGAACAACTTACCATTGCTTTCCAAAAACCAGCAATTTAAAATTTGAGGAAATAATTCAAATTCAACTCCAGCTGAGACTATACAGAAAACCAAGAAAAGCAGAAAGAATGTAATTAGCTGAGTAGGAATTTTCCTAACAGTTCAAGTCTAATACCTTTAGTATTATATAGAGGGCCAAGGGATCATTAGTGATTAGCAAGAATCCAGACCATACTGATCAGGAGAGATCAAGGCCAATGGACAAAGATGAAAGAGCTTTCCTGCTTAAACCCAATGTTGCAAATGCTGATGCTCTTACATAGGGAAGGTCAGCCAGCAGACAAAGAAATAGGGCAGTCGTCCCAAAGCAACAAGTAGAGTCATTCCTCTCTTTCACTCCAGAGTTAGATTGCATATGGAGATTAACCAAGATTGAGCTGAGACAAAAAGAATATCATTCTTTCAGCCAGGTATAAGGTCTGGAACTGAGTCCTGTTTCTGCTTTGATGAACTTGGGTATTGTCCAGACATTGGGGAAGGGAAAACCTGCTGGGCCCTGGATACCAAGATTACACACCTAATTAAAAAGGTCAGTGAACAAGGTGGACAGACCCAATTCTAGATCTTTTCTGGGGAAAGACACCGGACTGCTTGTCCATTAGGTAGACAGAATGACTCTTAAAATGTATGTTAGATGCCAGGAGTGGTGGTTCATGCCTGTAATCCCAGCACTCTGGGAGGCCGAGGCAGGTGGATCACCTAAAGTCGGGAGTTTGAGACCAGCCTGGCCAACATGGTAAAACCCCGTCTCTACTAAAAGTACAAAAATTAGCTGGGCATGGTGACACACGTCTGTGATCTCAGCTACTCGGGAGGCTGAGGCAGGAGAATCACTTGCACCCAGGATGTGGAGGTTGCAGTGAGCCCAGATCGTCCCACTGCACTTCACCCTGGGTGACAGAGTGAGACTCCACCTAAAAAAAAGAAAAAAATAAAATTAGGGGTACAAGGGAGTATCAGTTATCTGAAGGGAGTATCAGTTATCTGGCAAACTATCCATAAATAGTACTTGTGGAAAAACAAGTAACAGTGATTTTAGCCTTCCTTTTTAAATGGGGAGCCTAACCATCATGACTACCCATCTTGTTGTTGTTGTTGTTGTTGTTGTTGTTTTGAGATAGGGTCTCACTCTGTCACCCAGGCGGGAAGTGCTGCAGTGGCATGATCTCAGCTCACTGCAACCTCCGCCTCCCAGACTCAAGTCATCCTCCTACCTTGGCTCCCCAGGTAGCTGGGACCTCAGCTGTGTGCCACCACGCCTGGCTAATTTTTTGTATTTTTGGTAGAGACAGGGTTTTGCCATGTTGCCCAGGCTGATCTTGAACTCCTGAGCTCAAGTGATACTCCCGTCTCAGCCTCCCAAAGTGCTGGGATCACAGGCATGAACCACCGCACCCAGCCATGACTGCTCAGCTTCTATAGATTTAAGAGTTCGTGCAAATATTTTAAAATTTGAGTCTAAATATTAAATTTTGTGTATAGTGTTTGTAGCTTCAGGAGTGGGGAGAGGGTAGTTCTCAGTATGGTCCAGGTAGTTGTAATAGAAGCCTGGTGAGTATAATTTGAAGTCCATCTCTTTTAAAGAGAGAGGTTCCTGTCTTTAGATTCCAAAATTCACATGTGGATCCAGAGTACAGAAAAGGTAGAGGACTGCCATGAGAATTGAGAAGTGGTAGAAAGAGTCCTGGACTGGGAGTGGGAACTAGGTTTATCATGTCCCAATTATGTTTCTTGAGGCAAATTTTAGTTTTCCTCATAGGCAAAATGTATATAATTGTAATATCTACTAGTCTACTTTGCAGGGTAGTTTGTGCCTTATCTGAGATGAAGTAAATGAAACACTTGCTGTGCATGCGCAGGATTTTGTGTGCTACAATGCAGGTTTTATAGGTGAAGGTAATGCTTATAGCCCTGGAGTTGTCCAAATATATGAACCAAAATATAAAGAAAGCTAGAAACCCACCTGTGGGAACTTGGGAGAATAGAATAGTTTTAGCGTGGATACCAGAGACAAATGGATAGTATAGTCATTACTCCTTTTTCAGATTCATAGGAAGTACCCTGTTGCCATTGCAAGAGATTTTGTTTTTACACTTCCTGAAGACCTGTTGTGTATAAAGTAACCTTAAGATAGCCCCCTTTATACTATCAAGCTCAATTCTGCAGCAGTGGCACTGAAAGGACAAACTTTCTTTGTGGAGAAAATTGACCAGACTCCTAGGCCTTGATTATTGTACTCCCAATGGTCCTTCTTTTCTTAGAGATTTCATTAATCCCCATTGCCATGTTCATACCTTAAAGGAGAAGAAGAAGCTGACTTGAGTTCTACAGATTGGCTTAATCGGTCAGCTATGAACATTTTCTAAAAACAGTTGTTATTCTTCCCACAGCAGCAATTCATTTCTTTTGCAGACACAGCAGGACCCCACCTCTCTGGACCCTGCAGACCATTAAAAGAAATTAACAGTTTAATTTTCTCCTTCTTTCCTCTGTGTATTTAAAAGGTACAGAGGATTAAGGGGGAAGGGCAGTTTGCCTCTCTACCTCACAGAAACCCCTGTACAGATATAGACAGCATCATTGGCTCCCACCAACATGAGGCATGGCTCCTAGAGAGGAGGGGGAAGTGGATGTGGGTGTCCTCAGGTGGGTATATACTCATCCTTTCTTCTGTTGAGTTGCCGGATTTCACCTCATGAAGAGTAAAAACAATGCCCCTTCTCTGAAGTCATGTTAGAGGGATGTTTTCTGGAGGCTTGTTGAGTATCCTCCATACAGGAATGCTTCATAAGTTCACATTGTGTGAGGGACCATGTATGTGAGCCAGGACAATACAGTCACAAAGGAAAAGGGGCATTTGATTCAGGCAGTATGTGTTTGAACATCAGATCTGCTCACCAGCTTAGTGGCTTGGGCAAATTTCTTCATCTCTCTGAGTCTCAGTTTCTTTATCTGCGAAATGGCAGTAATAACAGTGCTCACTTCTAAGGATTAGTGTGCATGAGGTGAGTGTATGACAAACGGGAGTTGTAATATTAGGCTCTGGGGAGTCAGGGAGGAATATAAATAAATATAAGGCAAATTCCCATCTTCAAGGAGCTTTCAGTTTGGTTGGAAGGGACTGAATAAAAATAAAGCTGACAATACAAGGCAGAAAATGGGAGCACCAAATGAGTGCTGCAGATGACAAATTCAGCAGTCTGCCAAGGACTAGGATGATGGTTGAAAGGTTTCAAGACAGAGGTGGGAGTTTCTCTCCGGATTTGCAGACTGGACAGGAGTCAGATATATGGAGTGAAATTGAGAAATCATCCAGATGACAAGAGGAAGGAGGAATCAGAACACACAGCACATGCATAGCAGGGGGGAGAGTATGCTGGAGTGGAAAGTATACCAGCTTTTGAGCCAGATGTAAGAATCCTAGTGCTGCTGTGAGACCTTAGTTGGACAAGTACCTTAACTTCTTTAGCCTTCTACAGCCTTAAAATGGGTATAATTATACCCATCTCTTAAATGGAAGGGATTAAATAAGATAATATTTGTAATGCCTAACATGGTGCCTGGCATCTTCAGTAAAATAAAGACAATTCACATGATGTTTTCAGCGGACAAAGAGAGAGCTGTCTGCCTGAAGAGCTGTCTGGCCTTGTGTAGGCTAGTAGTGGAAAACAAACCAGGAACAGCTAATTAATGCCTATGGGGAGGGTAGGAAGGAGGCTTGAAAGCCAATTTAAGAAGCTGGGGCTGGCCGGGAGCGGTGGCTCACGCCTGTAATCCTAGCACTTTGGGAGGCTGAGATGGGCAGATCACCTGAGGTCAGGAGTTCAAGACCAGCCTCAACATGGAGAAACCTCAACATGGAGAAAATACAAAATTAGCCGGGTGTGGTGGTGCATGCCTGTAATCCCAGCTACTCGGGAGGCTGAGGCAGGAGAATTGCTTGAACCTGGGAGGTGGAGGTTGTGGTGAGCCGAGATTGTGCCATTGCACTCCAGTCTGGAAAACAAGAGGGAAACTCCGTCTCAGAAAAAAAAAAAAAAAAAAAAAAAAAGAAGCTGGGGCTGTTATAGGCAATCAGAACTACCAAGGCAAAGTAGGGGTTTAGGATAGTTAATCTTAAGGCACTCTGAAAGCTGTATTTGAGGAAGGAAGAAACTCACTCCTTTATGTGTAAAGTGATCAGGGTCTAGATGAGGATGGTGGAAGGGTTAGTAGACCTGGCCAATGTCTTTTTAAAGTTATTTTCATAAAAGCAATTTAGGGCTCAGCAGTGTGGAGTAGGGGGGAGCTTTTTTGTTTGTTTTGTTTGTAGATTCCTAATATTTAGTATTGATTGTCTACAATAAAACTAGGATAGACCCACAACTTTGGAAAAGAGAGATCACTCAGCATTCAGGGACAGTACAAGGTGAGAAGTAATTCTGATGCTAAATAAGCCCTATAATTTGCTTCAACTTATAAAATAGCCCCTTTTAAAAGCCCCTTCCCCCTTCCTATTATTAATACAGATCAAGTGTGTTCCAACCACTGGTTTTCAGGAAGACATAAGTACAGATCATTTATCGTTGTATGGAGTTTGCAGTTAGGATTGTAACACCAAGAGGGGTTGGGGCAAAGGGCGAGGATGCTGCCAGCAAAATAGTAATGTTGATGATTTTATTTATTTGATAATAGTGAAATTCTGTTCTCTCCTGGGGTTTAGAAGTGATTTAATTAAAAAACAAACCTAGGAAATAGTTTTGGATACTAGGAATTAATTTATAATGTCTCACATTTTCTACCTTTCTCTTTTTTTTCTGTCTTTAGTAGTTTTGTAATGGGAGAATACATGGTAGATAATTCTGTTTCTAAGGAAAATCACACTGATTATGTATATGAACACTGGTTTTTAAAACGTTAGGAAATCCTAACTGTGGTAAGCCTTAAACATATTAAATAGGAACTGATAACCAACCTACCTCTGATTTCCTGAACTTTGCTGTTCTCTTATTGGGCTGCAAGGGCAACATTGTGCCAATAGCTCTGGGGTGCCTGAATAGTGCATTGCTTCCCTTGGAAGAAAGATGTACATGAAAGAAGATTGTGTGCAGTGGTTGACAAACACAGAAAGAAGATAAGTGACTAAGAAAAAGGTAGGCCCTGCAAGGTTAGAGGCAAAGCCAGCTGGCTTAGTCCCAGTGCTTCGAGCAGGAGGAGCAAGGAGTGTTCATTTCATTTCTTGTCTCCTGAGTTTATTTAAATCATCTGCTGGGAGGGGGGAAGGAAAGAAAGCATGATGTTATAAGGCTGATTAAGATGCAAACATGCAGATTATATCAGGCTACTGGCAGTCCTTTTCACTCCAGCCTAGAAAGAGAAGACTGTATAAGAAACCTGATCGAAGGGAAGGGAGAGGAGAAAGCAAAAGACATCTCTTCACTTTTTAATGAAAGAGTTTATGAATATCTATTGCTTTTGGATTTCTGGTATCCGTGCCACCCTAACAGATCATCCAAACTAGCCCCTGGCTGAAAGCCTGGCCAGGGGATTTGGACCAGCGGCAGATGCCATTGGGAAGAGGGTCTTCAGGGTCTGCTGGCATTAATTTTGCTAAAGAGACCTCATCAGAGACCAAGCCTCCTCTTGCCTACAGGTGGTGGGCCTTGGAGAGGGCCTCCATGGAGATTTCAGCCTTGCCCCCTCCTCCAACCTCTCTGCCTTCTGCTTTTGCATTGGGACCTCTCTTTCTCTCTTCCCCCTTTTTTCAATTAAATGAATTAATTACCAGGCGTTTAACTTTTTGCCAGGCTCTTTTATTATGCCCAGAGTTGTTGCTGAGTGGCAAAGGGAAGTAATAACATTCACAGTAAGGGGCAAATCCTGTTAATGAACAAATTAAAGTTCAAACAGTGATTCAAGTTCACAACCTCTCTGTGGCTCTTCTCTTTAATAAGAGTTTTACATGTTACTTTCCTCGCTCTTTTCTCCCTTTTATTACTTTTTAAGCTTTTCATCAACACTGCCGGGGCATATTTGAGGCTCCCAACCTTTCAGCCCTGACAAGGACTCGAGCAGTTATAATCCTGTCTTAATTTGGCAACTTTTGTAAAACACATAAAGGGCCCAGGGTCACCTTTGGTCGCCAAGGCCCTGGGTGACCCTATAGCTTCCACCTCCTGCCAGGGCTGCGTAGGCCACTCTTCTCGGTATTCATGCCCCTCTGGCAGTCAGGATCAGAAGATTCACCTTCCCGCCCCCGACACAGCCAGGCATAACCTGTCCACAAGTTAAGGGTTCGAGCCCTTTCTTCTCTCGGTCCCCTCTCCAACAGTCCTTTCTACCCAGCAGCGCTGTGGGGGGAAGGGGACGCCATGGGGAGGGAGGAGCCTACGGACTAAAAGCTGGAAACCTTTATGGGGAAACGGATTTGAGGTGGGACGGATGCCCGACTCCCTCTCCACTACCACTACCGAATGCTGCTCGCCTCGCTGAGGTCGCCTCACCACGCGGTTCCAAGGGCAGGAGGCCCAGTCCTCCTTAGTACTCTGACGTGAGCGGAGCCTGGGCCTGGCGGGAAGAGCTCAGGAGGGGTCCGGTCCCCGCCCACTCCTCTCCCCTCTCTCTCTCTCTCTCTTTCTTTTTTTTTTGTACTGTGGATTGCGTGGGGGTCTTTTCCACCTCCGCGCCGGCTTCTCACCACCATCCCCCGAGCATGGCTAGATATCATCACCATGACAACTGCAATCTATGAGCATACACATAATAGAGATGAAATAGACAAAAGATTAGCATGCCATGAAAAGTACAATAAGTTTCTTATTTAGCATTTAGATAACTGTCTTTCCTTCGGAGCAAGCTTCAAAGTTGAAGCCAGTTTAGACCAAGAGGATTAATTCTTTCTCCCGCATGCTTCATTGAATCTCTCATTACCAAACTTTGTCTGTATTGATGTAAGATTTGATTGAAGATTAGAGCATTTAGCAAATCTTGCTTTTCTGCATGTATCAGGTCCTTTCAAGCACGGATCTCGGTGCCCAGTGGTCAATACCCTTACTTTTATCCAGTGTCTGCTTCATTTAAACTTAATCAACTCCATCAATGAACTGGAACAGGGAAACGTCCCTGTGGTAAGAATGTTGTGCTTTTGTGGGATAATTCTTTGCTCTTTCCCGATCTGTTGGCGTTAAACCTAAAATTGCACTATGACGAACTTTTTTTTAATCAATATGATAATGACAATTGGGTCTGAAAGCTCTGGTGGGACTTGGAGTAGAGCGGGATCTGTCCCCCATTACCAAAATAACTTCTCGTTCTGCGATAGTCGAACTCCTTTTGTGTGGCTTTAATACCTTTTCTTCCCTGACATTGAATATTGCTCAAGCTGGAAAATGATGCATCTTTGTAGGGAAGGCTCGTATGTCACAGCCAGAAAGTGAAGCAGACCGATTGGTTGTGTGAATTATCTGACTTGCTGCAGTGAATTATTTGCACTGTTTCCCTACCTAGTCAACAAGTTCCTGAGGTATAGTAGAGATCAATCAAAACTGACAGCCCGCGTGTGAAGGCTTTACTGTGTAAATCTGGCGCACTCATCCTGGCCATGCCGGCCCTGGCATCTGTATATCATTTTTATACTGCTACCAGTAGAGCAATTTCAAAAGTATTTGCAAGGAAAATGCGTGTCCCCATCTGTTCCTGGAAGCATAAATGTGCCACCTTCAGAGGGTTTTCACTGGTAATCATATCTTTAATGATCAACAGACTAGTGATATATACCTTTCCATAAAATGGGGTTTTCTTCACTTTATTGTGATTGGCTAGAATAAATAGCTTTTCCATATGTTAGGGAGATAAAATACAAGATTAGCAGAGGTCGTTTGTTGGATAGTAAACAAAAGAAACAATTCATTCCAAATAATCTTGAAAAGAAGCAACGACAAAATTAAGTTGCAATCACAGAGTATCTGAGGCCCCAACATCAGAAAACAGACCTCGTTCCTCCTTGGAAAAGGAGCCGTTTAAGAGCAGAAACTCAAGAATCTTCTAGGGGACTCTGGTGACTTATTCTTGGAGTCGGAGAGGGGCAGGATAGGGAAGGAGAGAGAGGCTGGAATAATACTTGTTTGTTCAACTTTGTAGGATTGTATTTCCTTTCTCTTATCTCAGGTGCTATTTGGCCGCCTCCACTGCAGCACCCTGGGTAAATTGGTAGGTGATGTGTTCAGAAAGCAGGAAAATGCCACTCTGCTGAATTTCTCTTCAGGACTTTCAAGGAGATGGGGATTGTTCACATACTTTAAAATAAAGGTTAACTTCCCCTAGCCAGAGATTTCTTTTCCCATAGAAAAAGATGTTGGAGGGTGGGGCAAAGTTCCCAGCTTTACGTGAAATTCCAAAACCTAGGGAAAGGGGCCTCAAGAGATAGCCAAAACTCACTGGAGAAACCCTAGGAAATGTTCTTAGTCATCGAATCCCACCTGTATAGGTAACAGTCTGCAGATACAATCAGGCCCTGACCACTATCCCTCCTCCTCCCACACACCCACTCTCAGTGCCAAGATTCCTTTTTCTCAGATGCAGCCACTTTCAGTTTGCTGAGCCATCTGTTTTTTTTTTTGTTGTTGTTGACAGGGTTTCGCTCTCTCACCCAGGCTGGAGTGCAGTGGCATGATCTCGGCTCACTGCAACCTCCACCTCCCGGGTTCAAGTGATTCTCATGCCTCAGCCTCCCGAACAGCTGGGATTACAGGTGCCTGCCACAACACTGGGCTAATTTTGTATTTTTAATAGAGACCGGGTTTCGCCATGTTGGTCAGGCTGGTCTCAAACTCCTGATCTCAAGTGATCTGCCCACCTCAGCCTCCCAAAGTGCTGGGATTACGGGCGTGCTGAGCCATCTTGGCGAAATTTGGAAGCTTCTCCTTCAAGATTCTGGGCGCAGAGGTTTGGAGGCAGTGACTGCCTGCTTAGGAGACTACAATTCTATTTTGTTTCCAGGGTTAGGACAGAACTTCCCATTCCACAAATATTGTATTGGTTGCAGGTCACCAGAATCTGAATGATGCCCTCAGCCTTTGTGCTCTCCAGAAAATAGGTGTGAGCTATGAGGACCTGCTCCCTATGGTCAGGACTTGAGAAGGAGTTGGGGGAGGTTCTCTTTAAACATTGGGAACAGACTCTGGTTCTGCATTCTTTCCTGTTGTCTCTTGTTATGTATATGTTATGTATTGATGATCTCCCCATCCCCTCATCCCCACTGCTCCCACCCTTATTCCACAGAATTCTTTGCTCTACCCAAATGCCTACTGCTCTTATTATAGCAGGAGTGTGTAGCAGAAGTGTGTTAGTTTCAATGTGGGAAAGGTGGTCTGTAGGCAGGTCCCAAGCAGAAAGTTTCCATTAGCATCTCAGATCAAATTTGTGTTAATTTCCTGGCCCTAGAGAGACTTGGGAAAAACTTTTAGGACAGTAGAAAAACAGCTCACCCAAAGCCCATGGTGAGAAAAAAAATGCATAACTAAGGAAATACTTTTTTTTTCTTAATTTTAGAAACACTATATACATATATATATATATATTCCTTTATATATATATATTCCTTTATATATATATATATATTCCTTTATATATATATATATATATATATATTTTTTTTTTTTTTTTGAGATGGAGTTTCACTCTTGTTGCCCAGGTTGGAGTGCAATGGCACGATCTCAGCTCACTGAAACCTCTGCCTCTCGGGTTCAAGCGATTCTCCTGCCTTAGCCTCCCGAGTAGCTGGGATTACAGGCATGCACCACCACGCTTGGCTTATTTTGTATTTTTAGCAGAGACGGGGTTTCACCATGTTGACCAGGCTGGTCTCGAACTCCTAACCTCAGGTGATCCACCTGCCTCGGCCTCCCAAAGTGCTGGGATTACAGGCGTGAGCCACCACGCCCAGCCTAGAAACAGAATCTTATAGGCTGGGTTGCACATAGGCAGGTATGGACATATAAGTCTAGATTTACAAGTAGGTCACACTGACCTGAAACCACATTTCCTGTAGTATGCAATTAGACTGAAAGAAAGTCACATCTGTGTTTTCCACATTGTGATGTGATGCACTGCAGGTCTTCAGTGAATTCGCTTGCCACAAGGAAATTCTGGCATGTGTTGTATGTGAAATGTGATATGTACTTAATTTAAAAAATTGAGTTTCGTGATTTCTGTGTCTTTAAATTTGATACACGTTTTGTATTGAATTTCTATGTTAATTGTTTTCATAAAGTGAAAAGAAGTAAAAACCTCACCAACTGGTTTTATGTAGAAGAGGTAAATCTGTGACGTTTGCTCCTTCTCTTGTCCAGGAGGATGAGGCTGTCACTACTACAGTTGGGACTGTTTCATACTCCGTGCTCTTGTGCTATGCCAGGGGGTACTGTCTAACCCACAAGTCTCTGCCAGGAATGTTGCTGTCCACACTGGAGTGTAAGACACCTGCGGAGCTCGTCTATGGGGCTCATGTTGGCTGAGGCTCTGAACTACAGAACTGCAAACAACCAAGGGAGCGCCCCAGGCCCCAGGTATTCCTAAACCTTAGATCAGAGCCATTTGCAGCACAGAGTTGTGTGCTGTTTCAAAACCACAGACCCTGTATATACGCCCCTCCATTGCAGAGGTGGATGTCTTGGCAAATGTAGGACGAGGATTGAAAATTAAAAAACAAACACACCGTGTTCAGGGTGAAAATTACATACATTGACAATACTGTCTCTTTTCCTCCACAATCTTACTGCCACCAGGCAGCCTCAGTCAGTCCGTGCTTATTTCACTGAAAATGTACTTAATCTCAGAAAAGCTATCTATATGTAAGAACATATTTTGTTAATCAATTTTATGAAAACAAAACCCCTCTCACCTTAGTTGAATAAAGTGCTAATTTGAAATACTGCCTCATGATTGTAATATGCACACATATGTAATAGTATTTGTTTTTTAGGTGTCCCTTAACAAGACAGGGATGAGCAAACTATATGGTGCGTGCTGGAAAGAAATTCAGTTTTAAATGACCTTAAGGAAATGGCTTGTTTGGTTAAGGAAAATAAACTCAATTGACAGTTAAGGTGAAATGAACTTGTAAAATTTCGTATCAATTACAACTCTTATCGATAAAATGCCACCTGGATCTTTAAAATGCCAAGGTGTTCAAAGTTATCAGAAAATTTAAAATTGGGGGGGGGGGGTTGAAGTATTTTTGTTGTTGTTGTTATTGTTCTCCCTCGCACTAAACAGCATAGAAGTAATAGTTTCCGTCACTTCAGGCTTCTATTGGGGGATTTTCATCTTGTTCCAGAAGGAAGTAGCAGGAAAGCAACTTGTATAGGTAACAGCCTCAGTCTAAAGGGCATTATTTCCAGGCAGAATTTCTATAGTTACCCTTGTCTGGGAACACTGTTAAGGGATATGTTTTAATTTTAGGTCAGAACAACTGGGTTAAGCATTATGTAAGATCTGGAGAAAACACTGATGAGGGAAGGTGGAGGAGAAAGCAAGCAACATTAGTTTACTGCGCGGCCAAAGGACTACTCCAGGCACCAGTGAGGAAGGGTAATTTAGATTTCTAGTGGGCACCCTGCCGGCCCATTTCATAACAATCAGGGGGCCTGGAGTGGGGGGGCTTGCGGGTAGTTGATATCAAATCCCGGTCTCTCTCACTTCCGCTCAATCGGCTTTTGGCCAAAGACGAGTATCTTCTTCCTGGACTGCCTTCTCCCACCCCAACCCAGACACCAAGGGGACGCGACAGCGGTTTTGGGACGCTGGCTGATCATCTGAGAGGAGGCGATCCCGGCCCCGCTGGGCGTTCAGGATCCCGATCTGGATGCCGTCCACCCCGCCCCGCCGGGGGCTGGGGCGAAAGCGGAACAAGTCGGCGGGGCTGGTTGGGCCGCGACCTCCGGGGCACGTGGCCGCAGACAGTGCCCGTGCCGGGGCGGGGAGGCGAGTTCTCCCTGCGGCCGCGGACCCTGGATGGTGGCGTCGCCCGAAGACGCGCCTCACCGGCCTGGGTGGGGTTGCCTTTTGCCCTCGAGGCTGGCCTAAGCGCTGGGGGGCCGCTGGCTAACCCTGAGGTAGATACTCGGGAAATGGGTGGAATAGGGAAAGGGACTCAGCCCTTCCGCCCTTTTCCCCAGTCGAGGCCCGCGTCACTGCCCTGTGGGTGCAGACGCCTCCAGTGTCACTCCCCTGGATTTCGCTTGGGCAGAAGAAGAGATTGTAGGCCGGACCCCAACGCCGAAGCCCTGAGGTGAGAGGGGACGGGGAGTCTCCGCTGCGACTGGCGGCCCCTCCCTCAGGCACCTTCTCCTAACATTTCTGACTAAACGCCCCCAGGGGCGAAAACCGCTCCTCCTCCCCAGTTCCTGCGCTCGGTGGCCTGGGGCTCGGGGTTTGGGGGTTGCTCCTCGTCTGCCTCGAGGCCACTCGCTCGCGCTCGAGGGTCCTCTCCCGGCCAGCCCCGTGGGCTCGCCCCTCTCAGCCTCCTGCTGGACGTTGTCTGAGCTCCTCGCGGGCGCCGCTTGAAAGTGGGCCCAACCCGTGGGGGCGCCGGGCTGGTCTAGGCTCTGCCCTGGGGCTTCTGCGGCCTGGAGCTGAGGAGCCGGGGCCTTCGCGCCTCTCGGCGCCGGCTCCTCGCGTTGCTCGAAAGCCCGTCTGAGTAATAGTCAACTGTTTTTGTCACTTTCTTAAGATGCATCATCCCTGGTCTCTCTTGTTTCATTACGAAAAATCCCAGAGAAACCACCCGGCAGGATCAATCAGACGCAGGCAGCCAGACAGTTTTCTTGTACTTTATTAAAGTGTAATCAAACATCGGTTAAGTGGAAAATAAATATCCAGATCTAATAAGCTGCTCAGTCAGATCGTGTAAATGCAAATTACAAGCTGGTTCCCATCTTCCCGCCAGGGGATTGAACAAGCCACAGCAATTGCTTCATCCACTGCGATTGTAAATCAACTAAAATAATGGCTGGATAATGACCAGTTTGCGGTTTCAAGCAGATTGAATGATAACAAACTGCGTGTGTCGCACCAGCTTTTCATTTAGCATCTCATCATGGAGCGAGCAGCCCGCCTAACAGCTTGGCTCCCTCATTAGGTTGTTGTCTGCAGCTTGTAAATTCACACTGCAGCCAGCAGATTACCTGACAAACTTCTTGATAGGAAAAGCTAGACAATTCAATCCGGCCCATCAATCCCTCCCTGCGAAGGCAGGCACATTGATCTATTGCTGAGCGCTGCGGCGAATTGATAACAATATGATGCCTCCTAATGTGGTGGAGGAAATATGTACGCATGTATACATGCAGAAATATATAGGGAAGCACACTCATGGGTACGCACGCGAACAAGAGCCGTGTGTGCAGGAGAGAGGGGTGCGCCACAGACACGCCGCCCACCGCAGCCCCAGCCTCTCGCGTGGGGCCTCTGCCCGCACACACGCAGCCAGGCACTGTAAGCATCTTCACTTTTTGTTTTTTGCTGATGTTGATTTAGTTGCTAATTGGTGACAGAAATTGTCAAATAGGTGGCAGATAGCGACTGCGGAAACTTCCGTTGAAGGAGGTGAGAAAATCCTTTCAAAGATGAACTGCCGCCTGAAAAGGGATGGCTCACTAAATTTCTCCCAGATATTTATTGCTCGTATTAAAAAGATAAATCAGAAAAGAGGAGCGAAGGCATAAACCAGGTATTACAAATGCCATCTACTCTTTATTTAGAACATAGATCACGGTGTTTGTTTGTGGAATCTGTTTGCTTCTAGGATGTAATTTAACATACTAACACTCAACCTATTTAAACAGAAAGACAGATAAAGGCTTACTGGGGATCTCTGGGGGCGGCTGCACAACCCTGCTTTGACTTCGCCTTTCCTCAGGAGCATAAAATGAACAGTAATTAGGCTTTGATACTCTGGCAAATGAACAGTAATTAGAATCTGCTACCTCAAGTCCTTAACTCCACTCCTCATAGAATATTCACACCATTATTGAACATTTAGATTAGGCAGCTTCTATTCCCACAAACGTGGCTTGCCACAGCCCACAGATGGCCCAGGGAAAGAAGAGAGACGATTCGCCAGAGCCTTTGGACCCACAGAGGGGATTTTCTGGTTATTAGAACCCTACTAGATCAGGGCCAATTATAAAGAAAACTGTCAGTCAAGAGAAAATTGCTACATGATTAGTGAAAAGGACAAAAATCAGGTGAAAAGTGTGAATCATTCAGGCAGCTTTGATTTGCTAATCAGGGGAAGGAAAAGAACAGGAAAGTCCCCAGCTGTATCCCTGGTTTACTCTTTTCATTTTATCATGACCTTCTTAGCAGTTACTGATATAATCTCTGCGAAAAAAGAAACAAGCAACCCTCATAAGCACAGAGACCCAGCTCCCAGTGAGCAGGGGAGGTCATGCAGTGTAAATGAGATGAGGAGACCCCGATAACAATGACGGGAGCATGAATAATCAAGGCTTGGGTCTCTGTAGTTACAAGGGCAGGAGATTCCTAATTATGTTAATAGTTTTTAATAGACTAATTCCCACTGAAAAGCCTTTGTGGAGAGACACTGCCTTCTCTGGAGAGAACCATGTTAAGGAACAGCAGGAATGATGTTTATTTTTTTAACCACATTTCTGGGGGAAGCTTCTGGATGGCTTTCTGGTGGAGTATGACATTGAAGGGTGTGGTGGACCCCTTTGTCAGGGCTGGCTGGGCCTGTAGTTTTCCGTCTAGAGAAAAGACAGGTAGCACCAGAGAAGTATATAATGAAGATCAGAGACTAGAGATTGTGACAGCTCTGGCAGCTGATGTATTGGGTCCATGCTAATTTTAGACAGAGGCATTGATGGATCCCAAAATCTTGACCACACATCCCATTAGCCTCTGTCTATGACAGTGGGAGAAAGATATTAAAAAACAGTACAAGTGCCAAAAAAAAAAGCTGACTGAAAGGTGCGGAGCAGTCAAAAAGCCTCAATAAAATCTGAAATAGCTTCAAAAAATATTTCCCTGATATCTTACTATTAAGTTAACCTTGTGGCAGGAAAGTAGGAAGCTAGCTTTTTATTTTTTTCAGACATTTGAAGCATAGGAAGCAGTTCTAAAAGAATTCATTCCATTTAGCAGATTTACAGATGGAGAGGTATAACTTTAGTAGGGCTTCAGATTTTGTGTCGATTAATTATTCCCTGAAGCCCCTGAAACTACAAAGAGCTGTAACATTTTCATACAATCCCAGGGAAATGCTGCAGAAAGCTTTTGTTTGTAGTTGGTTGTTGGCACAGAGATCCCCATCTCTTGCTGAGCTCCTCAGTCCCTTGCTTCTCGACTGTGTGTCTGATTGAAATTGGGTGCTGGCATCACCCGGGTCCAAAAGAACTTTGGAAATTATTTTGATTATTCAAAAGAGCAAGCTGGAAGGAAATTTCGGCATTGGCATTAGAGAAAGGGTCCCTTTCTTTTTAAGCTAGAGAGCATGAGATATTTGGTGGTTGCTCTGGAAAGTCTCAGAATGCGCACCCTCTCTCTCTGCATCCCCCTAACACTCCTAATCCCGCATCCTCAGAACCCACCAATAATGAAGAACCCAAGTGTATCTTTTTTATGACTCTTTCGTCTTATTGTGCGGATCAGGCTAAAATTTTTGACACATTGCCTAAAATATAAATGATCTCCTCTTTGGACAAATAGGAAAGCTGGTTGGAAGTAGCTCAGTTCCAGTCAAAACGGTATCCTCAGTTTAAAGTTGACAAATAATGCTGCATGAAGCTTAGAAACTGAGAGGTTACCTTGACAGACAAGGAGCACAATTATCACAATATGATGAAAGAGCTTCCATGAGTATGTATTGCACCGTTAATTACTGTCCTTTTTCTACAGGCTTCTAATGTGAGGAAAAACACGGAATGACAAGTGTGGGAAAGAGCAAGCACTAAATTACTGTCAGAAAAATAAACGGAGTAGCACAGTGCTGCTCGGTGATTTACGGGGGCAATTAGTCACCACCCCACGGCGCTGCTGAGGACAGCACGGCAGCAGACAAGTCAGGCCCATGAGGAAGAAGAGGCTTTGCACTGCTCTCCAGACAACTTTTCAAACAACAAGAGAGGATATTTGAGCACATTAGGTTTTGTGTCTTCATTCTGGGTACCTACTCTTCATATTATTCTACCAACTTAATACATAAACATATTTTTAGCACAATATGAACCTGTTCTATGTGTGTTTAAAAGCCTCCAGCAGCAACTTTTTTCTCTCCCACTGTCCAAAGTTGGGTTTTCCCCATCCCTTAAAAAACAAAACAAAAAAACCTTTCTTCACTCCAAATTGTCCCCCTGGTGTGTGGTTTTGGTCTTTCTCATTACTTCTTGCATCTTGCTACATGTTCTGCATTTGCTCAGAGCCACTGGGTGCTAAGGAATTTGGTCTGCTGCTCCTCTGGGAAAGTTTGGTAAGCTGGTACAAGGAGGTGATGAACAAGGCTAAATGAAAATCATACATAAACTTCCCAATATTTGTGAACATGTTCTTTAACATACCATACATAGTTTCTATGTATATGTAACATAGCAAAACAAACTTGCTAAGGTATAATTAATTGGTATGCATGCCTTCATAAATATTCACCATCAGAAGAAACCTAGAATGAAAGGTTGTGAAAGAACCCAGGAATGAGAAAGACTTTATTGACTAAAGGCCATGTCTATGTAGGGGCAACAATGAAGCTGTGGGTGAGCAAATGAAGCTTCATCAGGAGTTTAGTATCCTTATGTAGCATTACCTAAGAATGCTACCATAGTAAATTTCTGAAGTACTTTACCTGTTACAAAGAACGTTTGTAATCTCCTTTTCTTATTTGATCTTGCCCTGGCTTTAGTCAGGAACACCTGCTCAGTTAGAAATGTATTCGGTGGGTATGTACGCAGTTGGAGAATGTGCCCCAACACACGCCGCCTTTGGCCTGTATGTTGGAGTCCTAGAGAGGCAGACAATGTTGATGAGCTTGGTACCAGCATGGTGCGCCATTCATCCGGACACAATTTCTGATAAAGAGGGTCACAACTGGGAGAAACCTCAGATTCTACTTGCTTCTCTTCTCCACGTTATTAGACTTTTTTTCCCCTCTTGAATTTTATAAGCACACTCCTTTTAAAACAATTAATTAATAACGAGCACTGGGATTTGATGTAGAATTGCGTATTTGTAACTGCAATGGCACTGGTTTTCAACTACCCTGTAACAAGGAAGCAATTCTAACCAGCAAAAGAGGCAGACGTGTTTCTGTGCAACATCACAGGCGTGTGAAATTGTTCAGATATTGAGATATCAGGAGTGATATAAATTGGAAATTTAACCAAAAATATTTTCCATCAGTGAACAAAGCCGATTTTAAAGTGCCTCTTGCATTTTTCAGATCTTTCTCTTTCTTTTTCCCAAAGTCACATTGTAGTTTCTGATAAAGGAACACACTGGGAAAACTAAGCACATATTTAATCAATGAAATTTAAGGTGTAAAAATTCTGCATTTCTGACAAATTTAATGTTCACTTTTTTCTTGATTTAAATAGAGCATTCTAAAAATATTACCCCTATAGGGGATAAATTTTTATATGCATGTTATTTTTCTTTACAAAGTGTGGGCTAGTAAAGAGTGAAAAAGACCTTGGCTATTGTACTTATTTCTTGAAAGAAATAATAGCATCTTAATGACTGGATTCAAATCTCTGCTTATCACACAACTTCCGTACAGTTCAAAGAGAGGACTTGGATTGAATGAAAACAGAGAGCTGGGGCTTCCTACATTCCCCTGTGTTTGTGTTCATACAGAATATTTATGCAATATTCTGACTTGGCCATAATCTGTAATTCCTGCCTATTATTCTCAGTTGCAACTATAAATTCTAGATTAATGGTTATAATTTTGGTAAGGCATACATGAAAAGTTATATGTTCCTGCTTGAAAGGAGGATCATTAAATATTCATTATTACCACTCAAATTAGTTGTCATGCTCTGTGTAATAGTTACCCGTTATCATTTCACTAGTTTGGATTCAGCAGTAAGTGAACAGCAATATATAGCTCATAGCGCCAGAGGACTTTTTTTGTCGGGGAACAGGGAGAGAAATGATTTTAAAACCCATTTGACATATTTATGTTGACAAATTATTTAAAGGAATTACTGTGTTGTAATAAACATGTTTGTATGTTGGAATAGGATTGTGGCTAAATTTGCTTCTAGCTGTTTAATTACTCTTATTATGATTGTGAAAAACAGTGCTTCTTCAAGTAGTTCCAAGGAAAAAAATAGAAAATGGAAAAGTTGAGCTATTTCAGTCTTTTGCAGGTATCTAACCTTGCCATGAAAAAGCACTTTTCATTTTTGTAAGTAGATATTGAAATCTTGCTTTTTCAGCGAAGCTAGATTGTATAATTTATTAGTTTTCTCCACCTGGTAACACATCCTTAAGAAAAAAATTGCCAAAAGTAAAGCATGAGATGGATTTTAAAATAAATGTTGTGGATGAACACATATAGAGATCGTGCTTTGCCAATCCATTTTGGGAAGATATGAGTAAAAATAAATCCAGAGATATTTTAATGTAAAAACATTTTGCTTTTGTCTTCCACATACGTTGGTATGCCAGTTCAGTTATGTGAAGATATTAGGGCAGCCACATTTTTTTTGGATCACAGGTATGAATCATTCCATACTCCTCAGTAATTTTAAATTGGTTCTTTTCCCATGGAAAATAACCATAAATTTGATTCTGATCTCATCTTTAGAGCTTTCTGTTTTAAAGAGTCAAATTGCAGCTGATGAACACATTTTGCATTTTTTCACATTGCATCTGGACTCTTCATAACGATGGTTTATTTTATCTTTTCTGCACAGAGGAGAGGAAAAATATATAGGTCCATGAATCAATCTAGATAATGGGGAAGGCTGACTGTAATAAATAATACAGTAACAACCCTAAACTAATGAGCTGTTGCTAAGGTACATTTCATAGGCTCATCCTGTATATAAAAAGTCACTAATAACCCCTTGGTGTAATCAGATGATAAAGCTTTGCCATAAGGCAACACCTGTGCAATTAGAACTGCAGATTCTTTTGCACGTTTCATTAATTTCAGGATTTTGTAAAGGCACAATGACTACACTAATAATCTAGTCTACTTGACTCCATGTCTACTGGAAACAAAGTGTCTAATTAGATAAAGGTAATTAATTAGAGATAAATGGAGCTAATCAGGCTCAGTTAACACTAATTCTCTGAATTAAGACATTTTGGGACACCTACTATCCCGCTGACTTTGATATTTTGCATTAAGAATAGGTTTAGAGGAGTCAGAAAATACTAGCATTTGAGAATTGAGCAGTCTTTTGATGACATATTTAGGTATCTGAAGCTAAAGAAGAGTTTTTTTTTTTTCATATTGTACTATTTCACCACCTTTCGATAGCAGCTTAAAGAATTCACTTTGTAGTTATTCCAATCTATGCTAGTCTCCGTATAAATTTTAATAACCTTTGCTATCATTTTTATTATCTGTCTGGCCCACCAATGGAAGAAAATCACAGGTTGTTCTATCTCTTAAATAAAGACTTAACTTGTTACATTAAGGAAATGTCAAGACTCATCAGCCTATATCCTAAAATTCTGATCCTTTAAAGAGAACAAACACCTAAAATTCTGATCCTTTAATTCCGATTCTTTAAAGAGAACAAACCTCTGCTTTGCAGTGTTGGAAATTCAATGATGTGGCGAAAAGAGCATGGGCTTTGAAATCAAAAGACCTGAATTCAAATTCCTGTTGTATTTCTTACTAAATGAGTGATCTTAGAAAGTAGCTTAACCTCTGTAAATAAAATAGAAATAATATTGATTCACATAATACTAATATTAACTTTACGGGGTTGTCATGAATATTGAGTGAGGTAACTATATATTGGTTATTATTACCTGTTAGGCTGGGATTGAACACATAACCCAGTACCATATCTCAACTGACTACAAGATTAGGTGTTAAAAACATTACATTTTCATCTCAACCTCATGATAATCTGTGAGCTGCATTTAAATGTGTAGAAAGGGACACATTAAAAATGTTCTCCCAATTAGTCCATCAGAAAAAAACAAATCCCCCAATTTTTTAGTTGAAGAATGTGAATTTATCTGCCTTGGTTCTCTACATTGAAATAGTTATCCCTCTTGGCAAGTTGTTCCCAGTCCTCAAGAGAACAGAATTGAACTGTGGGATATAGCTTAATATAAAGTGGACATTTGAGTCTTCTAAAGTGTCTCTGAGATATGCCCCTTGCTCTCTCTGGTCTCTGTTCTAACTTACCTGGACTACTCCTAGATTGCTCTAATAGTGTCCTAACTAGTACCCCTGCTTTCATTTCTTTTTCCTGTAATTCATTGTCACCAAATTAATCTTCGTAGGACACTTTCCTCATTCTCTTACTCATCAAGATCATAAGCAGTTTGATTTCTTGTTAAATTAAGATCCTATCACGCAAGCAGCCATATCTGGTTCCATATTATTTATACAGCTTGATCTCCTGCTGCCCTCCCTGCCAAGGTAGACTTTACTATTCTTCACCACACTCATCTTTCTTTTATGCTCTTGTCCAAGCCTGGAAACCTCTTTCTTCTTTCAAGACTAATTTCAAATCCTGCCTTTTCCCTGATGCCTTCCTTGGCAACTCTGGCCTACCAAGAGCATTCTTATTCCCACATTCCCACAGCAGCTCTCAATGGCATCATACCTATTAGCCGTGGCTCCAGCAGTGATTGGGTCAGTGATCCTGCTTCCCTTGTCTTTCCAACACTGATGAGATGTCTGAGGCCAGGAACCAAATTCTCCTTGTGTGTTTGGCCTTGCTCACCATCTTCTTCCCTCAAACTCCAACTTTCACAGGGTGTGGCCCTCCAAGGGACAGAACAAAACACCTGTGTAATTTATTTGTGAGCTGTGGCCTGGCCGGGTCCTTGGGAAGTGAGATCTACATGATGTTGTAGTAACCCTGGGGCTTTTTGCTGACTTTGGGCTGGGTTGAGTGCTGGGTTGAGCCTTTGTGTTTAGAGATAAGATAACCTTGAGAGACCAGCTGTATGTCCCTGAGGCTTTGTGTCTGGCTTGTGTGGTATCTTTCTTTTATAACATGCAATGAGGGGATGCCAGGAAGTGACCATTAGTATTTCATGACAATCAGAATGTCTAGCAAGCAATCATACTACTTCTCCAGCAAACATTTCAGAAAGAGCTGGGCAAGTGAGGGCTGATTAACATTCATTAGAGACTGTGATGTTAATTTTATGTGTCAATTTGACTGGAACATGGGGTACCCAGATTAAACATTATTTCTGGGTGTCTTTGAGGGTGTTTCTGGATGAGATTAGCATTTGAATTGGTGGACAGAGTAAAGCAGATTGCCCTTTCCAGTGTAGATGGGCATTAGTCAAGCCACTGACGACTTGAATAGAACAAAAAGGCCAAGGAAGAGGGAATTCACTCTCTCTGCCTGACTACTTGAGCTGAGCTATTAGCCTTCTCCTGCTGTTGACTGTGACTTACACCATCAGAGCTCTGATTCTCAGAACTACACCACCAGCTTTCCTGGGTCTCCAGCTTGCAGACAGCAGATTGTGGAAGTTAGCCTCCATAATTGTGTGAGCGAATTCTTTCATATATATGTGTGTGTGTGTGTATACACGTATATACATACACACATGTGTATGTATATACGTGTATATGTATGTGTATATACACATACATGTATGTGTGTATACACATACGTGTATATGTATGTGTATACACACATACGTGTATATGCGTGTATGTGTATGTATATATACACATATACGTGTATATGCGTATGTGTATGTATATATACACATACACGTACGTGTATATGCGTATGTGTATATACACATAC
Organism: Homo sapiens; assembly: GCF_000001405.40. NCBI lineage: Eukaryota > Metazoa > Chordata > Mammalia > Primates > Hominidae > Homo > Homo sapiens. The sequence goes on along the minus strand of NC_000001.11, from coordinate 90,826,131 downwards.
ATGTACGTGTATGTGTATGTGTATCCTATTTGTTCTATTTCTCTGGAGAACCCTGAATAATACAGAGACCTTTAATGCAGCTTCTTAGTGAATGCTCAGGGCAGGCGGTTTTCCATGGAGACTCTATGCCATAAAAATCATGTGGATTAGAAACTCATGTAGATTAGATGTCTAAGTTGACTAATTGTAGTTGTTGCAAAAATGTCCACAATATATGTTCCCTTTCTTTTATCTATGCCCTTTGATAGTACCCTTCCAACACTGACTCTGAGTTTGACCTTGTAATTTGCTTTAGCCAATGAGACAGAAGCAAATACATCACAGGCAGAGACTTAAAGAACACTTGACTATCAGTACTTGCTCTCTGGCTGCTCCTGAAACCCTGAGCTACCCTGTGAATGATACCCTGAGCTAGCCTGCTGAATTATGACAGACATGTGGCCTAGTATCTCCCTTTGTCCAGCCAACAGTTAGCCAACCCCAAAAGTAGAGCTACCTAGCTGACCAGCAGCGGATCACAGAAGCACCTGTGAGTCCAGATGAGAGCAGCAGCAGAAGGACATATAGGAGTGAACTAAATAGATAGTTATTTAATTAAACCTTAAGTTTTTGGGTCATTTGATATGCAGCAATAGATAACTGATACACTGGTGTAGGCTCTTTCACTGCTTAAACTTAATGGAAATTCAGAGAACATTAAATATTTGGTCTCCAATCTTGGAAGATATTTAAGCAGGAGCATCATGGTAGCTTCAAGAGAATGGAAAAACGAAGAAGCCTTCTCAGTCTTTTTTTTTTTTTGCCTTCTCAGTCTTGAGAAATAAAAAAATGGGTTCAGTTTTCATCCTTTTGGGTTGGTACATGTCAAGGTTGGAGTCAAGACCCCTAGAGAAGTGTTAGGCTGGAATTGGAGATCTGTATGGAAGGGACAGCTGAAGTTGTGGGATAGGACCAGAATGCAGAGAAATTAAAAAGGACAGGATTGTACTGTGGGAACTCAGACTGAGAACTGCAAGAAGGAGTGAGTGGTCAGCAAAGCTGATTGCTAGAAAGGGTGAGCATGACAATAATAATGACTAATAATTTAAGTGCAATTTATAGTTTATGAAATTTACTTACATACATCTCATTTCAATTCAGTGGGATAGAGAGGGTCAAGATCATTATTATGCCCATTTTGTAGAAGACAAAACAGGCACAGAGCCATTACATGCTTTACAAATATCACTTATTTGGTGACATGGCAAATCCCAGGTGTCTTAAAATCCATGCTATTTTCACCTACTAGAGACCACTAGTACTGTAGTTAAATCTGTCAATAGTAAAGTCATCAACAACCTTTAAGGAAGTGGTTTCAGGAGAGCTGGGGGTGGGGTACATGGTAGCTGAGTGGGAGCGATATCTCATGGGGAGAATATACGAGGATATGGGAGGTGAGGAACAGAACTCCGTTGAATGGCAGGAGAATGACTTGATAGGAACTTGAGGGATGACAGGTTTGAAAGGAGGGTAGGGGTGACAAACAAGGTTGTAGATGGAATGGAAGGACTCAGTGGAGAGGGAGAAGAGGAAGATAAAAGCAAGAGAGAAAATTTAAAAAAACAGGGAAAATAAAAAGAATAACAGTAAATAAAAGAAAAAAAATGAAATGAGAGAAATGTTTTTAAAAAGCAGTTCCTGAAGGAGAAGATGCCACTATCTAGAGAACAAGTGAAAAAAGGACTTAGACTCAGGAGGGGCTAAGAGACTGGTAGGAAAGATATGACAGTGAGAGATTTTGAGGTGGAGAAGAAGGAAGGTGAGTCAGTTCACACCTGAATCTTCAAATCCTGAGATCATTTTCACTCCAAGAAGAACAGTTTGCCTTCTTAGGAAGCACCTGACATGGATCTGCCTTTATAATGAGACAACTGAAAGATTTCTGGAATTGCCTTTGTAAAGCATGTTGTCCTTCCTGGGCAGAAATATTTAATTCTGTGATGGAAGGATATTTCTTGGGATAAGGATCCTGCATGACTACTACGTGTGTGTGTGTGTGTGTGTGTGTGTGTGTGTGTGTGTGTGTGTGTGTGTTTACGAGAAAGGACTTCTGGGACCTGGGAGACTGGGCTCATGGTGTAAGGGCACTAAAATACACTAGTTATTCACTGCTCTGCCTTGAATCCAGCGTTGGCCTAAGAGGTGGAGCAGATGCCCTTTCACATGGAGGAGATCCTAATTAAAGAGTACCTTCCTACCCAGATCCTGGAAATTTGCCATCAGGACTTCCTTTCAATGACTCAAGGCTTCTAATTACTGCTTCAAGACAGATGTTTCTGGGAGGAATAACCTACTAACCCTTAGGGTTTGTTAGACTTTTCCTGAGAGCAAGCATTGTTACATGATGAGGATGAGGACAGAAATCTCCCAAGCCCGCTACACTCCTCACATTCTACTGTAAGAGGTTCTGTGGATGTTCCTACATCTCTCACCTTAATCCTTATCACCATCCTAATCACTCACCTGCTGTCTCAAGGTGCCTCTGCAAGGTGCCTAGTACATCATCAGTGCTCAAAAATACATGGATCAATGAATGGCCTCCCAACTGGCCTCTGCTGCCAAGTTGGGCCCCCTGCAACCCATTCGTCAGCATGCTGGCATCCTAGTGATCTTTACTAAAGCCCAGGTTTGGTCTATATAGAGTCCTTCGTGACTCTTTGTTACTTACAGGATTGAATTCAAATCACTTAGCTTGGAATACAAGGTCTTTCATGTATGCTCCTTCATGTTGGACTATACGAGGTCCAACTCCTACAGAGTTTCCCCTTCCCAATCTGGCAGCCCACTCAAAACCCCGTGTGTGCAGGTACATATTGGCACACCCCCTCTAGACTCACTACAGCCATATTGAACTTCTAGATCCATAAACACCTGAGATGTTTTAAACTGTACCTTGCCTGAGTTATTTCTTCCTAGGACACTACCTACTTCATCCTGTGTCCTCCTGGTAAATATCTAGATTGATCCTTTCAGAGTCAATTTAAATGACTCCTCCTCAATGAAGCTTTCCATGAGCTCCTTCATCAAGGTACCAATCTCCCCTATGTGCCTTCCTTGTATCTATCTGTGCTGTTATAGCAGCTGGCACAAATGAATGGCATTTATTTGTGAACATGACTAGATGATAATGTCCCTAGAATGCAGGACCATTTAAACATTTCTTCTTCTTTTTTTTTTTTTTTTTTCCAGTCAGAGCCTCCCTCTGTCGCCCAGGCTGGAGTGCAGTGGCATGATCTCGGCTCACTGCAACCTCCGCCTCCCGGGTTCAAGTGATTCTCCCATCTCAGCCTCCCAAGTAGCTGGGATTACAGGTGCCTATCATCATGCCCAGCTATTTTTTATGTTTTTGTATTTTTTTTTAGTAGAGACAGGGTTTCACCATGTTGGCCAGGCTGGTCTCGAACTCCTGGCCTCAAGTGATCCACCTGCCTTGGCCTCCCAAAGTGCTAGGATTACAGGCCTGGCCATGTATTATGTTCTTAATAAATGTTTAATTGAGAGTTTAGGCAGTAACTTCTTAAGGACAAATTTCCTTCGTTTTCTCTTTTCCCAAGAATTGTCCTGGATATAGCATTAGCTCAGTTACTTTCTTTGTAAAGAAAGAACATAATTACAACTATGAATCTTTTTTTTAGATTGTTTAGTTAAGCATCTGGCCCCAGAGTGAAACCCTATAAAGGGCCATCCACTTCTGGTCTGCCCCTGGGAACACCCTAAGCCTCGTGTCCAGTGCCTGAGAAGATGCAGCGGGTACCTGCATTCTCCCTCCCCAGGGGCTTTGGGGCAGGAGGCAGCCTCTTTTGCTGTCATGAACATGCTCTGATATTTATTTGCATCTGGTTTTTCAGAGGCAGGCAAATGAGGCCCACTGGAAGGATGCACGATGACTGCAAGGATCCTGCCCATGACATCATTTCTGCTTCCCCTTGTCTTGTAGGTTTCTGTTGGCTATTTGCCAGAGATGTTTCCGGGTAGACTGCCTTGTGATCTAAGTTCAGCCTATTATCTGCTCCGCAATCTAGTGAGTTTGTAGACCCAACTATTTTCTAAAGTTGCCCAGCAAAGTGCTCCCAGAATGGAATCTCTGTCTTTGAAGAGGGCGATAAGTTTTCCATTCTCCTCTAGGATCCCTGAGAAGCCAGTAAGCTGGCTTCCATGTGACCTACATGCTCTAGTGCCTCTTTAGGAAGGAGTCCTCACTCTCCACTTTATTCACAGAGACAGAGAATCAGCTTTTCAAGTGGGAAGTTGAGGCAAAATAAATTGCACTAGGGTAGATAAATGTCAGCAGCCACTGCCTTCAGCGTTGGAAGATCACATTCTGAATTCTTCTCTCCCGGAAGCTTAATCCTTCTTATATCTGGGAGTGAAGTTACCAAAGGGAGCAGATTCCTAGTTACCTAATCAAACCATGTGCCGAGAGCCAAAGTCACTGCTTCCTGGATGATTTCTGCAGAACCCAGTTCTTTCATCCTGGTCTAGCACAGACTTGTGCTTCAGTGAGTCACAAATGCCCTTCCCATTGATGTGGGTTGACATTATCAAGGGCCAAATTTTAAAGGCCAGACAATGTCTGGATTGAAACCTGCTGAGGCAACTGAGTCAAGGCTTCAAATACGGTATTAGGACACAAACAACATTTTAGTTTTGGTTTCACAATTATTTTTGGTCATGTACTGTCAATTATTATAGAAGATTTGTGACTCAGTGATATCCTCTTATTAAGTGAATGAACCTATTCCTCTATTGGTTATTTAATAAGCCACAGACATCTGGCAGAAACAAGGGTTTATTTGAAATACTTCTTCACAGGAAAAACACACTCTCTAGCACACCGAAAGAGTTTGCATAAGTATTCTTAGGGGCCAGCCTAAGCAACGGAAAGCATTGTTCTGAGAGAAATTTAACTGCATTGCAGTTCCCAGATATTTAATACTTTAAAGAGGAAGTTCTAAAATTTAACAGTTGATTTTATTATTACTCTTTGGATGTAATTAACTAGGGATGCACTTTAAACTGCTTTATTCTGGCTACTGAAATGGATTTTATGGTTTACACTGGGGAAAAAAAAATTCTGTCAGATCATGGGCCTCTCCCTTGGTGCACATTATTAGAGTCTTTTTAGAGACAAGCAAGCAATTTTGCTGTCACTGGTCTTGTTCAACTAGAGTATGTTTATCTATGCAATACTCTTGGGAAAAGGTGTCAAAAAAGGATCACCAGTTAGCAGCTGACATAGCTCCTGCATACACGCCGAAAAAGCTCCTCAAATAGCAAATGAACACATATATTTCATTTTTTATGTGGCTGATAAAATGTTATATCATTAAGTCAAAAGAACATATTTGTCCCATCTAAGTTGACTTTCGAACCAGCTCTCACTTCTAATACAAATGAGGGCCTTGCAGCTCAACAGAGGATGCTCTGCAGAAACCAAACAGCCATTCAGGACTTGAGGGAAAGCAGGTCTTTAAACATTGAGCACCGGTTCTTTAATGGGCTGTCGGCATATCCCCAATCGGTTCTCAGGTATTTAAATACCAGTGGGCTACAGAGAAACCAAGCCTTCCTGGATGTTTAGTTTAACTTGTGTATTGTTTTATTTCAAATACCGAATTTTCATCTAATTACTCTGTTAAATCAAAGCATCCATTCACTTATGTATTCAATAAATAAATATTGAACAACAAATAACAAATATATAGCAGGCACCATTCTGGGCTCTTGCAAAAGGGTAGACAAAACAAACAAGGCGCCTACCCTTAAGGAAGTTACAATTTGGTCAGGATGTTAAACAAACAAGCATGCAGTAAACCTAATCACAAATCAGAAATGCTATGAAGAAAGAGGTTGTGTATTGGAGTCAGACAGAACTAAGGCCTCAGCTTTTTCTTTTCTTTTTTTGAGACAGAGTTTCGCCCTTGTTGCCCAGGCTGGAGTGCAATGGTGCGATCTCAGCTCACTGCAACCTCCATCCCCCAGGTTCAAGCGATTCTCCTGCCTCAGCCTCCAGAGCTAGGATTACATGCTTGCACCACCAAGCCCAGCTAATTTTGTATTTTTAGTAGAGATGAGGTTTCACCATGTTGGCCAGGCTGGTCTCGAACTCCTGACCTCAGGTGATCCACCCGCCTTGGCCTCCCAAAATGCTGGGATTACAGGTGTGAACTGCCGCGCCCGGCCAGCTTTTTCATCCGTATAATGTAAATGATGACACCTACTTTAGAGTTTGAGAATTGAATAAAACTAGAGACTGCAGATAAGTTTCTTAATGCAGTGCTCAATTTGAGGTGAGATATAATTGAATGCATGGGGAGGATAAATGGCATATTTGTTATGACTTTAAAATTTGGTAAAGTACCCCAGGACAGAAGTTCAGTCTTCACATTTTGAGGTGCTGTTACAGAGACCAGGAGCTAATCATTCTTGCCATTTATTTACAAGAGTAAGCATGACGGTTTACCAATTAGTTTCTCCTAAAGTACAAAGTATTAATTTGGCACTATTAATTATTTTCTTGTTCTTAAAATGACAACTTGTTTTATTCATATTCAAGAATAATATTGATAAATTTATCAAAAATAATATTGATAAATATTAAAACAACAAACTAAAACCCAAGCTTTCTCCTTCCAGATGTATAGATGTATGTATGGAATCATGATGTGCATACAGTCATCCCTCGGTATCTACAGGGGATTATTTAGAGCACTGCCCTTGGACACCAAAATCCATGGATGCTCAAGTTCCTCATACAAAATAGCATAGTATTTGTACATCACCTACACACATCCTCCCATATATACTTTAAATCATCTCTAGATTACTTATAATACCTAATACAATGTAAATGCCATATAAATAGTTGTTACACTATATTTTAATTTGTATTATATTTTATTGTTGTATTATTACTTTTTATTTTTTCTTCTCAAATATTTTCCATCTGCAGTCGGTTGAACCTGAGGACGTGGAACCCTTGGATATAAAGGGCTGACTATATTCACCTGGTGTTTTGCTTACAAATTATTTCAGTTCCTTCGAATGGCATAGTTGTTTGGGGGGCCTTTTCAAGGAATCTTTCACCGTGGAAACTCACTCTTTCACTCCAGCCTCAGTTTAGATTCTTTTATAAAGCAGTTGATTCTTACGGTTCTTTTTCACCACCTGAGACCTGGAGAGATCCCTGACTTGGGATACCCTACTCCCTAGATGTGATGGTTACTTTTATGTGTCAACTAGGCTGGGCTAAGAGATACCCAGACAGCTAGTAAAATGTTATTTCTGCATGTATCTGTATATTAATCCGTTTTCATGCTGCTGATAAAGGCATACCCAAGACTGGGTAATTACTAAAGAAAAAGAGGTTTAATGAACTCACAGTTCCACATGGCTGGGGAAGCCTCACAATCATGGCAGAAGGTGAAAGTCACATCTTACAGGGTGGCAGACAAGAAAGAATGAAAACCAAGTGAAAGGGGTTTCCACTTATAAAACCATCAGATCTCATGAGACTTATTCATTACCATGAGAACAGTATGGGGGAAACCACCCCCATGATTCAATTATCTCCCACTGGGTCCCTCCCACAACATGCGGGAATTATGGGAGCTCCAATTCAAGATGAGATTTGGGTGGGGACACAGCCAAACCATATCAGTCTGTAAGGGTGTTTCTAGAAAAGCATAGCATTTGAATTAGTAGACTGAGTTAAGAAGGTCAGCTTCACCAGTGTGGGTGGGCATCAGCCAATCTGCTGAGGGCCCAAGTAGAGCAAAAAGGCAGAGGAGGGACAAATTCCATCTCGCTGAGCTGGAACATCCAGCCGTCTTCTCCCGTTCTCAGATATTGGTGCTCCTGGCTTTTTGGCTTTCAGACTCAGAGCAGGCCTTCACCATAGGCTCCCCTGGTTCTTGGGCCTTTGGACTTGGACTTCAGGCTTCAGATGGAATGACTGAATAATTACACCCCCAGCTTTTCTTTTTCTCCAGCTTTCAGAGAGTGGATCATGGAGACTTCTCAGCCTCCATAATCACATGAGCTGACTCCCACAATCTCTCTCTCTCTCTGTATATATATATATATTATATATATATATAATATATATATATATAAAACATATATATATGTACATGCTCTAGTGCCTATATATATGTGTGTATGTGTGTGTGGTGTATGTGTGGTGTGTGTGTGTGTGTGTGTTTCCTTTTGGCTCTGTTTCTCTGGAGACTGCTAACTAAGACACTAGAGATTTGTTCACCATTTACTATGTGCCCCAATTATATTTAATTTAATCATCAAATAGCCCTGTGAGGTGGGTATTATCCTTTGCATTTTTTAAAGATGAAGACACAGAAGCTCAAGGAGGTTAAGCAGCTTGCCCAGGGTTAACAAGTTAAAAAGTCACTTAGACAGAATTTATGCTTATCTCAATTACGTTAACCATTAATTGGGTGCCTGCTATGTTTCAGACCTGTGCTGGGCTAGGTGGTGATGATATACCATTGAAGGAGACAGATGTGGAGGAAGCAGATGGTTAAATAAGTAATTCGAAGTGTGATGCTGTTGTGAGAGGGAGACACAGAGGGGAGTAGGAGCATGTGACAAGGGGACCTATTGTTGGAGGCTTCTGTGCAGAACACCACCGAGATCCAAGGGGTGAGGTAGGCAAAAGGGTCTTGGAAAGATGTGGTCATAGGCTGGGGGAGAGGGTGGCCTAGGTGAATGGACAGCATGTACAAAAGACCTAAGGCACAAAAGAACATGGTGTGTCTTCACCAAAAGAACTGCGAAAAGGTAATTGTATGTGGAGTTTCAAGACCAAGAGGGACTCACACATCCTCACATCCTGGATACGATGAGGGAGAGGATGAAGGAGAAGGAAAAGGACCAAGTCATATTGGGCCTGGAAGGCTTTGTTAGAGTTTGGACTTTATCCTAATCCCAGCAAGAAGTCATTAGAGGACTTTAAGCTGGGAAGCAATTTAATCATATTTAAATATTTTTAAAGATTATGCTGACTACTTGAATAGAATGGAGTGGGAAGGGGTACACCTGAGGAAGCAAGAGGACTAATTATGAGTCTATTGCAATAGTTCAGGTAGAAAATAATGGTAGTTTGGACCAGGGTGGTGGTGGAGGAGATGGAAGTGAACACATTCTAGAAATATTTAGTAGGTAGACCTATGGATGGAGTCATTTGGAATGCTTTCAATTGTAAGTAGTAGAAACTGATTTAAAAGTACTGACTTACTGGCTTATATAACTGCAATATGTAGAGATGAGGCTGGATTCAGGCAAAGCTCAGTAAACTCTCGAGGGGACTGCTTTCTGTTTGGCTCTCTATTTTACCTTTTGCCATATGTGTTTTATCTTAAAGGGACTTCCCCCATGCCCCATGCTCCCAAGGTAGCTGCCAGTGGCTCCAAGGCTACATGCTTCTTTCTTTTCACCCTATTTGAAAGAAAGCATCTTTGTTCCAGCATTCTCAGCAAAAGTCTCAAGTCTCACTCTAATTGGACCAATTTAAATCTCATGCACATTTCTGAGCAAATTATTGAAGCTAGAAAGATGGAATTCTCTGATTGACTTAGCTCAAGTCATGAGCTCTCCTTCTAGAGCTGTGGGGTCAGCTTTTCTAGAGCTATGGGGTCAGCTTTTTTTTTTTCCCCAGATGGAAATGGAGATGGTTGAGAAGGCAGAAGGGAGGAGTGCAAGCTGGAAATGAGTAAGGGTCTTTTCTCTTAATGGGTTGAATGTCAGTCAGAGTTTAGGGAAAAGAAGGTCAAGGATGACCCTCTTCTAGTGGTATCTCTCATTGAGGAGGGGAGCAAGAGAACCAGGTTTGTGAAGGAAGATAATGAGTTCAGTTGTGTTTGCAGGGCTGGAGAAACATCCATGGGGAGATGTCAACCAGGCAGTTGCATGGGTTAGCTGAAAGCTCAGAATGGAGGTCCTGGCTGAAGAGAGATTTGTGTGTTGTTGACTTACCTGATCCCAAAACTTGTGCTCTTAATTTGAGGCATATTTTACATTATTCTTAAGGACTGACCAGCAAAAAGATGAGACTGCCTTCATGGTGGTGGGGATTTGGCATTGTTGTGCGGAAGATTCCAAGGTAGTAGCTCCAAATGGATTGCAGTCTGGTCAATTGCCACAGCAAGTCTTAGTGGCTGAGGGACATTTAATCACACAATGGTTATATATCTCACTTATATATTCTTTTAATGCTCACAATTATTAGTTTCCCCATTTTATAGATAAGAAAACTGAGTCATAAAAAGGTTACACCTGAGGTCATGGAGCTTGAAGAGTAGCATTGGGATTTGAACCAAGAAAGTCTGACTCTGGAGTCCATAGTCTTAATTTCTATACATACTGTTCCGCTCAGGAGGGAAATGGCTAAGATGGGCATCAGTCAATCAGGTGTTTTTAAACACAAAGCCAAATGGTTGCTCTCATCTATTCATAGTTCCTGCTGGGATGCTGGTCTCTGGGTTCTGAATTACCTTTGAGGGGCACAGCCCTAGAGGCGAGCATTCCTGTTTACAGTGATCTTCTAGGCCCCAGCATGACAAACAGGGGAAGAACCCTTCATAGTCCAAGGTATGAAACCACTGAGCAAACCAGATGATACATGTAACCACGAATGGGGTTTGTGATTGAGGATTCTGGGCCTCTGGAACCTTCTCTTGCCCCATTCTTGCTAATTCTTCATCCTTTCTAAACCATTTCTGACAGCATGACAGAACCGGGGAACGTAAAATGAGGTATATGGCCCTTTGACTTTTTCCTTAAGCAAAACAGAAATGATAGCTCTGTCCTGTCATTTTGTATTATCTGTGGCTCTTTGTTACCATTAGTATGGATAATTAAGAGCTGAGGATAAACTCTCCTTTTTGTAAAATTACTTTTTTTATCCACTGACTTATAATATCCCTAACATTTTTCCCTTTGAATGAATGATATAAACAAGCAGGAGGAAAAAAAATAACACTCATAGTAAGCAATCCTGTGAACTCCCTACATTATTTAGTGAGAAGATTTTTTTTTCCCCTGAATCAGATGTTGATCATAATGGTCAAAATAATCCTTGGTACTTTCTCTAAGCTTGCTCATTATCATTCAATATGTTCAACAGAATTATTAAATTTAAAATAATATGGTGCACCTGGTTGAGATGACGGTGAGAGATTTGGCTTCCTGTCTCTTCGTTAAGGATGAATTCAGCCCTAGGGTATACTATGAACTTGGCAAATAGCATTATAATAGTGAGAGAATATTGCCTATTGGGTAGCAGGAGTTGATGATTAAATTTAAGTGTGTACTGTCCACATAAAACAAATAATGCATTTTTTTTAAAAACTTTTACTGTGAACATTCATCACTGGTGCTGAAGATGCACAGTTGCTAATTATTGTGTTTTTAACTGTTAACATACTGTAAATTTTGTATAATACTACTGTGACCTTATACAGAATAGAAAAGATGACAGGAAGCCTATAATTATTGTATGGGGAAGAAATGCCTATAATTGTCTACTATTTTTAGGAATAACATGCATAGCCCCTTAATTTACATAAGCTTTAGACATTCACACATTTTTTGTCTTTGCTTGTGGATGATAAATTTTGCTCAAATGAAATCAGAAGACATACTGTTAGATGAGGAGTTAGCCAACTGCGAGCTTGGTTACAATGAACAACACAAGCTTTGGTGCCACCTAAAAAAGGGAACATTTATTTGGATGGAATTTGTTTAAGGCAAGATTCAAAACATTAAAAAAAACACACACACAACACCATATTACTATATTGGGGCCTGATAACGTGTGATTATTTTTTAGAGAATTGGTTAAATTATCTTGTGGAAAAGCATTAACCTAACAAAGAGAAAACTTCCAGGATATTTATCACATGGAGGGTGATTATGACAGCATGTTCTTATTAGAGAGGAATATTTTGTGCTCATTAAGGTTACCTCTTAAGTGCTCAAGGATGCAAAATGCTTTGCAGTGAAGTACTACACTTCTGTTGTCCTGTGAGCACTTGCTGTTAGCTGGAGGCTTTCATTCCAAACTGAGGGGCCTCTCTAAAAGATCCAGCCCTGGTGGTGCCTGTATCAAAGCCACTAGGCAAATGGAAGGGACCAGGAGGTTTTCAAGTCCAACACTCCGGGGATGCATCTGCAAGAATTGAGGGTGATGTTAAGAACCCTCTGGTTTCCTAGTGTGGAGTAGCAGGTAGAAGGACAAGGATGGACTTGGTCCCTGAGGATCTACAAGTGATCCCCACTTGAAGGAAATCAATACGTATGATTCTAAACTCAAACTGTAGGCAAACCCGAACTCAAGCTCCTCACCTTATTGGGGATTTTTCACTGTAAAAATAATTAAAAGCATGACTTCCTCCCAAGTAGAAGTTTTCCTGAAGCACATAAGACTGTTTTTGTTTTGTTTTTTTAGAAAATGACTATAGCTTTTACTAGCTTACTGGAAATGACAAATATGCATTTACTTATTTATTTATAAGACAGGGTCTTGCTCTATTGTCCAGGCCAGAGTGCAGTGGTGCAGTCACAGCTCACTGCAGCCTCGACCTCCTAGGCTCAAGCAATCCTCTTGCCTCAGCCTCCCATGTAGTTGGGACCATAAGTGCATGCCACTACACCTGACTAATTTTTAAATTTTTTTGTAGAGACAGAGTCTCACTTTGTTGGCCAGGCTAGTGTTGAATTCCTGGGCACAAGCAATCTACCTACCTCTGCCTCCCAAAATGCTAGGATTACAGGTGTGAACCACCATGCCAGGCCTACAATTATAATTTAAAAGATTGCATACAACTGTTTAAAAATAGCCTAAGAAACCAGCCTGGACACAAAAACCTCATCTCTACAAAATACACAAAAAAATTAGCTGGGTGTGGTAACATGTACCTGGGGTCCCAGCTACTGGTGTAGGGGGTGGGTGCTGAGGTGGGAGGATCGCTTGTGCCTGGGAAGTGGAGGTTGCAGTGAGCCGAGATGGCGCCACTGCACTCCAGCTTGGGTGACAGAGAGAAACCCTGTCTCAAAAACAAACGAAAAACAAACAAAAAAAAACAAGAAACAAAACAAAAATATCTTAAGAAAGATATAGCTTCCCTCAAACCCCTCTTCTCTTCCCCGACATTTTAAAATCTAAGGCATGGCAGAAAAGCAAGTTTAAAGTCTTGGCTGATTGAGGCACAGCCAATTTTGGTTGATTGGGGTTTTCAAGGGCCATGTAAGAGATAATTTTAAGTGGTCAGGAGTCAGCAAGATGTGTAGATATTCATCATATCCAAGGCCTCAGCGTGCGTATGCACCTTAAATTTGGTTTGTTTGAATCAGGATTCGAAGAAGGTTTACCTATTGTATCGGGAGGTATATATATATACCCCCCTCCCACCTCCCCGAAATGGAGTCTTGCCTTGTCGCCCAGGCTGGAGTGCTGTGGCATGATCTCGGCTCACTGCAACCTCCGCCTGCAGTGTTCAAGCAATTCTCCTGCCTCAGCCTCCTGAGTAGCTGGGATTACAGGCGCCTGCTATCATGCCCAGCTAATTTTTGTATTTTTGGTAGAGACAGGGTTTCACCATATTGGCCGGGCTGGTCTTGAACTGCTGACCTCAAGTGATCTGCCTGCCTTGGCCTTCCAAAGTGCTGGGGTTACAGGCGTGAGCCCTGCATCCAGCTAGGCGGTGTATCTTTTGAGTCTCTTAATCTATAGGCTCATCTTCCCATTCTTTTTTTCCCTTGTAATTTATTTGCTATAGAAACTTATTCATTTGTCCTGCAGAGTTTCCCACATACTAGATGCTATTTATTGTATCCTTGTGGTATCATTTAACAGATTTCTCTGTTGCCTGTATTTCCTGTGGGCTGATAATCTTGATTAAGTTCAGATTTGGATTTTTGGCAAGATTGCTTCATAGGTGGTATTTGCTTTTGTCAGGAGACACATAACATCTGTCTCTCTTTTTGTGTCTCTTTTTTTGTGATATTAGCAACAGTTGACTATCATAGCCTAAATCCATTATTTTTTTGAGAATTGCAAAATGGTGATAATTCTATCATCTCATTGACATTTTTTAGCTACACTACTTTGATGGTAAGAAACTTCCCTTCATCAACTATTTGGTTACCTAGGGTATGACTGGTTTGACTAAAGCAGTCTCCTCCTCCTGTAAGCTTCTCCTCTTTTTGTGGTAAAATACGTTGAATTTTGAAGATAAAGACATCTTCATGGGTTTTCAGTGAGATGCTGGAGTGTAGAGATAAGCTTAGAATGTAGAGATCAGCTTAGAAATGTTGAAGTGTAGAGATCAGCCCAGCCCCCTTCAAACTTCACTTATCATCATCTGCTCTTTTGAAATGGCAATGATAGGGCTGGGTGCAGTAGTTCATGCCTGTAATCCTAGCACTTTGGGAGGCCAAGGCAGGCGGATCACTTGAGGTCAGGAGTTCAAGACCAGCCTGGCCAACATGGCGAAATCCTGTCTCTACTAAAAATATAAAAATTAGCTGGGTGTGGTAGCATGTGCCTGTAATCCCAGCTACTCAGGCGGCTGAGGCAGAAGAATTGCTTGAACCCAGGAAGTAAAGTTTGCAGTGAGCCAAGATCGCACCACTGAACTCCAGCCTGGGCAACAAGAGAGAGACTCTGTCTCAAAATAAATAAATAAATAATAAATGAAATGGCAATGATTGCTCTTTGACCTATGTTAGAGTTGCTTTCATACCTGCCTTATCCCCTCTATTGGATGTAAGCAACTTGAGGGCAAGCTCTATGTTCGATTCTTTATTTTTTAAATATTTTACACTCAACACAGTGCTTGACACATAGTAAGACTTTAGTAAATATATGTCATTTGGAAGAATGAATAACTGAATGATGAAGCCTTGGGGAAAATGCCATTCTCTTAGGGTGATCATTGCCAGTGTGGACTGGTAGAAAGTACATTAATCTGGGACTCAGTTGGACTTAAGCTTGAATCAAAGTCTTCTACTTTTTGTTCTTGGTCAAAATGCCCTAATTTCTGGTGTATAAAACAGCGCCTGCCCTAGTGTGCTCACAAAGTTATTGTTAGGATCCAGCAATCCAGTAGGGAGCTGTGGTTTGAGGGTAAGGACTTGGCAGCTGAACAGAGAGCAGTGTGATGGGTGCCCACCGTTTACCCTCTCCAAGCCTGTTAAGTTATCTGTAAAATGAGAATAACAGTAGCTTGTTTCCTCTCCAGGTTGAGGTAAGAATTAATGTATGTTGGCCGGATGTGGTGGCTCATGCTTGTAATCCCAGCTCTTTGGGATGCTGAGGTGGGTGGATCGCTCAAGGTCAGGAGTTCGAGACCAGCCTGGTCAACATGGCGAAACCCCATCTCTACTAAAAATACAAAAATTAGCTGGGTGTGGTGGTGCATGCCTGTAGTCCCAGCTACTCAGGAGGCTGAGGCAGGAGAATCGCTTGAACTTGGGAGGTAGAAGTTGCAGTGAACCGAGATCGTGCGACTGCACTCCAGCCTGGGTGACAGAATAAGACTCCATCTCAAAAAAAAAGAACAAAAAAAGAATTAATATAATGTATGTATGTTAAGTAAACCTTTAAGAAAAGGTTTTTGTTATTTTTATGTAAAAATGCTTTGTTATTAGAAGTGCTATGCAAATTTATTATTATTAAAAGCAATGCTTCCCATGAACTGTATCTTCTTGGTCTTTAGAATTGTCTTCTGCTTGAAAGTGCTTTGGAAGTGATTAAAAAGATGAGATTGTTGGTTTAGTGCTCACCAACTGAGGATCAACACTGCCAGGATGCCAGTCTGGTTTGACTTGCTTCCTCTGGCCCTGGCGCTGGCTGAGTGCTGGCTAGGGGAGAGGCCCTGGATGAAAGATGTCCTGGCAGCAGGAACATTAACACTCACTCTTGAGCCAGGAGGTAGGCGTTAATGTCTGTAGCTGGATTTCTAGCAGTGGAGATATTTAACACCCTCGCATGATCCAGCAACCAGGCACCCTCTCTTTAAACCTAATTTGGCAAGTGAAAGAGAGAAAGAGTATTTCCAGTTGAGCAGTTGAGAAAGTACATAAAGCTCTGTGCCATGAAGACAAAAGCCAGTTATTGGAGGCTGAACATTATATGGAGAAGGAGTCTTTTTTGATTGCATTGTCTAGAGAGTTACTCTGGTGGGACTTTTCTTAACAGGTCTCACTCAATATGGGCCAGTGGGGCATGTTGGGAAAGTAGTGGCTCTAGGGCAGTGTAAGGATGTATGAGGTTCAGGACAGGTTGGAAATCCACATCTGAATGCAGCCTGAAATACAATACTGTGACTAGCGTGGTTGCCTGAATGGTTCTGTTCCCAGGAGGACCAGGAGTTCCTTGGCATGGTTGTGGGGGAGAAGGATAAATGGGAGAACTCAGAGGAACCAGTCCCTCAGGAGAAAGAACAGGAAGTAAAGTGCCTCGCCCAAATTGCCCTGTGAAGCTGAGCCCAACCAGCTTGAGGTCAATTTGGAGGATGCTATGGGCATCCTAGTTACAAAGTTCATGGTAGAAGTCAGGTCACTGCAAGAATGAACAAAAGCTCCTCTTTTGTCAGGGTTTGACTGACGGCAATGGTGAATTTTGACTTTGACTGAGCTTGAAACGTGCTTGTTTTCTCTCCAAAGCTGAGGCCCATTTGCACAACAAGCAAAAAGACAAGGTAAACAACTTCTGTTTAGACTTTCCAAGGTCTGTTTCTCTAGATGACATCTCAAGAACTCTATGACATCACCTCACCTGGGAGTGAACCCAAACACTGAGGATCCTTTCAACATCCAAAAAGGGTCACTTCTTTGAAATGTGATGACTCCCTAGGACAACTTTCTCATTTAAATTACATAGCTATCAGAGGAGCCCAGGCCAGGAGGTGAAGCAGAGCAAACTCACACTCTTCGACTACAAAAGCAAATGCATATTTTTGATGAGCCTGCAGTGGCTGCCTTTGCATGCTTGGAATGATGTTTTCTTCCCCTTTTTGCCTACGAGGAATGTTGTAAGCAGGCATAAACAAATGCCTTCATTATTTATCCTAGTCTCACTGCACTAAATCTTTGTACATGGGAAATTTGCTGTTTTGTTTGGCTGGCAATTGCTTAAGCTAAGGGGCCATGAGAGTCTTTCTCAGGGTTGCATCTTGGGATTGTTCTAGTGCAAGTGAATACCCATTAGACTGAAAGTTGTTATAAAAATTGAAACCATGAGATTGAGTAAAAACTTCTTCATCACTCTTACCTCTGGCACCTTGTAGCCCAGGTTCTACTGTGATTGTAAGAGTAATCGGCCAGGCACGGTGGCTCACGCCTGTAATCCCAGCACTTTGGGAGGCCGAGGTGGGTGGATCACAAGGTCAACAGATCGAGATCAGCCTGGCCAACATAGTGAAGCTCTGTCTCTACTAAAATACAAAAAATAGCCAGGTGTGGTGGCGCTTGCCTGTAATCCCAGCTACTCAGGAGACTGAGGCAGGAGAATCACTTGAACCAGGGAGTCGGAGGTTACAGTGAACTGAGATTGCGCCACAGCACTCCAGCCTGGTGACAGAGCGAGACTCCGTCTCAAAAAAAAAAAAAAAAAAGAGAGAGAGAAGAAAAAGAAAAAGAATAATCACCTCTCCAATGGGGCTGTGGCCAAGTGTGTCAGAGAGCCCTCGATGAATGTCTTGCTGGAAACCAGACTAATGGGCAGTCTTCTCTCCAAGTTTTTTCATTTTGTTTTGTTTCATATTTAGAATTATCCTTCCTAATACAGAAGAAATGGTATAGAACAGCAGGTTTTCCAAATAAAAACTCTGGTTTGGATGATTATTAAATACCTTGTTTTATGTCATGCTAAGAAAAGTCATTGACTACTCTTTCTGCTCTTCCTTTTCATGAAACTCCCAGAGACTAAGTTAGAGACCCAGATGGAGTGGACATCTTGCCATCTGTCCCGAAGCTGCAACTTTCCTGATTCTCCTTGCTTTCATCAATGAATGGCACTACCATTGTCCTCATACAGGAATATGGATACCTATTCCTGAAGATTCATCCTTTGCTATTCCTCCCAAATATGGCTAGACATTTTCACTTCTGGTTACAGTATCATATTTCAGGGTGCATTCAGATGTAGATTTCCAACCTGTCCTGAACAACATATTAACATTACTCTAGTACAGGCCTACAATCTCCATATGCATCTCAACTCCTCTTTCTGCCACTGCAATGCAGTGCCCATGGCCTATAGTTACCTATGTGGGCTAAGTACTATGCTAAGTGTTTTATATGGGTCTTTTCATTTGATGCAAACAATGATGCTAAG
Source organism: Homo sapiens (assembly GCF_000001405.40). Classification (NCBI taxonomy): domain Eukaryota; kingdom Metazoa; phylum Chordata; class Mammalia; order Primates; family Hominidae; genus Homo; species Homo sapiens. Next base: position 90,807,737 of record NC_000001.11, on the reverse strand, counting down.
AGGTAGGCACTCTTTTTATACCAGTTTCCAGGTACTTTGCTCATGGTCACATAGCTAGAGGAACTGGGATTTGAATCAAGATATTTGCATTTATCATTCCAATTCTTCACCCCTTCCTGTGTCCTTGCCTTTTGCCATGTGACTTTGTAGTTCCCCTATGAAGAGGTGGAATCCATTTTCCTACCCCTTGATTCTAAGCTCAGCCATGTGACTTGCTTTGGCCAATGGGATGATAATGGATGATATAAACAGAAGCTTTTAAGTAATGCTTGTATATTTCTGTTTGCACTCTTGTCCTCTCCCATGACCATGAAGAAAAACATGTCCAGGCCAGCCTGTTGGAGGATGAAAGATTCATTCATCAAATCCAAGTCATTCCAGTTGTCCCAGCCTTGGCTATCTATGGTCAGCTTACAACCAGCCAACCTTCAGACTTGTGAGACCAACCAGGACAGCAGAGCTGCCCAGCTGCCTAGCCTCCAAAATCCATTACATAATAACTTTCAATTATGTCATCTTTCTGCTAAAATCCAACCTATGAATCAGTTAACCAATCTACCCATCTTTTAATAATTCCATGCTGCCTAAAGATGAAGTACAGATTTTTGGGTTCCTTTCTGGCATGTAAAAACCTTAGAAGTAGCCGCTCCACTCTAAAAACAAGTAAAAATCTGACCAAGCTGAAAAATCAATTCTTTTTAGATCTGTCAGGAAGTGAGGTTACAGGGTAAACCATTGCCCTTAAAACCGGGGAAACAGACAGACAGATAAGAGAATGACAACTTACCGAAGTAGAAACCCACAAGCAGAAACCTTTATAGAAACCAATGCTGGGATAGGAAAACCTGAACTGTAATTGATTAATTACTAAAAGCTCAGTGTGGACAAATCTGTGAATTAAAAACTCTAGGAGGCTCCTCAGACTTTTTCGAGTCTTACTGCCTGGAGCTCTACTATGTTCTCACAGTGAACATCTCCTCATGGTTCTGGCAGGGGGATGGAGAAAAAGTGGCCATCTTGAAGTATGCCAGAGCATTCTGTTCTCTTTAACAAGGCTTGCCCTCAAGAGAAATTATTTTACCAGATCCTAACCTATCAGGGGTTTAGACAGACTAACCAAACTGGCGAAAGGGAAATACCTAACTCCAGCAACTTCTATCCACCCTGTCCCATCTAATATGGGGGGAAACTGAGAGTCACTTGTGAAGTTCACAACCTAGAGGCACAGGCTCACTAAAAGACTAAGACCTAATCATAGGACTATAGAATCCTCCCCCTACTCCCCACCCCCACACAACACCTTACTGCTACATCACTAAAGGTCTATTTACTGCAATTCCTCTCATCTAGTATATTACGTCCAGACTAAAAAAAAAATTACAATACATACTAAAAGGCAAACAACAACAACAAAAAAAAACCCAGCCCCACCCCTCCATTAACCGCCCCCCCCACCCCCAAAACAACCCAACAAAACACTATCTGAAGAGACACAGCAAGTGTCAGAACCAGACCCTCATGTGGCAGGATTGTTGACATAATTAGACCATAAATTTAAAACAACTACTATTAATGTGCTGAGGGATCTGACAGAAAAAGTAGGCAACATACAAGAACAGATGGATAGAGAGATGGAAGTTCTAAGAAGGATTTACAAAATACTGGAGAACAAAAACACTGTAAGAGAAGTTAAGAATGTTGTTAATGGGCTTACTAGTAGACTGAATACACTGAGAAAAGAATCTCTGAGCTTGATACTTGGAGATTAAACAATATATTTCTAAATAATTAATGGGCCAAGAGAAATTTTAAAATATTTTAATGAAATGAAATTAAATTTAAAATACATAAAATGAAATAAAAATGAAAATACAACTTATTAAAATTTGTGAGATGCAGTGAAAACAGTGCTTAGAGGAAAATTTATAGCATTGAATGTAGATATTAGAAAAGAAAAAAGGATCAACTACTTGTTGATCTTGGATTCTATGCTTTTTACCTGGGTGATGAAATAATATGTACATCAAACCCTCACAACACACAATTTATCTACAGAACCAACCTGCACATGTATCCCTGAAACTAAAATAAAAGCTAAAAAAAGAAAAGCAGAAAGCTCTAAAATCAATCATCTAAGTATCCACTTTAGATACTAGAAAAAAGAAGAGCATATTTAACCTAAAATAATCAGAAGGAAAGAAATTGCAAAAACTGGAGCAGAAATCAATGAAATTAAAAACAGGATATCAACAGAGAAAATCAGCCAAACCAAAAACTGGTTCTTTGAAAAGATCAGTAGAATCAATAAGCCACGCTAGAACAGGGTAACTAAGAAAAAAAGAGAAAGGGCACAAATTACTAATATTAGGAATGAAAGTAGGGGGACATCACTACAGATCCCATGGACGTTAAAAGGATAATAAAGGAATATCATGAACAACTCTATGCCCACAAATTTGATAACTTACATGAAATAGAATAATTCCTTGAATGACACAATCTGCTAAGACTCACACAAGAATAAATAGACAATCTGAATAGGCCTATATTGATTAAATTAAATCAATAATTCATAATATACCCAAACAGAAAGCACTGGGTCTAGATGAGTTCATTAGTGAATTCCACCAAACATTTGAGGAAAAATTGTACCAATTATCTACAACCTCTTTCAGAAGACAGAAGCAGATGGAATACTTTCTAACACATTCTATGAAGCCTGCATTATTCTACTACCAAAATCAGAAAAGGACATTATGAGAAAAGAAAATTACAGAACAGTATCTCTCAGGAGCATAGATGCAAAATCCTCAACAAAATATTAACAAAATGGAATCCAATAATGTATGAAAGAATTACATATCATGACCAAGTGAGATTTATCCCAGGTATGCAAGATTGGTTCAACATTTGAAAATCAATTAATATAATCAATCACATCGACAAACTAAAAAAGAAAAATTACTTGATAATGTCAGTAGGTGTGGAAAAAGCATTTGAGAAAATCCAATACCAATTCATGATAAATTCATCAGACTAGGAATAGAGGGTAAATTCCTCAACTTAATGAAGAATATTTATAAAAAACCTACAGCTAACATCATACTTAATGGGGAGAAACTAGAAACTTTCTCACTCAGATTAGGAAAAAAGTAAAGGTATCCCCAGTCATCCCTGCTTCCCAACATTGCACTGGAAGTCCTAGCTAGTGCAATAAAACAAGGAAAGAAAATTAAATATATATAGATTGGGAAGGAAGAAATAAAACTACCTTTGCTCGCAGATTACATGATTGTTTATGTAGAAAATCCAAAAGAATTGACCAAAAAAACCCCAAAAACTCCTAGAACTATTAGGTTGGTACAAAAACCACATGGCAGAAACTGCAATTACTTTTGCACTAACCTGATAAGTATGGCAGTAAGGTTGCAGGATACAAGGTTAATATACAAAAGTCAATTGCCTTTCTATATACTGGCAATGAAATGGTGGACTTTGAAATTAAAAACACAATACCATTTACATTAGCACCCTCAAAATGAAATCTAACAAAATATATACAAGATCTATATAAGAAAAACTATAAAACTGATGAAAGAAATCAAAGAACTAAACAAATGGAGAGATATTCCATGTTCATGAATAGAAAGACCAACATTGTCAACATGTCAGTTCTTCCCAACATGATCTATAAATTCATTGCAAACCCAATCAACATTCTAACAGTTTGCAATACAGTTATTGGCAAACTGACTCTACAGGAGAGGCATAAGACTCAGAATATCCAACCCAGTATTGAAAGAGAAGAACAAAGTTAGAAGACTAACACTACCTGACTTCAAGACTTACCATAAAGCTACAGTGTGGTATTGGTGAACAAATAGGCAAATAAATCAATGGAA